>NC_000008.11:93214222-94464222 GCF_000001405.40 Homo sapiens
CTTCTATTCTTTATTAAGTGGAAAAAATGACTGTTCTCCCAATAAATTACTTTTTCCCAAGATACTAGAATTAATTATTGTAATCCAACATAACTTGTAATAATTTATATTTGAAAACATACTTTAATAAAGCAAGATTTAAGAAAAAAAGCAAACAAAAAGGTATAATTCTACTAGACTGTAATCTCCATTAGGACAAGTGATTTGGTTCACTGATGTATTCTGATCACCTAGAACATAGTCTGGCACATGTTATTGATACTTAATACTTCATCTATTTGTTGAAAAAAATGTAAATATATATTTTCACAACATACCATTCTTACTCAACTTGAACTCTACTCACACATAGTCTTTATCTACCTGTGGCTTTCTATCAGGTTTGTGTAGGATAGTTACATAATGTCATCATGGGGATCACCATGTCTAGACAGCCCCTTGGAGGAGTAAATACTGCTAGAGCTAGATCGACATTGGCACAAAAACAAAAACAAACAAAACAAAAAAACACTTGGTCTTTCTTCTCTTACAGATTGCTACTTCAGAGAGAAAGAGCTCCCACTGCCTGCTTACAGCCAACCAGTTAGAGGAAAGGCCCTAATTATCCTTCCAAGTTCTGGCACTCAGACTCTGTCTATTTCTTCTTTTGGCTCCAGACCAAACAAAATGTGAAAAGGAAAAAAAAAAAAAAAGTCAAGAAAAAATGCAACAGGGCAATAATGCTTGTCTGTGTGGCACACAATCAGAAAATTACTTCCTCTCTACAAAATACTGTTATTAACTTTCTTCCAGTGATCAGAAGTTTAAGAGTTCATACAATGCTTAAATTAATGAATAAAACCCTATTAGCATACTATGTTTCCTTATTACAACAGAAAGTCTTTTGAAGGAGATATATCCATCTTCAGTTGCAAAATGATGTTACTTCTATTACCAGGGATGAATTTTAAGCATATTGAGATGCATATAAAACATTTACTCTGTATTCTTTATGTTTCCCATCAGGGACTACTTTTCTACTTTGAAATCAGAATTTTTGTCTTTTCTCTCTTTTTGGCATTCCTTATTCCTCCTCCCATTATCCCCATTCCTCCCCACACAACTCCATGAACTTATCTTTTGTCTTTATCTTTTTGTTTTTCTCTATACACTAATATGCACAAGTTCCCACCTGCCTCCCCACAATGACCTCACTTTTTTTTTAAGCATTCACTACCTCCCTTTTGAAGAATAAAGAAGTTGGAGAAGATGGTACGTAACTTTCTGTTTTTCCACTTCTCCTAAGTGGGTAACTTCACTAAAGATACCTCCATTGGTAGGGCAGATCTATATTACTAGAGAAGAAAAATATAAACTTCATATACTTACATTTATGGAAAAATACAAACATTTCTATCTTTTCTATTGAACTAGTCACCAAAAATGCCTCTAATCCCAAATTCAGAGCTCACAGCATAGTCTTCTTAGACCTTATTAGGTTTTATGAAAGTGACTACCAATTAGCAAGTGAAAGGGTATGTAACTTGTATAGCAAACCCATTCAAATTTCTTAGAGTACACAATCATGTAAAATTGCACACCAACCACTGAGCCTTCAACAAGAAAATGTTTGCTGAATGGATAAATCAATGAAGTGAGGATGTGGCGAATCATCTTGGCTGAGGTATGGAAAGTGAACTGGAGACTAGACAAGCTGGAAGTTACAAGACCAGTTAGGAGATTTTTTTAATAACATTAAGGAGGCAAGTAGTGATCTTTTAAAGTAGTGATCTTTTAAAAGGCAGCAGAAATGGAGAAAAGGGGCTAGGTACATTCTAAAAATAGGGACAGGTAAAATCTCCAGTATTTGTTGCCAGAATGAATTTTGGGCAAGCATCCAGAGGATGATAAAGACAGGACTCACAGTACCCACTGGTATTCACCTGAAAAATGAAGATTTCAAAAAATTATGTGAATATCAATCAAATGAACATGGACATTTATAAGTTTACAAGCCTTAGAGTGCCTAAGTATGGACTCACTAAATCATCTACTCCCCTAAACATCCTTCTACATGCTGACAAGGATCAACTTTCCTGTGTGGACAAAAAGAGTCAAATTCTGAAATATAATTGAAGAGATATATTCTGAGGCATATATGAGTGACCATGGCCCATGACACAGCCCCAGGAGATCCTGAGAGCATGTGCCCGAGGTGGTGGGGCTACAGCTTGCTTTTATAGGAGAGGTGGGAGGGGCTTCCATGTCATAGGTGGATTCAAAGATTCAAAGATTTTTCTGATTGGCCAGTGGTTGAAAGAGTTTATCTAAGGAAGGAAGTGTCTGGGTTAAGATAAGATATTGTGGAGACCAAGGTTCTTATTATGCAGATAAAGCCTCCAGGTAACAGGCTGCAGAGAGAATAGATTGTAAATATTTCTTATCAGACTTATAAAAGGTGCCTGATTCTTAGTTAATTCTCTCCTGGATCAGGAAAAAGACATGTCAAGGGAAAGAGATTTTCCACACAAGAGACAGCTTTGCAGGGCCATTTCAAAATATGTCAAATAAATATATTTTGGGAGTAAAGTACTTTGATTTCTTTCAGGGCCTACTAGCTGTCATTTTGGCATTTTATGGGTTTGAAGAATCTGCTTTGTTAGTCTTAAGTTCTCTCTATTTTAATGTTAATGCTGGTCAGCTGAATTCCAAAGGCACAAAGGTATAATGGGTCATGTTAGACCACCCATTCCCATTGTAGCCTGAACTAGTGTTTCAGGTTTATTTTGGAATGCCCTTGGCTGAGAAGAGGCATTCATTTAGTTGGTTCCGGGACCTAGAATTTTTATTTTTGGTTTATAACTGTGTCTTTCTACTTGTTGCTCCTATTTGATGGGCCATACTTCACTATGCTTCTTTTGCTCATTAAGTTCAAAGTACTCTTCATTTTAGTTGTTTTAATGTTATTGACTCCTACTTTGATCATTTCTTCCTGTCAGATCTTCAGTATTTCCACCACATCATCTTTCTATCACATCCTAACTCTCCTACTCCCTTCCCTTCAGTGATTGCCAGGACACACAACAGTATAATAAAATCAGAGGTCAAGAGAGTATGTTTAATTCATTTGTATTGGTTTTCATGGAATCAATTCATGCTCATGTATTTTAAATTAAATATATACAATTTCCAAGCTTGCTTTTCATTTTCTTTTTCTTTTTCTTTTTCCTCCTTCACTATTACTGACCTAGATTCCATGCACCAGATGTGTTCACCTGGAACTCAGATTAAAAGGAAGAATGTTCACTCCCTGCTCCTTTTGTGCCTCAGGTCACAATCTGGAGAATTCCTCTACAGAGAGAAAGGCTGGAAAACATATTTCTAATTCTTAGAAGGAGGTAATTAAATAATTTCCTTTTATGATACTGTCTTTGTTCTCGTCTTGAAAGGAAAGAGCATCCCCTTTATCACTTTAAACAGGGCAAACTAGTATTTCTAACCATCCTCCCAAAGTTAATTAACATGTAAATACTTGTCAGTAAAAGGTAACACTTCAGCAATTAGCATATAAATGGGCCAGGGACAATATTCTGCCATAAAGGAGACAGCTTGGAAGATTTTGCCAAATGTATTTGGAGAGAAAAAAATATAAAATAAAATACAGGCTTCATCATTTTCATGCAAACAGTTATGAACTAGAATGTCAGCTGAAGCCTGTGGTAAAAGGAGAACTACCCTGCTTAGATTGAATGAGGTGAAGTTTGCATACACAACAGGGTTTTATGTACATGTTTACTCAAGTAGCGATGACGGAAAGTGACTAATTGTTTATGTCCAGAAAAACACATCACGTTTGTTTGATTTTAATGAATACCATCAGCGAAGGAAGCAGAAAGCCATAGGTGCAAAAAGAATTGAAGGGCTAATTTTTCCATATTGGCTGTAATGATTAGTACACTCACAAAATTGCACATGCAGGGAATGCTTCTACTCAGCCCTGAATTTGTGTTTCAAATGAGGTAATTGTGCACCTAATGATCCGTTTGCACAAGCAATTACCTGATTGGCATATGCCAGGTGAGCTTGTGAGAGATAATAGGACAAATGTACTTTTTTTTGGCTTTGCATCCATGATATCCTAGTTTGAAAAACAAAATAATTATAGTCATATTACATTTGTGACATTTTTATTGGAATCATGGGTCCATGTGTGAATGGGATGCTCATGCTGATGAATGAAAGATCATTAGCCCAAGATGAAAATAAACTCTGACCACCCTACCAAAGATACTTGTTATTTTATATTTATTGTTAAAACTACAACATAGATAAGTTTATGGGGGGTGTCTCAGAATTTCTAATCAGAAAACTTGGCTTAAAATCGCATGTAGCTACTATGTCAATTCCAGATAGCCAAGCTTAGGCAAGTCACCTAAAAATGCCAAACCATGGTTCTTCAAAATGGAGAGAATAATTTTGTTTATATGGAAACTTGAGCTGGTTATTACTCATTGCATCCTGCATTAGAAGTGTCAACATTAAGTCTTATTGATGCCTACGCCAGGTCCAGGTGAACCCTAGGAAACATCTGTTAGTGTTGGTCTGCTCAGCATCTCGTCATCTCCTTCACTTGGCAGGGCTGAAAATCTGGACCCCACCCCTCTCACTACCAGGTGACAGGTGATCCAACTAGATTGAAGTCATCCTTGACAGACAGGGTCAGGCTCAACCACAGTTTTCCTACCTTTTTCCAGACCTAAAAAAGTCCCTTCAGGCTATGTCAGAGTCCACGGGTGGGGTCAAAACTGGATACATCTTGTACATTTGAAAAGTAAGCATGTTTTCAGAGCACTTTAGCCTCGGCAGTGTGAATACTGTAGGACGGTGGAAAGGATCTGCACGTAAGCCTCAACCTACCCAGAAGCTGGCCATTTTCTCCCTGCACCCTAGAAAGTCAAGTGGGCCAGTAGAACTTTCTATAATGATGGAAATATCCCATAATCTGTACTGTGCAATATGTTAGCCATTAGCCACATGTGGCTGTTTAACACTTGAAGTGTAGCTAATGGTAAGGAGGACTCAGGAACTGAATTTTTAATTTTATTCAATTTTAATGAATTTAATTTAACTTTAAAGAGCCACATGAGGCTTATGGCTACCATGTTGAACAATGTAGCAAGGAAAAAACAGTTTATCAAGTAACAACTCCATACTATGACTGTGAATGTCAGCTACTGTCCACAGTTCTTTACTCCTACCCTTTAAAAATATATAATGCCAATCCTCCTTTTCCATAGCATCTTTGACACTTTTTTAGCCATTTCTTTGCCTATTCCTGGTCATCATCGATAAGGTAAAAAAGCACAAGGATCTAAGACTGAAATAATTACTCTTATTAGAATCCATCCTAAAACCAAACCAAAACAAAACAAAGAAAGAAACAGAAAGGCAGAGCTTGTCTAAGGCTTTTGGTGCCTGCAACCTAATTGTTGATGACTATTAGAGATGAGACTCTCATCTAATTGAGATGGAATGTTAATGAATCAGAGTTTGTGACCTAACTAGGTATCTAAAATCCTGTATCCTAAAACTCATGCCTAACTTGACTGGGCTTTGAAAGCATGGATAAAATAATAATAATAAAATTAATATAGAAACAATAATAGTGAATAATAATTTATTATGTTTCAAGCACTGCTCTAAGATCATGGTTTATGTAATTTATTCTTCACGACAGCCTTAGGAGATGGTTGTTATTGTTTTTCTTATTTCACTGATTGAAGAACTGAGACTTCTAAAGGCCACCTTACTTGTCCAATGTCATAGCAAGAACATGTGGCAGAGCTGAGGTTCAAAGCCAGACCAGTCTGGCACCAGAGCCTACTGCCATAACCACTGTGTGATGTGGTCTTGAACCACATCAAGGTTAAGGATATTCCCGCAAAATTATCAAAACGTTTTAGGTTTTATAGAAAAGCAAGAGTTTCCATGCTAGACAACTACTCTGCTGATGAACCAATATCAGTGAGTCTGAAACTAGGTAAACTGTTTTATGCACAATTTAAGAGACTATTGAGACAGAGGAGTATCTGGAATGGCCTCTCTCTAAGGCAACAAGGATCTCACTTCTTCCTAAAGAGCTGAAATGAACCACTGAGTCTGGTTTTGTGTGACGGTTTCTTCCCTGAAATGAACAGTTCAGGATCATCTCAAGGACAGGAACACATTTATGCTTTAGTCCATCTAGGGTGAGGACCCGAGACCTATCGTGCCCCGTGACGGCCTCTGCTGACTGGTTTTTTCTTTGAGGCTTGCAATGCTGCCTACATTAGGCTAGGTTTTGGCAAGTGATTTATAGTACTGTTTGAGATTGCCATTCTTACTCAGGTGTAAAAAAAGTGGTGAGATTGTCTCAGAATTGAAAAATGGCAATCTAGTCCAAAATATAAATAATTGGAATTCTGGCTTCCAAAACTAGGTATGTGAAACAGAGGTGGGAGGTGGAAAGTAGGATGCGGCAATTTTCTCTGATGATACTAAAACCTTCAGACACACACACACACACACACACACACACACAGCCCTATGTATAAGACCAGGGCACTAATATTCATTAAGCTACCCTGCACCTACCTCTCTGCCTATAAAACTTAAGATCAAGTAACCCTTGAATATTGTCTCCCTTGAATCTAGCCATGCTGTAGCTGTTAACAAGAAATTTTAGAGCTACTTTCAAAAAAATATAAAAGAACTTATTTGTAGATTTAGAAAAAAAAAATAAGTGTAAAATACAGCCACAAATAGGGCTATTGGAGACAACTGAAAATACTAATTTTCCTGGATAATTCTACATAGCAGGACATGATCATATCCAATTAAGTTGAGCTCTGTTCAATAATCACTGTGTAATGGGATAGAATCACAGAGTAATAGGATTTGTTTAAGGCAAGGACAGAGGAGCTTAATACCTATTAGATACCTTAAAAGCATTAAGAATGAAAAAGACCAATTGATACGAAACAGTTTACAGGAACCTAAAGAAAATGCAAATAGCTCTATGGTTTCTCTGAAGAGTCTTAGTTGACATTTACAAACTTTGTTGCTCAGTAATTTTCAGCGCTAACTTATCTGAAAATAGTTAGAATCAAAAAGAAGAGCTCAATATAAAGACATAAACTTTTTCTTAAAAGATCACTGACCCTGGCAGATCAAAGTCTGCTCTGGAGTAGACAGGACAAGATCTTGGAAGGTCATGATGGCCCTGAACATATTGTTTGGCTTCTCAGATAGAGAACGTTCAAAAGGAACTGTGAATGCCTTGTCACGCTTGAACTATATATTAGTTGGCTAAGCTGAGAATCAAATATGGGAAATTAGTTGCCATTAAAAGATCGCTTCAGGCAGTTCATTTCTCATCAGCCAAGCTGTGCAGGCCTCCTGCTGGGGACAGTGAACATTAGCTTACTAAATACTTCAGCTCATCAGACGCTGCTTTACTCATGGATGGGCCTGGATTTTGGTGATGGGGGAAGGGGAAGAGGAAAGAATGGATATAAAACGTAACTACCAGCATCTGTCTGGGTAGAGATTAATTCTCTATGCTATTAAAAATATAATTGTTCATTGACATGTACAGATATTCACAACTTATTGTTAAAAGGAAAACAAACTGGTTCTAAAACCATTTTTATATGATGCTGTTTTCAGGGGGAGTGTATGTATTTAACCTGGAAGAATGAACCGCAACATCTTTACAGTGGTGAGTTTGGGGAGGTGTTTTTGGGTAAGTGTTTTTAGGATGACTTTTTATAATTTGTTTTATTCACATATATTTTAAATACATTTAAAATTATATTATTTTCAATAATTATAATTTTATAATAAACATCTGGTAGTAAATATAATACTAGACATTAAACAGAAGATTATGCCTATTTCACTTTCTTCTCCTTGAAATGTTTTATTTCCTTTGGAGGAACACTCATCCTGCATGTCACAGGTGGTCAAACCAGAGCAACTTCATCTCTTCATCTTGAATAGGAGCTGGATAAAAGGAGGATGGGACCTGCTGCACTGCATTCCCAGGAGGTTAGGCATTCTTAGTCAAAAGAGGGGATAGGAGGTCACAAGATACAGATCACAAAAAATCTGCTGATAAAACAGGATGCAATAAAGAAGCCAACCAAACCCATCAAATGCAAGATGGTGATGAAAGTGACCTCTGGTTGTCCTCACTGCCCGTTATAATGCGTTAGCATGCTAAAAGACACTCCCACCAGTGCAAAGGCAGGTTACAAATGCCATGACAATGTCCAGAAGTTACCTTATGTGGTCTAAAGGAAGAGAAACCTTCAGTTTCAGGAAATCCCCACCCTTTTCCCAGAAAACTCATGAATAATCCACCTCTTGAATTATTGGCAGAATATGGTCAATAAATAAACCATAAAACTAGCCAATCAGCAGCCCTAGGGCTGCTCTGTCTATGGAGTAGCCATTCTTTTATTTCCTTACTTTCTCTTTTTTTTTTTTTTTTTTTAATACAGAGTCTTGCTCTGTTGCCCAGGCTGGAGTGTAGTGGCGTGATATCGGCTTGCTGCAACCTCTGCCTCCCAGGTTCTAGTGATTCTCCTGCTTCAACCTCCTGAGTAGCTGAAATTACAGAGGACTGTCACTATGCCTGGCTAATTTTTGTATTTTTAGTAGACATAGGGTTTTACCATGTTGGCCACGCTGGTCTCGAACTCCTAACCTCAAGTGATCTATCCACCTCGGCATCCTAAAGTACTGAGAATACAGACATGAGCCACTGCACCTGGCCATTATTCCTTTACTTTCTTAATAATCTTGCTTTCACTTTACTCTGTGGACTCACCCTGAATTCTTCCTTGCATGTCATCCAAGAACCCTCTCTTGGGGTCTGGATTGGGACCCCTTTCTGGTAACATGAGGGCCTTCCAAATGCTTGAAGGAAAAAATTCCAGAGTGAGTATAAATGAATTGTGAAAAGAAGCTATACTTTATCTTAGGGCCTACCCTGTTCTAGCAGCTCTAGAATTATGCTGCATAGGACAGCCCTAAAACTCGGCACCCAGAGTCGCCCGACATTATCACCGGGCTTTCTCTGTCCTGAGAGTTTGCACAGACTCACCTTTGTTCTCCCAGTGAAATAAATTATGTGCTCCAAAATAGAGGGATGTGCCTACCTAGAAGTTTGCATTATATATAGGCAAAATAATGAATGGGCTCTGGAGTCAGACACTCTGAATTGGAATCTCAGTTTCACTGCATAATGGCTGAGTAACCTTGGAAAAGCCACTTAGTCATCTCTGGGATTCAAATTCTTTATCTATAAAAGGAAAGAGTAAAACCTATATCATACAATTTCCTTGAGGATTAAATTACGTGTTCGTAAAGCCCGTAAGGGAGGTCATCTCTGAGTTCTGGTTACTCTTACTTTCCCACCTTTTCACTCAGTGAAGCGGCAAGAAGACCATGGATAGGAAAAGGTGCTACAATGGCAGAGTTTTAAACAATGTAGGGTGGAGGAAGTATATGCAGCACGCAAACTTAAGTAGAGAAGAGGGGGTATATAAGAGCAAGTGTCTTTAAAAGTGCAAGTTGTGACTGATGGATACCCAGGCAGTACAGAATCTATTCCTGCAAGATACCCGCCCCCCACCCACTGAGAGGGAGCTTTCCAGAAGTACAAAGCTCTCATGATAGGAGACAGGGGGCCCAGCTTTGCTACCTGACCTACTTAGCCATATGAGCTGGTAAATGTGCCTGGGATTTCAAGCCAATTTTCCTCTCTTCAAAATGGGGATGTCATCTACTTTGTCTCAAAAAGTTGTCATGAGACTCAAAAATTCTTTACAAAGTGGAAAATGCTACTTAACCATTTGTTAGGACTCCGGTTTGCAAGTAAGTGACAGAAACCCAGATCAGATAAGCATAAGCAAAAAGGGAAATTTCTCACAGAGTCAAGTACAGGAACAAAGCTGGGGTCCAGGAACTCCTGGTAAGGTGGCTAACTCAGCCCCTGGTACGGTGGCTAACTCGCTCATTCCTGGCATTAGCACTAAAAGTGCAGGGTCCTGGAAAACCCCTCAGCGCAGGCCAACAGAGAAAGTTGGCCACCATCCCTGGCTTCTGTGACCCTGTGAGTGTCTGATTCATTCCTCTCCCCCTGCTGACCCGCTTCCTCCATTTTCTCTGTCCATATGGTTAGAACCACAGTCAAGGACAGGTTCTAATATCTAATTTTGTTACGGCATGGGCGATTTCATGTTTTATTGCCCACGACACAACTATAGTTTAGAATAATCCCATTTTTAAAAGTCTCATATTTTGCTGTTAGGAAATCATCAAAGTTATAAGCCTGATGTCTGTATTTTTATAAAAGAAGTGTAATTTAGGAACCATTATAGGGAATGAGTTCAGCGAACTCCTCAGATCACTTATTTTCCAATGGAACCACTTAAACATACCCCATTATCTCTGAGAAATCATGAGATGCAGGGAGGGGCCTTGTTTTTAAGGTAGTTTGGGTATTGTCTGCTACCTGGCTTAACAGGAAGTTCTATGAGAGACTCAGGAACTATATGACTCCATGTGGCTATTTTGCTTACTGTGTTAACCCCAGCACTCAAAACCAGCTGGCCAGGTGGATGAACAAACAAGTAAATGAAAATGAAAACATGAGAAAGCTAAATGTTGAGATGTGTGCTACATTCCCTGTAGGTCAGAAACTCAGAGAAGGAAGGGAAGTGTGAGGTGTACTGTACTGGGTGAAGACTCACAGGGGTCGAGAACAGCTATAGCATGGGAAGGGGAGGCTCATTTTTCGTCTTCCTCACTCAGTTTCTGACTCATTGTACTATAAGACAGAGCATAAAGTCCAGTGTATGTAGATAAGGGAATTGGCTTTCACCAGACGGTAGTCCACTAGCATACCCCTCCCCTGTGTTTTGGAATTCACACTCCCCAAGGATATGGAACAATGGCAAGGGAGTCAGGGCTGGGCCTGCTAGGGCTGTTCTCTTCTTGACCACCTCCAAGTTTCTTCTATTTGAATGTGTTCTTTTGAAAACAAAGATGTAGATTTTATGAATGTTTTCCCCAGTTTGCGATTAAACTTAATGAAAAACAACAGGCCGGGCGCCATGGCTCACGCCTGTAGTCCCAACACTTTGGGAGGCGGAGGCGGGCGGATCATCTGAGGTCAGGAGACCGAGACGATCCTGGCTAACACGTGAAACCCCGTCTCTACTAAAATTACAAAAAAAAATTAGCCGGGCGTGGTAGTGGTAGCGGGCGCCTGTAGTTCCAGCTACTCGGGAGGCTGAGGCAGGAAAATGGCACGAACCCGGGAGGCGCAGCTTGCAGTGAGCCGAGATTGCGCCACTGCACTCCAGCCCGGGCCGACAGAGCGAGATTCCGTCTCAAAAAAAAGAAAAAAAACCAACAACAACCAGGCTGAACCTCATTTTCATTTGCTTTCCTAACTCTTTGCCTATTTCCTTGCGGATTCTCCTTCTTTAGCCACCCGGCTCTACCTCGTCTCACACACAGATTTCTACCCGATCCTTCCACTCTGGCAGTCAGCAATGGGCTTTAATTGACACATCATTAAAAAATACTCAGGCACCATCTGAACTGGAATAAGAATAAATTCCAGGCAAAGGGCTCAAGCCAGCCTTCCAGATTTCAGTGTCAGAGAGCCGTCTCAGAGGAGGCAAAGTCATTTTTTCTGTCGTCTTTCTCCAGCATTGCAGCTATTCTAAACAAGCCAAATTGGAATAAACGCTCCATGACACTACTCACCACCTTGTGTTTTCATAGGGGCGGCTGCCTAACAGTTTACACTGAACTATTTAACACTAGCCTATTTGCTCTGACAGCTCTTTTATTACAGATGACCACCCCAGGCCTTGGGAGGTTCATTTTGTCCAATATTGGTTTCATTTGGGTATGATCATTGTGTTCGGAGTTGTTTACTGAGCAGACTGCTGCTAACCTCCTCCTATCGTTGATTGCCTACCAGAAGAAGCAGTCCAGCTCAGTTTCCTGGTTCCAAGAAAGAGAATTCAGCAAGAGGAGGGTCAAATTACCCCAAACTCCAGATCATCTCTATCAACAATGTCATATGTGTCCAGGAAAGAGAAGCTTTATTGTTTGTCTTGCTCTGTTTTCTGAAGCTAAGAAGACAATTGCTTCCTCGCAAACATGGACAGATTAAATACACTACATTCTGTCCTTTTCACCATCTGCTTCTTGCTTATTTTATTTTAAGCTGCATGACTAAACTTTATTATCTGACGGACGGGTGAAGGTGGGCCCTGCTGCTGCTGTGCTCTACTCCTTGAGGCTTGGAATGAATGCAAAGTTGCAGGGCTGATCTGCAAAGGGGTGAGTCAGAAATCAATCGGCCACTGTGCAATTATCACTCGCTGTGTCAAATACCGAGACATTAGCATTCTAAGATTCCTCTTGGCAAGATTCACAGCAGGGGGAAGGGAGTGATGGAAGGGGAACAACAACAAAAATCTTGCTTTGTTTTATTCCTCTAAATATCCATATTTGCATAATATCCCTTCTCTTTGTGCTTCCCTACAAGTGCTGTGAGGAAGATTCTGTTCCCAAGCTCTGTCTCTTAAACTTCTCCTGAACCTCTTGGGGTTTCTAGTCTCCCTACTATCTACCTTTCTTATTTCCCAAAATATGTTAAAGCATTCTATCACCTCTATCACCATAAGCCTGCAGAATCCTCCTTGGAAACTCCTGACAATTCATTTCGAGCCCCATTCATTCTGACTTCTTCTACATTTAATCTGATTTCTAGGACAGGAACGAAGGTAAGGCAAGATAGGCACTCGCCTTGAGTACTCGGGTATAAAATTTAAGAGGACATCAAAATCTCAGTAGCCTAGATTAATATTTCAATGCCATATATTTTAACGTTTTTTAAAATTAAACTTTTATTTTGAGATAATTATTTCATATGCAGTTGCAAGAAAGGATAGAGAAACATTTCCCCACCACTATCCTTTACCCAGTTTCCCCCAGTGGTATGATCCTGTAAAACTAAAGTATCACAACCAGGATATTGACATTGATATAGTCAAGATACAGAACATTTTCATCACTGCAAGTGTTCCTCACATTGCTCTTGTAGTCACATCCCCTTTCCTCTCACCCCCACCACTCTTAGCCCTACACCATCACTAATTTGTTTCTCATTTCTACAATTGTGTCCTGTTGAGAATGTTATCTAAATAGAGTCATACGGTATATAACCTTTGGGATATTTTGGTTGTTTCACTCAGCATAATTCTCTGGAGATTCATCCAGGTTGTCATGTGTATCAATGGTTTGTTCCTTTTGGTTGCTGAGTAGTCTTCCATGGTACGGATGTGCCATAGTTTGCCTGTTCATTCACTTGCTTGAAGACATCTGGATTGTTCCAGTTTAGGGCCATTTACCCATAAAGTGAATATAGTTTTATTTATCTGGGATAAATGCCCAGGAGGGCAATTGTTGGGTCATATGGTTGTTGCATGTTTTCAAGAAACTGCCGGACTTATTTTCCAGAATGTACCATTTTACATTTTATATTTCCACCAGCAATGTAGGAGTGATCCAGTTTCACCATCTTCACTGGCATTTGGCTTTGTCATTATGTTTTTATTTTAGCCATCTTGATAGGTGTGTAATGATATTTTATCGTGATTTTAATTTGCATTTTCCTAATGGCTAATAATGTTTAACGTATTTTCATAAGCTTACTTGCCATCTGTGTGTCCTCTTCAAAAAAAAGTGTCTTTATATCTTTTGCCTATTTCTAATTGGATTGTTTGTTTGTTTACTAGCAAGTTTTTAGAGTTTTTTATGTATTCTAGATACTTGTATTTTGTTGAGTTTGTGTTTTGCAAATGTATGTATGGGTGTGTGTTCACATGTATGTGTTGACCAATTATTTTTTACAATTTTAAAAATATTTTTATGTAACTATAAGGGAAGGGTGAAATGTAAAATATCTAACACTTATGGCATGGAAGTCAACCACCAATCATAATGGATGCTGGCCTTGAATGACAGGTAGGCCTGTTGTTACATGAATCAGCACAAAATCTACCTTACCACTAGAAAACATGTAATCCAGATATAATGCTAAAATGTGCTTTTTGCTTTTACATTATGCACATAGAAACTTCAGAGTTACCTGTTGAAATTTTTGTCTGAATATTCATCAATGTCATTTATAACCGGTTAGCAGGTATTTGTTGCTGGCTATGTTCAAGATGCTCACATACATGTAATTAATTAACTAAATCCTTTCTATACATTGACAGGCATTTCTGAAGGACAGAAAAATGAGAGAAAATCATTAATATTTGCTTCAAAATTAGTATACTTTATTGTAATAATAACAATTATATAATTTGGATATTTGAGGTTTTATTTCCTTATGCAAATATGGATCCCAATGGACAAACTTACTAGGTGACTTCAATAAATCATCTTAACAATCCTGAGAAGTATTAGCATTCCCTTTTTTTCCAGATGGAAGAATTGATTACCTTGAAAATGGCAGAGCCTGAACCAACAGCCATGTTGTTGTTATTGTTTTTACTGTAGATCCTGTCCCATTCATCATGTGTGAAAAGAAGCTCTTTGAAAATGACAAAACTTTATATGAATTGTAGATAATTTTATTTCTATTAAAAATGAAATATTCTTCTGATGAAAATGTCTGAGGAAAGTGGTTTATGGATTATATCTTTGAATAGATCCTCATTTCTAAAAGACAAGTAATCAATTGATTGATAGTTGGTTTTACTTTATTGTTCTTTAATGTCCAAATTCTTTTTAGGCTCCAGGCAGAGCTACAGACTTCACCTTTTTCATGTCGGGATTTTAAATTTTTTTCTAAAGAGTAGTTTCCCTAAACCAACCAGTCTATTGATTTGTTAGTTTTGTAGAACAGCAAATCTCTTGCTCCATAGGCTAATTTATTAGTCTAGTAATAATTAGACTACATCATTAAATATTAGTCTGACATCTAATGTTAGCATTCCCTTTTTTTCAGATGGAAAAATTGATTACCTGGAAATAGTCTAATTATTAGTAGTCTATATCGTTAAGATATTAGTTTAATATTATCAGTATTACTGAGATCAAAAGTCGAATCTGATGTTCTCTATGAAAATTTGGATAAAGGGCAGGACTTCCATTTTAGTCATATTTGAAAAATGAAACCAGGCATGCAATTGGTGCTCTGGAAAAGTTTGTTTGCCCTCCACTAGCGGAACATTTTTCTACAATAATCTTAAGGCTATCTACGTTATTTTATTTTTTAAAAGTCTCAGGACTTCTATTTTGATAGATTAGAAATCTCCGGACCATTAGGAGACGTTGACTTGTTGAAGACGGATGGAAAGCCGAGAGCCTGCCCACCGCCGGGCCACCAGCCAGCACCAAGGGGACGCGAAAGAGGAAGTCCTCCTCTCAGCCAAGACCCAGAAGCCCTAAGAAGTGTCCGAAAATAGCGAAGAAGGGAAAAGCAACTCGTCGAGGGAGAGCCAGGAAGAAAAGTGCTCCAAAAAAGACCGCGGCTGTAAGAACACCTGAGGAAGGGAGCGGGCCAGCACCATCCGGCCCCAGTGTCCCGCTGAACCAGGAGCTCCCTCAGCATGAGCTGCGGCCGGAGCCACCGAGTGAGGGGACCCAGCCAGAGGAAAAACTGAGTAAGGGGACCTAGCTGGAAGAGCAAGTGAATGAGGGGACCCAGCCCGACCCACTGAGTGAGGGGACGCAGGCGGAGGAACAGAGTGAGGGGACACAGCCAGACCCACTGAGTGAGGGGACACAGCCGGACCCACTGAGTGAGGGGACACAGCCGGACCCACTGAGTGAGGGGACTGCAACCAACTCCATTCTCTCCCTGAGCAGCGAGTAACTTCAGGCCCAGCCCGGAGACCTAGGAGCCACCGGAGGTCTGACCCAGAGAACTCACCAACAGGGTGCGCCCCATGGTGAAAATAAAATGAATCTGTTAGAGAGAGAGAGACAGAGAACTCCCTCCACTTTTTTTCCCCAAGTCACCACCACTTCTGACACTATCTTTTTCTCTAGCGTTCTGCTGTTGTGGTCCCTGGCGCATGCTTGTTTCACAAAACGCCAAGAGTAGATCAGTGGATGTCATTGGGAAAAAAAACAAAAAAATAAAAAAACAGAAAGTTTACCATTTCTCAATGTTTACTAAAGTGACATCCTAATAATACACCTTTTAAGGCAAAGCATGGGGAAGAACCACAATGGTCAGCTAGGAAAACACCAAATGATTCAATTAAGTTGGAAATACTCATTTAGTTGAGTGGACATCTGTCAACCTTAATCTGGTTCAGTACAATGCTAATTCTATATTGACTCCAATTTTATGAATTTGTTGTTGGTATAAGACTATAGGCTTACTAATATTCTCATAAATGTGGC
The DNA here is from genome assembly GCF_000001405.40 of Homo sapiens. Lineage (NCBI taxonomy): Eukaryota > Metazoa > Chordata > Mammalia > Primates > Hominidae > Homo > Homo sapiens. The sequence continues at coordinate 93,230,696 of NC_000008.11, forward strand.
ACATTACCAGGATATTCCTCTTTCAACTGTTTTAGTGATTAATGGAAAGAAGTTGTTTAGAGGGAACAAAATATTCATATAAAATTAGCAACAGGAACCATTTGCACAAATGAGCTAAAAAGTAAAAAGTGTACAGAGGAATAAAAAAGAGCAAAAAGATTTGGGAGGCCGAGTAGGGTGGATCACCTGAGGTCAAGAATTTGAGACTAGCCTGGCCATACCATGGCGAAACCCCATCTCTACTCAAAATACAAAAAATTAGCTGGGTGTGGTGGCAGGCACCTGTAATCCCAGCTACTCAGGAGGCTGAGGCATGAGAATCATTTGAACCCAAGAAGCCAAGGTTGCAGTGACCCGAGATTGTGCCATTGCACTCCAGCTTGGGTGATAGAATGAGACTCTGTCTCAAAAAAAAAAAAAAAAAAAAAAAAAAAAAAAAAGAGCAAAAAGAGAAGGCCAGGGACTGGCTGGCATCCATAAGCAGAGAATAGAAAGAAGAGAGCCAAACAGGTAAATACATAGAGTATACTAAGAAAGGAATGGATGCATGATCAACAGAGGGTCAAAAAAAGTTTTCAGAAGGATACAGAAAGAAATAGCAGCTTTCAAATTCAACCTGGAGAAAGTTATTGGTGATTCTAGGGAGCACACTTGTGTTTCTTAGTCAAGAGACCTAGGGCATTGCAGGTAATATGGAGGAAATAGAGGCAGCTGGTAGAGCTGTAGCAAGTAATCAGTTATCTGCATTTGGAGGTGTCTATTAAGAAGGAAGTTCCCAGGGGAACATGGTAGGACATAAACCATTCTGTCCTCATGTGCTTCCAGGGATATGGCCAATGTCCCTTCTTCCTCTGAGCTCCTGTAGTTTATCCATCTGTGACACTCATTTGGCACTTAGGACCTGCTGGCTTGTATTGTTCTTTATTTCTTTAGGAGCTGGTCTATTTCCAAAACAGCCTGTGAGCTTTTTAACAATTGCTTTATATTGTCTGCCACAATGCCTTGCACATAATGTTAGTGACAGCAATAGTTGTAGAGGTAGCAGTAGTAAAAGTAGTAATAGAAAGAGCTGTTACTATGACTGTGCTAAGTACTTTATATATCTTATTTCATTTAATCCTCCTCCTAGGGTAGCTACTATTATTATCTGTCATTATCTCCAATGTAAAAGTGAAGACACTGAGGCTCAGAGAAGTTCAATAACTTGGTTCTACTCAGCTTGTAGATGACAGAGTTGGGATTCACATTCAAAGGTTTCAGATCTCAGTTGCCAAAGTTTGACAAGGAAGATTTGGTACACACTATCTCATTTCTTTTTTCTTTTTTCACTAATATAAAATTGTAAACAATAAGGTTTTATCAGATACTCAGTGCAATAAGTTGTTTTATGTCTCTCACTGGAATTTTCAATTATCTTGGCTTTTATGATTTGTCACCAGAAGCAAAATGGTTTATGTCTGGGAGAACCCTGAAGCCATGATGGCTCTGGTGAATGTGGGAGCCTGAAAAGCACTGGATCTCTGACCAGAAACATAGAAAAAATAGTACAGGAAACATTGTCTGTCAAATAAGCCACTCACAGAAACAAAGGCCAGGCAGAGGCCAGATAGCACTACCAGGTGAAATATAGGTACCTGGCTAATTTGAATTTCAGATAAACAAATTTTTCAATATAAGTATGTCCCAAATGTTGCATGGAATATACTTATATTAAACAGTATTCATTTAAAAATCTGAAATCCAAATTTAACTGGGAATCCTGTATTTTTACTTACTGAATCTGGCCACCCCAAGGCCAGAACACATTCTCCCATCTTTTGATATACTGAGGAAGTACAGGTCTGAGCCGTAAACCACCAAGGGAGAAAGGAACATTTCTGTCATTCTTCTGCAAATCAGTCCTGTTGCTTAAAATAAACCTGATCACACACACACGAACTTAGAAAACAATGATTTGAACCCCCTTCTTCTTGCAATAACTGATTACATTAACTTCATGGATTCTGCAAGGCAAACACAAGAATTGGAGTTCTAGTTTCCTGTATTCATTCAAAATCCCCAGAATCTTCTCTATTTTCCCTCAGATATTAGTTCTCTGCAGGAAACCACAGGGTTCTGAACTGAAAAAGAACTTTGGATGAATGTTTATAGGAGTGGATGATCTCAGTCTGTTCACTCGTGGGTCAATCAAAATTCTGTCTTTACTTGAATTAGTCAGATAATCATATTTCTGATGCTCCATCTGATCAAATTTGTGCTGAAGTTTAGAAGAAAGTGTTAGTCCCTGACCTAGCCCAGCTGATTGTAGCCAGCACCCAGGCACCTAGGCACCCTGGCAAGATCTGGGGAGCTCTGATACTTCTTTCACATGGAGTTGGGTAACTGCTTGATTTCCAGGGGCTGCAGTTCCTACAGAAGGTGAACTTGGACTCATTTTCCTTTCTTCTCTCTTCTTGCCCCTCGCCTCCTATTTTCCCTGACCATCCTACTTTACTCTCAACATTCAATGCCCTGGACAGGGACTGATATGGGTTGGCTGTGTCCCCTGACAAATCTCATCTTGAATTGTAATCCCCATAATCCCCATGTGTCATGGGAGGGACGCAGTGGGAGGTAATTTAATCATGGGGGCAGTTTCCCCTAGCCTGTTCTTGTGATAGTGAGTGAGTTCTCATGAGATCTGATGGTTTTATAAGTGTCCCACATTTCCTGGTACTCATTCTCTCTACTGCCGCCTTGTGAAGAGGCGCCTTCCACCATGATTGTAAGTTTCCTGAGGCCTCCCTAGCCATGCAGAACTGTTAGTCAATTAAATCTCTTTTCTTTGTAAATTACCCACTCTCAAATATTTCTTCATAGCAGTGTGAGAACAGACTAATACAGGAACATTGCAATTTCATTCCAAGAGTCATAGGGACAAGTTCTTCTCATAATGGGAAAGACATTCTAGACCAAATGCTTCTATCACAGAAATGTTTAGAGGCACAAGGAAGTAGACACTGGTAATCAATATTTCTTTAATTCACCAGAAAGTGTCTTCCTTTCCTTCCACATTTCTTAAAATTTAAGAGTAAATTATTCACTTAATACCTGAAAGGTGACTAACTACTTGGTGCTAGCATTACCGAGGGCATGGTTTCATTACAAAGTTCTCCATTTTGTCAATCTATATTGCTCGTGATGAGTTATTTTCCTAATCATAATGTGAGCCCTCTGAACTTCTTTATCTGTTATCAGTCCACACCAATACCACTGAGAATAAAGTGATTCTGATCTGATGAAACCAGGTTCTAGAAGGAACACTCTAAGACAGCAGCCAAATCTCTTTGGGAATGGATGGCTCTACTATAGCTACAGTATCACCAGAAGATGTGAAATACATTGTCATTTCTATTGGCTATTTATTTTAAAGGAAAAAAAGTAAGAAATAACAAAACAGAAGTGGCCAGAAATCCTTAAAACCCTGAAAACAAATACCTAACTAAGTAGGAAAATAATGTTGACTGAATTTCAGAAAAGACCATCCAATTGCTTGCGATGAATGACAATGATTCTAAATATGGAAGTATGTGAATATAACATTTGCTTTTAAGATGTTTTCGTCCTCACTCAATTTTATTGTTCCAAAATGAAGTTTTGCTGCTATCTAGGTTATAAGGTTGACAAAATGATTTATTTTGAAACAAGCCAAGTTTTTACTTTGAAAAAGTAGTAATGTGCAGAGATTACTTTGTTAGTATTTCAATTTTCTGATTGCCAACAATCAATTTAAATGTTCCCCTGGAGTTCTTTGCAGTACTGAAAATTTAAAGACAAATCAAAGAGTCAGGATAGTTACTGCCAAGGCCCATGTCTGACAGTAGCTTCTTCTCTAACGTGGTTAAAATATTCAAGATTCCAGGAATTTCACAGGAATATGTGAGCAATATTAGGGATGTCATGGATTCTGAGCATGAAATTTGTCTTCCATATACATGCCTTTTTTATCATAGGATGAATAAATTTGGTATTATTTTCTCTTACAAATTAGCTGTAACTTACGTTTCACTCTACATTACTGAGGGGGAAAAAAGCATGGTGTGGGACATTATATGATCCTTGGGTATTCCGTCAGGAGAAGACTTACTCTCTAATGTCCAGGAGCCGATTTCTCAGCTTGTGGATGATTTTGGACTGCTTTTCTGCAACAGAATCTGTTTTGAGATTATAAAATTCTCGTTAACATTTCCACTAGAACAAATAATGAAAGGTGCCAAAATGGAATAAAACAGTGAATTCTTCGTTCTTTTAAAGAGCAAATAATTAGGTACAGTAATGACTGTAAAATGACATTATTAAATTGTGTGGATTTTTTAATTGATTTTTTTATTTGAAAACCCACAACTGAACAACTAGTATGGAGGAACAATGCTAGGTGCAGTGAAGAATATAATGGTGAAATGGATACAAAGAGAAAACAAAAAATAGCTTCATAGTCTTGATGTAACCTGCTCATACTCAAAGATAATTGGGAGTCAACATTTTTGGCCTTATGTGATGAGCACTTTCATGATCTCTGTGTATCAGTAAGTGGGTGTGGGTGTGTATATTACGTGTGCATTTCAGTGTTTGTCTAAGTGTTTATGTGTTGTGTCTATGTTCAACCTGGGCCTCGAATCAATTGCTCTGGTTTTATACCTCCAGATTAGATTACCTGAAGGAGCTGGAGCCCATCTTAGGTGCTATTTCTGTTGCCTACCCTCAAGTAGTCTTTGCAGTGAGGTAAATAGGAAGTAATGAGTTGTAGCATTCTCCATACCCCCATCTCCAACATTTATAACTAGTGCTGTTACAAGAAGTGATGTGAATAAACATACAAGTTGCTGAATTATTTATATATCATTTCTATTAGCTTAGTGAGATATATTTTGTAAATTACTAATAGTTTCCAAAAGCCGAAAATCATTTAGACTAATTGGTACATTATACAATCTAACTGTGTAATTGATTTTTAAATGAATTGGTCCCTAAGTGAGTTTTGAATATCCTATAATAATTGGTTTCTAATAAATGATATGAATAAATGAGTGATTAATGCATTTATATAGAAAGCAGCTGATCGGTCTTTAGTTCAACTGAAAGGCCCAGTACATTGGTGGAGAAAGTCCACTAGAGAGCTAAGCATGACTTACATCAGCATGTCATTATTACAAACTAGAAATTGTAGACTGTAATGAAAAATGTCCATCTTCCATTCTTTGATCATGAAAGCAGTTTAATAAATAAGAGATATTTACTTTAGACATAAGTTTTACTTAATTGTGAATTGTGAGGATTGAGAGATTCTAAATATTTGGGTTCCTAGTGATAATTTCAGTGATGAATGAAGAGACAGCAGTTTTCCTTACAACAGAAGAATGTTCAGTTAGAAAGAAGAAATTTACAAAAGCATATTAAATGATGAGTGTGTTGGGGATGCTTTTCAAGCTGATTGGGAAGGACACTCTCTCTTTTAAGAAGAGATATATGGCTGCCTATAGGAGACCTCATGGTCGCTTGCCAAATGTTAATGTTCAGCACTTAGTATTTCTGGCTCAGACCCAGTCTTAGCATCTCAGGATCTGTTAAGTTGTTCCATTTTCTAAAAGGCAATTGGAACTTGAGAGGAATTCTAACATCCTTTGTGCAAATGGATGCTGCAAACCAGAAAACATAGAAAGAAACACAAGGAACTATTGCATACTTATATTTGTTATGTAAATATGATAATACTTCTGTATTATTTGCTGCTGTATATTCACAAATGTCAAAATGCCATACAATTTGCAGGGAACATGTGTAATTGGTTAGCCCTGTAAAACCAATTCCCTCCTCCTTTGGGTACTAGACGTCAGTTTCCTTTTGAGGGAAACTGCACCTTTGAATACAGCTTGGTGGTACCCCTGCCAGTGAAGGAACCCTGTTCTTTCCTTATCCAAGCAACAGGCATGTGACCCAATTTCTACTTCTGAAATATAAATCATAAGCTGAATGGCAGAGAATGAACATGTTTGCGTGTGACTCAATCCTGCAATGGTGCTTGGAGAAGACCATCAAGTAATTCGTGTAGTGATGTTCCTAAGCCCCTAGAAGCTGCCTGGCTCCTGCCCTTTTCTGCTTGATTTTCAGCCTCTGCTTTGATCCTAAAACTTTTCCATCATCTCTTAACAAATTGCCTTTTTTTTAAGTTAGCTTTCTGCTGCTTACATCCAAAAACTGCAACTGACAAAATTCTCTTACTTCTCTTACTTTTTGCTTATGGAGTTGAAGAATATATATATATATATATATATTTTTTTTTAAACCCTAATGGTTAGTAACTTGTCTGTGGGTACATAACTAATCACTGGCCTGAAAGTAAAAGAGAGTAATATCCAGATTAATACAACAAGTGGTATCATTCTTGTCAAATATTGCATTATTTACTCCATGTAATCTACCAACAATTGGTACAGCTAGTGAGCTCAACAAATTCCAATACTATTTTCAACCAGTAATCATTTATTTGTGTGGCATTGGTTGCTATTTTTTTAATATTAGATTATAAGCTTTTCCAGGGTTGCTGTGCTTTCTGAAAGTAAGTTTTGAGTTTGCTTCCCTCTAAATCTTCCCTCTGACAGCTGTTATATTTAATCTTCCTAAAAATGCTATTTTCAGGAGGTGGAGGAACCAGGGTGAGAGAATTTCTGTCTCAAGGATCCACATTATCTACTCACTTTTTGTTTCACCTTTATGTTCTTCTCCTTCCTCAGTGTAGTATAATTGGTTTCAAGTCTTGGAAGTTGAGGAGGAAATATGTGTGCCAAGTTATGCTTTTTCCTATCATATATTCACTCAGATTTATGTTTAAGTGCATAAATCCTCCCTGTTTGCTTAAGACTTAAGATTCTGAAACTCATAAGCCAAGCAGCCAGGGTGAGCACTAAATATACATTAGTTAACATTTCAAAGTATTGCCTGACCATGCTACAATGAATTTTTATTGTTCAAGAGGTCAAAATTCATTATGTGGAAATTCATATTTTGATTCCATCTGATTAACCTTATTCCTAGTCAAACACAGGAAACTAAAGGTTTATTGGGTTGTGTTTCTGGGAGATAAAAATGTCTCTACTAGGTTTTGTCTGTTCAGTCTAAACCTGATGCCCTCTGATGTGAAGAAGATCTCATCATGGAAAGAGTATGAAATTTTATGGGGGTAAAGCCAGGTGTGGTGGCATATGCCTATAGTCCCAGCTACTCAGGGGGCTGAGGCAGGATCCCCTAAGGCCAGGAGTTCAAGTCCAGCCTGGGCAACATAGTGTGACTTCATCTCTTAAAAAATAATAATAAAAATATTTTAACGGGGTAGTCATCCTAGTTATATTCTTCATAAAGGAGAGTCTTTACTAACCTATGCATGAATTATCGTGAATAGAGAAAATCGATATTCTGTGAGATATATTTTTACAGGCTTTTTAGAGGAGTAGAAACCAACAACAGTATGATCAATCCTGTCAATATAAGCCAAACCTCTGGCAAAGGACCTCCGTGACAAAAGGTTTTTACGTTTCTTCACAGTAAATTTCTTTTCCTAACTGTATTTGGCTTACTCTTATTATTTGATGTTTGAACACTGACCACTGGGACCAAAGAAAGATGAACCAGAGCTTCGAGGGGAATTCATGCTGGGATTACAATTTTGACCAAAGATGATGAGCTTGTACATGTGTAATGGGAACACAAGCTATTATTCCCATGATAACCCCTCAGAATGTCTGGTATATAAAACTTCTCCTATACGGTGAGGTCTTGGCTGAGACTGAGCCAGAAACTATTATACTCCCTGCCTCTGAGATGCTGTTTTTCAATAATATTGACTCTTAGAAAAGAATAATAATATCAGAGACTAGATATCCAAGTTGTCATCTCAACTTCAACATTTAATGGAAGTTGGATTTAAACTCAGAAACTCTCATCCTACCTCTTTCAAATGATTGGTTTAAGGATCAGATACCATAGTGTACTTGAGATGGCTTTGTAAAGCACAATGGACCGAACTAATGTAAATTATAATTTTCATATTTATCTAGGTATTATTTATCTAAATAAATTTGAAACTTAAATTTACTGAAGTTTGATGAAGAGGTAGGTCCTTATAACGCCTAATAAATGCCATCAAAACAATGACATTTAAAAGTAATATTCAGTAAAAGACACATAGAAACTGTGCTTATAAAACTCTTCACTGGTTGAAAAGGATACAATGTAAATAGAATTCCTATTAATATAATGTTTAAGGATACAGATGTTACATTAATAAGGCTGTGAACACAGGTAATTATCACCAGCTAAGAGGAAAGCCTAGTTTTCAAGGTAAGCAGACTATTTTCATTCCATGCTCATTTTGAGTTTCATTCTACTTTTCAGAGTTCAGGAAAAAAAATAATTCAAATAAAATGTTTGTCTTACAGTTTTGTAATACCCCATGATGTTATATAATTCTTAAAAATTAAATCAAAGAAACATCCCCTTCAAGCCAATAAAATATTATAAAATAAATTAATACAAATTAGCATAGTTTGGGGCAGAAGATCCTGGGAGAGAGACACTCCACTCAGCACAGAAAGGAAAAAAGGACAAGCTATGCACTCCTTTTCCCTATGGGTAAGTAGAGCCTTGACAGATCAAAGACATTGAATAAAATAGCTCTAACTCTATAGTGAATTATTTGCTTGGTAAAGAGGGAACCTTGCACCTGACAACCGTATGGGTGATGGTTTTCATGTGACCAATCAGATGAGCACTCGCCTTCTCAGTCCTGCAGAAAATGGAGAAACTATCCAATTAGCAATGGGTGGAGAATGAGCTGGGCATGCGGCAAAACTGATGATCAATGTGCTGTGAGACCCAGTAATACGCTGGCCACAAGTAACAGGCCCGTAGAGCTCCCCAAGCCCTGGATGGTCTTTCACTTCCAATTCTCATCACACATATCCTTAAAATAAGTCTGCTTTTCCTTTCAGTGGCTTATGTGAATCCCAGATCATAGCAACCAAGATAAATAAAACTAACTAAATTTTTTGGCACAACTTTCACCCCAAGTACATCGCAGTCCTTGGCTACATTGCTGAGGTCACAATGGAAGACACCCATAGGGAGTCTGCTGCAAACCTGGCATTGCAGGGTGACTGAAGACACCCCTGCTCTTTGCCCAAGTGCACTATTCTACATGCACGTGTGCCCCACATGACACTGCTCCACATCCCACCTCCCAGCAGGGGCAATATTACGTAAGTAGAAGCATCACCTTGCCCTTATGCTATTTTAAAAATCATGTTGTCACAAAAGAAGCAAATAGAAGTAGGCAGAACCTGAGCAAACAGAGTTATTTGTACATAATGTTCTCATCTCCCACCAGGAAGTGTCTATGTTCCATGAAATGTCTGAATCCCACAGAAGTTTGGGAAGCTCACTCTGCGGGATTTACACTGATTTTACCTCCCAGGATGTCCTTGTTTCACTTGGCTAACTTCTTGAGGTCTACAGCATCCCCCTGTGGGGCAGAGAATAGAATCTCGTGTCTGACAAAGAAAGGAAAGAAAAAGTATACACACACACACACACACACACACACTGAGTCTTTATTGACTAAATGCTACCTGGACTATTAAAGAGGACAGTGAGTGTTGAAATGCATTACTTATATGCCAGGCAGCAATAACTACATTTTGCTTTATAACATTGATCAGAGTTTTACTATGCTTGGGGAAATTATCATTTATGTATATTTATAGGAAGCATAGGTAGGACAGAGTGTGATTTATCAGCACTTCAAGCCAATAACTGGTAGGAGAAAGCACCTAGATGGTCATGTTGTTACAGGATATTTGGGGGTGTTGTTTTTCTGGTTGGAAACCTCTGTGGCCAGTGGTGCCTTTGCCTGAGCTTTGCTTGGGCCCTCTGGGCTTATTTTGCCCACTTGGCCTGGCAGGCTGCTCTTGGCTTATGCTACCGGCTGGGTCCCATGCCTGCCAAGGGTGAGTCAGGCATAGAATGATGAGGGGTATGTGAGCAAGCATGGATCCGGCCACTGTGCAGTCAAACTTGCCAGCTGCTGCAGTGGGGCAGGCAGCTCCAGGTGCCGGCACAGGTACTGGCTCTCTGCAAGGCTGTGGCCAGACCAGGCACACCACAAGCAGCTTTCACAGCTGGCACTAAGGAACACGGTGGGTGCCCAGAAGCTTGGAGACACCAGGAACTGCACAAAACACCAAGACACCAGAGTCCAAAAGAGGGAGTCACAGCTCTGACTTGAGGAGCTCCTAAGTCTGGGCTCCCAGAAAGGCCACAGTTTTTCTTTCCTTCTCTTCACCCACAATATGGCAAGCAAGGCGCATGTCTCAGCTCTGTTTGTGTTACAGCTCTTTTAGCCTCACCATGGGTGGATCGTGAATTCTTGTCCTGCCAGGAAGAATGAGGTATGCAGACAAGTGGAGGGTGAGCAAGATGAACTGGAGCTTTATTTAGCAATAGAACAGCTCAGAAGAAAGCTGCAGGGTGCAGGTCCTTTCTGTAGCCAGGGTGTCCTGACAAGTTTTCAGCTCCTAGCAGAGACATAGCTTCTCTCTGCAGCTGGCCATCCTGTCATCTATGCAGCTCTCAGCAGAGAGGAAGCCCTAGAGTGGGTGGCTCCTCTCTGCAGGCAGGTCATCCTATCATCTCCCAATCATCTCTCCCTTGTCTTTGCAGCTCTCAGCAGAGAGGAGTTCCTAGAGTGAGTTGCTCCTCTCTGCAGCTGGCTGTCCCAACATCTTCTCAGCTCTGGCTGAGCCCAAGGCTTTTATGGGCCTTAGAGGGGAAGAAATGCACTCCAATTGGTCAATAGGCAACCATGGGTGAGCCTGGAAAAGGCACCACAAGTTCCCACTCCAGTCCAAAGGACTGGCAGCCTGGCTCCCAGCCTTCAGGCCCACCCCAAACTGAAGATGAGGCCTCACCAGGGACCTGCCCTCTCCTGCCCAAGAACCTGTCTGCCTCCTCATGATGCCCAGGCTGTAGGTGCTGAGGGGCACCTGTAGACCAGCACCAAGCTGTCCTCAGCCCCATCTCAGCTTCCCTCCTATGCTTGTCAGTGCCCGAAGTCCAGAGGGGGCCAAGACAGCAAGGGGCTGGCGTGTCAGCACTGCCTCAAGCATGTGCACACCCAGCCAGGCTGTGACAGTGCTTGAGCTTGGCCCCAACTTTGCTCCAAAATTGGAGCAGGTGCTGACAGCAGGGAGAAACCTGGCAGCAGGAGCAGGAACTTCCAAGCCTGCAAGGATCTTGGGGGTGCCTTCCAGGGCAGCCAAGATTGTAGAGATGCCTGGGTCCACAGCAGCTGTTTGGCTGCGCTGCACCTGGGGGGTGCAGGGCTTCTACCTGCTTCGTGGAGTAGGAGGCCTGGGTCTGCAGCCACGGTTTGGGTGGCTGCGGCTGTACGCAGAAGGGCAGGGATCCTGCCTGCTTCTGAGCCCTGAGAGCACAGGGATGCCCAGGTCTGCAGCCGTGGCTTGAGCAGCTGCAACAGCATCCAGGGAGCTCCCACCCCAACTTGGAATGGGCAGGGGTCCTGCTTGTTCCCAGCTTCCAGCTCCATGGAGCATGCAGCCCCAGTCATGCCTCCATGATGCAGCTGGTGTGACGGTAGTGGCGTCTCCAGACAGCCCACAGCTGCCATCAGTGTGTCCTAAAACAACCCCTAGTCATTGAAATAGACAGAGGCCTTCTTTATCCCCAGGAATAAATGGTAGAGTGGGGTGGGAAACATGGAGTCCCAGACCTCCTTATCTCCTGGGAATATGTTTACTGCAATTTGATAGGGAAAAGCCTCTTCTAACAGCATCACATTAAAGGAGCTGCTTTGTTGGCAATGGGCTTTTGCAGTTCACTCACTCTCTTCTTATGAAACAGTACTAGGCCAAAAGAACAGAGACTTAACAGTTCTGACTCCTCCCTTGTTTCCAGACATTGGGGTACTGCATCTGGTCTGCATGCTTACTGCTGTGTGCCAAAATATCTTCTGTCTCATGCCAGTCTGCCAATTCATATAACCCAACAAGCAATGCTAACCAAGTTTGAGTTGGTTGTTTCCAGGCATCTCTTGCCTTTGAGAATTCAAGGAGTGCCACCAGGACTGCCTTGGGGCCCTCTCTGTTAGCAGTCCCTCTGAGGATATGGCTGTGGTCACAAGGGTACAAATGGTGGATATGCAAGCAGGCCCAGTATTTCCTAGTCCCACTAGAGTACTAAAGACTCAACAACTCTTCAGTCCTGGAATTCAATATCATTTTCCATATGGGTTACATTACGATTTCACAACAAAATTCTGGAGTGGGGAGAGATCATTTTAAAATTTCAGGTCGAATAAATTTACTGTATGAGCCAATAATTTCACTCATAGAAAATTACCAAGGAGAAATGAGAACATATGCCTACAAAAGTACATGTATGTGAATGTTTATAGCAGCTTTAATCATAATAGCCAAAAAGTGGAAACAATCCAAATGTTTATCAATTGGTGAACAGATAAATAAAATATGGTATATATACGTGATGGAATACTATGCAGCCATAAAAAGATTTGAAATTCTGATATATGCTACAATGTGGGTAAACATAAAAAAATATTGTGCTAAGTAAAAGAAACCAAACACAGAAGACATCATATTGCATGATTCCATTTAGATGAATGGACCAGAAAAGGCAAGTCAATAGAGACATAAAGTAGATCACCTTGACATTCCGATTTTTGAAAAATTGTCACAGTGAAAAAGTAGACAAAACATGAACATGGTATCACAAAACTGGTTTTTTTCTTTTTGTTTTTTGCCTAGGTCTGGGAGTGGGAACAGGGATTGGTAGCAAATGAGTATATGGGCTCTTTGAAAGTGATAGAAATGTTCTAAAATTGAATTGTGGCAATGGTTGCCCAACTCTGTAAATTTATTAAAGGTCACTGAATTGTGAAGTTAAAAAATGGATCCATTGTATGATATGTACATTATACCTCAAGAAAGCTATCAGAGAAAAAAATTTAGGCTGATCATTCAACTTAAGCAAGACAGGGGAAGGGGAAAAAGAAGACTGGGCTGGAAGTTTCTCATGTTCATAGAACTTACACGAGCCCCTTTTTGCCAGTTGTGTATTTTTATCTCATTTATCCCACAGGAGTGCCCAGTATGTACTGGTGGGCTTAAGTTACCTTATCTTAGGTCTGTTTCTCCACTTACCAAATGCTAGAGAATGCCGAAAGAATTGGAAAAGAGAAATAATCACCTTGACATTCCCATTTTTTGAAAAGTCATCACACTGAAAAAGTAGACAAAACATGAACAGATTTCATAAAATTGTTCTTTTAAAAAAAAAGTTCTTCTAAAAAAGGTATTTGTGCAGTCATTTCTGTAAATGTCCACAAAAAAAATGTTAAATATATATAGAGAGAGGAGATCACTCCTTGTATGACTGTTGGCAGGATTAGGAATATTATAATTCAGCAGACATTATAAAGTCAACTGGAGAAAAAAGTCTTCCTCTTGCCTCCAGGGACACCTGACCCATAGCAGCCATGATGTGTAGCTTGACTAGCACGTGTTTACAGATTGGTGAACATCAGATACATTCATTTTATTAGGTAGTTGGATAATAGCCTTTTATTTGTGATTATTTATGCATTAGCAGCAAGCAATGGATATGTGCTATGTAGGAAAGTTATTATTTGCTAATTTGCTGCTTTTAAAATACATGGCACACTATCTATTATGTATCATGAATTACAATTACAACAACAGTTTAATTAATCACCAGCACCCTGTTTTGTACCAATCTACAGCAGAATTCTGGGTAATGGTGTTGTTTACCATTTAGCAAGTAGCAACATTTCACTCTGTTTCACTACATTAAACTGCTCAAATAAAGCAAACGGATATTGAAAAGAGTTGGCCATCTGCCTTTATTTTCTTTTACTTTTGTTTAAAAAAAAAACTCTCAAAAGAGAAAGAACACAGCCATGAAACTGATAGTGACAAAAAGCACTCTCTTTTTTTCTTTATCAGGTCAGACTCTCATCTAAATGCAGTTCTGATGAATAGTTTAAAAAATAAAAAAGAAGCCCGCTTTGTGGATTTGGAGTGGGTCTCAAGACCAGCCATGAAACCTAATGATTATTTAACGGCGCTGCACTCGAGGCTGGCTTCTGTAAGCCTCCTTTCCCCCCTTTAAGAGTTTGATGAATAGGTCTTGTGACAGCCATTTAGGAATAAACAAGAATTCATCAGTCTGCATAAGAAGAAGCCAGTTTATAGATTAAGTTTCCTGAGGTAATTCATGAGGTCAGTCCCATTTAGATGGAGACTATTAGGGCCTGGCTCTCGAGAGTGGCCGTAGAGGGGAGTCACTCCAAATGGACCCCGCTCACACAAAGCTCCCTTTCAGGTAGAAGCCTGCCATTTTTATGACCCTGCTGTTAGGACGCACATCAACTTGTCACTGTGCAGATCTGCTAGGGCAAGACCTCATCACTCTATTAAAGAGCTCTGTGACCCTATTGATTTGAAGTATTTAAAGCAGGGGTGAAGTTCAAAGCAATTTCTTTTCTATACTATTACTCAGTCTCTCTGTGTCTTGGCTCTAAAACATCTGCTGTCAGTTCCTTTCTGTTGTCTGACTCTGGAATCTGTCACTGGAGAACAGAGTAGTTTTATTTAAAATAAATTGGATTCCTTTTCAGTTTTCAGCATTTCACATTGTGATCAATGGTTTATGCTCCTTCATCTGCCGGGAGACTTAACTGCAAGTGGATCCTTTTATGTCTCTTTAGGGCAAGACTGAAGCAGCATTAGCTTCTGAGGTTTCATAATAGAATCAAGTCTTAGAAGTAGGTAGCAGCTACCGGCTCCTCTAATTGGCCAATCAACAAAAGTAACAACCTTTCATTTAAAAAAAAAAAAAAAATACAGCAAGAAGGAAAGAGAAAAAAAAATCCATCTCCAACTGTGGCTCCAGGACTCAAATGCTAACAGTATCATTTTTACTTTTATTTGCTCCAAGAAATGAAAACAGAGTAAACAACTCAGTTATTTTTAAATGTCAGCAGGTAAGGCAAAACTGGGAGCCAGTTTTGAAAGGTGTTTTGCAAAACAATGCAGGCTGCCACACTTGTTCTGTGGAAACGGCAGGAACCAGAGTACATTTTGAATAGTTAATAATACATTAGGCATTGTGCATGCATTACCAAAGTGATAGTGGGAAACTCATAGCCTTTCGCTGGCTTGCTTGGGATGCTGGCCCAGCTCTTTGGATGCGTCTGTCCTCAGCCAGTGTTACTGAGGAATTTATTTGAAATACCAAGCCTGAGTTAAAACATTATGTTAAAAAATACTGGGCAAAGGAAATAATACAAAGTTCAGGATTGGTGCACAGTTTAGCATTGTTACCAACCAACTCTCCAAAAAGTCACTTAAAGTCATGCATGCCCCTTATTACTTCATGTAGAGACTAGAGGTATCCAGTGATAATTGAAACACAAAGCATTTCACTTCTCCTGAGAGTCTTTTTCAAAAAACACCTTCTATTATTCCATAGGCTTCAGCGAGGACAGTATTTCTGTAACAGGAAAGATTCTCACAGAGTCTATTGCTGCTTTTCAGATAACTCTCAATTCTTCATGTTCATCCTTGACAGATCTCCCAGGCTCTGGTCAGAGCTGTGGTCAGGTTTCCAAGCTTGGGAGTGTCTCCCCTTCCCTCAAATGCAGCCTGTTGGAAACTGAAGCCTTAATCAACATCCCTCCTATAGCCTTCTTTCCTTTTCTTTTCTTTTTTGTTTAGAGACAGAGTCTCCCTCCGTTGCCCAGGCTGGAGTGCAGTGGTGCAATCTTGGCTCACTGCAAGCTCCACCTCCCAGATTCAAGTGATTCTCCTACCTCAGCCTCCCAAGTAGCTGAGATTACAGGCATCCGCCACCACACTCAGCTAATTTTTGTATTTTTAGTAGAGACGGGGTTTCACCATGTTGGCCAGGCTGGTCTCAAACTCCTGACCTCAAGTGATCCCCACCCCTTGGCCTCCCAAAGTGCTAGGGTTACAGGTGTGAGCCACTGTGCCCAGTTTAACCTTCTTTTCAAACTCAATATTCTCTTCTAACAATGTTGCTAACCATCTTCCCAGTTATTTCTTTCCCCATATCCTGTGAGTAGCCTGGTCCTATAGAATCTGCCACTGGATTTTCTCAGCCCCACACTCTCTCCAGAACCCCATGTCTGCAGTACCTTTCACCAACAGTTGCTTCCAAATTGGGTCATCTGGCTTTAGCTTTCTTTTCACTCCAAATTAATCCCCTGAAGCCAAGCTCTAATCAAGTTCCTGCACCATAAATACCTCCAGTCATTCCACAGAATCTAGGAAACAAAACCCAGTTTCTTCAGCCTGGCATTCAGAGGTCCCTTATTCTATTTTCCTTTGCCTGTCCTATGCTTCGACTAATGAAGCTGTTGGCCATCCTGCCCTTCATAGATTCGCCCTCCATATGCCCTCCCTAAAGGAGCCCATCCACTATCAATGTTTCAGAGCCACTCAAGACTTCTAGCTCCAGCTCCATCTTCTGTCATGAGCTCAAATTATTGTCTCTCAGTAAATAGCAATGCCACCCACCAAGTTGCTCATACTAGGGAAGTTTCCCTCTCCCTCACCCCTAATCTCACAACAATTATTGTCTCCTAATTTTCCTTTCATCTTCACTGCCTCCACTCTGATCAAACGTCCTCTCCAGCTTCAACTCTGAAACATCCTGACCTGTGACTCAGTTCAAGGGTCAGTCTTACTCCCCAAGAGATAATTGATAACTCTGCTTTGAGACTACCTATATCAAATATTAGGGTTTTGTATTTATTTGTAGGAACTACCTCATTTAGAGTCACTGAAAAATGCTTATTTATTAAATAAATAAACGAACAAATGAGAAATCAATTATAGCAGTAGGAAGCAGAACTAAGCCTTCCCTTTTATAATTTAGGATGATGCAGAATTAATGCCTCAGTTCAATGATATAAGCTTAAAAATGATTATGTTTGCAAGATTTAGCCCATTTTCAGTTTTAATACTATTTAGTATGAATATTTTTATGTTTAGGCCTATAAGAAAATAGTTTGCTTTTATCCTAACTTTCTTCTTTGCAAATGTTCTTATGTCATCCCTGATATAGTTTGGCTCTGTGTCCCCACCCAAATCTCATGTCAAATTGTAATTCCCAGTGTTGGAGGAGGAGCCTGGTGGGAGGTGATTGAATCATGGGGGCTGACTTCCCCCTTGCTGTTTCAGTGATAGAGTTCTCATGAGATCTGGTTGTTTGAAAACACGCAGCATTTCCCACTTCACTCTCACTTTACTGCTGGCCATGTGAAGATGTGCCTACTTCCCCTTCACCTTCCGCCATGAATGTAAGTTTTCTGAGGCCTCCCCAGAAGCAGAAGCCTATACAGCCCACAGAACTGTGAGCTGATTAAACCTCTTTTCTTCATAAATTAACCAGTCTCAGATATGTCTTTATAACAGTGTGAGAATGGACTAATACAATCTTCAAGGGCCACTATGACATAACTATGACAATCGCATTATTTACTCAATGGTATTTTTTTAAAAAACTAATTGTGCCTCAGACAAAGCAATATGTTGAGTTCTTGTCAATCACATGCTGTAGGCTGCTTTTTTCTTTGTAACTCAGAATGTGTGTCCTTTCCAGCTCTTTTATGCTTTACATTTTTTTCAGAACAGAAACTGTAGTACCATAGCTCTGAGGTCAACAGTAAGTACACTGGTTCAGGTCTCCCTGAGAATTTTCAATAAAGATAGCACAAAAGATTTGAAGGAGATAATAGTTTCTGTTCAGATCTTCTGAGGAAGTAATAAATGACATTTGACACCATTTCTTATACCTTTAATTCAGAAGAAAAAGAGAGAGAAGAAACTCATGGATGTCAATAGAAACAGAATACTGTAACAAGTTATCATTTTGATTGGGAAATGCTGAATATGTTGGAATTTATGGCATGTATCCACAGGGCACATTTCAGAAAGGAACTTGAATTTGATGGACCAAAATGTGTTCCATCCAAAGAAAAATAAGATGATAAAATAAAAAAATTCTATCCTCAAAGAAGTGATGGTTTCATATTCAAGTACCTTTGTTATGAAAGTCTAAATGATAAGACTGCCCAACTTCTAACACACTCCCTCTGTTAATCTAATACCTAACACATTCTACACCAGGGGAAAAAAGGATGTTATTTTTTACAAAATGATTTCAATATCACAGTACACAAAGAGAACTTCAAATATGGATATGTCCTATAGACTCTATTTTTGTTTTCTTTCTATGTATATATAAAAAGACATTGATGAAAGGCCAGAGAAAATAGAAACTTTCTCCTTTAAAAAAGATAAAAGGCACTTAATGAATTAGGTGGAAGAAAGTTATATTTCTTGGTAAATCTCCCAAATATCTAATCTTAAATTCTGCCATCGTACATGCTGATCTTTCAGCAAAACCCTATGTATTTTTTGGTAGAAAATCATATCCGGAATATATATTTTCTGCAAATGTACATGGCTTATAAGTCTAAATATTCAGTGTTTCTGTTATCTCCAAAAAGATGATGTCTAATATATTTAACAAAATCATAAATAAAAATGTTTTCTTTATTTCTGAGAATAAATGATTTAAATACTTGTAAACTTAACCTAAATATTTTATTTGAAACTGTTACTGAATCACTAAGAAACAAAAACATACATTCATTGCCATTTTACTAGTATAATTCAAACATCTCAGAATAGATATTAGTTTTTCTTTTAAAACTTTTAAAAAAAATAGAGATAGGGGTCTTGCTATGTTGCCCATTATGGTCTCAAACTCCTGGTGTGAGCCACCATGCCTGGCCAATCTTAGTTTTTGTTTTAGAGATTTTTTAAAAAGAATATTGGAGAAATAATATGGAAGAACATTCAGAAATTATAAAGTATCATTCTGTTTACATTTTAATTCAAGATGCTGTTGTTTTACTACCTATCTGAATTATAAGCTATTCATGGTACAACGGATAGTGCTCAGTATATACAGGTTAATATTCTTTCATCCAAACTTTTAATATACCTCTATTTTGTGTTATTAGTATGATTATGTTTCAGATTATGTGGGAAGCTTTGGAAAAAATGAATACAATTCCTATATTCAAGGAGCTTAAAGTGTAGTGGACAGACAAAAATATAATTTATAAATTTAATTAATAAATTTGATCATTTTCCTTTTATTGGTATAGGCCGAGGCAGGTGGATCAGTTGAGGTCAGGAGTTCGTGGCCAGCCTGGCCAATATGGTGAAACCCCGTCTCTACTAAAAATACAAAAATTAACTGGGTGTGGTGGTGGGCACCTGTAATCCTAGCTACTGGGGAGGCTGAGGCAGGAAAATTGCTTGAACCTGGGAGACGGAGTTTGCAGTGAGCAGAGATCGCGCCATTGCAGTCCAGCCTGGGTGACAAGAGTGAAACTCTGTCTCAAAAAAAAAAAGAAAAGAAAAGAAGATACAGTCTCTAAGTTAGGACCATTGCTGCCCTAAACAAAATGAGGGTTCTATTTATAAGAACAAAGAAAATACGGATATTAGTCAAATGGCAAGAAGTCCTGACAATGAAATTCACCTGTGTGAATGACTTAACTTCCCAACTCTTACCTTCTCCCATATGCTCAGAATTCAGTGTTTTAGACTCAGCCAGGAGGAACCCTGCTCTGGGCCTGGGACTTTAGAAACACTGCTCTGTCCCTCCAGAGCCATGACCCTCTCTAAGGGCCAAGGGGAGATATCTACACAGAAGCCATATTCCCACCCATGTCAGATCATCCCCCAAATGCAGGCCAAGGGATTACCCACCCAAACGGTTGAGGAGCCTCTTCCATGGCCTGGGTGGACCTTTGTCCTTGGGTCAGTTCTTCTGAAGTCTGAATTCACCATTGATGTGAATGCATCAATGCCTGAGGGGTGACAAAGGGACAGCTACTTGCACAGGATTTAGACAGAACTTGGATATGTGAGCAGGGTATTTATTTATGTGTATGCAAAGATCCTCATAGGGCAGGACAGAACCAAAAGTGGGAAAAAGGGGTGGCATGCTGTGGGAGGGGAATATGAGGAACTTGAGAGGACCCCCTACATTGGGGCATGAACACTGAGGAGTCTAGGAATTCTAAGTTCAAACCTGGTCATCATGAGAATATACTTATTCAGGTAGCAGGATAAGACGTATTTTATTGAACTTTTTGGTAACTGATGGATAACTTACATTTAAACAGATGATATGTGGGCCTCCACTCATATTCTTACCCCCAGCCATACAAATATTAGGAATAGGACAGGGCCAAAAATTCATGGGTCTGGGAGAATGAGTCTTTATCTCCAAACTGGCATTTTGTGCACACTTTGAGAAGTTAGACATTGATAGAACTGACTGTAGTTTGGATATACTCATAGATATTTAGTTAAATAATAAAACCAACAGCCCCATCTAACCTGATATTTTATTAAATCCTGCTACATATGCTTATTGACTGGATATTCTTTTTCCATTCTTACTATCTCATGGAGAAGGAGCATGCCTCCCTTCAGTAAGTTAGTTCAGCCTAGTACATGGAGTAGTTCAATTTACAGTTTGACCTTTGAGCATCACAGGGGTTGGGGCACTGACCACCGCCCCCCCGTCCCCATGCAGCTGAAAATTTATATCTAACTTTCAACTTCCCCAAATTGAACTACTAATAGCCTATTGCTTACCAGAAACCTTGTCAATAACAAAAAGCCAATTAACCCACACCTTGTATATGTATTATATACTGTATTGTTACAGCAATGTAAGTTAAAAAATTATTAAGAAAATCATGAAAGAAAATATATATAGTGCTCATCAAGTGGAAGTGAATCATCCTAAAGGTCTTTATCCTCATTGCCTTCACACTGAGTAGTCTGAGGAGGAAGTGGAGAAGAGGAGGAGCTGGTCTTCCTGTCTCAGGTGTGGCAGAGGCAGAAACAGCGGAGGGGTTGGAAAGGGAGGTTGTAGAGCCAGGCATACTCAGCACAACTTTTACTGAAAAAAATCTCCATATAAGTGGACCCATGCAGTTCAAACCCCTGTTGTTCAAGGGTCAACTGTAATTTATTTAATTAAAAGAGCAAATAACATTCAAACGAGACAATCATCATCATCATCATCAAAGATTCCATCTTGAACATTTGTCATTCATTTAATTAACAAATATTGCATAGGTCCCCAATACGTGCCAGAAACTGTTCTAGATCCTCAAGATACAGTTGTGAAAAAGGTAAGGTGTGTTCAAGAACAGCTGATACCTTGTACACATAAACGCATCTCCCAGTTAACATTAGAAATTCAGATCTTGTCCATGATATGGCTAAACAGAAGCCTATTTCTCATTATTTTAAGTGAGAAAAATGCCTTTCAGTTTGGCCAAACCCCTAAACCAGTTTCCCATATTAACTAAAAATAATAAAATACCTATAAAGGAATAAAAGCTATCATATTGGAATGCAAAGTACTGAAAACATTACTTCATCATCAAGTAATTAGCATGGTTGCTAATGAACAATTTCTTTATAAGCAGTAATAGCCTTTATTCACACACCAACTGGGGAAACACACAACACACAACCCTTTGGTTGACGTGGTGCACATTTCAAAAGCCAACAAATGATTGTGCTTCCAGCTAGCATCAAACTACTTTTTCACCATAAAGAATGAGTGATTGGATAAAATATATGAAACAACTATTTCAGACATTAGATAATATGTAACTGTTATTGCAAAGAGAAAGGAAACAAATGAGATGAAACTACCGTCCCCACAATCTCTGCCTGGATGGACTTCTGATTCATGGTGCAGAAAGAAGGAGCCCAAATATAAGACAGAAGTCTCACTGAGATAAGGGAGCAGAGATCTGGGTCTGGGAAGCCTGAGTCAGCTAAAATGTGTGCGACACAGAAGCAAAGGTGAGGCAACTTCACAAAGAAAGAGTTCCAGAAATCTGCACGAGGAACCCTTTGAATCATTGCCTGAATATCAATCTGCACAGTCATAGAATGAGACTACAAGAGGCCAAGCAATGAACAACTACTGAGGAAATAGCAACTACCAAGAAATTGTAGGATGAAGAATTCCTAGAAATCACCTGAGAATATGAGATGTTCAAGTTCTGACCAGCCCGTGTAGAAAGGCTACACTGAACAACCAATGTATTCTGTAATATTTCTATACACTATCAAGGAGCAATAAAAATTTGAAAAAAAAACTGTTTCAATAGCATTAAATATTTGAAATAATTAGGGATACATTTGACAGAAGATATGCAAACACTTGGAGTGATTCTTTAGCAATTTTTACACTGAAAATTAAACAATATTAAAGAAGTCCTAAACAAATGAAAAAATATAGAATATTCTTGGATTGGAAGACTCAATATTGTTAAAATTTTAATTCCTTCTACATTAAACAATAGATTCAGTGCAATACTCATCAAAATATTAAGTATACTTGTAAAAATTGATAAGCTCATTCTTAATCTAATAGAGATAAAAGAACTTAAAATAGCCAAAACACATAGTAAAAGTAGAATGAAGTTGGAGAATGTACACTGATGGATTTTAGGATATGCCTTAAAGCTCTAGGAATCATGACGGTGTAATACTGGAGTAAAGACAGAAATATAAACAAATACAACAGCATACAGAGTCAGTAAATAGACCCACACATATATGGTTATTTGACTTTTGACAAAAGAGTCAAGACAGGGCCGGGCGCAGTGGCTCACGCCTGTAATCCCAGCACACTGGGAGGCCGAGGCGGGTGGATCATGAGGCCAGGAGATGGAGACCATCCTGGCTAACACAGTGAAACCCCATCTCTACAAAAATACAAAAAATTAGCTGGGTGTGGTGGCGTGCACCTGTAGTCCCAGCTACTCGGGAGGCTGAGGCAGGAGAATGGCGTGAACGCGGGAGGCAGAGCTTGCAGTGAGCCGACATTGCACCACTGCACTCCAGACTAGGAGAGAGAGGGAGACTCCATCTCAAAAAAAAAAAAAAGTCAAGACAATTCAATAAGGAAATGGATAATATTTTTCAGCAAATGGTGCTGTAATAATTACAGTTACATGTAAGGAAAATGAATTTCAATCTTCATCTCATGCCATACACAACAATTTATTCAAAGTAGATCACAAATGTAAATGGAAGAGTTAAAACTATTAAGTTCTTGAAGAAATAAGGATCTTATATTTCCTTAAACAATGATTTCCTAAATAGAACACACAGTTAGCTCAAACTATAACGTAAAATATTGTTTATTTGGACTTCATCCTAATTAAAAATTTGTTCTTCAAAAGACAGTATTTTAAAAAAAGATAGGTGGTCAAGTATGGTGGCTCAAGCCTGTAATCTCAGCACTTTGGGAGACCAAGGTGGGAGGATTACCTGAGTCCAGGAATTTGAGATCAGCCTGTGCAACATAGTGACATCTCGTCTCTACAGAATCCTTTTTAAAAAATTAGCCAGGTGTGGTGGTGGGCACCTGTAATCCCAGCTACTTGGGAGGCTGAGGTGTAGGATTGCTTGAGTCCTGGAGGTTGAGGCTGCAGTGAGCCATGATTGCACCACTGCGCTCCAGCCTAGGCAACAGAGCTGGATCTTGCCTCAAAAAGGAAACAAACAAACAAACAAACAAACAAAAAATATATATATACACATATATATATACACATATAAATGTAAGTTACAGAAAAGGAGAGGGGAAGAAAACTAAAGAAGTAATAAATAAATTTAAGAGTCACGAGATACTAGGTCAGCATACAAAAATCAATTGTGTTTCTATAAATTAGCAATAAATAATTGGAAAATGAAATTTTTAAATAATAAGTATTTCCAGTAGTGTCTAGAAGCTTAAAATGTTTAGAAATAAATTTAACTAAATATGTGTAAGACCAAAATGCTGAACACTACAAAACTCCACTAAGTGAATTTTTTAAAAGACCTGAATAAACAAAGAGAGCCAACATGTTCATGGACTGAAAGACTGGGTAAAATGGAGAAAGCTACTCTTTCCAAACTCATTTATAGATTTAATCCATTCCCAATCTAAATCTCAGACGATTTTTCTGTGGAAATTGAAAACATGATTCTAAAATTTACACAGAGGAAAAGTGCCTAGAATAGTCAAAATGATTTTGAAAAAACTAAAGTCGGAGGAGTTACACTACCTGATGTCAATATCTAATATAAGCTATAGTAATGAAGACAAAATGACTTTATCAAAGTCTACACCTATAAATCAATGGAGAGATTGATTTATATCAGGAAAAAAGGGAATAAGAAGGGCCAGGCGTGGTGGCACACACCTGTAATCCTAGCACTTTGGGAGGCTGAGGCGGGTGGATCAAGAGGTCAGGAGATCGAGACCATCCTGGCTAACACGGTGAAACCCTGTCTCTACTAAAAATACAAAAAAAAATTAGCCGGGCGTGGTGGCGGGTGCCTGTAGTCCCAGCTACTCGGGAGGCTGAGGCAGGAGAATGGCGTGAACCTGGGAGGCGGAGCTTACAGTGAGCCGAGATCGCGCCAGTGCAGTCCAGCCTGGGCAACAGAGCAAGACTCCGTCTCAAAAAAAAAAAAAAAAAAAAAAAAGAAGGTGCCATGCCATAGTGTTCTGCCTGTCTAACAGGAATTACAATCATTCCAGAAATGTACTAGATTTCTCTTAGCATTTCAGAAGTGGGTCTCATGTATACTCTTAGCCCAGGAGCTACACCTCCCTTCTCTGAGACCAAAGAGTCTATTCCCAATAAATGATTTATTTTATCATATACATATGACATATTATAAAGAATTATATGAATATAAATTCATATTATAAACAGTTTGAAATAAAGAGAAAAAATATCCTCCCAAATAATACCAAAACATGTTGTGTTTGCAAGAAAAAAGATGGGAGAATATTTTTACTAGACAACAGTCTTCCAAATGTCATTCTTTTGGATGTCTATGTCACATGTCGAAGCCTCCAAGACATGCTGCAGTATACACACTTCATTTTACCTAAATAGACATTTCTCAAAAGAAGACATACAAATGGCCAAGCAGTATATGAAAAAATGCTCAACATCACTAATCAGGGAAATGCAAATCAAAACCATGATAACATATCATCTTACTGCAGTTAGAATGGCTATTATCAGACAGACAAAAAAAATAAGAAATGTTGGCAAAGGTGGGGAGAAATGGGAACTCTCATCCACTGTTGGTAGGAATGCAGAGTAGTACAATCATGATGAAAAACAGTATGGAGGTTCCTCAAAAAACTGAAAATAGAACTACCATATGATCCTGCAATCCCACTGCTGAGTTTATGTCCAAAAGAAAGCAAACCAGTATATTGAAGAAGTGTTTGCCTTTCCATGTTTATTGCAGCACTATTCGCAATAGCCAAGATACTGAATCAACATATGTCAATCAGCAGATGAATGGATAAAGCAAATCTGGCACATACACACCATGGGATATTATTCTGCCATAAAAAAGAAGGAAATTCTGTCACTTGCAGCAATATGGATGGAACCGGAGGTCATTTTGTTAAATGAAATGAGCCAGGCACAAAAAAACAAATATTGCATGTTCTCACTCATATTGCATGGGAGCTAAAAATGTGGATCTCATGGATGTAGGGAGTAGAATGGTATTTATCAGAGTCCGAGAAGGGAAGGAGGAGGATATGAAGAGAAGATGGCTAATGGGTACAAAACTACAGTTAGATAGAAAAAATTAAGTTTGATATTCAATAGTACAATATGGAAATTATAGCTGATTTATTGTATATTTCCAAATAACTAGAGAAGAATTATAATGTTTTAGCACATTACACAAGGGAAGGGACGTGCAGGTCCTGGGCTAGGAGTGTACATGAAACCCACTTCTGAAATGCTAAACACAAAAATAAGTGTTTGAGGTGATGGATATCTCAATTATGCTTTGATCATTACACCTTGTATACATGTATCAAAATATCACATGTACTCCAAAAATATGTATAACTGATCAGTTATAAAAAAAGAAATATGCTTCACTTGGTTTAATTTATGTTTCCAAAATATTTTAGCACCAAACTTTTTTTTTTTTTTTTTGAGATAAGGTCTCACTTTGTTGCCTAGGCTGGAGTGCAGTGGCACAATCACGGCTCACTGCAGCCTTGGGTATTTTTAAAAAATTTTTTCTAGAGGCAGGGTCTCATTATGTTGCCCAGGCTGGTTCATAACTCCTGGGCTCAAGTAACTCACCGGCCTCAGGCTCCCAAAGTGCTGAAATTACATGCGTGAGCCACCACACCTTGCCACAAGTTGTTTTTCACATAATGGTTATGCTCTTATCAGTGTTGTTCAACAGAATTTTCCATGAGGCTAGAAATGTTTTCTGTATTTCCACTGTTCAATACAGTAGCCACTAGCTACACTGTGAACCCTTGAAATGTAGCCAGTGCAACTGATAAAATGAATTTTTAATTTTATGTAATTTTAAGTAATTAAAATTTAAATTTAAATAGTCACATGTGGTTAGTGGCTGTAATGTACTGAATAAAACAGCTCTAAAACAATATCTATTGCAAAGATTAGATATTTGAAAGACCACTGTAAAACAAGAATGTTGTTCTCAGCACATGACAAAATTAAGTTCAAAGTGATTAAATGACTTGCCCAAAATAAGCACCAAGTGAAAACACAGCCAAGATTTAAATGCAAATAAACCAAATTAGTGTGTTTCAAACTGCATGTTCTTTTCATTGTTCTACACTTCCTTAAAGATGCTACAGAGATGAGTATTTGTTGGTAACCTGTTGTATTTGTAAATGTTTATGGGGATATATATATTTACTGCTTCTATTTGCATAAATTTGAATTTTGCTGCATTTTTTATTATTATGGAAATAATATAGTTCCAGATCCATTCTTTTCAAATGCAATTTTTAAATAAGCAGTAAGTGGACATTTTCATTTGGTTGATGCAGAAACTGAAATGTAAAAAAAAAAAAAAAAAGATACATTAAATTTTATATCTGCCTTATATTGAAGACATTTTACAGCTATATAAGGAAAAATAGAAGTGGAAATAATTTTGATCATTTATATTAACTGAGGAATCTTAGAGGAGTAAGTTTCCACTTACATGCACACTGATATTTTTCATCTTTAACATTTTAAATCCAGTCCAATGTGCAAAGTAGTAACATCACGTTACAGAAGTTAAGGTTTAGTTTGTTGTATGGTTAGTAGTATGCACTTCCAAAATCATATAAAAACTGTTGGAAATACTCCTAAGTTTAGCTTTAAGCACTATATTCCTCAGATTGATGAGTGCTGAACATGACCTCTATTGACAAGTTATTTATTGACAATTTGAGGGCTCCAGTTTTCCCAGAGAACACTCTATTACATGTAACCAACGATGATTGTTATGAATGTCTTAAAGGTACTGATACATTTACACCAAACAGGAAGAGACAAATAGGTCATGTTAGGTACATTTACACCAAACAGGAAGAGACAAATAGGTCATGTTAGGTGTAACTTCGGTTTTCTAAGATTGCTTTTTAGAATATTATCTGAAAAAGAGTATATTATATTTCTAAATATTATGAATTAGGATATTTTTGATTTATGTATTAGGTAAATATTTTATAGGCTATAATGATTATCAATGACTTTCAGTGAAAAATAATGCATTTTTAATGTTTTACTTATTTTAAATACTACCAACACTCTAATTTTAATTATGGGACAGTTATAGGCCAAGAAAAAAATGGATGAAAAATTAGTCAACTGCTACAAATGGTTTTGCCCCAAGGATAAAATTACATATTTTCCTTAGTTCTCCAAATTGTAATATGTTACTCTTATGAAGAAAAAATAAATAATAAGTATGTAAATACCACATAAAACCTTCAAAAAATTAACTCAAAAGAGACTTTTTTTAATCTAAGTACATAAAATGATTGACCAACTTTTGATTTGATTTATTAAAAAGATAAGTTAGAATGGGTTTTACTTTTTAGAAAGGATTTGCATGGCAAAACGAAGTGAAAATCGTGAGCTAATTATGTGGTAAATTTAATTAGTGTAGCCACCTAATCAGAATTATTCAAGCTCATTATAGCTCAAAGAAAGTAAAACCACCCTGCCCAAGACCCAGCCAAGTGCAAATAAACATTTAGTAAATCCTGCTCATAGTAATAAACAAAATTAAGAACTTTCCTTCTATTCTAGCTATTTTCTTTTAATATGTGGGAGTATGAGGCATCAGATAATTTCCTCAATAGGCTTATTTTCAAGGAAAAACAAACTAAGAAAGCCATTTCTTCATCTATTGATTGTTGCACATGTAACTCAGCCACAACTGAACATTTTCAAAATCATCTGCATGTGCCATGCTTGGCTAGGACCACAGGTAGAGGGCAATTGCAGAAACGAAGATAATTTTCTTCCTTTCTGAGGTTTAGACCATTGAAATGAGAAAATGTATGGGTCAGTATGTAGTTATAGTTTACGTGCAGAGCAGTTGCCTTATATCAACTTGAGATCAATCCCGTGCTACCCCAATGGAACACTCTTGGATTGAAAAGAGAAGGGACACCATCTAGGACTTTTGCACAAATGTCTAGGCTGCTAATCTTAACTTTCTTCTTCCCTTGTAGAGAACAATATCCAAGTAATGTTTTGGAAAACGGAAACTCTATATTCCTGACTTCCCTTCCTAGGGAGTGGGACCCAGGGACAGCTGCAAGGATCTGCAGGCACTTTCTAGGCTCCCCTTGGATTGTTTACTTTCCTCCAGAAGCCAGAAAAGGAAAAGAAAATAAAGCATTGTAATATAAACAAAGGTAATGTTATTGACTATAGTTGTTTTCTGTTGGCACTGTAACAAATTACTGTAAATTTAGTAGCTTAAAACGGCATACATTTATTCTCTTACAGTTCTGAAGATCAGAAGTCCAAAATGAGTCTTACACAAGGTTTTGAAAGGGTGGGTTTCTTCTGGAAGTTTCAAGGGGGAATCCATTCCTTTGTCTCTTCCAGCCTCTAAGGCTGCAGGCATCCCTTGGTTTATGTCTGTGTTAGTCCAATCTCTTATGCTATCATCACATCGCCTTTTCATCTTCTATAGCCAAATCTCCCTCTGCCTCTCTTTTGAAAAGACTCTTGAGATTACACTGGGACTCCTGGGTAATCCCGAATAATCTCCCCATCTCACAGTCCTTAATGTAATCACATCTGGAAGGTATCCTTTCAGGGATCAGGACCTGGATATCTCTGGGGGCCATTATTCAGCTCACCACACTGATATTGGTGGTTCTGGTGGCAGTGGTAATGAAGACAGCAGTAATGGTACTGCAGATGGTAGCAGAAGTGTTGATGAAGTTCATGGTGATAGTACAAACTATGATGGTGGCAACGGAGGCAACGTTGATGTTGGCAAAGGCAATGGTGGTGTTAATGTGAGCAGAATAGCAGGACTGGGAACATCAGCAAAGGGGGTTTACTCTCAATGGTAGTTTAGACGTCGCAGTGCACAGTACTCTTGCCCATGGCTCTAAAGGACAGGCCAGAGTGCCCCAACCAGACTAACTACATCCTGGCCTTCAACAAGCAATGTCAGCCCAGTGGGAAGCTAAGACAGTTTCTTGCTTGTGGGGGGAAATGATTTATACACAAAAACTACAGTTACACAGAAGTCCCCTTCAAAGTATGTAAAAGGCAGAAGGATGTCACCTACGGAAGAATAGCTAGTCACATAGTGGATTGATCTGGAACTGAGACAAAGCTGGTAGCTCATGAGTCTATGACGGTTTGAATGTTAAGCTCATGAAAAGAATTTATCCTTCCTTTGTAACTTCTCCAGGATTTTCTGTACGATTAATTTTTCCAGTATACATGATGGAAGACTGTCACCTCCAAGGTATGTGTGTGACTTGGGAGCCACTGTGTGCAACCTTCTTTGGAGAAGCAAATGATGTGCTGCATATTTAGTCACACTTCTTAGTGTGTTCTAGTGACTTCGGGCAGTCTCTTTCTAGGACACAGCGCCCTCCCAATAAGTTGATGTCTCAAGAGGCATGATGATTTTTTCTCGAAGGAGAGTTTGTCAGCATGATTGCCTATGCTCCACTTCCTGGAGGCATTTGTGCATTCTCCTTAACATAAATAAATACTTCCCCTCTGGAGGTAAGGTAGCAGGCATCCAGTAGCCAGGCCATGGATTTTGACAATTAGCTTTCACAATTCCCTGGAAAGAAAACAAGTTGTGTACCAGGCCACCAGTAGGAAAGAGACTTGCTCTGGATACTATAGACGGTTGCATTGAAACTTACTCCATCTTGATGCGTCGGTGTGTTGTAAATGCCCCCTGCTCCACTACCCTATGGATTAAAAATAAAATTTCACAGGGAGGAGTTTTCATCAGCTACCTCCAAATATTTTGCAGGTAGAGGCTCTGATCTCTCCCTGTTTTCAGCCTGCTCAGCACCCTGTCCTGAGAAGTCTGTTTCTTAGACATCTATTATAACTGACATATTGTTGCAGTGGGGGTGAATAGATGCATTAGGCAGATGATCTTAATTGGCTTTCTTCCAAAAGAATTTTTTTAAGAAGAGACAGCTGAAATTCATTCACATTTACAATTAGTAAAACTTTCTTTCATTATTGAAACGCTTGCTGAAACAGCAGCCACATCAGGGTGACAAATCCCGTTATCATGCTTTCTGTAATTGTCTCCCCAAAAGACGCCTATTGAGAGCATTGTCTGGGCTTGTGTATTAGACTGACAATCAAGCTCCAGGCAGAGGGTAGAGGGGCATATGCAGCCTGCCCCAAAATGCTTTTGTGTGTGGGGGGGGGAGGGCTGTGTGTGTGTGAGTGTGTGTGTGTGTGTGTGTGTGTGTGTGTGTGTGGTTGTTCAGCAGAGAGAGCTAAGATTCTGGAAAAATATGAGGACGCACTGTGCGTACTAACAAGATCAGTCACCAGGCATTAGTGGGATTCTCGTGCTTTGCGTCTTTGGTTTTCTATTTTCTCATATTTTTCTCTGCGAGCAACCACAGGTGCTATTTGTTTGTCAGGCTGTTACTGGGGAAAATGAGAATGGGGGAAGAGATCATTTCTTTTTAAGTGATCAGTTAACAGCTGAACTCACATGGCTAACAATAGAATCATGATGAAAGGCAAACAGAAGAGTGTAAAGATTATTCCTTAAGAGTCTCATGGAATGAACTGTTTCCTGAAGGGGCTGGGAAGGAGCTACTTGCTTTGGACCTTGTGTGCCTTCGTGGCCAACGCTGGTGAAGGGGACTCCACAGGCCACTCTGGGCTGACACTGGTAGACGGATTACTGTGGAGGATGTTAAAACAATTCTCTCAGTGAGAATGAAGAAGGAATAGGTAATACCTTCAAATATGGAGCAGAAGGAGAGGGGGAGAGGGAAGAAGCATCAGTGAAGCAATGCCGATCATTGCTGTTTCAGTTCTCATGAGACCTGAGTCTCATTTTCTTTCACCAAGCCAACTGCCTGAGGGGTGCTGCTTAAATACCTTTGTCTGTTTATTGGATTGTCCAGCATGCACTGTGTTGCTCTCTCCCATATTCATCCTGAACGCTGACAGTTCCTTTCTCTTTTGCCAATTCACCTAGAATCACGTTGGCTAATACAATCTGTGCCTGCTCCATTCCCAAGAGAGCTCCCTCTCGTTCCAAAACTGCAATTCCAACCCAGTGAAACCTGCTGTCCTCACAGTCAGCCTTGCTCTGATTGAGAAAGAGCCGTGTGCTCGGTGTTATGTTGCTACTGGAGCATATCAGGGAAGAGGCAGATGCACAATGTGAGGTTGAGGGGTGAGGCAATAAATAACATGGCTTGAAAGAGACTAATCGAATTTAAAAGAAGATAGTCTCCTGCCCGCAGCATCCTAAGGTGACAGGAATGAAGCTGAACTCTGCATGATATTGTTACTGATATCTTTTCAAGGTTTCCATGCTTCCCCTTAGTGCATCCTGAAATTAACTAGAATCAAAAAATTAAGAATCTTCATAATCAGCACCATCAATGCAGAAACCAATTTCTGTCATAATCACATTAGTATTTCCAAGCTGGCATGTGCCAGGCACATAGTAGGTACTAAATAAATTTTCATTGAATGAATGAATGAGTTGAGCTCAGCTTTGCCACATACCATGTGACATTGGTAAGTTTTCAAGCTACTTGGCACTATAAACGAACAACCATCACAAAATAATGCCTTTGCTTTCAAGAAGCCTAAAGTCAAGTATAAGAGACAGAACCAAGTGTCCAGGCCCTTGACTTGCTAACCTGAACCTGACTCTGCCTCAACACGGCCATTGCAGTTGGCCCTCCTCACCACAAGCTCACCAGCTATCATTCTATTTGAACTCTGTCATCAGAAACTCTCTTGGAACCTGGATACCAGCCCGTTTCAATAGACTTCTTGTCACTATTAGCTAAAATATTAGTCCCACAGTTCTTCCATTTGTCATCCCAAACTCTTCTCGCCCTCCCTCTCCCTACCTCCATCTAAATGGTCAGAGAAACCAAGAAATGGATTACAAAGGTCTCAATCTAAGTAAACAAGGGACTTGTTCTGCAAATATAGCTTCAAGACAAGTCTCCAAGCCCTCATTTTCAATATATTTTGTACTCATAAGCCTCTCCTGCAGAGAAATTCTAGAACTCCTACTGCTCTAACAAGTTTTAACTGAGGCTTCTTCAACTCTCATTTACAACTTCAAACTCATCCAAAGTTTTTCTTAGACCCTCTCTCATGGAGGCATCTTATTCTCCTGCCATCCATATCCCACAATAATTAGGAGATTGAACCTTCCAGGCTCACATCTTTTTCTGACCAGGCTTGACCAATGGCAATCACATAAATATCCTATGAACAGTCACCTTCCTCACAATCCTTACAATATCAGATCTTAATCTATCCTTGGGTCATTCCCATATGTCATCTTCTCTGTTCCTATATTCAGACTACTAAACATTACTTGAGAAAATCCCAGCAACCACGTGGACTAGTGATACAATGACATAGGGATCCCCAATCTCACCTGGACTCTTACAATTACCTGACATTTGTTTATTTG
Source organism: Homo sapiens (assembly GCF_000001405.40). NCBI lineage: Eukaryota > Metazoa > Chordata > Mammalia > Primates > Hominidae > Homo > Homo sapiens. The sequence continues at coordinate 93,263,980 of NC_000008.11, forward strand.
TCCTTGGTTCTTGGTTCAACCTTGCGATAGTTAATTCGGTATCAAATTAGCTAGGCTGTGCTACCCCAGTTGTTTGCTAAAATGCCAATCTAGATATTGCTGTGAAGGTATTTTTTTAGATGTGATTAACGTTTAAATCAGCAGATGTTGAGTAAAGCTGATTACCCTCCATAAAGTGGGTGGCCCTCATCCAATCAGTTGAAAATCTTAGAGAAAAGATTGAGGTCCCTCAAAGAAGAAAGAATTCTGCCTAGAGATGGCCTTCAGACTCAAGTCTGCAATGTTGACTCTTTCTGGGTCTGCAGCCTGCTGGCCTACCCTACAGATTTCCGGCTTGCCAGCTCCCATAATCACGTGAGCCAATTTCTTAAAATAAACCTCTCTTTCTCTCTCTCTCTGTCTCTCTCTCTGTCTCTTTCTCTTTCTCTGTTGGTTCTGTTTTTCTGGAGAACACTGACTAATACTAGCACACCCTTCAGCAACTATTAAAAATGCCTGCAGACGGGCGCAGTGGCTCACGCCTGTAATTCTAGCACTTTGGGAAGCCAAGGAGGACGGATTGCCTGAGCTCAGGAGTTGGAGACCAGCCTAGGCAACACGGTGAAACCCCATCTCTACTAAACTACAAAAAAAATTAGCCAGGTGTGGCAGCATGCACCTGTAGTCCCAGCTACTCAGGAAGCTGAGGCAGTAGAATCACTTGAACCCAGGAGGCAGAGGTTGCAGTGAGTCAAGATCACGCCACTGCACTCCAGCCTGGGCGACAGAGTAAGACTCCTTCTCAAAAAAAAACAAAAACAAAACAAAAAACAAAACAAAACAAAAATAACTGTCTGCTACTCTCTTCAGCTCCTTTCCACTTCCCATCCCTCTCACTCTCAGGTGACCTTGCTTGGTGCACCCAGAAGACTTAGGCAAAATCCAATCTGACCTGACTCAATTACCCAACATCCTACTTCTAATGATCTCACATCCAGGTTGCACTGCCTAGGGAACCCTTTTATTTAACACTTAAAGAAAAAGATTTGAACCCTCATTAGATACTTTGTGGTGACTACCAAAATGTTTTACCAAGGTAGGAATGGTTTATGTGTTCCTTGAATCTGTCCACACTTAAAAACTTTCTTTCTATGGCAGAAAACCATTTTTCTTACTCGAGGCTACCATTCTTTTTGCTGTGTAACAAACATGTACGCATGGTTTGGGTCACTAAGTGGATTTAGAGCAGAACAATAAAGGCCATTCTTTTTATTTATTTATTTATTTATTTTTGAGGAGTCTTGCTTTTGTCGCCTAGGCTGGAGTGCAATGGCGCAATCTCGGCTCACTGCAACCTCCGCCTCCCAGGTTCAAGCAATTCTCCTGCCTCAGCGTCCCGAGTAGCTGGGATTATAGGAGCCCACTACCACACTCGGCTTTTTTTTTTTTTTTTTGTATTTTTAGTAGAGATGGGGTTTCGCCATGTTGGTCAGGCTGGTCTCGGACTCCTGACCTCAGATGATCCACCTGCCTCGGCCTCCCAAAATGCTGGGATTACAGGCATGAGCCACTGCACCCGGCCAATAAAAGCCATTATTAACATTGCATATTAAACATCACTATCCTCAAACCCATTGGCCATTCCCTGTGATCTGGAACTTCGTTCTGGCTGTGAGCCCCCTAAAGAGCAAGCTTGCTGTCATTTTCTCAAGCCTTTCTCCTTAATAATAACCCAACTGTCCAACCCAACTCTCACTGCTCTTTGATAGATTTTCCTTACTTCTCTCCAGGAATACCCTTCCCAGAAACTACCAATTCCTCCTACTTTATTTTTTAATTTTGTTTTATTTTTTGTTTGTTTGTTTTGAGACAGGGTCTCATTCTGTCACCCAGGCCGGTGTGCAGTGGCAGGATCTTGGCTCACTGCCACCTCCACCTCCTAGGCCCAAGTAATCTTCCCACCTCAGCCTCCCAAATAGCTGGGATTACAGGCACATGCCACCATATGTGGCTTATATATTTTTTTTATTTTTTGTAGAGACAGGGTCTCACTATGTTGCCCAGGTTGGTCTCAAACTCCTGGGCTTAAGGAATCCTCCCACCTCGGCCACCCACAATGCTGGGATTACAAGCCTAAGCCACCACGCCTGGCCTCATCTTTCTTCGTCACACAGCGCAGTTCTACTCTATCTTGACCTAACCATAGAACAGCAGTTCTCAGTGTGTTATTTAGAATCTTCATCTGTAGAGTCACCTTTTTAAGTGGTTGCTAAGGGGAAAACTATTTTTACAATGTAATTAAGAAATTATTTGCCTTTTTCACTGTCATTTCTCATTAGTGTGTAGTGAAGATTCTGGAGCCTGCATGATGTGGGATGTGACTACAGACTTAATGCAGAAGTAGACATGGGACTCCAGCTGTCTCCTATCAAGAAAGACTTCAAAAACAAACAATCAAAAAGGCCAGGTGTGACAGCTCACACCTGCAATCCCAGCACTTTGGGAGGCCAAGGAGGGAGGATTGCTTGAGCCCATGAGTTCAAGACCAGCCTGGGAAACATAGGATAACCCTGTCTCTACCCCCACAAAATACAAAACGTGGCTGGGCATGGTGGCATACTCCCATAGTCTCAGCTACTTCGGTGGCTGGGGTAGGCAGAGTACTTGAGCCCAGGAGGCGGAGGTTTTAGCGAGCCAGGATTGTGCCACTGCACATCAGCCTGGGTGACAGAGACAGACTCTGTCTCAAAAAACAAAGATTTTAGAGACATTTTCAAAAATGTAAAACAGTAGCTCTCTTCTGGCTAATTATTTAGTTTTGAAAATAGAGTTATTGGCAGAGCACGGTGGCTCACTCCTGTAATCCTAGCATTTTGGGAAGCCAAGGCAGGCGGATTACCTGAGGTCAGGAGTTCGAGACCAGCCTGACCAACATGAAGAAACCCCATCTCTACTTTAAAAAAAATACAAAATTAGCTGGGCATGGTGGCACATGCTTGTAATCCCAGCTACTCAGGAGGCTGAGGCACGAGAACTGCTTGAACCTGAGAGGCAGAGGTTGCAGTGAGCCAAGATTGCGCCATTGCACTCTAGCCTGCGCAACAAGAGCAAAACTCCATCTCAAAAAAAAAAAAGAAAGAAAAAAGAAAAAAAAAGAAAAGAAAATAGTTATTTTTCATAAAATATCTCATTTTGTTAGCATTTGATTGATTTTAGTTTTAAATAAATTAAAAATATATTTAAAGCAATTTCTGTTTCAATTTCTAATATGGTAAACACTTAAAACCTACATAAAAAAACTCTTCAGGGTCCTCAATATTTTTTAAAAGTGTAAAGAGGTTCCTGGGGCTACAAAACTCCAGGACCCTCCAGGCCATGCTGTGCTAGGCCTCCATCTTTCACACTCCAAGAGGCCATTAAGGAATTTTCTTCTGAAGATTCAATTCTTCTGATATGAATTATGAAAGTTCTCCAGAATTAATAAGCATTTAAGCCAATTTCTATAAATGTTATTTTTCTTTCTGCTAAAAGTCAATCATATTTCTACATATTCATCCTTTCTTCCCTCCAGACTCACACCAGTGGGACCCTCACTCCTGTCTGCCCTTGTACTTACATTCTCAGTCATCCTCAAATGCTTTCTCTCTTTTCTGTTTCCTTCTTTTTTTTGCTTTGTTTTGTTTTGTTATTTTGACAGGGTCTCCCTCTGTCACCCAGGCTGGAGTACAGTGGTGCTACCATAGTTCACTGCAGCCTTGAACTCCTGGGCTCAAGTGATCTTCCTGCCTCAGCCTCCTGAGAAGCTGGGACTATAGCTGGGAATATGGGCACAGACCATCATGCCTGGCTAATTTTTTTTTTAACATTTTTTTACCTTTTTTTTTTTTTTTTACTTTTTGTAGAGACAGAGTCTCATTATGTTGCCCAGGCTGGTCTTGAACTCCTGGACTCACGCAATCTTCCTGCCTCGGCCTCCCAAAGTGCTGGGATTACAAAAGTAAGCCACTGTGCCTGGCCTCTTTTCTATTTCTTAAACAGTTTCTTATGTATTGCTTATTTCCTTCAGCCTATAAATGGGCTTGGCTTGCTCCAATTAAAATATATATAGATGTAATTTATATTAATACATATGTAATTTTATTACATATAGAGCATATGTATATGGGCATGTGTGTGTGTGCGTGCGTGTGTTGCTTCATTCCCTTGATAGTTCTACACTATTTCTCAACTTCTCTTTTCAGCCAAGCTTTTGGTGAGAAGAGTCAATACTTTTTCTGTCTCAACTTCCTCACACTCCACTCACTCTTCAGTTCCTTGGAACTAACTTCTGACTGAATTCCTCCACAGCAAATATTTCAGGGATGGTCTTCCAAAATGCAAAATCCAAGGAACGCCACGTAGCCCTCACCAAAAAGAATTCTCTGCTGCACTGCACATTGCACACTGCTCTCTCTGACTTCTATGGCACTGTTCTTCTGGCATTACTTCCTCTCTGACCATTCTTTCTCAGGTTCCTTTATAGAAGATGCCTATTAATACTTAAACTCCCAAAATATTACTTTCCAGATTTGTGTCCACACTTTCCAGAGTTCTGTCCATAAACTGGTTGGATGTGAAAATCAACGAAGGGACTTAAAGAAGTCCATCAGATTCCTGACTTGATTAAAGGCTGAAGCTAGCAACTGAACCACAGAATATGGCCAAAGAAAAGCATGTTTGGGAGGGGGAATAGGCTGAATGGGGAGAGGACAGTTTCCGGTAGCAGAAAGATTGAAATGCATAGATGCACATCATCTCTAAGGTTTCTTTCTCTTCTAAAATCCATGTAGTTGGATGCATTCTTGAATTAGATGCAGATTATAGCACAATATATAATTATGGAAGCATATAAGATAAGCTGAATAGCCATTTTCCAGAAATGATGTTGGAAAAACTGCTTAAACTGACCAAGTAGACTAACTGCCCTCAAAAGTCCCTTCTATATTCAGATCTTATGATTCTATGAAATACTATTATAGTATTGATCACTGGACCAGAGACTTAAAAATAATTAAGGCTGCTGAAAGTCAGTGCATATATCACATGGGAAATCTTCTACAGTGGGCTGAGATGAGGGGGTGGAGACTCTCTTCAGCTTCCTGCTTACCTTTCTGCCCTGTGCCTCCTCTACCTGGGCTGTCCAATGCGGCTCTACTCTCTCCTCTGCCTTTTTCCCTGTTAAAACTAGCTTGGAAGCAAATCTCTCACTGTGAACGTAAGTGACAAATTACCTTGCCCAGTGGTTTGTACATATTAAACCTTATTTCTACTTCAAGAATGTTAAGTATTACCTGATGCTGAAGTTACCCAAATCATTTTTCCAGGTCAAGCCTGTCTCCTCAGATCCACATAAATATATCCAGTATGCCCTGCCACATAGACGCATCAGGATGCACAATTTCCTGAAGCCTTTCTCTGTCTACACTGCCCATGCCCCTCTCCCGTGAGCCATGCTTAGTTATGGGCACTGCCATGTGTCCATTTTCCTAAGCCAGACCCATGTTGGACTCTTCCTTTTACACCAGATACTGAATAGTATAATTCCTTACTGTCTCAGTCCATACCCTCCTCTTTGGCTCTTGGTTATAGCTACAGGACAATTGTCCCATTATCTGCTATTGCACAATTGTAATGGTCTCTAGCCCTGCCATTCCTCCAAGCAGTTCTGCATATTTTTTCCAGAACCATCTTTTTGAATTGCAAATGTGATGATGTTGCCCCCATGAGGCCCAGCCCAACTCTCAAGTCTCATTTTACCTTTACCCCTTTATCACACTCTATCCTTCAGCCACTCGGAACTCCTTGTTCTGCATACCACTGCACTCTCTATTCATTTCTCACTTATCTACAATGTCCACCTAGAAAAATCTTATCTTTTAAAATGCAATTCAAGGTTGCCTTGTTAATGAAATCTTTTATTTCATCCAGTAAGAATGGGCTATTCCTCTTTTCAGTCTGCCAGTGCCTTCAGTGGATGTCACTCATAAGAATTTATTACTTTTATTTAGTCATATATTATTATTGCTTCTTGCATACTCTTTGAGATCATTAAATGTCATGAGCATGTTGACAATTATCTCTGCTTCCACAGAACAGACTAGGCACTCAGTAAACAGTAAACAAGTAAATGTAAAATGTATAATTGCAATAAAATCATCTATTCTCCAAAAGAATATCAGAAATTTCCCAGTAGATGAAATAACTATTGCTACCAAAATAAAATTGCAAATGTGTATCAACTTTGGACTAGAGAAAGAACAAGATGAAACTAAAGGCAGGAAAATGTTTATTATTTTCCATATATCTCACCCTTCGGTGAAATCAATATGCTTGCTGCCTTGCTTTATTCTACCTTAATGTGAGAACTTTCTAGAAAGCTGTATTAATGGAGTAGGAGGAGACTATTAGCATTTATTGTGACCCTCACTTAAGTGCTAGGAATATATTAGCCACTTTGATATAAATAATCTCATTTAACCCACACAGCTCTTCATTCCATCTAATATAATCCCTGTCATGGCAAATAATAAACTGAAGGTCAGAGAAGTTAGTTGACTTTTTCCAAATTTACACAACATTTGATCAAGGCAGGATTCAAATCCAAGACTTTGATTCAAAGGCCTATGATCTTTCTATTTTACACTACAAGAATTTGTACCCAGGCAGATGGTTTCTCCTTGACCTTTTTAATGTGAAGGTAAAAGGATACAAAGATCCCTAAGAAATAGACAAATGTGTATAAAAGCAATAAAACTGGTCACATCTTTTGAGATTAGTAATATAATGAGTCAAAAGTAATTTGCTTGTCTGTAAACTTCTTTTGTATTTATTTATTTATTTTTTGAGACAGACTCTTGCTCTGTCACCCAGGCTAGAGTGAGTGGCGCAATCTCAGCTCACTGCAAACTCCGCCTCCTGGGTCCTGGTTCAGGTGATTCTCCTGCCTCAGCCTCCCTAGCAGCTGAGACTACAGGCACGTGCCACCACATCCAGCTAATTTTTGTATTTTTAGTAGAGACAGGGTTTCACCATGTTGGCCAGGCTGGTCTCAAACTCCTGACCTCATGATCCGCCTGCCTCAGCCTCCCAGACTGCTGGGATTACAGGCGTTAAGCCACTGCACCTGGCCTATAAACTTCTTCTTAAGTGACATTTTAAAAAGCAGAGAACACTATTGTAAATCCTTCTCCTTTCCACCTTATGATAAAATTTCTTCATTTTTTGATCTCAATGTCTTCTGTTATTTTCACCTGAGTAGGATTGCTTCAGGGTTCAACCTGACAACCAACACTCCAACAGTGACCAGTGACGTGAGATAAATGGATGGAACCATCCCTGGTGTTTTCAGGCAGTTTTCTCATAACTTGTTACTGACATTGTCGCCCTTCTCAAGGACCCTGCATGTAAAGAGAAGTGTTCATTCCCACATCACTCTAACTGTCCTCAATGGCAACATTCATTGTTGCTTTCTGAATAAGTGCAGGTTCTCCTTGACTCTTAGCCTAGACAGTAGCTAAGCCACAGTATCCAAGAGTAGTCCAGTTTTAGGATAAAGCAGATTTAAATATCAGGTTTAAAATAAATGAGCAAATAAAGGGTGAGGAGCTGGGGTTGCTAAAGATCATTCACAATGAAGATGAAAAGAGAATGAGGAGGAGGAGGAGAAGAAACACTTATTAAATGCCTACTGTATGCTAAGGACCATGATGACTCATTTACAGCCTCTAACTCCGTGAGGTACATACTATTGTCTCATGATTACAGATGAGGAAACTGAGGCTTAGAGAGACTAACCTTCCCAAGTATACACAGATTTGAGCCACAGACCCTACCACACTGGATTTAGGCTGAGAAAATTAGCAAGGTGAGACTGGCAGTGGATAACGAGTTTTATAGGAGTTCAGGAAAATACTGAGAGGCTTTGCATCCTTCATGTTTGAAATTTGCACAATGAAGTCAATTTCTAAGACCCCCCACAGCACCAAAATATTGGGAGATGATGGCCAACATTTTCTGCTCTCTGGATCAGATATGGCAAATGGGAGTGTTTACATACATCAAGAAAAACTAGCTAAAAGTATACTGAAATTACAACTCCTCTTTAATGTGTTTTCCTGGTTATGAAAAAAGTACGTGCTGGTGCTGTCATTACCAAGATAAATATTACAGTACTTTGGAAATAACAAGGCATGAGAGAGTGGAAAATGCCTCAAATAACAGATAATTTTAAAGATTTTTTCATTGTGAAATTTTAGAGATATGCAGTTCTGTCTCTCCTTAGAATGAATATACCCACCAACAGCAGAGCCACCACCTGTAGAATATAAGTTAATTTGAGGAATAGATGACTTCCATTTCCATTATCACTTTGACCTTGGTTATGACTCTGGCTATTATGATCCTAAAACTATACAACCATGTAGCTGTTGACAGTTTATAAAGTGCCTTCTTTTATATCATCTCATTTATTTCTCATAACTACCCTAAAAGGTATTTATTGTTAGCCTCTTTTTATAGATGAGGCTCCAAAAGTTTGACTTGCTCCAAGTCATCTGTAATAGGTGAGGGAGCTGAGATTTCAACCTAGGCCTTCTGCTTCCACTATAATATTATGTTTATAATCATACTCATGAGAGCTCATAAAATATTTATTTCCTGATGATAAAACCATTTACATAGATATCTTCTCCTGATTTCCCTGAAGTTAAACTTAATGTCATCTTAATGGTGATGACAAATAGTTTAAGTTGAAACTAGATTTTCTTAGCTATTTTATGACTTGACATTTTAGAGTTTGCCAGAAACTCTCAAGCATAAAGGAAAAGACTAATTGCTCTTTGAATTTTCCTGGTGACTGTCTAGGTTAGGTAAGCAGTGTTAGAGTGCAGATCATTATGCATTTGTAATCTGATAAGCAGCTTGGTAACCAGAAACTGAATCCAAAAAGCTCATCTTGAATTGCACTCTGGCCTGTGATACATCTCTCCATAGATCTGTGTATGTGTATGCAAATGAAAAGTATGTAGATGCACGTATATTTATATCTATACACATATGTATTTATATATACATAGTAATATATAAATATAGATGCCACTTCCTAAATACCAAAACATGCAATCTGAATGAGTTCTGTTACTATGTAGAGTGTGAGGAGTGTGACTCAGATCGTCTAGGAAAATGTTATACATGTTATACACAAGACAAAATTAACATCGCTCCCTCACTGAGCTCATTAAAAAAAATGGGAGAATGGAATCAACTAAAACTTCCAATTGAAAATCGAACAACATATTGGTTTGCTTTCCTCTGAAGGTTTCTTATTGCTCTGACAGAACATGAGACCATTTAAATCACTCCGATGACTATTTGTGGAATTGACAGAAATGTTTGGGGTTAAGTGTCTATGCTTCAAGAAAGCAAGTGAATACTCTCAGCACTGGCCTTCCCGGCTGGGCCTTCCCTCTCTTTGTACTTGCGCCTCCCTAGCAATCAAGCCAGGAGCCCATCACCAGCTTCCTGTTGGAGCCACGGCTGGGGCAGTCTCTGGGTAGCAGACCCAATTGTGTTCCACCCAGGTTACTTGGAGCCTTTTAAACTTCCCTGTGTAATTCTCCTTACAACATAGCTACAGGTACCATTAGTATCTTCACTTTATAGAAAAAGAAACTGAAGCACAGAGGTGTTAAGTAACTTGCCTAAGGTCAGACAACTAAGATTGGAGGCCATCAATTTTGGCTTCAGAGTTCATGTTTTTAACTGTTCATCATATTAATACTTTAAAAATGGTATTTGCTTTTTGAGTCCCAGATCTGATTTGTTTCTTACAAACAGTAAGAATTTAGACAACTTTCTGAAGTTTCTGTACTCAGTTTCTCTTTTTTTCACTTTTTCTGTAAAATGGAGCTTCCTTGCAGCTTGTTTTCACAGACTAAACTTTGGAGCAAAGGAATGTTGTAAATGAAGTCTACACTTATTATTTTACTAAGCCCTTAGAAAAATTAAATGTAGCCACAACTTTTGTAAAAAGTTAAATTATCCCTTTACTAATACAAAACTTGTGATGATTTGGCAAGCATGGATTATTGCTGCTTTTTAAACTGTTGCCAAAATATTAAACAGAATTCCACTTCCAAATTGCTCAAAGATCCTTCCTAAGATGTTGAAATCATGAGTACATTGCCTCAGTTTCAACTTTTGCCTTATATTTGTGCTTCTGGTTTTAGTAATGGAGCCACTAAGCAGGATCATGTTATAATTAAATTCCTTTGTTACAAACTTATAGAAATTTCAGTAGTAGTTATAATGTGTACTGCTTAGTTATATTACATCCTGGGAAAGTCAATCTCAATAAAATGTGCCATATTTCTTGCAGTGAATTCTTAAGTGTAATAGGACAAAGACTCCTTGAAAAATATTTGATCATCAAAGATTTTCCTTTTTTGGTGACATGCATGTGGCACTTAGTGTATGCCGGGCATTGTTTCTAAATGTATTATGTTCATTAATCCAATTAGTCCTTGTAAATCCCATGAGGCAGGTACTGTTATTATCCCTATTTTATAACTAAGAAAACCGAGACATAGGAAGACTTACGCACCCTTCCTAAGACCACAAAGCTAGTAAGTGCTGATAATAGAAAAGTGGATAGGACCCTGGGATGTGACGGCAGGGTCTGTGCTTCAACCACCATGCACACTGCCCCACAGAAATGGAGGGATGGCTTGACCTCATTTATAAAGATTAATCCAGTACAGCTATTTTTGTTTATGCATGTGAGGTAAATACCACACAAAGTTGCCATGCTAAGAATTTTAGTTACATGTCTCATGGAAAAGGTGGTGTCTGTCAAAACGTGTGTTAATGAATCCAAAGTCAAGGTAATTTGACGGAGTTAACATGAAATAAATAGAGTGTGGTGTAGGGAATAACAGTTTGGGAACATTAATTCCAATGGGAAGGTATTCTGGTGAAAGCCAGCCATTAGACAGGCACCAGTGGTTTTCAGGGATTGGTACGGGATTGAACAGGTAGGGAGATATTCTTGGCTGGTTGTGTGACTGTGGGCAAATTTCCTAACGTTTCTACCTTAGACTCCTCATCTATACATAAAGGGATTAAATAAGAAGATACCTGAGATCTTATCTAGCTATACAAATCTTTGGTTGTTAAAGCCTGTGAGTTTGCTTTCATTTTAGTTTTGAGTGGAAAGAAACACCAAGACTTCCAATTTCTTTAATAAATGCATATTGGTTTGTGCTTCAGACAGTCTTCCTTGTGGATTCTGATGCTACCTTTCCAATATATACCCAGGAGGTCCTTGTGATCCATCAATCCATAAATCAGCAGACATGTTTTACTGGTACATTAAATTACAGGGTGCCCTGGAGCAATATACCTGCTGTTTGTCAGCCATTGCCACCTGCCACTGGTGTCTATGGGATTACAACTTCTTAATGAACTGCTGTGGGGTGGGGGTGGTAGGACAAGATGCAAGGAAGAAGGAATTATGATGTAGATGCTGCTGGACATGTTTTCTTGTCTGTTGCCTTATAAAAGAGTCATTAGTTTTTCTCTCTGCACTTAAAGTTGGTCATCTGTCAGTCATCTACCTGTTAGTTTTAATGCATGCAATGAAAGGAAAAGAAAAAACAAGATGGTCTTTTATCATGTGATGTTGACCTAGTTTTTCTGGGGGTGGGACATCTAGATATTCACACTAAACATCACAAAAGGGTTTCTCCCCTACAAAAGAGAAAGCCAGCTATGCATGCATGGATATGCACTCTTTTGTGTACACATGTCACAAGTTATTAGTGCTACTTCTATGTGCCAGAAATTCTTCAAGATACAGGAGCTACAACAAGGAATAAGGCAATGTCCCTCTCCTCATGGAGTTTACACTCTAGTGGGAGAAACACATCGGTAAACTAAAAAATAATATAAATTCAGCTAGTGATACATGCTACGAAGCAAAATAAACAGAGAGAGTGATGGAAGACAGGATGCTGCTATTTTAGGTAGGGTAGCATGGAAAGTCTTTTCTGAGGGAGCATTGCAGGAAAAACATGAATGATGACAGCCATGCCAAGGCCCGGGGAAGAGTCCTCCAGGAAGAGGGAACAGCAGATATAAAAGTCTCAGAGGCAAAATAAGCATTGTGTATTCCAGCAAAAAGAAGGCTAATGATGGGCTAAAGCCTATTATGCATTGGAGGAAAAGGGAGGTAATAGCCACAGCAAAAGAGGCAAAGCAAATTCACATAGGACCTCATATGTCAGAATAACGATTTAGAATTTTATTTGAAGGGAAGTAGAAGCTGTGAGTTTTGAGCAGGAGAATGACATGATCTGACTTGCATTTTGAAAGACTCATTGCTGTGTGTCAGAGGCCTGTGTGAACAAGATGGGAAGCAGGACAACCAGCTAGGAGGATATCACAGAGGTCAGAAGGCCATGCTGGGGTCTTAGACGAGGATGGTAATGGAGGTGAATAGAGAATATATTTTTCTGAATATGTTTTTATTTTTATTTTATTTTTTAAACTCAAAAGTTATTACAAACTGAAGTGGAACCAACAGCAATCCACTAGCTCCTAGATTGGATAGAGAGTAAAAGAAAAAGAGGAAGCAATAATGATCCCTAGATTTCTGGCCTGAGCAAATGGTTTAAGGACAGTGTTACTAATTTAGTTCAAAAAATTAGAGAAGACTCAAGATGAAAAGATCAAAAGTCACATTATGGACTTGTATAGTTTGAGATGTTCATGAGACATTAGAGTTTGTCTGAGGAAAGATTAGGGTAAGAGAGATAATTTGGGTTTCCTTAGTGTTATGTGATGTTTAGACCATGAGACTCAATGGAATACAGTCCCTAAAGAGAAAATGTAGATAGAGGAGTGGCTAGGACCTGTGAATTGAGCCCTGGAGAAGTCCATTATTTAGTACATAGGAGGAGGAGGAGGAGGAAGAACCAGAAGACTGTGATAATGTCTCAGGAATCAAGAGAAGAATATTTTTCCAAAAAGAAAGAGCAATCTGTTTGAAGTCAAGAGTGAGCTTTTGAGTGGTCAAACAACACTCGGCAGAAAACAGACTGCTGAGTTTGAGGCAATGAGGCTCCTAAGTGAAGCATAGCGGTGGGAAGAGAACCTGATTGGGTTAAAGAAAGGAGAATGAGAAAGCAAAAACTCAGAGTGCAGATAATTCTTTAGATGTCTGCTACAAAAGGGAGCAAGAAATGGGAAATGAACACCCTGTGAGTATGGACTAAAATAGAATGAGGTTATTTTGTGTTTTGTGTTTTGTTTTTGTTTCTTTTATGGAAGCTATTTCGGCATCATTTTAGTCTTTGGGGAAAAGAATGAAGAGCAGAAGAGACTCAGACGAGGCACTGGAGCAGCTAAGTCCCTGAGTTGGTGAGAGGGAATGGGATACATTAGTTTTAGGAAGATACAAGGATAGTTCAATCATTTTGTTTTAATAGGTAGAAAAGCAGTTTATATAGGTACAGATACAGGTTGATAGATCAGGGGGTGGTAAGCCGAACAGTCCTTGTTTTTCACTCAACATTCTTAGTACCACACAATTGTTGCCACTGCTCAGTTTGACTTTTCTTCTTTAGTCTTTAAGGTCCTGATTGTATTTTATGTTTTATACAGTTTCTATATAATTTTGGCCTATGCTGATAACTTTAGACTTTTATCAGTTAGATACTTGCAATTCCTAATTTCTTTTTTTTTTTTTTTTTTTTTTTTTGAGACGGAGTTTCGCTCTGTCGCCCAGGCTGGAGTGCAGTGGCGCGATCTCGACTCACTGCAAGCTCCGCCTCCCGGGTTCACGCCATTCTCCTGCCTCAGCCTCCCGTGTAGCTGGGACTACAGGCGCGTGCCACCATGCCCGGCTAATTTTTGTATTTTTAGTAGAGATGGGGTTTCACCGTGTTAGCCAGGATGGTCTCGATCTCCTGACCTCGTGATCCGCCCGTCTCGGCCTCCCAAAGTGCTGGGATTACAGGCGTGAGCCACCGCGCCCGGCCGCAATTCCTAATTTCTATGTAAGTCAAAACTCTAAGTCCATAAAAAAACACAGAAAATTAACTGTACTTCCTCTAATATACTTCAAAAATACCTATCTGTAGATAGATATTTAGTAACCTAAGAATGAGTTGGTGCTCTGGCTTCTCAGTCAAAAGATGCCTCGCTCAGCTATTTAAGGGATGAGTGTACAAAGCCAATGCCATTTATTAGAAAAAAAAAATGCAACTCCTGGATTAGTCTGAGATAGACAAAATAAAAACTATGAATGTGTCCTGCATAATTCCATTGATTTCACTTTTTTTTTCCAGGGACCAGTGACCAAAATTTTACCTGTTAACCATTTCATATCTATTATTGTATGGGCCTCAGCAGCACAGAAGTAGATGATAAAGAATTTTATCATTGTTTCTGGTTATTATAATAGCTATTGACTTGATTTTCTTTTTCTTTCAAAATCAATTTCATAGTTGACAGCTATTAGAAAAATGCATTGTCCATCCTATCTGAGTCTTCAAAAGTGGCACATTCATTCCAAAATTGGGGCCCACCATCAATCAGTCAATCAATCAATCAGCAAACCAGTCAGCTGTGGATTTTCAGATGAATTTAGGACCTCTAACTTTGCTTTCATTGCTCCTTTATTCTCTAATTCTTTTCCTGCTGTCTGCTTCTAACCATTTGACTTTGTTTCCTTTTTCTGTTGACAGATTCAAGCTGATTGTGGTCAGTTTGCTTGGTTTTTAGACTCAGCAGCACTTGCCTTGCACTCCCTTTCTGGACTTTCCTCTTCCAGAGTGCTTTCTAAACATCCCTCTCAGCCTTAGGTAAATAGCAAGTACACATAGTCCGTATAGCCTTCAGGATTTTCTAGTTTTTTTTCAGAAGTAGGGAAATTCAGTCTTGATCTATAAGTGCTATTGCAATACATATATTCAAAGAAAGCAATTTTCTGAAGATTAAAGTATTCGGAAAGGACAATTAAGCTTTTATGAACTGACACATCTATAATACTTGAATATCTCACAAAGGTTAGCAGTTTGTGTTTAGCATGTGTAATAATGGCTAACCTTTGCACAAGTGTCAGATCACACTAAGTTTTTTACGTTTGTTACCTAGTTAAATGCTCACAACAATTCTGTGACCCAGTTATTGCCATTACCCCATTTTACAAATTAGGTGACTGAGGCTCACAAACACTGAGGGACTTGCCCAGAGTCATATAGCTGGAAAGTGACAGAATAAGTTTCAAACCAAGCAAGTCTAAAGCCAAGACCCACCCCCTTAACGAACACATTCTGTTGCCTAAGGAGACATCCAGCATCCAAGCCTTGCACATATCAACCAAAGGACCCCAGGGATCCCCTCACTTGCACCTGCCCCACAAGCTGACCCCTGCAATGCATGAAGACCAAATGTAAAATATTAATATCAAAATTCTGGGTTGGAGCTCCTATAAGATTATGTTTTATTTTGTATCTAATAACAGTTTTTTAATTCATTTTTTGGATAAGATACCCACCAGAGGATCAAACCACCACTAGACTTATAGTCCTAACTGATGGAGGGAAAGTTCCATGTAAATTCAACATTTCTCCTTGTGGTATGTAATTTTAATCACAACCAACAACATAATTATCATTGATTGATTTGATGATTAAATCTATATTTTCTTCTTTTTTGGTCTCTGGCCAGTGCATGGAATCATTTTGCTGGCATTCTCAACACGGGAAAATGTTGAGAAACGAACTGTTTCAAAGAACTAGAGTGTCATGTGGTCTCCTTTCCCAAAATCCATTGCCTTGATTTGGTACTAGAAGTCTAGCCTTTATAAGGCCATCCTGGAGTTTAATTTCCCACTTCCTGAATTAGCATCTGTATTAAGTCGTCTTATTTCTTTTATTAGAAACTTTGCCATGTTTCCCAAAAGTATTTGTCCAAAACTTTTCTTTAGGTCCAATTCAGCACACCTAGTTTAAACTTTTTCATGAGATTTTTACTGACTTTCAAAATATGTCTTAATATAAACATTTGAAAAATGCAGGAAATTGTGAAGTAACAATATCTCTCAAATTCCCATGACTTATTTGATGTTTTATTGGACTTCATAAACATATACCAAAAAATCACAACCAAAACCCCTGGAATAATGGGCTTTATATAGTTTAAACAAAATGCTGACATAGGTATAATTTTTTTTGCTTTTTTTAACTTTATTTACATCATGATTGTTCTCCATTTTCCCATCCATTACAATTATTTTAATAGCTATGTTTTTCTTTTTTAAAATTATGTTTTCTAATCTACTATTCCTAGTTATAAGAACATGAATACTATTGGCATGGTTTATATATAAGCCATGTTTCACATGGCTATGTATCTAACATCATTGCTGAATTCTTATTACTTCAGTAATTTGTAGATTTCCTTAGTTTTTCTGTGTAGGCAATCATTATCACGTGTCAATAACAATTATTTTTATTTCTTACATTCCAGTTTGTATGTATCTTATTTTTTTTTTCTTATTTACCATGATGGATAGAACTTCTATTTCAGTGTGGAGCCATAGTGATAATTCTCATCATGTTTTCTTTTTGATATTAATGTAGTTCTTTTTCATTTGGTCAGTTAATGCAGTAGATTACACACACACCTGGATTTCATTCACTTAAATTATAATTTTTGCATTAAAATCCAAGTTCTGCCATTTTTTAGCTATTATCTTAGATAAGTTACTTAACCAATTTATGCCTCAGTTTTCTCAGCTGGGAATTAGAGTCAAGAATGGTACCAACTTCATAAGGTTGTTGTTAGCATTAAGAAGATAAGGCATGCAAAGTGCTTATAGCATACCAGTAAATGTTCAATTTAAATGTCAATTGTTATCTTCATCATTATAGATGGGGTTAGTTTATAATTTTCTTTCCTTGTACCTTCTGGATTTGGTATAAAGACTTTCTGATTTTTCTGTTTACAGAAACGATTTATGCAAGATATGAGTTGCTTATTCTTTAAAAGAAAACTCACTTGTAACCCCCTACCTGTGGTATCTTTCATGGTAGGTTTTTAATCACTGGTGGAAATTTCCTAGTATATTCAGATTTTTCCAATACTTCTTGGGTTCATTTTGGCAATTGATATTATTTTTTACAAAATCATTTAATCTGCTTAGAATTTATTGGCATAAATCATGAATAGGATTCTTTTGTGTTTTTCATTTCTACTTTGCTGTTGTGTTCTATTTTAAAATTTCTAATATTACTATTTTCTACTTTTTTGCTTTATTCCTTGATTTTGCCAAAAGTTTCTTACTCTTAGCAGTTTTTTCACAAATATCAGCTTTTGCTTTTTGGTCAATTCCATTGCTTTAAAAAATTATTTCTTTATGTTGATTTATATTTCCTTCTTTCTATTTTCTTTGGATTGACTGTGATGCCCTTCTTCCAATTTCTTGACTTGAAAACTTAGCTTTTAATTTTAACTTTTTCTGTGTTTCTTAGTTTTTAATAGACATTTAAAATTATTAAATCCCTCAACCACTAATTTAGCTTTATCCCACAAACCTTGATATTTGATAATTTTATTATTTTCCTTCTACATACTTTTAACATTTCCATTATGATTTCTTCTTTAATCCATGCATTATTTAGCAGAGTGTTTTTTGGTCTCCAAATGCATGGCATTCTTTTGGCCTTGTTTTTATTTCTCATTTCTAATATTATTCCATTATGGTAAAAAAAAATGTGATCTTAACTATACTGCTTCTTTGGTATTTGTTAATATTTGTGTTTTGGCCTACTATATGTTAATTTTTAAAGAAATATTCCACGTGTACTTGAGAAAATATGAATTTCTAAATTTTTTGGTTATAGGGTTTCATACATGTTCATTACATAAAGTTTATTAATTGTGTTGTTCTAATATTCTATCTTAAATATATTCAATGTATATATTGCTTTTACTTTTAAGTCAATATGTCTGATATTATAATATATTGTACCCAACCTTCTTTCAGCTCATAGTTGCCTAGTATACTTTTCTCAAGGCTTTACCTTCGACCTTTCTTTATAATTATTCTTTGATCTATTCTTGTTTAGATAACATTTAGAAAAATAACACAAGGGAGGCCATTTTGTCTCTCTGGATTATCCCCTGCTCTGTGTCATCTAGAGCAATGCATTTGAAAATACTTCAACTCGCGTCAACAAACATTTATTGAGTGACTCATATTCCAGGCACTCTACTAGTAATACAAAATTGTGTAAGATATGGTTTGTTTTTTTCAATACCTTCCAATCTCGTGTATAGATCAATACAAGCAGATAATTCCAGTATAAAGTGGCAAATGCTAAGATAACAACACTCACTTGATAAATACCTTCTGATGATGAGGCCAGGCTGTAACCATACCCCTCCTGTCTGGAGAAGAATCCCAGTGATTTCTTAAAGCAAAACATCCAGGCTCTGTGTGCACTAATTGGCATAGAAACGGCAAATAGGCAAGTAAGCCCCAACTTCAACTCTGCAGCCACTATAGGGTCTCAAGAGAGTGATTGTGATTAACTCATTATTTTGAAAAATACCAGTGAACATAAGAAAAATGACCTTGGAGTCATGATAAAAAAAATTAACGCATGTGTTTTAACTCAATCTGTCTGAAGCACAATTAAACTAAAAGATATGGTAGGGTATGTCCTATGACTGGGCCAGCACACATGCCTCTGAAGGCCTTGTGAGGCACTAAGCCACAGAGAAATACATTCATGGACTGACAATATATGCTTTGTCTTCTCCAGCAACCATTAGAATATGGCTGTTTTTGGTGAAAAAAAAATTAAAATCCATTTTAAATTGGTATCATTTTTGTGATAGTGATCATTTTTTAAGCTGTCATTCTGTCGTATTGATTTTTTCAAATAAGGAAAATATTGCTCGGAGGCTAAGAGCCACTAAGTTACACCAGCAGACACATACCAAAGGTCTACTCTGGAAGCAAAGTTCCATGTTAGGTGTCTGTGGGCTGGACAGTGGTGGGTGGGGGTCAAGCTGGAAGGTTCCATGGGGCTTTCAAACTCCAGCTCACCAATCAAGTGGGGCTAATTGAGGACTGGAAGACGAGACACAGAGGCAAGAAGATTAATGACAGAAAAATAATTAGTAAATAAGGATATTGTGGATTGAATTGTGTTGTCAAGAAAGATATGTCCACGTTCTAATCCTCAGTACCAGTGCATGTGACCTTATTTGAAAATACAGTAAGGTCATTGCAGATGTAGTCAAGTTAGAATGAAGTCATTGTGGACTAGGGTGGGCTCTAATACAGTGACTGGTATCCTTAGAAGAAGAGAGAAATTCAGATGCAGACACAGACATACAGGGGAGAGTATCATATGAATATGAAGAAGGGATTAGAGGGATGTACCTATAAGCCACAGAAAGCCAACTATTACCAGTAGCCATCAGAAGCTAGGAGAGAGGCTTCTTAAAAGCATGGAACAGATTCTTCTTCAGAGCCTCCAGGAGGGACCAGTCCTGCCAACAGCTGGATTGCAGACTTCTGGCATCCAGAACTGTGGAAGAATAAATTTCTGGTGCTATAAACCACCCAGTTTGCAATGGTTTGTTACAGGAGCCTCAGGAAACAAATACAAAGGAGAATCTGATTAGACAAGAAGTAGCTGAACATGGAGGTGTTCTCCAAAGAATTTTTAAGATGATACTTTTGGCCAGAGTTTAAACATATGAGCATCAGGCTCTAAATCAGTGGTTCTGACTTTTTTTGTGAACACAGACAGCTAAGGTGGGGTGGAAGACATCATATTCTACATAGGTAGGCCAAAGACCCATGTCTTCCATTCCTACTTGTTTCTAACTTTCAATGGATGAAGAACCCAACAACTAAGAAAAGAAGATGACAAAATGAACAAGTTAATTACAAGCTTACACACAGTTTTGTATTATACAATGATGACTTATAAAGTTAAAAATAATCTAGAACTTTTGTTACACTTACTTTGATAGTACATTTTTAAGTTATTTGAATAGAGCAAACATATAGGCAGCACCAATTTGGCAGATGATGCACGTGCCTGCTTTATCTCTAGAGGTATAGACAACTCATTCTTGAACTCATCATAGGCATGCCTTAAAATCTATTTATTGGAAAATTATAAATCAAATTAATGTTGATGCAAATGTGCAAACTTACATATTGTAGGGTTCATCAAACAACCCACATCATGCTAAAATTAGTAATTCACAAAGCTAAACTAACAGGAATTTATCATTCTAAAACAAGATTAGCAGCAATTGAAAATCATAACAAACTGCCGATGTACTAATAACAAAATGTCCTTCCTGAAAATCGTGGGAAATCTAATGTGATGCCTATGTCTATGTGAAGGAGGAGGCTTCATTTACTCAAATATTTCAGTACATACACACTAGTTAAGTGCCTACCAGGTGCATCAAGCATCTTTTCAGGTGCTGGGGCTACAGCAGTGAACACAGCAAAGTCTCTCCTCTCACCAAGATTGTATATGGCTGCATATATGCAACATAGAGTGGCAAATCTCATTTTCTTTTTAATATTAAAACATGATAGATTTCTATCAAGTAGTCTTGGCCATATAAAAATAAAAAAGAAATGTGCATAATTCACACTCAAAAAAATGGCTTATGTTTTGGGATCCGTTTGCAGTCCATTACAAGGGCCACAGCTGCTCTCCAACAGGCCAAATCTCATCCTTGAGAAACACTTCTCTAAAGATATACTTAGATCATCTCAGGAGACTGCTGGGATAATTTGGCCTTTGACTTCCTGAATTAACAGAGTGTCTTATCCGTCTCTGTTAGAATACAAGCAGCACATCAGCTTCATTCTCATCTGTTCAGTTTTAGAGGATAAGACATGATGGAAGCGTAGCTATTCTTCAGTTTCCCTAGGAAAACATTAGAAATCAAGTCTGCTTTTCTTTCTGTTTGATGCATTGTGCAAATGGGCTCCAGCCAGCTTCCTTCAGCAAAGAAGTGAGGTCCTGCCCAAGCAGAGAGGGATGCTAACTTAGTATTGTGGCTCAAGCTATACATGTTTAAGGGGTTTATGATGCACCTGCTCTTCTAGTTTTTATTCATCGAGGGCCTTCTCTATTAGATCTGTCTTTAAAATCCTAGCTCAGGTTTATCCATTTCACCTATTCAACCTTCTCAGATATCAAATTTTAATTTTCAAAATAGTTAAAAACATGACTCTTATACAAATAAACAGCACATGTCAAAAATTCATAGAACTCATTAATGAGGCATCCGGCAAGGTGCTAAAGCTGGCTCAAAGGTGAATTTGAGGAGCAGAAATTTACGTAGTAACTCACGAAAGGCATGTTGAAATAAGTTCGCTGAGTTAAAGACAAACCTGGCCAATGTCCTTTAAGACAATAAAATTATAACTTTTGGGCTTATCTTCTCTGTGGAAAAATCATATACATCTCTCCTGAATGAGAATCTACAGCTTAATGTACAGAGTGTTGGTCTTAACCAAAAGTAAATAGGAAGTAAAGCAAAGATTTAATTCCTAGAAGGGTCTGTTAAACAATGCGCCAGTATGACATCGCAAGGACTTGTATTTGCCTGATTTCCAAATTTTGAATAATCTTTTCTAATGCAGGGTTTTTCTTTTTTAAAGAAAAGAATTATTAGCTATGTTTTGAGTACTCATTTAACGCCCACTTTACAAAATATGATGGTATAGCCTGTCTCTCTCTCTCTGTCTCTCTCTCCCCCCACCTCTCTCTTTCTGTCTCTCTCTCTCTCTCTGTGTATATGTGTGTGTGTGTGTGTGTGCACGAGTGTGTTTACCTTTCCATAGGAACAATATATGAGATGGATTTTTCTTGTGCTAACATTATTGGTTCCAGGTCCCCTGTCTCCCAGTTAAAATTGCATCCTCCAGGCAGAATAATCTACCAGATAAGAACGTAAGCTTTGGCTTTAGACAGCTCTGGGTAATAATCCTGCTTTTTTTTAAATTAACATTGTCCTCTAGCAAGTTAGTTAACCTTTCTGAATCTCAGTTTCTGCATCTCTAAACTAGAGCAACAACAGCTACATTGTAAGGCTGATGTGAAGATTACATCTAAAGAGCCTAGAACAATTCTGGCACATAGTAAAAGAATATAGTAAATATTTGCTGTTACTCCCTTTTCTTAACTTTCTAAAACTCTGACCATAGAAAAACAGCACATCAGACTCTTCGAGATTAAAAAATGTACATTTTAGACAGACATTCAGGTAGAGTAATTACAACAATTCCATTGTTGCTGCTAGCCTAATTTTAACAAATCTTAAGTGTGATCTATGGAGTTGTGTGTGTGTGTGTGTGTATTGTGCTTTATTTACTTTGCTCATAAGTTTCTTTAACTGATTCTGTCGTTTCTCCATGGATCTGGATCTACAAAATGAGTATGCTTTACTTACATCAATCTCTCCAAATATACTAGAAGTTCATGGTTACATGTGTTCATAACGCTTGTCCCTGAGGTCAGTATAACCCTGGCCCCTTTACTTCATAGATGGCTGTAGAAGGATAGCATGGCACTCTGGGGTCTTCTTGTGAAAAAATAAAAAATAAAAAAAGCTTACTCTTCAGGTTGTGTTCTTAAGGCCAAAATATCAAGTTCTCTTCTCTGTGGATCTTGAGAGGTTTCCCCAAATTAGACCCATGAACCATCTGCTCAAATCGGCTACTTGTTAATCATTTTAGGTAAAGATGTAGCAGTTAGAAGATTATCTCACTCAATTTCAGCCTGTCCATAAGAGAGTTTATTTCCTTGAAAAAGCCTGTGTCCGAACCAAGCTTTAATCATATAACTTTCAATTCATTTTTCCATAATAGACATGAATGCCTGTTGGTAGCCTGCCCCAGGGATGAAGAAACCATAGAAGTTAACATTCTAGCAAGGGACAAAGTCAACAAAATCAGTTCCAGATGTATAAAGAGATTCACTATACTCCAAATTGTTTCATTAATATGGTTGGGCACTGCAGGGAAGGTAGGGAATTGCTCTTTGCAGCCTGAAAGGAGATTTACCCCACTCACCTGTCACCTGATTGGTGAACTGCCTTGAGAAACTATTAGAAAGAGGAAAAGAAAAAGAAAGAAGGAGAGATTCTATTACTTATTTTTATAGGAACAGTGGGTGCTGTATTACTTGGTTCTTCTATAATTGTTTTGCTATTGTTTAAATGAGATAAAGGGCTATGTAAAACAACACGATTGTGAGTTGTTACAATTATTTCCACAAATTAACATGAAGGCTGGAGAGTTGAGCTGTGTAACCGTGCATTTTCACTGGCGCTGTTGGCAGATACTCTCAGAAGCAGCAATGGCTGCGACACACATGTCAGCACACATTGCCCGTAAACAAGGAAGGCCTGCCTCAGAGTGGGGTTGAGGGAATTGATGCCTCACTTGAGTGCTTTGAGAGGCCAAGATCAAAAGCACTTTTAAGTATATCATATAATTATCATCATTAAGAAGCATGAGGCGAGGAGTCCTAAACTCCCACATTTTCAAAGCAACAAAAGCAGGACAGCTTTAATGGGACTTTGAAGTCAGATAAATCTCCAGGTATTTTCATTATAGAAACTCATAACTAATTAAGAAAAACCCTATCTGGGCCAGTGTTTAATTATGTTTGCTTGTCCGCCTGTGTCACGTACTGTGCTCTGAAAGTAGAGGGGTGTCTATTGCGTTGTACCAAAAGACTGTGCTGGGACCAGCCAACAGCATTCATTTTCAACAAAGCATGACATAGCAAGATTTTGATCTGTTTCGTCTAAATAAATAAGTTCTTAATAAGCATTGATTATTTTCCTAATAGTCTACATAGCTCAAAGGTTAGCTAGAACTTTCTCTGCAAAAATCACACCTAGTTCATAATACAGAGTAATGTATTGAACCATCTACATAGGAAGATGCTGGGAAAATTCTGTCTAATAATATAATAAAGACAAATAGCACTGAACATATCACCAAGAGAGGCTGTTTATATAGAAGGTTAACCAGACTGCTAACTGGTGACCCATGAGCCAGACCTCACCTAAAGACATGTTTCCTTTGGCACAGATAAGATGGCACACATTGTGTTTTTTCTAAAAATGTAAAATCCTGAAAAACATTTTAAAAATAGGAAATATCCCATAATATATAGATTTCTGGTGAATCTTGAAAAAATTGAAAGGCCTGACAACCTCAGGCCCACTTGGCAACCACAGGCCAGTTTTGACTAAGGAGAAAGGTTAGCCAATTTCCCACAAACCCAGTTGTGATGAATGGATAAGCAAAATGTGATCCATCCATACAATGTAATATTATTCAGCCATAAAAAGGGAAGAAGTACAGGTATAGGCTAAAACTTACATAAGTCTTGAAAATATTATGCCATCATGCCTATCCAAGACAAAAAAAAAAAAGAAAATATTATGCCATGTAAAAGATGATAGGCACAAAAGGCCACATGTTTTATGATTCCATTTTATATGAACTATTCCAATTAGGCAAAGCCTTAGAGACAGAAAGCAGGTTTGTGGTTGCCAGGGGGTGAGGGAGAGGGGAAATTGTGTATGACAGCTGGTGGTGACACTCTCCTGAAGGTTTGTCTGGAAGTTGCAAATTTGAACAGTGCTTTTGGTATGATGAAGAAATCCTAGAACTAGATGGTGGTGATGGTTGTGTAACATCTTGGATGTCTGTAATGGCACTGAATTGTACACTTTAAAATGGTGAAGATGGTGAGCATTTGTTATTTACATTTTATCATAATTTTTGAAAGCATAAATCACAGACTCTGCTTATAGTGCTAGGACACCAGGAAGAAGTGGTTGATACAATAGAGGTGTATATGTCCCACCTGGCAACATGTCCCCTTTGCTGCTATAAGTGGGAAACAGAACATGTCCTAGTCACTCCGGAACCTCACCTGCCCCACCTGTAGGGTGGCAAAAGTTTCAATGAACATCTTCCTATGTGTGGCCGGGTCCTAAGCATCGCTGCCAGCCGCAGGCCCATCAGTACCTGTAGGTGGCTGGCTTCTGTGGTAAAAATCTGCTTGATCACACAGGGCTTCCCTGAGGCCCTCACAGAGCATTGCTTGTGGAAGACATTTTGGACTTCTTCTTCTAGGCCAGCTGCTGGAAAGTATCTCAAATTCTATGGCTCACCCCATAGCTCATCCCACTCCTAAGCCAGGGTCCTGTAATTTCTGCAGAAGGGATCCCCTAACTATATGAATTAAAATCATTTACATTTCTCCTTCATCCAAACAGGAGGACCCCCTAAATGATGAAAATACAATAAAGCATTATTCCTTGAGCATTTACCACGTGTCTGGCACTGTTGTAGGCACTTTACACGTGTTTAGTCATTTAACGTTCAAAACAACGCAGTTGTTTCTTGTGGCGGTTTTACAATATGAGACAATAAAGACCCAGCCTGTTGGTAACTTGACCAAAATCTTCAGCTGCCCAGTACAAACATCAAGATGCCAACCCAGACAGCCTGACTCCAGCACCAGTACCCCAAATCCTGCACTCATCAGCCTTTAAAAAAAGGGGGGCCTGTGGATACCATAGCAGAAGAAACCCTAAAAGCCTTACCAGATATTCTCTGAATTTCCTGGGGGAGGTCAGAGGAGCTGCACTGGGGCCTCAGGTGGCTGGCACTGGGGAGTGTGAGCCTGGAGGGCAGCCATCCACCTGCAGAGCACTTACTACCATGGCAGTGTCCCCTGCATCAAGGATTCGAAAGGAGTTGCTGTGGGGGGCTTGTGCTTGGACAGCGGCACGCTTCTGGATCTAGAAGGCTTTGCGTGTCCTCTAACCTCAATGTGTCTTGGCTACCTAGTGAGCTTCATCTGCATGACTGGGTTGGGAGCAAACTATGTCTTCACAGGACTCTTGGTATCACCAGCAGAGTGAATTTACAAGAAGCTGTATTGTGGCCGTTGGAACCAGGTTGATTCATGAACCAGATATCGTGAACACATTCTATTTTGCTATATTCTTCCCTTTCACAGACCATCCTCTGCATTACTTACAAAGTGACTTTTTGAAATGGAAAAATAGTTATGTCAAACTACTCATAAGCGTCCTTCACTGGTTCCCCATCTCATGAAAGCCTCCAGCTCTAATCAGCTCTCAAGCCCCAAAGATCTCTGGGCACTGTTCTGTTCCTTCTTTCCACTGCTTTCATACGTCACAACAGACTGATCAGCTTTTTCAATGTCCCCATTCACCTACACCTGCTGGAGGGCATGTGTTTCATGCCAAGCACTGTACCAGGCGGGACACCGACCCTTCCCTGGAGGGCAATATAGTCTGGCAGGTGACAGAGACCCAGGAAAAAAAATTAAAAAATAATAAAAAAGCAGCACATAAAGGGAATTGTAGAAAGAAATAGGAGGATACTCTATAGAGAAGAGAGAGGGCACCCTGCCTAGTGATCAGGGAGGGCATCACAGAGGAAGTGCATTGTCAACTAAATCTGATTATTTACCTCATGGTTTTCACCTAAAAAGCAGAATAACCTTTGCAATAGTCCTTTTGTATTTTATTTTATTTTTTTTAGATGGAGTCTCACTCTTGTTACCCACGCTGGAGTGCAGTGGCACAATCTCAACGCACTGCAACCTCTAGCCTCCTGGGTTCAACCAATTCTCGTGCCTCAGCCTCCCACATAGCTGGGATTATAGGTGCCTGCCACCCTGCCTGGCTAATTACATAAATTTTTAGTAGAAAGGGGGTTTCACCATGTTGGCCAGGCTGGTCTTGAACTCCTAACCTCAGGTGATTCACCCGCCTTGGCCTCCCAAAGTGCT
This sequence comes from Homo sapiens, assembly GCF_000001405.40. Classification (NCBI taxonomy): domain Eukaryota; kingdom Metazoa; phylum Chordata; class Mammalia; order Primates; family Hominidae; genus Homo; species Homo sapiens. Next base: position 93,290,904 of record NC_000008.11, read on the forward strand.
GGGATTACAGGTGTGAGCCACTGTGCCCGGCCCCTTTTTTCTTATAATATGTTTTCAAATATTCAAAGTATAGTAAGTAGAACTCTCAGCACTGCTTAATATTTCTGAGACTATTTTTTTTTTTTTTTTTTTGAGATGGAGTCTTGCTCTTGTCGACCAGGCTGGAGTGCAATGGCACTATCTCGGCTCACTGAAACCTTGGCCTCCTGGGTTCAATTGATTCTCCTGCCTCACCCTCCCAAGTAGCTGGGATTACAGGTGCCTACCACCATACCCAGCTAATTTTTGTATTTTTAGTAGAGATGGGGTTTCACCATGTTGGCCAGGCTGCTCTCAAACTCCTGACCTCGTGATCTGCCTGCCTCAGCCTCCCAAATTGCTGGAGTTATAGGAGTGAGCCACCACTCCCAGCCAAGACTATTTTAATTTTATTATATTTCATTTTCTTGTTTAATTTCCCGGGTGTGTTAGTCCATTTTCATGTCACTATCAAGGAAAACCTGAGACAGGGTTGTTTGTGAAGAAAAAAGTTTTCTGGCTCACAGTTCTGTAGGCTGTATGAGAAGCATAGTGTCAGCATCTGCTTCTGGTGTGGCCTCAGGAAGCTTTCAATCATGGTGCAAGTTGACCAGGAGCCAGCATGTTACACTGTGAGAACAGGAGCAAGAGAGAGTGGGGGAGGGGCCACACCCTTTTAAGCAACCAGATCTCCTGTGAACTGACAGCAGGAACTCACTCATCACCAAGGGGAGGGCGCTAAGTCATTCATGAGGGATCTGCCCCCATGATCCAATCACCTTCCACCAGGTCCCACCGCCAACATTGGGAATCGCACTTCGACATGAGATTTGGAGGGGACAAACATCCACACCATATCACCTGGCTTTGGAATCAGAAAAGCTTAGATCCAAATCTCTGTTGTTCTATTTACTAGCCCTGCTTCTTGAATAAATGACCCAACTTTTGTGAGCCTCAGTGTTCTCATCTGTGTAACAGATGTGATAATACCCACCTCACCTCGTTGTCTCTGTTTAATAAGGTAATGTACATAGTGTGCTAAGTGTAGGTCTGGACACATATCAGGGTACCACAGGTATTAGCTGCTAATATTTGTATTATTAGTACTCTTCAAATGGTTGGGACACAAATCCCATGGCCTAACTATATCCTGATTACAGCAGGAGGTTATGAAGATAATTATCTTTATCTAGACTCTGAATACTTAGAAATCAATGTGCTTATTTCTAATATAGTTGATAAGTGATTCAGCTGATTTTAAAAGCTGTCTTTGGAACCTATACAAAGTGTGCCCTTGTGATATGTCCCATTGTACCTTTATGTTTAGCTACACCAACCAACCCCTATAATAAATTTAGATCAAAATATGATGCCACAGAAGAATTGTCCAGAGGAATATTCCATGGCCACTAAACAGTTCTAACCTGGAATAAATGAAAGAATAAATTAAAAAACAATAATAAACTAATTTTGAAAACCTTAAATATATCCATGTAATGTTATCTGAGGGCCAACCTCAACAGGGTGCTTACTATGCATTTTAGTAAAATGAGGAAATAAACAACGTGGAGAAAGTTAGGAGAGAGAGAGAGAAAGAACATCATACATTTAAGGTTTTCAAGGGATGTTGGGCCTGCATGTTTTTGGAAAGAAACATCTGTCAGGGTTTGCGAACTCACCAGGGTGCGCAGGATTCACTTGTTTAATGTTGGAAGAGATTGTAGAGTCAAAAGCCCCCAGGCAAATTGAACTGGGCTGGTTGCCCCTGGGGAAAGCAGAAATTTAGCTGAATGCCTGATGCCATGTTGGTCCCAGCTAACAGAACTTCTTGATACTAATGAGACCCCACCATTTCAGAGCAGTTACATTAATTGACATTAATCAAAAAGTCTATTGGAAAGTTCACCCATTCTTCTAGAGTGTCAGTCAGAGAGTGTGTATGGGGCCCCCTCTGACAGCTAGCAAATGTATTGCTTTCAGGGGCCTGAACCTTCTTGGAGGTTTAGGAATTCCTGCTTACCTTCATGCATCTCAGTCACCTAGCTAACCTTCCAGTGGTTTGTGAAACATCTGGTATTCCTGTTATCTGTATTAGCAATGGAAGAATAGAACCCAAAACGCTGTTATTTATGCTTACAATTGCCTTGGACATTTTCATGATGGAAATCTCTAGATGCTCCTGGTTCTTTTACCCATTCCAACTAAGCTACCTGATCAACTCAGGCAAAAGGGAACAGTTCTTAAGCCCAGACAAAGCCTCTTGTTGCAGGCTGCCCTGCCAGTCTCTCGTTAGTTCCAATGGTTATCGGAAACCAGACAGCATAATGGGTCAATTTCACAGATCATTATCCAAGAACTAGTGGAACCTCAAGAATTTAGTTGTGGGCAAGAATACAAACTTTTTATATGTATCTAAAATTTGAGAAAGTTACTGGCATTGAAAATTGTTGAGCTTTGGCCAGAATTACCTGAAAGGAAATAAGAAATGGCCTTTGCTATATAATATTACTTGTGGTAGTAATTAGGATAGCTTTACTGTTTGCTTAGGAATTTTCTGAGGCTTCTTTGAAGGTAAGAACATGATTTTCGCAACGTCCCTGCCAGAGCCATGATTTTATGAGTCCACGATCAGGCAGAACAGCATGCATAAGCAGTCTCCCCAGAAGATTTCTGATCATTCCAGTTTGGCTAGACCAATGTAAAGAGCTCCTTTTTCTGTTGGTTTTCTCCAGGCAGTCTGTACTAAGACAAGCACAGGCCATGGCAGCTGTGCAGATGAAGGCTGACTGCAAGGTAAGAAGTCACTAGGCTCTCTTTAGCTAAACCTCAAAGAAAGGTGCTATTCAGTTCAAATTCTGGGAGGTGTGAGGGTTCCTGTTTCACTGTGGTTGGTTTGCCCATATCCAGCCATGATCAGAGAAGGGAGAGGCTTCAGCCAAGTCTGAAACCCACTCAGCCCCCGTGGGATTTGAGTTTAGCTTTTTTAAAACAACATTTTGATGAGTTGTGTGTAAATGAATCAGAAACATATGGATTCAATTTCCCTTGAAGTGTGTGTCAGTTTAAAAATTAAGGGGGGAAAATGTGCAGAACTTGGGTATGTCCCAAAGGCAAAATGTTTAAAAAATAATGCAAGACGCTTTGTAGAACAAAAAGCACACCTTCCTCCTTGAAGTGGAGCGAATGCAGCAGGCTGAGAGGCAAGTGCTGTGACTCTGAAGTTAACAAGTATGCATGGGGCCTGGCTTTCCCAAGGCTTGCTGTTGTCCTGCTGGCAGCCTCCTGCCATGTCCTTGGACCTTGTGAACAACCCCCAGCAAATGGAAAGCAGACACCATCCAACAGGGAGGCCAAATCATATCTAGGCTGAAAATTAAATCACTAGGCAAACAACAGATTTTAAAACGAGGTATACTTGCGCTTTCTTTTTAAGTTAATTTAATTCTAAATAGAGGACAATCTGCAGACTGAAAAATAAACTAAAGCTGAGAAATATAAATCATGAATTCTGTCTTCTGAACCCTGAAGATCCTCGGGGCCAGAGGCTATACACATCGGTGAAGGAGAGTATTTTGAACTTAAACCTTGCCTGGGAGAGCCCTGGGTTTCAAATTCATTTATAAAACATTTACTGAGTACCTATGGTGTACCAGGCACTGTTCTCAGATCCAGAAATATAAAAACACAGAGAAACTGTTACTACCTTCAAGCAGCTTTCAGTTTCTAAGAGAAGGGCATAGATGCACATGCAAATGACTGCAATTGAGTGGTCTGGTTACTAAGATAGAAGGAGATACATTATACAGGTTGTGTAACAACGGCCAATTCTACCTTCACTTGATCTCCTTGATAAAGAGGGTTGTTTGGCTACAGCACCTTATTTGCAGGAGCAGCATGGGAAGGAGACTTCAGGATTAGGTTAGTTGAGACCCTCTTAATCTCACCAGATATCAAGGCAGCACCTAATATTGGGCCTTAATTTTAGGCCTTACACCATACTGATACTTGAGAGAATTCTTGGAAAATAAGTGAGTAGCTTTCACTGTAAGTCTGAGCCCTTCAGGGTATGGTGGCATCCCAGACAGAACAGGGAGAGCCACAGTGAGAGACTAGAGGCATAAAGCTGCCTGGAAAATTGGTTAGATATTTTGGGAAAAAAAATTAACAATTCCTTTTCACATATTTGTAGAAAAGAAACCACAATATGTCTTTAAAGGTTACAATATTTAAACATTAGAACTAATGAAAGAAGAGAAGATGTTAATTTAGAGCAGCACTATCCAATAGAAATACAATGTGAGCCAGAAATGTGAGTCATTTACGTAATTTTAAGCTTTCTAGTAGCCACACTGGAAAAATGGCAAAAATAAATAGGTGAAATTAATCTTAATGATATACTTTATTTAACTTAATATATCCAAAGTATTACCATTTTAAAATGTAACAATATAAAAAATATTAACAAGATATTTATATTCTTGTTTTCTTACTAAGTTTTTGAAATTCAATATGTATTTTTACAGATACAGCATAGCTTAATTTGGACCAGCCACACATTTGAAGTGCTCAATACTCACATTTAGCTGATGGCTACCATATTGGACAAAACAGATTTAGAGCATCTTGAAATGAATTAAATTTGGAACAAATGCTATACAGTCTTTTCATCTGTAACTCAGCTGTGAAAATAGCAATATCTCACAATTGAGTATAAATTTTTAGACAAGAGGTGGAAAATGACTGACATTTGTATTGTTACTGCCACTCAACTTTTTACTGTAACAACAGCAGATGTTACTCCTAGATCTCAACACATTTTCCTACTAAGTCTGCAGGCAGCCATTGTGAAAGAATTGAATCTGCCATATAAGGTGAGTCCAAACACCTTCCCTTTCCTGAACATATAGCCACTGCTTTAAAACCACAATGGATAAGTAAATCTTAAGTCTCTATTCCATACCAAGCTTTAAACACTAGGTCTTAAGACACTAGAAATATATGCAAAAAGAAGCTATTGAGAGTAGGTTTTAAAAAAACTCTTCAATCAGTATCATTGATTAGATCTTCTAGATGACAATTATAACTTGGCTACTTGACCAAATAACTATATACTTTATACCTAATGTTACACTCAACCGTCTAACAGACCTTATTTGTTTTTAGAATTCCACAGAGAATACCCTGATGGTTTTCCACACATATTTAGTTTTCCACACATTTTTACACTAAGTTCTCTGGAATATATACATAACTGTAATAAATAAACTGTGTAGCAAATCCCTTAGGAACAACAATCCAATGATTCTTACACACATACACTCACACACACACATATTCTATTGCTATACTTACAAAATATATATTTGGTAGGCCTATATTACTTGGAAAATAACATCCTATCCAATTGAACATAGTTTTGCCAAGTCTGAATACTTTGGTTAAGAGATCTGTTTCATTTTGACCATGCATTTTTAAATATTCCTATGGGTTTTCTCCCCAGTAAAAGTATTTTCTCTTCTGGTTGAACCCAGATTTTTCTGTCATCTTAAAAATACCATTGCCTAAGAATTCACATTTCCTATCATGTATTGCTATGTGACATGGGAGAAAACTTCATTTTTAACATAGATAAGAAAAAACCTAGGAAAGGAGATGCAAAGATTCAGAAACCTTATTTTCACATTATTCTTAGTGTTTTAAAATTAAAAAAACATTAAGACCAGTTCTTAAATATGTGCCTTATGATCTAATAAGGAAAATATCACGCTGAAAGTGTGTAGAACTTAAAGCATAGGAAGGTGAAGAAGGCTGTAGGGTACTATGGTCTAGCAAAGTCAGGTTGTGCAGCCAGAAATAAAGCACAGTTTACAGAATTGTTGAAATATTTGTGAGGCAATTCTAGAAAGCTCTCCTGGTGGTTAACTAATAAAATAATCCATAGAACACCGTATGGGCCAAGCCAACTTCACTCTCCGTTAGTACACATTTAAATGGCTTGCTTTCTGATCATATAAAAGTTCACTTACTTGACTAATCTTTTTCCCATAGAACATGGGCATTTCAGTCTGAAAGTTCCCCCAATCCATCATTTAAAATTTTATCTTTGACATACGTTAGGCAAATAGAGAAAAATTAAAAAGTAATGAGGAGGGGGCCCAAATGCTTTGAGAAGTTCCCACATATGTGCTAATTAGTGATTCCATCTGAAAATATTCCCAGCAAGCTGGATGGGTAAAGCAGACTGAGATAAATAATGCAAAGACCCTGTGGCAGTGTCACAAACACCATAATCAAGGCTGCTTGTGAGTTCAGAGTCTCCAAGTGCTGTGGCTTAGAAAAAAACATCAATGAAGTAAAACTGCTCTAACAGCCTTAGGGTTATCACACACATCCATACACACACATACCCCACTTTATTCTTTCAACCTTTTGGTTCACACTAAGGAACTCTTTGAGTGTTTATACCATACCCATCCCCCACTTTCAGGTCTGTTTTGACGTAAGGCAGAATAGAATTTCTTACATCTAGTTTGCAGTGCTGTTAAAATGTGCAGTCTTCATTGAAACACTGGTCCAGCTACATAAGCACATGGAGATGATTAGCTGCGAAATAAGGCATTAGTCCACAGCCTCAAACACCAAATGAAATACTCTCCGATTATAGGGACTGCAACCTCTGGAAGTCCCTTTTGTGAAATGACAAGCCTGCTGGTTTAGTCTTCTGATACAATGCCCAACCGTGTTTTTTAAGTACAATCGAGTTTCATCAACCAAACCAGAAGTACTGCTGGTTGAAATGCATTCTGTAAAGTCAGTGGAAAAATAACGCTAGTAGCTCCATAAATGAGGGGTAAATAGCACTATTATGATAATTTCTGGTTTTAATGCTTTCAGCTAACACAAGAAGACTATGATTTGGAAGTTGCAATGGAGATATTAGAAGAAACACCTAGATACTTCACTAGAAGTGCTGCAAAAATGACAGCATAAATTGTGCAATTTCACAACCCTCCAACTCCCCCCCACCGCAAAAAAAAACTACAAGCATTTAACGGCCTTATGAGTATGTATGTGACATGTGTATTTTATTAGAGGCAGTTCTCAGTTTCCCTCATCCAAGCTGTTAAGATCGTATAAGACTAAGTCAAAGCTGATCCTCCTTCTAAACCCGCCTCTCCCCACAGCCCAAAATGTGCACTCTGTGAACATAATTGCCCAAGGAAAACGGAAGCTTGAGCTCTCCGAGCATCCGTATTCATGGGAGCAGCACTTTTGTACTTTGCAAGACCAGAATGGGCTCCCCACCTGTATTGGTGACCCATTTAACCGGACTGATTTTACTGCTTTGTCAAACTTATTGGGCATGAAAATAAAGTCTGCTCTATAGAAGTAAACAAAGAGCCTGGAAACAGTTTGAAGCCTGCCTGCTAATGAAGGCCCTTGGTCACTTCCTCCTTGAAAATCAAGGCTTCCTGCAAAAAGAATAAACTGCCCTCCATGACAGAGAATCAAGTAACCAGGTATTTACATTTAGACAAGATTCAGTCTCGTCTGGCAGCCTAGAAAAACGCACAGCTGTCAAGAATCAAATAAAGGCTTTCAAAAAATTTTTCTCAAGAACCAAGCATACCATTTGAAGAGCAAAGTAGTGAGCAATTTCCACTAACGTCACAGGAATTTTGAAAACTAATTCTGTTTGAAAGACACAACCTGCCCATACCCATCAAAAAGTCTATGGTTCTAGCCTTTATAAAATTATTATAAATTTTAACATACTAGATTTGTCACTCCCGTATATATATATATATATATTTTGCTTTAATGAAACAAAAGATCTAGTGTACTGACTTTTCACTATAAAAGAAATGTTTAACATTTGGTAAAAAAGTTTTTTTTTCCTTCCTACATATATCTAGGTATATATTAAGAAGTTTGATGAGGATCTCAGAATTAGTTGCTATCTAATTTCAAAATCTTGCTATAAAAGATCTTTATCTCTTTCATACATGGGAGTTCATTCATTTTTATCCATTTTAATATACTAGAGGTTTCACTTGTGGTGTGCCCTATGATTGAGGAGTTTTGAGAAATATCTGGAAGATCATGGGGACAGGGTGTATGGAATCATGAGGTTGCCTGGATGACACTGGGAGCTGGAAATGGGTGGGTAGCAATTCTGAGTGCAGCAAGACTGCCTCAGCCTTCTTGGCTGACTAGGTCCTGAGGAAAGGCATATGCCAAAAAGCAGAGTAAAATTAATAAATAAGTGGATAGATAAATGCACCCATCCATCCGTAGATGCAGTGTTCAATCATTCAGTTAGTATTTATTGAGTTCCTGGCACTGATAATACAAGTGTTAGATACATCGAAGGACCCAGAAATCCCTGCCCACCTGGAACTTGTAATCCGGTGGGAGTGGGGAGTGGTAGGGATAGAATATATATAAGCTAAATATGCACGTGTGTGTGGGTGTGCACACGCGCGCTAAAGAAAAACAAAAAAGTCAGGGGAGGGAATGTGAGACTAAGGCGGTGTGTTGACATTGTAGATAGGCTGGCCAAGCAGGTCTCCCTGACAAAATGGCACTTGAGTTCAATGCTGGAAGAAATGAGGAAGATCTAAGGGAAGAGCTTTCCATGCAGAAGGATTCCCAAATGCAAAGGCCTGAGTCAGATCACGTCTGGTGTACTGAAGCTGCAGCAGGGTGAGTAGGTGTAATGTAGAAGAAGATGAAGTCAGCGTGAAATGGTGAGGCAGGCCAATCAGCACCTGGCAGACCAATGTGGCCCCATCTACTTTTACTTGATGAGAAGCCACTGGAGGATTTGAGAACAGGACTGACATGATCTCACTCATGCTTTAATAGGATCAGCTGTCAATGTGGTGGAAATAACCGCAGGAAGGCAGAGAGCAGCAGAGAGGCTTATGAAGAGGTTCCTGCTGTATCCAGGTGTGAAGTCCTGGTAGGATAGACAGCGGGACAGCACGAGGTTTAAGTAAGAGGAGTACCTAGAGCAGAAGTTTAATTTCAGGAGGCACTCGGCATCAGGGCTGTTTATGTGTAGTGTCAGCAGGGTCTTCACTTGCATGACTGAGAGTGAAACTTTGTGGCCTACGCACCTCTTGCGCCTCACCTGGGTCTTGGACCTGTTGGACAGGGTAAGGACAGTTGAATTCAGAAGGTGGCGCTGACAGGATGTGCTGATGGTGTGAAGTGCGGATGAAAAAGAAGAGTCCAAGATGACCCCATGTGTTTTAAACTTGTAGAAAGAGATTTTCTGTAGAAAGGCCATTTTCTGACAGGAGTAACCTGTTAGGCGAACAGGTTTGAAGGAAGAATACCAGAGCTCAGTTTTGGTCATGTAACATTTTAGATATTTATTAAACATCTATGTGAAGATACATGAGTCTGGAGTTCCAGTGCAGGGTATAAGGGTAAGCAAAAATGACAGTTACCTGGCCTAGTGGAATATATTAATACAATCCAGTGTGGGTATGGACAAATAGGGCAATACACTACAACATGTTACTTGCCATGAAATGATACTCTGAGACTGCTATAAAAATTCATAGAGAAATATCCCGCCTGGACTTGAGGGCCTGGCAAATAGCGGCCACTTAATAAATACCAGTTGAGGGCCAGGCACAGTGGCTGATACCTGTGATCCCAGCAGTTTGGGAGGCCGAGGCTAGAGGATCACTTGAGCTCAGGAGTTTGGGACTAGCCTGGGAAACATAGGGAGACCCTGTCTCTACAAAAAATAAAAAAGCATGATGGCATGCATCTGGGGTCCCAGAGGCTGCAGTGAGCCAAGATCGCACCACCACACTCCAGCCTGGGCAACAGAGCGAGACCCTGTGTCAAAAAATAGGTAAGTAAATAAATAAATAAATACTGGTTGAATATATGGACACTACTTATTTATTTATTATCTGTTTATTTACTGATTTTACTCTGTTTTATCATTGATTTATTTTCCCAAGACCCAGGCAAGAGGCCAAAAAAACTGAGGCAGAGAAAAATCCAGAAGAAGAGACATTTATGTTGACACTTTAAGGAAGGACAAGATGATATGGTTTGTCTGTGCCCCATCCAAATCTCACCTTAAATTGTAATAATCCCCACGTGTCAAGGGCAGGGCCAGGTGAAGATAAATGAATCATGGGGGCGGTTTCGCCCATACTGTTCTCCTCCTGGTAGTGAATAAGTCTCATGAGATCTGATGGGTTTATAAAGCAGAGTTCCCCTGAACATGCTCTCTTGCCTGCCACCATGTAAGATGTCCCTTTGCTCTTCCTTTGTCTTCTGCCATGATTGTGAGGCTTCCTCAGCCATGTGGAACTGTGAGTCTATTAAACCTCTTTCCTTTATAAATTACTCAGTCTTGGGTATGTCTTCATTAACAGCATGAGAACAGACTAATACATAAGAGCTAGCAATGTATTAGTGGGTTTGAAGGAGATGGTATAGAAAAGTGGGTTTGGAGGAGATGGTACAGAAAAAATTTTTAGAGGCAAAAGATAATATGTGAGAAGGCCCAGGGAGATTGTTGCCAGTATTATCAGAACCATTGGCAAATGATGCAGACTCAAAATCAGACATCCTTTTCTTCCCATGGAAGAGTATTGTAACATCAGCACTTGGGCATTGGCAGCTTTTGTGAGGATAGCACAACAGTAGTGCTCTGGTGTGTCCCTGGCATAGCTCTGGCCCGGATATCAGCAGTGGGAAAAAACATGGCTACAAGAGCCAAGGGGGACTAGAATGGTAGATGCCACATGGTAGGGAGTAGAGAACCCCCTTGTTCTTGCAAGATTCTAGAATTTGTGGGGAGAAATTGAGGGATCTGAAGCTGGAGCTTTTCAAGAGCAAGTTTAACAGCAAAACCAGAAAAAGAAATAGAAAACGGAATTGTAGAAACATAAGTTATAGATAAAAAATAAATTGATAGTACTTGTGTATTTTTTCAAAAAGCTTTCTTTCGAATTGATTGTTTTCTTTACTCCAAACAGGAACATTTTAAGTTAGAGAGGGCAAGTGAATGAAGAGGGTCACAGAGTTAATGAATTACTGAATACTATAGGGACAATTAATGGCAAATGGGGGGATTTGAACACAGGACCCTTACTACACAGTTTATGGCTTCATTTTGTTTGGTTTTTGAGATGAGGTGTCACTCTGTCACCCAGCCTGGAGTGCAGTGGCACAATCATGGTTCACTGCAGCCTCAACTTCCCAGGCTCAAGCCATCTTCCCACCTCAGCCTCCGGAGTAGCACATGGCCACCACACCGATTTTTTTTTCTTTTTTTTTTTTTTTTTGTAGAGACAGAGTCTCAGTATGTTGCCTAGGCTGGGCTCAAACAATCCTCACACCTCAGCCTCCCAAAGTGCTAGGATTACAGACATGAGCCACTGCGCCTAGCCCAGCTTATGTTCTTTTAGACCAATCCTTGAAATACATAAAGGCAGATAGGAGAAGAGAGGGGAAGAGGAGAAAAGAGCAATGGATACAACTTGTTTGAAGAAAGGACAGTTTGCATCTCCCAGAACAGTAATATAACAAAGCCATATGTAGACATGCATTTTGATAATAAATTTATTTTCATGCAGTCCAAAATAAACTTCAGTATATTTTTCAAGAAACTGTACTGCTTGCTTGTAGGAGAATAAATTAGTATGAACCTTCCAGTGGTACTTTCTGATTTAAACATCCTTAAAATCAGAATTTTAAGTACTTAAAAGCCTTAAATTCTGATGACCATACCAGTTGGTGTGCTTTGGGCTGTAAGTAACCGAAACCCCCAGTCAAGCTGTTTTGGACATGAGGAAATGGATTGCTCACGGAACTAGATGTGGAAAGGTTGAGCAAGTTGCTTTCTTAATTTAGTCCAGGGGCTCTACTTTTGATCTTTATGGCTGTCTTTCCCATGTGTGGGCTTTTCTGTCAGGCAAAGAATGAGGAGTTCTGGGGTTTCTGAGGTCTCATATCCATACCTACCAGAGCAAAAGAGGGAAGTCACTTCTGAATATCCACTCCAAAAATGATGAATAACTTTTTCTGAAGCTCCCGGTAAACTTTTCTTGCTCTCTCAGGATCCCAAGCCAGTCCTGAATCAAATATTGACAAAGGAAATATAATTGCTGATTAAAGTCGATCCTAGAGTTAGGGTGGGCTCAGTGTCTCCCATGGCAATTGGCTGCATGGATGAGAGATGGAAAACTAAAGAGAACTGAGACCCTTGTTAGGAAAGAGAAAGAAGAAAAAGGATATACTGACAACCAATAATGTCTACTGTCATGGCATTTGACCCCAAAATTTCACATCCAGAAGGTTATCCTAAGGAATTTTAATGCATGCTTATAAATGCTTAATAATTATGAGAATGTTTATCACAGTCTTATTCATAACAATAAAATATCAGACATAACAAATGTTCAAAAATAAGGAGTTGATTAAATTTTGATAGAATATTGTAGTTGTAATATTGTATGTATCTATTATATCTATAATATTTCTACATTCATAAAAATATGCTAGAGTTCTTTAAAGACTTGAAAAATGTGTTCACAAGACATTATTACATCAAAAAAGCCTACTTCAAAGAAATATGTTCAATTTTTTTAGGAAAAATACACTGTATGTTTAGGCAAAGAACTAAACAGATATATACTGAAATAAATGTTAACAATTGTAAATTACATTTGAGTAATGGGAAGAAAAGATTTTTTTTCTGATGTTGGTATTTTCTAAATTTCTTATAATAAGCACATATTGTGAGGAAAAAATAGTTATTATTTTAATGCCATGTAATGATATTTTGGGGTTTTATACTTAAATTCATATATAATATTTTTTTCTTTTTGGCCTGGTACTTCTTAGCCACTGCTGCTTGGAGTTATTACAGGTCAATTTGATATAGCTTAGGTCAACTCACTATGTGGAAAACTGTTCTGCTAGGCTGCTAGGTGAATTACCACAGCCAATCTAAGCAGCTGATGTGAAAACAAGACTTTTAGAGATCCTCAAATTAGGGTCATTCTAAAAATAAACCAAGTTATTTACAGATAATCTAGGCAGTTCACTATCATGTGAGAGGTGAGATTCCTTCAAAGCTACTCATGAATTTACATTTAATGATAATAACCATCATTTGTTGAAACTTATAATGTGACTGGCATTGGGTAAGGACATTTATTAATATCCTTTGATTATATATTGCTAACCACATATTACTGATGAAGAATCAGGGGCTAAAGAGTTTAAGAAACATGAGATGGTTCACACAGATGGTGGAACTGGAACTGAACCAGATCCTACTTACTGCAAAGCCTGTGGGCCTCTCCTATGGCCTTACTTCTCTCCAATCAAGCCATGTGAAATGCCTTCATTCTACAACTCTCACCCATCTCAAGAAATACCACTTTTTATCACCCCAAACACGCCAACATTTCATGGATATGTTTTGAAAATATATAGATACATTGATAATTTTATTAATAAAAACATTACATATGCTGAAATTTAAATATTGTTCATAAAAACTGTGGTCCAAAATGCCTTCGTTAAACAGATGTCCCCCTAAATGGACAAATAATCACGAACACATTTCTAATACGGAATCTGCCTTTCAACAGCATGCATTATTTCCACAGAATAAAACCTGAAGTACACTTAACCCTTGAACAACACAGGCTTCAACTGCACGTGTCTGCATATACGCAGGTTTTCTTTCTGTCTACCATCCCACCCTGGACACAGCAAGAGCAGCCCCTTTTCCTCCTCCTCGTCAGCCTGCTCAGTATGAAGACCACAAAGCTGAGGACCTTTATGATGATCCACTTCTATCTAATGAATAATAAATATTTTTTCTTTTCCTTATGATTTTCTTACTAACATTTTCTTTTCTCTAGCTTATTTATTGTAATAATATAGTATATAATACATATAACATACAAAATATATGTCAAACAACTATTTATGTTATCAGTAAGGCTTCCAGTCAACAATAGGTTATTAACAGTTAAATTTTGGGGGAGTCAACAGTTATACGTAGATATTCAACTGCATACGGAGCCAGGATGCCTAATCCTCATGCTGTTCAAGGGCCGACTGTAATCCATTATGGAGAATTATTTTTCCTAGGCTAAATCATGGCCATATGAGTAGGGCTTCCAATCTAGTCTCTCCCATCAGATATAAACAATTTGGAAAGAGTCTGTGGATATGCTTGAATCAAAGATCTGAGCCAAGGAATGAGCAGTGGGCTTAAAATATACAGGAAAACTGAAAATGAAAAAAATACATTAACTTGGCCTGTGATAGTCCTCTTCTTTTCTGTGGAATATCAAGAAATTTCTGGCAGTTTACTATCCAAGAGAGATTATCCTTCAGTTCAAATACCCTTCACACATATTCATTATTTATAATAATACTTCACTATAGATTGTTCTGACAAAGTGAAGTACCTTATGTATTAACTTTTTCTGTGGGGAAAAAGCCAATTTACACAAATATATAAAAATCCATATAATAAAAATGTATTCTAGTCATTGAGTACTTTCTCACATAGAAAAATAATCTCCCATATATTCCTCTACTATACAGGATCACATCATTGGAATATAATTGCAATATATTCATTACAACACTTAGCAGACTATTCTCCCAAGTGCTGTCCCACTCATGTTCCTTCTTCACACAGAAATGATCAGTTCATTTAATGATGGAATTAATATATATTTTTGGCACCTCATCTTCATGATTTCACTCTTGGATCTTACCTTTTAAAAATGTTATTTAAAGTAGGAAATAAAACAAGGGATTTCCTCTCCTAAGGAAGAAATGCTTTGATGATGTTTCCATCTAGTATAAATCAAGTCAAACCTGTATGATATTTACAAAGAATTCACATATCACATTAAGCTCTTTGTTTGCTGACTTGTCCTGCTATATCATGCACAAAAACTTTGTTCTTCAGCCCACAGAATGGAAGCCAGTAGAGTCACAACTTGCATGAAGAGCAAAAACTTCTTTCCTATAGGAATGGGTAGGAGACTCCATATCTCATACAACAGAAGTAACTGCAGAAGGTAGATAGTCTCTCACTTGGGAATGGAGGATGTGCTACCTGACAGTCAAAGTAAATTCTCCTACAATAATGTTGCATTTATTTACTTACATACTTGATTGTACCTACTAAACTAGAATCTCTTTGAGAACAATAATCATGTTTAAATCATCCTTGATCTCTATTACATAGCATGGAGATTCGATACATTATTTAAATACTCCAGGAAAATATCAATTTGTGATCCCCACAAGAAGGCAAAACTTCAGTTGCCACGGATCAACAAAATGGATCAAGATGTCAAAAATAAGGCCACACCCTTTTCTTCCCTGTAGAACTTGGAACCTTAAAAGGAATCTCTGCAACAAGTTCATATAACCTTTTACCCAGGCAAAACATTTTACAGGTACATGCCCTCTTTCTCCCCAGACTATATACAGACCCATTTATCTCTCACACACTCAAAGACACTCCCGACAGGGAGTACCCTCTTTGCACCTTGACAACTCCAATTCCTCCATGACTTGGTACCTGCCTGCCTCTGCAACCACATTGCCAGCTGGTCATCTTTTCAGGACTCAGTTACCTCCTCTCTGTATAGTTTCCAGCCCCATACTCTGTTCAGAAAATTTAATCCCTTCCTTTTTTTAGGCCTTCACTCTTCTATGTCTTCTGTCCAGTATATTACAGTAGCTATAACAATATTGCATTTCTTTATTTACTTATTAATGTCCCTATTAAACTAGAATCTCTTTGAAAACAAGAAGCAATATAAGTACTGTGTACTTAGTGCATAGTACTTACCCAATAGATGTTTGATAAATGAATGATAGATAAATGAGAGAAAGTCAAGATTAGGGAAATTAAACTTGCCCAAGGTCTCAAAGTGCCTGGGGCAGAACTAGAACCATGTGACCCCATCTGCCTGACTCTAAAACTCACACCCATTCCACTGTATCCAACAGATTGGATAAAAAATGGTTTTTTTCTTCCACATCAAAAGGATTGCTCAATTCAGTGTTATGACATTAAAGGAATTTCACGTATCACCTGGGTTCAGCAGCTCAGTGGATTCCAGTAAACACAACTCCTTCCTCTACTCCCTCTCCACCCTCAAGATAGCTTTCTTAAGTCACACTTTGTGACACCAATTGAAAGAAAGCAAGGGCCACAGGAGACAGACCTGACAACAACCCCACTCTACAATCCCTGGGGTGGCCACCTCCCAGTCCACAGAATGCTGCCCACCCAGAGCTCCATTCCCTGTGGTCCCTCCTGCCTATTGCCTATTCTATCACTGAGTGCTGCTTTGTCACCTCCTTGCTCTAGCACCCTGCAAGGCCTCCAAATCTCCTGAGCACTGACTACCACTCAGTACCTCCTTCCCCAGGCTTCCATCAATGGCCTCTTTTCTGATACTGCCTCAAGCTCAGCCTGGCCCCTTTTGGAGCCTGGGATTCAGATAGCTGCATTTCCAAATAGACCAAGAACCGTGAAAACAAATAACATTTATCAAGTTGTTGGGTTTTTTTTGTTTTTTTTTTTTGTAGCATTTGAAGAATCATTGTGTTGTCTAGCAGCCATAAAAATCTATTTCTTTTTGTAAACCAACATTTAAATTAAGAAACAAAGGCATATCTTTTCAAAATCATGTATAACCCCATATTCCAACAGAGCAAAGCTCATTTATAAATATGCAAAAAGACTAAAAATGGTTGAAATGAGACTTCGACTATGTTCTCTCCCTCCCCCACCAACTGATACTCCAAGGAGAAGCTACCCGATCCTGATGTTTACAGAATGACATCCATCACACAGGTAATTACTCATCCATCTCAATCCTTCCTTTTAAGTTTGCCCTTAAGAAGCCTGTGATCTCCCAAGTCAAGGGCCTCAGTAAAATCAATAAAACCTCGTCCTATCAGGCCACAAGCCAGATCATTTTCCACCTTTTAACAAGGCAGTGGTTATTAAATGCTTTGTTTGAAAACCCAAGTGGGGTGATCAGACTTTCATGATGAGAATAATCCATCAATTGTACATGTGCTATCTGTTGAGTGTCTTTGATATGAATGATAAAATAGGCAATGGCATATAGTTTTTCAATATCGGAACATGTTCTCCTTTTTCACATTGGGGTTGTGGCATAGCAAAGGGAATTTCATGACTGGAGAAAGCTTGTTAAGAGAGAAAAGAATTTCATTGCATTATTTCAGTCAATGCATAAGATACGCTGTTGGTTCCAACTTTGAAAGCTAAGCTCCAAGCTGTCAGTGGCTTCTTTAGTTCTTAACTCAGCTATTCAATGACCAGATTTTGAAACCTGTAAATTTGCAGTAGGATACACCTTATCATAATAATTAATGTCATACTTTTTCATTAGTTGGATTCTGGCCCTGAATTTGTAGGGGGATTGAGATCTCAGATCACACAAATTTAAAAGTGTCAGTTGATGTTAGATTCTTCTTCAAATCTTCTTCAATACCAAACAATCATAAAATAACAACCACACAGAAAAAGCCATACAAATATACTTTTTGTGCATGTCTGTGAAAATAAATCTGTCCTTCAATACATTTCTGGCATCATAATTGCTAAAGTCTCATATTCCGACACTGTCAGACATCAGTGAATGATAAAAAGAATCTATCACTTGACAAATGGAAGATCTTCTTTCTTCTTTCTGTATTCTGTTTGATTTAGTTAGGGAAGCATTTTAGGGTTATGCATTTTCCACTTAAATCTACTCATTTTTATTGTTTCACATTAATGATGAAATTAAAAGGAGACAATTTCAAAACCCTACTGTATTATTCCAGATTTACAGAATCAACAAATTCAAATTTCAATTTATGACCATTTCCAGTAAGAGATGATTATCTGGCATCCTACCAACTAAAAATGCCTATTAAGCCAGCACTCCTGCACTTTATCAGGGCCAAGATGATTGAAATGGTGGTGGGAATCCTGAGAAACAGCACAATTTTGAAGTGTCTTCAAATTTATTAAATGAAGATTAAATATACTTATATAACTTTGATACTTTTAATGTTCTAATTCTTTGAAATTAAGTAAACCTCAAATGGCTTATGTGGTTATCTCAATTTACCAGATTGCCCCAAACACTTATTTCTACAATCTAAGGGTATAACAGAGAGTGAGCTGTTCTATTCTTTCCTGGCCCCTCAGAAATAAGCGCTGGCATCTGGGCCAAAATGAATGAGGCCACAGAGTCAATGAAGACATGACTGCACTTTGCATCTTCTGCTTAGTCCTGTTCCCCTTGTTTTTATTGGAATTTATTTAGAGAGAAAATGATTTAGAGGAAGAAATTAAATGGGTCAGCTTCAGCCAGCTTACATTCCCCTTGTTATGAGTAATAACAGAAGAAAAATAGTGGTGAGGAGGATAATGTGAATAATCACAAGCCTTTTATTTATGGATTTAGGTTTACTTTACAAAGCACTCTCAGTATACTATCCCATTTATCTCTCGAAGCCATGCTCTGGGGTGGGAGATGCTGTGGTGCAGAACACCAGCTCCATGTAGGCAGATGTACCTCTTTCCAAATCCCCTGATCTGTCACTGGCTGTATGACCCTGGACAAGATACTTAATATTCTCCACCTTAGTTTCTACTTACTTCATAAGGTTGATGCAAGGATAAGTGAGATTATGATTAGGGCAATTACTAAGATTCACAGAGCACTGACTGTATGCACAGTGATTTCACGCATTTTCTTATCTAAGCTGTGCATTCCCCAAAAGCTACTATTATTGTTATCTCTATTTTATCAGTGTGGGAACTGAGTCATAGAAAAGTTCATGACTTGCCTGTCACTTGCCTAAATCAGTGGAAGTTTGGATCCTCCACTGTTGGCCTAGGACTGATATAGCTCACCTTCCTGCTCCAAGACAATAGCCTTCTTCAAGCCCCTTTCACCTGCCTCCTTCCTTCTCCCATGAGCCTCTGCACCTGCACTTTCCTCCCTTCTCTGCCTTGTTGGTGCCTACACCTTCTCCAGGTCTCCATTTGGGAGTCACTTCCTCAGGGGAGACTTCCCCAAGCTCCCTTGTGGTCAAATCCTACATTAGAAGCTCCCGTTACACAAGTCCCTTTACAGTAGAATGCAGTTCTCTTTGAAATTTTACTCTTCTTTGTTGGATTACAACTGTGACGGACTGCCTCCTCCACCAGTCTGTAAGTGCCTGAGACAGACCCCATGTGAGTTCCACTTACCATATCCTCTCAGCACCTAACACTCCCTGGCACAAAGGAGGGCACAATCATGTTTTTTAAAGAATTGTGAATGAATATACTAAGAGCATAATACATTTTGGCTCATATTTTGTCCACCCCAGTTTGCTGATGAAGAAATTAAGGCTCAGCGAGGTTAACCAAGCTTCCCAAGGTTACCCAGCTGGTGTACTCTAAATCAGACTCACAATGAAGTCTATGGGCTCTTTGCAAGGCTCTTACAGTCATACTCAATTATTTTCTAACTAAATAACAAATATAGATGTGACAGGCAGAATAGGCCCCCTCAAGATGTCCAAGGCCTAATCTCCAGAACTGGTGAATTTGTTACCTTGCATGGCAAAATGGATGCTGCAGATGTGAGCAAGCTAGGGATCGTGAGATGGGGAGGTTATCCTGGATTATCAAGGAAGGACTAATGTAATTACAAGTGCTCTAATAAGAGGGAGGCAGGAGGATCTGATTCAGGGAAGGAGGTGTAACGGCAAGGAGAGGTCCTCATGACCAGGAGCCAAGGCATGTGAGAAACCTCTCGAGGACGGCAAAGGCAACGAACAGATTCTTCCCTGGGGTCTCCAGAAGGAAGGAAGCCCTGCCGACACCTTGCTTTTAGCCATATAAGACCTAACCTCGGACTTCTGACCTGCAGAACATTAATAAATTTATATTGTATTGTTTTGGATCACTAAATTTGTGGTAAATTGTTAACACCAGCAATAGTAAACTAATACAGATGTTAATGACCTTGGATCCATTGGTAAGGTTGTCTGCATGGTAATGTAATAATAAAATGTCATGGATGTTATGCTGCAAGTTCAAGCTCAGTGGATAGATACAAACAATACACTACAATAAAGGACCTCCTGTTGAACTCAATCTATCCAATTAGTTGTTTGAGCCAGGTATTTCAAACAAACAAACAAACAAAAATTCTATTCTTTAGTCTCTAACCCTGAAAAATCTAAATTTAAAAAAAGAATTCATGATTAATCCCATATTCTTTTTTTTCCATGAGATAGTCCAATGTATTGGGGAAAATCCGTGACTGAAAGGCAGATTTTGATTTAAGGCCCACTCATCTTCTTTTAACCATGTGACATTAGGCCATGCACTTTCTCTCTCTTTCTTCATTTTATTTTGAAAGAAACTGAAAGGCATACTTTGAAGCTACTTCCCAAATATACCATTCTATGATTTTATCATATTACTATTTGGCCTGAGAAACTTCATCTTTTCAATTAAGAAGTCTTGCTATGTTCTAATCTATCCCTCCCAACATATGCCACTCCAGGTTTCTTCTTGCATACTACCCCACAATGAAACTAAAATTCATTCTGCAGGCATGTGCAACATTTATAGTTCATGAAGATTACAAAAGAGTTGAGAGTTCAATCTGCCATAGGTCATTGTATATGAGTTCAGAATCTTCACCAAGCCGGGTGTTAGAACATGGCTGTACTCTGAGTCTGCCCCTAATGTGTGGGAAAATTCTGCGTAGATCAAGAACCCTCATTAACTACCCTTAACTTACAGGTATATTAATAACTAATAAAGCATGATTTTTAAAAGCCTACAATTTTATCAATGAAATATACATACTTCCTATCATTTAGATTGCTTTTAGTATTTATCATTTTAAAGACTCAGACAAGAGAATAAGAAATGTAAGAGAAAGTGATCAGAAGAAGCACATGGGAGAAGGGTTTACAAATAAGTCCTTGGCCTTTTCTCCGCTGGAGACCTGTAAATATAAAAAGATTTAGAACAATCAAAATCAGAGATGCTACTGGCGTCACCACGTGCCTGCTGACAGACAGATAATTTTGCTAATATACTCAGTGGAACTGGAAAAATTGAAAAATCTATTCTCTGTATATTGTAATGGCTCAAGCAATGAAAAATTTATATTAGTATTGATAATGACATCCTTGGAACAAGAAAGACGCAGGGGCTGGAAGCACACTGTACTTTTAAAAATCACACCAGGGTTTGTTTCTGGAAAGACATAATTCCTGTCTTAACTAGTGCTTTTGTGACTTATCTTCATTATGTAATACATAGGATAAAGAGATATATAAGACAAGAACACTAGTAAGCTAACGGTAACAAAACAAATGGCCTTCTTTCCAAATAGATATTTTTCAAAATGTTGTATTTCTAAATACATACCAACCAGCATTATTAATGTATGGGGATATGTATAGCTCTTTATCATTACAGAAATGGCTTATGATTGGCTCTGAAATGGAGTGTCTAAGAGACCTGTTTCACAGCTGTCTCTAGGACTAGAGTCTCCTTTAGAAGTTCTCCTGAGCAGTTGATCAGGGAATAGACTCATCAGTTGAGAAACACCACCATGCCAAACCTATTCTCATGTTCTCAGTGGAGGCAGACAAAGCAGCTGTGAGGTTCAGCCTCAGTTGTGAGGTTCCCTACACAATTACTGGGTTACAGAATTGTAGGGAAGGTAGGCCAAGAGTTTCTGAAAAGGAAAAGTAGATGGAAAAAGTGAGTCATTGGCAAAAGCTCAAGTTATATAATTTCCCTAGCAATGGCTCAAAAAACTGGAAGGATTTTTTAACCTGAATCCAAATGTTTATTAAGTTCATTGGCTAGGCTAATATTTATTAAGTGTCTATGATGGGCCAATATAGACTAAGAGTGGTAGGTTAGAGGAAGGGTTGGAAGGGGTTTATGCAAAAAGAGAATAAGTAGTGGTTTGCTATGGTAGCCTTGTGGTATTCACACCTGCGTACAGTCCTTCACACATGGAGTTAGAGTTAGCTGTGTGGTCAATAGACATGTGGTGGGAATAATGGTATGTTACTTCTGAGGCTAGTTCATACAATAAAACATTATGGCTTCAGCCTTGGTCTTTTGGATCACTCATTATGGGGAAAGCCAGCCACCATGTTATAAGGACACTCAACAGTCCTGTGGACAGAGCCACATGGAGAGCTGCAGAAGCCCCAGCCAGGAGCCAGCACTAATTTGCCAGTTATGCAAGTGGGCCACCTTGGAAGTGCCTCTTCCAGCACCAGCAAGCTTTCAGATGACTGCAGGCTCAGCCAATATCTGACTGCACATTCATGAGAGATGCTAAGTCAAAACTGCTTTGTCAAGACCGTCCTGAATTCCTAGCCCACAGAAACTGTACAAGAAAATAAGCCATTGTTCTTTTAAGTCACTAATTTTGGGGATGATTTGCTACACTTTAATAAATAGTGAATACTTTTAAATGGATGTCATGAGTTTAAGCAGACCTAGGAGGCAATCTAACATAGTGTTTAGGAACAGAGTTACTGGAGTTACACATTCCTCTTGCATTGGAATCCTGAGTGATTCTCCAAGTTATTTCACCTTTCTAGACTTCAGTTTCTTCATCTGCAGAATATGGATAATAATAGTGGCTATCTACCACATTGCTGAACTATATAATTCTCCATAATTTATTCAAACTCTCAAATTCTGGATGACAGAATATATGCATGTATGTGTGTGTTTACATATTGATTTTATCTATACTTATATAGAGAAGAGAAGAGTGACACTGTTTATTAAGTGCTGACTCTATGTTGGCTCCTGGGCTAACAAGCATTCATACACATTAGACTGCCTTTGAGTAAGATGTGTTACTTGATATCAGTTGGGATTGTATCACTTAAAAACTCTCTGTTTTTAGAAGAATTGGTCCAAGGTGAAAGTTGTATGATAAAAGCTACTGAATTGTAATCAAGTTCTATTGCAGCAAATTAATCTTTGAACAAAAGCTGGGAAGTATTTTCATAAACCAGAAACCAAAGAGAAAACTTTATTATAACTTGGTAGTAAGTTGACCCTTTTATACTTTGGGGACTGGGAAAAATAATCCATGGGTGTTTACTACAGGAAAAAATGGAGGCTTATAGGGATGCTCTTGGCCTCAGGGAGGCAATACTGAAAGTCTGTATCAGCTTCCTGGTAGAGCCCCTGGCCTGGACCCAGCCCTCTCGGCCTGCTAGCAGTGGAAGCTGTGTTTGGCCTTACAAAAACAAAACAAAACAAAAAAACTTTATTATAACAGCCTTTTTGTTATTGGGACCTGAAAATTCACTGTTGTAAATGTCTTTCTTTTAAGTCTCCTGATTTGAAATATTTCACTTGTTTTTCTCTTATTCTTTTTTCCCCTTTCTGCTCTCCCCACAGTTTCTGGTAATTATGAGAACCTTGGATTTATCCTTCCAAAGACTCTCTCCATTTTTTGCCAATTCCAATTTGTTCTGAATCCTGAAATAAATGAAATAAATAATAAATGAAAAGGCCAGAGGCAACGGCACTGTCACCCTGCACACCCAGGGGAGAACCCAGAGGTTGTAGGACGCTCTCTGCAGAGAAGATGGAAAACAATGTCTCAGGGGCCCAATTATTTACTGTAGCTGCTGAAATGAGATGATTTAT
This sequence comes from Homo sapiens, assembly GCF_000001405.40. Taxonomy (NCBI): domain Eukaryota; kingdom Metazoa; phylum Chordata; class Mammalia; order Primates; family Hominidae; genus Homo; species Homo sapiens. The sequence continues at coordinate 93,314,689 of NC_000008.11, forward strand.
ATCGGTGACAAGGCTGTCCTGGAATAGTAGCCAAGTGTATAAATTTAGATCTATTATATAAAAAAACCATCCCTGGGCCCCAAAGAGTCCAACTTAAAAAGAAATTAAATGACTCTTGGTTGTACATATACATTCTGCACTTTATACATAGAGACAGGTATTTGCTATTTAATGATTACTGGATATTCTAACATATCTAATTGGTGTAGGTTCAAGAAGCTGAGAATATAACCATTTTGTGTCTCAAATTTATAAGGTCATACCAAATAATTTGAGCTAGGCCATACATAGGTTGAAGAGAAGAAACTTTTAATTAAGGACCAGCTTTAATTTTCTGGTGCATTATATGAATAACCAAAGTATTTAACTGGCCATGACCTTGGTAGAGAAATATGCAAGGGTTAAGCTCACTAGATTGAGATCAAGATTTGATTCCTTCAAAACAACACCCTACAAGGTCACGTACTGAAATGAGAAATTCAGAATGTCAAATAGCAATGCTAGTTCCATTGGACGAGGATCAAAAGGAAATTCATTAAAGCCCTGGGAGAGTCCAAAGCACAGAATTCCCAGGCCTTAGTTATCAGGAGAAAGGAGACAGTCATTGGCTAAAGCTCAGAGGATCAGGTTGCTGCATCGTCAAGAGAGTTGATAGTGAAGTTTTTTGAGGGTGTACGTGATCAGTTAAAGAAAAGTAAGCACTCAGCCTGAATATATACACTTACACATATACATGGTTCACTACATATCATGTACATTATAAAATGCACACAAAAACAAAAACTCAGAAAGCAACAATAAGAAGATGCAAATAAAAAGGAATAATTAGATGTTCCCTAATACTTTCAATACCTCTTCACTGATTACAGCAATTTCACTGAGATTTAAAGATAAGTATAAAGGTTATAGAAACAGTACTGGGATGGGGTGAAGGACAAGAAATGGCAGACATCAGAGACTGTGGACATTTTTTGGTTTGCCTGCCCAGTACCTAATGTTCAAGAAAACAGGTAGTGGTGGGTAATAAGGATATCATTATAATTGCTCAGCCTCCCAATAAGATTTTATTCTCTTCCTTGTGACAGCGAAGGGCAGTACCCAAGAGAGGTATCTTCCTTATTTGCCCTCACCCCACCACTCCTTGGACTCCACTTTCCTATTATCTACATGGCAGTAGAAAAGCCAAACACTAATATCAACTAGACAAAGAAAGGAAAGTAAATTAACTCTTACTTTCTTCTTTTACTTTTTTATGAAACAGAGTCACTTTATCACCCAGGCTGGAGTGCAGTTGCACAATCTCAGCTCACTGCAACCTCCACCTCCTGGGTTCAAGCAATTCTTGTCCCTCAGCCTCCCAAATAGCAGGGACTATAGACGCGCACCGCCATGCCTGGCTAATTTTTGTATTTTTCGGTAGAGATAGGGTTTCGCCGTGTTGGCCAGGCTGGTCTGAACTCCTGGCCTCCAATCGCCCACCCACCTCAGCCTCCCAAAGTGCTGGGATTACAGGAGTGAGCCACCGTGCCTGGCCAGCTCTCACTTTCATGGTGACACTAGAAGGACTGATACCAGGATTTTCCCACAGACTGTCTGCCCATCTGGGGAGCCGTGACTCTCAGACTTAAATCAACTACAAAGAATAATTGTTTGTAGTTGAAAATATCAGAGATGCTCCCACCCGGGAAAGTCTGTTTTAGTTGGTCTGCTGTGGGCCTGGAAATCTGCATTTTATAAGTATCCAGATGATGACAAGGCAGGTGACTGACAGCAGCCATAAGGAAGGAGATAGACTTCCAGATCCTGACTCCTTAGGCAGCCGTGGCTCAGGTTCCATCCTCCCTACACCCGTTTTTCTGAAGAAGGAAGGTCAGAAGATATTGACTGTGGGGAATATGTCAGAGACTCTCTAGCAAGAGGTCAGAGAGGTAGACTTGAGTAGGTCCCCTGAACATCAGTTACACTAAGATCCACAGATGCCCTCGGGCAGCACCATTGCAGTGATCTCCTCCAATGACCCATCCACAGGGGCTGAGCTCAGCTACCCTACCTTCAGCTCCAATCCCTGACAACACGGCCTTTCTGCAGGGCATCTTAGCACTCAGGAAGCACAATGGGTGAGGAGTCATGAGACAGCCTCAGGATTCTGTGAAGGGGTAAGGGTAAGAAAAAGTACTGAGGGACTGTGAGATGAGAGAGCATTCAAGACTTTGGGTGTGTGGTAGAGATAGATTGAGGGGTGCTATTATAATTAGAAATATACATGGTGGCAGACAGTGAAGGGTATTGAAATGCTATTATGGAGTCGGATATGATTAATTAAGCAATGAGAGCCTCTGAAGGTGTTTTCAACAGGGTAAATAGGCATAATAGGTAGAGCTTAAGGAAAGTAATCTCATGGCAATATGAGGATGTATTAGAGGCATGGGAATGTGAATGCAAGAAAACCAGGTTCAATAACTGTAGGTTTAATAAGTCACTATTTTTGACAGCTTATTAAGGAATTAACTGAGGAATTAATGAGGACTTAGCCACTAAGAAACCTAGTGATAGTGATAAAAAAAGGAAATTCTCATGTATATTGCTGCCTACCTAGAAATACGTGGCTACCTATTTAGAGATTAATGCATATACATGGTCCCATCACAGCCTTAAAATAAATTAACATGTTTGAAAATGTACCCTCCACTCCCAAACCTTACTTCCAACTCCTAACCCACACCACACCCATTATGACCAAGGAGACAAAACAAATTTAAGGACTTCATAATTGAATTTAATTTTGCACACAGAGAAATTCTTTTTGGTGTTGCTTTGGATTTAAACAACAGAAGAAGGATAGCCTTTTTGTCCAGAATGAGAAGGAAATGCTGAAAAAAAAAAAAAAAAGCAACATATCCTGGATTGCCTCCATAACAACTGTCACTGTATTTTACATGTCTGTTTCCCCATTAGATTATAAGGTTCTTGAGGGCAGGGTCCATATCTCTTGTGCATTGTGCTAGTCCCAACAACAAGAGCAATGACTAGTTAATATGCAGAAGTCCTGTGAAATGATCTTGATACAATAAATTGTTCAGGTCCATTAGAATGCCATAGAAATAATGTCATAACTCACTAGTGGAAATAGCTTATTTTAAAACCCTACTGATTTGCCAAACAAATCCAGGTCTCTAATGCTAAGGCCAAGTGACCTGACTCATTTCTCACACCCTGGAAGGCCCTCTACCAAACATGTTCACACATTGAAGGAGGGAATCCTCCCCTCACCTTATGTGTGTGTTTGTCCTGTTTCTGTCCCAGGGACCACATTCTGAGATGTCCCATTTGTGTGTTACAAGAATAAATGCATCACTGCAAATGTAATTGTAGCTCCTCTGAGAACTAAATGCTCTTCTATTTATTTTCTTGACTTATGCATATTTGATAGGTTGAGGTTGCAATACTAACCTTGCTCAATATCTGAAAAGAATATCTTGATTCATGAATTCTGTAAACATTTATTAAATTACAGCATGTTATGTGATGATAAGGATCGATGGAAGGGAGCTAAAGGAAGAACTGTTTACATAATTTCACAGAGGATGTACTAGGATAGAATAACTGCTATAACAAGCAACCTCCAATTTCAGTGGCCATGCACAATACAACCTCCAATTTCAGTGGCCGTGCACAGTACAAGATGATACCTGGCTCACTCATGCAAGATTCACTGCAGATATCCCTGGTTAAACAGCTTTCCTAGGGTGCTCTCCTCTATGTGTCCCTTAGGGACTCAAGCTCCTTTCACCTCCTGACACTGTTGTCCTCAGCATGTGATCTGTAAGTCCCCATGGAAGAGAAAGCAAGAGAGTAAAAGATCAAGCATAGGAGATTTCAATAGGCCAGTACTGGAAGTGGCAGAGATCAGCAAGGATAATGGTAAATCGAGTTTAGCAGTAAACACAGAAGGAAAAGGAAGCGGGTTTGGAGAATACACAGCATTGTTTCTGCCAGAGTATAAAGTTTCTGATGATCTGTCAGTGAATTTTTTCCTATAATGAGGCCTAAATCCGCCAAGCACAAACTAAAAAGCAATGTTGTATGGTGGGGAGCTATAATTATTATTTTATATTATATGAATTATATTCTAATTATTGTACATATTTGATAGCACTATTTTCTGTCAAATCCCTGATAATTATAGCCCCAGCCATCTCCATTTCCAAATCTTTCTTCTGAACTTTAGCATTAATTCACCCTAGTACCCATTCAAAAATCAGGCTGTTGCATTTTAAATGGTTATTTTACAAGAGTGATCCTCTTTTTTCATGCTAGTAAAGATGACCTTTATAAATTCTAAGACCTAATCATTTTAGTTAATTCAAAACAGGTGGAAAATACCTCATAGGAAGTCATTTGTTATGCACAAGATCAAGCTGAAATGTCATCACCTCTCTGTAACTCTCTCTCCTTGAGACTTCCTTTCCCAGATAGAATTAATTGCCCCTCATCTGTGTTTTCACAGCATTTTATACACACTGAGTTTTAGAATGAATCTCTTTATAGTACAGTCATGTGCTACATAATGACATTTCAGTCAACGACAGACCACATATACAACAGGGGTCCTAGAAGATTATAATACCATAATCTTAATGTACCTTTTCTATGTTCAGATATGTTCAGATACACAGATGCTTATCATTGTGTTATAGTTGCCTACAGTATTCAGTACAGTAACAAGCCGTATAGCAGGGGTGTCCAAACTTTCGGCTTCCCTGGGCCACATTGGCAGAACTGTTTTGGGCCACACATAAAATAAACTAACACCAACAATAGCTGATGAGCTAAACAATATAAGTCGCAAAAAATCTCATAATGTTTTTGTTTTTTGTTTTTTGAGGTAGAATCTCACTCTGTTGTCTAGGCTGGAGTGCAGTGGCACCATCTCAGCTCACTGCAACCTCCGCCTCCCAGGTACAAGCGATTCTTGTGCCTTAGCCTCCTGAGTAGCTGGGATTACAGGCATGCACCTCCATACCTGGCTAATTTTCATATTTTTAGTAGAGACAGGATTTCATCATGTTAGCCAGGCTGGTCTCAAACTCCTGGCCTCAAGTGATCCAACTACTTTGGCCTCCCAAAGTGCTGGGATTACAGGCATGAACCACCACACCAGGCCAAAATCTCAAGGATTTAGAAGGTTTATGAATTTGCGTTAGGCTGCATTCAAAGCCATCCTGAGTCACATGTGGACAGCAGGCCATAAGCTGGACAAGCTTGCTGTATAGGTTTATAGCCTAGGAGTCATAGGCTATACCATATAGCCTAGAAATGTAGTAGGCTCTACAATCCAGGTTTGTGTAAGCACACTCTGTGATATTCACACAATGATGTAATCACCTAACAATGCATTTCTCAGAATGTGTCCTCATTATTAAGCAGCACGTGACTCTGTAATTATTTGCTTACATATTTGTCTTCCCCTTAGACTTGAGCTCTTTTGGGCTAAGGGAATATGTGTCTTTAGTGCCTAAAAGAATTGCTGGCTCATAACAGGCACAGAATACACGCCACAACTGAGGTGATGCATCCTCAGTTGTACTCCTTGGAGCACTGTGTCTACACCACCATGATAGCTCTTACAAAACAGTACTGCAACTTATTTTATGTTTTTATGTGTCTCTCTGGCTACTAAACTGTGAGGTCTTTGGGGCAGGAATAATATCTTTTGTGCCAATTGCCTAGCATATTTTTCTATACGTTCAAAGCCCCACTTGTTCCAAAACTGATTTTGTATGCTTTATACTAAACATAGTGCATTAGGATAAAAAATAGATAACTGAAGAAATCATGTCAGAGAGTAAATAAGGGTAGGAAAAAAGAGTCCAAGAGTGAGACGAATACATAAAATGCCTGGCAGAACATACTATACTGGATTTGTGAAAAGTCAACCACGAACTTGGCTCTGAGCTTTCTAGTAGTCAAAGCAAGAAGGGCTACATTCTTAGTAACAAAATGTAGTAACTAAAGAGTTCAAGCAAACTGTTTTCTTGAGGCAATGGTGGTTTGTTTTGGTGTTTTAAATTTTCGTTTCTGTTTCTCAGCTACTCGTGGTTTTTGCCAAACCAGGTGTTATAACCATGAACTGAATATTTGACTGTTTACATATAGACCTAGGAACTGTTGCTAAAGGATGAGAGATGACATCTTTCTTCTAAGCTCTAAGATGAAGTTCCAGGAGATTCATAGAAAACAAAGGATCACAACACAAATTACAATAGCCCCTCATTTCTCTCTTTCCTCCCAGGCCCCTGATGTCACCAATCCAGAAATAAGGGCACATAGGCCCTAGGATGCCTTCAACAAGACCAAATTAAGGAGCAAATGATCTCTTCTACCTGGTCCAGAATGTCTACCTAATAATGGCATCAACCACCAGCCACAGTGTATGCCAGTACTCAAATGCTGGTATCAAGCTAGCTGCGTATAAATTACCGGGGGAGTTGTGGGGCAGGGAACTTACATCTTTAATGGATATTTCAGAAAATTCTAATTTACTCAGTCCTAATGGAAGCCCAGAAATCCATATTTTTAAAAATCTCCCAGGTGATTCTGATGAATGGCTAAGTTTGCAAAATCCACCAATACATTTCCTTTATATAAAAATATAAGTGAAATTTCCATGAATTTATTTTTTTTTTTGTTTCCATTCCACCACTCCTAGTTTCTGTAGCTTACTACATCTGTTTCTACATATACAGCTACAAGAGACAACTCCCTTCCCTCACTGGTGAGAGATACAGCCCATCAATGCTGTGGCCCCAACCTGGCATTTAGGGTTTGAGGAATGATTAATTCATGGGCTCTATATTATCCAAAGAAGTATATTAGTAGAGATATAAAATTTCTGACAGACAATATCTACCATGCTAACAAATCAATCCAGGAATCAAAGAAATTGCTTCCATTATGCAACACCAACAATAACAACTGACAGCTATCAAGTACTTAATGTGGGCGAGGTACTGGACTGTGTGCTCTATAGGACTTTTCACTTAATATCCCAGAAGTGCCCTATGAAGTAGATATCATCATTTCCACTTTATAGCTAAAGTAAGAGTATTTATTAAAAAATATTTATTAAAGTAAGAATATTTATTCTTACATTACAGGTAAGAATAACAAGAGGTAAAAGAATTAAGTGACTTGTCTACAGTTTCACAGATAGAAAATAGCAAAACCAGGGTTTGGCTCTAGGCAATCCAACCTTGCTCTTCACCTGCTCACTATCCTCCCAGAAGCCAGGGAGGACATCTTAAAATTAATATGTGTTCGAACTGAAAGCCCAACCCTACTTTGGCTAAGGTATTTTTAACTTTTACAAAATGAAAGAAAATATTTGATACCTTTAATAAGAGTGAGTTTGCTAAAATTTAGCAGATGTATAATGCTGGAAACCACCCCCAAAATACTATAGATCAGGATATCTACTTCATTTATTCCCACTGCAGATGTTCTAGAAAAGGAATTGTATTTAGGACTGTATCTTGCACATAAAGGCTTCCGGTTCCTCTCTAAGTAATAAACTAATGCATAAAAGAATGAATGAATGAAAAAAGAGAAAAATCAAAGAGAAGGAAGTTGGGAGAAAAGATCTAAGATATGTTGTATTTTAGCCAGATTTTATAGTATTTTCATGCAAACAATTCAAACATTGGGAATCCATTTCATCACTCTAGAGCCTATCTGTGAAAGGAAGGATTTGGCCTACGTAATTACTCAGTTTTCTTGTAGCTCTTTTAAGACAGATTCTGTGACCACTCAGATCTCACAGAAAGGCAAATTTCTAGGGGAGTCTAAGATTTTTCTCCTTATTTTATATACGTAATCAAGATAGTTTAAAAAAACACTTGCGATTTTATGGCTCCTTATACCAATATTTTTTGGCTCATACACACATATCTAAGAATTGCTTTCACGTGAGATCAGAGAATTGAAGTTACTAAATAAATAATACCTGAGGGAACCATGTCAGTGAGTTTATTTATTCTGGGACCTTCAGGCTTTGGATACAAAAAGAGCACATCACGCTTCACACAGAGCACATCTGAAGTGCATACATTTGTTCAGCAGATGCATTTATATCTCAGGAATCATCTGGGCATGTGTAAATTTCCCTATATTGGTAGCTGTAGACATGAAGGAATATTACCAACATCCTAGAGAAAGGATCATGAAACTCCACAAGACTAAGGGAATGAGTATGGATGAAAGTGGAACATCTAGGAGAGTGCACTTACTGAAAGCACCAGTGTATGTTGCATCCCCACTCCTACCTCTGGTCACATTCATATCCATGCACACACGTGTGCAAGTACAGACCCATACACAACTGGCGTGAATAAAAGAGAGTCCCCACTGTCAGGTAGAGACCCAGGGCCATGTGAAAAAGCTGAGTCTGGTGGAAGAATGTAAGCCTAGGGCGCTCCTTCCTAGAATCCATATAGCATGTTTGTCTCCTTCTACAGTAAGTTTCTTGAGAGATGGATCTTGCTTATTCATTTGTATCCTTGGCATCCTACATAGGGCTGGGCAGAATCAGCTTTCAATACATAAGTCTGCTAAAAGATTGAGTAAATAAATCAATAAAGGAGTGAACACTGTATTCAAACAATCCAGCGTAGACTACAGCCCCCATAGAATGACCATCATAGCTTCCTGACTGCTCCTGCTGCCTGGACATGTGCCAGACAATACTAATGCCTTCTGTTATTAGCGTGCTTTAAAAGTTACTAAGGATGTTCATGTCTGTTAAACTCGTTTTATACCCACAACAACCTCTTGTTGGGAAGGCAGACACCTTGATCCCAACTTTATATATTAGGGAACTATGGGGCACAGAAGTAAAGTAATGTCTCAGTTCACACATCAGTGGACCTTACTGATAGAAATGGAACTCAAGCCAAAGCCTAGTTATTACTCCCTGCCTACTGTTCCACTGGAAGATGTGTATATCCAGTGAAAGATATATAAGATATATACATATATAGACATATATGTAGATATGGATATATATATACCTTCCAATGGAAGAGTAGGCAGAGTACAGTAGAAAAGTGGCACACACACACAGACATAGTACATTCTAATTACTCATGGTATTCCATAAAGTCTCTGCAAACACTCAGTTAGCAAATATGAAACTGTTGTTCCTAAGGATGAGCACTTGTGTGTGTGTGTGTGTATGTATATACACACTATATGTGTGTACAAATGTATACATATATTGTGTGTGTATATATATATATATATACACAGAATGATATAAATATGTAGATTGATCACCATCTTAAATCCTAAAAAATAACTTAAAATGTAAAAGGCTTTGGAAACGTGGATTCTATCTTCTGATATACATATACATCAACTTACAATTAAATATGAAGTAGTGTTCAGCTAAAGATGTGCAGTGCTTTGCTACAGGTAAGACATTGGTAATAGATTGGTAGATTCTATTTTCTTTATTTTACAAGTGAGAAAATGAGGCTCAGAAAAGTTGAGACTTGACTGAAGCTACCCCACTAACAGGCACCAGGGTTGGGATTCAGACCCTATCCAACTGGCCCCAGAGCCAGAGCTTCTTGTCCTACACTGCCCTGCCCCTCTACTGCCTGCATCCTCTGGTGACCTCTGTATGAGAGGACACAAGAACAGAGGAACGTCTTGTTTAAACCTCACCTGGGAATTCGTACATAGCAAGTCTCAAATTTTTCATGCTCTGCATGTACCTGAATGACTGTGAAAGCACCAGCAATATTGATTTCGGAGTTACAAATAAATATTAGTGAAGAGGTGAAGTCACAGATATGGACTCGGTGAATGATGAAGATTGACTAATAAATATCATATCATAATCGTATGGTACCATATCGTATCATATCATAGGAATGACCTTTCCCCTACATCTGGTCTCTTGGACAAGGGAAGCAAGACCAGGTTTGTGATAACAGGGCTGAGGCACCAATAGGCAACAGTGGCTTTTGCCAGTTTTCTACTTCTACATTTAGTCCTCTTCCAGTCTGCTGGCTAGACAGACATAGTTACTTCTGGCTTTCATGGTCCTTGTAACACTTGTGGGCACTGAACCAATGTAAAAAGAGAGGGGGAGATGTATTTCACACAAAGGACTCAGTTTTCTCTTACTCTGCCTTCAGCACAGGGAAAGAGAGACCATTGCCAACAGGGTGGGAGTGTGAGATGCAGTGAGGAAGCCATAGCAAGCCAGAGAATGCAGAGGCAAGAAATTCTAATCAAGAGCTTCAGGGAAGACAGCTCTGTGGTGTGGTCATCAAGAGCAACACTCTCGACTTTGAACTGGCATTAGGCCTGTTTGACATCTAAACAGCACAGCTGCAATAGTCTTGGACCAGCCAACAAAGCAATGGTTGCAAGTCAGGGAACACACAGAAGTGCCCAAGGTGGAGAAAGCAGAGCACCTTCTACGTTGGTCTCTGCAACTAAAGAGAGACCAATCGCATTGATTGCACGACTGGAGAGAGTGATTAGATCAGCATCTCTGAGCTAACTGCTACTTCATGAGCCTCTGCTCCCTATGGGCCCTGTGTCAGTCACTTGGCACATACTAGATATTTAATTCTGACAAGAACACAGTCTGGTGGATTATTGTGCTCTTTCCACCAATGAACAAACGAAGCCTTGAAGAGGTGAAGTGACTTGCCTAAGGCCATTCAACCAGTCACAGGGGCAAAGCCAGGATTTCAGCCTAGAGTTCTCTGAAGCCAATGGCCATGTTTTTTCCACTACACAGATACTTAGATGCCTTCCACAGTTCTGGAGAGAAATATAGATGTGGATCTAAAAATAGCTGGCAGGAGTTTCCCGACACTAGAATTCTCTGTTTTATTTAATAATGAAGCCAAATTAAAGGGCCCACTCTGAGGAAAAAGGAAAATGCAATTCATCAAATTGATGGCTTGTGTTCTTATATTAGGAAATTGACCTTCTGAGCTGAGTATTTCAATCTACGTGGTGATAATGTGTGTGTTCTAATAACTATAGATTTTTCATTCTCATTATCACAAAAGAAATAATTTGTTATAAAAGGCACAGTTCCAAAGGCATCTGACTACCCTTACTGAAAAAAAAATGTGAAAGGCTTTGGAAATATGTGGATTCTATCTTCTGATATGTACACATCAATTTAACAATTTAATATGAAGTAGTGTTCAGCTAAGGATGTGTGGTGCTTTGCTAAATGCAAGACATTTGAAAAAAACAATAGATTGGGATGTTCCATGATTCCCAAATTTGCCTGGATTCATTCATTTTTGCCCAGGCATACATGGAAGCCAGCCATGAACACATAACAAAACATGCATTTATCCCATGCTTCTAGGGAACAAAAGCTTTGCTCCAATACTCTCCTAACCTGCCACCTTCTCGGTCTTCTCAGACTATGGAACAAGAAACAGCATTCCTTTAGCTCCCAAGTCTTATGCATTGTATTTTTTTAATAATGTGCAATTGATTCAGTGCCTGTGAACTTCCTCTAAACATCCAAACCACTTAGGATCATTAAGATGCTTTCAGAATGCAGAGAATGTATCCCTCAAGTACTCTTTTCCACTTGCTGTATATTGAAAGTTGCCTCTGTCTCACCCAGTCTGGGTGTCAGCTCATGGCTCATTACTGTAAATTACTAACATTAGAAATGGTGAATCACCAAGATGAATTGTGGAAAATGTACACAAGAGGAATTACCAGGCCATGCGCTTGTGGGGTGTGCTAGGTGTTATTGTAGGAAAACAAGATGCAAGAGTTGTGAAGATATTAATTTACTATATCAATAATCATATTGCTGTGCAGGAATATAGAATGTAATTTTTAAAAGCAGCAACTACTATTCTGGTTTCTTTAACTGAAGCCACCCACTTCTGAGACATGGCTCAGCTTTGACAATGGATTGAACATGGCAGGAATGACAGCAGGGGGTTGAGGCTGGCTGGCCAGAGGTAGGAATAACACTTGACCATGTTGAACGGAGTCCACTGCCTTGGGCCCCTCTTTTGGGGTATCCTCAGTCTGTTGTCGTAAATGACAGAGAACCAGGGACTCGGGGAAACAGAATAGTCAGGAGGCCTAACGTAAGTCTAGAGAGTAAGTTTAAAAATAATGAGTACGGTCTCCATAAGTCATACAAGGAAATCAAGTATATTATATTTATGAATAATATATTTCATTATCCTGTGGTAGGACTAGCTTAACTTCTACACACATGCCTTAGACTTACCAAATCTTTCCAAGTTGCCTTCCTTGAGGTTTATCATAACCTAATTTGCCTTTGTAAGAAAAATATTAGGGGGAATAGGTAGTCTCAGAACTACCCTATAAGTAAGTCAGTGGCATTTAAACCCTATTGATCCTGATCTATAATAAGAAACACATTCAACATCATGACACAGTACAAACAGATAAATATATAAAGAAAGACATACATGTACAAGCTTAATGAAACAATACTTAACTTCAATAAATGGTGACTGAAGGAATAAAACAATGAAGAAAGGGTACAATCACACAATGATGTATTATGTAGTCAATAATTATATTTACCTATATTGTTTAATAACATGCTACAATGCTCACAACAAAACAATATAATGAAATATAGAGAAATGTTGAAAAACAACAGTGGTATATATAATATGACCCCAATTTTTAATCCAACACTACCTTGATAAATTCAGACTATTAATGCAATTTTTCTTTAGGATTCAGGACATTCTTAAAGTGAACAGTCCAAATTGTATTTGCTGTCTAGAAAACCAACAGAAGTGTAGCTTATCAAGGAAAAAGATGAGAAGCTCCATAAAATTATAAAAAGGAAGCAACAAATTCCTGAAAAATTTAGACCATGTACACAATCAATTCATATTGTTCAAAGCATGAGTCCTAATTAATTAGAATAACAGCAGTAACAACTATTAAGTACCTGCATTTGGGAATACTCTTATTGCCTACCAAAAAGAAAAATAAAACTACACCAATTCATAATTTATGCCATGCAACTAATGAGAAATATTGAGTTACTTTACAATCCATCATTCACCTATCTGAGCACATAATATTTTTCAGCCCTATGAAATACCAAGTTCTTTAATAGGGCATGGAGATCCCAAAGATGAATTAGACAGAAATCTTGCCCTTAAGCAGGTCAAAACCTACTGGGTGATCCAGGTAGGTAGACACTGACATTGAATGTGATAAGCTCAACACTGAAGTTGTACATAAAGGCTACGAAGACAGTGCAGCTGTAGGTCTTGGGTAAATGGGAAAAGTTTTCAGAGAGGTTGATTCTAGGCTGTCTTAAAAACTGTGAGGAGGTTGCCAAATAGACAAAGGAGGGAAAGGCATTCCCAGGAGAGAATAACAGGTTCAAAAGCTTAGAGATGGAAGAGGATGCTTCCAATCTGGGAATCCCAGACATTTTAGTAGAACTAGAATGCAAGATACTAGATCTGTAGAGAATGGGAAGAGTTGAAGTAAGCAGGGGGAAAAAGTGTCTTAATGCTATTCTAAATAGTTTGGGTTTCATAGCAGAGAGCCCAGAAAATATTTGGGACTGAGTAGTGACATGATCTCATTTGTGTATCAGAAAGATTATTCTAGGATGAATTTGGAGGCACTGAGGCTTATTTTGGAGTTGGACTTAGACCTGCAGACACTTATCACTGTTAGATGGGCCCTTCCAAGAGAATTTGTAAACAGAGATCTTGCTCTCAGGAAATTTAACATTTAATTCATAGAACCCAAAATCACAGCCTACAGAGAAATGCACTTTCTTAAGGTAATGTGTTCTGTTTGCCAGCACTTTGACACAAAGAGAAGTGCTGGCTTCATAGAAATAATTAATCCTCTTTTTCTGCCACTGGGATAAACAAAGGAAAGAAAGAAATAGATGTTATAAAAAAATAAAATCCAAGGCAGATCAAAGGGGATGTGGCGGAGGATTCAGCAACTGCCACCCTTAAGCAAAGAACAGTAATGAAGAAATGAGTTTTGGCAGCCTAGCCAATGGGATATGAAAGAAATTAATCCCGAAGGGATGTAATGACCTGAAAAAAATGATGAGCAAAGTCCAGAAGGATTAGAAGAAAGAAAAAGGCAGCAGACAGGTAAGAGCCATTTTCTTCTCTGTCTTGTCTATCTGAAGGATATCAGATAGTCCTCAGCGATGGGAGCTGTGGAAAAGCAAGCCAAAGAATTGATTTGGCAAAGTCATTTAAATTTCTTATTCTTCTTATTCATTTTTTCTCGTTAAGGCAAAGAATGGTACTTTAATTTACTGTCATAACACAGGAACTAGCTATTGATAAGATTAACCTTGTTCAATCATGATGAAATTCAGTAAACTCAGGACACATTTTTGGATACTTTGTTTTCCCAGCTAAAGATAAGAGTTGCTCCTAAGACTCAGACCTTTAGTATAATGTACACTGATGGTTTTTATTTTTTTCTTTCCAGAATGGACTTCAGTGCAACAGGGAATTAAACTGAAATCATTAAATTCTTTCTGCTTAGCACTTTAGAGAAAATTTCTATCAGCCTGCCTAAGGTTAGTGAATACTGTAATAATAAATTGTTAATACTGAAGTCTTTGGAATTTATCTGATTTTCAAATGATTTTTTTCACCTCATTAAGTAGAGTCTTATTTTCTCTGAGTTCTTTGGGTAAGAAACAGAGACAATAATCTTGATGGTCTTAAAGCAAAGGCTCTCAGATAAACTTTTTTATTTTTGAGACGGAGTCTCACTCTGTCTCCCAGGCTGGAGTGCAGTGGCGCAATCTTGGCTCACTGCAAGCTCCGCCTCCCAGGTTCATGCCATTCTCCTGCCTCAGCCTCCCGAGGAGCTGGGACTACAGAAGCCTGCCACCACCCCGGCTAATTTTTTTGTATTTTTAGTAGAGACAGGGTTTCACCGTGTTAGCCAGGATGGTCTCGATCTCCTGACCTCGTCATCCGCCCGCCTCAGCCTCCCAAAGTGCTGGGATTACAGGCGTGAGCCACGGCGCCCGGCCTCAGATAAACTTTTGGCCTCAGATAAACTTTTAAATGCCATGGAAGTTCATAAGGACAGGTCAGAATCTGCAGACAGTTGAGTAATAGCTCCAAAGACTTGGGTTCTTATTTATTAACTGATTTGTGCTTTTTATACACAATTTGACGTCTGTTTCTTGGGCCTAACGTGACAGTGCTCACCATGGGAAACTGAAACCAGGAATTTAATCTCAAATTTCTGAAGACATTCAGACTTATCCATTGTTCTATGAATCAGGAATATGTTAACAGAAGTTCTGGTTATTGAAGAATCTTCAGAATGAAAATCAAATTATGAAATCCCCAGGTAATTTGACTTCATGGCCAGCATTGCATCTCAGAATATTTTTTATAAGGGCTACAAAAGTGTGACTATTAAGCTTTTAAAAAAAATTAAAATATCTTTTCAGTTGTAATATTCCCACCATGGGTGAAGTCTGCTGTCTGATTGCTAGAATTTTGGCCGATGCCTTCTTGCACCTCTATGAACCCGACTCCAGCCCCTCCCCTCTAATTACTGCCCACAGTGAAGAGAGAATTTCTGCCCACTCCCTGCAAGCCCAGGTAGGGGAGCATTTGCCAAGAAGCCTGCCCTTTACCGCAAGTGTGCAAAGTGGCAACCGCAGCTGACAACATCCCCAGGGGCCCTGTCTTGTGGTCTGGCCGCAGTGAGAATTTTCTCGGCTTCCTAGGGGAGAGGGCACTGACCCAGCTTTCAGCTGGAGCCTGCTGCTGGAGAACTAATTACTAGTGTGAAAAAAGCCTGGATTCAGGTCAATGTTTTCTCAAACATTGTTTACATTTGATTTTAAATCCATACAATGGCAGAATTGACATTTGCAGCTTGCTACCACATTCATTTGTGAGGTTTTATGTTACTTTATTTTTAGGTTGGAAATGTTTGAGGAGGCATTTATCATGAAAGCCGTGGCCTTTGCTCCTAAAGCTTCGTCTCACAAGTACAATAACAAAAACTGCTAATTAAAAGAGGGAAAACAACCAGGAGTCAAACACAAAGGGGCATCCCTGCCTCATCAGCACAGAACAATCGACCGGCTCCCTTCACTGCCCATGCGAGGCTCCATGTGAGGAAGCCTGCTCTGCCCTTCCAGGTATGTCCATGTAAATCTGTCTATGAGCATGAGTGGGAGAAAACACTCTTCTCTTATAAAATAATAATCTGAGATAGGCTAGGTTATTCTCAATAACAAAGAAGCCTCAAATCGCTGTGATTTAAACCAACAACATTTCTTTCTCGCAGTCCCAAAAGCCACTGTGCGTCCAGGTGACTCCAGAGCTACTGCCCCCATAGAGTGACTCAGTCACCCAGAGGGTGACTCAGAAATCCAACGGTGGTGCCACCATCACCTGGAGGTACCATCTGGAAAAGTGCCCTCCTTGTTCTATCTGGCAGGAGAAAAAAATGCTAGTCTCTCACTAGTAATTCAATGCCTCATACAGGAAGTAATGAATGGCACAGCTTGTTGGCCAAACAAGTCACATGACCCCTACCTAATTGTAAAAGGACAAAAAAAGCTCATTCTCCTATGAACTTAGATGAAGAGAATCAGATATGGGTGATCACTAAAGGTCTATATATAACACCTTATCTATATTTGGTCCTTATCAGTTTATATAGCACTTGCATACATTTGAAATAATTGTTTTTTTAAAGAGATATTCTTTCTGTTTTTAAATAAATGTTAACACTCCTCACAGATACCTCTATTTTCCTTTTCTCATCCCTTTGTGATTTGCATTGTCACGTTGATGCTTGTTCCTACCAAGTATCAGATAAGTCAGTTGAGACAAGAAAGTTTATTTCACTGAGAATATTTTGATATTTAACATTGCTCTCAAAAATATATCTTGGTACTCTCTACCACCATGAACTATCACCCAAAAGACAATTTTATAAGCTCTAAATTAAAAACAAATAAAATGAGGCTCTGAAACAATAAATATGTTTCAACAGTTGACTAAATTAGAAAGAGTTTGAACTGGAACCATCTGAAATCTCACCCAACCCTTTTTCACCACTCACAGCTACTCTAAAATGTAAAAGGGAACACATCAGTTCCAGTTTATGGAGAAATTAAACCACAAAATTTTAAGTAACTTGCCCAGGATCACACAGCTGATTAGCAGCAGAACCAGAATTCAGCCCAGGTATCCTGGCTGTACATCCTACTTTAACCACCATGTTACACAGCTTCATGTACCAAAAAAAAAAAAAAATCCAATATTGCTTTCTATTAAAGAGAACATCAAAGAACATGAATCTGGACAGGCAGACAGAGCAGATGTGTTGATGGGCCTTTTGTGCCAGGCTACGAAGATTTGACTAATACTCCAACCGAAGGGCCAACAAATGTTTTCTGTAAAGGGCCAGGCAGTAAATATTTTAGGTTTTACAGGCCCTATAATCTCTTTCACAACTACTCAACTCAGCCATTGCATTAAAGTGGCCATAACAACAAATAAATGAATGAAAGTAGCTGTATTCCGTTAAAGATTTTTTTATAAAACTGGACAGTAGGCTAGATTTGGCTCATGGACCGTGGTTCTCTCTGCTGTAAGCAATGAGGGTCCTTGAAGAATTCTGACATGATCAAACTGGTGGCAGATAGTGGTGTTTTGGTGTATGGCTGGTGGGGGGTGAGAATAGAAACAGAAAAACAGTCTATATAAGAAGTAATGGGCGCCAGAATGGAGATAGTAGTGGTAAAGAAGTAGAAGAAGGCATGGCCAAAAGGTGTCTTGTGCTGGTACAACTGATGAGTTTGTCATTCAATTGGCTGTGTAAGAAGAAGAAGGGGAATATGTCCAGGAGTACTATGGGCACACAGTATTATTAGGCACCTGTTAGGAAATACAAGAGAGAAAGTAAGGTGAAGAGAGTTGAAGGGTAAAGACATATTTTGGGATGGAGCAAGTTTAAGATGTCTGGATTGACTTGGCATAGATGCCTATTAGAAACTTGAGTACATATATCTAGAGCATGGAAGAGAAGTCTAGGTGGAAGATACAAGCTCAGAGTCAACAGCATAAAAAGGGATTGTAAACTGTTGGAGTTTTGGAGACAGCCCCAGAACTAAAGAAGAGAAAGTGGCTGATGAGAGATTTATGTTATCAATATTTACATAAATATCAGTATTTAGGGAGGAAAAGACACCTAGAAAGAAGACCAAGAAAAGGCACAAGGAACTCAAGGAAGAAACAAAATGAGGAAGGAAAATTTAAGAGGAATGGAGAGATCAGCAGTGTTAAACGTTACAGGGAAAATCAATAAGATGACTGAGAGGGTCCACGGAGGTCGACCACTACAAGGTCATTGGCGACATTAGAAAGAAGAGTCACACCAGATTGGAGAGAAAGAATGTCAACTTCAATCAACTGAAGACAAAGATGGAGACAAAGGCGATAAGGCAGTATCTCCTTAATTCCAAAGAAGGGACTACAGACACTCAGGTGAGAAGGGTTTGGAGAAGATATAGGAAAGAAAGAGAGAGAAAAACCAATGGAAAGATTCCTGAGAAGTGCAAGCGGGTGTAATCCAGAACACAAGGAAATGGGCTTACTTCGGGTCTGAGGAGGCAGTGGAGCAGGAGAAATGCTTAGGCACGCACAGACACAGACGCTCTGAAGTGGAGAAGCAGAATGGTGAGGAGTTCAAAAGCTGAGGAGCTTCTAGCTCGCCTGTGAATAAGAAGCGGTGTCGCTGGTGCCTCTATATGTGAAGACCCAAGAAAGGTGGTAGGCAGGGTTAATTCACAGTGTCAAAGAAGCCACCAACCATTAGTACCTAGAAGTTAAAAAGTCCAAATATTTTTGGTAAAAATTTGTGGGTACAGAAAAGGCAGTTGCCACTGCCTTTATAAAAGTTTAGCTAAGGCTCCTTTTAGAATAGTCCCAATAGCCATTTCTGTCTTTGACATGTGGCTGGCAAGTCCTTCACTACATGTTTCTACTTAGACCAGTTACAGTGCCTGAGATTCCACCATTAGATGGTGTTTCTGTGGAGTACCTTGAGGATAAGGATTAGTTAACAACTAGTTTAGAGGGATTAGTTAACAACTAGCTGATGGCAAGAAGGGTAGTCTGAGTTTGAGGGTGGCTAGGAAGTCAAAAGAAAGTGAACTGTACTGAAGTCTAAGTTCACTTCCTCCATGTGGAGACATGTGCTGACCTCGAGCATAGCTCTGTGGTCATGTGTCTGTTTGCAACAAACCCCAAAAAAGCATGCATCCTTTGCAGCTATATGATGCCTGTCAAAGTCAAACTCATGAAAGGGAAAAGTAAATACACCTGGGCTTTACTATATGTTATTTAGGCAAAGATGTTTTTAACAATATCCTGCAAAATAATACAAATGTGGAAGGAGAGATTTATCTCTATGGGCACAGCAGGGCTGAAAGACACAGTGCAATTGTTTTTAGAGATTAGAAAGACAAGGCAGGCTTGAGAGGAGGAACATTCACGTCAGGAATCTGCTCTAATGGTGGGGTTACTGGGAAGGAGCATTCTGATTATGGGGTGATGAGGTGGTGAGATGCAGTAGAAGCCTCCCATACAAAACACCTGGGTTGACTAAAAGTGCAGCATTGGCCTGATGCAACACTTCACCTAATCTGAAGTGCAGATGGGGAGCAACAATGGACCATCCTGAAATAAAGAACCCTGGCAGAGCTGCAGACCTTTCCTGCCTGATCCGTCAGACACCCTAGAGTAGACACAATGGATGAAGGCAAATTGCAACAGGCCAGTGGAGGGGTAGCTCAAAGAACCTTTTCTTCCTTCCTGTGCCCCAGGTAAATTCTTCTCATCTTTAACCCAGTTCCAATGTCAGCCCCTTGTAAAAGTTTCCCTGGTGGTCTTCCTACACTTCAACAGAATTCAATGATCCTACCTCTGTGCTTCCGTTAAATGACATTTGTGCTGGGAGTTCAGCAGCTCATGCAAGTAGATTGTGAAGGAGTCCTCCTTTCTCAATGGATGCCCAACCCTGCAAAGACAGGCCTGTGCCTCCTCATTTGGCCTCCTTCCCTCAGTCCCTAATCCCCAGAACAAATGTAATAAATGTGTGTTGAATTGAAATACATATGGGAACTTAGCACATTGAGAATGTTTTTGAAACTTCAATTTCTTGGCCAATTACACATAAAATTAGGAAAGTGGCTGAATGACAAATATTAAACTCTGAATCCTCTTCAAAATGTATAATAATGTGTGAAGCAGCAGGAATCTTTATTCTCTCCCTCTAAAAATATAATTATAGAGCAAGAAATGACTGGAAGAATCATTTGCTCCATTCTCCTCTGCCTCCAAGTAGGTTATATTAAATTATCCAAGACAGATGAAAATCTATTCTTCTTTTTTTATTTCAAAGAAAGAGATTATAATTCTACCATTCTAGTATAAAAAAGGGCCTCAGCAAAGCACTTCATTCTGACTTCTTCTCTAAAGCCCACATGGTACATTTTAAGTTGAGATAGAACCAGCTAGAGAAGACTTCTTTTGTCATAATTTTATAAATTATAAGTACACATATCTATATATAATATGGATATAATAGATATATAATATAGCTATATATTTTATATGTGTGTGTTAATGTGTATTTATAGAGAGAATTTGTTCTATTTTTTTTTTTTTATTTTAAGTTCCAGGATACATGTGCAGAACGTGCAGGTTTGTTACATAAGTAAACGTGTGCCACTGTGGTTTGATGCACCTATCAACTCGTCATGGTTCTATTTAAATTTGAAACTTTCTTTTGTTATAATTTTACAAATGATACATTTATATATAACAGATATATAATACAAAATTATATTTTGTGTGTGTGTGTGTGTGTGTATGTGTGTGTGTGTGTGTGTGTACAGGGGAGTGAGAGAGAGAACTGACTCAAATTTGAAATTTCTGAAATGCTTAAGTAAGAAATTTCTTTACTTGAAATATCAAACTCTAGGAATTTCTAGTCTTGATCAAATCCGGCTTTAGACAGGCAACATGCTGGTAAAAAGACACACTAAGACGGCTCTTTAAGTCATTATATACACAACAGTCATTCCTAACTCACACTTCCCTGTGTCTGAAGTTTTAAGGTGGGGGAACATATACATTTATTCTTTTTGTTGTCATGAGGATTTTAGATCTGAATTTTTAGTCATCAGTAATCATTCCTATTAACAAATAGAAGAAAAGAACTGAGGGTTGGGTAGTGAACAGAATAGTGGAGTATGGATTGAGGTTGTTTCAGTGAAATCTTGAGTGATTCAGAGAACCAAGGAAAGGCCAACAAGACAGTCCTGCGTTAATGGATGAAGGAGCGGTCAGGTGGGACACCATCAGGAAACCCAGGCCACATTCCAGCCTGGGAACCTGGAGGGCTCTCTGCGGACCACCCACCTAGTTACTCCAAGGAGGTTACGTACAGGCTCTCAGTCTACTCCATGTCTTTATTTCTGGGACTACAGTCATATTTCAGGAATGGACTTTCATAACTTGGAGTGAAAACAAAACAGAGAGGCATTGGATATTTGGAAAGAGGAAAAAAGGAAAACAAGACGTTTATTAGGATAAAATGCAACATGATAGATTTTAGAGTAGTTTCCAGGGTCAGCTGGGTTTAGATCCCAGTTCTGCCATTTATGTGTGAATTGGACAAGTCATTTTTGTTTTTGTCATCCATAAAGTGGGGACAAAGTTATCTTTCTTACAGAATCTTATGAAGATTTAATAAAATATATCTGGAATATAGCCTGTGCTCAATTAGTGGTAGTTATATTATTTGTAACAAAGAAAAACACATTTATCATATTAAAACTGGGGAGACAGATCCTGAAGGAGATAAACAATAAGTAACCTAATTATTAGAACATTACTACTGAATAACAATATGTAAAACAGCATTGACTTAATGTGTTTCACTGTTATATTTCAGTAGAAGTGAAAAATTAGATTTAAGGTTTTCCTTAACTTTACTTGCTTCCTTCTCTATAAGATACTGTTTGCCTCAAATTTGACTTTTACAGTGAAGGTGTATTCAATAGAGTAATACCCACCCAGATCCACCCTTGTGAGACTCAATGCCCATTCCCCCAGCTGCAAGACACTGGCACGTTTGCAGCTAAGGGCTCCCAACTGAGTCCCTCCCCAGGAGAGAACTGCCGTCAGCCAAACAGAGGTGACTTGCCTAAAATCATCCTCCTCCCTAGGGCAGCCCACCCCTAGCACTGTTTGATGGTGGGTTACCAAGACCCAGCCCCTGGTCTCCACTGGGGACAACTCTGAAGAGTTTCCCATGGGGCCAGTGGAGGCCTTGCTGCAGCAGGATCAGTTCTCTTTGCCCCCTCCTGCTTCCTTTACTCCCACAGGGGCTTCCTTTACTCCTACTTCTCCACAGAGATAAGACAGAAGAATGTGGGGAAGGAATGAGTGCCCAGCATGCTGCTGAGGCTAGTGATGATATCAAAAAATTCCCTGGAGGGAGTTTGAGACCAGCTTGGGCAACAAAGCAAAACCCCATCTCTACATACATACATACATACATACACACATACATACATACATACATACATACATACATACATACATACGTACAAATTAGCTGGATGTAGTGGTGCGAGCCTGTAGTGCCAGCTACCCAGGAGGCTGAGAGGCAGGAGGATTGCTTCCGCTGAGGAGTTCAGGGCTGCAGTGAGCTATGATTGAGTTATCATTGTGGACAACAGAGCAAGACCCTCCAAAGAATCTCTTAAAAAAAACAAAGGGTTTTTCTTTTTAAAGAATGAAAACACCCTGAAGGAACTGGAGTGGGGCTGGGAAGAGAGTGTCCAAGGATGAGATGCGGAGTGGTTTGACAGGGATATGGAAAAGCCCAGAATCAGGGAAAGACCACAAAATATGACAACTTGACAGCAGAATTGCATACCGAAAGAACACAGGCCCCAGAGGCAGCCCCACCTGGCTCCTCCATGTTGATGGGATGAAATGCTGGCCTTACATGGGTCATCACTATTCTAACACCCTATTTAACCAGTTTTCTTCTTTGGAAGTTTCTTCTCAACTCTAAACTAGAAATCAAAGAGAAGACGGAATGAAATTGTCTTTACAGGCTTTTTCCCCCTGGGCCAAAGCAATTCCATAACAACAATACTTAGTTACCCTGCAGCTTTCTCTTCTTTGGACAAGAAAAGCTGTTTGTTTTGACCTCTACAGCTTGTCAAACCACTCATTTTATTCCAAGTTTTATATTGTAGCAAATACTTATAAGGCATTTTTAAACTTTGCAAATTCTGGTTTACATCTTAAAGAGTGTAAATATGCTGTGCCACCAATTCTGTGCTATTTAAAAGGGCAGATTTTATACTTTACTGTAAAGCTACTTGCCAGGTGTGCTGTAAACATGAATGTCTGAGAGTTTCCTGGCTGGGCCTTCATAATTTGGGGTTTATTGAGCATTTTATTATTTCTAGCTAATAGTAGTGTTCTGTTTCTGGTTGTGCTTAGAGTTGCTGGTGAGTTCAATAAACCCAGGTTCCTTCTGCTAGAAGTTGGTGTTAGGTCCCACCTGGCAGTTCTGGGGTTCTTTCTGTGAAAAATTTGAATAAAGGCTTTTGTTTCCCCCTTTGCAAGAGGTGAGACATGTTTTTCTTCCTTCTCCTCACTCCATCACAAGGGCTTTTAAGTTATTAAGAAATCATCAGCATGTGTATTATTCAACAGCTGTGACAGATCATTCTCCCATCAATTAATGTCACTGAAGGGACTATTAGAAACCACTGGGGGTTGGAGAGGGAGGAGAAGGACTCTTCTTGGAACCACTGCTACCTGTGTCTGAGAGGGCAGATCAGAGACAATATATAGGCCACCTGCCCTCCCTCTCTCCAAGGTTCAGGGTGGAGCTATGAGGGCTTCACTTCAGTCTAGAGCCTGGATATGGGTGCAACTGGCTTGTTCTCCACCTCAGGTCCTTCCAGCCTGGACCTGGCTCCTGCTCCTTGCACCAACCACAGTCAGAGAAAGGAGTAGATGAAACAGCTGGCCACTCATTAGCAAGTCCACACCCACTGAAATGTGGGCAAGCATGTGTATTTGTTTGCTAGGGTTGCTATAACAAAGTACTACAAACAGGGTGGCTTCAGCAACAGATGTTTCTCCTCTCACCATTCTAGAGGCCAGAAGGGCCATGCTCCCTCTGAAGGTTTTGGGGGAGGGTCTGTTCCAGGCCTCTGTCCCTTCTAGGAGCCCTGGCTTGTAAATGGCCATCTTCTTCCTGTGTTTCTTCACATTGTGATTCCTCTGTGTCCAAATTTCTGCTTTTACTAAGGACACCGAGTTAGATTAGTACCCACACTGATGACCTAGTTTTAACTTGCCTAGCCCTGTCAAGACCCTATTTCCAAACAAGGTCTCATTCTGAAGTACTGGGGGTTAGGACTTCAACATACCTTTTTGAGGAGACACAATTCAACCCATAGTAACAGGCAGTGTTCTGGCTCTGATAATTGGATGGTTGGCTTTCCATGGAGAAAATTCTTTCAAAATTGAGATAAAGCCAAGAAATTCTTCAAACAGAGCCTAGCAGAGTGATTAATTAGACTCTAAGTGTACAGCCCTGGGGCCAGACAAAGCTACCTGCAAATTACAGCTCCCCCGGTGCCTGGCCAGGCTGCCTTTCTAAGCCTCAGCTTCATCACCTGCAAACTGGGTTGAATAATGGTTTACATTTTCAGAGGATTGTTGTAAAGATGAAGTGAGAAACTATGAGGAAAACAGTGGGTACTAAAGTTTGGGCACATGTTCTAGGTTCAGTAAACCTATTAGCTATTTTCCAATGTCTAGATTTCTCCTTCCCTACCGTATTAGTCCCTTCTCATGCTGCTATGAAGAAATATTCGAGGCTAGGTAATTTATAAGGAAAAGAGGTTTAATTGACTCACAGTTCCACATGGCTGGGGAGGCCTCAGGAAACTTACAATCATGGCGGAAGGCACCTCTTCCAAGGGTGGCAGCAGAAAGAATGAGTGGCAGCAGGGGAAATGCCAGACACTTATAAAACCATCAGATTTCATGAGAACTCACTATCACGAGAACAGCATGGGGGAAACTGCCCCCATGATTCAGTTACCTCCCACTGGGTCCCTCCCATGACACATGGGGATTATAGGTATTAAAATTCAACATGAAATTTGGGTGGGGACACAGCCAAACCATATCACCTATTAAAAAGAAAAAAAAAAAAAAAACTCAGAGCACAGCTTGTGAGTGTTACTCAAAGCATGGTGGAAAACCCCAAAGATTTATTTAGGGATAGTCCCAACTACCCACAGAGGCAGAGCAAACAAAGACAAGCAAATCAGTAGATTTAGAGCTTACCTTCCACCCAATCTAGAAACCCATTGTTTCTAAGTTCTTCTATGTTTGTAATTTCCAAACAGAGACCGGTCTTTTTCTCTTCCTTTAAGAAAAAAACAATAAAAACGAAATTCACTGGCTGAGTCAATAGACTCCGTGGGTCATGGAAGCAAATTACAAAGCTAGTACAATGGATTTGAGAAATTGCTAATGTAATCAGATTTTGAACAAACTTTGGAAATGGTCCCTATTTCACAGCACCAAGGGTATTTTTATAAACTGTTCATTGCTTTCAACAACCCCATTATAAGACCAACTAAAAGTGAGAAAAGCAAATTCAGCAGCAACCTATCTTGTCAAGACAAAGAAACCTTCCTCACTGTTTTCAGAGAAATATTCAATACCGAATAATCCTATTTAAATTTTGCCACTCATAGAAGTTTAGAAAGAGGGACTTACATAAGAAATTGCAGCAGGGCAGGGAATGAAGAGTGCAGGAGAGACATACAAAAAGCCTTTATTGTTTTCTATGTAGGTAAACAGAAAAGATGTCTGGATCGTTCATTGTAGGACATGAAAATTATGAGACCCCACATCTTTACCTCTTAATATAATATTGAACCTCTTATCATAAAATGCTATTAAATACTTTACTTGCCCCACCACTAAAAGATGCATGCTGGGCTTAATACCTAGGTGATGGGTTGACAGGTGCAGCAAACCACCGTGGCACACATTTACCTATGTAACAAACCTGCGCATCCTGCACATGTACCCTGAAACTTAAAATAAAAAGTAATAAAAAAGAAGCAGTAAAGTATAGAAGTCCCTAAGACCTTCCCTAGTACAGGGTAGATAATCAATGCAAACTTTTTATTTGTTTTCATATGTAAGATGATCCATATGTCCTAGTTGCCCTGGACAGTCCCAGTTTATACTTGTCACCTTAACAAAAATATTTATAATGCCCATTTTCACTCTCAAAAATGTCCCAGTTTGGGCAATACATTGTATGGTCCACCTTTTTGATATGCGACCTAGAGAGTCTGCAAATACCCCACCATTTAGGTTTCTTTTTATTTTTGAAAATGACACATGAACTTGCCTTGGGATTTTATTTTCTTTGGGGACCTATTTTATTTAATATTAAATATAAGCATTTTTTTCCTTATGTGATGTTAGACTTATTTCTGTAGTGGTTTCGTTCCCCTTATTCTTATAAACTAAGATTTTCTGAATAGATTTATCAATTGACAACATTTTTTGAGTAGCTACTATATGCAAAATAGTTTAATATCCGATACAGGCAGTATTCTGAAACAAACTTGAAAGCTCTGATTCAATTGAAAAATATATTCTTCCTGTGCTCACTAAGTTACTTTTGTAAGCCTTTTTGATTTGGAAATATATTGTCTTTAAATGGGTATAAAAATCAGGCAGTCCTCCAGGCTGGGCATTAGGAGACCTGGGTTGTCTGCCCAGCTGCTAATTAGCCATGGAACACTAGGAAGGCCTTTCCCCCTCGCTGCATCCCAGTTTCCTCATCCATAAAATGAGAGAATCAGATGAGGTAATCTCTAAGGTTCCTTTCGGCTCTAAAATTCTATGATCTGATGAACCATCTCTTTTCAATTGATTAAAATGAGTGTTAAGAGATTTCCTAAAGTAAACAAGCCAGGCATGATTCCAACTTGTTTTGTTTTTCCAGTTTTCTTTCCATTCAGTTTTCCCTCTCAGACTATTTGGAGGAATATAAAGTAAATATCTCTGAATTGTTACTGAGAAATAACACCTGGAATTTTCGCCATTTAGAATGCCTAATACATTGCCATGTTAAGTCATTTATACAGAAAGCTGAAAGGCAACAGACTGTACAAAAAGTTGACTTAGCTTTAGCTCAGGTGTGGATACAACCACCTTGTTTTGTTATTTTGTAAGTTTGTGATCTTATATCTTGTAACTTTGAGGGATAAAAAAGCAAAGGGGGATTGATGGAAAAAGAAACCCCAGTGTTCTCACCACCAACCAACAGATGAGCCCACCCAAACCAGCTTAATGTTTCTGGTGAACTAGCCCCTTCATGGATGATCACAGTCTCTCAGCATCAAATGACCTTATTTGTTGGCTCAGTGGTTTAAAAGAAGCATTCTATTTCCCATGGTTGTGCTTCAATATGCTCTAATCCATAGGGATTACTGTGGCAGAATGTTTCAACCCACTGGAGCTTTCTGGCACAAGTAATTTTCATCAGAGCAAAACTCATAGTCAATTTAGGACCAACAAAGATACTAAAATCTTAAAGTTACATGGTAGGAGCCAAAATCAAATTATCTCAGTAACTTAGTTTTCTTTTTTAAAAAAAAATTTACATTTTTGAAAAGTATTTTAACACCACAAAAAAGCTGCAACTCAAACCTTGGTGGAATCAAAAAGGAATTTGCGTTTTGATTTTATGTACAGCTGGTGGCCAATGTGTTTATCTTGGTAGGGAGAGGGGGCAGGTGGGGGATAAAAATAGTAGTTAAGATAAAAGAATGATCACAGTATGGCATTTCTAAATAAATGAGATAAAGTGGATGGCAGAATTGAAAATCTATGTACTCCACAGGAAGCAGGTGTGGGAATAGAAGGAGGCACCACTCATCTTCTGCAGAAAAGCAAAATGAAGACATCATCAGAGAGCAGCACTCATTGGAAGTAGCTCCTCGGGTTCCCTTCTAATGTCAGGGTGAGAATTCAGGGCTCTCTTGAGAGCACTATTATGTGCCTACTATGTGTCAGGCAGAACTGGCTACAAAATTCAAGGGGCCCAGAGTGAAATGAAAATGTGAGGTACCTTGTTCAATAATTATGAAGAATTCTAGGATGGCGAGAGCAGAGCATTAGAGGAAAGGCAAGGTCCTGTGCAGCTGCGCGGGTCACACACCCATGCAGCCAACCCTGGTGCCAGGCACAGCTATACCCACATTAGCTCCTGTCTTTTACTGAATAGCACAATAACTCTGCAATACTGGAGGTTTTTAACATTATCCAGGCTTTACAGAAGAAGCTACCGAAGCTCAGAAAGTCATTTTATTCAAGGCCAATCAGCTAATTAGAGCTCAGGTCTCCTACTAAACACCAGAATCACAGCTAGCCACTCCACAACATACAGAGGTCAGTAAACCACTCAACATTGTATCTGAACTTCCAGTCTTCCAATATCTGAACTCAATCAGGTAAGTCTCCTAAACACGCCCTACCTGTTCTATCTGTGCTTTGCTCAGTTTTCACCAAATAGGTATTAGCTAAATAAACATGTGGATGAACACAGCATCCATTACAATAGTAATATAATATTATCATACTTACATTGTATAATATAATAATGTACTTCATTCAATTCTCTACATTTTTTAAAGTATTGTCACATATTTTATTTTTTTCTAGGAAATTTTTATTGCTGAGTGTTTTAAATTATACTCATGATTTATAAATTCTCACAATTCTGAGCCTGCTATAGGACAAGAGATGTATCTGCCAACATTCATTCAAAGTTGTTGGCTAAGCACTGTGCTAGCCACTGGGGATGCATGCATATACACAAATGCTCTAGTGCATTTCTTTCCCTTAAAGGCCTTGCCATCTAACAGGACTGACAGGAAAACTACAGAAAGCACAGTAGTGTGGTAAGTGCACGAGTAGGGTATGGACAGGCTCAGCAGGGTCTGAAATAAATCAGACCTGGGACTTGTGAAATGTTTACAAAGAACAAGATGCTTTTTAAAGGTGCATAAAAGGTGTTTGTTTTGTTTTGTTTTTGAGACAGGGTCTCACTCTGTCGCCCAGACTGGAGTGCAGTGGCAGGATCTTGGCTTACCACAACCTCTGCCTCCCAGGCTCAAGTGATTCTCCCGCCTCAGCCTCCCAAGTACTTGGGATTACAGACGCACGCCACTACCACCTGATTAATTTTTGCATTTTTAGTGGAGATGGGGTTTCACCATGTTAGCCAGGCTGGTCTTGAATTCCTGACCTCAAATGATCCACCAGCCTCAGCCTCCCAAAGTGCTGGGATTACAGGCATGAGCCACTGTGCCCGGCCATAAAAGGTATTTTGATGAAAAACCATGGGAGAAAACTTCAGACGAATAACATTTGCAAAAGTCCATAAATTATTCCATGGTGTGGCATGGAGAAAGGGCGCATGTGTGGAGTGGTATGAGACAAGAGGGAAGAACATGAGGACAGACTGGCCAAAGACCTCACATACACAGCCCAGGGTACTGGCTTTCTCCCGGAAGTTCTGAGGAATCATTCTGGAGCCAAATGGCTTTCCCCCGACATAAAACTGGCTCTCAATTAGGGAACACTTAGAAATGGAAATCCTAGACTTCATGGCTAAGTAACGGCCCCAGCTGGGCACCGTGGCTCAGGACTGTAATCCCAGCACTTTGGGAGGCCGAGGCGGGCGGATCACCTGAGGTCAGGAGTTTGAGACCAGCCTGCCCAACATGGTGAAACCTCCTCTCTACTAAAAATACAAAAATTGGCCAGGTGTGGTGGCAGGTGCCTGTAATCCCAGCTACTTGGGAGACTGAGGCAGGAGGATCACTTGAACCCGGGAGGTGGAGGTTGCAGGGAGCTGAGACTCTGCCATTGCACTGCAGCCTGGGCAACAAGAGCGAAACTCCATCCAAAAAAAAAAAAAAGCCCCCAACCATCCCAGTCCTCTTCATCCTCAGTTGTCTAGAAGAGTTACCCCACAAATGTCTTAAGGGTTCAAAGAATGAGAAGGACCAGACTTCATGGAATTCTTATAAGAACTGGCTTCATACCCAAATGCCCACCCATAATCCCTGGTTCACTAAAATACCAGCCTTACCACCATGATAGGCATTCGATCTGCCTTGCATGATCAAGGATCTTCAGGTCTTGAATAGAGAATCCATTCTCTTTGAAGCCAGATTATCTGCTGTGGCAATTCTGTAGGCTTAATAAGCCTCTAAGTCACCTTCTATACACTTCATCCACCTAAGTCTCGCCAATGTAACTTATTAGTTATTTCTCAACCCTAGCTCCTCTGTATCTTGCTTCCACTTCTGTTATTCCAAATTCCGTCCTAGACAACTGCACCAGCCTCCACTCTAACCTCTAGCTTTAGTCTTCCTCTGCTCAAATCCATCCTGCACACAACTGCCAGAAGGATATATATAAAGCACAAATCTAATCAGTTCCCTTCTCTGCTTAAGGGTCTCCCCATCATCTACTTGCTGAAGTCCAAGCTCACTGGCATGGCATGGAAGGCCACTCATAGCTGACCCCTGCTTACCTGCTCTGACCTGATGCCCTTCCCCAACTCCTCCACCTCACTCTCTGAGTTTCTCTGACATAGAACAGGATGTGATTCTAAACATTTCTCATCTATTCCTTCTGCCTAGAAATCCCATTTTCACGTTCTTCTTCTGGCTGATTCAGAATCATTCTTAAAGAGTCCATTGGGTTTCTACCTCCTCCACCCTTTTCTACCCTAGCCTCTGATAGGTGTCCCTCCTCTATGCTCCCATAAACATCTCCCGTATATACCTTCCTAAGTTGTGTTATCATCATTTACATGTGTATCTTCCCTCTGAGGATGCTAACCATATCACATTTACCCCCAGGGTCTAACAGAGTGCCTATACCAACTGGTGGGAACGTGTGTGTGTACCATGGCTTTCTAACTTAGGGCTCCAAGATGGAAAGGAAGAAATTCGGGTGGCCACCCCAGCCAGCAGCGGCAACCCGCTCGGGTCCCCTTCCCCACTGTGGAAGCTTTGTTCTTTCGCTCTTCACAATAAACCTTGCTGCTGCTCACTCTTTGGGTCCGTGCCACATTTAAGAGCTGTAACACTCACTGCAAAGGTCTGCAGCTTCATTCTTGAAGTCAGTGAGACCACGAACCCACTGGAAGGAACCAACTCTGGACACAACATTTACCCCCAAGGTCTAACAGAGTGCCTATACCAACTGGTGGGAATGTGTGTGTGTATACCGTGGCTTTCTAACTGAGGGCTCCAAGATGGAAAGGAAGAAATCAGGGAGGAGAAGTAGAAATAGATGTTAAGTAGCTATAAAAGGCCATAAAAGAAATAACTCCTTTTTTTCCTGCTGCTTAGAACTAGAAACTTCTTAATTAATAAATATATCCTATATATATCCATGGAGAAAGAAAAAGCAGTGACCCTTGTTCTATCTTGTTTTGTTTCCCACAAAACAGGGTTTCAAAATAATGACTACCCCTTCATGAAAGCCTAAAACCATTAGGAGTTCTTCATTCCCCGGAACAAGATAGGCCATGTGAGGCAACTTTATTAAGACAAAATTGACGAAGTATTGGCAACCCTAACTCTTTTTCCTTTCTGTCCCTAACTAAATTGTTAAAAGGCAACCATCCATTCTGAGACTGTAAGAAAGTCTCACTTGTGGTGACAAGACAGCAAGAAGGGTAAAGGCCCCTTTTTTTTCTTTCTCCAGTACAGCTCAGGACTAATTTGAAGACAAGAAACGATTCCAGTGCCTTGTAAATTGCGATCCACATTGCAACTCCTAGCAGCCACAGTTCAGCACAGTTAGAAGTCAATTAAGGGAGGCCCAGGATTAAGACATCATGGAGACTGAATTATCTCACACCAGCAGGAAGGAGTCGTTTCTTCAGTTCAGGTTCATGGTCTTTGGAGCAGAAGTGGTTTTGAAGAGGAAAGAAAATGCAGGCAATTGTGGGCTGTTGCTTTCTGCAAAACAAGAAAATAAAGAAGATTCCTACCTAAATATATAGCCAACTTGTTAATATTCCTTAGCTAATGAATTTATTTTTTAATACACTTCGGATACAAACTTCAGAACTGTAGGCTCACTGGGAGCAGCTAAAAATACCAAAACATGGAATAAACCACAATATCCTGTAGTTTACTCCATATGTTTTATTTTCTTTCCCTGTTTATGGGATAAAATAGGTGAAATAAAAGTAAAAGTTTAATTACAAGAAATAAAGTGTCAGCAGTGAAGTTCACAGCCTGTTTCTGTACTTGGAGTCATGTAGTATGTTTCTATGGTACAATTGTAGGTTTTTGATTGTGCAATAAAATAATTCCAACAATAAAAACCATTAGTATGCAGGTGTTCTACAATTTTCTCAGGGAGTTTGCAGGAGCTGGCATGCATTTGATAAATGTACTCCCAAACCCCAAGCTCCTAGACAGAGGCATGTGGCTTCACACGGAAAACGCTTTTGCACACCTGCAGTAATCAAGCACAAACATAATGAGAGGCAAGGGAATTGATGGGACACACACCCTTCTCTCTTTAGATGAATGTTGAAGTATTAATGAGGCCTCATACATAGAAAGGCAGTATTGTCATTTGCTAACTTTGCCCACCCACATGTTTAGTAACTATCACTTCAGAGATTCATGTGTGCCTCTTCAAAGAAACATAAAGGGAACAAGTCACATTCCAACTTTATTGCAAAATTAAAAGTCATTCCATGGCCTTTAAAGCAACTCTATTGTCGTTATAAAATGTGGAGATATATTCAGGCAGTTGGTCAACAAACATTTACTGAGCAAGTTCTTATAATGAGCTCTCGTACTAGGCTTGAAAAATGAAGAGGATGTGAACTTAATATCTAAATCCTTACACTGGATTCTGCAGGCCAGCAGAATCCTTTTGCAGCATCCTTTTATACATCACCCACATTTAAGCAGATTGAAGCAGAGCTCTCTGCTGGGTGTGGGTGTGGGTGCAGGTGCCCTCAACACAGCTCTGCAGACACTTGCTGCTCCAGCTGTACACGGCCTGAGAACCTCCTCTCTAAACTCCAGCAAGTCCAGATCTATACAGTATACATTATATATGTCATATAATAATTTCACAAGGAAATTATTACATTCCTAGCATTTAAATATCAAAATATTTTCTTTCCTTTTGTCTGGTTGGTCAGCCTTGATTTGAACCAACTACCTCTTAGACCCAACAGCACAAGAAATGCATAAAATCACCCATCCATCAGCTCACTCTTGCAGCATCACTGGAGGGCCCCCCTCACATAATAAACAAGAGAGACCTGGAGGGGACATGTTTTCCTTCAGAGCTTGAACAGCCCTTGGGGAGGAGTTAGAAAGTAGATTTAAAAGGAAGAGTCCGGCAGGGTGCGGTGGCTCACACCTGTAGTCCCAGAACTTTGGGAGGCTGAGGCAGGTGGATCACCTGAGGTCAGGAGTTCAAGATCAACCTGGCCAACATGGTGAAACTCTGTCTCTAATAAAAATACAAAAATTAGCTGGGTGTGGTGGCACATTCCTGTAGTCCCAGCTATTGGGGAGGCTGAGGCAGGAGAATTGCTTGAACCTGGGAGGAGGAGGTTGCAGTGAGCTGAGATCACACCACTGCACTCCAGCCTGGGTGACAGAGTGAGACTCTATCTTAAAAATAATAATAAAAATAAATAAATAAAAGGAAGAGTCTTCCTCTGATTACATATATTCCAGCATCAAGAATTTTCCCATGGGAGGATTTTTCTGAGGTCCTAGGTAAACCAGGTGGTGCCCTGTCGTAGATGACAGATGAGATCAGGGCCTTCCTGTTCTCTCCCTGTTCTGTCTCATTCCCTCCTCACCATTACCCCATTATTTTGTCTGTGAAAACTATTGGCAGTCTGAACTCCTCTTCACTGGGAGAAATCTGGGATAGATGGTCAGTCTTTGAGGAGCTGAATTAGGGCAGGTTATCCCATCTAAGGCAACTCTGACTGAAAGACCCAAAACGTGAGTCTAAGCCAGTATTTGTACAGATTACTAATGGTCCAAGCCAGGAAAACTTAGTAGCAATGCCAAGTTCAAAGGGAGGGAGTCAGTTGCAAATGGGAAATGAAACCAGAGATCAGGATCTGGGAGAAAATAGGAGCAGAGCAGAATCAGATCAGGAAGGAAGCAAGATGATTCTAGGCCATTGTTCTCTCACTGGCGTGCTTTTGACTTACCTGGTTATTTTAGTTATTTGGTTATTAGATCCAGTGATGGACATCGGCACTGGCTAAAAGATTCAGAATTGGAGCCAATACTCCCCTCTTCAAAAAACTTTTGGCTCTCACTTTATCTATTATTACTACTATTATGTTTATATAACAATAATGTATTATTAATAATTTTTACTTTTTTAAGTAATAGGCCTTTTTTTTTTTTTTCCGAGATGGAGTCTCACTCTGTTGCCCATGCTGGAGTGCAGTGGTGCAATCTCGGTTCACTGAAACCTCCACCTCCCGGGTTCAAACGATTCATGCCTCAGCCTCCTGGGTAGCTGGGATTACAGGCATGAGCCACCATGCCCAGCTAATTTTTTTGTATTTTTAGTAAAGACAAGGTTTCACCAGATTGGCCAGGCTGGTCTCAAACTCCTGGCCTCAAGTGATCTGCCTGCCTAAGCTTCCCAAATGCTGGGATTACAGGCATGAGCCACTGAGCCTGGGCAATGGGCACTTATTTACCACCCACTGAGAGTTTAACAGAGAAAAAAATATTTAAATCTGGTTATCTCTGATCCTGAAGACCAAACTTCTTTCCTAGTTAAAAAAAAAATTCAGGGAAGGGTGAGGGTAAACAAGATACTATGATAAGCCCAAGCTAACCTAAACTTTTTCTTCTGACATTCTTTTACTTTTCAAACTCTGTATTTTCAAACAGCGGAAGGAGAACCTTAGGCACACCAAAAGCATTCATAAAGCAATGTTCTGTACCCAGTCCTGTACTAAGTGTTGCAGAAGTCACAAAAATTATAAAATTCGGTCGCCTCCCTCAAGGTTTTTACAATGTCAGTAGAGAGATAGAAGACCTATATGTGAAAGATGTGCAAAATGTAGGTGAGTCTTAACTAGATTTTGCTAGGTAACAAAACCACCCAAAACTTTATGGCTTAAAATAATCATGTATTCAATTATGATTCTGTGGTTGGCAGTTTGGGTTGGGCTCAGCTTAGACATCTCATCCTTACCCTACATAGTGTCTACTGAGCTCACTCCTATATCTGGTGCCTCAGCTGGGACAGCTAGCAAGTCTGGGGTGGCTGGATCTTTCTCCTCATTGGAAGAAGTGGGCTGGCTTATTCACAGAGTGGACAAGGGCAGAGGCTGCAAGGCCTCTAGTGGCTTAGGTTCACAGCTTGAGTATCATCACTTCTGCCACATTCTGTTGGTCAAACCAAGTCATGAGGCAGCTATAATTCAAAAAATGGAGAAACCTACACCCGCCTTTTAATGGGTCAAGCTGTAAAGAATATGTGGTCATATTTAATCTACTACGGTCACCCATTAGCTATAATTATTTCTATTTCTCCCATATGCCAGGTGAATTCACCCCATCCCAAGACCGCCCAAAAGTCTCATCCAATTGTATCATCAAACTGAAAGTCCAGGATCTCAGGAAGTGCATTTGGTCCAGGTGTGGATGAGGACCTTCTATTACAGCTCCTTGCATGTGGCTCCTCTTAATCCAGAAATCTATGAACCAAACAGACAAGTTTGTCTCCATCCTCTCCCATACCCAACATACAATGGTGAGATGGCAAGAGGATAATCATAATAGACACCCCATTCAAAAAGGAGAAATGGGGAGCACATAGGAGCCATAGGTCCACAGCAATTCAGGAATACAGTCATGTGCATATGACCATCAGAAATAGCCCTTGTTTACAGATGAATAGCTTTCCTCATCCTAACTCCTGCCCTAAGAAATTCTGTCTTAGTCTCTTAATGCAAGCTTATATAGCCCCCTTTAATACCTTGTGGGTTTTCTATGTATCAGGGAGTCATCCATTTCAATAGACAAAGGAAACACACACAATTCTTTTTAATGCAGCATTCTTTCTTCTTCAGGCAGTATATCACAATGTTGTGAGTTAATGCCCTCAAGATCTTTAGAAGTTATTTTGTTGAGTTGATATAATATACTAGGAACAACCACAAATCCTTCTGAGGTCTTTGCAAGAGTCTTAAAGTCACTCCCTTAATTAGATTTTAGAAGAATCTTTTGCAAACTGGAGAGACTGAAATGAAAAACAAGTTTATTTTCTAATTTAGAAGGTCCTGAGCCCTCTATCTTGTTTCTACTTTCTGTTTGCAAATGAAACAGTTCTTTATTTAGTTCATCTCCTTCGGCCTATACATTATTAACAATATGCCTGGAAATTTTCTTAACTAGATCCACAAGTTTATTAGATAAATGTTCTATCTTCCAAGTGACCACATGCAATATTTTTCCAATTGTTTTGCTCCAAAACCAGTGCCACATGTTTTAGGTTTCTGTTATAGCAGCATCCCCCTTCTAAGTACCAATTTCTGTTTTAGTTAGCTTTTGCTGCCCAACAAACTACATCAAAAATTAGTGGCTTAAACACTTATTTCCTCATAGTTCTATGGGTCAACAATTTGTATTGGGCCCAACCACACACTGACTTGGCTTCTCTGGTTATAATCATTGCCAAATATGCAACCAGTCAGCAAAAAGACCAACACTGAGTCCCTGATATGGCGCATTTCCTGGGAAATCTGCCAGGTTGATTACATTAGTCCATGTCCATGTCACAGAAAGACAGCACTCTGCTCTCTCTGGAACAGACCCTTATTCTGGATATGGATCTGCCTTCCACTCCCATAATACTTATTCAAAAACCACCATCGTGAACACAGAATGCCTCATTTGCAATCACAGTGCTTTACACAGTATTGCTATCAACCAAGGAAATAAGTAAAGAGGGTCATGGGCTTATGCTCATGAAATTTACTGGGCTTGCCGTGGTCCTCATCTCACTGAAGCAGCTGGCTTGGTAAAGGGCCTTTGAAGACTCAGTGATGGTGCCAGCTGGGTGCCCATACTTTGCAGAGTGGGTGTGATATCCTCCAGGATGCAGTGGAGGTTCCAAATTAGTGGTTATTGTATCATTTTCCACATGGATAGGATTCAGAACCTGAGAATCAAGGGATGGAAATAGAATGGCTCCTCTCATATTTCCCCTAATCATTGACTAGTGAATGTTTGCATCCTATCCTCACAACTTTGGGCTCTGCTGATTTAGTTTTGTTGTTATAAAGGAATGCTTCCAGGAGCACACAAAAGATAATGATTTCATTAAACTGGAAGCTGAGAGGGACATGTAGACACATGAACTCTTCATGCCAGAAAACCAAGAGTTGAAGAAAGAGTTACTGCATTGGTTGGGGTGATTAATTCT
Source organism: Homo sapiens (assembly GCF_000001405.40). Classification (NCBI taxonomy): domain Eukaryota; kingdom Metazoa; phylum Chordata; class Mammalia; order Primates; family Hominidae; genus Homo; species Homo sapiens. The sequence continues at coordinate 93,352,395 of NC_000008.11, forward strand.
ACCGAGAGGAATTGGTTTGCCCCTAGAGAGTTTTTTTCCTCCGCTCTAAAATTCAATGCAATTCTCAATTCTGTCTCTAACTATCCACAGTGAGCTGTCACACTCCACAAGTTTAAGGAACTCCACACTGCCACAAAATTTCCTTCACTTCAAACTCCAGTCACAAGTACCGGGTCCCCAGGTTACCCACACATCTGTCCAACTTGGCTGCAAAGTCACAGGTTCCCATAGCCCCCCTCTTAGATTCAATAACTTGCTAGAACAACTCACAGAACTCAGGAAAATGTTATACTTACAATTATAGTTTATTATAAGAGATACAAATGAACAACCAGATGAGGTACATAGGGTGAGGTCTGAAAGGGTCCCGCATGCAGCAACCTCTATCCCTCAAAGTTGGAGTGTGCCATCCTCCTTTTACATGGATGTGTTCATCAACCCAGAAGCTCTCAGAACACTGTCATTGAGGGATTTTTATGGAGGTTTCATTATGTAGGCAGAATTGATTAAATCATCGGCCATTGATGATCTCTGTCTATAACCCCTTTGCCGTCCATCCCCAGAGGTTGGGGGTGGGCTGAAAGTTCCAACCCTGTAATCACATGGTTAGTTCATCTGGCAATCAACCCCCATCCTGCAGCTATCTAGGGGCCTGCCAAGATGTGTCACCACATGAGAACAAAAGATGTTCCTATCACCTTTATGACTCAGGAAATTTCAAAGGTTTCAGGAGCTCTGTGCCATAAACTGAGGACAAAGACCAAATACTTTTCTTATTATACCACATTACTGCATAATGAGGATAGAGGCCTTTTAATACTCCCATGCTTTTTGATAAAAGTAAATAGAAAACTACAGTAACCCAGCATAGGTGGGGGCTGCTGATAGCACAGACCTTTAGGAGTGAAGGCTTAGGTCCCCTTCCTGCCACCAGGCTAGGAACTGTGAAGAGTTGAGGTGCTTGCTTGAGCAAAGGGATATGGAATGGCTACTGGAAGAAGGAAGTTCTAAATACCATCTAAGACCATGTGACTACTTGCAGAAAAAAGGACAGTAGTACTTACTAGTATTTCTTTCTTACTTTGATATAAATATATATTTTCTTTTTTTCTCCTCTCTGATTCTCCTACTATCTGATGTAAGATGTGTCCATAGTTGCTAACATTATATATCAGCATTTAAGTTACAAGATATCAGGGGGTGGATATGTTGAGCTAGAGGAGGAATGAACATTCCCCAGTGAGTAAATTGACATATGAAAACTCAAATGCTCTTTTAGGGAGTGAGTTAGAGTGTTTTTAATTGTATCACATTAAGCAGAAGCAAGACTTTTATCGTTATTTTGAAGTTAAATATGGTTAGAAGAGGTGTATACGGATGCCAAGTTATCAAGGTGCTGACTGTATTGCATTGTTTTATCATCAACGTGTTTACCCTTTTGCTAGAATCCCCTCCCCTATATAATTCCAGGCTAGAGTTAGCCAAGGAGATGAAAAAGAAGCAGCATCCATGACTCTCAATGCTTTTCACACTAGATGAGCTGACAGACTGATCAGAGGTGCCAGGAGGGTCCTAGCTTGTCCTCATTCTCCTCTGCCTTGGTCCAGTCCTTCTCCTTGGCTGGTGGCCACTGCTCAAGCTACTGCTGACCACAGCAGCCCTGAGTCTACCACCAGAAGCTTAATGACAGAACCATGAAGACAGGAGCTACTCAGGGGCAACAGCTTCCCAGTTATGGTCCCATTGTGGCAGCTGACATCTCCTGGCTTCTCAGACTTCCTCCTCAGGCTGTGAGGTATCCTCGTGCTTCAGGATGGAGAGGTAGTGACTCTTCTCTGACCCTCAGCTCCTCCCCTGAGATTCCACATCTCCAGCTCCTTCCACAGTTGTGTAAGGTCTAATATCTGTAATAAACCCCTTATCCCTTATTATGCTTAATGGCTCTGCTTCCCTGACTGAATCCCACTGAATCAAAGTATGTGAAAATATGACATCATAGAAGAAGCCCCTGAAGAAAAATTTTTAAATGGGGGTGCATTTGGAGACATAGTACTTACCCCACTCCAGAAGTTTCTTGTTTTTCCATGTAGGGGATGCCCACTTGCAAAACCCTCCTAGCCTCTCTCCACCCACAACCTCCTTCTTAATTGATGAGTCTGGGATGTGGAAGTGGATCTGCATAGCTCTGTCACTTCCTCCTTCTCTTGGGAGGGAGCCACCTGCTCAACAAAAACACACACTCCACTCTAGGTTTGGCAGGGCCAGGTTCTTGCTGGGGGCAGCTCTGCCTGTGAAGAGATGGACATGCCTTTCTGATTCTGGATTATACATTTCACATCTCACTTGCCACTTTCTCCAGCATCAGTCATATCAGAATAAAGATCATCCTTTGACCTTCATCTGTCCTACTTCTGTGGATTTCTCAAATGCATCAGAACTCAGATGGGAGAGAGAAGTGTTCATCCTGGGGCTCCCTTGAATCCCAGAAGGGGTTACTCAAGGGAAACTGCTGAAGAAAGCTTTCCACCGGTTTGTGAAGGATGTAACTGGAATGGGATAAAAGAGATAGGAGAAGGAAGGTGAAGAAAACAGCCTGGGCAAAGAAAAGAAGCTGTATGTAGAGAAGGAAAATTAACCTGAGGAATATAGAAATTTTTTAAGCAAATGAAAAGTAATGGGATGGGCATGGTGGCTCATGCATGTAATCCCAGCACTTTGGGAGGCCAAGGTGGGCAGATCACGAGGTCAGGAGTTCGAGACCAGCCTGGCCAACATGGTGAAACCCTGTCTCTACTAAAAATACAAAAATTAGCTGGGCATGGTAGTGCACGCCTGTAACCCCAGCTACTCAGGAGGCTGAGGCAGGAGAATTGCTTGAACCCGGGAGGCAGAGGTAGTGAGCCAAGATGGTGCCACTGCACTCCAGCCTGGGTGACAGAGTGAGACTCCATCTCAAAAAAGAAAGAAAGAAAGAAAGAAATGAAGGAGTTAGATGAGGGACAGCAAGGTAGCTGGTGAGGGGCTTTGAAGACTAAATTTAAGTTTTTAATAACAGTTACTTTAATTCTGCTCCAATTATTCCACTTCCTCCTAATATTAAATTTTATGATCAGCTTCACTACCAATTTAATGAAATACGCAATCGGCTCTTTTATAGATCTCTTTTATTGCTAATATATGTTTCCTACTATCTAAATCAGAGAAGTGACCTATCAACAGTAACAATGGCCTGGGCTCTTACTGGTCTCTCTCCCAGCATCTTACTTGGACTTTCCTTGGAATATATTTTTCAGTCTTACAACATTAAAAATAGTTCTCAGGAGTAGAATCCCTTTTCGATGCTACGAAATTTATTTCAGGGCACTTTACTAAGAAAGACAATGAGAAAGAGAAAGATGGGTTGATAGAAACACTTTACCCTGGCTCAGAGTCTGTCAGGAATTTAAGAGATGAATTGTATCTCCGCGTCTGAGATCATCCATGTGTTATGAATCGCACTGTTGGAAAATATACCAATATTTCCCTTTAGTCCCCGTTCTATCCTTCCCCTCCCCATCCTCACATTTCAAATTCATTTTTGTTTCTGTTCCAGGCCTAATGAGACCGTGATCAATGTGTCTCAAGTTGACCCTGCCTTCATGTCTTCAATCATACCTTCCCTGTCTAATCCACTACACTCTGATCTTTGTCAACTGATGGATTTATTTAGTTAAGAAAACTAAAAATACAATCACACCTCAACTTCACAAACAGGCCTCTCTGGTTTGATTTTCTTCATTTTATAAAATCCAGCCAACTGCAGACACTGAACTATGCCTTTAAAGAATCTGTGTCTGAACTGATGATATTTTCTTCATTTGTGAGGACTTTTTAAAGTCTGCTTCTTTCTGCTCAAGACGCTTCCTGGGTAGTGTCCTCTGCTGGAATGCTTCCTGAGGCCAAGGTTGTGAGGTCTGGTCTCAAAACCTCCATTCCTAAGCAGCTTTCTGCATGAGTTAGGTTGTCACAGTTCCCCTCTCCTCACTAACTGGGGGCTCAGTGCACAGCCAGCATCTGCCAAGGGGATGCTGAGATGGATCCAGCAGCCTGGACATGCACAGCAAGCTGCCCACAGATAATCCTGATCGCTGAGGACAGGGTGGGATGCCATAACTTCACTCCTAAAACTCTTTCAGACTGTTCTTGTTGTTCTTATAGTTGTACCAAATTCACAGTCGATCCTAAGCAAGCTTTATGTTTGCACATTATTGGATGATTTGGACAAAATGCTTTACATACCCTATCCCAATTGTTACTTCCAACTTTTCTAAAGATCACCCTTTTTTAAATTCTCTTTTTAGAGATGAAGTACCTGATCTTCTGACACCTTAGTTGGCATGACAACTGAGTGAGTACACCAGGCCAGCTTCATGTTCCTTCTTCCTGTGCCAATTTCCTCCCCCGCCTGACTTCTGCTCTAATCCCTGCCACCACTACAGTCTCCGTCTTCATCCTGAGACCCCCAATGCCATCTCCACACCCACTGCCTTCATCTCTTGCTACTTCTACCCTCTAGTCTTTCCTCTCTGGGTTCCAAAGCACTCTATCACATCCTACCATACTCCAGCTGCGGATGCTTTGTCAGGTCCTGAATATTTTCAATGGATATCTGGGACTCTAAACCCTACCAAGGCATGACATGAAAATAAGCCTCTATGCCTTGGATTCATCCCTACACTTTAGCAAACTGGAATAATAGAAGACCATGGCATATGAGGAGGAAGGGGAGAGGAGCAGGATATAATTGCCTCTCTCCTCTCCCCTTCAACTTTCTTTTTTTTTTTTTTTTTTTTTTGAGACAGAGTCTTGCTCTTTCGCCCAGGCCGGACTGCAGTGGCACTATCTTGGCTCACTGCAAGCTCCGCCTCCTGGGTTCATGCCATTCTCCTGCCTCAGCCTTCCAAGTAGCTGGGACTACAGGCGCCCGCCACCGCACCCGGCTAATTTTTTGTATTTTTAGTCAAGACGGGGTTCACTGTGTTAGCCAGGATGGTCTTAATCTCCTGACCTCATGATCCGCCCGCCTCGGCCTCCCAAAGTGCTGGGATTATAGGCGTGAGCCACTGCGCCCGGCCCACTTTATCTTAGCCTACCTTTTTCTTAATGTTTTTGTCGTTTCTCCCATTCTAGGGTAGAGGGATTCATTTTAACCTAAATTTTACCTAAATGGAATTAAGGGAACATACTGTGATTTCTTCCACTCTTTATTTCCTTGCCTAATACCTTTCTTTTGTCCTTACATCCTTGCAATAACTTATACCCTCACACCTACAGTATCCATCACCAAGATGATCCTAGGTACCTTGAGACATCAACCTTCCCATGTGTCCTGGCTTCAAGTCTACTTTTAAGGGTGGCCTGAAACTCATGGAGAGAAAATAGAAATTTCACCTTACTAATCCAATGTGAATTATATTCACCAAAGTAACAGATCTCAATAAAATTTATATTCTCTTTTTTTTGTCATTTGTGTGTTCACTGCTGTGATTAACAATCATTCACATTTGGAAAAGAATCAAGTAAAGCATAACTGAATCCTGATACCACTTGGGAAAGATAGTCATAGATGTGAGAATGTTAAGACGGTACGAGGGACACAAGGAAAATCATTTGTGTAGCCAGCACACCACATATTTTACCTGCAAATTCCTGGACTAGGTTCATAAAACACTCTCAGATCATGTCATGTACATTTTTCATAAGAGTTGAAACTCAGCTTTCATCTGAGGGTACTTCTGGGGACAAAGCTCTGTGAGAAATTGCAGTCTTATAGTTGTGTCAGTCCTCAATCAGGAGGATATTTAATGACAAGAAAGACACATAAGGAGCGATGAGAAAAGTGGAGTTCTTTCCTCTTTAAATAATCTGTAATGCCTTTTTTAATGCAACTGCAATTAGCCAAAGAGGAAAGTGTGGGACTATCTCATCCCATTTTCAAAAACCACCAATAGCACATATTACATACAAATAATGCATGGTATCATTTCAAATATTTTCTCACATTCCTTAGTTTATTCCCTTTACAATCCTTTGAGGCAGTCAGAAAGTGCATTGCTTTTGCAAGTGGGAAAGCAGAGGGAGGTAAGTTGCTTGCCAAGGTTGACACAGCTAGTTAGTGACGGTGTTTGATTGGAACCCAAATTTGTTGCATCCATCCAGGACACCCAGCACCACGTCAATCTATTATGCTAGTTCCATACTGCCCATGAGCTTCCAGGCGTTCCTAGAATCCATGAAAATTATATTTTTTATTGAGACCCATCTGACTAATTGTGCTCTGTGTCCAAGCCAAAGAATGCCATAGTTAATTTAGAAAAATGGAAGTTTAAATGTAAATGCATCCAACATCTTGCATGCAAGACTCCTGCCTTGAATTTCTTATAGCACCTCTCTGTCAAAGAGCTCAGGAAAGTTTGCAGCCTCTTGCTAATCCTCCCAACATGCCTGTGAAAGGCACACTGGGCAGTTTTAATTATGGCTGGTTTACAAATAGAAAAACTGAAACACAGATGGTGAAAAATGAAGCTGAGTAAGGGATTTCCCCAGAACCACTGGCATATCAGACCCAGGCCACTCTTTGCCAGGCCTGGGCAATCTCTACTTGGCCACATTTTCTGGGTAAGAGACCTCAAATGGCAAATGAGCATTAAAGACTCCAGTGTGTTTCAAATGCAATACACACATACTTGAGAGGTGGTAAAATAACAGGTTCAGAGGATGTGGTTGTTGTGAGGAGTCAATGATGCATATGGACAGTGCTTGGCATCAGGTAGCTGGCAGGTAATGTAGGCACAAGAAATGGAACAGAGAAATTAGTCTCTGCCTTGAAAAAAATGAGGTTGCTGATCTGGATACTCAATAAATATTTATAGAACAAAGGAAGAAAAAAAAAACGAGGGAGGGAGAGCCTTTTAAAATAGAAAACTGGGTTCATGCCCTTTCCCTGTGACTCGCTGGAGTTTCATAAAATGGTTTTATCTTCTGTAACATGGTGGCTTTAGTGGTCTAAATACCATTCACAAACATATATTCTGGCCATAACATTTCTTAACACCGCCCTCATAAGAGTCAACTCCCACCTCCCTGTGCGGGCTTCTTTGCTTGAGTTACCAATAGTTACCCCAACCTAACCAAAACACTTAATGCAGACACATCCTTTCTATTATGGGTTGTTTCAACTTTAGTGTAAAAGAAGGACAAGCCTTTTTTAAAGTAACTAAACATAGTTGGCTGTATTGCAATAGCTTGTGAGGTGCTCGTCATAAAACCAATCCTTTTCTTTTTTAATCTTTTTCTTGATTATCTCCAAAAATAAAGCATATTTCTTCCCTATGTGCCAGCTGCAGCCAGATGTAGGTAGGGTGTACAATTAAGACTCCGAAAACTTTGCTTAGCAAATTGAAGGAAAGATGTTAGAAAAACTCATGTAACTCACTTGCTATTTGGTTTTCTTTATGGCTAAATTCAATTTTTTACCCCTTAATTCCAACACAGAGCCCCCTGACACTCAGGAAGCCTTGAAATGGTTTCCTGTCTTCTGGTTTATCAGATTCAGTTGCTCTGCTCAATAGAATATTATTAACTATGCCTATGTTAAAAAGTAATAAGCAAAAAAAAAAATGCTTGATTGCCTAGAAGAGATTGTTATATATGAAAAAATTGAATTGCTTTTAACCTTTTCCAGGTAATGTATACAACTATTCTTTCAATGTTTAATCCCATTATTTAATGTAAGGAAATAAATAAATAAAATTGGGCTGACAGAAGTGGCAATATAATATTCTTTAATCTGCAGCTCACAGTGCATTTAAAAATAATAATTTTGAAAACAGCATTTGAAAACATTTTATCTTAAAAATGCATATTTTGCTTATTCTAGTGTTTGTTGATTTGAAGGCTTTGAGGTCAGCCCAGTAAATATTCAGTTTGCTTGGCACAAACTGTGCAGGAATCTAATAGAAAGCAATATTGTTGAAAATGGATATCAATTGAAAACAGAGAGCAGTGTCAACTATTCCCCACTGGGAACAGACAACAATAAAACCAGTCAAGCATTACACAGCCGAGCCTGCCAAATGTCATTAGAGTGGAGAAAAAAGGAAAGGAACATGGTAGGGAAAGAAGCACTTAGCTTTATTTTTTTCCTCCAATTTAAAAAGACATACACACACACACACACACACACACACACACACCTAAGTGAGGGATAGGGAGAGAACATTTAGAGAATAAGGACAATAAAACCTAAAATTGTCCAAACCAGTGTCACCATTCTCTTAAAGTTGGCATATTCTCTTTTCTTTTCCAACGTGATTACATTATAAAGATTTTCAAATAATTTCTCTGTCTTTTCAGTTGATCATTTTCCCCCAATAACTCTTTTAATCAAGTGTATTTATAATCACAAAGTTTTCCATTTTTAAATCAGCATTGCAATATCATTTATGGCAATCATACGTCTATCATCGTTTAATTAATTGATCTCAGTTCTGGGCTTTTGAAATGTATACTTTTTCACTGTTAACCATCAAGCGTCAGTGGAGAGCCTTTCAGAGGGAACGGGCTGCAGAGAAGCCCTATCTCTGGGTGAAAAGAAATATTTACAGTAGCTCTGAAATCTGTTAAATTATGAGGATGTGGGAAAAATCATTGCCGGGCAATGGGACCATGGGGAAAAACACATCATCACTCCCAATCCCACCTGAAGGCAGAACTGGGAACCAGTGACTTAACCCCAAAACTTCTGCCATATCTGTGGCATTTTCATTGATGATTTGTAAATTTTCAAACAAAGAAAAATTGTCTCCTACAGACAATGGTCAAGCTGCTGAACAGCCAGCCAAGAGCTCCCCCTAGTGAAGTTGCACAAGTATTAGTGTGAGCTCCTCCATACATGCACGTCTGCTCGTACACACACACACACACACACACACAGATTTGACTCGTTTGTCCAAAATATTGTCCACTCCACCTTCTTTCAAAATAACATGAACAAAAATTGCCCAAACTCTCCTGAATGTTTTCTACCATTCATTGTTAAACTCCACACCCAGCAGTAAAGAGCCAGAGAGAACTCCCTTTTAGAAGGCAAAACTGTCAATCTGATCATATCATTTTGAAATCATAATAATCACATATTGGCTCCAAATCTGCATCCTCAAGTAGATGCTATCAGTGTAGAAACTCCTCAGGGGCAGCATATTACTATGTAATTAGCATAATAACTTTGTTGTGTAAACAAAATAAAAGACAGGCTTGAATGCGAGAAATATATCTTACACTGTAGTGGCGTCTACAGCTTCTACAGAAAAACCTATTGTTCTTGGCCAAGCTTTTATTTTTGTCACAATATTACTTTGATTAAACACGTGCTGATACATGCAAGCAGCTTTCTTTGTAAGTGTACTGCCTTCGTATACATGTATACACATGACCATATATTTTACTGCAAAACAATCTACAGAACACTCATCCCACTCATATTTAACAGGACTAATTTGCTATAACACCAGCATCGCATCTCCCAAGTCAGCCCTAATTCCTTCAAATACATTTTGGCTTCCTCCAAAAAGATATTTTATCGGTTTTATGAGCCTGGATAGGGCTCTGAAGGGAGAACAGGCATTCTTTAGTGGGGAGAAGGTAGCAAGCGTAGATATCAGATGCATAGATGAAAAGGATTTAATGTCTTCCTAAAAATTCTTTGAAAGCCATATGAACATTTTTAGGAAAATATAAATGACTGCCATTTTACAATTAACAGCTGCTTATGTTAAGCACTGAATACTCCCTAGCTCCTGCTAATATATTTTTTCTTAAACCATAGATCCACAAGACAAGTGATAATAGCTCTCAGATGCTAAAGGTAAGTCTATTTTTCTGGGAGATTCTAACCCTAGAATGCAATTTGTTTAGGTTCCATATATTTACGCTCAATTCTTGAAACCAGCAGGCCATCAGAATGACACAGATTAGGCTATTGTTATGTAGGGTTGCTTTTATCATGGAGCTCATTTACATAAAAATCATATGCATATAGGAACTAAATTTAAATAAACCAGTTGGCTTAGAAATACCATTACTTACCTCCCTGGAGGATGGTGACAATTAATACTGACATCTTTGCGAAGCTTTGCTGGGACATGCTGCCATATAAATATAAATAATAACATTTCAGTTTTATTACAATATTTTTAGGATATTTTAAAAACTCATTTAATATACGCAGATCCTTGTTCTTTCCATAATTCTCAGACCTCCACAAATCCAAAAGAGAAGAGGTAGGGGACTAGGGAAGATAGCATAACTAAGCCATTCATTGGGACAAATGTGGATATGACCAGTTTTACCAATTGGCACCACTATTAGGGCAAGAACTTCACGTTCACGAAACCCACAACTATGATGAACTCTTCTACAATTCACTGTTGGACAATGGGTATATAATTCAGCCTGCAAAAACTGATTTTTTTTTACCTTACAAAAGGGGGAGTTAGAATTCTCAACACCTTCTTGAATCAAAAAGAAGTACTAAATAAAGAATCGAAGTTGGACCTATTATGTTAATCAAAATTCTGAGGGCATCTCTGAAAGTGTAATTTGGCCCAATGTGTGGTTTTTTTTAAATCATGAAAATTAGCTAATGAATATTGTGCAGTCACTTCCCTAACATAAAATAACTCAACCATTCAAATTGCACAAATTCCAAAATGGTCTAACTTACAATACATCACTGTTTGCTTGTTTGTGTTAGAAGTGCTTAACCTAATAACATGGTGAAATTGTATCCTTTTAAAAATTCCAATTTTTATGAATTAACAAGAGACTCATGGCTGAATTTTTTTATCAGTTTAGCTATTACAATCCCAAATACTAAACTCTGACAATATTTACTGCTGCTTAAATTCATTAATCAGAATTTGGTCCTGTCAGTTTTCACTAGGTTGGGAGTCAGAAGTCTCAGGCTTTTGAGCAGGCACTGACAATTCTGGACTGCTGGATCTTGACTAGGCCACTGTGTCCTTGGACTCTCAGTTTTTTCATCTGTAAATTATGGGTAATAACATCTGCCCTGCTGACCTCATGGGATCACTATGAGAATTAAATGAGATAGCACATGTGGGAAATTCTTTCAATATTAGACAGTGCTAGATAAGTGCGTGCACTATTAGTTTGAAAAATAATATCTCAGTCATCAAGTTTAATCATCTCTAAAGATCTTCCCTAACCTTCTAAATGGTTCTTTGCGTTGATTTCTTTCAGAAAAACAATAAATGTTGAGTGGCGTATTTGCAGAAAAGTTTTTTTTTAAATCTATCACTGCTAACATTAGTACGTTAGTTAAGTATCTAACTCAGCTCTAGACACTCTTCTCTCATCAGAATTGCCCCCAAATGCAGTGAGAACACAGTCCATACATAGCGTCACCATGCTTATTTGGTTTGGTTTCTCCCACACTAAAACCTATTGTCCAGGTGTTTTTCATGGGAGAAATTGCAGAGAGGGCCCAGGGCCACCAGACATAGGCTTTGTCTGCCCTTGGCTCCATCATAACCAAAATAGAAGAACCATATAGCAGATGTGTTCCTTTTTAAAAACTAGAACTATATGAAATACTATTTAGTAATAAAGAGAAATAAACTGTCACACACAGCAATGTAGATGAATCTCAAATACATTATACTAAATGAAAAAAGCTAGGCTCAGAAAGCTTATACATATGATATCATTTTCACGACATTCTAGAAAAGGGAAAACTATAGAATTATAGGATAGGAAACAGATGAGCAGCTGCAAGGGGCTGGAGGTGAGGGAGAGGATTGGATACAAAGGGGCCTGAAGACATTTTTGCAGGTATGAGACTATGTTACATTTTTATTATGCCGGTGGTTACCTGAATGCCTGTGTTTGTCAGGGCTCATATTTAAAAGTGGGAATTTTACTATATGTAAATTATAGCTCAATAAACTTGTTTCTGTGTTTTTTTTAAAAAAAAAGACTCATAGAAAAGTCAACATGAATTTGTTACCCTGCTTTGAATTGTGTTACCTCTTTTAAAATCAGATTGTATTTTCTTTGTAGTTCAAACTGTTCTCTGGTAAAATGAAGTCATATTAAGCTAATCAGACACATAATTGAGTATGGTTAAACTCTGAAATAAAGTTTTCAGTGCATATCTACCACATTAGTAATTAATTTCCAGAGAGTACAAAAAGTATAATGGTCTTGCAATGATAACCATTTTATTTTTATTGTTTTCCAAATGGTAACAAAAGATTTCAGGTCATAAGCCTAGTTGTATAGATTTAACCTCTCCCCCATCCTTATCTAGTGCTCAGAGAACTGTTTATATTGTTTCACAGGTGTTACCCATAGGACTCGGAGCATGTTCTCTCATACAGGGCTGTCAGTCAAAAATTTCAATTGGTTACAGAGGACCTCACTTGAATTCTGAGTAAAATATGTGACCAGGAATATTTGATCAAGGGCCCAAAGTAGAGAAAATAAAGCGAATGAATCCAAAATAGCCCCTAGAACTCTGCCAAGAATTGCAACCCATACATATACTGTACAGATAACGTGCTATAAAATGCTAGCACTAAGAATGTTTCTTTCTAAAGATTGGGGTACAGCTTCCAGCTTCAGTGATTTTATTTTCTTATCAATAGAATTGTAAAATTTTAAAAGGCAGAGGGTATCAGCGGGCAGCCCCTTCCTGGGACATGCACGGAGAGAGGGGGTTAAGGGAGGGACATGTTTGGACAAGAAGAAGCTGGAGGAAAAGAATACCACCTCTCTCCAAATCCCCATTCCATTCCTTCTGTTGTAAAACGCTGTATAAAACAATGCCCATATAATCTATCGCTGGGAATACAATTATTTGCAGGTGTCTCAAAGCCATTTAGGCTCATTCATTCTTCTTTTCTCCTCATTGACATTAGTTTAATCTGTGAAAATCAGATCACAATCATGCCAGACTTTTTACCTCATTAGTTTTCTATTGTCTGTTCTGAGGCATCGCATACATTTCTATCTCCAGGCAAAACTGGTTCTTGTCTGCATTGCGTTTCCATCCCTTCCCCCCTTTTCATTCTTATGAGCAAGAAGCACTTTTAATTTAATACTTTAACTACCTCTAGAGCTAAATAGGAAAGATTTCACCTGCATTTTTTTTAAACTGACAACTTTGAGATATAAACATGTTTCTGGTTGTTATTCAAACCGTGCATGTGATATGTGTGAAGTGCCCACACCCCCAGATTTACTCTGTAGATACACAGTAATTCTCTGTTGATGACAAGTTATATTAGCTACATACAATTCCATTTTTTCATTGTGTTAACTCACAGCAATGTCATTTTCTTGATAAATTTGTGCCTCCTGTGTGTCTTTATCACTATGCTAAGAGAAGCCTTGCCTAGCATTATTTTAACTATATTTGGAACGGGGTTAGAGCATTTACTCTGAACAGCCAGATCTATGGGACAAACCAGGGATATTAGCAAGAGGATGGGGCTGTTTTCTGCCGAGCCTTGAACTTTGGCATTTAAGATTACTGCGATTTTTACTTCTCCAGATGCTGCTTCAGACACATAGTAGATAAAATGTTGAAATTCCTCATCAACTAGTTGTATAGTAAGAACATGCATCTCTTTCATATTTTAGCTAGTACACAATTTCTAAATGGGTTTGCTATATATTTTATCAAAAATCTAATTTTCTGATTCAGGGCTTATGGTCAGTTATGATAGTCCTTAGAAATTGGGGTCAATAAAGAAAACTGCTGATAGTTCTTTGAATGACTACATATTTCAGTGTTAGCATTGTTATTAATTTTTCAAGAAATCTAAATTATATTTATAAAATGTCATGAACTGCTCCATTCATTGTTTATTTCCTTATTGTATATAGGCAGAAATTATCTGCCATACCAAGCAGCATCAGATCCCCTGACTAAACAAGTTTTACTTCCTTTGGGGAAAAAATAGTAATAATAACCTTTGATTATATAAGAACATCATAATCTACATTGTCATTCCTGGTTCAGCCCATGCCAAGAACATAGGACGATTTTCATATGCTCTAATCAAATATTCGGGGGTTGGGGAGTCTCACTGCAGATCTCCAGATCAAGATTATGTGACATGCCTTGGATTCCAGCCAGGTTTAAGGCTCTTCATTTTTAAAACAATAACCACCTGCTAAAAGAAGAAAGCAGCCATTTCCTTCTTGACATTCGTTAGCTTAGGATCAGCAGAATCTTCCTTCTGCTTAGATTGAAATGTAATAGCTGCAAGGTTGAAAACTGAAATCTTGCACTAAGCACTTCATTGCTGCTGGCTTGTAATTTTTTTCTTCTCAAAAATTACACACACAAAGCAGTTTTAGACTCTGTAATCAGATATTTTGCCTCATACTACTGTGTGATTTGGGATGTTTTCTTTCTTGTTCTTTTTATTTTTTTAAAAAACTAGATCTGCACAATTCATTCTTTCAGGGAATACACAGGCTCCACACTGGACTCTCACTGCTGCCATATGGCATTTAGGGAATTTTGACCAGGCTCAATGAGTAAGATGAACTCAGACTAGTTAACTCTCATAGGTCCAAAAGCCCTCAGCTGAGGTTGACTTGACTCATTTCTATCGGCTTGCTGTCCAGTTTCACAGGAGACTGTAGATGTATGTGTTGTAGGAAGAGGAGGGTTGGCAGTGGAGAAGCAAAGGCATGGAAAGGCCAAAGGCAAAAGAAAACAAGGACTTGATCTCAGCCTCAAGGTGTCTCTTTATAATGGGCTCAGATTTTGCAGGGTCATGAAATGCATCTAACTTTGCTTAGATACAGTGATTCTCCCAAGAGTCCTCTGGTTTCTCTCCACTCTGAGCTGACAACGGCATTATCATTTTATACTCTCACCAGTCCACATACCTCCAGTGGGAAAGCATCTTGAAAAAAATCAGATTTGTAAATTGTATATACAAGCAACAAACATTTTAATTAAAAAATGCTTTGTTTGCAAAACGTACAATTAAACACCATAATCTTGCACTTTGTTAAGCACCACCACTTTGGAACCAACACTTTTCCCTCACAATGCATTATTATTTATAAATGTGCTCAAGAGTTAATATCTGTATTTTAAAAAGTGTAATATAGCACATTGCTTTAACATACTATGGCAGTACACTTTATAGAAATTTGAGCTTACAAATTCATTTTTTCACATTCTTCAAAATAGACTCTTTCTTTAAGTATATACCTCAATATGTACTATTGTGTGTGTGTATGTGTATGTGTGTATTATTCAGTTCATTCTTAAATGTCTTCTGACCTCAGATGTAGCTTGTCCAAAAAGCAACACCACCCACAATTAAGTTCCCAACTTTCCACATCGCAACTCACCCGTTCACCTAGGATTATAAAACTTTGAAATCATCCTTCCCTCCCTACATCTATTCATATAATATCAGGGAATAAAGGAAGCAGGCAACAGAATTGGATCAGGAAATGCTTTTTCAATGGTTTATCTCAGCAGGTATAAAAAGGGACTAGACAGTAAAGTAAACTTAAGCTAAGGTATGGGATGAATGCAAACCCCTGTTTCTAAGAGTCTCTTGATAATTAGAAAAACCTTTTGGCTGCCTTTTGGTTATCTCTAATTGGAGTGTCTCAGATTTTCTGTCATTCCCATAACATAGAGAGGAAGAAGCTCTTATACAGGATGCACAAGAAATCTCTGCTGTATCCTTTGTTCATTTGTGATTACATTATTAACATCTACTCCAAGCCTGGATTCCTTGCAAAGATCATCTGAAATTATTTGTCCATTGTATCAAGACTGATTTTTCTAAAATTAGATCATATTATCTATAAATACATTTAACTCTCCAAGGGTAAATTGCAAAGTGTCTGAATACACAAAAAGCCAGTGACTGTGGAAGAGCATTGCAGGCAAATCCTGTACTTTGTGAAACTCCCCTCCTAGACCCTGAATCTTCAGGCCTTGTACATTAAACATGACCAGCTGACACATGGATCCAGGGGAGATGCTGGTGTCTATATGCATAGTAAACATTAATGAAGCTGAATTGTTTTTATTTCTTTGGATTAACACAAACCTATAGGCAGAAGTTCTCATGTTTTCTTGCAGCATCCCAGTGGAGTATCTTGCACCTCCCCTGAGTATACATGCCCCATTTGAGGGATCAGCACTGTGTGAGTCGGAGTTCTCCAGAGAAACCGAACCAAGGGGATACAGAGTCATTCCTCGGTACCCATGGGACATTGGTTCCAAGACACACTCTTGCCTGCCACAGATACCAAAGTCCACCAGTGCTCAAGTCCCTTATATATAATGGTATAGTATTTGTATATAACCTACACACATCCTTCCATATACTTTAAATCATCTATATTACTTATAGTACCTAATATGATGCCTATACATCACTTCTTTCATGTGGATTAAACATAGTACTCACCACGTGGCAAATTTAAAACTTTGCGGAATGTTTTTCTCCTGAATATTTTTGATCTCAATTTTTGGTTGAAGCTGTAACACAGAATACACAAATACAGAAGACTCTGTGTGTGTGTGTGTGTGTGTGTGTGTGTGTGTAGAAAGAGAGAGATTTTTAAAAACTGGCACATACAATTGTTGGGGCTGTCCAACTAACTCTGTAGGGCAAGCCAGCAGGCTGGAGATTCAGGTAAGAGTTAATGTTGCAGTCCCAAACGTAAAGACTTGAAACTTGGGCAGAATGTCTATATTGCCATCTGGAGGCAGGATTCCTTCTTTGGGAAATCCCAGTCTTTGTTCCTAAGGTCTTCAACTGATTGGATGAGGCCACCCACATTATGGAGGGCAATCTACTTTCCTTAAAGTCAACTGATTGTAAACATTAATGACATCTTTAAAATACCTTTACAGCAACATCTAGACTAGTGTTAAATCAAACAGCTGGTCAACATAATCTAACCA
Source organism: Homo sapiens (assembly GCF_000001405.40). NCBI lineage: Eukaryota > Metazoa > Chordata > Mammalia > Primates > Hominidae > Homo > Homo sapiens. The sequence goes on from NC_000008.11 coordinate 93,369,415, forward strand.
AATTGACAAAATTAACCATCACAATTCCTATCTACTGTGCTGCAGAAAAAGAACCTCATCACAGACAGACAAAATGCCAGGCTGCTTTCCTCTTCCTCCTTCCTTTTCAAACCCCAATAGCTTCACTGTAGAGAAGAGGGAAGGGAGAGCAAGAGAGCAGACAACCCCCACTCTGCTGTAGACCCATGCTGGGAACTCTCTTCTGCCCTGAGAGAAGAGAGCTTTGAATCAAATCAAAAACCAAAGCTTAGAAATCAGCATGACTTAATCTTAATTACTAAGATGAAATTGTGTTAATCACTGAAGGGGACTAGAAACTTGTGGAATTGGACTGAGATGTCATCAAGACAAGTGCAGAATGGGAAAGGAGAGTTCAACACGCAGAACGGTAACCATGTTGGGGGAAAAAGAAACATAGGGAAATGTCATTTTTTGAGACTTCAGAAGCATCTTTGCTCTTTGTGTGCAGGTACAAAGAGCAGAGAGCAAAGACACTATGAATAAAACTGGGTCAGGATAAAAGAGGGGGGCATGGAAGTGACATCATTGCGGGGTGTGACCCAGAGCTTCCAGGTGGACTGTGTGGACAGGCTTGCCAGGGGACATGGCTGGCCTGGCCCTGACGAGTGCTGGGGGTCATCCAAACCTCCAGAGCACAGACGTCAATGTCAGGTGCATACTGGTTTGGATCCAGTCTCTGCCACTTTAAACCCCTGTTACTTACCTCCTCTTTCTTTATACCTCAATTTCCCCAACTGTACAATGGAAATGGTAAAAGCTACTTGCTGTATAGGGCGCTCTTAGGGATAAATGGTGGCACAGAGTGAGTGTTTCAGTAAATGTGAACTCGAGTCATGGTCACCATCATCCCTTTAACCACGAGACGGCAGAAGTTACTTCTTCCACTAAAATTGAAGCATCTGGTAAACTCTCGACTCACTTCACTGAATGTTTTATGTCTTAAGATATTGGCTACCTCTTACAGAACTCTTATAACAGGTACTTGCTGAAAGCATTTCTTATGTGTACTTACTACAATAACCCCATAAGGTGGGTACTGTCTGCATTTTACAGATGAGAAACATCACTGAGGTTTGTATAGGTTTTCCAACTTGCCCAAGGCCACACAGCTCATCAGAGCTGTGCTGTTTCCAAGATACCATACTGCCTCCCACTGAGCATGGACCTTTTTCTGGAATATTTGTAGATAACATGGAAATGTCGATAATACTGAAAGGAAGTAGTTGTGTTGACAGTAAGTTTGAATCGTAATGCAAAGAACTAAAGCCATATCCATAAGTGTATTCTTGATTTTACGTGAGCAGATTTCAAAGTGTTGGAGCAGGGGATAATTGGGTATGTTACCACAGACATTAGACTCATAAGTAGGAAGCTATAATCAAACAAATTTCTGACAGTCAAGTTAATTATGGTCGAAGGTGGAAAGAGGAGAGGGAAGGCAATCAAAGACACAGATGTGGCTACACAGGGCTTTCTCTGGTGAAGTAGGATTCTAAAAGATTTTGATCAAAATGTGTCAGTCATCAAACATGAAGGAGAGGCACAAACAAGAAGGACTGGCATCTTAAGTAAGTCCAGAACAAGCGGAAGGTTGGGGATCATGCCAAAGACAACACAAATGTTGTTAAAAATTTTGGGAGGTGGGGAGAAGTAAGAAGTATAAAGGAATGGATTGACCCACTGTTTGGAGTAGGTAATATAATGTTGAGAGGATGACAGATAAAAGGCAGAATTATTCACCATCAGTTTTGCTTACATTTTTCACCAAGAAAAATAATCTTCAAACTGCAAGGTGTTACAAAGTTTATGATGAATGAAAATTAAGAGAATCTATTGTAGCTTTTAAGTCCTTGATCCCAGATATATGTTATCCCCAATAACTTGCTGATGAAATGCAGAATCACTGATGATAATCCAGGAGAAATAAAAATTGGGGAAAAAAGGCCCACTCAGACCCTTGCTGTCCCCAAATTCCCGATGGCGTACTGAGATGCCCTGCCTTGCCAGAAACACTAAATGCTGCAGGCTGAGCAGGCCAAAAGGTGGAAGATACAGAGATAACAGAAATTACTAAAAAAAAGTCGAAGTTAATAAATCAATTATTTATCCTTTTAGGGGAAAAAACGTAGATTCTCTAGAGTCTAAGGATTAAGAATGATTAAATCTTGGCATCTACATCCAGCAAGATTACATGCAGCCTTTTTTCAACTTCACGCAGGAGCAGTTACAAGAAATGAGTCTTAATGTTGAACCAAAGTCCTCTTCTTTCCTTCTCATGGACCTGTGTCTGCCCTCTGGAACAAGGAGTACCAACTGAGGGTCCATGCACTGAATTCAGCCTGCAGGCCTGTTTTGCTGTTTGAGGTCATTTGTTTGTTTATCTTTTGTTGCTTTAAAGTGAGTCATATACTCTACACAATGCCCAGAACTCTATCCTGTACTTCACTATTCAATCATGTCTACTACCTGCCTATTGGCCGCGGGTGTAACTCGAGTCTGCAACCTTTCTCTGGACCACATAAGAAAAATCTAATCCTTCTTCTTTTGCATCCTTCACATCTTGAAAGCCTGAGGGTGTTTTCAACAAGTTTATGCCAATGGCTGAGCTCTTCACCAGGCCACTTAAGAGGACTTGTGTCAGTGACTCTCCAACATTTATATTTCAGCCCCCCAGTCTCAGAGCCAAAGATCCTGGGACCCACATCACCAATCCTTCCCACTACTCACAACTTAGTAATAAAAAACAATGATAGAGGATCAAAATTTAAACGCTGCAATAAATGTACTGCTAACCACACAATATAATTGCTCATTGTTTATTCCAGAAAGAAAAATACGATCTTATACAAAATTTTCATCCTACCCCTGCATCTCCATTTCTATAAAATGGAGCAATTTTTCTCCCAAAATCACAGTAAGAATTAAATAACATGAAATGTATTTTAAATGCCCTATAAATTAAAAATATCCTGGTCATCTTATTATCTTATTACTACTTAGCATATGTTTTAAGTAGCACAGATTTACAGAGAGCATATCACCAATGAAGTATTACTGTGCAAGCGAATTTTAGATGAAGTACAGATACATTTTTTAAGAAAAATATACAGATTATTTACATTTCAGCCATAACACCATTATGCCTTACATTCAAATTATTAGAAAATTATAGGCCAAAAATACTGTTGAAATTAAAATGCATTCTCTACACTCTATGGTTTAACAACTCACAACAAATTAAATCAACATGAAGAAACCAATAATAATTATTAAAAGCTAGAGTAGGAGCAACTAAAAGCAACAAAAGCAACAATCAACTTGCTGCACACTTATAATAAAAGATTCTCTCTCTCCTCTCTTTTTTTTTTTTTTTTTTTCCATAGAGGTGGAGTCTCATTATGTTGCCCAGGCTGGTCTTGAACTCCTGGCTTCAAGGGACCCTCCTGCCTCAGCCTTCCAAAGTGCTGGGATTACAGACATGAGCAACTGTGCATGGCCAGGATTCTTTCTAAACTTTGAACATTCCACCTAGCTAGATATGTGCTTACATAGTGGGAGCTCTGTAGTAACACTAGCAGCAAAACCACACAGTGGAGTAGTGAATTTCCTCTCCCAACCCCAGAGAGGCATTTATATTTAGGTATACCAAACTAGTAACCTTTATAACCCACCCAGTCATATAAAGAAGAAGCAGTGAACCTACATGTATTTGTCTATAAGTACTAACAAGCCTGGCTGATAGAATAACTGTTATCTAGAACATTTTGGCAGAGAGAAGAGAGTGCGCTGGAGAGTTTTGCACTGGCGATTAAAAGCCTGATCCAGAAACGACACACATCATCTCTTCTCACATCTCATTGACCAGAGGTGGCCACAGAACCCCACCAACCTCAGGAATCCAAGAAATACCATCCTACCATGTACTCAGAAGGCAGAGATCTGGATATATTTGACAAAAAGAATTAATTTTAACATCACATGAAGACCCCATTTATACGTCCTTTGCAGTTTGCTTTTAAGCCACAGCTGACTTGGAGAGTAAATTGGCCTTATACTGGCCTTACAATATTCTGCCTTTCTTCTGTAGCCATCATAGTGATGATGATTTTGTTATCCTTCTATTCTAGTAAGGAACACAGCAGCTAACAATTATGAAGGGCTCACAATATGCCAGTCACTGTGCTAAGCTTTTTACAGTTACTAACTCGGTCTACCCCAACAACAACATTAAGTTGCAGTTATTGCTATTATTGCCATTTACAATTATTTCAGTTGCAGTTAGAAATATGATGAGATAAATCAAGAGCTGGGAGGCTGGAGTTTTGAGAACCAAATGTCTATGGAGGTAGCCAAAGTCTGGAACAGAGATAAATAAACTTGCTCAGAGAAAGTATTTGACAGAGATAAAGAGAGATCAAAGCAAAACACCATGGATGTATCTTGAGGCACAGCCACATGTGGAGGTGGGAGGTACTGAAAGAGACCGAGAAAAAAACAGAGAGGCAAGAAAAAAACTAAGAAGAGAAAAATTCAAGAAGGAAATGACTAGGTGATCAATAGTTTTAAATATTGCTATGACATCAAGATCAAATAGTGTATCTTAGTCAGTTCAGGTTGTTACATCAAAATACCATAAACTGAGTAGCTTAGAAACAACAGAAATTTATTTCTTACAGTTCTGGAGCCTGGAAGTCCACACTCAGACTGCCAGCATGGTCAGGTTCTGCGCGGTCCCCTTCCAGGTTGCAGACTGTTGACTTCTTCCTCTGTCCTCACATGGCAGAAGGGCTGAGGGGTCTCTCTAGGGCCTCTTTTATAAGGGCAGCAATCCCAAAGAATCCCCTCCCAAAGGCCCCACTTCCTATATATATCATCACCTTGTGAGTTGAGATTTCAACATACGAGTTTTGAGGGGACACAAATGCTTAGATCATGGCAGTGAGAATTTAAAGAGGATTTTAGATTTGGAAGTAAGGGGGTTATTGTGGTCTTGCCCAGAGAAGTTTCAGTGGAGTGACAGAGACGAAAGCCAGGTTGCAGGGGATGGGGACTATAGAGGCCATGAGGAAACTGACAGTGCAGTTGAGTTTTCAAGAATTATGGTAGCAAGGTGGAAAAGAAAGACTAACAGCACCCAGGAAAACAGAATAGAAATCTGCTGATTTGAAGATGGCAAAGCCAAGGAAGTGGGAGAGATTGAAAATATAGGTACAAGAGAGCAAGGTTCTAAAAGAGACAGAGGGGATGAGACTCTGGGCAAAGTGTGCATGTCATGTTTGGTCTTTTCTTCATATATGCATGGGCCACATGTATTTCCTCTGATGAGAAATGCTTGTTCATGCTTTTACCTACTTTTGTGTTGGGTTATTTGTCCCTTCTTAATCATCATAACAATATTAACTCAAAAGGCCTAAGACACCTTTTCCTTAAGAAGGAAGGAATAAAGATGGGAAAAAAATAGCAAAACATTGGAGCAGAAGGACAGGAATCAGAATAAATTCATCTCTATTTTTCTGTGAAGTGCTAGGCAAGGCTTGAGGAATAGGTAGCTTAATGAGAATACCAAAATGTTTTAACTGCTCTAGGGCATTGAAAAATTGAGTCACTCAGAGAGGAGTTAAAGACTTGCTAAGCATCCAGTCTGAATTAGACAACAATTGGAAAAATTATGTCATTTCCTCCACAGACCTCAGTGAAGAAGAGAGGTGACCAATTCCAGACACTCAGTAGGTGCTCAGTCAATGCTTATTGAATGAATAAATGAATGAATGATTCTGAAGATTTGTGACAGGTGTGTACCTACTGTGTTAACTCCACAAATTCTGTCTCCAGGCCGATGCTCAGAGTGTTTCCTCAATTCAGTGTGCCCACTCCTCACCCTCTCTCCAAGTTGCTGCCGTTCCAAAATATGGATAGAGCTGGTCCTTTCCTTCTCCCAAGGGGTACCAACTTAAGACCAAAATGGGGCAATACCAGTGAGCCAGCTTAACTGAAGACTTGACCATAACATAGAGGAATTGCAATTTGGAGAAGACACAGCTAAAACTGTGTGATCAACTGACTGGCTGTCAGATGATCACTGAAGACCACATCCATGCCCCTCCCGGGTGTCACCACCTGGCACTCTGTTTTTACCCCTAGTTGGCCCCAGTGATACTGGAAGGTCAGAACATTCCCCTTCTCCCATCTCCTCACCAGGCCCATCTTACTGGCTCTGCAGGCTACATAGAGCAAACAAGCAAACACAGAAACAAAAAGGAAACATTATAACAATCTCCCTTGTCTCAAAGAAGACATTCATACTTTATTATAAAGAGCAGCTTTGCTCCTCTTTTCCCAGACCCTACTCTCCAGAATATGCCTGGCCTTTGAAATAATCAAAAGCTCAATAAGTTGCTTTCCCCAAAAAAGAGAAATACTGCCTTTTCTAATGCTGCTTTCAGTTGCCAACCTTAGATTATGGAGAGCAAACAGCTCTGCAAAAAGACAATTTTTATTTTCATCCCTGCCAGAAGTGCTATTGAGGATGAGGGATGAGAAGGAGTTTGCCAGAAGAAAAGGGCATTATAAGGAAATGCCCACAGGCATTGAAAGGGCCCAGTGTGTTCTGGGAAGAGTGAGTTTAGTTTGCCTGGAATTTCATGGCCATAGAACTAAAGTGTTGGGAGATGAGATGGAAAAGCAAGGTAAGGCCAGTGTTTAAAGGGCCTGCTAATGCCACAATCACACTCTAAGAGTCTAGCTTTAGGCAACAGCAGAGTTTGCAATTGGCAAGGCAGTTGGATTTGGTTTTCTATAGTTCATCTAGTAACAGTAAGGAGGATAAACTAGAATAGAGAGTGGTGAGAAATGATGAAGGCTAGGGCAGTAGGGAAGAAACAAAGACAATAAAACTTGTGTGGCTTCTGTGGGCAAACTTTCCCTAACTTGAATGCACTCCTTTTTATCTGCATCTGTGATTCTCAAATCTAGTTTAGAAACTTTCCTGGGGAGTTTGTTAAAAATGCATTTCGTAGGGCCCTCCCTAGAGATTCTGATTCAGTAAGGCATGGAGAGGGAGTTGCAGGAATCAGCATTTTAAACAAGCACCCAAAGGGAGATGAGTTTCACATAAAAAACAAGTTCAGACATTCTGGTCCAAAATCCACGTTACCCAAATCCTACCCTTCTTCCAAGAACCTCTGTGGTTTTCCATAAAGCCTTTGCCCACAACTCTAGTCTCTATCAGCCTCATCCAGAACTCGATCCCCAGGTGCTCACTGTTTTGAGTGCTTCAACTTGGACTTTAACATCTAGATCTTGTGAGAACGCAGATTGCATTGCTAGCAAACTCCCAGGTGATGCTGATGTTGCTGGTCCACATTTCACACTTTGAGGACTAGGGTATCTAGATCATACATGTTGGAACTACATTACCATGTCAGTCATTTGGTTGTTTAATGTGAGTCCTGCCTCCCAACTTTACTGTAAATTCCCAAACAGACATCAAGTTTCGAACGCCTTTGAGAACTCTTCACACCACCAAGGACTGGATATACAGCAGGTGCTTTACAAATACAAGCTGAATTGAATAATTCAAAGTAAAAAAACCATGAACTAGATTGCCCCCCGATGGGAATAAAGAATCAATGGAGAATCCAGCTTTAATTATTTGTTATTATTGTTCCTAACAGGCACTTCCAGAAAGCCACAGAGAATAGCAAACATATACATATACTCAGTGGGGCATTTGAGACCAATATTCTTAGATGTCTACATTAAAAACACAATATTCACAAAGTGCAGCTTCAATGACTTAGAAGGGAGATGTGTTTTTCTATAAATTTCTGAAGCGTCTTTTCAAAAGGTCCATCAGTTGTATAATTGCATTCTCTAATTCCTAGGCCCACCATAGTGTAGACAATTACTGGGTTCAGTGACATGCAGATCAGGTCCCAATCTCAGAATAAGATTTTTTATCTTTTCCTTTGAGTCAGGGAATTGCAGAGACTCAAATGGGAATCCCAGACTTTCATGGTTGGCTATGTACTGATTAAGTGATACACTTGCCTGAATCTGCTTTATGCTGCCAAGTTTTTAATATTTTTATTCAGACACATATATAGGATAAAATAGCAGCATCAATATTAAGTAAATTTGGTAAAACTTAATAAAGCCAAAGCAACAAAGATCCAGAACTTTATAAGCAAGAAAGTATGAGAGATAACTTCTTGACAAGAAGGAAAATGTATTAAAAAATACATACAGACAAATAAGAGAAGACTTATTTTCACCATCTGAGTACCCTTTCATCCAGTCCAAACACCAGACTCAGAACAAAGAACAGGAACATGATTTATTGCCCCAAATAATATCCTAAAACCATAGAGCATGCAGCATCCACCAAGGCCATTTGAGTACTTTACCTTATATCAAACCAGTCCCTTCCTTGGGTCCCCTTTTAATAAAACATCATAGGCATCAAAAGAGAAAACTTTAATAAAATAGATGCTTCAGCCCCTGAAGATCATTATGTTAAAATTCTGCATATGAGAAGAGCTAGATTTTATTTTAAAAGAAAGTTTTTATTCCTATCTCTAAAAGAAAACAACTCAAGTCTCTAGAAAACTATACCAGACATTATATAACAAATTGTTATTTAGGCAAGATATTTTAAACCATTGTCACTAGTGAAAGGATGATGTAATTTGAGCAACTGTTTATGGAACGTTGTGAGAAAATTAAGCCATTATTATATCATAAAATACCTTGTTTCATAATATCAATTTTGCTATTAGGATTTGAAGCAAGAGTTTTCTTAGGGACATGTGTTTTTACATCACATTAAGGTCATTTGTACGCATTATAATATAACCATAACTGTGATAATTATTCTTTTGTGCAAAAATTTCAAGTAATCCTTCCAGTAGAACATTAAAAGATTATAATGTATTTGTGTGATTATGTGTGAGTGTGTGTGAGAGAGACTAATTTGCTAACAATTCTAGGTCTATTAGGTCAGCCTGAGAATCTTGGGGGTTAGTGATTTTTCATGAAAAGGCAACGTCTAGCACAGTGGGTAGGGAGTGGGGAAGTGGACAAAGCAAAGCTTAAATGAGCTAGAATCTTTTTCCTACTTTTTATGTTAGAAGTCAGGATGGATGGCATTATAACCAATATACATCTATTATACCAAGAAAGAGGCTTAGTTTGGAAAAAGCAGTATGCATGTGCCATTTGTAGCTTTCCAAATACCTGGCTGCATTTCCATCAGCATTGCATGCACACAGCATGAGAGAGAATTGAGGGATGATCAACTACCATGTCTCTTGTAACGGCCCCATGCTTGTGCCCTGCTGAGGGGATAGAAAGCTGGTGAAAACAAACAAACAAACAAACAAACAAACAAACAAAGTCTTTTCATCCATACTCTTAGCAAATTCTAAAGTATTCAAAGCTAAACTGATTAGAAGGATAGAAATAGATCTTTCAAGAAAGTCCTCTTTTTCTAACCAAAGGTGCAGGGAATGCGTAGACAAAGGCACATCTCTAAAGTTATCATTTTTTCCGCCTAATCCAGAAAGCTTGAAATTTTAATATAACCAATACTTTAATAGATAAATGGTAGCTATAGAGAGACATTTGGAACAGGGATTGGTTAGAGAAAAGAGGACTTTCTTGAAAGATCTATTTATATGCCTCTAATCAGTTGAGTAAATTTAGTCACATACATTGCAAAACAGAAGCCAATCTTGTGTATGGCACTTCGGATGAGTATGGTTTGCCCTGAATGGAATGTTTTTAGGGCATTAGAAGGCTCCCATCCATCCTAATCAACTTTGCGTAGAAATGATTCAATATCCAATGTTGGCTCCAATCAGTGCAAGTGTCAGTCACCGAGCAGAGTCTTGCCCACAGCCCTCTGTCCTCGTTTCCTCATGGCGGAATGCATGTGGTTCTTTCAGGACAAATTCCCTTTCGCCTGCATTCCCAGAGTGCCTACTCCTGACAGGCTTGCCCGCTATGGCACTGACCATATGGCTAGGCTCATCTGCACGCTCTCCCTTAATAATTCCCTCTCCCTCACTTTCCACCTCATTCTATTTTCACAGAGGGCATTTATTTACAGACTCTTCCCCCAAACTACACATCCTCACAAATGTATCCCTGATTCCAGCCACATGAGAGATGCCTTTAACTCACACACTCACTGAGGTATATCTTGCTGACCATGGCTGTGTGTTGCTTATTTCTGAAGGGAATTAATTTGAAACTTAGCTACATACTATTGCCTTTCATTCACAGCTCAAATTCCATTCCATTAATTCCTTATACTGTAGCATATAATTTGTTTCACACTCCTAATTGTCCAATGCTATCAATCTTGATTATGGCATATGTTATCATAAGTTGAGTCTTTCCCAAATATTTTGAAGAAATTTTAAATATCATTTTAAAACTTTTCCTTTTACTTCATATTTACCCTAAGAGAAATAGAGTCATGTACCACATGATGATGTTTCAGCCAAAAATGGACCACACATACACAGTGGTCCCATTAAGATTATAAGGGAGCTGAAAAATTCCTGTCACCTAGTGACATCATAGCCATATTACCATAATAGCGAAATGCATTACTTACATGTTGGTGGTGATACTGATGTAAACAAATCTACTGCACTGCCAGTCATATAAAATTATAACACACAAATTATATATGGCATGTAATACTTCAAATTATAATTGAAAACTATGTTACTGGTTTATGTATTTGCTATAATTTTTATCATTATTTTAAAGTGTGTTCCAACTTATAGAAAAAACATTAATTGTAAAACAGCCTCAGGCAGGTCCTTCAGGAGGGATTCCAGAAAAAGGCATTGTTATCACAGGAGATGGCAGCTCCATGCATGTTATTGCCCCCGAAGACCTTCCACTGGGACAAGATACAGAGGGGGAAGACAGGGACATTGATGATCCTATGTTTGTGTGTTAGTTTTTAACAAAAAAGTTTAAATTAAAATGTAAAAACATACGTAAAAGTAGGAAAAATAGAAAAAGCTCATAAGAATACAAAGAATGAAAATATTATTTACAGCTGTACACATGTTTATGTTATAAGCTAAGTGTTATAACAAAAAAGTCAAAAAGTTTTTAAAAGTTTATAAAGTAAAAAATTACAGTAAGCTATGATTAAATTACTATTAAAGAAAAAAATTTTTTTATAAATTTAGTGTAGGCTGTATTAGTCCATTATCATGCTGCTGATAAAGACATACCTGAGACTGGGAAGAAAAAGAGGTTTAATCGGACTTATAGTTCCACATGGCTGAGGAGGCCTCAGAATCATGGTGGGAGGCAAAAAGCACTTCTTATGTGGTGGTGGCAAGAGAAAATGAGAAAGATGCAAAGCGGAAACCCCTGATAAAACCATCAGATCTCATGAGACTTATTCACTACAAAAATAGTATGGGGACACTGCCCCCATGATTCAAATTATCTCCCACCAAGTCCCTCTGACAATGTGTGGGAATCATGGGAGTACAATTCAAGATGAGACTTGGGTGGGGACAGAGCCAAACCATATCATTCTGCCCCTGGCCCCTCCAAATCTCATGTCTTCACATTTCAAAACCAATGATAACCAATCATGCCTTCCCAATAGTCCTCCAAAGTCTTAATTCATTTCAGTATTAACCCAAAAGTCCACAGTCCAAAGTCTCATCTGAGACAAGGCAAGTCCCTTCCACCTATGAGCCTGTAAAATCAAAAGTAAGCTAGTTACTCCTAGATACAATGGGGTACAGGTATTGAGTAAATATAGCTGTTCAAAATGGGAGAAATTGGCCAAAACAAGGGGTTATAGGACCCATGCAAATCCAAAAATCCAGCAAGGCCGTCAAAATCTTAAAGTTCCAAAATGATCTCCTTTGACTCCAGGTCATGCTGATGCAAGAGGTGGGTTCCTATGGTCTTGGGCAGCTCTGCCCCTGTGGCTTTGCAGGGTACAGCCCCCCTCTTGGCAGCTTTCATTGGCTGGCATTGAATGTCTGTAGCTTTTCCAGGTGCACAGTGCAAGCTGTCAATGGATCTACCATTCTGGGGTCTGGAGGATGGTGGCCCTCTTCTCCCAGCTCCACTAGGTGGTGCCCCAGTAGGGACTCTGTGTGAGGGCTCCAACCCCACATTTCCCTTCTGCACTGCCCTAGCAGAGGTTTTCTATGAGAGCCCTGTCCCTGAAGTAAACTTCTGCATGGACATCCAGGCATTTCCATACATCCTCTGAAATCTACACAGAGGTTCCCAAACCTCAGTTCTAGACTTCTGTGCACTGGCAGGCTCAACACCATGTGGAAGCTGCCAAGGCTTGGGGCTTCCACCCTCTGAAGCCATAGCTGGAGCTGTACCTTGGTCCCTTTTAGTCATGGCTGGAGTAGCTGGGATGCAGGGCACCAGGCACAGGGACCCCGGGCCTGACCCACAAAATCATTTTTTCTTCCTAAGCCTCTAGGCCTGTGATGGGAGGGGCTGCCGTGAAGACCTCTGACATGCCTTGGAGACATTTTCCCCATTGTCTTGGGGATTAACATTTGGCTCCTCGTTACTTATGCAAATTTCTGCAGCTGGCTTGAATTTCTCCTCAGAAAATGGGATTTTCTTTTCCACTGCACTGTCAAGCTGCAAATTTTCCAAACTTTTATGTTTTGTTTCCCTTTTGAAACTGAATGCCTTTAACAGCACCCAAGTCACATCTTGAATGCTTTGACGCTTAGAAATTTCTTCTGCCAGATACCCTAAATCATCTCTCTCAAGTACAAAGTTCCACAAATCTCTAAGGCAGGGGAAAAATGCCACCAGTCTCTTTGCTAAAACATGACAAGAGTCACCTTTACTCCAGTTCCCAACAAGTTCCTCATCTCCATCTGAGACCACCTCAGCCTGGACCTTACTGTCAATATCACTATCAGTATTTTGGGCAAAGCCATTCAACAAGTTTCTAAGAGGTTCCAAACTTTCCCACATTTTCTGGTCTTCTTCTGAGCCCTCCAATTGTTCCAGCCTCTGCCTGTTACCCAGTTCCAAAGTCACTTCTACATTTTTGGGTATCTTTTCAGCAGTGCCCACTCTACTGGTACCAATTTACTGTATCAGTCCGTTTTTACACTGCTGATAAAGACATACATGAGACTGGGAAGAAAAAGAGGTTTAATTGAACTTACACTTCCACATGGCTAGGGAGGCCTCAGAATCATGGTGGGAGGCGAAAGGCACTTCTTATGTGGTGGTGGCAAACGAAAATAAGGAAGATGCAAAAGCAGAAACCCCTGATAGAACCATCAGATCTTGTGAGACTTATTCACTACCACGAAAACAGTATGGGGGAAACTGCCCCCATGATTCAAATTATCTCCTGCCAGTTTCCTCTGACAACATGTGGGAATTATGAGAGTACAATTCAACATGAAACTTGGGTGGGGACACAGAGCCAAAACATATCATAGCCTAAGTGTACCATGTTTATAAAGTCTGCAGGAATGTACAGTAATGTCCTAGAACTTCATGTTCACACACCACTCACTCATTGACTCATCCAGAGCAACTTCCAGTCCTGTAAGCTCCATTCATGATAAGAGCCCTGTAGAGAGGTACCGTTTTTTGTAAACTTTTATAATGCAATTTTACTGTACCTTTTCTATGTTTAGATATATTTAAATACATAAACACTTACCATTGTGTTATAATTGCCTACAGTGTTCAGTACAGTAACATGCTGTAGAGGTTTGTAACCTAAGAGCCATAGCGTATACCATCTAGCCTAGGCACATAGGCTATACCATCTAGCTTTGTGTAAGTTCAGTCTGTGACATTTGCATAATGATGAAATCACCTAAAAATTTATGTCTCAGAACATATCTCAGAACATAACCCTGTCATTAAGTGATACATGACTATATAAACATTCATTACAGTAATTGAGAAATTGTAAGCCTATAAAAGGCTTCAGGAAGTCCTGTAATAAAGCAATCTAGCATTGTTTACCACCCAAGGCTTCCCAAACTTATTTTTCCCTAGTTTTATTTTTCATCCAATACCTATTAAGATGTACACTGTTCTAGACTACCAATCCCTCAATGAAAAGCAAATGTAACTGCTTTCAAAAACTTGGCTAATGGAAGAAAATCTTCTTACATTCTGCTGGGCTCTTAGCTCATTGCTTCCAGGAAGATCTGTTCCAGTTCCAGGAACCAAATGACCAGTCCACAGAGCCAGAATGAAATAAGTACCAGCTGGAGAAACCAAACCCCAGGAGCCTCTGCTTCATTCTCTGAACTTTCACTTTTGGAAAGGCAAAGTGTGACTCAAATCACAGCAAAGATGATATACATGGGTCATGGTAACATGTATCGCCAGGAGAAGACAAAGACAATCAGCTCTCCACTCATATTCCTTGCATGTTCCATTTCCTGCATCTTCTCAATGGGAGTTCAAGTATTCAGGTCATATCATAATGATCCATGAAGAGTCACCAAAACACATTACTGAAGTAATAAGTGAATCTGCTGTTTGAGAAGAGACTGTCCTTTGGTCACTGTCCTTTTACCCAATGGCTTGTTTCAGGTCCTAAAGCATGCCAAGTTCTTTCCTGCCTCAGAAACTTCTTACATACCATTGCCTCAGCCAAGAATAGTTTTCTTTGTGCTTTGAGTTCCTGGTTTCTTCCAGCTTAGATGTCAGCCCCATTGAGAGACTTTCCTCAACCATCCAACATTCTCTTATTATTCCCCGTGCTCTGCTCTTTTCTTTTGTGATACTTATCTCAAGTTATAATTCCCTGCTGATTTTTTTTCTGTGTTTATTGTCTATCTGCTCCTTTAGACTCCAAGCCCCACAGGACAAGAACCACATGTGTCTCACATCCACCACTATATACCCTGCCAAGCACAATACCTGGCACAAGGCAGTGGTCTTACATCCTTTGGACTGCTATAACAAAATGCCTTAGACTGGCTAATGTGTAAATAATGGAAATTTATTGCTTATAGTTCTAGAGGCTGGGAAGCCCCAGATCAAGGTGCCGGCAGATTTGGTGTCTTCAGAAGGCTTGCTCTCTGCTTCAAAGATGGCGCCTTCTTGCTGCATCCTCATATGGTGAGAGGTGCAAACAGCTACCTCACACCTCTTCTATAAGGGCACTAATCCCATTCTTGAGGGTTCCATCCTCATGACCTAATCACTTTGTAAAGGCCTGGCCTCTTAATACTATCACATTGACAACTACGTTTCTATATATGAATTTTAGAGGGACAGATTTGGACTATAGCAGAGGTACTTTAAGGTGCTTTAAGAATAATAGGCCAGGCATGGTGGCTCACACATCCCAGCACTTTAGGAGGCTGAGGCAGGAGGATCACTTGCATCCAGGGTTCAAGTCTAGCCTGGGCAATATAGTGAGGCCCCGTCTCTACAAAAAAATAAAAAATTATCTGGGTATGGTGGAGTGTGCCTGTATTCCCTGCTACATGGGACACTGAGGCAGGAGGATTGCCTAAGCCCAGGAGGTGAAGGCTGCAGTGAGCCATGATCATGCTACTGCACTCAGCCTTGGCAACAGAATGAGACCCTGTCTCAAAAAATTAATAATAATAAGTAATAGTTAAACAAATAAATGAAAAATTTGACTCTTTGGAAAGAGTAGGAGTGCTGTTTCTCAAGCTTGCTTTAACCTCTCAGAGCCTCCCTAAAATCACTGATTCATCAGAGGAGCCCCTCTTCTGCTAAACCCAGGTGGACCCTTCCAGAGTCATAATCTCTAGGCCACCCCACATCAAGTAGCATAATTAATTGGGGGCTTTGCAGCCAGCTTGCCATGTTGGTGCTCATTACACAATGAGTGCTCGCTAAATACACAGGCTGAGAATTATCAGCGGTCTAATTTTTTTTTTATTCAGAAATGTTCCATGTCATCCCATGCCACTTCCTCGTGTACAAGTCATTTAGCTCTAATTCATGTAGCACACAGTCTGTTGTGTGAAAGCAAGAAGAAGCAGAATACATTGAGCTCCTTTTCTGTGGAAGGCATCAGGGTGGTGGACTTGTCAATGTTGTCTCATTTAATTCTCAATTATGAGATGGGTAATATCCAATTTAAGGATGGGAAACTGAGGCTCAGCCAGAGAAAAGTAACTTGCCCATGTGTCCACCAACAGGAGGCACTTGTGTTTTTTCTGCTACTCCATAGTGTGTGAAACAGAATGGACAAGGGCCCGTCAATGACTTCGTGAGAGAACTAACAAAGTCATCAGTTAGGCTCAATTTGGGGGAACGATATCTGGAAGGTTAATAAAGCAAAGTCTTTTTGACCAGATACAGCTCAGGCTTGATAAGTCGCATTTCCATGATTTTGAGATATATATTTTTTTTAGTTTTACAGAGGCAGGTGGATCACCTGAGGTCAAGAATTCAAGACCAGCCTGGACAACACGGTGAAACCCCGTGTCTATTAAAAATACAAAAAAAATTAGCTGGGCATGGTGTTGGGTGCCTCTAATCCCAGCTACTCAGGAGGCTGAGGCAGGAGAATCATTTGAACCTGGGAGGCAGAGGTTGTAGTGAGCGGAGATCGCACCACTGTACTCCAGCCTGGGCGACAGAGCGAAACTCAGTCTCAAAAACAAAAAACAAAACAAAACAAAACAAAATGCCTTACAAGTTGGTTCATTGAGCTAGTGTATCTTTTTCTCACTAAAAGTTACTATTTTGATAATGGTACTATTAAGCATGACTTGGAATCAAAGAGGCATGGTTTAGCAGAGCCTGTGATGGTGCTAGTAAAAGAAACCCACATATTTTTCCATCTGCTCCTAATAATATTTAAAATATGATTTTACCAGTTACTCACATTACTCACATTAGTCCTTATTTTATAAATTGTGAGACTGACACTCAAAGAGGTTAATTAACAAGCCCAAAGTCACACAGCTATTAACAGTCAAAGCTAGAATTCAAACCCAGGTCCACTGAGCCCCTAAGATCACATTCTTAGTCACAACAATTTCTTGGTTCCCATTCTAGCATTATAGTGTATGAGGCTTTCCACATTTACAGCAGGACACAGGACGATGGTGGTTAAGTTTTCCTCTAACACGCTATCCATAGCTTGATCAGCACTGTGACACAAAGAAAATAAAACACATAGAGATCGCATGCCTTCCACCACAGTGCAGCTGCTCTCTAGCCAGCAATGCCGGGGTTGCTGGCATTACCAGCATTACCAGTTCACAAAACACCAGCAAACACCAGATAATGTGATATTAGAGTCCCACAAGGACACAAGACCAACTACTGCTTTGGTCTTCCCCAGTGTCTAGCCTACCATGACTGCTAATGGCAATACAGGAAGCAGCTAGAAACTCCGCCAGTTTCTCTACTTATTAGTGTCAGAGTCAGCAGGGCAACAAAGCTCCATCATTGCTCACGCACAAATTTACCAGGGGAGGCACATGTGCTGCTATTTTTCACCTTTCACATAGGAGTCCCTATAGACATACTTGATACTCATTTCACTGTTCACAAATCTTCCACCTGAGATTGCCTGAAGTGCCCTGGA
This sequence comes from Homo sapiens, assembly GCF_000001405.40. Lineage (NCBI taxonomy): Eukaryota > Metazoa > Chordata > Mammalia > Primates > Hominidae > Homo > Homo sapiens. The sequence continues at coordinate 93,387,023 of NC_000008.11, forward strand.
GCTACTACTGATCCCTCTTCCCTACAGATAGGAGGCAAGAAAAGTGGTGATTAAGAAGGTGGGCATTTGAGTTGGACTGCTGGCTTGGAACCCTGGTTCTGCTACGTGCCAGCTGGGCAATGTGAGCATCACTAATGCTGTTAGTTCCTCAGTTTCCTCATCTATAAAATGTTGGTTAATATTGGGTCTGACCCAATATTAACATTATTACAGTTATCATATTGTCATGAGGCTATTAGGAGGAACTAATGAAATGTGATGTGCCTATACAATACCAGGCATAAAGCAATGTTAGACATTATAGGTAGATAAATATTCAAGTGAACTATCTAGCAAATACCATGTTTAGTATATTCTCCATTCATATGTTGCCCTTACAAAATCCTAAATTATAATAACCCTTATAATATATACTTTGTATATGTGTATATATATAAAACCCTTATAATAAGTGAATACCAAGATGATTGGCAAAGGCACTCATCCTGAGAGCCAGGACATAACAGAAATTGTCCTACTCAGGACTGGATCAAACTGGGGAGCCTCTTCTCTGTCTAAGGAGCTAGCTGTTACTCAGCACCATCTGATTATTATTCAGAAAAATACAGGTCTACTGTTGCCAGAATTTTCTATATTTCAAGAAAATCAGAAATATAGATTTTCATATGAAACCTTCCAACCTATGGATATTAGCAGTAAAACTCAAACTATTTTCAAGGCCAAAGACCAAGTAATGTCTGCATGCTTCTGGTTTGCAAGTCCCACACATGACCCAGCAACTTCAGATCTGGCAGTAAGTTTTAATTAACTCTGAATGTTGACCTCTTTATTCAGAAAGACTCTGCTTTTGGTCCTCTTTACTTCTATTATTCCTTAATCCCCTGTTGATTTACACATTTCTTCTGCAGCCCAGAACAATCGAGAAAGATTTTGAATTTGGGAGTTTCTCATTTTTTCCTCTAACAAAACTGAAGTCAAGAGCAGCTTGCCCAAAGGAATTTCAGATGCTTAATTGACTACAGAGCTCATCAGAGTATGCTAATGTTATCAAGACGTGATCATACCCCTCATGAAACTACTTCAGATTTAGTCTAAGAAAAAAACACTGAATTTTCCTTCTTTTCTTCAAATCACCAAGAAGGTATGAAACTTACAAGGAGCTTCCCTAAGATGAAAGTGTAGCATCATCTCTGGAATGAAAGTGGAAGAAGAAAATGGAGGGATAGGCATGCAGTTTGAGCTCCTTACAGATGAAGTCTTTACAGGATGCTTTCTCTAAATGGTGGAACTATTAAACATCTTCACGTGAACCAATATGAGTATCAAACAGATTCTAAATCTAAAAGTAAATTATTATTAATCCATGTGTTGAATTAATTATGCTGTTGCTCTTTTCATTAGCAGTGATTTTTGATCTTCCAAGGTATGGCTCGCTTTCAAGTTTACTACCACCATCCGCTCTATTTAAGAGCCTGTTTTGTTGACATCTGGGAAAGTCGCTATCAACAGCCGATGATCTGCTTAATTACACCTGTGTTGACTTCTCAACTCTCTCTATTTATCCCATTGTATGGGTAAACCATTTGAAACATAAACACTTCATCAGTTCTTGGCCAGATGAAGAGTAAAAAAAGAGAGGGTGAGCGAATCATCCATCATCTCAAGAGAAGCTGGAGTGGGACGCTGAATTCAGACCCAGATTCAAATCTCTCTCTATAGATGTATAACTTGTGCAAAGGGAATAATAATTGTACTTATCTAGTAGGGAGGTTGACAGGATAACATTATCTAATGTTCAAAAAAACATCAGCAGTATTAGGGTAGTATTAAATCACATATGTACATATCAATTATTGAGGGTTTCCTATGTGGCCAATCAGCATGTGAAACACTTTACACGTGTAAATCACTTAATCCTCACAACAAACCTGAGTTTAAGGATTACTGATTTCTACTTAAGGAAAAAACAAGACTTGGAGAAGTTTCTACTTTAATCAGGGGAAGCCAAGACTCAGCAAATTAATTTGCCTGAGATTACACAGCTAATAAGTAGGAAGAGTGGTATTTGAAATCCAGCTAACTGACTCCAGAGCCCACACATCTTTGCACAGCAAGGGCATTCAATGAAGGGCATGACTGACAGAAAGACATCATTTTAGCTGGGAGAGGGTACAGAAGAAGCAGTTTTCAATATTGAACCATGCAACAAGATGAAATTGAAAGACTCCGCACCAAGGTGGAAGGCAGGGAGTGAGAAATCAGAGCACAATGGGCAAATAGATGCACAGGGATGTGGCCGCACAGGGGCATGGCATCCAAGGCAGGGATAAATCCACGGAGCTGGAGTGGGAGAAATGCGGGAAGGCTTGCCCCAGGGTGGGCGTGAATTCTGGAGTGGCACTGAAAAGCTGGAGGACAGTTATGTGGTCTGTTCTCCAACATAATATAGGTCTGGAGTCTGGGTGTCCCTGGGAATAATTTGGAAGGTGTCCCAGTGTCTTTTTTTTTTTTTTTTTTTGCCTCCTTGCAGATTAATTTCTTCAGTCAGGGTATGGGCCCTGCACTGTTTCTGCCACACCCAAACTGAAAACCAATCTCTGACACGGGGAATATCTTAAGTCCCTCAAATACTTGCAAACACTTTAAACATGGCATGCTTCTTGCATGTGGGAAAATTCCCTAGTTGAAGGGTAAAGAATAATTGTTAACAATTATTTTTTAAATTCTTCCCTTTCACAGAAAGGAAAACTGTCCCAGATCCTATTCTTTAAAAAAAGAAAGAAAGAAAAAGAAGACTAAGTATAAAATTGTGTTTCAAAACCCCTGATTTACCTCTTTTAACACTTGAGTTAAGCAGGAGGCTGCAGGAGACCATGTTATTACTAAATTATGTTTTTATTTTCCTTTGATGTGCCTGATGCGGCTTGCTTGCACATATTGGGGTATTTAGTAAATGAACCCTGGGCCCTAGTTATTTATTTATTTACCAATTTCCCTGGCATTATCAAAAGCAAGGAGCAGCTGTGATTTCCCCCAGTTCAAGCATGCAGCTGAATGTTTAAAAGACCTGCCTTTGCCCAGGCTCCTGCATACTGAAGAATAACATTCACTAATGCATGAAAACTGGAGAAAGGATATCAGAGCAAAACCTGGGCTTCCAGCTGTGGGAGGGTATGTTCTCCAAAACCTTTGAGCTTTTAATAGACTTTTACTGATAAGCACACAGAAAGGCAGCTGGTTGTGGTCTTTGGAGCCTTGGAGCCCCAAGACTGTCTCTTCAGTAAGTCAGAAGGAAGAACAAAAATGGATTCCCACCTCCCCACCATCTCACTGACCTCTTAGGTCTGTGCCTTCTGATTCAGATGATGCTACCCGAAATGAGCTTCCAGGAATTGGCCCGAGCCTGATAGCCAGTAGGGAGGCCTTATGGGCAGGCAGATTGTTAAAATATAAACATATTCATCCCATGACTCATCCCAGGGGAGTCAACCTCTTCCCTGAGCCTCACAAGTACCTGCATGTTGCTCCACTCCTTTTCCCAGACCACCTGGAGTCCTCCGCAATCCAGCAATGAATGGGCTAGAACCTGGTCCTCTGGCACCCTGCATAGGGAGATGGCTGATACTTCTGGATTGGTTGGTGTCTGTGCCATTGAGATTTTAAAATACTTTTATTATTACCTGTTCGTTGATCTCATTTAGTACTACTTGCAGGATTCCAAGACAAATGGGTCTTTTCTCAGATCCCTCTCTATAGCAAACAATTAGAGAAAGATTCCTGTGTGTTTAAGGTTTCCTCGTTTTATTAGTTATCTAATAAATTATACATATGTATAACACACATACAAACTGTAGCTGTATAACAAAATGCTCCAAAATATAATGGCCTATAGCAACACATACCATCTCACAGTTTTTGCAGGCCAGAAATCTGAGCATGGCTGAGTTAGATGCTCTCATTCAGGGTCTCTTACAACATAGTTGAGATGTCAGGTGGGTCTGTACTCATCGCAAGGCTCAAGTGGAAAAGGGTCTGCTTCTGAGCTCACCTTGCTGGCAGGATTCAGTTTGTCATAAGCCTCTGGTCAGAGGTGCTCAGCTCTTCCCTGGCTGTGGACCAGAGACCACCCAGACCATCTGTTGGCCAGAGTTCCTTGCCCACATGGGTCTCTCCATAGGGCAGCTGACAACATGGCATCCGGCTTCATCAGAGCAGGGTGTGGAGGGAACAGAGGTCACAGTCTTTTATAATTTGATCTTAGAATGGATATCCTATCGCTTGCACCATATTCTATTCATTAGTAGCTAGTCTCCAGTTTCAACCCACACACAAGGAGACTGCATAAGGGAATAAATACCAGGAGGCAGTGATCGCTGGGAGCCATTTTAGAAGCAACCTAACCCATCTGTCGATGTAAAAACCTGTCGATTGTTGAAGGTCAAGTGCCGACCTTCCTACTTACTAGCTGTGCAATCTTAGGCAAATTACCTAACTTTGCTAAGCCTCCACTCCCCATGGTTAACATGGAAAGTTCTCCAAGCATCAGTCTTCTTTGCCTTAATCCCTAATTAGTAATCCCTAACTATGGAAACTTGTTCTCCCCTACTACCATGTCCCAAGAACATGTGAAAGAAAAGTCCTTGCATAAGACTTTCAGTTTGGTGATACAAGTTTGCCAGGCAGTCATTCCTGGCAACACATATTTTTAAAAGGGCCCTCTTTCTGTCTCAAATATATGCTGAAGGATAATATCTCTGCACTGGGATGCAGAACCAGTGAAAACCCAGCAGAATGGATATCCACTAAATCTGGGTCTTGCTGGCAAACTGGTGGCTCCTTGCAGCCTCATCAACTGTTCTGTGAAATCCCAGGCAGCCCATATTGGTAGCAGAATGCAAGGGAAATGGATGTCCATCAATGCTGAGAGGAAGGTGCACTGGGGCAGGGACTACATAAAATTCCAGCGCCCCCATTCCCAGCAGCCCCTGCAGAGAATTACGGCCAAGTTGAGGGGGAACAAAACGAAGTGGGAAAATGTAGGGATAGACGCTAATGCTCTATCTGTCTGAGCTGGGAATTGTAGAGCAGCCATTCTCTCCTTAACTCTACTGTCGTCTTAGAAGGACACAAACCCAGAAAGAATCCTGTAAGGCTCATTTAGTCCAGTCCCCCTCTAACTGACCACCCAGTAGGAAATAAATGGTTTATCGTCCATAATAAGGGCACCAAATAGTATCTTCTACAGATTACATAAAGCCTGAGAATGAAGCAGATCCTGGGTACAATAGCGAAAAAGCTTTTTAGTTTCATTCATCTGTCCTGACAATTGCCACTTTTCACCAGGCCAGGGACATGAGAGCATTGAGGCTCTTTGACTCAGAGCATTCAAGAAGCTGTCATCAGAGCTGGTAATGGGAAAACAATGGGCCACTTTTAAGAACATATTTATTTCTGCTGCAAAGAACTTCTCCCCTTTTATTTTCCATTACCATCACCCCTGTTTTCTCCCTCACTAGCAGCACCCGAGCACACATTATTCCCCACTTCGTGCACTGCCCCCTGCCATCCCAGGGAGTGAGAAATTGGAAATGAAACACAACACTATATGCAGATTGGTTTTAATCACCTGGAACAGATGGTGCAGAAAGTGTCAGGTAAATGCAATTTCAAATTTCCTTTGGATGTTTCTTAAAATGCAGAAACAACAAAGAAACTAAATGGACTGTCAAATGTCAGTGTCAGTTCTGGATTTGAACAGGCAGCCTTCACCATGTCTATACATAACCCTAATACTATCTAAATCTATTTCTCCACTTCCCTGTTAATTAACTAACATTTGATGGGCTAAATGAAAGCAAATATACCTAGAAACAAGGCAGACATGCCTTCCTCTTTGGCTGTGGGAGAATATAAGGGAGCCCAGTAAATGCAACTGAGCCCAGTAAATGCATCTGAGCCCAGCTCACCTGAGCTCTGCACTATAACAGGTAATTGCAATAAATCATCCTTTGGCCCATGATCCCAGCCTAGTGAAGATTAATGGCAGTAGACACTAAAGCTGCCAACTTGGAAGATTTCCGTGGTGGTAGAGAAGAGGCTATGTGTAAGGAATGTGTGATAAAATGCTATGCTGGGACCATAATAAACGGGCTGGAAGGGAGCCGAGGTCCTCCTCTGTAATGCAGAGACATTAAGACCTGTCTGATTGTGATGACAGACAGGTATTTGACCGAGCACACTGGCAGCTATAAAAAAAAAAATAGCTAAAAGCTAATGTCAAGATGTGATGTAGACCTGCCACCTGCCATCAGGAGTAATTATGGTCTGACCACTTGCTTGTAAGGAGGGCAGAGGAAACAATATTTTATCTGACTGCAAGGGATCGACTACATTTGATTTGCGCCCCTGATGGCATGACTGGCCCACTGTCACCCTCCATGATGAAGCAGCAGAGCCAGACATTGGCAACTGTCCTCACTGGAGGGGATTTGAGGGCTGGCTGACTTTCACACACTCCACTTAGGAGGAAGCCAGTGAAGGGAGAAAAATTTGGTCTGAAGAGATAACTGAATACTTTGTACTCAAAGAATAAAACAGCTTCAACACATAACTAGACATGTGGACATCATCACTCCAGGAGCCCCTTCAGAAATGTGGGTCCCAGGAAAGCAGAGAGACCTGCACTGCGCAGACCAAATACATTTCAGAAAGTGGTGAGCTTGTGGACATGGAAGTGAACCTTCCCACCTTCTTGGCAACATACTCTCAGGCATAGAAAGAGTGGTTGTCACCTCATGGGCTTTGAACCTTTGAGTGCTCTAGGAGAACCAAGAAAGGAGTTGAGAGCTCTGTTGGAAGAGACCCTGTATTTAATTACTAAGGAAGTTGCCACAAAGTGCCACAAACTGAGTGGCTTAAGCAACAGAAATTTATAATCTCTCAGTTTTGGAGGCTAGAAGTCTAAAATTGATGTGTCGGCATGGTCTGCTCTTTCTGAGGGCTGTGGGGGAGGATCTGTTTCCAGGCCTCTCTTTTTAGCTTGTAGACAGCCATCTTCAGGTTCACAAGGTCTTCTCCCTGTATGTGAGTCTATCCAAATTTCTCCCCCACCCTTTTTTTTTCTTTTTTTTTTAGACGGAGTTTCACTCTTGCCCTGGAGTACAATGCCGCAATCTCAGCTGACTGCAACCTCCACCTCCTGGGTTCAAGCGATTCTCCTGCCTCAGCCTCCCGAGAAGTTGGGATTACAGGTGCGCACCACCATGCCTGGCTAACTTTTGTGTTTTTAGTAGAGACAGGGTTTCACCATGTTGACCAGGCTGATCTTGAACTCCTAACCTCAGGTGATCCACCCACCTCGGCCTCCCAAAGTGCTAGGATTACAGGCATGAGCCACCACACCCAGCCTAAATTTCCCATTTTTATAAGGACACCAATCATATTGGACTAGAACCCACCCTCGTGACCTCATGTTAACTTGGTTATCTCTACAAGGACCCTATCTCCAGAAATGTCACATTCAGAGGCCCCAGGGATTAGAACTAGAACACCCAAACGTGGAGGGGAACACAATCCAACCCATAACGGGCCTCTAGAAGACTCCACCATGCCAAGTGTGCATAGGAATAATACGTTCTCCGAAGTCAGGAAGGAAATGTCCAGATACTGCAGCAGTGGAGGAAGGCCAGGTCAGTAGGATGTGGAATGAGGCAGAGATCACCAGGTATGTGAAGCAGGTGATAATTCCCACAGGTATAATGGTGCAGGTGAGGCCAGGTATGAGAGGGCACAAAACTCTGATGGAGCTCAAGGGAAAGTCGGCAACAGAATGAAGGGACTACCAGCTGGGAAGATTGACTTTGGGGTCCCAGACAGCATCAGTGGACAACCTGGAGCTAGGCTCAGAAATGACACATAAAGACACAGGAAATCTTTCTGATGGGGAGCAGAGCATGTAATGTCCTTTGGTCTGTCCCAGCTTAGCTCTTCTTTAGTTGACCCCTTAAAGCAGCAGTCAGTCTCCAACCTTTTTGGCACCAGGGACCGGTTTTGTGGATGACCAATTTTCCATGGACCGAGTGGTGGGGATGGTTTCGGGGTGAAACTGTTCCACTCAGATCATCAGGCATTAAATTCTCATGAGGAGCGCACAGCATAGATCCCTCACATGTTCAGTTCACAATAGGGTTCCCGCTCCTATGAGAATCTAATACCGCCGCAGGTCTGACAGGAGGCAGAGCTCAGGTGGCAATGCTCGCTGGCCACTCACCTCCTGCTGTGTGACTTAGTTCCTAACAAGCTATGGACAGGTACCAGTCTGCAGCCTGGGGCTGGGGACTTCTGTCATAAAAGACACAGGATTTGTTCCACAGGCCCTGATCCTGCACAGGGGCAGCAATTCCGCATCCATCCAGAGTGTTCAAGGTCAGCACCTCCGGCATTTTACCAGGAACATCTGATCCCCCATGAACTGGGTAGGAAGTTCCTTCAAAATCTTAGAGTTCACTTCATGGAGTTATATGTCCTCTGGGCTCCCTGGGCAGAGAACAGAAGACTGATACATGGATTCTTGACCAGATTTTGATAGTAGCGTTATTAATTAGAGGTGATAACACCATAGAAACATTTGCTACTCTTACCCAAGAGATAATCTAGAAACACTAAAGTGCTAGACAGGGAGAGAAGGAATGACTTTGGAATAAAATGAAAGAAAATACTATCACCTCATAGGGTTTATTCCCTTTCCATTTCTATTAACTATTAATAAATTTGAATAAAATATTAGATTTTCAGTTATTTTGTCTGAAATATTGTCCTGATAACTCACTAGGAAAATGAAGATATAACAGATCTTCACCTTCAAACTCTGTAACTATGACTTCTCAACAACTCTATGGTCCAGGTAAGAAAAATATGTCAAAGTGTTTTTCAGAAAATCAATGGTCCTGTTTTTTATTAACTCATAACTTTTTGAAATGTTCTTTATGTGGCTGGGTGTGGTGGCTTATGTCTGTAATCCCAACACTTTGGGAGGCTGAGGCGGGTGGATCGCTTGAGGACAGGAGTTAGAGACCAGCCCTAGCCAACATGGTAAAACCTCATCTCTACTAAAAATACAAAAATTAGCCAGGTGTGGTGGCGGGTGCCTGTAGTCCCAGCTACCCTGGAGGCTGAGGCAGGAGAATTGCTTGAACCTGGGAGGAGGAGGCTGCAGTGAGCCAAAGTCACGCCACTGCACTCCAGCCTGGGTGACAGAGCGAGCCTCCATCTCAAAATAAAATAAAATAAAATAAAAATATTCTTTACGGCTTAAAAGTTTTTATTGTTGCTTCTTTTGGGGTCTGAAGATGAGATTTGAGCTTAAATTATTTCAGCTGTTAAATATTCAAGAGCTGTATACATTTTCTCGTTTTGGTTTAAAAAGTTATTTTCAATAGCTCAACTAAAGCATTTCTAACAAATATTACAGAACCTGGAACCTTGCTTGTTTATGGTACTCTGTGAAAAAGATATTCTTCTCCAGTTTGAAAGTGTCAGAGGATACTTTTATGATTGCAAATATTATAAGGTGAGTAAGCATGTGAGTCAAGCATTTCTCTACATTTTATATATTTTCTACCCGGGGTTTGATTTATGATACACATGTGGCCTGCGACCAAACTCTTACTTCTTTGAACAGGAAATTAATAAATGTCTATTAACTTGAAAAGAAAAATCTAGGGCAAAAGTGAAAGTACTTAGCAAGATGATTCCTCCGACCAAAAGCAATAAAAGAAAAAACACTCTTGGCATAGTAAGTCCTCCAAGTAAATTCTAATTTATGCTATTAATTCAACTTACTATCACTACATTCTAACATTATTATTTATTAAACACCTAATATGACCTTAATAAGCTTGATAAACATAATAAACTTAATAAACACTGTCACACAACATGATTTCAAGTTTTCTTTATGATTACCCTACAAGGTTGATAGCATTATTCCCAATTGAACGATGTAACTGAGGCTCAGAGGGTCATGTACCATGACCAGGGGTGCTTCAAAAGTATGTGATCTGTGCAGTCACACAGGCCCCTACACTAGGAAGAACGCTGTGCTTGGTTTAATGCTCTGATGCTGTCACCTTAAAATTCTTACTAAGTTTTGAACAAGAGCACATTTTGCCCCGAGTCCCACAAATCACTTATTAGACATTAATATTATTTTTCCTCCACTTTTTTGGAATTGTCGTTTGCAAACAAGCAGCAAATCTGCAAAAGATATTAAAATAACCAGTTCCCATCTATTCTACTGCCTCCACATATTACCCTTTGCCTCACACACTCATGTACAAATTCATACAAATGAGAGTAGTCTGTGCTTGTTATCTGGATAGAGTAAGGCTCTATGAAACACATGCTGAACAAATAAATAAAATGTCATTTATGCTTCAAAAAGGAAAAAAAGTTCTTAAAGTAATCTTATCATCTACCAAAAAAGTTTATCTGATGTTCTGCAACACAAAATAAATAAAACCAATCTGGAAATTCTGGTAAAGTTTACCAACTCTCCTCTGTCTCCAGTCTGCCTACCCACTTTCTCTTCATTTTCAAAAGTTATATGCTGGCCTTTTGGTAGAGCATGCTATGTTTTGGAACAATGTCTTATGAGGCTATATTCTATGTTAGGAAAATCATTAGAGATCATCATTCTAGTCTCACTTCTTTCCCAATGTAGCCATCTTTCAAAATATTCCATTTACAGGGTATCCAGCCTCTACCAATATAAGTTATTTTTATTTTGTATCATCTACATAATATTTCTTTCTCTTCCTCTCTCTTTTCCTCCCCTTCTTTCTCCTTCTCTCTTTCCCTCTCCCTTTCTCTCTCTTTCTCTTTCTCTCTTTCACACACACACACACACACACACACACATTTCACAAATAAGCTTTCAATGCATTTTCTGTAAATTTCTAGCCTCTTATTGTCAATGGGATTTTGTGTCTGGAATTAGGACCATCACCATGAATTCACAAGCAACTAACAAGTTCCCTAAGTCAGCAACTATCAGATCTGTTGCAGAAATCCTACCAGACATGATTTCTGGAGGACAGCCAAGGGGGCTGGGAATCTGTTGTGAGTCAGCCAGACTGTTTTCACTGAGCACATCTGATTCTACAAACACTTAAGATCATCTATCTCCTTCACCCAGAGCTTGCAACTTGCCAGCAGGAATAAATAGGGAGGCACAGGCCCCCAGCCTGAGCCTGAGGGTTATGGTTTCTGGGCAGAATCAAATCATGGGCTTTGACTTTCTTTCCTCCTGAAGGATAAAAATGATTCAGGCTGAAGCAGCTGACAAATATGGAAATCATTAACAGACTAAACTGTACACAACAACCAAAGTATTAAGAAATATCAGTAAACAAAATAACCAGTACTTCTGATCCTCAAAGTCCCTGAACTGAGAAACAGGGCCAAGACTCTTGGCCATCCCCTGATCCAAGTCTCTCATTCTGCATGTCAAGAGGATACTGTTCAAGATTACACAATTGCTTGCAACCAAGCAAAGACTCTATCTAGATGTCCTTCCTGCTTGCCCAGTCATCTCCCCACCAACAAATGCTGGTTCCCTCTTTCCTGCTGCTTCCCAAGACACCACTTCCTTCCTGGCCTTGTTTTCCATTCTATCTTGGCTTCTACCCACAGCCTAATTCCAGGGGTGAGAAGGACACTGCAATCTGAGCCTTCCATGGGACCCACGTGTCAAGTACGGGGAGAGAAAGACTGTAGTTTTCCTACTGCCACTCTCCTCTTCCCTCAGCATTTTGTTTCATGTTGCCATTTTAACATTAGTAGTGGCTGCTATATTCATACTTCCTTCCAGTTAATCTATGAATATGGAAATGAGGACCCCAGTATCGAAATAAAGACTTAGTCCACCTATCTCAGGGATAATCTATACTTCTCCACATACTTTAAAGCTTTAGACATGCATGAGGTTACTTCATTGGTTGCCACAGTGAGTGGAAGACACTACCAGCACTTAGTGGATAGGAGCCAGGGATTCCAGGCACCTGCAATGCCCAGAACAGTTCCTTGCAGCAAATCATCCTACTCAAATTGTCAACAGCATTCCATTGAGAAACACTGCCAGAGCTGGCTACCTAAGACAGAATCCCCTTTCTTCCTCTCTGCTGCATGCCTCAGTTGGACTGGGGAGGCAGGATAGAATAGAAAAATCATCAGAGTCCAGGCAGGGAGCTAAGCTTCCCAACACAGTACCTTCAGTGACAACTGGCCTCGGATAAGTCCTAACTACTCAAGACTATTTTTTTTTCTTGTCTCTCTCTCTCTCTCATCATAAAATGAGAACACTAACATCTAATTGCAAGCATTACGTGAAACTGTACATAAAATCACAAAGCACCTATTAGTGTAAAAAAATGTAGAGAATTTTATTCACCACATTTCCTATGGAAGAAAATTAGAGAAGAACGGATGATGCTTCATGGGGAAGCTGCAAGAAGAGGGTATCCCAGTGGGGGCTGAAGCTTAGACTTTTAGAAGACTCAGAGCGTGTGTGTGGTTTTAGGTGTGTGGGGATAAGGAGCAGTAGAAGGGGAAAGTATCAACAAAATATCGTAAGCCATGCAATGTAATCCCAACATCTTCAAGAGAAGTACTAGAAAAACATCATACTGTGAGGTTAGGTGTCTTGCGGACACTTGCAGAGGGTAAATTTTACATCAGGACAGCTCAGAAACAGAACCTGTGTGGTGGCAGGATAAGAAAACTTGAGGTAGAAAGTGGTATTAACCAGGATGTAAAATCTGCTGACTCCAACCCAGTTCACCTGAATTTCAAAGGCATAAAGAAATGGCAGGTGACAGCCAGGTCAAGTAGGTACTGAAAAATGTTTTTAAAACTAAGGCTAGACTCTCTCATTCCCCTACCCCACTCTGAAACAGATCCTCAAACTTACAATTGGTCAGTATTTATTGAGAGCTCTCTCTATAGGTAAAACATTGCAGGGACTAAAAGGAACTTGACATCATGTTCTCAGATATGGTGGTTTAAAGAATGGGCTTTGAGGTCAAATACATCTGCATGCAGTCCGCGTCTGCCTTTTCCTAGCAGCTTAATCTCAGGTATTTCAATGTAAGTCTGACTCCCAATATTCTCATCTGCTAAATGGCAACAAAAAGAGTACCTATGTCAGAATGTGGTGAGAGGACATCAGATAATCCCTGTAAATGTGTGCTATTATTAATGGTACCTCGTGGGGCATATGACTCCATAAATAGCTGCTAAAGTAAAAGGAACTAAAATGAATTTAAATTTCCACATTTTTGTCCCCTTTGAATTATTACAGTCATGTGCCACAGTCACCTATGATGGAGATAAATCTGAATACAGCATGAGACATGAAAGACTCATTTTGTAAGCCCATTGATTCCTTGATATATATTTTTTTTGCTGCAATCCCAACACAATATTTTTTTAGAAATGAGAAGCAGGATTCCATTAAAAGAATGTTTTGCAATCATGTAAATGCACAGAACTCTACTACTCTTAAACTACTGAAAACAGCCTCTTCCCTGAGAATTGAGAAGGCTTGGTGCTTCCACATTCCAGTCAGTGTCTGGCATAACATGGGTATTGTATTAATGTTTGCAGAATGAATACTTTGAATGGCTACTCTAGCTAGTGAGATACTTCATGCTGATGAGCCTGCTTCCTAATGTTTAGATGCTAAATGCTTTCATTCTATTTTGTAGTAAGTATTATAGATAAGTCTAGATAAAATTAGCTGATAATGTGTGGGACTCAAATATGTTATAATATTTCCTCTTTCCTCTAATGGATAGAATTATGCCATTATACCTGAATCCAGCCATTAAATTATCTTACTTGAACATAGAAATTTTCGCTTTGCATGAAGACCATAAAAAGCTAAAAGAGGAGTTGCAGCATCTCATCAAATAATGTTCTCTCAAACTCTGTGTACATACCCATAGGCTTCACCAATAGTGCTGTCCTAATGAGAAGGTGATGGTTTAAAGATGACCAGTTTTCTGCAAACAAGGCACCAAAATGTCCCCCATGCTTAGTCAATCTTTAGACTATAAGTTCAATGAGGGTAGCTGTAGACTGTGTCTATTTTGTTAATTACTGTATCCTCAGTGGCCAGCACGATGTCTGGAAAGTAGGAGGAGCTCAATCAATATTTTTAGAGTAAATGATTCCTGAACTCCAATCTAATTATTTTGAACAGCACCTAGGCAGTTACTCTGGGTGGGGACATGGGCCTCCTCACCAGTGTTTTAGGGGAGCTGCTGCCTAATGTCATTGTTAAGGTATTGAGCACTTCAGCCTTGGGAAAGGAACAGCAAGGACCATTTTTTAATCCCACTGCCAAGAAGCCTTGACATCTTTGAAACATGAAAAGACAGTTGCCAAACAGCGAAAAGCAGCGTGAGCACCAGGCAGAAGCTCATCTTTCTGACCAGGAATCTTAATTTACCTCAGTTGAGACTAATTTGTGGAGAGGAACTTCATTCTAACTTTCAGCCAAATTTCATACTGAAAGGATGCTGCAGGCTAGTGAGGATCCACAATGCAGAAAGTTGTTAGAGAATCATCAACATGGCTGTGCACTTTGTTGCTTATATCACCCATGGATATCAATAATCATATGAAACAATGATGACAGTGGACATTTACAGAGCACTTACCACATGCTGGGAACTCTAAGTCCTGAATATGTATTGTTCCATGAAATACACACTAAAACACCGTGACGTAGATACTAGTATTCCCATTTCTCAGTTGCAATAACTCACCATTTAAAGAGCATAAGTGGTTCAACTGGGGTCTTACAAATGTGTTAAGAGAAGAAGTCAGGATTTAGATCCCAGCCTGCCTGTTTCCAAAGGCTCTTGATGACTAGGTGAATTTCTTGTTAAATTAATACCTCATGACTTCTCTCCACCTTCTCTCTGAAAACTTAGATGAAAACCTTCAAGACAAATAAGAGTACATCTGGACATTGCTGTCTCTCTCTCTCTTTTTTTTTTTTTATCCATTTCTACAAGTGTTCGCATGACCTAGACTGTGAAAAGTTTCAACTATAATGAGTGCCCAGGGCCAGTCACACAAGAATTCTCACACAGGATAGATAGAACAAGATGGTATAACCATGTTTATAAAGTAAGAGTTTCCTTCATCAGCCATTGCTCTAATAGAGCAAATAAAGCATTTTCCATTAAAAGATCTGGCAAGTTATTATTCACTTCTCTGATTCTCATAGGTGGAAGGAGCATGGGCTTTGGACTCACAGACGTATCAGGACTCCTGGGGACCCACCAGTAACAAAGAATGAGTGAGCTATAATTCATTCCACCCACTGCAATGGAGTCATCAGGTGTTTCTGTATTCATTCATGAAGTACAGAGATGATCTACATCTGTGCTGCCCAAAACAATAGCCACTAGCGATATTTGGCTATTAAATTAATTAAATGTAAATCAAATTAAAAATTCAGTTCTTCAGTTATACTAATCACATTTCAAGCACTTGTGCATATGGCTAATGGCTACTATATTGGACAGTACAGATCTAGACCATTTCTAGAACATCCTAATCATCACAGAAAGTAACATTGGACAGCATCGGTCTAGATTTAAAAAAAAAGCAAGAGAGAGAGCAAACTATTGGTTTTCAAACAACTCTGTTATTTAAAGGAAGAGGGGTCATATGTTTCAGTGTTAGTTTTAATTTGGGGGTTGTTGTTTTCTAATGGGTTATATTAGTCAGGAATCATTTGATTACAAGGGAAAAAATTGAACTCAAAAATAGCTTAAGCAAAATAGCGAATTTCTTTGTTTCTATAACTGAAAAATATAGAAATAAAGCCCAGCTGGATCAGGGGTTCAAATATATCATTAAAACAATATCTTTCCATCTCTCAGCTCTACTTTCTATGTGGCTTTCTTCTTGGGCTGGCTTTATTCATATGGGGGCAAAGATGGCTCCTGATAGACTCAAGCTCATATGGTTCTTAAAACCCACAATCTCAAATTTGACCTTGTGTATCAGTTTCTCATTGGTTTGACCCTAATCCATATGGAAATGTTTATTAAAGTACTGCTGCTATTCATCACAGACTTCACTATTATCCCAGCATAATAGAAGAGGCATTATCATTACGTATTGAGAAGACAACAGTTTGTGTCTGAATCCTTGTTATCAAACAGTTTGTGTTTGAATCCTTGTTATCTTCTCAATATGTAATGATAATTACAGTCCAGTCCAGACTGAAATTCCAGTCCAGACTCTCAAATTTATGAGCTGTATGACCTTTGCCACATCTAATCATTTCTCTATGCCTCGATTTTCTTATCTTAAAATGAGGATAAATAATAACGCTAATCTTACAGGGTCCGTTGTTTTTGTTGCTGTCGTTTTGAGACAGGGTCTCACTCTGTCACTCAGGCTGGAGTACAATGGTACGATCTTGGCTCACTACAGCCTCCACCTCCTGGGTTTAAGTGGTCCTCCCATTTCGGCTACCTTAATAAACATTTCCATATGGATCAGGGTCAAACCAATCAGAAACTGATATAGAAGTTCAAATTTGAGATCGTGGGTACTAAGAACCATATGAACTTGAGTCTCTCCTGAGTATCTGGGTCTACAGGCACACACCGCCACATCTAGCTAAATTTTGTATTTTTTGTAAACATGGAGTTTCACCATGTTGCCCAGGTTGGTCTTGAACTCCTGGACTCAAGCAATTTGCCCCTATGAGGCCCGTTCTGAGGATAAATGGGATAATTCATACAAAGTGCTTAGCACAGTGTCAAACAAATAGCAATCACACTATTGAGGCTAGCTATTATTGTCACTATTATTATTCTTAACCATACAAAGCAGTGCAAAATAAATATCCAATGACTAGAGAAAACACTAAGTGTTCCAGGAATTAGGAAAGTGAGCAACCGCTGCAGCCTTGTGTGTTCAAGAAGGGCTTCATAGAGAACACAAGATGTGAACAGGGTTTTGAAGCAGGGGCACACAAGCAGAAGGGAGGGATTAGAGCCCTTCTCATCACAGCATCCAAGAAACTAATGCCTGTGTCTCTGAAGCCATGTTTCCTACAAGGGAATAGGAGGCAGGAGATGGTGCAGGCTTTTCTTTACCCATCATCTGCAAAAAACAGTTGAGAGGCAGCATGTTTTTCTTAAAATGTTAATAATAAGAGCACACCAAAACTGAATCTGAGAAGCCAGGCGTGACTCATCTGCCATTCCTGTACCCCTGAGTTCTCAGCACTGCTGGTGCCTGATGGTGATGAGGTCTTCCCAGAGGGGTGAGCCTGAGCAGACTGTACGGGAAGGCTCGGCGCATCTTCCAAATGCCTCTGTCTGTCCAGTGGGGGTGGAGGCCTCCTAACAGCTGCTGCACTGCTTTGTAAACAAGTGGGGAACATACTTCTTTAAACTGGAATCCTGCAGCTGAAAAATATGTTTACCTCTCCAAGGATTTGGTTGGAAATGCTTCAAAGATTTCTGCTTTTCCCAGAAAGCTGGAGCTCAGTATGAAGCAATGTGCTTCATCTCTGAGAACGCTGCTCTCCTTGGGTGAGAAGAACAGGATTTTCCAGCTTGACAGTAAATAACTTTCTGACTTGGGCAAAAGGATGGGACCAGATTACCTCCAAGGTAGATGAAATGCCATTTAGCTCATGTGCAAAGTAATTGTGAAGAAAACGCTCCCATCCAAGGTAGGGGCGGGCATTGTGCAGGAGATAGGCACATTTCCAGAGCATGTTGTGATGTTTGGATCAGTTCCAGAGACCACTGCCAAGGCCTGCCTCTGGGCAGCTGCAGCTTTAGGGGGGCCTAATCATCCCCCACCCATGCCCCACTACAGCCTTGTATGTGTGCTTGTGTGTGTGTGTACACATGCGTGCACCAGCCAAAAACATTAATTAGCATGTGCTTTCTGTATTAGAGCTTAAAAGCCATCGGGGCAGCTGTTGTCTAGAAGCCAAGGAACTAAATTCAAGTCACAGCTCTGTCAATTGGCCATATGACCTCTGCCAGGTCATCTCACCCCTCTGAGCTTTGAGTTCTTCATTTGTAAAGGAAGATGATAATATCTGAACCAATTAACTCAGGGTTTCAATGAAGATACAAATTAAAATGAGATGATGTACTGGAAAGTCTTGCAGCAACCCTAAAGCCCCGCTTCTCAAGGTCTGGATCACAACCCAGCAGCGCTGACTTCCTCTGGGAGCTTGTTATAAATGCAGATTCATGGGCTCAACCTCAGACTTACTGAAATAGACCCTGCATTTTAACATGATCCTCAAGGTAATCAATATACACTTTCAAGGGACTGCTCTAAAGCACTATAAGACAGATTTAGGAAATTGTTCTAAAGCTGAACAAAGCCCAAACCACTCTGGGTTTCCAAAATTTCCACTACACAACTGCTTTCCTGAGCCAGCACTGCTTCCTTGGCAGATCGGACATTCTCAGAGAGCAGCAACACTGTCATTGATCAATTCTCTGGGATGCCCAGCACAATAGCATTCTTATACAAGATTGATGGCACTATATATATATATATATATATATATATATATATATATATGTATATATATATATATATGTATATATATATATATATGTATATATATATATATATGTATATATATATATATATATATATGTGTATATATATATATATATATGTATATATTTTAAACTTTACCCTGGCTTGAAAGACACTACACGCAGGGGAGGAGCCAAGATGGCCGAATAGTAACAGCTCCGGTCTACAGCTCCCAGCGTGAGCGACGCAGAAGACAGGTGATTTCTGCATTTCCATCTGAGGTACCGGGTTCATCTCACTAGGGAGTGCCAGACAGTGGGCGCAGGCCAGTGTGTGCTCGCACCGTGCGCGAGCCGAAGCAGGGCGAGGCATTGCCTCACCTGGGAAGCGCAAGGGGTCAGGGAGTTCCCTTTCCGAGTCAAAGAAAGGGGTGACGGACGCACCTGGAAAATCGGGTCACTCCCACCCGAATATTGCACTTTTCAGACCGGCTTAAAAAACGGCGCACCACGAGACTATATCCCACACCTGGCTCAGAGGGTCCTACACCCACGGAATCTCGCTGATTGCTAGCACAGCAGTCTGAGATCAAACTGCAAGGCGGCAACGAGGCTGGGGGAGGGGCGCCCGCCATTGCCCAGGCTTGCTTAGGTAAACAAAGCAGCCGGGAAGCTCGAACTGGGTGGAGCCCACCATAGCTCAAGGAGGCCTGCCTGCCTCTGTAGGCTCCACCTCTGGGGGCAGGGCACAGACAAACAAAAAGACAGCAGTAACCTCTGCAGACTTAAGTGTCCTGTCTGACAGCTTTGAAGAGAGCAGTGGTTCTCCCAGCACGCAGCTGGAGATCTGAGAACGGGCAGACTGCCTCCTCAAGTGGGTCCCTGACCCCTGACCCCCGAGCAGCCTAACTGGGAGGCACCCCCCAGCAGGGGCACACTGACACCTCACACAGCAGGGTATTCCAACAGACCTGCAGCTGAGGGTCCTGTCTGTTAGAAGGAAAACTAACAACCAGAAAGGACATCTACACCGAAAACCCATCTGTACATCACCATCATCAAAGACCAAAAGTAGATAAAACCACAAAGATGGGGAAAAAACAGAACAGAAAAACTGGAAACTCTAAAACACAGAGCGCCTCTCCTCCTCCAAAGGAACGCAGTTCCTCACCAGCAACAGAACAAAGCTGGATGGAGAATGATTTTGACGAGCTGAGAGAAGAAGGCTTCAGACGATCAAATTACTCTGAGCTACGGGAGGACATTCAAACCAAAGGCAAAGAAGTTGAAAACTTTGAAAAAAATTTAGAAGAATGTATAACTAGAATAACCAATACAGAGAAGTGCTTAAAGGAGCTGATGGAGCTGAAAACCAAGGCTCGAGAACTACGTGAAGAATGCAGAAGCCTCAGGAGCCGATGCGATCAACTGGAAGAAAGGGTATCAGCAATGGAAGATGAAATGAATGAAATGAAGCGAGAAGGGAAGTTTAGAGAAAAAAGAATAAAAAGAAATGAGCAAAGCCTCCAAGAAATATGGGACTATGTGAAAAGACCAAATCTACGTCTGATTGGTGTACCTGAAAGTGATGGGGAGAATGGAACCAAGTTGGAAAACACTCTGCAGGATATTATCCAGGAGAACTTCCCCAATCTAGCAAGGCAGGCCAACGTTCAGATTCAGGAAATACAGAGAACGCCACAAAGATACTCCTCGAGAAGAGCAACTCCAAGACACATAATTGTCAGATTCACCAAAGTTGAAATGAAGGAAAAAATGTTAAGGGCAGCCAGAGAGAAAGGTCGGGTTACCCACAAAGGGAAGCCCATCAGACTAACAGCTGATCTCTCGGCAGAAACCCTACAAGCCAGAAGAGACTGGGGGCCAATATTCAACATTCTTAAAGAAAAGAATTTTCAACCCAGAATTTCATATCCAGCCAAACTAAGCTTCATAAGTGAAGGAGAAATAAAATACTTTATAGACAAGCAAATGCTGAGAGATTTTGTCACCACCAGGCCTGCCCTAAAAGAGCTCCTGAAGGAAGCGCTAAACATGGAAAGGAACAACCGGTGCCAGCCGCTGCAAAATCATGCCAAAATGTAAAGACCATCGAGACTAGGAAGAAACTGCATCAACTAACGAGCAAAATCACCAGCTAACATCATAATGACAGGATCAAATTCACACATAACAATATTAACTTTAAATATAAATGGACTAAATTCTGCAATTAAAAGACACAGACTGGCAAGTTGGATAAAGAGTCAAGACCCATCAGTGTGCTGTGTTCAGGAAACCCATCTCACGTGCAGAGACACACATAGGCTCAAAATAAAAGGATGGAGGAAGATCTACCAAGCCAATGGAAAACAAAAAAAGGCAGGGGTTGCAATCCTAGTCTCTGATAAAACAGACTTGAAACCAACAAAGATCAAAAGAGACAAAGAAGGCCATTACATAATGGTAAAGGGATCAATTCAACAAGAGGAGCTAACTATCCTAAATATTTATGCACCCAATACAGGAGCACCCAGATTCATAAAGCAAGTCCTGAGTGACCTACAAAGAGACTTAGACTCCCACACATTAATAATGGGAGACTTTAACACCCCACTGTCAACATTAGACAGATCAACGAGACAGAAAGTCAACAAGGATACCCAGGAATTGAACTCAGCTCTGCACCAAGCGGACCTAATAGACATCTACAGAACTCTCCACCCCAAATCAACAGAATATACATTTTTTTCAGCACCACACCACACCTATTCCAAAATTGACCACATAGTTGGAAGTAAAGCTCTCCTCAGCAAATGTAAAAGAACAGAAATTATAACAAACTATCTCTCAGACCACAGTGCAAACTAGAACTCAGGATTAAGAATCTCACTCAAAGCCGCTCAACTACATGGAAACTGAACAACCTGCTCCTGAATGACTACTGGGTACATAACGAAATGAAGGCAGAAATAAAGATGTTCTTTGAAACCAACGAGAACAAAGACACCACATACCAGAATCTCTGGGACGCATTCAAAGCAGTGTGTAGAGGGAAATTTATAGCACTAAATGCCTACAAGAGAAAGCAGGAAAGATCCAAAATTGACACCCTAACATCACAATTAAAAGAACTAGAAAAGCAAGAGCAAACACATTCAAAAGCTAGCAGAAGGCAAGAAATAACTAAAATCAGAGCAGAACTGAAGGAAATAGAGACACAAAAAACCCTTCAAAAAATCAATGAATCCAGGAGCTGGTTTTTTGAAAGGATCAACAAAATTGATAGACCGCTAGCAAGACTAATAAAGAAAAAAAGAGAGAAGAATCAAATAGACACAATAAAAAATGATAAAGGGGATATCACCACCGATCCCACAGAAATACAAACTACGATCAGAGAATACTACAAACACCTCTATGCAAATAAACTAGAAAATCTAGAAGAAATGGATACATTCCTTGACACATACACTCTCCCAAGACTAAACCAGGAAGAAGTTGAATCTCTGAATAGACCAATAACAGGCTCTGAAATTGTGGCAATAATCAATAGTTTACCAACCAAAAAGAGTCCAGGACCAGATGGATTCACAGCCGAATTCTACCAGAGGTACAAGGAGGAACTGGTACCATTCCTTCTGAAACTATTCCAATCAATAGAAAAAGAGGGAATCCTCCCTAACTCATTTTATGAGGCCAGCATCATTCTGATACCAAAGCCGGGCAGAGACACAACCAAAAAAGAGAATTTTAGACCAATATCCTTGATGAATATTGATGCAAAAATCCTCAATAAAATACTGGCAAACCGAATCCAGCAGCACATCAAAAAGCTTATCCACCATGATCAAGTGGGCTTCATCCCTGGGATGCAAGGCTGGCTCAATATACGCAAATCAATAAATGTAATCCAGCATATAAACAGAGCCAAAGACAAAAACCACATGATTATCTCAATAGATGCAGAAAAAGCCTTTGACAAAATTCAACAACTCTTCATGCTAAAAACTCTCAATAAATTAGGTATTGATGGGACGTATTTCAAAATAATAAGAGCTATCTATGACAAACCCACAGCCAATATCATACTGAATGGGCAAAAACTGGAAGCATTCCCTTTGAAAACTGGCACAAGACAGGGATGCCCTCTCTCACCGCTCCTATTCAACATAGTGTTGGAAGTTCTGGCCAGGGCAATCAGGCAGGAGAAGGAAATAAAGGGTATTCAATTAGCAAAAGAGGAAGTCAAATTGTCCCTGTTTGCAGACGACATGATTGTTTATCTAGAAAACCCCATCGTCTCAGCCCAAAATCTCCTTAAGCTGATAAGCAACTTCAGCAAAGTCTCAGGATACAAAATCAATGTACAAAAATCACAAGCATTCTTATACACCAACAACAGACAAACAGAGAGCCAAATCATGAGTGAACTCCCATTCACAATTGCTTCAAAGAGAATAAAATACCTAGGAATCCAACTTACAAGGGATGTGAAGGACCTCTTCAAGGAGAACTACAAACCACTGCTCAAGGAAATAAAAGAGGACACAAACAAATGGAAGAACATTCCATGCTCATGGGTAGGAAGAATCAATATCGTGAAAATGGCCATACTGCCCAAGGTAATTTACAGATTCAATGCCATCCCCATCAAGCTACCAATGACTTTCTTCACAGAATTGGAAAAAACTACTTGAAAGTTCATATGGAACCAAAAAAGAGCCCGCATCGCCAAGTCAATCCTAAGCCAAAAGAACAAAGCTGGAGGCATCACACTACCTGACTTCAAACTATACTACAAGCCTACAGTAACCAAAACAGCATGGTACTGGTACCAAAACAGAGATATAGATCAATGGAACAGAACAGAGCCCTCAGAAATAATGCCACATATCTACAACTATCTGATCTTTGACAAACCTGAGAAAAACAAGCAATGGGGAAAGGATTCCCTATTTAATAAATGGTGCTGGGAAAACTGGCTAGCCATATGTAGAAAGCTGAAACTGGATCCCTTCCTTACACCTTATACAAAAATCAATTCAAGATGGATTAAAGATTTAAACGTTAGACCTAAAACCATAAAAACCCTAGAAGAAAACCTAGGCATTACCATTCAGGACATAGGCGTGGGCAAGGACTTCATGTCCAAAACACCAAAAGCAATGGCAACAAAAGCCAAAATTGACAAATGGGATCTAATTAAACTAAAGAGCTTCTGCACAGCAAAAGAAACTACCATCAGAGTGAACAGGCAACCTACAACATGGGAGAAAATTTTCGCAACCTACTCATCTGACAAAGGGCTAATATCCAGAATCTACAATGAACTCAAACAAATTTACAAGAAAAAAACAAACAACCCCATCAAAAAGTGGGCGAAGGACATGAACAGACACTTCTCAAAAGAAGACATTTATGCAGCCAAAAAACACATGAAAAAATGCTCATCATCACTGGCCATCGGAGAAATGCAAATCAAAACCACTATGAGATATCATCTCACACCAGTTAGAATGGCAATCATTAAAAAGTCAGGAAACAACAGGTGCTGGAGAGGATGTGGAGAAATAGGAACACTTTTACACTGTTGGTGGGACTGTAAACTAGTTCAACCATTGTGGAAGTCAGTGTGGCGATTCCTCAGGGATCTAGAACTAGAAATACCATTTGACCCAGCCATCCCAATACTGGGTATATACCCAAATGACTATAAATCATGCTGCTATAAAGACACATGCACACGTATGTTTAGTGCGGCATTATTCACAATAGCAAAGACTTGGAACCAACCCAAATGTCCAACAATGATAGACTGGATTAAGAAAATGTGGCACATGTACACCATGGAATACTATGCAGCCATAAAAAATGATGAGTTCATGTCCTTTGTAGGGACATGGATGAAATTGGAAACCATCATTCTCAGTAAACTATCGCAAGAACAAAAAACCAAACACCGCATATTCTCACTCATAGGTGGGAATTGAACAATGAGATCACATGGACACAGGAAGGGGAATATCACACTCTGGGGACTGTGGTGGGGTCGGGGGAGGGGGGAGGGATAGCATTGGGAGATATACCTAATGCTAGATGACACGTTAGTGGGTGCAGCGCACCAGCATGGCACATGTATACATATGTAACTAACCTGCACAATGTGCACATGTACCCTAAAACTTAAAGTATAATTAAAAAAAAACAAAAACAAAAACAAAAACAAAAACAAAAACAAACAAACAAAAAAAGACACTACAGGATGACCTGGCCTTCTGTTAGACCCCTTTCCCTCCCTACACCCCTGCCACACAGGCCTCCCTGCCTGTCCTCAAATATGCCTGGCAACTGGCAACTCCTCAGGGAGAGCCTTCCACTGCTATTCCCTCTGCCTGGAGTGGTCTTCCCCACAGACCTCAATTGCTCATCTCCTTGAAATCTTGGCTCAAATGTTACCTTGTCAGTGATGCTCTCCCTATCTCCTCTATTTAACATTGCAACATTCCCTTTTACTCAAATATCCTTGTCTCCACAGCACTTACCACTTTATAGCACACTATATACTTTATTGATTATGTTTTATTATCTTGCCCTTTCCCACCTCAAAATAGAATATAAGGTTAGGAAGGTAGGAATTTTTTTCCATTTTGTTCACTGCTGTGTACCCAGCTCCTGGGACAGTCCTGGCGCCCAACTGCTTGATATTTATTGAATGAATGAATGTACAGGAGAATGGCTTTGAACATGCACTGTGTAATCAGATAGATTTGGGCTTGAATTTCAACTCTGTCACTATTAGCTGTCTGACTCTAGGCAAACAGTGCATGTTAACAGTTGTGGTACAGTGCCCAGCATATAGGAAATGTCTCTTTTTGTTTAGCTATCATTATTAAAACATAATTATGATTATCACTGAATATAAGCTTCATTCTTCCAAGAGAATGGTGATAAATTATAATTTATTTTAACTAATAATCAAACTTTTAAGGAATATGCCACATAGATCAAAACAGGACTAAGGACTGTGATTCATTTGCCAGCAGCCAATTCTTTTTGCATCAGTAAAAAAAAAAAAAAAAAAAAAAATGGTATGCATGAACACCCTTCATGAAAAGAATAAAGCTCCCTATCTTCCTTTTAGGGGAAAAGTTAGGAAATACTGGTTTCTATTATTTTTCCAAATAAAATATAACATCGGACATTGGACAAGCATAAACTTGAGCTAAACATCAAGGAATCACTTTATAGTAGCATTGGACTGTGAAACCAACCAGATGAGGAGGTGGCTCTCCCAAATGATGAGTCACTTAAACATACAGGAAGAAGAACTAGAAACTTTTTCCTGTATGTCCTCTAATACATTGCAAATATTTATAAAATAAATGGCAAGTGTCTGATGATATTAAATTACCCAGGTATTTTTCTTAGAGGTAAGAATTACATATAAGTAGACAGCATTTAATTCTATTGGTTCAACCTTTTGGCTCTGAGCAACACCCATTTTATCTCTAGTAAAATATTTGTGTGAGAAAATATATGTCTCAGAAACTCAATTCCAATTTCTCTGAAATGTGGGAGTTGGATCAGTTATTATCTAAGCCTCCTTCTGGCTCTAACAGTCAGAGACTCAATGACGTAGGGAATCTTGTTTTCCCATATCCCCCACTCTGACTCCATCCAATTCATCACAAAGTTCTGGTGATCTGACTCTAAATTATAGTTTAAATCAGTCTACCTTTATGGTAATCACCTTGGTATTTACTCACCTGGACTAACTCAAGAGCTTCCTAACACACACTCTGACACCTCTCCAACCTTTACACCCACAGAGTAGCCAGAGTGGTCCT
Source organism: Homo sapiens (assembly GCF_000001405.40). Classification (NCBI taxonomy): domain Eukaryota; kingdom Metazoa; phylum Chordata; class Mammalia; order Primates; family Hominidae; genus Homo; species Homo sapiens. The sequence goes on from NC_000008.11 coordinate 93,413,478, forward strand.
TTTATAACAAAAATTTCATTCTCTTTATTTCCCTGCTGTATTAGTCCGTTTTCATGCTGCTGATAAAGACATACCCAAGACTGGGTAATTTACAATGAAAAGACATTTAATAGACTCACAGTTCCATGTGGCTGGGCGGGGCCTCACAATCATGGCAGAAGGTGAAAGGCACATCTTACATGGTGACAGACAAGAGAGAATGAGAGCCAAAGGAAAGGGAAAACCTCTTATAAAACCATCAGATCTGATGAGACTGATTCACTACCACGAGAACAGTATGGGGTAAACTGCCCCCATGATTCAATTTTCTCCCACTGGGTCCCTCCCACAACACGTGGGGATTATGGGAGCTAATATTCAAGATGAGATTTGGGTGGGGACACAGCCAAACGATATCACCTGCTTAAAACCTTTTGATAATTTCCTGTTGCACTTAATATAACATCTCAAAATCTTCACATGGATAATAGATGAGATGCCATCTGGCAAGGGCTCTCCCTGCCTCCTCTCCCCTCCTTGCCATCAGGCCACACTCTGCTTTCCAGGTTCTCAGCTGCATTGTGGTCATTCACACGCATTGATTCATCTGCATGCCTACTCTGACCCTTCAACCTCACAAAAAAATGTCTCCTTCTCAAAGAGGGCTTCTTGGAGTCCTCATTGTAAATTTCATTCCTCCCCATTCTTTCACTTCATGACACTTGTCATGATCTCCAGATATGCATCCCTTTATGTGTCTCTTTGCTCCCCGTCCCTGTCTCTTTTTATATGCTAAGCTCTTGGAGGACAAGGGCTATGTTTGATTTGTTCATTACTGTATAACTAGCACCCAGCAGAACTCCTAGCATACAGTTGGCAATCAACAAATATTTGTGGAATAAATAAATAGATGAATGAAGAGTATTAGCAACTCTATGAAGGGGAAGGCAAGAATATGAGTGTTCTTTACGTTAACATCCTATGAAGTAATTTTAAATAACATACACAATGCAATTTGAATTCATAAGAATTTATTAAATCCAAGGTATTATGTTTTGCTTTTATATAATTAAAAAATCATTGTTCATAGATTAACCCACCAGTAGCATTTTACTGGGAAAAAATATTGTGAAGTTCTGCTTAAGGTTTTACACAATAATGGTTGTATGAACCAAATGATAAACTTAGTATTAAAAGATATGGATTCATGTTTTATGACTCAAACACTATGATCATAGTATTATTGACCATGTGACATTAACCAAGCCATTTAGTAAACAACTGTGTGCTTAATAACCATCTAACGTAATTTGGTAAACAATGATTGAGGCTATATCAAACATGTATATTTCTTGTTTTATTGTAATTAACAAATAGAAGACAATACACTGGATTATTGGAAACGAATATACCACAAAGGATGTCCATAGTTTTACAGTACCTTTAAGTATCTGTTAAAGGAGAGCATTTAACTAGTATTACAATTATTAGCAAGAAACTGACCTCAGTATATTTCTTATGTTTTTTTTTTCACCTTTTCTATTCCCCCTCCAGTTAGGTTCCTTGAATTCTAGAATGAGTTAGAAAATGACTAAGTTATAAAATTTTCTCAGATAATGTTGGGAATGTGGTATGGCAAACAGAAGGAAAGAAAACCAAGCCAAGGCTTGGAGACTAAATGAGGTGAAGAGGATGTGGGAATCTACTCTGAAGTAAGCTTCACTAAACGTGAGGATGCAGCCATAGGGCATCCTATGGCAATGAGGATAAATTGGTAGCACATTTCCATGCCCAGATATCTGAAAAATAGAGATAATGATCCCTGGCCCTAGCAACCAATGAGGAATATTGAGAGAATAAATTAGATACAGTTTTCCTTTGCAGGAAAAGCAATATATAATTTATGATATTATTATTATAATCATTAGTCATCTTTGCCTAGATTTATGGAGTGACTCATCCTAAATTAAGCCTTTGGAACAATGAGAAGAGGGAAATTTATGAGACCTACAATGATTTTCTAGTCTCATAAAAGATTGTAGTACTTGATTCTTGAGATGCTGAAATATCTCTGTCTCTTAACAGGATGCTATAAGAACCGTCCTTTGATTCATTATTTGATAAGTCTTTCAAGTCCCCATTCTCTTGCTCCTCTGGGGCTAATAATTCAGCTAGCATTTTAACACTCACCTTGACTGTCAATAAATTATTTTAACTTACCTTTAGAGTATCTGCTTTTTCTCTCCTCTTCCTATGAGAATAACAATTGTTACAATTTTATTCCCCATAATTTATCTACATATTCAGTAAATATTTTTAAGCACCTATAATAGGCAAGGCAATGAGTTAGGTACAGAGATATAAGGAGAGTGAGATCCTTCCCATATCTCGCGGAGCTAGAGAATATAACTAAGGATCAGCTCTGAGAAATATCTTAAGAAAGAATTATCAGGTCACAAAGATTGATCAGATATAGAGTGCAAAAGAGAGGGAAGAATACAGAAGAGGCCAAATTTCTTCTCCAGCTAGACTGGATGGAGAATGGCATCATTAGCCAGATAGGAAACAGATTTGAGAAAAAGACAACCAACTCTGTTTCAGGCTTGTTAAGCTGAGGTTGAATAACAGATCCAGGAAGAAGCTTGAGCCATGGGTCTGAGGCTTAGGAAAGAGGCCAGGACTGGAGACATAGGTCTTGGAATTCATCCAAAGAGATCCTGGGAAGAGGTGACTACTCAGTGAGAGAATACAAAACAAGAAGGAAAGACAGGGGCATCTGGTGATAAAAACTGAAAGAAAGGAAGAGACAACTAGGTAATTTTTGAAAGACATAAACAGGGTACAAAGGGCTAATGAAAAGAAAATAAATGACAGGAATAGATAGAAAATGGCAGAGAGATGGAAGAGGAAGAGAGTAAAGTCCCAGAGTTGTGGCCAAGGGCAACATATTGGAAGGGTTAGCCTTGCAAAGGAGCCTCTGTCTCTCTCTCCCTCTCTCTCTCAGCAGGAGACAGTGAGGGAGGAACAAATACTGATACATATTTTAGATAGGATACAGCAGACTTCAAAGGAAGAACTGTTGATTGGAAGTATGAAAAGTTGGATTAGTAAAGGTTGTGATGTTCCGAGAAAACGACAACATGTAGAGAAGAACCTGGGCTTTGGAATGAGACCAGACCTAGATTTAAATTGCAGCGTTTACACTTGGTAACACCGTAACCTTGGGCACATACTTTTTATCTAATTGAGCTTCAGTTTTGTCTTCTGTAGAAATGGCAAGTAAAAAGAACTATTTCATAAGGCTGTTTCCAGGATTAAGAAAGAGATTGTGTATGGAAGCACCTAGTTCTTGCCTGGGCTTCCTTGAGGAATGAATCCTGAGGATAAGCTGGACCAAAATACAGAGCAGTGGTTCTTCTCAACCTCAGTGTGCATCAGCATCAGCTGAAGAACTCCTCTAAACACAGGTTTTAGGCCTCACCCAGAACCAGTTTCTGTTTCAGTAGGTCTGGGGTAGGGCTTGAAAATCTGTATTTCTAGTAAGTTCCCAAGTGGCACTGACACTGCCAGTCCACAAACCACTCTTAGAGGATCTCTGAGGTAGGCACAAAAATCATCCAAGGGAAAAGGTCAAAGTGGTAAGAGATTTTATTGGCCCTAGAATACACGTTCCAGAAGAAGATGACCACATCTCTTTTTAGAGTATATTTTCCCTTCATTTGCTTTATTCATCATTCTGTCTCTAGAACCTTGGCCATACTATCTTAAGAGCAGGCACTGTTATCCCAGAGTTCCAAGAACCTGGTGCAAGAGCTGAAATTTAACGGGAACTCATCCAGCTGAATGGCTGGAGCAGTGAATGCAGAAAGAGAACTCTGAATTGCCTGAAGATAGAGGCACACAAGAGGCTAGTGGTTCCCAGTGTCTCCCCAAAAGGAGGTGAGCAAAGACCACCAGGAAATGGCAGGCAGGAGTTTGGGAGTCAGCCTGAGGAATCATGGTTTTGTTTGTTTTTGTTTTGTAGAGACGGGGTCTTGCCATCTTGCCCAGGCTGGTCTCGAACTCCTGGGCTCAAGCGACCATCCTGTTTCAGCCTCCCAAAATGCTGGGATTATAATTGCATTCAGCCAGGAAACATGGTTTTAGAAACAAGTAGGAACTGTCAACGTTTATATATTATTTTAATTTTGCTCTGTCTTTTCAATATTGCATGGTGCAAGTGTTTAATATTTCACGTTTCTGGGTTTTTTATTTTAAATCACTTTTTATTTCTCATATTCTTTTCCCTGGCTCCAAAGTATCTTTATTGCTAAATAGTAGTTTATAACCCTTTGCCATGGATCAGATTATCTTTGAGCACTTACATTTCCCTGTTTTGCTCCTAATTCCTTCCCATTGTATTATGCAATTATTCCATTCTGTTGCATCCATTATTCACTACATTTTTTTTTCAAACAATTGATTCTGCAGAAATCGAATACCCTCATTTTTCATTTCTTGGTTGGAGTTACTTTGTAGAAACTCAACTAGATTATGGCTCCTAATGCACTAATGCTCTGCTGAGCGCATGTTGCCCCGCATTTTTATAAGTTCTGAATATAAAGTCAAAACCCATTCCTTTTCAAGATTCTCCTTTCATATATCGTTTAAGAAAATTGCTCAACCATCTAGCTTGCTTCTACTTAGTCCCTGACTCATTTCCTTACTGCTGAATACCCCATCATCCTTCCTACATTTATATTTTTAGAGCCAAGTTAACTTGATATTTAGTTGCCCAGTGTCACTGCAGCTGTGCTCTGCAGCAGGAACTGGAGAGAACAGAGGCACAAGGACAACCCTGGTTAGGATATTAGTCAGGTATCAACCCTTTTCTCCTCTCTGCATCCAGCTTCTTACTATACCTCACCTGTGATCTCTTTCATTAATACATTTTTGACATATTTTTCAGTTTTCTTAAACATACATTGCTTAATCCCTTGCTTTGTGCATGGTGAATACTCAAAGCCTTCATCGTAGGAATGACTAAATGACAAGTGGATGAAACACAGACCTATCACAGCTTGATCCTGTCCACTTGCTTAGCTACTGTCTTATTGTTACTCAGGATGCCTTGCAGTTCCCTAAATTTGCCATGCTCGCTCATGCCTGCAAACCATTGTGTGGGTCACTCCCTTCCCAGTCTGCTTTCTCTGACTAGCTTTGGCATTACTTCCTTCTTCAGAAAATCACCCCTGCCCCTCTCCCTGGGGTGGGTAGCCCTCTGACATCCTAAAAACATCCTGACTTCTTTGCTCTAAAATCGTATTTCCATTTTCAGCTTGCTTGTCCTGCTCCTTAACTGGACTGTGAGCAACTGAAAAGCAGGGTCTGTATCCCAGGCACAGTTGTAATCCCAGCTCCTTCCTCGATGCCCAAATGGTGGTGTTTGCAATAATTGAGGCTATGCTGAAAGGCAGGGGTGTATTAGTCCATTCCTGCACTACTAATAAAGACATTCCTGAGACTGGGTAACTTATAAAGAAAATGAGTTTTAATGGACTCACAGTTCCACATGGCTGGGGAGGCCTTACAATCATGGCAGAAGGCAAAGGAGGAGCAAAGTCATGTCTTACATGGTGGCAGGCAAGAGAGCGTGTGCAGGGGAACTCTCCTTGATAAAAACATCAGATCTCATGAGATTTATTCACTATCACGAGAATAGCATAAGAAAGACCCACCCCCATGATTCAATTAACTCCCACCAGGTCCCTCCCAAGACATGTGAGAATCAGGAGGGCTACAATTTGAGATTTGAGTGGGGACACAGCCAAATCATATCAAGGGGTTATTCTAGCATGGATAGCTGCCATAGACATGGAGAAGAGTGGCAAGATGTGAGATACTACAGAAAGAAAATGGGGCAGCTCATGGGGCAGCTCATGAGACACAGGGCAATGGAAGGGGAGAAGTCAAACATGGCAGCCAGGAACTGGGAGATGCCTTCTCACCTGCCACAGATGATTACAGGTACTCATCACCCTAACAGAGGCCTGGAAATTTAAGTTTTCTTAACAGAACACAAGTTTTCCTATACCAGATAGCTTATTCTGCAGTGTTTAAATAAAGTACCATTTATTGAAACAATGCAATAAAAATGACTAAATTAACTTTTATGAAATTCTGAATAATACAAAGCAATATATAGGTCGTTAAAAAATAGTCCTGGAATCAAAGAGGGAGGGCACATGATGCCATTCATACTGAGGCAGATTTCCTTATTCTTGTTTCTTTTCCTTTCTCCTAGCTACAGCCCAGCACAAGCACCCTTTCTCTGGGCTTCTTTCCAGCTCTTAACCAGTGGGATTACACTTGTCAAACACTGGTGTGACACTGTCTTAAGCCTTCTGAGAATAACAATGTCTCAACTCTTAAAATCTCAAGACTTAATTCCTCCTTTTTGGAGTAATTATGCCTTTTCCCCACTTCTCCACCTCCTTCCTCTCTCTGTCTCTGTCTCTCTTTGTGTCTCTGTATCTGTTTTTCTCTGTGTATGTCTCCTTCTCTCTCTTCCTTTCTCCCCTTCTCTCTCCTCTCCTTTCTCCTTTTCCTCCTCTTTCTGCTACTGCTTCATCTTCCTCCTCTTCCTCCTTTCCTTCTTTTTCTTCTCTCTCTTTCTCTTTCACACACACACACTCCATGTTTGTTCCTACCATATGAGCTTTACATGGATGAAAATGTATTCTCTAATAACATCTCCCCAAGCAGTTCCTAGTGCTCACCCCCTCCCATCATATTTTGGTGAAAAACACCCTGTAACTTAACACTTAGAAAACAGAACTTAACACTGATTCCTAATTGCGTCAAAAACTGACATGGGCTAGAAGAATTTAAAATCAATGCATTGTTCCATGATCTTTCCATTTTCCACTTGTGTAAATCCTGCCTTTCCTTCCAGATCCAGCATCCAATCCATGCCATACAGGGAACCTTTCCCAAGTCCCAGCCCTCAGCTAACAAATCCTCCTCTTAATTCTTATTGCATGTATTTTTGTAACAATAGAAATGAAGCACTTGTTTCTTAAACATTGTCCATGGATAGTTCCTCAGAAAAGGCACTAACTAGTCTTTCCTTTAGGATTCCCTTGCCCCTAGCAGTGTCCAGGACCAGACAGCACTCAATCCACTCAATAACTACTTGTTACATTTAACGAACTGCCTTTGTGTTTCAAGCCACAGCTTAGTTCCCTTTTTGGAATAAACGTTTGGTGATGCTTCTGAGAACATTTCATGAGAAATAGATGTTAGTACCACACACAAAAGTTGCTTCTTACCATATAATTTTGACTCAAATTCTGGTCCTCGCTAGAGAGCCAAGTGGTCTGTGTTTTCTCATCTTGCTGTGTAAGACATCCCCATTACTCTTCATCTAAGAAGCCTTCATGCACTCCCAGGAGCCCAGTACATTAGAAGGCAACCTCCAGGTAAGCAAAGACTCTGCCTCTCATGCTGTCTGCCCAAGTCCCTCACTGCACACTTCTCTGCAGGAAAAAAGCAGCCCTGAGCCAGCAGGGAGGGAGAGAGGGAGGGCCAGGGTGAAGCGCTGTGGTGGAGCCCTCCCTCCATCCATCCACTGTGCTGCGTGGGAGCCAAGTGCAGGTGCACAAGGGCTGGTGCCTGCCAGCCTGATTACCCTCATCATGGAAGCTGCCAGACGACTTCAGCACATTCTGTGGCATGGAAACTGCCGAGAAAGAACACTGTCAGCAGTGGCATTTCTAACGCAGGGAAACAAAGTATGAAGCAGAAGAAAAAGACAAAAGCCCACCCACCCACCCACTGAGGCTGTACCCAAAACATCTTGGCAAGAATATAACTCCTGACTCCCTGTGAAAGGAAGATGTCCCAGAGGGGCCCTGATACTAGCACTGTTTTACATTGGTGATTAAAGATTAGAAAAAAGTAGAAACCATGTCATTATCAAAGCCTGGCACTGTAAATAGGTGTTACACAACTCCATGTACTTCCTGACTCCCTTCTTTGATGTTTTGTCCAGTATTTACATTCATATCTATCCAATCCATATATGTATATGTCTAATATATAGTATATATATTTTTATATATTATATGTAGCATATATTTATATATATAGTATATACAGATGAATGATATGTAATCCATATATTCATGTGTAATATATAGTATTTTTTACTATATATTACACATACTATATAAAAATATATATTAGTATATTATATATACTATATATAAAAATATAGTATATTTTTATATATATTACACATATGAATATATGGATTACATACCATTCATCTGTATATATCATTCATCCAGAGTTTTTGTGCCATATTCAGCTATCTTTTTTCCTTTCTTCTTTGTTTTTTAATAGAGACAGGGTCTTCCTCTGTCACCCAGGCTGGAGTGCAGTGGTGCAATTGTAGCTCACTGTAGTCTCATACGCCTAGACTCAAGTGATACTCTCACCTCAGCCTCCTGAAGTGTTAGGATTACAGGCATGAGGCACCACACCTGGCCAGTTTGTTTTAATTCAGCTATTTTACAGTCAAAAAAATCATCTTGGTAAAAGAGATTTGCTAGGCTTTACAAATGTTTTGAGGTCATGGAAACTTCATTTTTTTAACAAAAAAAAACCACATGAAATTGAAAAAGTACTTAGGATAACGTACAGGTGAATATATGTGTATATACACAGGCAAAACATGTGGCATATAATAAAATGCATTCCGTGATGTAGAGCCCTTTCCATCTAAACAAACACTCCTGTATCTTGAACTTCCTCATGGGACCCATCTTTTGCTGCCCATCTTCACTGAGATCTGGCTTTTACAGGAGGACCCCCCATCCCCTGTGACCTTTTCAGACTCATGTGTCCACTCTCCCACATTCCACATGCCTTAGAATATGTCAGGAAGTGGGCCTCCTACCCTTCATCCTCCCTAACTGTCCTCACTCTCTGTCAGCAAAACCGTCCCGTTAACAGCACTTCTGGAGCGAGATATAACCTCAGCTTATGTTTCTGTTTATGTTGGGGAAGAATGGGAACCTCCCTCTCCTCTCTGATTCTCATTCTCTAAAAACTCTTGGTTATTCCAATTCTTGGATTAATGAACTTTGTTTTTCTTTCATAAACATATTCTTCTGATCTTGATTTTATTGTACTGTTATGTTTATTCTAATAACCAAAGCTGCCTCTCTTTTTCAAAAAAAAAAAATGACACATGCATTGTCTATGCAAAGGCAGTTGCATGTTTCTTGTAGGCAGCTTTCTGATTACTATTTGAATGTTATTGGAAAGAAATTGGATTTTCTGTGCATGCCTGATTCCCCTGCATGCATGCTTTTGTCAAAATTTTGACACAGTAAATACAGACCTCCTCCATGTGGACTCCAATTGATTAATTAAAGGGGAGATTCATTGCTAAATTGTCAGCAGCTGTTGGCTAGAACAGAGGCTGAGGAGTCATACACCAAAAAGGCTAGCAGTGGAAAAGGACCATTTCTAGAGAATTCTGTGGAAAATTTTCTACTTAATCTGAACCTTTTGTGGTCCATAGACTAGGATATTTGATTTATTTTCTATTTAAAGACAAGCAACTCACATTAAACACTTTTTATTATACTTTAAGTTCTGGGATACACGTGCCATGATGGTTTGCTGTACCCATCAACCCATCATCTACATTAGGTATTTCTCCTAATGCTCTCCCTCCCCTAGCCCCCCACCCTCCCGACAGGCCCCAGTGTGTGATGTTCCCCTCCATGTGTCCATGTGTTCTCATTGTTCAACTCCCATTTATGAGTGAGAACATGCAGTGTTTGGTTTTCTGTTCCTGTAAACACTTTGTTTTCATTTCTTTTTTTTTGACCAAGAGTTAAGAAATGCATGGCAAGACACATTGTTCAATACCAAGACATTTCATCAGCATCAAAAGGCACAGCCAAGAAATGCCATTCACTTGGTACAAGACCATGGTGAAGACCACTGAGGAAGAAAAAGCTAAGACAACTTCAATTTATAAGCTCTCTGAGTGATGCAATCCCATATTCTCAGTTCTGTCATCAATAGGGAATGTGCATGACCATGTGGAATTTCAGATCTGTTCAGAATGGTAAACAAAAGAAGAAACTTCTAACTAATATCAAGAGCAGAGGATGTCAAGAATTAGGGTTTGATCCATAGGCATAGTTAGTGATTGTCAGGGGAAATAAGAAAAGACAAAAGGGAAGAAGTCAGTAGCCAAGGAGAGACTCATGGGAGAAAGGGTTCAGATGATAGAACTCCCTAGTAAGTCATGTCAGTGACAATTCCTAAAGGTAATTCCTGATCCTCTCACAAAAGCTAAAGTTCAAATTTTCTCCATCTGCACTCGCTCTTGCCAGGAGCTCATAAATTTGGGAACACACCAGGGCTCTGACCTAACCATGATGGAGAACTCAGCTGGGAGAACAGGCTATCCTCTGAGCTGCTACACACGGCTCCAGGGGCCACCTGTGAGTCACAGCCTGTGGGAGGCTGGGGAACATCTGGTCAAGTTCATCTCTTGCCAGCACCAAGGGTCTGACTCTGATACTGGTGTCTGTTTTAAGTGTACCTCTCTCTCCAACACAGCATCTTTGGAACATCAGGATGTTGCATAATGACTGAGTGGGATCCAAAAACGAAGCCACACATGTAGAACTATGAGAAACCACATGTGGAAAAGAAAAATAACCTCGGCTTCAATTTTTTTTTTTATTCTCAAAGCAGTAAATGTGTTGGAAGCCATGTTGAATATTTGATAGAGACTGAGAATGGATGAGGATGTGCTGTCCTGATAGACTCCTGTGCTAAAGAGACTTCGGGGTATTTTCAAAATAACCTTATTAGCTACCATTCATGCCATATGCCTTATAAACATTATCCCTGATTATCCAATACACCGCAAAGTGGCTATTACTATTATCCTTTTTCCAATTAGAAAACTAACCACTGAAACAATAACTGTCTCACAAAGCTTCCACAGCTGGTAAATGAAAAAGGTAGGCTTGGACACAATTTCCTTTGTCCCCAAAGCTTACAGTCTTCCTACTCATTATGCTTTCTTCCCTATCCATCTAGAAATGAAAAAACTTGCATGAGGGAAGACTCCCTGAGCTTGCTCAACTCTCAAAAGTAGCAGAGGGTAGCCAGGGGCTGTGAAGTTCCATGTGCCACTGATGCAGCCCCGCCCCCGGTGAAGGGAAGTAGCAGTCACTGAATCCCTTACCACTAGGCAATCCCCTTTTGGTGTGAGTCTCAAAGAAGGCACAGAAGATTTTCCACATCCTGAGTCCATCTTTATGTGGATGAAATCAGGTTAAGATAAACATTTCTGGCTTTACTTAAAAGATGCTAAAGAAAGACCAAGAGTGGGGACTGAAAGGGGAAAGGGAAGACAGCAGTGTGCACCTTGCCTTGATGCTTCGGTAAGTGACTACTGATTGTCAGAAGGACCTGGGTTTCTTATTAATTGTTCATTTTAAGTAAAAAGTCCATTAAAGACTAATTGGGTGACCTTGAAACAAGTGCCTAAGCTCTCCATACCACCATTTCCACATAGAATTTGTGTATACACTAATAAGTACCTACTCCGTACCCAGTCTACCCACATATTTTTTAACATTGACTTTAATTTTCACCCAACTACTTATTTCAAAAATTTTCAAATGTACAGAAAAATTGAAAGAATAGTACAATATGCCCTTCAGCTAGATTTGCCTGTTGTTAACATTTTGACACATTTGCTTTATTCTGCATGTATGTGTGTATTATTTTGGGAAACCACTTGAAAGTTAGGCGCAGATATCAGGCCACTTCACCCCTCACTACTTCAGCAAATAACTCCTAAGAATGCAGTGTTAAGAAGCAGAGATCTTTCACATCAAGAGGTTGTCCCACTCTTGGTGATGCATACCCTCCTCACTTTTTAAATGATGACCTGTGCCTTTGACACAACATTGAGTGGCTTTTGTTTCCAAATCACACGGCAAATCCAACAGCTGAGACCTAACAGCAGGAAATAGGCTATGACTATTTTAATTTAACCACATATTAAGCCCTTGTTATGTGCTCTTCTGTCAAGCACAATATGTTTTCCACACATACGCACGAACACATACCTGTACATACATATCCATTATACATGTAAGAGAATGTCAGGCTAAAATTGATTGGAGACTGCAAAGCTGATGCTGAAAAAAGTCAGATCTGAAAATGCTTAGACTGGGGAATTTATAAACAACAGAAATTTACTGCTCATGGTTCTGTAGGCTGGGAAATCCAAGATCAAGGTACCAGGAGATTCAGTGTCCAGTGAGGGCACATTCTTCACAAATGACATCTTCTTGTTGTCTTCTCACATGATAGAAGGAGCAAAAAGCTCCCTCATGCCTCTTTTAAAAGAGTACTCATCCCATTCATTAGGGTGGAGCCCTCATAGCCTAATCACCTCCCAAAGGCTTCAGCTTCTAATACCATCACCTTGAGGGTCAAGTTTCAACATATGAATTTAGGGCGGACACAAACATTCACACCATAGCAGGACCAAAGTAAGTCAGAGGCATGGGTATGAATTTCCTTCTTTCACAGAGCTCATTAATTCTCAGCTACAGTGTGTAATAACTCACTCAACCTTTAGCAGCAGCTCTTGTCAAAAAAAATTCCCTCAATTCAGTCCTGTGACATCTACTATGTCCCATAAGAAAGTAGAGAAGTGATAGTATCATCAAACTGAAGCCAGCTCACAACAGTACTTGTCAATGGGCTCTTTTTGCCCCTTCCTCCGCTTCTTCTTGACTTTGTTCCAACCCTCAAGGGCTTAGAAATCACAGCTGGCAAGATCAGGGAGGATAAACAACACACATAGAAAAGAGCAAAGAAGCCAATCAAAATCCTTGCCCAGTCATAAACTTGAGGCTTCAGTCTGCAAGAAGCCCAGGATCCAGTTCTACATTTTGAGAGGAAAAAAGTTGACATTAAATCAAGGTCAGCATTATTATTATTATTACAACACCAGACTTGATATATTATGAATTTATTTGACACTGCATCTGAAACTGAATGGCACTATAGAAACTTCTCTTACCTAAAAATAACACCAGAAATCATAAATATCAAAGCAAATACAATGAAACATGAACTCCCCATGAATGACTGAAGACTCCTTAGGCCAATATCAAAGAAGATTTGATGGGAGAATATTCCAGTCCAAATAAGAGTGACCAGGCCCCATTTTACTTCTAGGCCAAGGCTTTTTAACCTGAAGTCCATGGTCCCTTAAAAAGCAACAAGCAAAGTTTTATGTATATATGCACATGCTCCATTCCCCAGAAAAGAATCCACAGCTTTTATCAGAGTCACAGGAAAGGTTAAAATTATTCTCAAATCAGAGAACCTCTGGAAGATCAGGACAATCTTAGACTTTGACTTTAGATCCAGGTTTATTTCTCCTTCTGATGCAGTGCTGTTCAGTCCCCAGCCAATTCTATTCTAAAATGGCCCTGAGAGGTAGCATACAGATTGAACCACACTTCAGAGGCTCTTTGGATGTGGTTCCAGAACATTTGTAGTTTAGACCTGGAAGAGATAGAAATTAGCTTTGAAATTTACAATGTAGTTGTCTAGGTTATAGAAACATCTCCCAAGAAGTTCGTAGCTCATTGAGGTCATCTTTGTTCTGACTACATTTTGACTCTCGTTATTGAGTTGGGATACACATGGTTTTGAATCTTTGACATAAAATGCATGTAACCCAAGTGGTTTGCTTTCCTGATGCTCAACTCAATTCCTGAAAATTGGCCTTCCAAGGCATTGGCCTGTCTCTAGTGTCCACAGTTATATTAGGGAATGTCAATGCCTGTTCTACCTGCTTCCTGAAAAGTAATGCTACCCAAAAGCATCATCAGATCGTAATCAAACTAGCAGCTGTGCCACCCCCACTTACCCAAATCATAGATGTTTTTCTCCCATTTGAGAGACTATCGCCACTGTGTCCCTAGTCATCGCAGCATCAGCTAGTTAACATTCTCAGAAAGCGAGTCATTAGCATCTCAAACTAGAATTAAGACATGCTTTCATGGAACACCATAGGATATGGTTTGATACACAGCAAGGGAAAACATTAACTCTCTTTTTAAAATCAAACACAAATAAGAAAACTTAAATTGATCTATGGAGGAGATCAGTTGGCTGCTAGAAATAGCATTTTTACAATCAGTTCTGAACCATTCATATTCATAAAGAGTGGCACAGATCATCGAACACAGCCAATAATTTTTAAATAATTAGTGTTGGGCTTTGGAACCATTAATTTATTCATGTGGGTATTTATTTATTTATTTACATCAAAGTTACTTTCCTACTAGTGCTTTGCTTATATTAACATTTAAATGAGAATATAGCTCCCTAGCAAGCAGCAACTGATTGCTGAGGGAGAAACCCTCCTTTCCTACTAGGGAAGAACAGGGAGTCAGAGAAATGAAGATTTTACTCTGCATTAAATTTACCAAACTCAGGTAATTGAGAATGAGCTCTCATCTCCTGGAACAGGGCATCTTCAGAAATTGTTCTCTGACTCCCACAATCAAATACTCCCATGAGGCCAGGCACAGTGGCTCACATCTGTAATCCCAGCACTCTGGGAGCCCAGGAGCTACAGACCAGCCTGAGTAACATAGTGAGACCCCATCTCTATTAAAATAAAAATAAATACCCCCACGTATGCTCCTCAACAGTCTGTAGTTCTTTACGACACTTACCACATGTACTTATTTGTTCAATCTCTGTTTTCCACACTACAACATAAACTCCAAGGAGGCAGTAACAGTGTCTGTCTTGTTTGACACTAACCCCAATACCTAGAAAGTTCTTTGGTATGTAGCAGGTGTTCAACAAATGTTCTTATGACAAATGAATAAAATCTGCAGTTTTTTCTAAATTATCTACGAAAAATTAGAAAAAGGTATTGAACATTTCACAGAATGTGTGATCAGGTCCTGAATAGAAAGCCTGATCCAAAACTGGAAGGCCCACAAGTACAGGGACCCCACAGTCTTGTGCACTGCTATGCACCAACTTGGGGCACAGTGCTTGGCATAGCAGAGGCACTCAGCAAATATACGTTGCAACAGTGAACTAGAATAAGCAGGAAGGAGATGCAAAGATCTTGACTATGCAGACCTTTCCCACAGAGTGGCAAAGAGACAAAAGTGAGGTGTGACAGTTTGAATTTTAGAGAGGGCTGGTAGGTCTGAGAGTGAGTGTAGCTTTGCCCAGCTGAAAACAAAACCTTGGATTCCTGGTATTTATTTCTATGGTAAAGCCATTAGTTCTCTCTATATATCTCTCTGTCTTTCTTCCTCCCTCTTTGTCTCTCTCTTTGACTCTTTCTCTCTTTCTCTCCCTCCCTCCCTCCCTCCCCATGCCCCTGTGCTCCTCTCTCTCTTTCTCTCTCTCTCCGCACCACCCCCGACCCTGTTCACAGTTGACCTAAGCTCTATTCATCTACATTTCAGCCATCTTCCTTGAGCACCACAGGACTTCAGAATCTGTGCAGCCCATCTATCAAAGATTGTTTTTTTTATTCCTTGTTACTATCCTACCCCAATGTTTTCATCATGTGAAGTATTCAGAATCACAACTTTCACAACAGAACAAGGGTGGTCAGTGACACACACATTTCTGCTCTGGGAATCAGGGAAGGAGGACATGGTGGGGGGCCTGAAAATGAGTGAATAGAAGCCCCATAACTCAGCCTTACACAGCAAAATGAATGTGCATAAAACCACCATTTATCACAATCACCTTGGAGATCACCTAGTGCCCTGTCCTCATTTTGCCAATAAGAAAAACTGAGTCCAGACAGACAAAATGATCATAAAATATCAGAATTCACATGAGATCCCAAGAGCCATCTGGGGAGCAAGGGAAACATTCCTCTGTGACTACACTGTAACTCAACAGATGGCTCCTTCCCCTCAGCCTGTAAATAAACAAAAGTCTACCTAATATTGAAAAAGCAATACAGAAAGATGAGAACCTTGACCTAGCTTCTGCTTCTACCATCCTATATATTCTTCCTCAAATAACCAAAATTCTAGAAATAGAGGCTGGCACATGCTGATTTTATTTTCTCCCCTCCATCTGGAGTCCTATATAGGAATGCCTATTCAAAAACCTCTCCTCCTCTCCCAGCTCTTGTCCAGCTACTTAGAGATTTGCTCCAGATCTTGGCATTGAACTCATTCCCTCTCCTCCAGAGTATATGGATTCACTGTTCTTCTTGCAAGTTTGCCAAAAGCCTAAGTAATAATCCCAACAACCTCTCAATTAAGTAAGATATTATTTATTACTCTTAACCTAAAGGACATGTTTCAATAGAAATATAACTTTACATCCACGCCAATGGGGCCCAGCTGATGGAACCAGCAGATAGGTGGAACTTTGAGAGAATCATCTTCTTCCTGATATTTGTATGGCCCTGCTCTCCAGCCACACGCAGCTAAGGAAATTAAGTCAGAGCCTGGTGCTCTACTGAGGAGGTGGCCTGTGGATTTTGTGTTTTTGTTCCAAAATAAACAACAATGTCTGTATTCAAGTCAGTTTTCTAACTTTTGCGTAACAGGCAGAATGTCAGTCAAAATGAATCCTGGCCAATTATTCAGGCCATGCAAATTGTGTGGTGTCCTTGCTCTATTAATTCCCATGAAGCTGGAAAGGAGATGACAGATTGGCTATTGGCTAGAAAAGTCTGAGCTTTGCTGTTGGTATTGCCAAAATAACCAGCAACCTAAGTGGACATGGGAGATAAACAAATGTCTCAGCCTGTGTTCTGTTGAAAATGGGGCTGGACTGGGTGCTTTATTTGAAACGTGGAGTCCCAAGGCAGTGAGAGTGAAAAAGGAGGAGTGACAGGGCAGGGTGGAAAGCCACACTTGCAGTGTCATTGCACTGGCCACTGCCTTACCACGAGCCTCAAAGACACACAGCTGGTCACTCAGCAGGTGCAGTGATTCAGCCACCCGGGACATCTCCAGACAGGCTGTTCAGAGAAGCAGCTCAAAGCAGTTCCTTCAAAAAGGGAGAAGGGAGAATTTATCTGTATGGTTTCCTACCATCTCCCAGTTCCCAGGTTCCCACAGAGTGAGTTGCTGCCCCACAAATTCCAAGTCATGTCATCCAACTTCCTCACTAGCTGCTGAAGAAGCTCATCCCAGTGCTGCAGTTGTCCTGTACATCCAAGCCTAGAAGTGGCCGGAGGAATTGGAGACCCCCAGGAGTACAGCCTCAGATGACAAAATTGCATGTGCCCACAGATGACTGATCGGTCTCAGTGGCAGCCAAAGGCCTGGGAAGCAGATGGAGCTTAGAAAACCTGATGAAATGTATAAGATTATAGCATACAACAGGAGTTAGGATTAAAATCATATCCACAGCACAGGAGTATACCCTCCTCCTTTAACTTTTGGCAGATATCTCTATGTGCTGAGAACCTAGACTAGGTCCCTAACTACAAAAGTATAGTAGACTTGCCAGCCTAGGCATTCCAAAGTCTTGAGTCAAAATTATATTTTTTATATATGTACATATATATAGACCTAAATATACATAGGTATGTGTGTGTATGTACACACACGTATCTGAGTGTGGAACAGTGTTTGTGTGGATGCTAAATCCTTGAAAAGGCCTGTGATCTACTACAAAGGCCACCAGTGAGCTCCTAAGCACCAAAGCTAATGAGCACTTCTGTTTATTTAGCTTGACCCCTGTACACAGCTAACAACACAGCTGTTACTACTTCCTGATTGTTATTTCTTCCTTTCTTTTCATGCCTTCCCTTTCCCATGCTCTCCTCTTCCCAAGGCTAAAATTGTATATAGCAGGCAAGGAAAAAGGAGGCAGGCAGAGATAGAGTGGGAAACATGCAGATAGAAATGGTTCCTATCTTTCCTCAACTCAAAACTAAAGGTACCTGAACAATCTGGCATTTGGAATTGAGAACCACTCTCCATCTTTGTTGTCACCTCCCAGTGTGTTACTGTCACCTACCGTAAGTACAGAATGAGACATGATGGGTAAATAGGCCTCAAAGAACCTCAGGAGTTAAAGGCTCTTGTATTCGTTTCCTATGGCTTCTGTCACAAGTGTCAACAAACTGGGCTGCTTAAAACAATAGAAATGTAGTCGCTCACAGTTCTGGAGGTTGTAAGTCCAAAATCAAGGTAACAGCCAGGCCAGCCTCTTCCTCAGGACCTCCTGTAGGTGAATCCTTCCTTGCCTCTTCCAGCTTCTGGTAGCCACTGGCATATCTTGGCTTCCTTTCCTTGTGGCTGCATTATTGTCTCTTCTGTGTCTTGAAATGGCCTTCTCCTCTGTCATTCTCTCTCTCTCTCTCTCGTAGAGATGGGGTCTCACTATGTTGCCCAGGCTGGTCTCAAACTCCTGGCCTTAAGCAGTCCTCCCATCTTGGCCTCACAAAGTGCTGGGATTACAGGTGTTAGCCACTGCTCCTGGTAGGCCTTTCTCTTATAAGACATTTGTCACTGGACTTAGGGCCCACCCAGAAAATCCAAGAGCATCTCTTCATCTCAAAATCCTTAACTGAGCTGCAAATACCCTTTCTTCAAATAAGGTAATACCCAAAGATTCTAGGAATTCAGATGTAAACATATCCTTTGGGGGGCCACCATAGAAAGCACTACAACACCTGCATAGAGATAACTTTCATGATGTCTACAGAGTCCAGCCTCAGAGAGTCAAGCACTCTCCCAAGTCAACCAATGCCCGCAATTATGAGTTCAAGTCTGAGTCAAAACACTAAACTGGTTAAATGTGAGTCTTTACAAGAAAAACAAACGGCAGTCTGCTCTTATTTGAGAATTAGGCATAGACTATGAAACATCTGATAAATTCATTCAGCAGGGGATTGAACACTAGAATTTCGGTACTCCATTTACATACTATCTGGAAACTATTTTAATATGTTCAGGCTATTGTTGGGATAAAGACTTGAAATAAAATATGCTCAAAATGGTACCACTTTACCTCAAAAATGACAGAGCCCTTTGCTTGCATGTATATTACATTTCAAAAGAAGGTAGATATTACGCTGTCTTGCACCAAATGCCCTTAAGATTTTTTTTATAATATAAGACATCTTTTTCTCTGGCTCTAATCCAATTTCTTTGAGTGATGTGTAAACCTTAAAATTGTAGCTCTGTGTCTGTATCCATTACGTTTGAAATGACCCCTACATTTCACATTCTATATAACATTTTCCTATCTTCTCTGGGAATTGCAGAAGATCCTTCGTCGACACACTAATTGCTTGTGACACCTGAAGTCCTTTTGAACACTGGCATTTTCTTGGTGAATCAGTAAATACTCTGTTATTTGGAGAGGACATTGTTGCAAAACACTTTCCCTTAATCTTGCTTTCCACTTAAACATCATAATCACACAAGGCTGAGTTACACCTTCACTGCCACCCTGTGAACATTGTGCTCAGTATGGATTTGGTGTTACGGTAGCTTCAGAAACAATTCATTCTGTCAAAGTACCAGTAATGATTTCTTTTGTGGGTATATTAATCTCACAGAAACTAAGCATTACATTTTAGACAATAAACTTTATAAAAGATCTGTCAATTCTATATTTTTTAAATGCTTTATATTATATTCTTCCAAAACACACCCCACTCCATTGACCTTTAAACACATTAACCTCTGCAGGGAAATTTCTTAGATCCATATTATGAGCATAAAGTGTCTAATTCACCACTTAGTGGGGAAAATAGATTGTAGTTGGTGTTAAAATGTCAGCAAATCATCCACTCCTGACAGTAGATTTGGGGCATGACAAAGAATACCATTAAATTTGTCTTTTTTAAAAAATGCTGTATGGTTAGAAACACTGGTAGATCGAAGGCAAATGTTCAAACAATAGACATACTTGAACATTACCAATATCTGATCTATAAAGATTCCTAAATAGAAATTATAGGTTGCAATGTGTCACCAGCGCCAAGCACCATCTTAAATTCATTGCTGTAGTCTTCTATAATAGTTTTTCCTTTCTGCCTACAAGACAAATACCCTTGTTTTCCCAACCTCTTCTTCCCATTCTTGCCTTTCTGCCTCACTACTGGTTGAATTTCAGACAGGTCCTCCTTCTTAAGTATCCGCATACTCTTGTCTCCTTCCATCCCATTTCTCTTCCCAACCCTTTTTCAACTCGTTCTGCATTTCTGCAGAAAGTGTTCATGCCCTTTCTTCTCCTCTTTACATTGTTCCATTTATGAGTCAAATAAAATGACTATAATCATGACTGAGAAGCCTAAGCATAGAATTCATGGCGCCAGGGAAAAGAAAGCCACATATCCAGAAGTGAAAGATGGCATAATAAGGACCCAGCCCCTCGACCACTGCTGCTCTCCAAAACGTCTACAAAGCCTTCTCTCTCTAACTTCATGTCATATGTGGCTCTGGTTTGACCAGTTAGTTTCAAGTGCTGACATTCAATATAAAATTCAAAACATCCTACCCACTTTTAGGTTTTCTGCTTTGTTTATTTACTAGCATTATACTAGCATTCTTTTCTGTTTCATTTTTAAAATTTTAACTAGAGTGACTAGTTTGGCTGAGCTAATAGGATGTGTGAGATTCCAAATTAGTTCCATCTCATTTGGAACCTCTGTCTTATCAATATATTTGATCAAGATGCAAATGAATGCCTGAATTGTGACCCCCCCCTAAGTTGATGACCCTAGTATTCAGTGTTTTCTACATAAACAAACCTCATATATTCAATGATGTATCTAAGACTAGGACTCGCTCATTTTTCGTCTAGTTTTTCTGCCCAAACTATTGGAAGAGTCAATGATTTTGAATAAAGATTCAGTATTTCCTAAACCCCTATCAACTTATTTTCTCTTTCCCATTCCATGCAAGCAAACCAAATGCTCTGGATCTACTTAAAAGATAATACTTAACCAGAAATCTTGGTATTTGAAGGAGATAAGAAAAAAATTTATGGTTAATTTTGTGAACCTAAAATTCTCCATTCTCTTTTCCAATTTTTTCATTTTATTAATATGAAAAATGTTCTATTCAACATGTTTCTTATTACTTATATGCCTATTTTGTCTGTCTTTCCTGCTACGCAGTGAGCTCCAAAGGCCTTGTCTCTCTTGTTTTCCCATGTCCCCTGCACCTAGAAATGGCATAAAGTTGTTCAAAAAACAGTTGTTGGATGAATAAATTATTTAATTAAACAGTTTATAATTTTAATTCTTTAGATTCTGGTTGGTTCTTCTTTGCTTATTCATCATTTCAAAAAGAAAAAGAAAAGCTGAGCAGATATGCATAGGAGATTTCAAATCCTAGAAATTAAACCTAGGAGGGATTCTAGAAATTATATCACTCAAAATATTATTTTAATAGCTGAGGGAGCCTAGCATTCTAATAGCCTAATTAATATTATGCCCAAGGTTCATCACAGCTCATCAATGGCCAAGCTGTTGTCCTAACCCTTAAACTATTCACACCCCTCAAAATTAGGTTTCCTTGTGGGAAAGAGAACTTATCCCGCCCATAAGGAACACTAGGTGTGATCTTTTTGCCTATCTCTATTATCAAAATGAAACAAACAAAAAATGAAATAAAGGACCACATGACAGAATTAGAAGAAGATTATTCCACATTGTTTTCATGAGACGAGAAGCTTTAAAAGCAAACAAACAAACAAACAAACAAACAAACAAAAAACAGGACTCACTCTGTAGCCTCGAACTCCTGGGCTCAAGTAAGCCTTCCACCTCAGCCTCCCAAGTAGCAGGGACTAAAGGCGCATGCTACCACTCCTAGCTTTAGACAACAAACTTTTATATCCAGGGAACAACAGCTTGTGGACAATCAGAAGAAAAAGCAAAAGCAGTAGTGCAAAGCTGCAAAAGCAGCACCATGTTACTGGCCTTGACCATGTCTGGATCTTAGACACAAACTGAACTCCGTAGAGAACTTGGGGCTCAAACGTGTATACACAGCATATTCCAGTAAACAAACTGTTTTCATACTCTCTGTTTCAATTCACCCTTATAACCACCTCATGAGGTTCCAAGAAAGAAATTATGCTAATTTTATAAATGAGGAACCTGAAGGTGAAAGTAGTTAGGTAAAGTGCTTGAGGCCATGCATGTAGTTGATGATAAGAGACAGAATTAAGTCCTTCTGCTCAGAAGAGTTCAGAGCATTGTTTTCACCATTCAAATGCATGCCCTTTCTTGGTCTGAAATTGGTACATTTTCCTGAATTTGTTGAATTTAAACCTAACTTCTACCTGCCTATCCCTCCTGTCCCTAGATGAGAATTTGAGCTCTTGATTAGGATGTTTACATGTTACCTCTTCAGCTTTGTCTAAAAAATAATAATCTGCTCTCGTTAGCACTCTTCACTGGAAATGCATTTTTATTTTTATGGGTATTTGAAAGGTTAATTGACAACATAAACTCTGAAAGAATGTTCAGCCTCATGATTCCGTGGTTTTATGGTATCCACTGCAGAATATGCACTGTGCTCCCCTACCCCCACCTCTGGCAAACACGCACATACACAGCATGATGATACCACACCCTCCCCTTCCACCTGAAATTTCCGTCATTAGTGGACCGGACCAAGGCAAGGACAACAAAAGCCATTTATGGAGGCAATGGCTGATGGCTGGATCACAGTAGGGAAGACACTGCCAGAAAAGGAAGAACTAAACAGGAGGAGCCAAAGAGATGCTGAAACAGGAAACAAGTTGCCAAGACTAGGACTAGGGTAGAACAAACAGTGGCATTACTCCTTGTTGCTTCTGATAACATCACCAATAAAATGTCAAGTGGGTAATTCAGTTCCTGAAGAAAACAATTAGAGAAAATTGGTGAGAATGCAAATGTGTCTTCTGTCACTTTTTAGGGACCAAAGACTCAGACAGCACATCCATCTTCTGGTGTGGCTGTGGCCAGGGTTAGCTGCAGCAGCAAGTTAGAGGCTCCCTAACTGTGTGGGCAGCCCCAGTTTTCCTGTCTGCCTGTCCCGTGTCATTTGGCCCCCCTGGAGGGCCGGGGTGCATGCTTGTGGAAACCCACCCACAGGTCTAAGCTCCATTCTTCCCCACTGGTCACTCCTCCCCCATAAGCAGCCACCCCCTGGCTACTGCTTAGACCTATGCGTGCACACACCCACAGCATCACAGTCCACTCTGGGAAGGACGAGCTGTGGCCTTGAATGCCAACCTGCAGGTTTGAGCAGTAATTTCAAGGTCCAGGGTCCCTGGAGCATGGTTTAGAAGAGACTACTCTGGGTGGGCACATCCCCCTGGCTAACTCCACTGTCCCCAGGATGTCTATGAGCAGCATGGCACCAAGGAGGGCCCTGGCTGCTGGGATCTAAGGGTGACATTGAAGCTTGGAGCTATGTGGGCAATAAGCAACCAATAGGAAGTTTTACAAGTTCAGAAATCCTGAAGTCATCTTCACAAAACCAGTAGTTCTGACAGCAGGATTTCTGACCCTGCCCAGCTTCCTATTGATATGCTGAGGGGAAAAAAAAAAAAAAAAAAGCAACATAGATATTGTGTAGGTTGTAGTTAACGTGTGAACAAGTATATATCTTCTGGATTTAGACACAGAACAGGGCATGAGTCTATCCCCAGAATTAAAATACGTGTTTTAGCAAATCATGGCCTGGACTAAATGATGCCCCCAGCTTGATTATCTTATGCTTCTATGTTATATTAATTTGAAGAGAAATCTTCAAGTTTGCATTGTAGAACAATTATAAGGAAAATAGATGCTTCTCTTGGCTCTTCCTGGAAGGTACAAGCATAAAGGCCTAGCTTGAAAAAGCCTATTTAATTTGTTGTTAGTGGGGGGAATGGAGGTTAATTAATCTAGTTTTGGAAAAGCTAGATAATATCTATCTTCAGTTGCTTGTACATTATGCTGTCCAATTAATTCCTCCCAAGAACTTTTACACAAGACTACTCAGCTCAAAACTTCGTGCTTGAAAACTTTTCAAGGTCTTTGGGGTGACCACTAGAGAAGAACGAGCTGAAGAAACTATCACCTTCCTTTACTCTTTCATCCTGGTCGGGAGCTGTGCTCTTCTCAAAGGTTAACGAGGTTGCAGAACCTTCAGGGAATGTGGCCAGGCCACCCATTTCAATTGCTCTCACGTGCTGCTCTTGTTTAATTCCTGGAAGCACAGTCTGGAGCCTGTGTTCCAAGACGCCTGCCGTTCAGCCCACCACGGTTTCTTTCAGTAGTTGGCTGGGCCCAGAAACAGTCAGATGCCCTTGGAATCTTTAAACGCTTTTCTGACAGAAGGTTTGGCCATTTCTTCTCCCGGTGCTCATTTTAAAGTTAAGCACATGAACACACATTTTTTGAATCCCAAAGAAGACTTTTAATTGATTCCTGAATATTTTAAGGTCTACTAATTCCTTTGATGTTGCAAATGCTGCAATTGATTCCAGCTGCTGTTCTAATCACATTCATTAACAGGCTTATTTTTACCTGCCAGCTAATATTTTACATTGCATCAATAAATCTTCAGCTTTCTAGCCAAATTGTGTACAAAATAAAATGAATTGCCCAACCTCCTGATTGTTCCACAGGGGTTGGGTTAGCCATCATCCC
The DNA here is from genome assembly GCF_000001405.40 of Homo sapiens. Classification (NCBI taxonomy): domain Eukaryota; kingdom Metazoa; phylum Chordata; class Mammalia; order Primates; family Hominidae; genus Homo; species Homo sapiens. The sequence continues at coordinate 93,438,169 of NC_000008.11, forward strand.
TCCTTCGGAGGAGGGTTCGTTGGGCATGATTAGAAAGGTGATAAACTAAGAATGCATATGATATTACAAATATAACATTGGATTGTCTTAAGCACAAGTTTTTCTTGCATATTCTACCCACTTTAATTTTTATTTTATATTATAAGAAGTCAAAAAGGAGCATAATTGGTCACTCAAATGTAGACAAAAGATTTTATAATAGATTAAAAGAACTCACACACCAATGTCCTCTGTGGGGCATGAGCTTTTTTTTTTTCAGTGATGGTGTTCAATTTAGTTTGATCCATCCATGATGTCTTTCTCCATCCTTATGGAATGGCAATGGGCACTTATGAAACAAATGCCCAGAATTGGATAGGTACCATGTGGCAAGTAAAACTTAGACCATAGATCCATGTTACAAACCAACTGTCTCGGGATCATTTGCTGGTGCTGGTGCTATGCATACTGAAAGAGCAAGTGGACAAGCCCATCCAAAGAGTTCAGAGCTAGATCTCTCCAGATGAATTGTTAAATTTTCTGTCATTGGATGACAAGGAGAGTCAGAAAAATACAGAATTATCGCTAAGAGACCACATGGACTTTACTCCTAGCTTTGCTGCATATAAGCTGTGAGCTTGCATAAGTTAATTAACCTGTGTGAAACCCCCATTCTTCTTATCCATTGACTATTAAATAAAATCTTGCATGTAATGTGCTTAATACAGTTCCTGGTCTAAATTAATTCTTCTAAAAAAAAAAGGAAGTTAAAAGAAAAAAATTGTATTTTACATTCAACTTCTATATCTTCTCTTAAATTGGGTTTTATGTCATAACAATAAGTCAAAATCCTTCTACAAGGCCCTAGAGACTTTCCTCTACTCTCACCTTGCTACCTCATTATAAAAACCTTACTACCCCTCTGACATCATCCACTGATACTTGCCACACTCATTTAACTCCAGCCACATAGGCCTCCTGGCTGACCTGGGAATATGTCAGTAATTGTATAGCTACCAACCTGATATTGATGGGGATGTTGATGTTTAATGTTAATCTATCAAAAAAAAACATGCAAGAAAGAAAGAAAATAAGCATAAAGCAGGTTAGGCAAACTGAATACAAACATAAAATGAGAGATTTAAACCCAAATATGTCAATATTAGTATGATCCTATTAAAAGATAAAGATGATCAGACTGAAATTTTAAAACATAATATATGTGGCTTATAAATAACACATCTCAAGATAAGGAACAAAAAGTTTAAAATAAAGAAATGAAAAAAGATACAACATGTAAACATTAACCAAAAATCATTGCTGTTTAAACTGTACTAATATCAGGTAAAGTACATAAAAAACATAACTGGAGACAAAGAGGGGAACTTCATATGAAAGGGTCAATCCATCTTAACCCATTCCTAATTTGTATTTAGCTAATATCATAGCCTCAAAATAAAGAGAGCAATCATTGACAGAACTACAAGAAGAAATATAAAAGCCCATCATCACAGTGGAAAAATTCTCTTAGCAAACGATAGCGGTATAGAAAAGATCAGTAAATATTTAGAAGATTTTGAACAACACGATCAACAGACTTAAGCTAATTGACTTGTAGAAAACAGTACCCAACAACTGTGGAATACATATTCCTTTCAAATACACACTGAGCACTGACAAAAATTAACCATATGCTGAGCCATCGAGGAAGCTCAACAAATTCCAAAGGATTTAAATTATCAAAATATGTTCTCTGACCAGAGCTCTATAAAGCTTAAAATCACTAGCAAAAACAATAACTAGAAAGCCTCCATATGTGTGTAGATTAATAAACACACTTATTTTTATTAACTGACTATGGTAAAATACTGTAGGATGTAGCTGGGCCCATTCCCAGAGGGAAAATGTCCAATATCCATCGCAAAAGAAGAAAAGCTGAAAATCAACGAGTTAAGTGTCCATCTCTAGAAGTTAGAAATAGAACAATAAAATAAGCCTAAGTAATGTAAAAGGAAGGAACTATGAAGATGATAAGAATAGAAACTAATAAAATGGAAAACAAATATACAATTGAGAGGATTGACAAGACCAAAAGTTGTTTTATTATTTTAAAAATCAATAAATTTGATAACCTGACACCTGTGAGATGCATCAAAAAAAAAAAAAAAAGGCAAAAGGCACTATTCCTAACCATATTAGGAATAAAATGGGAAACATTATGAGACATTGAAAAATCCTAAGAAGGTATTGTAAAAAAAAAAAAACTTAAAAAGTTATTGTTGAAAATGTAATTAAATGCACAAATCCTAAAAAAAAAAAAACTAAGAAAAAACAGAAAAATCAGAATAGTCCTATGATTATTAAATTCATGAAATCTGTAAATCAAAAACTTTCTACCAAGAAAACTTCAGACTCAGGTTTCATCAGTGAAGAAATAGGTATAATGCTATATAAACTCTTAGAATATATAAAAATATTTCATTTTTATGAGATTAATAATCTCGATGCAAAAACCTGTCAAAACTATTATAAGAAAGGAGAATCATGGGCCAATCTTACAAATAAACATAGGATTCCAGTAATACACATAGATAGCAAGACTCAATATTACAAAGATACAGTTTTCCCTCAGGTTTTCTACAGATTATCATCAAAACCCCAACATTGGCAGGGCATGGTGGTTCACACCTGTAATCCCACCACTTTGGGAGGCTGAGGTAAGAGGATTGCTTGAGGCCAGGAGTTTAAGACCTGCCTGGGCAACAAAGAGAGACTCCATCTCTACCAAAAAAAAAAAAAATCATCCAGGTGCAGTATCCTGCATCTGTGGTCCCAGTACTCAGGAGACCAAGGTGGGAGGATTATTTAAGCCCAGGAGTTCAAGGCTGTAGTAAGCTATGAAAGTGTCACTGCACTCCAGCCTGGGCAATGTCAACACCCTGTCTCTACAAAACAAAAACAAAACCCCAGCATTTATTCATGAGGAAATCGACAAGCCAATTCTAAATTATATGGAAATGCAAGTGGCTAAGAATATGCAAATTCTCTTAAAGAACAAGGGGAGAGAATTTGCTCCACTAGATAGCAAGACTTGCTAGAAAGCAACTGTAATTAAGAAATGCAATATTAGTCTATGGTCATACCACCCTGAACGCACTGGATCTTGTCTGATCTTGGAAGGTAAACAGGGTCAGGACTGGTTAGTACTTGGATGGAAGAAATTCAATATTGTTGCAAGGTTTGATAAATAAACCAATTAAATAAAATACAAAGCCCAGAAATAGAACCACAAATATATGGACACTTTATTTATAACAACATAATAATGCAATTTAGAGGCAAAGGGATAGTCTTTTCAATAACTGATGCTGAATCAGTTGGATATCTTTATGGGAAAAATGAAATAACTCCTATCTCACATGCACACGAAAATAAATTCCAAGTAAGTAGAAGCAAACAGTAGCACTTTATGATACAGGAGAATATCTTCACTATGGTAAGGTAAGGAAATATTTCTCAACAACACACATGCCACAAGAAAAAGAATCACCATAAAGGGAAAGTTTGTAAGTTGAACTACATTAAAACTAGGAAATTTTAATCAAAAGACCACATTACAAATGTGAAAGAGCAAGCCATAAATTGGGAGAAAAATTTCGTCACATCTATTAATCCAACAAAGGGCTTGTATCCAGAATATATAAAACACTGTAATGGTTCTTAATAACCTTAAAGACAAAAATCTTTCATAGGCCCTTCACAAAGAGTATATCTAAATAAGGAAACATGTTCAACTTCTTTCGTAATCAAAAAATATGATTTAAAATTCCAATGACATAACACTATGAAATTACCATAATGCTTAAAATAAAAAATAAAAATAAATTGGCTGGGTGTGGGGGCTCATGCCTGTAATCCTAGCACTTTGGGAGGCTGAGGCAGGCAGATCACTTGAATTCAGGAGTTCAAGACCAGCCTGGCCAACATGGGTGAAACCCCATCTCTACTAAAAATACAGAAAAAAAAAAAAATAGCTGGGCATGGTGGTGCATGTCTGTAATCTTAGCTATTTGGGAGGCTAAGGCATGAGAATCCCTTGAACAAGGGAGGTGGAGGTTCCAGTGAGCCATTGCCCTCCAGCCTGGGTGAGAGCGAGACTCTGTCTCAAAAAAAAAAAAAGAGTGATATTACCAACTATATTTGCATGAATGTGGAGCAATAGGAATTCTTATACATACTGGTATGAATACAAATTTGGAAAACAGTTTGGCATTATATAGTAAAGTTAAACATACATAGAACCTGTGTTCCAATAATCCCACTTCTAAGGGTATGTACCCAATGACAGTGCCAATGACAATCGATATATACCCTTAGAAGTGGGATTGTTGGATCATTGCAGCGTTATTTCAAATAGCCAAATTAGGAAACAACCCAAATGTCTACCACAGAAGACTGGATAAATGCACTGTGGTATATCCATTGAATGGAATAGTATACGGCAGTGAAAATGGCCTATCTCCTGTTACATGAAACAACATGAACAATCCTCAGAAACACAATAAGAAACAAAAGAAGCAAGGCACACAAATTACACACTGTGTAAATCAATTATATAAAGTTCAGAAGCAAGAAAACCTAAACTACAGTATTAAAGTAAAGGAAGTAGAGGAGCAAAACAGGTGAAAACCAGCTGGGCAGAGGAAGGTGCCTTCTGGGGTGCTGACAACAGTCTCTTTCTTGACCCAAGCAGTAATTACACAGGTGTTCCATGTGCGATTCACTGAGCCGGCACATATATATCTGTCCTCCCTTCTTAAGTGTGTTTACTACACACACAAAGAAGTTAAAATTTTGTAATAATATCCTTAAATCAGAAATTTTATTTCTAGGAATTTTACTCTTTAGATATGATGCATAAGTGTATTAAAAATTAGGTTCAAGCATTTTTCATGAAAGCAAAAGACTGAAAACTACTTGAATATCTATCAGTAGATAATAGATTCAATACAGGTGAGCACATCCAGGAATACTATGGAAATTTTAAAAAGTATGAGGCATCTCTATGTGTGCTAATATGGAACAATCTCCAATATATATGTAAGCAAACAATCAGTGGGAGATATAGAACAGTGTTCGGAGTATGCTGTCATTTCCTCTGTGTTCAAAAATGGGGTGAAGAATATGTGCATGTGTGGTATCTATATATCTATAATGTTCCTGGAAGAGCAGGTAAAAAATAAAACTCAGTAGGCTGTCTCTGAAGTGGGAAACTAGAAGTCCCAGGTGGAAAGAGAGCTTTTTTTCTTAACTATGCTTGTCGCCATCTTGTGAACTTAATCAGGTGTATGTTACTTTTACAAAATAATAAATTAAAAGATGATTTTTTTTAATATGTTGAAATGACTTTGTGGGCCCAGCTCCCAGTTGTTTGTTGCAATGGAATATTTGTATATATCAAACTGTCCTTTCTTTGGGGAACTGATATTGCCTGGGGTAGAGGCTGGGAAACAAGTGCCCATAAGTGGTAATAAGGGTGGCTGAAAGCCAAGAGGCAAGCAGAGACAAGTTCAAGAAAGGAGGGCATGAGTACAGATGGTCACCAGCCTGAACAGAGCCAGCAGCAGGAATAATGAAGGCAGATAAGAAGCCAAGAAGTACAGGCCAGGTGCGGTGGCTCATGCCTGTAATCCCAGCACTTTGGGTGGCTGAGGCAGGTGGATCACTTGAGGTCAGAAGTTCGAGACCAGCCTGTCCAACGTGGTGAAACCTCATCTCTACTAAAAATACAAAAATTAGTCGGGCATGGTGACGGACACCTGTAATCCCAGCTACTCGGGGGGCTGAGGCAGGAGAATCGCTTGAGATACCTGGGAGACGGAGGTTGCAGTGAGTCGAGACCATGCCACTGCACTCCAGCCTGTGTCACAGAGCGAGACTCCATCTCAAAAAAAAAAAGATGAAGAAGAAGAAGTGCAGGTCAGAGAAACTAGACAAAAGTGAATGCATAAGCTATAAAGGATCTGCAGAAGGGAGACGCCCCAGGAGGGAAAACGCTGTTGATATTCACAGCTTGCAATAAGGAGCCTAACATTACCCACAGAGTTTAAAGGGTCAAGGACAAGAAGACATCATGCACTTACCAGTTTATTTGTACTGATCCAAAATCTGATCAGCCCCAGAATGAAGTCTTTGTCTCCTCCACAGTACCTGTTTATAGTCCATGCACACAATGGTATTTTAAAAAGAGTTGTTGATTCACCCAGTTTCCTAAAATATAAACACATAACCTTTCCTCCAAGTAGCTTAACAAGTTTTCACATGATAAGCCCTACAGTGGGCCTGAGCCACGGGCTGATGGGGAAACAAGCACATAAAAAGTCTCTAGCCTTTGATTATCTTTGCTTTGTGTCCCTGATCTTGTCACCACACTAATCTTTCAATCACATAACTGAAGTATTTCCCTTAAACAGATTTATCCTGTTAGCAACCATCATGCCAACATTTTACCTTTAAAATTTGTTGAAGGGGTGCAGTTTTGGAAGTGTATATTCCAGGGCATCAGATGTCATGCTAAGTGCTCTGCTGCATTGGTCACCAGGACCCTAAAGACTCCCACAAGGGCAGAAAATCATGTCAGGGGAGCAAACTGAACAGGCAGACAGTGCCAAGGCCACCAATTTGAAGGCGATCCATTTTCCAAATTATCTTCCAGCCAACAGAATCCTTTTGCCATTTAACACATCTATAGCTTCTGTACAGTGATGTCAAGTTTATTCTCCGTGCAGTTTTTTGTAAATCACATCCAAAATATGATTTGGAAAAAAAAATGCACCTTCTTATGAGCCCACTGTGTACTTGAAAGACCCAGTGCACAAATCATTTGCACCTGTACCATTTCCATCCAGTTCTAAGCTAATTTTAAAAAGACTCTGAAAGCCTGCCAACAGCACATGTGCACAGAAGATAAAATGTAATAGCAATTAATCCAATCATCTCTGATTTAACGTTAATTTAACCCAGTGGATTATGCCTTGTTTTGTGTGCAACTGTGTTGATCCTGCTACATTTCAGAGAGCCCCCAAATCAATCAAGTCACAATCCTTAATTGCAGTCAAAATGGGGAATTCCACTCAGCAGGGCCCTTCTCTAGAGTATCTATTCCTCCCAAGGAAGAAAGGGAAGTCAAAGAAAGAGGCGTTTCTAATAGCAGGCTGCTCACATTGCAGCTGATGGTGTCAGGACTAGCAACAAGGAGTGGCCTACTGTTTGCTGGCAGATTCAATTGCATCAGGGCTTCTTGCCAGAATGAACAGGAAAGGGCTGTCAGAGAAAAGCCAATGAAAGTATAGCTGCTGTTTCAACTAGAAACAAACACAACAACAACAAAAAATTCTGGGGCATGATGTTTTCCTTCCTTTATTTGCAATATGGATTGAATGACTATAGCAGTTAAAGACTTGAATTAGGACAGCTGTAATTGAAAACTAATACCATGCTACCCCCCCCCAACCCCCTAGGTCTCATTTAACTGGTTTAGAGTGTCAGTCTGCATTCTTGGAACCAAAGGCTGATTGTGGAACATTTGCATTATCATGTGCAAGAAATAGAGAAAGTTTCAGGTTGCTAATTCCTCCTAGTTGGGTTTTATTGAGAATGAAAATCATAAAAGGTGTTACCTGGGCTGGGGACAGTCCCAGAAGTTCAACTGTAGTTCAGCCTTAGTTAAGGATTAGTTAATAGATACTTCACATAAAGTGCTACCATGTTCTTTTTCATAATTTTTCTCTCCCCTCCTCCCTTCCTTTGCAGCTGAGAATAATTAACTGTTCTTTTGTGAGTGTCATTTGTTCTCAAGGAATTAAATGCCACCTTATTTCCCAGAACAAGAATTCAACTGTCATAATTATAGCTTCATTTCAGAAGCAAAATAAAAAAAAATCATAATTTATTACAGATTGTTCAGCATGTGAGATAGGTTTAAATGTCATTGGAAGTAAATTGTGGCATGTCATGAAGGGGTTTTAGCCACCACTGTAATTGATTTATAATTTCACATTTAAAATGAACAACATTCACCCATTGTTCTTGTATTATATAACTCTGACAGCAATCCCTTGAGAATGAGGCATTCAACTTGGTCAATACACAATAATAATAATAACAATAATAACAATAACAATGATATGCCAATTTTACAGATAAGCAGCAAATTTGCATAAGCACTAAGAACATATGTGTTAAAAACGGGAGCTCAATCTCTATAATAGAAGGTAAAAATGTATTTCAGAGAGAATGCATTTGGATATTAGCATTGAACTCCATCAAATTAAATGACTCCCGGGGGTTTTAGTGTAACTCGTAAAATTAAGGACTATCAGAATTAAGGTTTAAACTATTCTCTACCCAGAGTTATAAGGAAAGATACAATAACTGGAGAAGGTGGAGATGAATTTTTCCATTTCTACTTTCAAGCAGACTAAAAATCAATTCTACTTTGAGCAGTAATTTACTAGGTTTACAGTGTGACCCTAGTACCCTAAGATTGCACAGGGATAATAGGTGGTGTGGCAGAGGGACTACATAAATACTTCATTAGACCGTTAAGTGCCTACAGATCCATTTTGTGCAAGATGAAATGAGTTCTATGATGTTTCTCATATCTCAAAATCATAATGATGTATACATGCCCCCTTAGGTTTGCATATAGAAGCAAACACAAGCTCACAGTGACAGAGACAATCTGCACTGGTGGCAACCAAACCACATGAGCCACAATTCAAAGGCAAAATCAGAACCTTCCTGCCCTACTCTCCACCCACAACCCATAGTCTTTTGAAACACCTTATTTTTCTTTTCTGGGAAAGTCAGTGTTTTATAAAAGTCAATGGTAGTCTGGATACAGAAAAGCTTTTTGAAAGACAAGGTGTGGTGGGCTGAATAACGGCACCCCAAGATATCCACACCCTCATCCCTGGAACCTCTGAATGTTATATTATATGGCAAAGGGACTTTGCAAATATGATTAAGGATTTTTTGATAGGGAGATTATCCTGGGATCATCTGGGCAGGCCTGGATGTAATCACAAAAGGTCAAAAGAGTTTTGGCTACTGTACAGAAAGCCATGTAACCCCAGAAGCATAGGTTCGAGTGAGGTAGCCAGAAGCCAAGGAATGCTGGCAGCTTCCAGATGTGGAAGAGCAAGAAACAGATTCTCCCCTGGAGCCTCCAGAAGAAACCCAGCTCTGCTAGCAACTTGATTTTAACCCCATAAGACTCATTTCAGACTTCTGACATCCAGAACTGTAAGAGAATACCATTATGTTGTTTTAAGCCACTAAATTTGTGGCAATTTGCTACAGTGGCAACAGAAAACTAATACCCAGGGCATACAAAAAGAACCTGATTTGCTAAAAGGTTTATCAAGTTATCTCCATATTGAGGACCAACCAAGAGACCAAGTCCCACTCTGGCTTTGGTTTGAGGCTTCCAGCCTTGCCAGAATCCGGGCTCTTCCTTTGCTGGTGCTCATACAGTTCCTAGGTTGTCCTTGTTGGAGGAACAGTCATCCAAGAATTTGACAACATTCCAATTTTAAAAAGTAGTAACATTTAGCTTGACTTACGAGTCACTTTTTGGATTGTTAAATGAACATAGCGCTTTAAGATGAGCTGTGATTCTGTTTATGGCTTACAGAAAAGAAAGTGTACTTATTTTAAAACATTAATATATTACAAGATTTCCAAAATATATAGCTTGTGATTTTTCCATTTCAGCATTTTCATTACCCAGTAAACTACTGCTCTGGAGTTGCCACTTAGCATTCGATAAATGCCTTCAGTGAGTTAAGGATTTGCAAGGCAAATTTTAGACCCAGTTTTTGAAATAATTATGTATTCAATTTGCAATAATTTGAAGAAAAAAAGACACTTGTAATAAGCTATCGGAGTGATACATACAATGGTTTTATCTGGGGTCACTGAACAGAAATTTCCTATTCCAAGTGTGTTAGGAGAATATTTCATTCCACTTTCTTTGCTCCTGCACCAGAAGATATCTTCTAAGTGCTTTTGTAACTGTTTCCATCTCTCTCTCCACCCTACCACCGGATCTGTAAAAGCCACCATGGACTTAAGTTTTATTACAAATCTTGGCAATGAGCCAAAAAAAAGAAGCCAGGGAAAAGAATTAAGACATGGTCTAACATCATTAATTTCACTGCAAGGTGAGATTATGGTCTTCTTGCCAGCATCATTCTATTCATTCATTCATTCATTCAACAAATATCTATATGGTATCTACTCTGGGCAATGTCCCTGAGGGAGACAGAAAGGGGAAGCAGATAAATCCTGTCTAGTAAATACATAACTATATTAGCTAATGACTACCAAGGTGATAAATAATGGATCATCCCTGGCAAAGGGAACAGCCAGAGCAAAGACACTAAGGTGGTGCTCTGACTGAACATTTGTGTCCCCCCAAAATTCATATATTGAATACCCTAATGATGGTATTAGGAGGTGGTACCTTTGGGGGGTGATAAGTTCATGAAGGCAGAGCCCTCATGGATGAGATTAGTGCCCTTATAATAGAGACCCAAGAGAGCTCCCTCACTATTTTTCTACCTTATGAGGACACAGCAAGAAGATGGCTCTCTCTGAACCAGAAAGCAGACCCTCATTAGACACTGAATCTGCCGATGCCTTGATCTTGGACTACCCAGCCCCCAGAACTATGGGAAATAAACTGTTTAAACTATTCAGTGTACAACATTTTTGTCATAGCAGCTCAAATGAACCAAGGCAGGTGGGAAAGTATGGAATACACAGACAGAAAGGAGTGGCTCCACATGGCTGGATGCAGGGACCAGCACAAGCAATGAGAATGTGCAGGTTACATGAGCACCAGACAGTCAGAGATGGAAGAGTCCTTCCCCCAAGGTGCTCAACATCTGGTGAAAGAACAGACCAGAGCCACACAATCACAGAGCTAGAGGAGCCACATCAGTACATGGAGCACAAAGGAGAGAGACGTATTGGAGCCTGTTGATAGGAAGGTATGGACAGAGTATAAAAATGATGTAAAACTGTGGCTCATGCCTGTAATCCTAGCACTTTGGGAGGCCAAGGTGGGTGGATCACGAGGTCAGGAGTTCGAAACCAGCCTGACCAACCTAGTGAAACCCCATCTCTACTAAAAATACAAAAATTAGCTGGGCGTGGTGCTGCGTGCCTGTAATCCCAGCTACTCAGGAGGCTGAGGCAGGAGGATGGCTTGAACCCAGGAGGCAGAGGTTGCAGTGAGCCGAGATCATGCCACTTGCACTCCAGCCTGGGCAACAGAGCAAGACTCTGTCTCAAAAAAAAAAAAAAAAAACTAAAAAAAAAAACTGCCTGTAATCCCAGCACTTTGGGAGGCCAAGGCAGGTGGATCAACAGGTCAGGAGATCGAGACCATCCTGGCTAACACAGTGAAACCCCATCTCTACTAAAAATACAAAAAAATTAGCCGGGCGTGGTGGCAGGTGCCTGTAGTCCCAGCTATTCGGGAGGGTGAGGCAGGAGAATGGCGGGAACCCGGGAGGTAGAGGTTGCAGTGAGCCGAGATCACGCCACTGCACTTCAGCCTGGGTGACAGAGCAAGACTGTGTCTCAAAGGAAAAAAAAAAGAAGAGGTAAAACCTAAACTTGATGTTGAATGGAAAAAAAGAGTTAACCAAACAAAAGAAAGGGAGGTACTATCCCTTGCAAAAACACAAAGCAGTGGGGCAGCTTGGCTTCCCAGGAAACTGCAGGTGATGGCCAGAGAGAGTAAGACAAGAGGGTGCAGATTAGAGAAAGAAAAGGTCAAGAAAGGCTTTGTGAACTACATGAAGAAGTCTGGATTCTATTCTAAAAGGAACTGGGTTCCACTGAAAGGTTTTAAACTGGGAAGTGGCATGATCAGATTTGCATTTTGGAAAGATTTCTCTGGCCACTCTTGGATCAGAGAAGTTAGAAAGCTCTAGCCATTAATTCCAGTGTTTCTCATCAAAATTTGAGAAACTGTGCTTGAGAAATAGAGCTTCTCAAATACATTTAAGAATGGAATTAGCTCATAGCTAGTGAGCTTCAAAGCCAGCAAGGAAGCACTGAAAGATTTCTTGATTCTGCTCTGCCTCATGAAGAACTTTGAATTTGATTCACATTGTATCTTTAGTAATTACGTTCCAAACTCATAACTTGATTAGGTAAAAGGATTAATCTTCTACTCCTTTCCTCTTCCTAGGCCCCTTCTTCCATTCACACAGGCATGTAAATGTGATCCTAACAACTGTATCTATACATTTACTCATTTATTCACTCCACAAATATTTATTGCATATCCATTATGTGGCAAACACTGTGCTAGGGTGCTGTGTGCATAGGATGAACACTGTTCTTTGCTCATGAAACTGGCAGTCTACTGGGGAGACACATGATAAATACATAAACAAATAAAACTCTAGAATAGCAGCTATGTATGTGTACACATAGAAAGGTCCTTGAAGACTCACCCAGAGAAGTCAGTCAGTTGAGATGGAAGTGTGATATGGTTTGGCTTTGTAGCCCCACCCAAATATCATCTCAAATTGTAATTCCCACATGCCAAGGGAAGGACCTGTAATCTCCACATGTCAAAGGAGGGCAGTGACTGGATTATGGGGGTGGTTTCTCCCATGCTGTTATCATGATAGTGAGTGAGTTCTCATGAGATCTGATGGTTTTAGAAGTGTTGGGAAGTTCCTCCTTCGTGCTTCTCTCTCCTGCCACCATGTAAGATATGCCTGCTTCCCCCTCTACCATCATTGTAAGTTTCTTGAGGCCTCCCCAGCCATGTGGAACTGTGAGTCAATTAAACTTCTTTTGTTTATAAATTACCTGGTCTTGGGTAGTATCTTTATAGCAATGTGAAAACAGACTAATACAGAGTGTGAATATATTGACATTTAATTTACATGAGTATCATTCTAGAGAAGTAGTATTCGTACATCTAGGCTGGTGCTATTACTCAAAAACACTAACATTTAAAATATAAGGTCATAGTCTTCAAACAGCAAGCAAGGCTTACAATTGCAGGCACAGAGAGTAAAAGGTTAGGTATGAGGAACTCTATCCTACAGATAAATTTGTTTTCTGTCTCTGGGCTTAATGAGGCCCATAAAATCTCCAGGGGATCTCTGGGAGAGGCTCATTGGAGCACTTCAGTATTGATTCAGCCCCTCAAGTAGGTCTTACTTGAGGCCACAGCTAGGCTAGACCTGGTTGGGTTGATGCACTTAAGTCTGAGTTCTGAAATTGTGCTGACTGCCACAACTGCAGCTTGTTTTCATGACAGCAAACCAAAGTCCTTATTAATGTTTTCTTTCTAAAATGTTATAAGTTAAAGAAAAATTGAATTCTGCATTAGTTAAAATTTCCTCTTCTTGACAACTCAAAGACTGAAATCTTCAGATCACACATTGAACATCTCTAGTATTGGGCCCTTTTTTTTTTTTTTTAAGAGATAGAGTCTTGTCCCGTCACCCAGACTGGAATGCCACCATCTTAGCTCACTGCAGCCTCAAACTCCCAGGCTCAAGGGATCCTCTCGTTTCAGCCTCTGGAGTTGCTAGGATACAGGTGCCAGCCACTGCACCAGCAAATGTTGGGTCCTTTTGAAGCAGGCTTTTCAGAGTCACTCTTCTCACCTAAAGGATAAGGAGCATCTGTGAGACAGCTAAGCCCAGTTCTGACTGGGGGCCCACTGGACTCAGGGCCTTGCCTCATGGGGTCAGCTGACAACTAAGCTCTGACCACCTGTCCACAACCAGCAGGACAGTAATCACTTTCAGCCACCAGCCAACATGGTTGGATTTAAGTTATTGATCAATAGGCCAAAGGTCCTCTACTTCACCATGGCTCTTCCATGCCGACCACTCATCTCTTATAATTTCCCAAAACCTAATAATTTGATTAAAAGATATTTGATTAAGTGCAAGATTTACAAGGTTCCACACTGACACAAATTGTAATTCAATATAAGCCCATTCTAGGAAATGGGCTAGAATATGAACCAAATTCTTTTTTATCTACCCACTACACACATACACACACACACATGCCCACACATACTATTTAGCAACTTGTCACCATAAAGACTGAGAACAATTATTCACTATGCGCATTTGGCAGATATAATGGAACACTACATTGTCAGTAATCAAAAATTATTTTCCATTCTGGTTATTAATCAAAAATTTATTTCCCATTGACTAACCCCAGGAAAAGGTTATCATCTACTTCAGTCTGTACTTATTTCGCTACTAACAAAAGAGTCTTTTGTCTCCCATCCTCAGCAATGCAGAATTACCATCATTCCCAAGACCTCTTTGGGTTCCTTGACCAGAAGAGGCGTTTAGCTATGTCATCCATGATGTATTGCACATTTAATTGCACTATGCAGCTATTCAAAAAGCATTCAGAAGTAATCATTTAACATTAATATCCCAGGGCAATCCAAGGTCACAGTACATTAAAAACTAATTCACAGTGGTTCAAGAATGCATTTTTCATATATGGAGTAACATAATTCTTTTATGATAAAAATGATAGTGGTATTACAGGGTGATGAGATACAGGATATTCTGAATATCCATCATTGGACCTATTGTAAAAATGGCAAAGTCAGACCTTAGTTCTTCTCATAACTCAACACACCACTAATCTGTATTAAACACTACTGACCATGTTAACCTTTTATATGGCTGACCATGTTTTAAGGAGCAACAGCCCTCATTTGTTATCATAGACAATACAAGCATTTAATACTTATTGTGGTCATTTCATTCTCAAATTTTACTATCTGCTATTTTTTCTGATCCTTCTAACATCTAAAATTATAACATCTCCATGGGTAACTAAAGGCTTCTTGGTGAAAAATTATACTCATGCCTCCGTGTGTGTGTGTGTGTGTGTGTGTGTGTGTGTGTGTGTGTGTGTGTGTGTGTGTGTGTGTGTATGTGTGTCTCCATCACTTCCTTCCAAGAATTCTGTGGAAGATAAAATTATTACAACTTGAATCAAACATCTATCATACTGAAATAATAGTGTCCCAAGGCAGCAACATCTCTATACAATGTAGAATGGGCAGACCACACCCTCTAGAAGCTTCACCTCTCACAAAGGGTTATCATTCACAACCTTGTACAACAATTTGGTGCCATCCAGCAGGAAATATATCAGGAGTTATTTCAGCAGTTTACAGGCAATATTGTCAGATTTGTTAATATGCTAAACTCTGCATTTAAAGGGACCATGTTGCACTGCCAAACAGTTTTCTTTTCTTTCTTTTTATACTTCACATCTCAAAATCTAGTTTTCCAATAAGTCCATATAAATTAGAGGTCAGAAGCATCCAGTTCAATGGGTCATTTGAGATGATTAATAAGTATCATCGTAACTCTGTGTTCATGGCACTGTTCTAGGTGCTGGATGTGAGATCAGATTGGGCATACCTGGAATGGAGGCAAAGTATTAGGCCAAAAAACACAAATAAAATATAAATTTGGCTGGTGATAACAGAAAGCTGGAAAAGACTTTGACACATGACTAATCGTCAACGAGTTCTGCAGATGTTCAAGTGCTGAGTTCAGAAGAATGACGTTACTGGTCTCCACCCGTCCTTTCCCCTCAGCCTCCAGGACAGCCCAGAATATGTCCTAGTACTTAGGACATGTGTTCATGGTTCACTACATAAGCTGCCTTTCTCCACACCCCTGAGAACTTCTGTTTCCAGAAGGGAAGGAAAAGGGACAACCTTACAGATTTGATGATTAAGGGGAAGGTGTGAGATCTGAGAAACCACCCTCAAGGTGAGCAAAGGGATAGATGACCTAAACTACTAGAAATCACCATTTTCCAAACAATTTCTAACACAAATGCCACCTTTGGATAAATTAGGGAAACAAGTCATTCTGATTGTAACTTTAAAATAGAAAGCTCTTTGCATCTATTTAATTGACGATCAGCTTTCCTAGCTATAGTCCGTAAATCCACAGGCCAATGGAACCTGGGGAATCCTTCAAACACATAAACAAGGTGCTTTGGCATCTCAGCCTCTTGATGATGAAGACTGAAGAATCTCTCTCTCTCTCTCCCCCTTTCCTCTTTCCTTTCTCTGTTTTCTCTTTCTTTTATCCTTCATGAGTGCAAGACTTTGGGTACTAGAAAGTTACACCAAATTCGGCCGGGCACAGTGGCTCACTCCTGTAATCCCAACACTTTGGGAAGCCGAGGCGGGCAGATCACAAGGTCAGGAGATCGAGACCATGTTGGCTAACACTGTGAAACCCCGTTTCTACTAAAAATACAAAAAATTAGCCGGGCGTGGTGGCAGGCGCCTGTAGTCCCAGCTACTCCAGTGGCTGAGGCAGGAGAATGGCGTGAACCTGGGAGGCAGAGCTTGCAGTTAGCAGAGATCACACCACGGCACTCCAGCCTGGGCGACAGAGCGAGACTCTGTCTCAAAAAAATAAATTAATTAAAAATTTAAAACTAAAAGAAAAGAAAGTTATACCAAATTCACAAAGGAAAAAGTTAGAAGAAATGAAATAAAATACAGCTGGTTATCTCAAAATCTCTCAAAGGAGACATTTCTACATAAATCTCCCATGTTGCTTCCAAGTA
Source organism: Homo sapiens (assembly GCF_000001405.40). Classification (NCBI taxonomy): domain Eukaryota; kingdom Metazoa; phylum Chordata; class Mammalia; order Primates; family Hominidae; genus Homo; species Homo sapiens. Next base: position 93,454,834 of record NC_000008.11, read on the forward strand.
GCCAGCCTCTCCATCCCAGATTCTTGGGAAAGCCAGGTAGATGGACTGATAAAGAGAGAGTCATGTGAATCTATGATTGGAGGCTGCATGTGAGCATTTCTCATTTAAACAGTATGTTGGCTGGGCATGGTGGCTCACGCCTGTAATCCCAACATTTTGGGAGGCCAAGCAGGCAGATCACTTGAGGTCAGAAGTTCGAGACCAGCTTGGCCAACATGGTGAAACCCTGTCTCTACTTAAAAAAAAAAAAAAAAAATTACCCGGGCATGGTGGTGGGCGCCTGTAATCTCAGCTAGTTGGGAGGCTGAGACAGGAGAATCACTCAAACCCATGAAGCAGAGGTTTCAGTGAGCTGAGATCGCACCACTGCACTCCAGCCTGGGCGACAGAGTGAGACTCTGCCTCAAAAAAAAAAAAAAAAAAAAAAAAAAAGAGTATGTTAAAGATGCATACCCTGATCTTTCCCAACTTGTCAACCAGAAGTCTTAGACAAATCACATATATTGGCCTCTTAAACAGAACAGAAAACCAGGACTTCCTAACAAAATAAATTCCTTCTAAACTAAAGTTAACTCTCCTATAATTTCCTAAGGAACATTTATTGCTATTTTTACCCTTATCGTCAGTATTGTCATCATCAACATCTATGTGTCTGTATCCCCAACAAATGATGAAGAGAGGTAAGAAAAGAGATCTGGGTAAAGGTGTCAATCCTGAGTTCTAGTGTCTGTTACTCAAGTTTAAAGTCATTTGAACGCTCCAGGCATTGGTTTCATCATCTCTAAAAGGGTTGGACAAGCTCTTCTATATCCTTTCTAGACTTAACTTTGTTAAGTCTAAAATTCTAATTAAAACATTATCCAAGGACAAAATCTATCCACTTGGGCAGAGCTGATTATGGAGAAATTGATCTAGAGACAAATTCTTAAACAATAAGAGGATATTGTTAGTCTTACTTTACAGATGAAAAAACTGAAGTACTGAATGGTTAAATTACTACTTTTCCCAGGTCAATAAATTTATGAGTAGTAGGGTCAGTAACCAAACCCTGATATGGATTAGCAGAGCCTGTGGAGTCAAGTCTGGACCTTAGTTTGCTGTGAGACTTTGGGCAAGTTGCCTAAGGTCTCTGAACACTGATATTCTCATCAATATAAATGGGAATAATATAATACCTACATCTCAGGATTGTCATGACTTAACACATGAAAAATAACTGGTTAGTGCTTGATACGTAGTAGGGGATCAGTAAGTGCTAGTTTCTTTTCTTAGCCACACCATGCTGCCCATGGTATGCCAAAGGGAAGGTGGTAAGGATTTGATCTAACACTGAGTAGTCGGTAGCAACCTTTGTTAGTCATAGCATCTAGTTGAGTGGGTTTTAATCTCTGTGTCCTACTGCCCTCTTCTGGATATTAAATATCAGATCTGCTTGTGAATTCAGTTTATTGGTCCTATCTAATTGAGCAAACTCTGGACGTGACTCAGTAATGCCTACTTCAGAGAGGCAAAGGGGGCAATTAGTGAATGCAACAAGTAGACATTTACAACAGAACCAAAAGCTAGAAATGATAAAGTGATTACTAACTGCCATATTTATCTAGTAGGTCTAAGCTATTAGGAAGTGGCTTAAAGCAGCTGTCCCCAACCATTTTGGCACCAGGGACCAGTATCATGGAAGACAATTTTTCCATGGACTGGGGCGGGGAGAGTAGGGGGTGGTTGGAGTGGCAGATGGTTTCTGGATGATTCAAGTGCATTGCATTTATTGTGTACTTTATTTCTATTATTATTGCACTGTAATATTTAATGAAATAATTATACACCTCATCATAATGTAGAATCAGTGGGACCCCTGAGCTTGTTTTCCTACAACTAGATGGTCCCATTTGGGAGTGATGGAAGACAGTGACAGATCATCAGGCATTAGATTCTCATAAGGAGTGTGCAACCTGGATCCCTCACATGTGCAGTTCACAATACGGTTCACACTCCTATGATAATCTAATGCTCCCACTGATCTGACAGGAGGCAGAGCTCATGCGTAATGCTCTCTCACGCATGACTCACCTCCAGTTGTGCAGCCTGGTTCCTACCGGAGCTGGTCTATGGCCCAGGGGTTGGGGCCCCTAGTTTAAAGTACAGTTCCTTTCATGGGTGTTCTGGGTAATCTAACACCAATTGACAGTTAAAAATTAGTCACAAATACAAATACTGACTAAACATGTAGATACACAGATAACAATAACCAAAAAAAAAAACACTTTATGGTGGACTTGGAAAGGGATCCTAACCTATTTGAGGTTAGTCACATCTCCTAGACTATCTCTCTAGTAATTCAATTTTAGCACATATTTTTCTCCAAGCTCTTAAACCATTAATTGCATTTATTCACAAAAATAGAATCCACCTGTTTCTAATTCATTTACACCTTTTGTAACAAACTGCTGTTTTGTACCAAGTTGATGTCCAAAAAGCCAAAGATATCCTTATGAGTGTTAAGATGGTTAGAAGTTTTTCTTAGGGTAAACCTGGTGAAATGTACTAAATGAATTATAAAATATTTAAGATCCAAGTAGCAGGCATATTAAATAATATATGGACATTTGAAATATTAGAGAGTAACATTTACTTCAGGCAAAGAGTGAAATTCAAATTTTCATCTAAAAATTAATAGAAAAGAGATAACCTGTTGTATTACCTTATGATTCACCAAAGGTATAAATATATGGGTGGCCAGGCGCAGTGGTTCACTCCTGTAATCCCAGCACACTGGGAGGCTGAGGCAGGTAGATCACTTGAGGTCAGGAGTTTGAAACCAGCCTGGCCAACATGGTGAAACCCCATCTTTAGTAAAATACAAAAATTAGCTGGGCATGGTGGTGGGCACATATAATCCCAGCTACTCAGGAGGCTGAGGAGAAGAATCACTTGAGCCTGGGTGGTGGAGGTTGCAGTTAGCCAAGATTGCACCACTGCACTCCGGCCTGGATGACAGAAGGAGACTGTCTCAAAAAAAAGATGTGGGTGATTTAAATTTTATTTTTGAGAAAAATCTGGACAACTAGACAATATCTTAGACTTTTCAACACTTGAGATTAATTTTTAAGTTGGTTATGCTCAATATAATTACAACTTTAGGAAAAAATGAGTAACTCTTGGATTACAATAGATGAATACATTAGTGAGTGGATGAAAGGATAAGTAGTTCAACAGAAGAAATACCCTTAGAGTTTAAAAAATTCAATATATTTTTTTCATTGCTCCTAGGATCCATACATTTCTAACATAAATTATTTTTCCCTAGTACTTAAAACACTTGTTTTATGATCCATACCATATAATTGGAGATTTATATTTCTTTAAAAGCAAGATACTTATAAGGAAAGATTTTGTTAAGTCAAACTACATTTGAAATGCACTAAAGAGAAATTATAAACATTCTGAAAATAAATTCTTTTATGAAGTAAAGAATGATTTTTATGTGTATAATGATAAAATTATTTTTGTTTTATAAATCTCTATTATCGCACAATGAGTTTCTTAAAGCAGAATTTGCAAAGCAGTATTATTTATTAGAAAACACCAAGAACTGCCCTTGTTTAAACTTTAGGTTCATAGGTGAGAAATAATGTTCCCAACATCACCCAGCAAAGGAGGGATGGAGCAGGAGCCAACCTCAGGACTGCAAGATACTAGATACCTGCTGTTTCCTTCAGGAACACATGCACACCCTCAAGCACACACACACACACACAGACACACACACACAGACACACACACAGTTCATATGCCCATGCATTCATTCAGCAAGCACTAATGCCCTACAATCAAGACCCAGTTCAAAAACCGTCTTCTTAAAAGATCCCCAACGTACCCCCACAGAAGGAACGTCCTGTCTCTGCTTCCTGTTGACTTGTTCATTCTTCTATTATAGCCTTTATTACATGATATTATAATTATTATTTATATGTGTGTCATTTATCTGGACTATGAACTCAACAAAAGGTTAGCTTCTGTGTCTCATTCATATTTTTATTCCCAGCACCTAACCTGATGCCTGGAACATAGTAGATATTTCAACAAATATTACTGCGAATATGGAGAATTTATCTGAAATTCTGTGATTAGTTTCTCTGTGTGTCAGATACTAAATTTCTGAGTCAGCTGACCTCTACAGCACTTCTCTGCCCACAGACAGCAGTCATCTCCCAGTTAATTCAGTAGTAGTGAGTTTTCAGGCAAAAATGCTATTCAATATCTGCCTTGGGAACAACTTGGTGGGAATTAAAATATCAAATGGAGATGTGAATAGATAACCCCTAAGGCTTCTTCCAAACATGGTCTCCTATAATTCTAATGGGAGATGGCTCTTTTCTTGCTTTCTTATTCACCCTCTTCTTACTTTGTAAGAGCTGCTGAAGCAATGATACTCAATTCCTGAATACCTGGGATGTTTTGCAAATACAAAACTAGAAAAGCTCAGCTGGACTAGTAAGGTGGATCCTGACCCTATAAATCATCCAGGGTATTTGGTTAGACTATCTCCACTCTCTGGGCACCTCCTAAGTTCTAAGGCTATTCATTACTTCTTACTGATTTTGACTCATATGTCCTATCACATTTTCCAGCTGGGGCCTGTTCTCTGTCACTTGTATCGGCATTTCCTTGAGCACTGACTCTACCACCAGTATTTTTTTCTTAACTTTTAAGTTCAGGGGTACATGTGCAGGTTTGTTATATAGGTAACTCATGTCACAGGGGTTTGAAGTACAGATTATTTCATCACCCAGGTACTAGGCCTAGTACACAATAAATATTTTTTTTTCTGAACCTCTCCCTCCTCCCACCGTCCACCCTCAAGTGGGCCCCAACATCTGTTGTTCTCTTTTTTGTGGTCATATGTCATCATTTAGCTCTCACTTATAAGTGAGAATATGCAGCATTTGGTTTTCTCTTCCTACATTAGTTTGCTAAGGATAATGGCCTGCAGCTCCATCCATGTTCTTGACAAGGACATGAGCTCATTCATTTTTATGGCTGCATAGTATTCCAAGGTTTATATGTACCACATTTTCTTTATCCCATCTGCCATTGATGTGCATTTAGGTTGATTTCATGTCTTTGCTATTACAAACAGTGCTGCAATTAACATACAAATGTGTGTGTCTTTATGGTAGAATAATTTATATTTCTTTGAGTATACACCCAGTAATGGGATTGCCAAGTCTAATGGTAGTCCATTTTTAGCTCTTTGAGTAACTGCCATACTGCTTTCCACAATGGTTGAACTAATTTACACTCCCACCAACAGTGTAAAAACATTCCTTTTTCTCCACCTTGCCAGCATCTGTTATTTTTTGACTTTTTAATAATGGCCATTCTGACTGGTATAAGATGGTATTTCATTGTCTCCCACCAGATTTAATTACAGCTGACACAAACACTACTATGTAAAAGGATTGTACTGGACACTTTACATCTATTTTCATTATCCTCCTGAGAGCATAATTTTGATTCCCATGTTAAAGAACCACATAGAAACTGAGTAACCTGCCCAATTGCTGCCATTAGAAAGTAGTGGAGCCACAGCTGAAACCCATGTCCTTCCCACTCCAGGGTGTATGTGCTTAACCACTAAAGTACTGCTTCTCAAACTTTGCTGTACATACGAATTATCTGGGAGTCATGATTAAAAGCTGATCCTGATTCAGTCGAACTGGGGAGGGATCTGAAATTCTGCATTTCTAACAAGCTTCTGGAATCAGAGATCTGCTAGTCCTCTGATTACTCTGAGTAGCTAGGCATTATGCCATCCACCCTTCCTAAATTCTTCCTTGCCTTCAAACTTTGAATAGTTAGTTCTTCTTAGCTCCACCCCTGATTTGGAAACAATCAAAAAAACAATAGGAAAGCATGAGGGGGTGAGGTAACTACTCCTGGCACATGCATTGTAACTCATGCAGTTACCTACCCAACAGCTAACCAGCACCATGACTGACCACACAGCAGCCAGGTACAGTGAGGTACATGCAAGTACCTTCACTCCACTGGAGAATAGAAAGACAGTCTTATAACTTATTTTCTCTCTGACCTAAACCCACCAGAATTTAAATTTAACTGTCAAAAGCAAATAAATAAATCATGCATTGAGCTATTGAACAATACATTATCCATAAACAGCTATATTTTAAAGCAAGATACTAAAATGTAAGGGCTTTTTTTGAACTAAACAAGAATACTGACACCAAAGTAAGATCAAGACAAGCAAATTTAATGACTTAATTTTACACGATATAAAATCATTCCAGTTGAATAACTTTTAATTCATTATAATGCATATATGCCAATTATGCCTGATTTATTAAGAGTAGTTCAGCAGTGCTAGGTCCTGATATATCACACTGGTTGCCATGACATCAAGCCTTTACAAGGACATCTTAAGGATCATGAAAGTGTCAAGGTGATAAGTTTGACACTGCATGGGTTTAATGATAGATGACAATACTGTTGCATTGTTGTGCCAAAGAACACACCTCAGACACAAGGTAGAAGAATAAAGGTTTTATACATAAGCAGCCTCTTTTTTTATTGAAGATTGTTTAAAAGCAGCCAGAAGAAACGGGTGTCATTTACATACAGGATTATTTGTTTGTGTGCATGTATATGTATATGTGTATGTGACTGTATATATACAGTCACATACACATATACATATACATGCACACAAACAAATAATCCTGTGTGTGTGTGTGTGTGTGTGTGTATACACACACACACACACACACAGTCATGTGTCACTTAACAACAGGGATATGTTCTGAGAAAGGTATTGGTAGGCAATTTCATCATTGTTCAAACATCATAGAGTGTACTTACACAAACCTCAGTGGTACAGCCTACTACACAGTTAGGCTATATGTTATAGCCTATGGCTCCTAGGCTACAAACCTGTATAGCATGTTACTGTGCTGAGTACTGTAGGCAGTTGTAACACAATGGTAAGTATTTGTGTATCTAAACATACATAAACATAGAAAAGATAAAGTATATTATAAAAGATAAAAAAAATGGTACATCTGCGTAGGGGGCATTTACCATGAATGGAGGTTGCAGAATTGGAAGTTGCTCTGGGTGGACAGTGAGTGAGTGGTGAGTGACTATGAAGGCCTGGGACATTACAGTAAACTGCTGTGGACTTTATAAACACTGTACACTTAGGCTACACTAAATGTATTTTTTAATACATTTAGAGAACAGAGGCCTCAGAAATAACACCACACATCTACAACCATCTGATCTTTGACAAACCTGACAAAAACAAGAAATGGGGAAAGGATTCCTTATATAGTAGATGGTGTTGGGAAAACTGGCTAGCCATATGTAGAAAACTGAAACTGGACTCTTTCCTTAAAACTTACAGAAAAATTAACTCAAGATGGATTAAAGATTTAAACATAAGACTTAAAACCATAAAAAACCCTAGAAGAAAACCTAGGCAATACCATTCAGGACATAGGCATGGGCAAAGACTTCATGACTAAAACACCAAAAGCAGTGGCAACAAAAGCCAAAATTGACAAATGGGATCTAATTACACTAAAGAGCTTCTGCACAGCAAAATAAATTATCATCAGAGTGAACAGGCAACCTACAGAATAGGAGAAAATTTTTGCAATCTATCTATCTGACAAAGGTCTAATATCTAGAATCTACAAGGAATTTAAATAAATTTACAAGAAAAAAACAACCCTATCAAGAAGTGGGTGAAGGATATGAATAGACACTTTTCAAAAGAAGACATTTATGCAGCCAACAAACATATGAAAAAAAGCTCATCATCACTGGTCATTAGAGAAATGCAAATCAAAACCACAATGAGATACCGTCTCACACCAGTTAGAATGGTGATCATTAAAAAGTCAGGAACAACAGATGCTGGAGAGGCTGTGGAGAAATAGGAATGCTTTTACACTGTTGGTGGGACTGTAAACTAGTTCAACCATTGTGGAAGACAGTGTGGCGATTCCTCAAGGATCTAGAATTGGAAATACCATTTGTCCCAGCAATCCCATTACTGGGTATATACCCAAAGGATTATAAATCATTCTACTATAAAGACATATGCACATGTATGTTTATTGCATCATTGTTCACAATAGCAAGGACTTGGAGCCAACTCAAATGCCAATCAATGATAGACTGGATAAAGAAAATGTGGCACATATACACCATGGAATACTATGCAGCTATAACAAAGAATGAGTTCATGTCCTTTGCAGGGATGTGGATGAAGCTGGAAACCATCATTCTCAGCAAACTAACACAGGAACAGAAAACCAAACACCACATATTATCACTCATAAGTGGGAGTTGAACAATGACAACATATGGGCACAGGGAACAAACATGCAGGTAACAAACATGCAGGTGACAAACCTGCATGTTCTGCACACGTATCCCAGAACTTAAAGTATAATAATAAATATATATTTTTTTCAACAACAAATTAGCTTATTTAACACTTAGGTTAAAACACATACACATTGTAAAGCTATACAAAAATAGTTTCTTTCTTTATATCTTTATCCTATGAGCTTTTTTCTAGCTTAAAATTTTTATTTTTTACTTTTTAAATTTTTTGTTAAAAACTATGACACAAATACACACATTAGCTGAGGCCTACACAGGGTCAGGATCATCATTGTCACTGTCTTCCACCTCCACATCTTGTCCCACTAGAAGGTATTCAGGGGAAATACACACTGAGCTGCCATCGCCTATGGTAACAGTGCCTTCCTCTGGAATGCCTCCTGAAGAACCTGCCTGAGGCTGTTTTACAATTAACTTTTTCAATAAGTAGAAGGAGTACACTCTTCAATAATGATTGAAAGAACAGTATAGTAAGTATGTAAACTAGTAACATGGTCTTTTATGATCCTTATCAAGTATTATGTACTGTACGTAATTGTATGTGCTATACTTTTACATGGTTGGCAGCTCAGTAGGTTTGTTTACATCTGCATCACCACAAACATGTAAGTAATGCATTGGTTTACAACTTTACAAATGGCTGGGACATCAGTAAAAAATAGGAATCCTTCAGCTCTATTATAATTTTATGGGACCATCATCATACATATAATCCATCACTGATAAAAATGCCATTTTGCAGTGCATGAATATATATATATATACATAAACACACAGACATATACACACACATATTCTTATATCACATATACAAATATACTATATTCAATTAAAAAATGAATCCTGGGAGAGGGATGAATATGTTAGGCATGGATATTGATAAGGCAGTAAAACTATTCTGTTTGTTAGTGTAATGGTAGATACATGACATTATGCATTCGCCAAAACTCATAGAATGGTACAACACAAAGAGTGTAACTTAATGTAACTATGGCCTTTACAATGTATCAATATTTCTTTACTAATTATAATAAACGTACCACATTAATACAAGGGAACTGGGAGGTGAGGAGGCGGAGAGAGAATCTCTCAATTTTTCTATAAATCTATTTTTCTATAAATCTGAAACTGGCCTAAAAATAAAATTATTATATACAATATTATATACTGTTAAAATTATATACAAAATATATAGAGAGGGATATAAATATAGATTAAAACTCCTGGAGGAGCTACCAGAGATAAATTAATATGGCATGGTCAGGAAATAAGTAGTACTACCAGGTAAGAAAAATTTTAAAGTTATCAAGTTGAAAACATCTACCTTCAAGTCTCACAATGCCACCCTCTCTGTTTATTACCCTCCAGCCCCTTTCTGTAGTTCCCATACACGCGTGCACACACAGCATCCTCACACAAGCCTGTGCCTGACCAGTGCCCTCCGTTATTCCCACTTTCTTTATATCTTTATCCTACAAGCACTTTTCTAGCTTAAAATTCTCTACTGGGTCCTGAGAGGAGTCCATCCATGTTCCAGACCTTGCTTACCCATCAAACTACCTAACCTCTGCTCCACCTCCCCTGGGCTTCTCTCCTCACAGAGATGATGCTAAAGAGGAAAAGGAAGTGTTCTGGGCCACATTGGACTTAACACAAGCACTCACTCTCACCAGAGAACTAACTTCTTGCCTTGGCTTCATCTAAGATGCATGTCTCCAGCAGGCATTCAGGAAATCATTTTATTGGCAAGAAAAGTGTCTTTCAGATCCTGAGAACAAACCTGGAGAGGGAGTATCTTGAGGCCTGGGATCCATTTGGTACTTCCAACCCTACCATAACCATGCAGGAGCTGCTTGTTCCATCCTTTAGTAAGGAAAATGAAGGAAGATCTACATTCTGTGCCAAGCTTAGCACATACCAAGCAAGATTATCAGTGAAGACTAGACACCCACTCTGCATAATTGTCTATTTCATCATGGCCATCTTGCCTTCACCATTGTCATTCCTCTGCTAGTTTCGAGAAATAGTATCACATGATCCTAGAGAAAGCTCCATTTTGGTGCCTGTCTAGGGACAGTTCCTGGGGTTCTGGGGGTTGCAGAGACAGAGAAGCAGAAGGTTTGGTGCTGTCAAAGTGGAAAAAGAAGAAAAAGTAACTCAGGAGTTCATGAAGTGCTCAACATACTTCCTGTAAGGTCTTTTCCCCTTTAAAACAAAACCCTTCTCTCGAGTATTTTCTTTCTGTCCACATTTTCTTTCCCCTTAAGTTCCAGTTGACTATCTCTGAACTTTATAGGAAGCATCGGGTCCAGTGTTACACAGTATTGTCTGTTTCCCTTCAACAAGGACGCCTGGGAAATGATCTGTGAAAGAATGATCTTCTGTCTGCAATTATTGTTATAAATGTTCCTCTAGAACTCACTAGTGGCCGTATGGTCTTTAGTTTTATTTGAGAACATTCCTGGCTTGTTTTCTATTAAAGGCAAGGCAGGCAGAGAGGATAGTAAATGAAAAGATATTTCCAGCCAGGTTCTCAGTGAGATTTACTTTTCAGTAAATAAAGTACCTCTGGGAATAAACTGCTCATCCTTTGAGATGTATTACTATAGTTCTTATCATATCTGTCAATTCAGGAAAACAGACAATTTGCTAAGTATCCTGTTTCCCTGGAAATTAATTCTTCTGTGAACTGCTTCAGCCACTTTGTGCTTCTACCTCCTAGATCAAATATAGATTCTTGGCCTCCTCTTCAAAGCCACCCACCACTCCATCTCCTCTCTCAGAGCCTCTCTCACCCTCTTGAAAGGCTGCACTATGGCCAGCCCATCAGCTGCTTGCTGGCTTTGCTGCCCATGCATGTGACAGCCTCACACTCATTGGAAATGCTGACTGCATCATCCATTAGCTGATTCCCTCCTAGAAAATGACCCAAACTGATTAAACACAAATGTTTATTCTTTGCCATAACACCCTACTAACTCCTTTTTTGTCTCCCTTAATAGTGAGTAAATCATCTATTTTCTGTACTTAGAATAGTCTTATTAAAAATGGATGAACTGAAGATGGCCGAATATGAACAGCTCCAGTCTACAGCTCCCAGCATGAGTGACACAGAAGACAGGTGATTTCTGCATTTCCAACTGAGGTACCAGGTTCATCTCACTGGGGCTTGTAGGACAGTGGGTGCAGGACAGTGGGAGCAGCCCACGGAGCATGAGCCAAAGCAGGGCAAGGCATCGCCTCATCCAGGAAGCACAAGGGGTTGGGGAATTCCCTTTCCTAGCCAAGGGAAGCAGTGACAGATGGTACCTGGAAAATCAGGTCACTCCCACCCTAATGCTACGCTTTTCCAATGGTCTTAGCAAATGGCACACCAGGAGATTATATCCCATGCCTGGCTCGGAGGGTCCCACGCCCACGGAGCCTTGCTCACTGCTAGCACAGCAGTCTGAGATCAAAATGCAAGGCGGCAGCGAGGCTGGGTGGGTGGGTGGGGGGTGCCCACCATTGCTTAGGCATGAGTAGGTAAACAAAGCAGCCAGGAAGCTAGAACTGGGTGGAGCTCACCACAGCTCAAGGAGGCCTGCCTGCCTCTGTAGACTCCACTTCAGGGGGCAGGGCATAGCTGAACAAAAGGCAGCAGAAACTTCTGCAGACTTAAACGTCCCTGTCTGACAGCTTTGAAGACAGTAGTGGTTCTCCCAGCACAGTGTTTGAGATCTGAGAACGGAAAGACTGCCTTCTCAAGTGGGTCCCTGACCCCGGAGTAGCCTAATTGGGAGGCACCTCCCAGTAGGGGCTGACTGACACCACATACGTCCGGGTACCCCTGTGAGACGAAGCTTCCAGAGGAAGGATCAGGCAGCAACATTTGCCGTTCTGCAATATTTGTGGTTCTACAGCCTCCACTGGTGATACCCAGGCAAACAGCGTCTGGAGTGGACCTCCAGCAAACTCCAACAGACCTGCAGCTGAGGATCCTGACTGTTAGAAGGAAAACTAACAAACAGAAAGGACATCCACACCAAAACTCCACCTGTATGTCACCATCATCAAAGACCAAAGGTAGACAAAACGACAAAGATGGGGAGAAACCAAAGCAGAGAAGCTGAAAATTCTAAAAATCAGAGCGCCTCTTCTCCTCCAAGGAACGCAGTTCATGGCCATCAATGGAACAAAGCTGGACAGAGAATGACTTTCACGAGTTGAGAGAAGAAGGCTTCAGACGATCGGTAATAATAAACTTCTCCGAGCTAAAGGAGGATGTTCGAACCCATCGCAAAGAAGCTAAAAACCTTGAAAAAAGATTAGATGAATGGCTAACTAGAATAAACAGCGTAGAGAAGAAGACCTTAAATGACCTGATGGAGCTGAAAACCATGGCACGAGAACTACATGATGCATGCACAAGCTTCAGTAGCCAATTCGATCAAGTGGAAGAAAGGGTATGAGTGATTGAAGATCACATGAATGAAATGAAGTGAGAAGAGAAGTTTAGAGAAAAAAGAGTAAAAAGAAATGAACAAAGCCTCCAAGAAATATGGGACTATGTGAAAAGACCAAATCTACGTCTGATTGGTGTACCTGAAAGTGACGGGGAGAATGGAATCAAGTTGCAAAACACTCTTTAGGATATTATCCAGGAGAACTTCCCCAACCTAGCAAAGCACGCCAACATTCAAATTCAGGAAATACAGAGAACACCACAAAGATACTACTCGAGAAGAGAAACTCCAAGACACATAAATGTCAGATTCACCAAAGTTGAAATGAAGGAAAAAATGTTAAGGGCAGCCAGAGAGAAAGGTCGGGTTACCCACAAAGGGAAGCCCATCAGACTAACAGCTGATCTCTCGGCAGAAACTCTACAAGCCAGAAGAGAGTGGGGGCCAATATTCAACGTTCTTAAAGAAAAGAATTTTCAACCCAGAATTTCATATCCAGCCAAACTAAGCTTCATAAATGAAGGAGAAATAAAATCCTTTACAGACAAGCAAATGCTGAGGGATTTTGTCACCACCAGGCCTGCCTTACAAGAACTCCTGAAGGAAGCACTAAACATGGAAAGGAACAACCCGTACCAGACACTCCAAAAACATGCCAAATTGTAAAGACCATCGATGCTAGGAAGAAACTGCATCAACTAATAAGCAAAATAACCAGCTAACGTCATAATGACAGGATCAAATTCACACATAACAATATTAACCTTAAATGTAAATGGGCTAAATGCTCCAATTAAAACACACAGACTGGCACATTGGATAAAGAGTCAAGACCCATCAGTGTAATGTATTCAGGAGACTCATATCATGTGCAGAGACACACATAGGCTCAAAATAAAGGGATGGAGGAAGATCTACCAAGCAAATGGAAAAAAAAAAAAAAGCAGGGGTTGCAATCCTAGTCTCTGATAAAACAGACTTTAAACCGACAAAGATCAGAAGAGACAAAGAAGGCCATTACATAATAATAAAGGGATCAATTCAACAAGAAGAGCTAACTATCCTAAATATATATGCACCCAATACAGGAGCACCCAGATTCATAAAGCAAATCCTTAGAGACCTACAAAGAGACTTAGACTCCCACACAATAATAATGAGAGACTTTAACACCCCACTGTCAAGATTAGACACATCAATGAGACAGAAAGTTAACAAGGATATCCAGGAATTGAACTCAGCTCCGCACCACATGGACCTAATAGACATCTACAGAACTCTTCACCCGAAATCAACAGAATGTACATTCTTCTCAGCACCACATCACACTTATTCCAAAATTTACCACGTAGTTGGAAGTAAAGCACTCCTCAGCACATGTAAAAGAACAGAAATAATAACAAACTGTCTCTCAGAACACAGTGCAATCAAACTAGAACTCAGGATTAAGAAACTCACTCAAAACCACACAACGACATGGAAACTGAACAACCTGCTCCTGAATGACTACTGGGTACATAACGAAATGAAGGCAGAAATAAAGATGTTCTTTGAAACCAATGAGAACAAAGACACAACGTACCAGAATCTCTGGGACACATTTAAAGCAGTGTGTAGAGGGAAATTTATAGCACTAAATGCCCGCAAGAGAAAGCAGGAAAGATCTAAAATTGACACCCTAACATCACAATTAAAAGAACTAGAGAAACAAGAGCAAACACATTCAAAAGCTAGCAGAAGGCAAGAAATAACTAAGATCAGAGCAGAACTGAAGGAGATACACACAAAAAAAACCTTCAAAAAATCAATGAATTCAGGAGCTGGTTTTTTGAAAAGATCAACAAAATTGACAGACTGCTAGCAAGACGAATAAAAAAGAAAGGAGAGAAGAATCAAATAGATGCAATAAAAAATGATAAAGGGGATATCACCACCGATCCCACACAAATCCAAACTACCATCACAGAATACTATAAACATCTCTACGCAAATAAACTAGAAAATCTAGAAGAAATGGATAAATTCCTGGACACATACACCCTCCCAAGACTAAACCAGGAAGAAGTTGAATCCCTGAATAGACCAATAACAGGCTCTGAAATTGACGCAATAATTAAGAGCCTACCAACCAAAAAAAGTCCAGGACCACACGGATTCACACTCAAATTCTACCAGAGGTACAAAGAGGAGCTGGTACCATTCCTTCTGAAACTATTCCAATCAACAGAAAAAGAGGGAATCCTCCCTAACTCATTTTACGAAGCCAGCATCATCCTGATACCAAAGGCTGGCAAAGACACAACAAAAAAAGAGAATTTTAGACCAATATCCCTGATGAACATCAATGCGAAAATCCTCAATAAAATACTGGCAAACCAAATCCAGCAGCACATCAAAAAGCTTATCCAACATGATCAAGTGGGCTTCATCCCTGGGATGCAAGGCTGGTTCGACATACACAAATCAATAAATGTAATCCATCATATAAACAGAACCAAAGACAAAAACCACATGATTATCTCAGTAATTGCAGAAAAGGCCTTTGACAAAATTCAACAGCCCTTCATGCTAAAAACTCTCAATAAATTAGATATTGATGGGACATATCTAAAAATAACAAGAGCTATTTATGACAAACGCGCAGCCAATATCATACTGAATGGGCAAAAACTGGAAGCATTCCCTTTGAAAACTGGCACAAGACAGGGATGTGCTCTCTCACCACTCCTATTCATCATAGTGTTGGAAGTTCTAGCCAGGGCCATCAGGCAGGAGAAAGAAATAAAGGGTATTCAATTAGGAAAAAAGGAAGTCAAATTGTCCCTGTTTGCAGATGACATGATTGCATATTTAGAAAACCCCATTGTCTCAGCCCCAAATCTCCTTAAGCTGATAAGCAACTTCAGTAATGTCTCAGGATACAAAATCAATGTGCAAAAATCACAAGCATTCTTATACACCAATAACAGACGAAAAGAGAGCCAAATCATGAGTGAACTCCCATTCACAATTGCTTCAAAGCAAATAAAATTCCTAGGAATCCAACTTACAAGAGATGTAAAGGACCTCTTCAAGGAGAATTACTAACCACTGCTCAATGAAATAAAAGAGGACACAAACAAACAGAAGAACATTCCATGCTCATGGATAGGAAGAATCAATATCATGAAAATGGCCATACTGCCCAAGGTAATTTATAGATTCAGTGCCATCCCCTTCAAGCTACCAATGACTTTCTTCACAGAATTGGAAAAAACTAAAGTTCATATGGAACCAAAAAAGAGCCCGCATTGCCAAGTCAATCCTAAGCCAAAAGAACAAAGCTGGAGGCATCACGTTACCTGATTTCAAACTATACTACAAGGCTACAGTAACCAAAACAGCATGGTACTGGTACCAAAACAGAGATACAGACCAATGGAACAGAACAGAGCCCTCAGAAATAATACCAAACCTGACAAAAACAAGAAATGGGAAAGGATTCCCTATTTAGTAAATGGTACTGGGAAAACTGGCTAGCCGTATAGAAAGCTGAAACTGGAACCCTTCCTTACACCTTATACAAAAATTAATTCAAGATGGATTGAAGACTTAAATATCAGACCTAAAACGATAAAAACCCTAGAAGAAAACCTAGACAATACTATTCAGGTCATAGGCATGGGCAAGTACTTCATGTCTAAAACACCAAAAGCAATGGCAACAAAAGCCAAAATTGAGAAATGGGATCTAATTAAACTAAAGAGCTTCTGCACAGCAAAAGAAACTACCATCAGAGTGAACAGGCAACCTACAGAATGGGAGAAAATTTTTACAAATACCCATCTGACAAAGGGCTAATATCCAGATTCTACAAAGAACTTAAACAAATTTACAAGAAAAAAATCAAACAACCCCGTCAAAAAGTGGGCAAAGGATATGAAGAGACGCTTCTCAAAAGAAGACATTTATGCAGCCAACAGACACATGAAAAAATACTAATCATCACTGGCCATCAGATAAGTGGGGGGAGGGGGGAGGGATAGCATTAGCAGATATACCTAATGTTAAATGACGAGTTAATGGATGCAGCACACCAACATGGCACATGTATACATATGTAACAAACCTGCACACTGTGCACATGTACCCTGGAACTTAAAGTATAATAAAAAATAAAAATAAAAATAAAAATGGATGAACAACAAAATCTACTTACACTATCAAATCCTACTTGCCCCAGTCCTGCCCACCATCAAGTATTGAAGTTGGCAATTTAGACTTCCCTGGTAGCCAATGTTGGAGTGTGGGGTTGTTAAGCAATTATCTTTCCCTTTCCAGGTTTCAACCATTTGAAAGGGATGCCAGGAACCATGGGGAGGGAGGATCAGAAAACCTGATTAGATTATCTATTTTATAAGCTGGATCATAGAATATAGCAAGGCTTCTATTCTTTCTCTCCCCAAATTGGGAGCTAATTGCTCCTGGCTTAAGCAGCCTACAGCCAGTGGAGAAGCTGGAACCAAGTGAGCAGAGATCTGGTTGGGCCTGAGAGAAATGTGAATTGCTTGGTCTGTTTACCATGAGAGACTGGAAACATAGGCTTTTATGATGCCTGAGCTCAAAGAGGCCTGGAAGATCAAAGTGCAAAAAAGGAAGAGGCAGGTGCCAACTGCTCCATCCTTTAGCTGATCCCATTCTAGAAGTTATGCCATGGTAACAAACAATCTCAAAATCTCAGGGCCTCATGAACATCATGTTTATTTCTTACTCATGTAACAGTTGGGTCAATTGCAATTCACTTCCATGCCATCTTCACTTCAGGACCAGCCTGATTTTCCCTGGAATATTGCCAGCCAGGTGACAGAGGGGAAAGAGATATTCCAAATCCTATTCTGCTTTTTAAAGC
Source organism: Homo sapiens (assembly GCF_000001405.40). Taxonomy (NCBI): domain Eukaryota; kingdom Metazoa; phylum Chordata; class Mammalia; order Primates; family Hominidae; genus Homo; species Homo sapiens. The sequence goes on from NC_000008.11 coordinate 93,472,600, forward strand.
TTCTATTAAGAACTGATCTACTTCACTTCTGTGTAGTAAAGAATTTGGCTTTGCCCAAATTGAGGTCAGCCTTTGTTTTCACCTTCTGGGATGCAGTCTATGTTCTACCTCATAGGAATGTCTTTGTTTAGGGAAGGGACTGGCCACGTGAATCTTAGGATGGGGCCAGCCACACTCAATAGCTTTAGAGTCACTGGAAAGACATCCATGTGACTTGGGAAAGGTGTGTTGGATCAACCACATGGCAATCGACCTATGGGCAATCAATTAATCAATCATGCCTACGTGATGGAGCCGAACGAAAATACTGAACATCAAAGCTCAGGCAGTCTTCCCTGGTTGGCAATACTCCATGCATATTGTCACACATTGATGCTGGGAGGGTAACAAATCCTGAAGACAACAGAATCTTTGCTTGTGGAAACCTCTCAGACTCTACCTTATGTATCTCTTCCTTTGTCTATATATTTCATCTATAATTTTGATCTGTATATTTTTCCTATAATAAACCATAACCATGAAAACAATAGCTTGTAGTGACTTCTATGAGTCTTTCTAACAAATTATCCAAACAGATAATTACCCCTGAACTTGCAAGTAGTGTAAGAGTAAGGGTGGTCTTGTGTAAACTCTTCCCTCTAACTGTAGTTGGACTCTAACTTCTTGTGGTTGGTGTCAGGAGTCTTTGGAGAACTGGCAGACTGGAAGACCATCATTCCCTCAAACTTTGCAGTTTTGCTAGCTTCCATTTGCATTTTCTGAGCCTAAGCAAATCTTTGACCACCCTCTCTGAATTTATTGAAGGAGGAATGTATAATCCCACCACAAGAAGGGTCTTTACAAAGAAGGGAGCTGCAAGGAAGGACTGCAAATGTTTTGAACAATAAGAAGATCTACCACGATGGTTCAGGTAAAAAGAATTCAAAGGCATAAACTAAAGTGGCATCAGAGTGATGACAAGGCAGGATTGGAAATAGTAGGATACAATCAAAATCAAGAAGACTTGATGTTTAATTAGATGTGAGAGTAATGGAGTTCAAAGAAGAATCACTTTCACATTTGTATGTGGTTGATGATATTCACTGAGAGGAATGGGATTGGAAATAAATGTGTTAATATTGGACATGTTAAGTTTGAGGATCATCCATGAAGAGGTATTTGGTTAGGTTACATTGATCTAGAACTCAATAGAGAGATTATAGCTGGAATGAGAGATTTAGAATTCATCTCCCTATGGGGGTAGGTGAGTGAATGATATCACCACAGAGTTTCTAGAATATCAAATGGGGAGGGCAGAGGATGGAATCCCAGGGCAATGTTTTCCAGGCTTTTTCATGTCAGGGAACACGGACATTGATAGTGTTTGTGCAGTCCACTGAGATAAAAGGACAAGGTGGCTCAAGTCTGCAGGAAAAGGGTCCTGAGTCTGGCTACTGCAAGAACCAAGGGGATCATTATTTTGTGCTGGTTGGGAAGCTCAGTCCTGTGAAACATCTACATTTAGGCAGCTGGAAAATAACAAAAGAAACTGAGGCATAGCCACAAAGGAAGAAAATCAGGGAAAATGCCATCATGGAGGCCAGGAAAAGAATTTTTAAAGAGAAACTTCAAAGAGTTTACATAAAATGAAAACTGAAAGATATGAGCTACTTTTGACAAACAGTCGCGAATTAACTAAGAGAAGCGTTCTGTGCAGAAGTGGTATAGAATCGAGATTTTAGGTGGCTGAGGTAAAAAATTAATAGGAAAAGTACAGAGAATGAGTTTATGCCACCATAGGTATGGGCTAAAGACAGAGTTTGTCATCATGTTTGGGGGGAGTTGTTTTAAGATGGGCAGGGCTTCAGCCTTTCTCAAAGCTGAAGAAAAAGAATCAATGGAAGAAGAGAAGTTTGTAATTAAAAGAGTGACTTGTAAACAAAGACACTATGAGGAGGGGAGCCAGAGCTCAGAGTGGCAGGAAGAAGGACAAATCTTGCCTTGAGGTAGAAAGGAGAAGGATTCATTCAGGCAGGTGCAGTTAAGTCATACGTGGTGGGTAACAGCACGATAGACTTTTTTCTTTTTGAAGTGACGATGCTTCCATTCACAGATTATGCAGGCATACATAGGGCCCGGGCTTCAGGAAATATTCTAAGCAAAAGTGCACACAGGGCTTCAGGACAGTGTTCTATTAAACTGGGCATATACAAAACATTATACAATGGACTCTTTCCTTGCACCTTTTGTGTATTCATGTCCAAATGAAATAAACAGGTCTTACTCCCAGAAAAGTGAATCTACCAAAAAAACAAAACTATGCTCTCTTTCCTCCATCACAAGAACATCTTCTGATTTACCTCCTCCATTTTCTACCTACCTCATTTCTTTCCAAATATATTGGCCTTCTTGTTGTTCCTTGAAAAATTAGCATGCTCCTGACTCAGGGTCTTACTCAAGCTATTCTCTCTGTATAAGATTTTTTTTTCATCTATTGGCATGGCATTTTCCCTGAGTTGCTTTCTATCTCTACTAAAATCTCATCTTCTACAATATTTCCCATTCAATTATTTCAAATAACACCCTTCTATTACTCTCTTTACTCCTATTCTGTTTTATATTTCTTCATAAGACTTAACCACTGACATAGTTTTCTTTTCTTTTTTTTTTTTTTTACGTTTACTGCTTTATTATAAAGGATATTACAAAAGATAGCAACAGAGAGATGCAAAGGGACTGTGTAAGAAGAGGTGTGGAGCTTCCATGCTCTCTCTAGGTGCACCACTCTTTAGGGACTTTCACGTATCACTGACATATTTTTCAATGGATTGTTTGTTTACTGTCTGTCCCCTCCTCCAATCCCTAGGGGATCTAGTCTGTTTGGTAACCTGTTGTACTTCAGTGTCTAGAAGAGCACCTGGAAAAAACAGAGTGGTCGAGTGCTCGATATTTGCTGATTGAATGCCATTGCTTTTTTCTACCGTGTCTTCTTTGGTAAAGGTCCATCCCCACTTTCCAGTGCCCGTACCTTTTAACTTTCCCTTCTTTCCATCAGATCAGGAAAGGATTGGCTATCAGATCAGTGTACCATAATCGCTTGAGTTCTCTTCAATATGATAAATTTTGGTCAATGTATTTCCTTAAATATTAATTTATGATTCAAACTTTGATTCCTTATTGTGGAGTAAAAACGTTTGCTCTATATTAAAATAAATTCCAGCATCATAAGTCAATACCAGAAATTTTTAAATATAGTCATTTTAGGTTGACTAAGGAATGGGAAACCACTGGGAAAGTTTTCTCTCCTAACTAATCCTGCTCTGTTATGCACCATTTCAGATCCCTTTGGCCTCACAGTCCCTTGTTCCAGCCACCACTGCAACAACGAGCTCCACATGGCTCCAAACAACTTCACACAGGCACGATGTGACAAAGCCTTGCCTCATGCCACTGTAGGCCTCCCACCTCATTCAGGGCTTCCTCCTGCATGCTGGTGGGCCCCACTGGGCACGCAGTGTGATGGTTAATACTGAGTGTCAACTTGATTGGATTGAAGGATACAAAGTATTGATCCTGGGTGTGTCTATGAGGGTGTTGCCAAAGGAGATTAACATTTGAGTCAGTGGAGTGGGAGAGGCCAACCCACCCTTAATCTGAGTGGGCACCATCTAACCAGCTGCAAGTGTGGCTAGAATATAAGTAGGTAGAAAAATGTGAAAAGAGAGACTGGCCTAGCCTTCCAGCCTACATCTTGCTCCTGTTCTGGATGCTTCCTGCCCCTGAACATTTGACTCCAAGTTCTTCAGTTTTGGAGCTTGGACTGATTCTCCTTGCTCCTCAGCCTGCAGCTGGTCTATTGTGGGACCTTGTGATCATGTCAGTTAATACTTAATAAACTCATATATGTGTGTGTGTGTGTGTGTGTGAGTGTGTGTGTGTGTGTTTGTGTATTCCCTTAGTTCTGTCCCTCTAGAGAACGCTGACTAATATACCCGGGAATATATAACCTGGAAAGATAAGAAGAGTTTATACCTGGGGATGAACTTTTAGACAAGGGGAGATTGATGCCTATGGATAAATCCTTCCTCTTCTCTCCCACTGTGGAATTTTGCCTCAGCATGAATTGTACCTTGAATCTCATCTACATCTCATTTAAATATTTAGATAAGGCTTTGGACATTAGACTTTAGAGTTGACACTGGACTGCATTAAGATTTTCGGGGCTGTTGGGATAAAATAAGTGCATTTTGCACAAATTTAGGAGATTTATAGGGCATTGCTGTAAACCAAATTGTTTCCTCAAAACTCACATGTTGAAGTTCTAACCCCTAATGTGACTGTAGTTGGAGATAGGGCCTGTGAGATGATGATAGAAGTTAAAACAGGTCACAAGGGTGGTGCCCTAATCTGATGGGGCTGGTGTCCTCATAAAAAGAGAGAGCGACCCCAGAGTGCTCTGACCACCCTATGAGCACACAGCAAGGAGGCAATCATCCACATGCCAGGTACAGAGTCCTCACCAGAACTCAGCCATGCTGGCACCCAGAACTGCAAGAAAATAAATTTCTGTTGTTTGTCACCCAGACTATGGTATTTTATTATGGCAGCTTGAGCTGACCAATAAAGCCCAAGCAACTTGTCCTAAAATGTACTTTATATAATTTCTTGTACAACAGCCCCATGAAATCAGTCAGTCTCATCTTGAGGCAGCCAGGCTGATAACACATTTCATTTTGGCTCCCTCTCCTTCCCCACCTCACTCCCCTTGGCCCTCTCTTCTACTCTCTGTGATTGCACCTCCTACTATCATCAAGCTATACTCTCTGGGAAACTCAGGCTAAGACACCATCTATATGCCAATGACATTCAAATTTATGTCTAAAATCCAGACCTCTCTTCAGAACTCCAGATTTGTATATCCAACTGATACTCAACATTGCCATTTGGATGTCTAATAGACATCTCAAACTCAATATGTCCAAAACTGAACTCCTGATCTTCCCCCCCAAAACTTTCTCCACCCACAGCCTTCCTCATCTCAATGCATAGCATCTTTCTGCAGTTGCTGAGGACAAAATCTGTGAAATTATCTTTAACTCTCCTTTTTCTCTCATGTCTTACGTCAAATCCATCAGAAAATCTTGTTGACTTTGTCTTAAAATATATCCACAATCCAGTCACTTCCTACTCCTATAATTCTGATATGAGCCACTATCACCAATTGCCTGGATTATTACAATAGTCTCTTCAATGGATTCCCCATTTCTACCTTGGTTTCCATCCCTTACAGTTTTCTTTTTTTTTTTTTTTAACCACAGTATCCAGAGGCATCCTGTTAAAGAATATGTTAATTATGTCACTCCTCTGCTCAAAATCCTGCAATGACTCCTCATGTTACTCAGAGTAAAAGCCAAAGTAAAATAGTAACAAGGCCCTTCACGATGACTCCCAGTACAAGCAAGATAGGAAATACCTTTTTCTATTGGGTTATTGGAGGAGGGTTCACTTATAAAGTGATATTTGAACAGAAACCTGAAAGAAGTGAAGGAAAAGTGCCCTGGGCACAGGGTCAAGTACAAAGGTGTCTGAGGGAGGATCTTACTTGACATTTACAAAAGCACAAGGACACCAGTGTGGCTGGAGGGAATGTATGGAAAGGGTGGAAAGTATAGGAAATGAACTCAGTGGGGTATCAGGACCCAGATCATGCAGACTATATTGTAGTATCTTGCAGGTCAATGTAAGGACTTTGGCCTTTGCTCTAAGACAACACCTTTGGAAGGTTATGAACAGTAGAGTGACATGATCTGATTTGGGATTTAAATGAATCACTCAGAGTGCTGCGCTGTGCTGTGAATGACCCATGGAGGACAAAGGTGAAAGCAAGGAGACTATTTAGGAGACCGGTGCTGTGATCCCAACATGAGATGCTGACTTGAATCAAGAGATGCTGACTTGAACCCAGTGGATATAGGTTTAAAGAAAATAGGGTTCAGATTCTGAATTTATTTTGAGAAGGAACCAACAGAATTTGTGGGAAAAGGCCATGTCTGCCTTGTTCACTAGGGTATTTCTAGTGCCTGGCATATGTAAGTGATCAGTCAAGTTGGACACCTCTGTGCAGACTAGAATTTTGTATAGGATCAATGTCAGCCTTATTTTTCTGAAAATCCAGGCAACTTTCTTTCATCTCTGGCATTCTGGCATTCTGCCATCTCCCTCATATTTTAATTTATCCTCAATTACTTGCAGCAAATCTGAGAAAACATCTAAACATCTTCAAGTTTACATGTCTACAAGAAAATATTTATAGTTTCTCTAGGTTGTCAAGAATTGAATTCCTTTTAAATGTAGGCGATGTCATTTTATTTTCTTTGTTTACTTTGAACTTATGTTTACTCTTAATGAGGTTATTTACTTTTCCTACTTGAATTCAGAATGGAAACCATCTGTGACAGGGTTTATATTAACATGACTTTACTATCCACCTGTCTGAATTTTTTTTTTAATGAGACAAGGTCTCACTCTGTTGTCCAGGCTAGAGTAGAGTGGCATAATCACAGCTCACTGCAGCCTCAACCTCCAGGCTCAAGCAACTCTCCTACCTCAGCCTCCTGAATAGCTCCTGAATGGCACGTGCCACCACACCTGGCTAATTTATTTTTAATTTTTGTAGGGATGAGATCCCGCTATGTTGCCCAAGCTGATCTCAAACTCCTGGGCTCAAGCAATCCTCCTACCTCAGCCTCCCAAGGAGTTGGGACTATATGTACATACCACCATGCCCAGTTAATTTTTCATTTTTTTTTTATTTTTTTTGTAGAGATGGATTCTCACTATATTACCCAGGCTGGCCTCAAACTCCTAGGCTCAAGTGATCCTCACACTTTGGCCTCCCAAAGTGTTGGGATTATAGGTGTCAGTCACCACACCTGGCTTGTCCACAACAATATTACTTCACTATTCCATGAAAGTTTTACCAGGAAGTTTTCCAAGAAAATGAAATTGCATTGCCTTTTGTTTCTAGAACTTTCCAAAAATCCATTTCTTCAAACAATGAACAACTCTGCTACCCTCATCAAAGTTAATAGCCCCTTATACCAATGATACATCTCCCAACTAGACTGATCATAACACTTGTTTATCCTTCAAAACTCTCCTTGCCATCCAACCTACAGAATGGGAGAAAATTTTTACAATCTACCCATCTGACAAAGGGCTAATATCCAGAATCTACAAAGAACTTAAACAAATTTACAAGAAAAAAATCAAACAAGCCCATCAAAAAGTGGGCAAAGGATATGAAGAGACATTTCTCAAAAGAAGACATTTATGTAGCCAACAGACACATGAAAAAAATGCTCATCATCACTGGCTATCAGAGAAATGCAAATCAAAACCACAGTGAGATACCATCTCACACCAGTTAGAATGGTGATCATTAAAAAGTCAGGAAACAACAGGTGCTGGGGAGGATGTGGAGAAATAGGAACACTTTTACACTGTTGGTGGACTGTAAAATAGTTCAACCATTGTGGAAGACAGTGTGGCGATTCCTCAAGGATCTAGAACTAGAAATACCATTTGACCTGGCCATCCCATTACTGGATACACACCCAAAGGATTATAAATCATGCTGCTATAAAGACACATGCACACGTATGTTTATTGCGGCACTATTCACAATAGCAAAGACTTGGAACCAACCTAAATGTCCATCAATGATAGTCTGGATTAAGAAAATGTGGCACATATACATCATGGAATACTATGCAGCCATAAAAAAGGATGAGTTCATGTCCTTTGTAGGGACATGGATGATGCTGGAAACCAACATTCTCAGCAAACTACTGCAAGGACAGAAAACCAAACACTGCATATTCTCACTCATAGGTGGGAATTGAACAATGAGAACACATGGACACAGGATGGGGAACATCACACACTGCGGCCTGTCGTGGGGTGGGGGAAGTGAGGAGGGATAGCATTAGGAGATATACCTAATGTAAATGACGAGTTAATGGGTGCAGCACACCAACATAGCACATGTATACATATGTAACAAACCTACATGTTGTGCACATGTACCCTAGAACTTAAAGTATAAAAGAAAAAAAAAAAAAACCTCTCCTTGCCATCAATCAAAACAATTATGTCATGAACTTTGTCTGGTCCCAATCAGGCCACCACATTGAAAGACCTGCCTTAGACCAGACCCCTAAAAACCTAATAAACATATGACTTTCATTGTTCTTCCTCTGAAATGGTTGTCTCTCTTACTGCTTTGCTTTATCAAAGGTGTCTTTTAGTGTCTTTTCAGGGAATCCACAGTTGATGGATTTTTGTTCCTTTTTAGAAAATACAGAGGCCAAGTAGAACTAAAATAATTTATATTTCCCTCTATCATTTTAACTTTAAATCCTCCAATAATGGGCCTATTTGTTCTCTTTTTTGTTCCAAACATAGCAAATAATCTTTTTTAGTTTTCTTTAGCACTTTTTCCCTAATCATAGCACATTTTGAACTTTTTAATCTTCCATACGTTGTTTCTTCTTTCACCTCTAAACCTCCGTATCTTCACCTTTCAATGAGAGTGAATGTCTCCTGCTCCACAGGAAAATGGGGAGATTAAGTGAGATAATGTTTGTGAATACATTTTGCTGTCCAAATATCAAGGACAGAGTCTTCCTTCATTTTCTCATAGTTTTTTGCATTTATCTCTATTTTAGTCTCTACATATGGCTCTCTCTTTCACTCTAAACTCTGAAACAGTAGGAATTTCCATCTTTTTATCTATCTCAAAATTTTGCCCAGGGTGTATCCAAAGTTGGTTCTCTGTAACACAGGAGGGAGAGGAGGAAGGCCAGACTGGGTAAAAGTGTGCAGGTAGCCAAAAGGGTAAACAGACAGACAAGTGTCCAAGCTCTGACAATGCAAACCTGACAGCAAGTGGGCAGGTGCTGAACCAAAGTTAAAGCTAAAGTTCCAGTCCCCCATGCAGAGGCAAGAGTCACTAATTGACGGTTGTTTAAGGGATACCTTTGTCACTGTTGGATCTGACTTTCTGGTCAGGAATACCCTTGTCTTAAAGGGGCCAAGTCCCCACACAGAGCAGATATGTTTCTGAATTGCTCTACCATGGACATGGTCCATATTTCATTTTACAGCTCCCTTCCCCTCTTGAATGCTATTTCTTTCTATGGTCTGTGGCTACAGAAACCATTATGTAAACTCTTAAAAATTCTCTTTTCAACCTTACTACCAGGATAGGCACTTTCCAACATTTTTTCCCTTTACCATTAGGAACCCCAAGAAAACCAAGTCACTTCCTGAGAATGTCTCACAATAGGTGGCTGGAAAAGAAATCAGACTTATCCATGGCCTCTGTGGAGCAAACTGACTGTGTCTAACAAGTATTTAATGGACAGATGTCTACATAATAAGTCTGAATCTCATCACTCATCCAGAGGACACTCACTCCAGCTAGTGTTCAAAATTCTCTGAACAGGAAAAGCTTCTGCTTTTTTTCCTAAAGGGGACTATAGCATCCTCAGATCACAAGAGCAAATTCATATAATCCAAGTAAGTATTGCGGTCCAAATGAAATGCTGATGTCTCCACACATTCATATGTTGAAATCCTAACCCCCAAGATGATGGTAGTAAGAGGTGGGGAGGAGGAGACTAGGTCATGAGAGTAGAGTCCTTATGAATGGAATGAGTGCCCTTATAAAAGAAGCCTGAGAGAGATCTCTTACCCCTTCCACCATGTGAGGATACAGTGAGAAGACACCAACTGTGAACCAGGAAATGGGCCCTCACCAGAAAATATAGAGGACAAGTAGGACTATAATCATTTCTATTTCCCTCTATCATTTTAACTCTGGGAGGCCAACTGGCTCCCAAATCTGTCAGTGCTTTGTTCTTGGACTCCTCAGCCTCCAGAACTGTAAGAAATAAATTTCTATAATTCATAAGCTACCCAGTCTACAGAATTTTGTTACAGAAGCCCAAACAGCCTAAGACACCAAGGATGCACATATTTTCACAGTAGTGCCAGTTTTCTCTTGGCTGATGCCCTCTAACTTTTATTTTTTCAGCACAGTAAATGGCAATAAGACTACATCATTTAAAAAGGGGAAGGAGGAGTTTGTTTTTGTTGTGGGTGGTTTTTTTACTACCAGACACAGAGAAATGTATTACACAGAATTTGCCTTAAGTTATTTTCAGTTGGAATACTTATTTAACTATATTATTTTGAAAGCTGAAATCTAGCAGCAAAAATTAATTATATCTATTTCATATATATGAATTTTATAATTTTATATATAATGAATATGTATTTTATATATACACAATTTTACATATATGAACTTTATAATTTATATATATATATGAATAAACACACACCTATCTAAGCTCCTTAAAACACTGTTCTAAAACTTCTAATCAAGGATTACAAACTCCAATGCCTCTAAGAATAAGACAGGTAAAAAGCTAAACAATAGGAGTAGTGAAGACTACGGCAAACCTGAGAGTTCATGCCCTGCCTAAAAACATCCAAATGTATTTTTTAATAATAGTCTCTTTGCTAATTAAAGCTATCTGTGGGCCAAATTCAACTCTGGGGCCCCCGTTTGTGATCTCTGCAAAAACTTCTGTTAAAACTCCAATATATGGATGGGGTTCCAAGATGGCCGAAAAGGAACAGCTCCAGTCTACAGTTTCCAGTGTGAGCAACTCAGGAGACAGGTGATTTCCGCATTTCCAACTGAGGTACCGGGTTCATCTCACTGGGGCTTGTCAGACAGTGGGTGCAGCCCATGGAGCATGAGCCGAAGCAGGGCGAGGCATTGCCTCATCCAGGAAACACAAGGGGTCAGGGAATTCCCTTTCCTAGGCAAGGGAAGCCTTGAAAGACAGTACCTGGAAAATCGGGACACTCCCACCCTAATACTGCACTTTTTCAATGGTCTTAGCAAACAGCACACCAGGAGATTACATCCTGTGCCTGGCTCGGAGGGTCCCACACCCATGGAGCCTTGCTCACTACTAGCACAGCAGACTGAGACTGAACTGCAAGGTGGCGGCAAGGCTGGGGGAGGGGCATCTGCCATTGCTGAGGCTTGAGTAGATAAACAAAGCAGCCAGGAAGCTAAACTGGGTGGAGTCCACCACAGCTCAAGGAGGCCTGCCTGCCTCTGTAGACTCCACTTCTGGAGGCGGGGCATAGCTGAACAAAAGGCAGCAGAAACTTCTGCAGACTTAAACGTCCCTGTCTGACAGCTTTGAAGACAGTGGTGGTTCTCCCAGCACAGAGTTTGAGATCTGAGAACGGAAAGACTGCCTTCTCAAGTGGGTCCTTGACCCCGGAGTAGCCTTGTTGGGAGGCACCTACCAGTAGGGGCTGACTGACACCTCCTGCGTCCGGGTGCCGCTCTGAGACGAAGCTTCCAGAGGAAGGATCAGGCAGCAACATTTGCTGTTCTGCAATATTTGTGGTTCTGCAGCCTCCACTGGTGATACCCAGGCAAACAGCGTCTGGAGTGGACCTCCAGCAAACTCCAACAGATCTGCAGCTGAGGATCCTGACTGTTAGAAGGAAAACTAACAAACAGAAAAGACATCCACACCAAAACTCTACCTGTATGTCACCATCATCAAAGACCAAAGGTAGATAAAACCACAAAGATGGGGAGAAACCAAAGCAGAGAAGCTGAAAATTCTAAAAATCAGAGTGCCTCTTCTTCTCCAAAGGAACGCAGCTCCTCACCAGCAATGGAACAAAGCTGGATAGAGAATGACTTTGACGAAGAAGGCTTCAGTCAATCAGTAATAGCAAACTTCTCCGAGCTAAAGGAGGATGTTCGAACCCATCACAAAGAAGCTAAAAACCTTGAAAAAAGATTAGATGAATGGCTATCTAGAATAAACAGCATAGAGAAGACCTTAAATGACCTGATGGAGCTGAAAACCATGGCACGAGAACTACGTGATGCATGCACAAGCTTCAGTAGCCGATTCAATCAAGTGGAAGAAAGGGTATGAGTGATTGAAGATCACATGAATGAAATGAAGTGAGAAGAGAAGTTTAGAGAAAAAGGAGTAAAAAGAAATGAACAAATCATCCAAAAAATATGGGACTATGTGAAAAGACCAAATCTACTTCTGACTGGTATACCTGAAAGTGATGGGGAGAATGGAACCAAGTTGGAAAACATTCTTTAGGATATTATCAGGAGAACTTCCCCAACCTAGCAAGGCAGGTCAACATTCAAATTCAGGAAATACAGAGAACACCACAAAGATACTACTCGAGAAGAGAAACTCCAAGACACATAATTGTTAGATTCACCAAAGTTGAAATGAAGGAAAAAATGTTAAGGGCAGCCAGAGAGAAAGGTCGGGTTACCCACAAAGGGAAGCCCATCAGACTAACAGCTGATCTCTCGGCAGAAACTCTACAAGCCAGAAGAGAGTGGGGGCCAATATTCAACGTTCTTAAAGAAAAGAATTTTCAACCCAGAATTTCATATCCAGCCAAACTAAGCTTCATAAATGAAGGAGAAATAAAATCCTTTACAGACAAGCAAATGCTGAGGGATTTTGTCACCACCAGGCCTGCCTTACAAGAACTCCTGAAGGAAGCACTAAACATGGAAAGGAACAACCCGTACCAGACACTCCAAAAACATGCCAAATTGTAAAGACCATCGATGCTAGGAAGAAACTGCATCAACTAATAAGCAAAATAACCAGCTAACGTCATAATGACAGGATCAAATTCACACATAACAATATTAACCTTAAATGTAAATGGGCTAAATGCTCCAATTAAAACACACAGACTGGCACATTGGATAAAGAGTCAAGACCCATCAGTGTAATGTATTCAGGAGACCCATCTCACGTGCAAAGACACACATAGGCTCAAAATAAAGGGATGGAGGAAGATCTACCAAGCAAATGGAAAACAAAAAAAGCAGGGGTTGCAATCCTAGTCTCTGATAAAACAGACCTTAAACTGACAAAGATCAAAAGAGACAAAGAAGGCCATTACATAATGGTAAAGGGATCAATTCAACAAGAAGAGCTAACTATCCTAAATATATATGCACCCAATACAGGAGCACCCAGATTCATAAAGCAAATCCTTAGAGACCTACAAAGAGACTTAGACTCCCACACAATAATAATGGGAGACTTTAACACCCCACTGTCAACATTAGACACATCAACGAGACAGAAAGTTAACAAGGATATCCAGGAATTGAACTCAGCTCTGCATCAAGCAGACGTAATAGACATCTACAGAACTCTCCACCCAAAATCAACAGAATATACATTCTTCTCAGCACCACATCACACTTATTCCAAAATTTAGCATGTAGTTGGAAGCAAAGCACTCCTCAGCACATGTAAAAGAACAGAAATTATAACAAACTGTCTCTCAGAACACAGTGCAATCAAACTAGAACTCAGGATTAAGAAACTCACTCAAAACCACACAACGACATGGAAACTGAACAACCTGCTCCTGAATGACTACTGGGTACATAACAAAATGAAGGCAGAAATGAAGATGTTCTTTGAAACCAATGAGAACAAAGACACAACGTACCAGAATCTCTGGGACACATTTAAAGCAGTGTGTAGAAGGAAATTTATAGCACTAAATGCCCGCAAGAGAAAGCAGGAAAGATCTAAAATTGACACCCTAACATCACAATTAAAAGAACTAGAGAAACAAGAGCAAACACATTCAAAAGCTAGCAGAAGGCAAGAAATAACTAAGATCAGAGCAGAATGAAGAAGATAGGGACATAAAAAACTCTTCGAAAAAATCAATGAATTCAGGAGCTGGTTTTTTGAAAAGATCAACAAAATTGACAGACTGCTAGCAAGACGAATAAAAAAGAAAGGAGAGAAGAATCAAATAGATGCAATAAAAAATAATAAAGGGTATATCACCACTGATCCCACAGAAATACAAACTACCATCACAGAATACTATAAACTCCTCTATGCAAATAAACTAGAAAATCTAGAAGAAATGAATAAATTCCTGGACACATACACCCTCCCAAGACTAAACCAGGAAGAAGTTGAATCCCTGAATAGACCAATAACAGGCTCTGAAATTGACGCAATAATTAAGAGCCTACCAACCAAAAAAAGTCCAGGACCACACGGATTCACACTCGAATTCTACCAGAGGTACATAGAGGAGCTGGTACCATTCCTTCTGAAACTATTCCAGTCAATACAAAAACAGGGAATCCTCCCTAACTCATTTTATGAGGCCAGCATCATCTTGATACCAAAGCCTGGCAGAGACGCACAAAAAAAGAGAATTTTAGACCAATATCCCTGATGAACATCAATGCGAAAACCCTCAATAAAATACTGGCAAAACCAAATCCAGCAGCACATCAAAAAACTTATCCACCATGATCAAGTTGGCTTCATCCCTGGGATGCAAGGCTAGTTCGACATATGCAAATCAAAAAACGTAATCCATCATATAAACAGAACCAAAGACAAAAACCACATGATTATCTCAATAGATGCAGAAAAGGCCTCTGACGAAATTCAACAGCGCTTCATGCTAAAAACTCTCAATAAATTAGGTATTCATGGGGCATATCTCAAAATAACAAGAGCTATTTATGACAAACCCACAGCCAATACCATACTGAATGAGCAAAAACTGGAAGCATTCCCTTTGAAAACTGGCACAAGACAGGGATGCCCTCTCTCACCACTCCTATTCAACACAGTGTTGGACGTTCTGGCCAGGTCAATCAGGCAGGAGACAGAAATAAAGGGTATTCAATTAGGAAAAAAGGAAGTCAAATTGTCCCTGTTTGCAGATGACATGATTGTATATTTAGAAATCCCCATCATCTCAGCCCCAAATCTCCTTAAGCTGATAAGCAACTTCAGCAAAGTCTCAGGATACAAAATCAATGTGCAAAAATCACAAGCATTCTTATACACTAATAACAGACAAACAGAGAGCCAAATCATGAGTGAACTCCCATTCACAATTGCTTCAAAGAGAATAAAATATCTAGGAATCCAACTTACAAGGGATGTGAAGGACTTCTTCAAGGAAAACTACAAACCACTGCTCAATGAAATAAAAGAGGACACACACAAACGGAAGAAGATTCCATGGTCATGGATAGGAAGAATCAATATCGTGAAAATGGCCATACTGCCCAAGGTAATTTATAGATTCAATGCCATCCCCATCAAGCTCCCATTGTCTTTCTTCACAGAATTGGAAAAAACTACTTTAAAGTTCATATGGAACCAAAAAAGAGCCCGCATTGCCAAGTCAATCCTAAGCCAAAGGAGCAAAGCTGGAGGCATCACGCCACCTGACTTCAAACTATACTACAAGGCTACAGTAACCAAAACAGCATGGTACTGGTACCAAAACAGAGATATAGACCAATGGAACAGAACACAGCCCTCAGAAATAATACCACACATCTACAACCATTTGATCTTTGACAAACCTGACAAAAACAAGCAATGGGGAAAGGATTCCCTATTTAATAAATGGTACTGGGAAAACTGGGTAGCCATATGTAGAAAGCTGAAACTGGATCCCTTCCTTACACCTTATACAAAAATTAATTCAAGATGGATTAAACACTTAAGTGTTAGACCTAAAACCATAAAAACCCTAGAAGAAAACCTAGGCAATACCATTCAGGACATAGGCATGGGCAAGGACTTCATGACTAAAACACCAAAAGCAATGTCAACAAAAGCCAAAATAGACAAATGGGATCTAATTAAACTAAAGAGCTTCTGCACAGCAAAAGAAACTACCATCAGAGTGAACAGGCAACCTACAGCATGGGAGAAAATTTTTACAAGTACCCATCTGACAAAGGGCTAATATCCAGATTCTACAAAGAACTTAAACAAATTTACAAGAAAAAATCAAACAACCCCATCAAAAAGTGGGCAAAGGATATGAAGAGACACTTCTCAAAAGAAGACATTTATGCAGCCAACAGACACATGAAAAAATGCTCGTCATCACTGGCCATCAGAGAAATGCAAATCAAAACCACAATGAGATACCATCTCACACCAGTTAGAATGGCGATCATTAAAAAGTCAGGAAACAACAGGTGCTGGGGAGGATGTGGAGAAATAGGAACACTTTTACACTGTTGGTGGACTGTAAAATAGTTCAACCATTGTGGAAGACAGTGTGGCGATTCCTCAAGGATCTAGAACTAGAAATACCATTTGACCCAGCCATCCCATTACTGGGTATATACCCAAAGGATTGTAAATCATTCTGCTATAAAGACACATGCACAAGTATGTTTATTGCAGCACTATTCACAATAGCAAAGACTTGGAACCAACCCAAATGTCCACCAATGATAGTCTGGATTAAGAAAATGTGGCACATATACATCATGGAATACTATGCAGCCATAAAAAAGGATGAGTTCATGTCCTTTGTAGGGACATGGATGAAGCTGGAAACCATCATTCTGAGCAAACTATTGCAAGGACAGAAAACCAAACACTGCATGTTCTTACTCATAGGTGGGAATTGCACAACGAGAACACTTGGACCCAGGATGGGGAACAGCACACACCAGGGCCTGTCGTGGGATGGGGGAAGTCGGGAGGGACAGCATTAGGAGATATACCTAATGTAAATGACAAGTTAATGGGTGCAGCACACCAACATGGCACATGTATACATATGTAACAAACCTGCATGTTGTGCACATGTACCCTAGAACTTAAAGTATAATATAAATAAATAAATAAATAAAACTCTGATATATGGCCAGGTGCGGTGGCTCACGCCTGTAATCCCAACACTTTGGGAGGCCAAGGTGGGTGGATCACGAGGTCAGGAGTTCAAGACCAGCCTGGCCAAAATGGTGAAACCCCGTCTCTACTAAAACTAGAAAAATTAGCCTGTAATCCCAGCTACTTGGGAGGCTGAGGCAGGAGAATCGCTTGAACCCGGGCAGCAGAAGTTGCAGTGAGCTGAGATAGTGCCACTGCACTCCAGCCTGGGTGACAGGGTGAGATTCCATCTCAAAAAATAAACAAACAAACAAAAACTCCATATACAAGCAATCATATCTCTCACTATCTCAGTTACTCTACATACACTGAAAACAGCTTACTTTTGGTTTTACATATCACAAGATCTTATTAGAGACACATCAGCACGATTTGAATTCTATCCTCTGGTCTGTTCTCCAGTTGTGCCACTAAGAGCCAGTTGGCCTCCCAAATATTATCTGGACATATACTTACGTTAGCCAACTGGCTGCTGGTACTGGTGCTGGTGATGAGTAACTGTTATTAAGTGCTTATGACACACTAAACATGAAATTGTTGTTCTCCCCATATTTAATGAATAATGAATAGTCAATAAAAGCAAGCGTTGGTAAATAAGTCATAATGCTACTGTCTCATTATGAAAATACATACTATAGTGCATGAATAAGAGTCACTACTGTCTATAGAGTGGTCAGTTTGTATTTCATCTATTGTGTGTGTGTGTGTGTGTGTGTGTGTGCATGCGCACATGCATGGTGAGAAAGAAAGACAGCAATCAGATGGTACAATCGACACATAATTTTATCTTCCAGTCTGTGTTTGAATAAACAACTGGCCGACATATAGTTTTGCCCACTACATATTCAGTTCTCATTATCAGCCAAGATCTCTCAAGGTGCTTTGCAAAGTCATTAAAATCATATCATTCTATGTTAACATAATATTTTAAGGTTCTTTCTGAGCTTCATAAAATACCAAATGAAAGTTGATTTTTCCTTAATGAATAATTCTAAATGTGTGATCATATGTAGCCCTGACAACCCAGAAGTGAGACAGAAGACTATACAGTATGAGCACTTGGCCATGTCAAAGTAGTCCAGGCTGAAATTGTCTTATCAGTAGTGGTTAATTATTTGAAACAAACATTCTCAATAACAAGTGGATATTCAATTGGTAGCCAAGGTTCTGATGTCAGGAAGTTGTTATTAAGGGCCTGCAATTCCCTTTAAAATTCCAAGAAGACATGTGGATATGAGGATAAACATTTACCTTCTAGAGCAAGGGTGGATGAACTTTTTCTCTAAAGGGCTAAACAGTAAATACTTTAACCTTTTCAGGCCATACAGTCTCTGCCTCAACTACTGAACTCACCATCGTAGCAAGAAAGCAGCCAGACAATATGTAACTAAACGGGTATAGCAGTGTTCCAATAAAACTTCATTTATGGACACTGAAATTTGAATTTCGTGTCATTTTAATGTCACAAAATATTTTTCTCTTTTGATTTTTTTATCATTTAAAAATATAAAAACATTCTTAGCTTACGGCTTGCACAAAAACAAGCAAGGGGCTAAATTTGGCTCACTGGCCATTTTTTTGTTGTTGTTATTAACAAATTAAATATCTAAAGACAAAAAGATTATTGAATGGCTTCTGCTCTGGAGTAAGAAATCTGAATAAGGTTCAATTTGGTTAATATAGCTTCATACCTTGCCCTCTTAACATCATTAATTAATTTCCCAGGCTGAATGAAGGAGAGATGGGCTCCCTCCCTCTTTTCTGCATGGAGCACTTCTACTCAACCATTTGGACCCTACAGATACCCTCTTCGCCCTGTTCTTATTCGTTATTTCCCTCCTCATATAAAAAGCTAAAATGTTATCTATAATTTATCTAGTTTAATTGTAAAGTTAAGCAAGTGGGTTTTAGGAATAATTAATACCATGGGGAAAAATGTTCATAGTGTGTTAAGTAAAAGGATCAGAAAACCACATCATAGGTGCAATATGATCCCAATCTGTGAGGGGAGGTGTTATCTTTTGTTGATTAATCCTTGAAGGTGGTTTGGATTTTATCTAGATTGTTCTCAGTCTCTTCAAAGGCATAATTATTTAAGCATAAAATACATTATTTTCTTCATTTCTTTTCTAAATATCATCCAAACCCTTGAAGCTGATCTCCCTTCCTTGTGCATCTTCCACTTACTCTGATTTGTATCTTCTGACCTTAAATCCTGAGCCTTAATTCCAAGCCTTCATCTAAAAATAGACTCTCTAACAAAGGCCACTGTAAATATTGATAACACGTTGTGGCTCTCAAGGCTGCTAGATTGTTCTAGAAAAGTGAGGCCTTGTTAAGAGAGACTTTTAAAATCACTTTGTCCTTGTCTGGGAATGGCTTTATTATTTAGCCAAGTTACCTGATAATTAACACAGATCTAACCAATTAGGCTAACATAAGCGTCACCTGATTCTTGCTCTGAGTCCTGGCTTTCTGTTTAGTGCAAATTAGCGCCTACTAATTAAATAAATTTAAGTGCCAATAAATAAAGCATGGCAAGAATTGATTCAAAAAATACTATATTCAGTAGATTTGCTAATGCTTCCTTCCCAAATTGATACGAACTCAAAAGGATGGGGAGGGCATCAAATTTAACTACCTATATAATAAAAAGACAAGGTTAGAATTTGCAGAACCACAGTAAAACGAAGCATCATACTCTACTACTTTAAGGGCCCTAATCCTATGGTCACTTCTTAGGCAGTATAAATATATTATAAACTAGACAGCGTTCAGGTGTATTCACTCATCGCTTTTTCTGTGCATTCATTTCACCTTCCCAGTATGTCCTTGGGATCCAAGCATAAACTGTGATGCCAGCATGATGAACTTAAAGTCTTGATAAAATTCATTGGATGTGTTTTAGACAGTTGAATGAACAAAAGAAAATTTTAACCTAAAAACCTTTCCACAGTCTCCTTTGTATTTATTCTTTATTTTCAATATTAGAAACACCACCCTGGTTACTTCCTACTGGTTTTTTAGTCTACTAGTTAGTTCATTGGTCTCCCTAACTTTGGTCTTTTCTCCAATGTCACCCATCCTGTGCATCCAGCATGCCTCTGATCATGCCTTCCCTCTGCTAAAAAAAAAAAAAAAAAAAAAAAACCTTCATAGGCTCCCTGCTGCCAAATGAATAATTTTTTTAAAATAAATTCAGGGCTCTTTGCAATTAGTCCCAAGTTTTTCAAAATTGCTTTCTATTATATTCTTATGACTAGCTCAAGCTTCAGTCTTTCTCTGAATATGCCCTAAGTTTTCTTTCCATTCTCTTTTCTGTTACTTATGTTACCCTGTAATGATAATAACGAATGATAGTAATAGCCACCACCTATTGAGTCTTCACTACATCCACATAATCTCTAATCCCTTTACAAACATTATCTCCCTTTATCCATAGAAACACATTAATAAAGTAGGTATCATATCCCCCCTCAAAGAAGTTAAGCAACTTGCCTATGGTTACCTATAACATACTAAGTGTTGGAATTAGGTTTCAAATCCAGGCCTCTGAATTACATGCCCATTCCCTTAACCACTTTATCTCTCACTTACTCCATTCCAAACGCAAATGCCCTCACCACCCACTTCCCAAATAACCACACACATACACACACACAGAAACTCAACCATTCTTCAAGGCCTATCCCAAATGCCACCTACCTCCTACATAAAGTCTTTCCTGTTACCGTTCCCTTCTCCCATAGGTCCTCCTCCTCGAAAACTCCAAACTATATCCTTTCTGCCTAAGAATCCATATGCCCCTAGGCTTCAACAGCTAGTGATCTCAAAATAAGATCATTTATTATTTAATATTAAAATTATAATGACTGAATCCTGTCCCATGAATCACAGGAAGTCTATTTTTTTAACCAAGTTTCCTCCATATATAATTTCTGGGAACCCCAGTGGAGTACCCATATGCTCCAAAATGTATCTTAACTTCGCCCTATTACCCATGTTCTGAAATACTGCTGTATCAGAACTTCCCTAGGGTCTCTTTGGGGTGTTTTCTCTTCCTGTACTGATTTGCTTCAAGATTGGACACCAGTCCACTTTGTTAATCATCAGCTCCCCCAAAAAGACCACCAGAAAAACCTGGTGATTGAGCAAAGCGAAGTTTATCGGACTTAACCGCTGTAAAGAATACCACCATGACAAGGACTTACTTGGTCTCAGAGGATGCAGATCAGAAAATGGATATTTCTAGAATTCTATGACTTGGCTTAAGGGGGATTCTTTCAAGTTGGAGAACTAATTGAGATTAGACAATGTTTATGACATAGTAGTTTAGAATTGGTGAATACAGCAACACTCATGTCTTGAAGCAAGTTGTGATAAATCGTTATCTGAAAAGTGAACCGTTGCTTAGATGAGGAAACCTATCATTCTGATAGAACTGTTTGCCTAGATAACCAAATGCTTTGCCCAGATAAATTAATTTGCAAGAATTTCCTAAAGCAAACAGTAAAGTTATTTACTGGTTTACAGTTTTATCTTGTTGAGAAAGAATTTCCTAGAAATAATAGGTCATATTGACACAAGCTATCAGAGTTCTCAACTTCTCACCATTTCTTGATTCACAGCTAAGCTCAGACTATGGTATATAACAAGACTTTATTGAATCATTGTAGGGTAATGGAGATACAATGTATGAAGCTCCCTTTTTTGGCTGCTAATAACAGTTACTCTTGCAGCTTACAGACCATAAAGCCAACTGCAAGTCACTTGTTTAACCTCCAGAATAAAAGATAGAATTAAGAAAATGCACAGATAGAAACTGAAGACTAACAGGCAAGATAGCAGATCGGGGGAAACTAAAAGCAAATCATCAATCTGGGGGCATCAATCATTAGTTGCCAAGGTATTAGGCTGTTAATGGTTTTGCTATTCTTTTTCTGTTTGAAGCTCTTTGATAGCATTTTCCAAATGAAGTCTCGGGGTTCCCATTCATTTACATGTGATGTTCCAACAGGCTGAAAGGGGATATTGAGATCACCTCACCTACTCAATCTGTGATGATTTTAGAACTTTAATTGTAATCATGTGGCAACTCCCAAACCCCCTTTCACTCTCAGCCTCATACAGGTAGCTCAATGCAGTGCTTTTTAAACTTACCTACTGAAGCATCCCCCTAACGACAGAGAAAAGTTTTATCTTACCTCTGGTAATATTACTACCTCAGGGAAAAGAGCCAGGTTTAAACTCAGGTTTCTAACAATCACCCCACTACCACTCCAGGTTGAGAGACACATCCTTATGTTGATCAATTTATTTGTTATTACTCTGAAAGATTAAGATGATGTTATTACAACTGCTGACATATTAATTGTCCCCTAAAACAGAGTTTGCAAGTATCTGATCATGGAAGAATTTCCTTTCGCTCCCTATATGATTGAAGTTCAACATCAGCTTGTTTTGATTTTTATTTTACTTTCTCTCCCACTGCCATAGGCGCACGCACACACGCACACACACGCACATTCACACATAAGTCAGGCTACCTGAAAAAGGCATCTCCATGAAACCTTCCAGTGGAGCAGCACAGACAGGCATGGCCTTTGGCCCTGTTCCTCCCCACACAGCCTCAGAGGCATGCAAAGAGGTGAGCGAGGGGAGGACGAGGCAGACTCAGGTGGAGGGGAAAGGAAATCTCAGCCGTACTCCCCAGGTGCCATCTACTCGGAGACCCTCAGAAGCCCTCCAAACCGTTCCATCAGACCGAGCCTCACATTTCAGGGTGTAATGAAGGCTGCAGAAGTAATAGAAACATACTTACCACTGTCAAAACGAATCTGTTAACAGGAAAGTTTGTGGCAAGCGTTGGGTAGCTCATATCCGTGAGGAAACTGGTTTCCTATTTAGAGAAAATAGAGCTGTTCTTCTTAAGCAGAGAGATGCCTATTGTGTGGGTAATTACAGGGAGGCCCGGCTGACCTGGCAATGAGGTAGGGTAGCTAAATACCTGAAGGCAAGGGGAGCGTCTGAAGTGAAAGCGAAGGCCCCATCTGCCAGGCTGTAATGATTGTGCTATTTGGAGGCAGAAAGGTTTGTCTGGAGCAGCTGGTTTCTCTCCAAGTGACCTTTTAGCATTTCTGCTTTTGCCGTCTGACAGATGTGTCAACTCAATAATTTCAAAAGCCCCTGAGTAAATAACCAATTGTGAGCAAGGATGACCCAAAGCGATGACAAAATGGCTGCACGCGGCACATTATGGAGCATAATACCGAGTGACGGAACAGGGAACATTATCAGAAGGAAAAAACATTTTCGTCTTTAGTTGGGACTAAATGGCTCTCCTACCCACACTTCAGTTGTTCTTGAAGCGGGGAAGAAAGGGAAATGCGCTGACACGGAGGGACGCGGCGGCGGCCTTGCCCTTGAAAGCCCGCGTTACCGGGCGCGGGACTCAGCTGGCGTCAGGGCGCTGGAAATGGACTCCCGCGCGCTCGCCCCCGCTCTGCCGGAGGACCCAGCCCGGGCTAATTGGCGCTGTGAATGATTCGGGGCTGTGAACAGGCGACTGCAATCAGACTAGGGCTGATGGCGTTGGGAGTCTTGCAGAGTTTGCACTGGCAAGGCAGGTGCGGCCGGGCTGCTTTTATCCGGGAACTAAGCGGGAGGGGGCCCAGAGGCCAACGCTGCAAGGATCTAGTGCAGCAGGGGCCAGAGCTTCAGGGAATAAGATTGCCCAGGATTCCTCGGGGGGCAAGCAGAGCACCCTTGCGTGGAAATCTGATTGATTCACCGTATGCATATTTTTTGCCAGGCTTTTTAAACCCTTCACTGCTCCACTGGAAACACCACCAAACTAAGGTGAGAAGAGCTCCGCCCAGCCCCCTGAGCACTACAGGGCCCCTCCCTCAGTGCAAGACGCTTCTGCAATGGCATTTTCTGAGACTTGGATGTCCAAATATTCTTTCGATTATCCTACATTGAAAGTGTTAGGATTTTCTCTTTTTAATCATTTAATCCCCCCTTTTAAAAATGCATTACATAAATTTACAGTAAACCGAATATTAACTTTCAAAGGCAAATTTTCCATACCTGAATGCCCATCTTCCCAGAGACAAACCGTTATGATGAGAGAAGTAATGTAAACACAAAGAGTGCCGTGCTGGGGAACAGCTCATACCAGTTTGTGAGAGTCAATGTCAAGTTTTCAGGAATATTGCAAACATTTTTAAACCGATAGTACCTTTGAAATTCGTCATCGTGGTAGTATTTACACCATGGAAATCAGTAAACACTATAAATCAGGGCTTTTTTTCTCCTGGAGAGGTGGTTGTTATACATTTACCAGCACACCACTGACGCAGGCAAATCAGAGCATTACCGTACTTTCATTTGGCCGTGAGATCTGGCTTGCTCTCTACTTTACTTTTTTTTTTTTTTTTTTTTTTTGAGACACAGTCTTGCTCTGTCGCCCAGGCTGGAGTGCAGTAGCACGATCTCGGCTCACTGCAACCTCCACCTCCCGGGGTTCAAGCTATTCTCCTGCCTCAGCCTCCCAAATAGCTGGGACTACAGGCATGCCACCACGCCCGGCTAATTTTTGTATTTTTAGTAGAGACGAAGTTTCACCATGTTGACCAGGCTGGTCCTGAACTCCTGTCCTCTGGTGATTCACCTGCCTTGGCCTCCCAAAGTGCTGGGATTATAGGCATGAGCCACCACGCCTGGCCTCCTTTACTGAATTTGTATTGCAGATTCTGCACTTAATTAATGCCAAAGCTGAGGCTGATCAATGACAAAACATTTGCTAATTTGAAAAAGGTTTGAGGATGTTTACAGATTATGGTTAAGTTCTTTAAAAAAAAAAGTATTACCTATACTTTAAAGTAAAAGTACCTCAAAATAACATGCAAAACATCAGCACAGCTCTGATCATGCCTTTTCACTGCTAAAAATCTTCCATAGTTTCCCTACTACTGATCGAATTTTTTTAATTAATTCGTCCATTTACAATTGGCCCCAACTTTTCAGAATTATTTTTTGCTACATCTTTATGAATAGCTCAAGCTTCAGTCTTAATTCCATAAACTTAGTCTGACTGCTCTCCAAAATAAAATTTCCAGTCAATGCTGGCGCATCTGGTCAATAAGATGCTCAGGATATTCCACACACATTCCTGACATTAAGTTTTGCTCATTTATGTGCTTCCTGTCAGAACTACATGCCCCTGTCCTACTACCTACCTAGATCCTGTATGTTCTTCAAAGTCCCACTCCTCTCACAACTCTAATCCATAATCGATTTCTTTTTTCCTATAATTTCCATGACATTTTTTGCTTCTACCTCTCACTTTGGCTCTTAACCATATGACACACTACCTTGACGTTTTACTTTGCTCTTTTCCATGTGCACGCCTTGTCTACTCACATAGAGTATAACCTCTTGATGAACAAGGCCTTTGTATTACATAAGACAGTATAGATCTTCCTCAGCCCCTGGCACAGCACTATTTATACACATAGTAATGCTTAAGACAGTGTTTCTCACCTCTCTGAATCTACAATCTCTGTGGGAGCTTTAATAAATACTGCCACCTAGGCTTCAACCCACAGAGATTCTGATTAAGTTGGTTCTGATTATATTGTGTTAGCAAAGTTCCCAAATAGTTACAAATCTACCTACTTTGTTGCTACCCAGTTCAGAATCCCTGCGGAATTCTCAATCCATGGTTGAGAGCCATGACTTAAAAGATATATGGATGAATGTAAGGAAATAAAACTAAATTGTACAAAATAGACAATTGTTTTACTAGCACCTCTCTTTTTAACCAAGGTAGATTCACAGCTAACTGAAATATGCCATTATGGCCTTTAACACCCGCTATCTGACCATGAGCTCTTTAAGGATGGGGAATAAATTATGTTTGTAGCAACATCCCCATCTATTGAAATGTCTGGAACCAAGCAGATCTTGGGTACCCACAATGATCTCCATTTCATGTCTATCCATTTAGATTCCCGCCCCCCACCCCACCTGCCTCCACCAACCTTGCTGGGAAAAACTTCCAGATCTCAGTTTAGATGAGACCAAAATAATGTTGTTCTTGTGTTTTAAAGTTGTGTTTTTAATAATAAGACAAAAGAATAGATGAGTCCATTTAAAGATGATAAAAGAAAAAAAGCAGAACAATTCTCTTTCTGGTTTGATTCCATTTCTTCTCCGTGAAAGAGAAAGATACTCTGACTACAAAGGACAGAACACAAATCCTAGTAGGGGAGATAGTAAGAGAGTGTCTAACAGCTTTAAAATGTGTTCAAGTCCAGATGCATTACATCTAAGACAATTAAAACAATTTGCAGCTGTTATTGCAGCTGCTCGTGTCCTGGGAAAAAAAAAATCAGAGGGAATGGGAAAATTGCCAGAAGATCAGAGCTAAGCAAATGCCTTAGATTTCAAAAAGAGGGATTTCATAATCTAAAGCCAGATGAGTTTGACTTTCATGCCCAGCAACATTTTAAAATGTATTCTTAACTCGATTATGTGTATGCACTTAGTAGGGAAAGAGGCAATCACCAAAGGCCAGCATAAGGTAGCCAAAAATAATTCATGACAAATTATTTTTATGCGCTTACTATATTAGAAGGAGATGGAAAGAATATTACAGGCAGATTTTATTCAAACACCTGTCAGGATTGATTTAAAGGAAGAAATGTATTGAGTCCCTGCTATGTGCTGTTTACCATAATAGGCCTTTGGGATAAAATGCCAGACAAGACACAGTCGTCGCCTTCAAGGGGATTTAAGTCTAGCAGGAGTGGGAGAAGTTGAAAAGAACACAAGGTCAGTCTTCATGGGGTTCAGCATGGGTGCAATGGGGAAAGATGAAAGGAAGCTCTTAGATGAAGGAAACTCTACTGTAGGAAGTTGGCATCTCAAGGGGATTGGATACATAAAGAGGAATAAGCCAGGCCAAAACATCTGGGAACTGGAGGTGAAGAATGTGCCAGACAGAGAAAACAGGAGGTGAAAGGCTTCAAGCTGACAGAGCGAGGTGGCTTAGGAGGCCGTAGGTAGTTCAGGAAGACTGAAGCATAGACTTCAAAGTGGAGAGTAAGGAATGCAGAGAGAAAGGTAGAAGAAACAGACAAGAGTCCAAACTAAAAGCCATGTTAAGAACTTTAGACTTTACTCTGAGAGTAATAGAGAACCTTTGGAGGATTGTAAGCCAGAAAATGCACATTGATTTCACCAAGTTATTTGACAGTCTCTCATCATATTATTGTGGATATGATGGAGAACTATGAACGTGTAGCAATGAAGGTCAGTTTGTAACTATTTGGAAAATTGTCGCATGAAATGTCAATGTATAAAATTGTTAGCAAGTAAAAAGAATTCTGTTGGCATTTTTCTATGCCCGTTCTTTGATTCTGTTTTATTCAGTGTATTTATCAAGAACTGTGGCAAAGTCTTTTTTACGGACTGCAAAAAGCTGAGAAGGAGGCAAAGTATTGTTGAAACATTATCAAGATTCAGAAAGCTCTTGACAGGCTGGAGCAAAGGGCCTATGCCAGCAAGATAAAATTTTAATCTTCATTTATGTTTTAAAGATAATCTCTTCTAGAAGAATAAAATGGGAAATCCTCACTTTATAACAATTCATGTGAAATTATAAATTCAAGAGTCAAAAACCTGTTGTGCTAAAGACTGTGACCCCCCTTGCTAGGAAAATCAATCACAGACTGTGTGGGTGATATCACTGTGTTTGGCTCTAGATGTGGCAGTGGCTCCAGTAAACACCACCAGCTCACATTTAGGAACTGTGTCCAATTCTAGGTTCAAATACCCAATGTCAAGGTATTTGAGGACCATGATATAAGAAAATGGTAAAAAGATATAACCGAACAGGGATAGAAGCCTTTAATTTTTAAGAGAGTAACTCCAGAGGATTGAAATAGGACCACCAAATGAAAGCTCTATATAAGGAAGACATTTTTAGAAGAAAATAATTTTGTGTCTTTTGTATTTTGTGTTCCTTTCCAATGCTTTTCTATGTAAATAAATATTCTGATGTACTTGTAGATTAAAAAGAAAGAAGGAAAAACAATTTGGGTGGTTGAGGTAATTGACTATAGAGCACTGGATGACAATGAATGTCGAATTTGTAAGTGGAATAGGTGGCCTTGTAGCTTGTAGTCTTCCTACCAATAGAGAGGCTTGTGCCATCTCTCAGAGATGGTCACTAACATGTCTAGTAACATGTCTAGTAATGAACCCAAGATCCTGGAGATGTTCATTCAGTTTGTTAGGAGTATTTAAAGGGAATTTTTACACTGGAAGAGAGGTCTGGCTTTTCCTACCTTGAGATCCTATTTTAAAAATTCATTATAACTACCCCATCTCAATGTCACTGAAGAACTAGAGGAGAATGACTCTTCCACACCAATATTGCTACCTCAGAGTCATTTTTGTCTGCTTTCATTGAATATTTATCCTACAGTTTCAGGAATTGATTCCTTCTTTTATTGCCCATTCTTTTAAAGGATCCCAAACGTCTCTTCCGCATGTTTCATGTTTTCTTAAAATTTCTGACACCTCCATGATGACAGATGTTGTAGCATAAATAACCAAAGATACCAAAGCTTTTGGGATAAGTTTCTTCTAAGGAATTCTTACGTAGGACCTAGTGGTCCCTTTTGTCCATCTTCTTAGTCATAAACCCTGAGCAACCTTCCTTTCCCATGACCATGCCACTCTATCACAAACATTTCAAGAAACAAATATAAAAGTGGCTCTCCACTCACCTCTGACCTCTCACATGGAGGCTGAGTTCAAGCACAGCCACTGGTATCCTTCAAACATTTGCTGGGGCCACCCCTTTCCTACAACCCCAATCC
Source organism: Homo sapiens (assembly GCF_000001405.40). Taxonomy (NCBI): domain Eukaryota; kingdom Metazoa; phylum Chordata; class Mammalia; order Primates; family Hominidae; genus Homo; species Homo sapiens. The sequence continues at coordinate 93,501,329 of NC_000008.11, forward strand.
CACTACTCCAAACTCTACCTGTGCCAGCTCTACAGCCTGTCGCTTCCAGAGTCCTCTTTGTTTGGAAATTGTCAGTGTTCAAAGCTACTGACAAATTTATTCTGGCTTTGAGGATGACTGTCCCATACCTATCACCTTGAGATTCCCTTATGTTATGGACTATAATACAATCTTCCAACACTTTTTTTTAAAGGGCTTCAGTGTTTAACCTCAGTCAGACCCTGGGCCTCTTGCCTTCCTCCTTCTGTTTTCTTGCTTGTACTTCATGTTCTTCCAAGAAAGTTTACTGAATAATGCTGCATCTAATCTGTCTGCGTTTTGTCAGATTCTGTTGTCTTCATAAAATCCCCAAACTGGCCCCAGCTTAGATCACAACAGACTTTTCTTTCCATTATTACAACACTCTTAAACTCTTCCTTCTCCTTGAAATCTCATTTTACAACCCTGCCACCACCACACATACACACACATGCAATAATGCAACTTCACTGAAGAAAAACTAGTCTTTTTTCAAAAGGTAATGATGTATGTTCTATTTGTTCTTTTTCTATTTGCTCCTCAATCCATTGCAATCTGGGTTTCTGCCATGGTTGTTCCACCAAACTCACCCTCACAATGGTCAGTAACATCTACTGGTTGACAAATACAATGGACACGTTCCAGTTCAATTATTACTTTATCTCCCTGCAGCATTTGTCATTGTTGACTGTTCCCTTCTTTTTTGAAATTCTCTTCTGCCTTAAGCTTCAAGGTTTTCCTCATGACTGACTGACTCTTCTCTTTAAGTTTTCTTGTCTCTCTCCACCAGCCATTTAAAAATTGATCTTTACCAAGATTTGACTCTCAGAGCTTTACTTATCTCACTCCTCAAGCTGTCCCTCGAGTAATCTCACCTACCCACAAACTTCAACTAACACTTACAGATGATGACATCTGACCTCTAGGCTCACTTCTGTGCTTGCATATGCTCTAAGCTTAAGACTTCAAACTGACAGAAACTCACCTCATCAGTTTCCTTGCCCTCAAACCCTCAAAAAAATTCAGGAGAAAAAAAATCCTTTCATCCTTTCATGAACCTAAATTATCTGGGTGTTGTTTTTTTTTTAATTTGGCTTCACCTTTCCACCCTCATTTTGATTCTGACAATGATGACTAAGATGCAAAATAACAGAATATTATATACACACTTGGCAATTAGAGACTAGAAACTCTGTTCTAAAAAGGTGATAAAAATAAGCTTAGTGTTTTTTAGATTGCTACAGTTATTTATTTACTTACTCATTTATTTATTGAGACAGAGTCTTGCTCTGTCACCCAGGCTGGAGTGCAGTGGTGTGATCTCGGCTCACTGCAGCCACTGCCTGCTAGATTCAAGTGATTCTCATTCCTCAGCCTCCTGAGTATCTGGGACTACAGGCATGTGCCACCACACCCAGCTAGTTTTTGTATATTTAGTAGAGACGGGGTTTCACCATGTTGGTTAGGCTGGTCTTGAACTCCTAACCTCAAGTGATCCACCTGCCTCAGCCTCCCAAAGTGCTGGGATTACAGGTGTGAGCCACCACGTCCTGCCTCCTACAATTATTTTTAAAATAAAATTAAAAGGGTGACTATAATTGTGTGTAGTTGCCAATCAATATTTCTAATTTTTTGATAAGCAAAAACTTGGACTCTGGATTGGAGCAGACATACAAAACTCTGGGAATCCAGATGTTCTGTTTAGAAAGAGATTTGGGGTAACACGTCTTGCATTCTAAAGCTCACTAAATTCTTCCTTCTATCTTGGCAGGTTACATGATGAAACAATACAAGCTGCTGTGTTTCAAAAAAAAAATCTTTAAAGTTGTCCTATTGCTTTTTTGGTAAACACAGGTGAATTTATTGTTTGAGGTACTCTTCTTCCTTGCATAAGGGGGTCTAAAACTCTTCATTGTTAAGGTCAGAGTCTTTCCTCTGCTGGGAAGCCTCAGATGCAGACTGCCACCACTAAAATAAGTCATAAAACAGAAATCCCAAGCCAAGACCACATAAGCCAAAGTATCATGCACCCAGCATATGTACAGAGCACAAACCTATTATTTCACACCTGGTGCAATGCCAGTGGAGATTCTAGAAGCACAGAATTAAACTGTTATTTTTGACAAAGTAGTAGTATGTGTTGGCATTCAGTAAATTTGCTTGAAATTCTAACAACTTCCCTATATAGAATATCTACCCACCTGACATTTTTTCTTTATATGAAATCTTATAATAGCACATCTGTAATAACATTTCCTGTTTTCATTTTTTCCCCAGGAACACTGTTGACTCCCACTGTATAAGAACTACAGTGCATCTATCTCCATTAGCATTGTCACACGGGTTTTATAAAATCATATTACAAAATGTGGGTCAGTGATCACTGAGTCATGTAATTTATCAAGACAATACCCAGATGCGCTGTTTGACATTCGTTTTGCAGGGATGCAATCTACTGGTATAAACAACTCTGTAATGCCTACCATTCTTCAGAAGCAAAGGCCATTTACGACTAGGGGGAAAAAATCAATATCCAGAGTTCCACTCCCTATCAAATATTTAATGTCTCAATGTTTTATAAGATAATATATCAGTGAAAACTGACAGGACACTTTCCGTTGATAACACATCATATTTTCAGCTTGACCCTCTAATGGTGTCTCTAAATTTAGACTTTTAGAACCAAAAAGGACTTTGTCTCTTAGCCCAAGCCCCTGATTTTACTAAGAGGACACTGAGATACATAGTACAAGACTGAAGAACAACAAACTGGCCCAGTGGTTAGTGATAAAGTCTAGAACTAAAATTTCCCTGGTCACAAATTTCGTAAATACCAAGTTCAGTTCTTTTCAAATCTTGCATATTTCACTCTCTTTCTGTTTCCTTCATCACACCATTAGGATGGAATTAATTCCCTAATGTTTATATTACATTTAATTAAATCAACATTTTTAAAGTACTTGCTCTATACTAGGCACTGCAATAGATATTGGAAATAGTAAAGGTGCTTCTCTTCCATCAAAGCAGGACTTTCAAGAGCGATAGGAGATAAGACACAAATGTTCCCCATTATCCCACTGACAAGTTCCTCCAACTCATTCACTGGCATCTTTTCCTCTGTGGCCCCTTAAAATCTTATTCTCTCCTTGCCCACTTTTTCTTATGACACAACCCAGTCTGCCTCATTATTTCATTGCTTACAAGATGTTGGCTGTGAACTACCCTGATTAGTCTGAAGCATGTGTCTCCTGAGTCCTGGTCCTCTGTCCCCAGGCATCTATTGCATCTCCATCGGTTGTCTCACAGGTTTCTTAAGCTCGCACATCTATAAGTGAACACATCCTCTAGAACCCCTTGTTAGGGTCCTTATTGGAAGTAACAGTCATAATTCCATTATGCAAGTGCCCTATTTAATTTGTCCACTGAGGTATCTGTCTCTCCTACTATAGTGTAAACACCTTGGAGGCAGGTCTCATGTGTTTTCATCTAGGTAGTCCCAATACTTTTCTTGAGACCTAGTGAATATATAATAAATATTTATCAAATGAATAAACAAAACCATTGCCTAGGGCTGGGCATGGTGGCTCATGCCTGCTAATTCCAGCACTTTGGGAGGCCGAGGCAGGCAGATCACCTAAGGTCAGGAGTTTGATGCTAGCCTGGCCAAAGTGGCAAAACCCTGTCTCTACTAAAAATACAAAAATTAGCCGGGCATGGTGGCAGGTGCCTGTAATCCCAGCTACACGGGAGGCTGAGGTAGGAGAATCGCTTTAACCAGGAGGTAAAAGTTGCAGTGAGCCGAGATTGCGCCATTGCACTCCAGCCTGGGCGACAAGAGCAAAACTCTGTTTCAAAAAAAAAAAAAAAGAAAGAAAGAAAGAAAAGAAAAAGAAACCATTGCCTATGTGTTGCCCAAACCAAAATCCTGAGTTGTCTTAGAAGACACATGCTATATTCAATTACCTGATAAGTCCTAGGCATTTTATTCTCTTAAATTTCTCTCAAAACCATACCTTTCTCTTTATAAAAAACACTGCCCTGGTTTAGGTTTAATGATCTCTCACTCATATACCCTAAATGTTCTCCCTACTTCCAGTATAAACTTTTCCCACTCCATCTTATGCATACTCATAATCTATTTCTTAGTTGCTTACAATCCCCCAGTGCTCCGGGGAAGGAGTACAACATATAGCATCTGCTGTGATCTTGTCCCTTCCTACTTATTCATCGCATGCTCTTTTCTAGCCTTGCAGCTCACATTCCATCCATACCAAATGTCCCACATTTCCCATTGTATACGGTGCTCCCTTGCCCAGAATGTATTATCCCAGTTCCCCCCGACAAACTTTTACAGCAGTTGTCAAGATGAAAGCTTATCTCTTGATTTCCTCCAAGCAAACTTCAAGGCTCCTTCTTGACACATCCAATTGTGCCTTTTACATATTTTCATTATGGCAATTGTGACATAGAAATTCCTGTCTATATGTCTTTGCCCCTGCTGGAGTTGACACATAGAAGGTATTCAGTAAATATTAATGATTATTTTATAACAATACGCACAGATTACAGAGTGCCCCAATGTCACTAAATTTCCCCATGTATACTTTAAATCAAGACTTCACTTTATGTTGGTTTGTTCACTTTAGTATTACTAGATGCAATTTGTGCCTTCAATATGTAGTAGACTGAACAAATAGTGGGCAGAAGACATGATCAAAAAACAGGGCCTTTGTGCACACCCAGATCTATCTTTCCACTTGGAGAAGGATGACAAGTAGAGAGAAAAAGAATGAAAGGAAAACAGAAGAGAGAGAAAGGAGGCATATATACATTAATGCCAACATAATCCACTCCCCCTCATTTCTACCATGGTGACCTTCATTATTTTTCCGGTCCCTTTAATGTCCTCTATCTTGTCTGCTTTCCTATAGCTACCAAGATACACCAAATCCATAGATTATCTCCAAAACTGCTTTTTAACAAACAGTTTCAATCTTCTGTTCTCCAGGTGGTAAGAAGTGGCTAGGAGGGAGCCTAATACAATCATTAGAACTTGGCCTCTGCTATCCCTCCCTGACCCATCACCTTCAAGCATGACTCCAGCAAGCAGTGAAACTTCAACATTCCATATCATCAGATCTTGACCCATGAGGGGAGGTGCTGATGGGTTAGAAATGTTAAAGTTTTCCATCTCAGAATTACATTTGCACAACAAGGTCTACATTGATGCTACCATGATAAAAGCAACGAACATGTCTTGAGAACTAAGAATCACGCACAGCAATATTCTCTTTGATAGAAATCCTTCATGAATCACAAAGAAGCTGTAGGTTCTGATATTTTTTAAAGCCAATGATGTAAACATGATACCAGGACACTCATTTTTATCATTTTAAAACCGTTTTAGATTGTGGTCCAACTTCAAGCTGAAGAATGTAAGTCACTTTTCAAGATACTTTTCATGTCCTGCATGAGAACTTAGAGCTTAGCGGATTTATGCAAACAACTTGGAGGCTAAATGCAGTAGTCCGAGCAAGATGTGTGTGCTCTGCATCCATCATGTGGTAAGATGAGTTTCCCAGGCTGACCTCCCTGCTTGGATACTCTTAAAATATCAGCATGCAAATAGTCTAAGGTGGACCTCCAACCAACACTGTAGTCAACTACAACAGTGAATGTTTAAGCAAGGTCTCAATTACATAATTCATTCACCCATCTCCATAGGGACTCTACTAAAGATGTTTACCCTCTGAGTTGAAAATTGTGCCATGTTGAAAGCACGGTAGACTCCCTAGCTCTGATGTTTAGACAGCGTCAGCTGTAACCCCAGTCACTAAGCAAGAGGTTTCATGAATTCATCATTGATTACATTCATTGGATTATTTTTCTCTTAAACACAAATTAAGACCACAGGGGAAATGATAGTTCTGTTTCTTGTTGCTTTCTCTTCATCAGATGAAGGAAAAGGGAAACAATTAGTTAAGAGGGAAAATGAAGAAAACAGAAAGTGATTATACTTGTAGTCCTCTAGCCAAAGGTAGACCCTTCAAGAAATGCACTCAATGGCTTTCAGATAGGGCTATACAATTGGCCCCATCCCCACAGACACAGATAAACCTGGATCTCAGTCCTTTTCTGTGTTTCTTACTAAAATATGGATGTCTCAAGGGAGAAGCTGGATGGGTGGGAGTGAGGTTTGTGTTCCTTCATCAGAAATGTCATTGCTGCTCTCCTGAAAGTGTCCTGCTTTTGCTACATCTGCCTTAGAGCTCTGCTCAGCCCTCTTTGTTGCCGAGGCATCAGCTTAGATTATTATTCTGACACACCATCTCTGCAAACCCAAACACATGCTCAGTGTATTTGAATGCTTCTGAGAAAAAGCACCTCAGCCTGGCAGATGGAGATACATGTCCAAAGATGAACGAGCTGCGTAGACCAAACTTGTTGTCAAAACCCCCAAAACTATAACACCAGTGACTGCCTTGGTTGTTAATATCTGAAACTATGTAGAAATGTGTGTGGCTGTAGCCCAAAAGAAACAAAAATCAATATACTTCCTTGTATATTTCTTGCAACAGCAGTCAGAGAAGTAAAGAATATTCAGTATGGATCTAGGTGGGCTACTTACAGATCTTCGCACATTCTTACAGATTCGCATGATATCATTCTTACACATTTGCATGATATTAAAGACAAAGTCATGAAATGAAAGCAATGTGTTTGAAGACCTTTTTATGAGGAGTAAAGCTAAAGCACTTTCTCAACATGCAACAAACATATGCGAAGTACTGTTTATATATAGCCAGACTGCTGCATCCAGACTGAATGTCAAGCACAGTGCTGGCCCCCTTGGCAACATACTGGTGAACAAACAGCTTAAAGGCTGGCAGCAAAGACAGATAATAAAACAAGCAAATAAAGAGTGTCGAAAGTTATAACAGAAAAAATACACAGTGTTGTGGCATCAGGGGCCTAAACTAAGTATAAAAGATCTTTTCGAAAAGGTGATGAGATCCAAAGAATTTCAACTTAAGCTTCCTGTGAGAGCTGCTTTTTGAAGTTTTGGTATGGATGGATAGATTCCTTCCACATAAATTTATGTCTTTAAAAAAATTAACAGTTTTCAGGGACAAAAAAGAAATTCAACCAGAGTCCACACAATTTTCAGGGAGAGAGGGTCAGTCTCCACCCAGTCAATGTTAATTAACACTGTACGGCAACCCTTCTCTCCATACTCACTGAATGGCATCCCAACCACCAGTAGGCAGCAACCTCTTTTGTCCTCCTGGGATCAATCTCTCTCTCTCTCTCTCTCTCTCTCTCACACACACACACACACACACACACACACACACACACACACACAATTTCAATTAGGCACTGCAAGAAAATGATTTTGACTGGGGACATTGGTCATAAACATGCTACCAGAAGAGCTTCCTGCCTCAGATAAATGTCAGGACCTAATAGGTACAAATAAGCAGAAAGGTGGGGATGCTGGCATTGCTTTGGGAGCCCCTACTGCCTAGGGTAAGCTGGCAATACAGAAAGTATTAGTCCCAATCCTAAGGCAGAGGACATTCAACTACAGCCTTTTTTTGCTCACATTTTTATGCAAACCCCACTCTATAGCATTAGCTTTGCTCATCTGCACAGAGGGCTGGGATTTCAGGCCAGATTGGAATAAGTACACATGAAACTTGAAGGCTAAATGCTCATATATTTTGCGATATCTTTTTTTTCTCATATTAGTAGAAGAAAAATATTAAATTGTGCTATATTAGATAAGGTTATATTAGGAAAGTTATCAATTGTTTGAAAAACTGTCTTTTGGAAATTATTACTGTTGCATGGGCCCCATCAATCACAGAAAAAAAAACCAGAAATAAAATTCACTGAATAGCAGATGGGTAAAAATTATCAAGTTTAGTAGATATAAAATGACTTAAATTTGAAAGTACACAAGTCAGTGATTTTATCAAAAAGACGCAAACTAGGGAGAAGCCGCAGGCTGAACTGTGGGAAATGTTTCATTCTCGTGACCACAAAATGAAAGCAAGTCAATATCAGTGTTCATGTGTGATCAAGTAAAGAAGCTCCAACAAGGTCTGAACAACCCCTGGCCCACTAAAGCTTCCCTCAGAAAGCAGGATGCTTCTCCCCTGCTGGTGAGATAATGAAAAAATGAAAAAATAATGATAAAAAAATGAAAAAATTATAAACAACTGGAACACATAGTAATTATCAACAGAGCAACACGGATTTTGGATTTCTCCATCTTGAGAAGGTCTGAGGAGGAACCAATTTGTGATCAACAAAGTGAGACCAATAAAGAAAAGAATTTGAGTTTCATATTCCAGAGCTTCCGAGCTAAGTCCATGTAGATAATAAATCATGTAATTTCATGTGCATGAATTCTTGCCTACTGTCCTACCCACCAGTATTGCTGCTGGTGAAGAAGGTTTGGAAGATATGGAGGTGGCAGAAAACTCATTTTCCTGGTACTTTGTAAACCTTGGGTTAGAATGGGAGCACTGGCAGCAGTCTGCTGCATAACTAGTTCTCCTTGTCCCTTGTTATGTCAACAGCTACTACTACAATGACTTTCTTTTATTGAGAATTTACTGTGTGCCACGTAAGAGATCAGTTTTATCATGCTCATTTTCAGATGAGGAAAGTAAAATTAAATAGCTTCACCAAGGCATTGACACCCAAGCCTGCTGACTGCAAAGCCCATGTTCTCACACTCCGTACTATACAGACATCCATTAATATATTAATACAATCACTAATGTAGCTGCCTTAATTCCTTTATGTCTTAGAAGACCTAGACTACTGATCACTGAAGTATGCGGCAAGACAATCCACTGTTTGGAGGCAATAAAATAGGAGAACTTCTTTAGAAAAGATTAAGACATCTTTTTCTATTTATTTTCAATTAAAAATAAGAAATTATTATGCTGATATTTAATATACAGTGATATGGTTTGAATTTCTGTCCCCACCCAAATCTTATGTTGAATTGTGATCCCCAGTGTTGGAGGAGGGGCCTGGTGGCATTGTATCATGGTGGTGGATTTCCCCCTTGCTATTCCCATGATAGTGAGTTCTCATGAGATCTGGTTGTTTACAAGTGTATAGCACCTCCCCCTGCTCTCTCGTCCTCCTTCTCTGCCCATGTAAGATGTGCCTGCTTCCCCTTTGCCTTCTGCCATGACTGTAAGTTTCCTGAGGTCTCCGCAGCCATGCTTCCTGTACAGCCTGTGGAACTGTGAATCAATTGAATCTCTTTTCTTTATAAGTTACCCAGTCTCAGGTTGTTTTTTATAGCAATGTGAGAATGGACTAATAGATACAAGTTAATACCAATATTGTTATGCCAATATTTAATATACAGGTTGATCCTGGCGCATGAATTAGTCTAGTTGCTGAGCACTCAAATACAGTCTGTGAGCATCCTGGGAGAAGGGAAGGTTTACTCCCTTAAGCATTTCACAGTGGAGCCCCCCACCTTTCCATTTTACTTTGATATATTGCAGCATGCTGCAGTTCACTGTACCTAGGTAGATATAGATGATGTTTTAACAATAAAATGCAAATGTTTTTTAAAAGTGCTTAGGAGAGAGTATTTTGAAAATGGCTATGTAAAAATGTTTGCATAGTTATGTGACTATGAAAACATTTCTGTTGCCATAGACATCATTTAAGTGTGTCTTTCCAGTATCACTTCAACTCTTTCTGCCCCACCTCTCTCCTGTGCAGCCCCTGTGTGTGCATGGGCTCTAATCTCCTTCAAGCAGGCAAAAGCTGACAGCTCCCTGCCTCGTACCTGTTTGAGATGTCTCTTTCTTGCCTCCCACCCCCAGGTCTTTCCTGCTGACTTGGAGAGTGAAAGACTACAGGATGCCCCCATGAGTATCCACATAAGTACAACCCAAAAATGGAATGAAGGTTTGAACAGTGGAGGATGGGAACTAGAGAAGATTCCTTTCCCCAAAGAGACTGTCCTGAAAAGCAATTGTTTACAGCCTGTAGGAAGGTCATCTCTCAATATCAAACAGTCATGTTCTATATGAGATAGTGGCCAACTTCATAACACATCCTCAACAGGATTGTACACTTCTAAATAGAACTCAGTCCTGAATAGTATTGTCTAGGTTTTCTTCTAGGGTTTTTATAGTTTGGGGTTTGACATTTAAGTATTTAATCCATCTTGAGTTGATTTTTGTAAATGGTGTAAGGAAGGGGTCTATTTTCAATTTTCTGCATATGGCTAGCCAGTTCTCCCAACACAATTTATTAAATAGGGAATCCTTTCCCCATTGCTTGTTTTTGTCAGGTTTGTCAAAGATCAGATGGTTGTAGGTGTGTGGTCCTATTTCTGCTTATCTGTTCTCTTCCATCAGGACACAGGCACAGGCAAAGATTTCATGATGAAGATCCCAAAAGCAATTGCAACAAAAGCAAAAATTGACAAATGGGCTCTAATTAAACTAAAGAGCTTCTGCACAGCAAAAAAAAAAAAAAAAAAAAAAAAAAAAAAAAAAAAAAACTATCAACAGAGTAAACAGACAACCTACAGAATGGGAGTAAAATTTTGCAATCTATCCATCTGACAAAGGTCTAATATCCAGAATCCATAAGGAACTTAAAAACATTTACAAGAAAAAAACAAACACCCCCACTAAAAAGTGGGTTAAGGACATGAACAGACACTTCTCAAAAGAAGACATACATGCAGCCAACAAACATATGAAAAAAAGCTCCACATCATTGATCATTACAGAAATGTAAATCAAAACCACAATGAGATACCATCTCACACCAGCCAGGTGCGGTGGCTCATACCTGTAATCCCAGCACTTTGAGAGGCTGAGACAGGTGGATCACCTGAGGTCAGGAATTTGAGACCAGCCTGACCAACATGGTGAAACCCTGTCTCTACTAAAAATACATAAATGAACTGAGCATGGTGGTGGGCGCCTGTAATCCCAGCTACTCAGGAGACTGAGGCAGGAGAATCGCTTGAACCCAGGAGGCGGAGGTTGCAGTGAGCCGAAATCATGCCGTTGCACTCCAGCCTGGGCAACAAGAGCAAGACTCCATCTTAAAAAAACAACCACCAAAAAACAAAACAAAACAAAAAAAACAGGTGCTGGTGAAGTTGTGGCCAAAAAGGAACCCTTTTACACTGTTGGTGGGAGTGTAAATTAGTTCAACTGTTGTAGAAGACAGTGTGACGATTCCTCAAAAACCTAGAGGCAGAAATACCATTTGACATAGCAATCCCATTACTGGGTATATACCCAAATGAATGTAAATCATTCTGTCATAAAGATACATGCACATGTATGTTCACTGCAGCACTATTCACAATAGCAAAGACATGGGATCAACCTAAATGCCCATCAGTGATAAATTGGATAAATGTGGTACATATCCACCATGGAATATTATGCAGCCATAAAAAAGGAATGAGATCATGTTCTTTGCAGGGACATGAATGGAGCTACAGGCCATTATCCTTAGCAAACTAATGCAAGAAGAGAAAATTAAATACCATGAGTTCTCACTTATAAGTGGGAGCTGAATGATGAGAACACATGGACACATCAGGGGGAGCAACACACACTGGGGCCCGTCAGAGGGTGGGAAGGGAGGAGGGAGAGCATCAGGAAGAATAGCTAATGGATGCTGGGCTTAATACCTGAGTAATGGGATGTTCTGTGTAGCAAACCACCATGGCACACATTTACCTATGCAACAACATTCTGCACATGTACCCTTGAACTTAAAAATTAATATAAGTTTAATATGAAAGTCAATAAATAAAACTCAGGTTCTGCTTTCTGGGAAAACTAAGCTAAGGAGGGATATTTCCTCTAAAACCTTTATACCAAAAAAGAAAAAAGGTAGAAACAATATTCTAACCAGCTTCAACACCCTCAGAATAACATATTAGTTGGTTTTAATCTCACCTGTTAAAATATAAAAATGCACCCCCTTCCAAGGAGTTTGCAGGAACAACTAATCAAATCAGCAATGATAGGAATTTTCAACAATAATAATTTAAAACTCCTTTATATAAACAGTGGATGATTGACAAAACACATATCATAATTAAGGGCAGCTCATGGTGTACTTCTTCCATAAAGATCCAAGTATCTTCACAGGTATTTTTTTCAACTAAGAACTTAGAAATAGATCTTTGAAGAGCTGAATCACATACTGTAGTCCACAATTCAAAACAAAATATAGGCCCAGTGCGGTGGCTCACGCCTGTATTCCCAGCACTTTGGGAGTCCGAGGCGGACAGATCATGATGTCAAGAGATCGAGACCATCCTGGCTAACACGGTGAAACCCTGTCTCTACTAAAAATAAAAAAATTAGCCGGGCATGGTGGCAGGCGTCTGTAGTCCCAGCTACTCAGGAGGCTGAGGAAGGAGAATGGCGTGAACCCAGGAGGCGGAGCTTTAAGGGAGCTGAGATTAAGCCACTGCACTCCAGCCTGGGCGACAGAGAGAGACTCTGTCTCAAAAAAAAAAAAAAAGCAGCATATTTGATCATATTTATGAAAGCAAAAACTTTTTGTGCTGTTAATAAAACTAAAATTTATTTCATCTTTGACCGATAATTTGTTTCTATTTTATGCAGGCTTTATAATGTATATACTGTTATTTCATTAATATATACATATAATTTTAAATCAATAAATATATTGGGATGAGTGCTCAAAATTATTTTATTAGTGGGATGTGTGTTTTCAAAATGACGTGAACTGCCTGAATTTTATTTCTAATTCTATCCCTTACTACCTGGGAAACCTTGCGCAAGTTAACTAACCTCTCTGAATTTGTCATTTGTGAAATGGGAATAATATTCACCCTGTAAGATTGTTGTGAGGACTATAGGTGAGAGGCTGAGAAATATACCTAGCACATAACTAGTAACACACAATTGTTGATTATTGTTATTAAAATGTTGTTAATATAATTACAATATATTTACCTTCCCAGGAGAAGGGCTACGAATGAATGCAGGCAAGGTAGTGTACACAAGGTGCTTTCAAAGGTTCCAAGAAGCAATCCTAAGCCTTTCAGCTTAGGATGTCTTTAGGTTTGAAAGAGTTTGAGAGATCTGGTCCAAGCCATTTATTTTGCAAATAAGGAAACTAAGGATCAGAGAGATGTATTAGTTTCCCAGGGATCATACAGCTTATGAATCAGAGCCCGGGTCTGACTCCAGATCTGTCGGGCCGAGGCCCAGCTCCCTCCACCGTATCACACTGTACTCCCCTGCCTCTGCAGACACACAAAGGCCCTCAGCCAACAGATGAGCCTCTCACTTAGCTGCAGTCAAGGATGTCTCTGCCAGCACTTTTCCTTCTCTGAAGTCTACAAATCACAAGTCGTGAGGAAAATGACATTAGTGCCTCCTCACAATAATTTAGGGATGACAGCTCTGAAGAATTCCAATGAACTTTCAAATATGGTACCAGCCCCAGCCAACTGCAATCCTGGTCTGTGAGTAGAATCGGAGTACATTTTCTTCCAAGAGCATTATGCTAAAGGAAGCTATGGTAAGTTTGAAACCACCACCACTTCCTAACTCCCTATCTGCATTATTTTTCCTCCAGAGCAGTTATCAATAACATGCTATATATTGTACTTATTTATCTTGTTTACGGCTCTCTGTTCTGCTATCAGGCAACCTCCATGAGGACAGGGATTTCTGTTTATTCACTGCTGTACTGCCAGTGCAAATATTTATTGAGTGAATGAATATAATATTTTGAGTTATTCCTGCCACTTTGGCTGTTAACCTTTGGCTTCTATGGATATACAGAGTTACTGATATCCTAGATTAAATTTTACACAAGTTCCGAGGCTACTGGTCACACAGAACTGGTTCCTCTACAAATAACAGCTTCCAGTGATTTGATTAAAATGTACCCTAGCAAATAACATGTGAGTTAACACCTGCTAATCCCACTAGTGCCAGCTGAAATGTCATTTCCTCAGGAAAACCATCCTAAACCCCAAGATAAGGCACTTCCCATATTAATGATTTCCATTGCACACTGTAATTTTCCTCTTGTTGTGCTTACCACAACTGGCATTAAATCACTTCATGGGTCCCTTATTTGTTCAATGACATTCTTCTTTTCTAAACTGTACGTTCCATGAGGACAGGGACCATCTTTTGTCCATCACTGTACTTCCAGGACCTGACAGAACCTGGTATATAGTAGGCATTCAATAAGCATGTCCCAAATGAACGAACAAGCAGAAATTTAATAAGTATTCCAGCTTTAACAAATTCTGCAAAAAAAAAAAAAAAATTTAACAGCACATGATAGAAGCTGTAAATTTGGTCCTTGAATTTATTTAAGCAAACTCTAGAGAGAGGAGTAATTATCCTTTCAAATAAAATTCCTAGCTTTTTCATCTAAAGTTGATGATATACAGTTACTTCCAGGAAGATATTTTAAGTTATTTCTTCTGTATTCCCCAAATCTGAATATTGCAGGCTTAATAAGAAAAATTTAATCTTCCAGCAATTTTGCCTTTGACCCCAAGTGAATTTAACTGTCCAGGATTCTGGTTTCCTTCCAAAATCTATATCTGGTTTTAAGATAAATTTTCCCAAATAAGCCATAAACATGATTTTGATGGTTGAAGAATACTTTCATTTTAGATGAATAAACCAGAAGTACTTCGGACTTTCAAAATTCATGACCTACATACCTATGCACACTTGCTTTCATTTCCAAGTTTCTATCACTGTTACCTCTCAGAGTGAAATAAAATCCCTTTGCCTCTTGAGTATTCTTTCTGGCTCCTAAGGGAATAAAATAGGAGCAAAATAAACCAAGCTCCTTCCATGTTAAAGAGAAATATAGGGGCATGTATCATCCCCCACCCACAAACATACAACTGCCTGCCAAAATAACATTGTGTTTATCTTGAAAATCTCCTTAGAGCTTAAGAATTCATAGAAGATTAAACATCATGGCTGTGAGTACTTGGAGCTAGACATCTACAAGATGAAAGGATCCTGTTTAGTCCAGGCAAGTCAGAATTACCTGAGATTCAGAAATGTAGGGACGCAGTGGGATAATGTGCTTGTTATGAGTGAAGGAGAAACATGCATGTTTCAATTTAATTTAACAATTATATGTTTACCTCATACCATATGCTAGGTTTGAAAGACTTAATGGTTTCAAGACTTTCTGCTGGGGTAGCAGTGGTTTGAACATAAGCCCCATGCTTTACATTTAAAGCAGAACTACTTTATTCTTTGACTAACAGCCCTGAAGGAAAAAATAGATTTTTTTTTTACAAACAGGAAAAGTAGAGAAGAAAAAGAAGATTTTAAGATAGTCTTGTTATTGGCACAATGTATATAATCTTGTACTTTCTACCCCCAAACCATAGAGGCATAAAACTTGGTACATCCCAATTTACTGAAAGTACAGAACTTAGAATGAGCTGTGAGAAACTGATTAGAGCAATGGCTCTCAACTTTTCTTCATGCTGAACTACTCCAAGAGTTTGACAAAAGCATTAATGCCTGAGATCCCAGAGACCCTGATATAATTAATAATGGTGTGGCCTGGGCATCTGGATTTTTCAAAGTGCCTCAAGTGATTCCAAAGTGCAGCAGAGATTGAAAGCCACTGGGCTAAAGGGCTTATTGATATCCCAGAGTTCACAAGCCAGACATTTCATTAATACTCAAGAGTCAGAGGAAACAAAAAAAGATGTGAAGATGAAAGTCAGTCTGGTTCTGTCATTGGGACCTGACTGATAAAGACATCTATGCTTGGTGCACCTGAAAGATGGGGTGACCAGGAATATCTGTTAGGGTGTTGGGGCCCCTCCCTCTAGAAGGCCTGGCCTTTTTGGGGTCCCAGGCAAACTTAGAAAGACAAAACTCAATTTGGTTAATAATAAGTAAAGCAACTATATGAAGACTTCTGTAGTGAAAGATAATGAGACTACTCTGGCTGTTTTAAAGCTATGCACTCTGGCTCAGGCTTAGAGATCATTCTGATATCAGAGGGAGAGGTGGCGGTTCATGTGTCTTTTAATAACCCTTTTTTTGGTCATTATACTTTCTTGATGATATCCATGACAAATAACATATCCAGATAGTCCCATCTATTTCAGATTTTCCAGAGCAGTGAGCACTATCTTCTTTTGAAGACCCCAAGTTGTCTAAGTTTTACAAGGGAAGAATGAAGAATATTCATACCTACTTGAGGGAGTGATAAATGAGTTATGCCAATAAGGACAAGAGTAATTGGGAGAGAAGTCCTAAAACAAAAAGCTGGAAAATGTGAAAGAACAGATGAAAAGGATAAGCAGTCATGCTCCTTTAACTTAAAATAACCATCAAATTCCTAACACTGGTATATTAGTCCATTTTGCATTGCTGTGAAGGAATACCTGAGACTGAGTAACTTATAAGGAAAAAGTTTACTTTTGGCTTATGGTTCTGCAGACTTTAACAAGAAGCATGGTGTCAGCATCTGTGTCTGGTGAGGCCTTAGAAAGCTTACAATCATAGCAGAAGGCAAAGGCGAGGCATGTTTGTCACATAGAGAGAGAGGGAGCAAGAGAGGGAGGAAGGGCCAGGCTCTTTTTAACAATCAGATCTGGTGGTAAATAATAGAGCAGGAACTCACTCATTACCACCTAGAGGGCACCAAACCATTCATGAAGGATCCACCCCCATGACTAAAACACCTCCCACTATGCCCTACCTCCAACATTGGAGATCACATTTAAACATGGGATTTGCAGGGGTCAGGCATCCAAACTATATAAAGTAGTATGCCCTTTTTAAAATATGCATATGTAGTATACTTCATTCTATTTTAACATTACTGCTCTATAATCTTCTTACATGTTAACAATATCAATGGCCCTATATTCAGAGGCCAATATGGGGTCTTTTCAAGGTTGTGAACAATCTCCACACAGCCAGGGGAAGTCTTCTGAGGAAAGCAGGTATACTAAGGACTATCCTCATGATTAGATGATCAAAAAGAAAGTACTTGATTTTCAAGGTGTCCCCACATTTGTCCAACACCAAGAAATCAAGTACAGCAAAGGTTAATGAAATTTGACAATTGGAAAATACAAGCAGAAAGAGAAAGATGCAAAACAGAAATAAACAGCAACAAAGGGAAAACGTTTTGCACACTAGAAATTGAGTTTTGTTAAAAGCAAAAGGAGTCTCTGCAGCCTTTGGGTACAACACAGACCTAAGCATGTTACCACCACTCGAAGGTGTTCCATCAGCCAAAACAGGGAAAACCTTTGGAGAGATCATGCACTAAAACAATAGAACCAAAGATGAGGTTTTACTTTTAATCACCTAATGTGGGAAGACTAACAGTTAAGCAAAGAAACGTGTGTTATATATGTTATCACTCATTGTATATAAGATAAATATGCCTAAATATATTGCATAAGCAAACTATTTGCATTTCACTCATTCGTCTTGATCAATTAATTCTTTCACTTCCAAGTCCAAGATGGCAAAGAATTTACTAAATCAACAGTTCTCACACTTTTTAACTTAGGTTCCGATTCAGAAGATCACATGATCTGATGGACACTAAGATTTGAGAACTGCTGTTTGTTTTTTCAAGTGGAAAAACCTGGAACCAGCTGACTCCAATCAACCAGCTGGATACATTTTGGTGCTTAAGTAAGAGTGAGGCAGGATGGGGGAGTCCTTAATTGATTCTGCTAGACTTCAAGTTACATAGGCAAACATCATGCACTCAAACATGAACAGTATATGACTGAGTACTGCCAGGTGTGTGTTATCTACTGCCACAGTAATAATGTGTAACAAACCAAAAATCCTTAGTGGCATTTAACAATAAATGTTTATTTCTCACATGTCTGGAATGGTTGGCTAGATGGCTAGATGCCTCTGCTTATCTTGGCTGGGCTCACTCACATGTGAGTGTTGGCTGGCTGTGGTCTAATCTCAGATAGCCTCAGCTGGGATATCTAAAGCGATTCAGCTCTGATCCATGTGTCTCTAGTAACAAGTCAGGGCTCGTTCTCATAACCAAGGCAGAAAGCAAACAAGCCCAGGCATACATACACTTTTCTTTTCTGATTGTATTATGTTTACCAACCTCCCATCAGCCAAAGCAAGGCATGTGGCCTAGGCTAACATTAAGATAGGTATACACTATAAAGTTAGACAGCAAAGAATATGGATATGGGGAGGGGGTAAAAAATGGGGGCAATTTTTGCAATCTGCTGCAAAAGATTACCCAGGTTTTATTTTAGTACCATGCTAGGCATTATAGGAGGTTCAAAATTCATCTGTGCCCAGGGATGATGAGCATTTTTTCATATGTTTGTTGGCTGCATAAATGTCTTCTTTTGAGAAGTGGGTGTTCATATCCTTTGACCACTTTTTCATGGGATTGTTTTTTTCTTGTAAATTTGTTTAACTTCCTTGTACATTCTGGATATTAGACCTTTGTCAGATGGATAGATTGCAAAAATTTTCTCCCATTCTGTAGGTTGTCTGTTCACTCTGAGGATAGTTGCTTTTGCTGTGCAGAAGCTCTTTAATTTAATTAGATCCCATTTGTCAGTTTTGGCTTTTGTTGCCATTGGTTTTTGTGTTTTAGTCATGAAGTCTTTGCCCATGCCTATCAAAACTACAATGAGATACCATCTCACGCCATTTAAAATGGTGATCATTAAAAAGCAAGGAAACAACAGATGCTGGAGAGGCTGTGGAGAAATAGGAATGCTTTTACACTGTTGGTGGGGGTGTAAATTAGTTCAACCATTGTGGAAGACAGTGTGGTGATTCCTCAAGGATGTAGAACTAGAAATACCATTTGACCCAGCAACCCCATTACTGGGTATATACCCAGAGGATTATAAATCATTCTACTATAAAGACACATGCACACGTATGTTTATTGTGGCACTGTTCACAATAGCAAAGACTTGGAACCAACCCAAATGCCAATCAATGATAGACTGGATAAAGAAAATGTGGCACATATGCACCATGGAATACTATGCAGCCACAAAAAATGATGAGTTCATGTCCTGTGCAGGGAGATGGATGAAGCTGGAAACCATCATTCTCAGCAAACTAACACAAGAACAGAAAACCAAACACTGCCATGTTCTCACTCATAAGTGGGAGCTGAACAATGAGAACACATGGACACAGGGAGGGGAACATCACACACTGGGGCCTGTTGGGGGGCGGAGGGAGAGGGGAGGGATAGCATTAGGAGAAATACTCAATGTAGATGATGGGTTGATGGGTGCAGCAAACCACCATGGCACATGTATACCTATGTAACAAACCTGCACATTCTGCACATGTACTCCAGAACTGAAAGTATAATTTTAAAAAAGTCCGGGCGTGGTGGTTCACCCCTATAATCCCAGCACTTTGGGAGGACGAGGGGGGCAGATCACGAGGTCAGGAGATCGAGACCATCCCAGCTAACCCGGTGAAACCCCATCTCTACTAAAAATACAAAAAAAAAATTAGCCAGGCGTGGTAGCGGGCGCCTGTAGTCCCAGCCACTCGGGAGGCTGAGGCAGGAGAATGGCGTGAACTTGGGAGGCAGAGTTTGCAGTGAGCTGAGATCACGCCACTGCACTGCAGCCTGGGTGACGGAGCGAGACTCCATCTCAAAAATAAAAATAAAAATAAAAATAAATAATAAAATCATATGTGCCCCAAACTTTAAATATCTTAAAGAAATGTTTTTTCAAAAGGTGGACCATGATCCATTAGTGGGTTATTAAATCAATTTAATGAATTGTGGAAAACATTTAATGGGATGGGGGTGGAATGGAATGGGAGAATAAAATAGAATAGCACAAATCAGAGTTCATCGTTGACACTAAGGTAAGTATTGATTCATGAAACCTTTGACTGAAGTGTATGTAGGCACACATATGCAGTGCCCAGTGAAAAATACATCTGTAGATTTTAGACAGAAATTTGAAAGTCATTTTTAAAGCATACTGATCTAAAGTAAAATTCTGATTTTTGCCATCAGTGATTCTCACTGATGAATGAATGAGCACTTCAGCTAAAGAGTAAAACCTAGGTCTTCGCTAAGCAATGTCTGATGAGCAAGGAGGCAAATTGTGGAGCAGTGAAAGTTTACCTTTCAGTATAAGTCATAGTCTCAGATCTCCAAAAAGCTTACAGATTTTCATAGCAGCAGAAACTAATGCATAATTTTAAAACTCTAGACCATCACTAAGATGAATGTGTTATAATCAGGTGGCAAATGGAAGATACCGCTTGAAAGCAGTATTAAGATAAAATAACTCCCTGGAAGAAAATTTTTTTTGAGCTTCCACTTTGCACCAAGGACTTAACAACAACCCTGTGAAGTGGATCATATGGTTATCATCTACTGGTTGTGTGATTGGAGCACACTACTTAACCTCTCCAAACCCCCACTTTCCTATGTGTAAAAATGGCAACTGTAAAGCTTATTTCACAGAATTCCTAACAAGGGCTTGACACAAAGTAGAAACACACGAAAAAGTTAATTTACCCTTTATTTATCTTTGTAACCCTCACAGCACCTAGCAGGGTACCTAGCAAATGGTTGGTGCTCAGTTAGTCAGCTTGTAGAAAGTGGATGATGCTCCCCAGAGCCAAGCAGATTTCCTTGGGACTACCTGGCCCTCTCTGTCAAGAAAGTCCCCTTGGAAGGCAACATTTCTGGATAGAGGACTTATCTCCCCCATCTCAAACCAGAAAGCAATTGATCACTCAGTCATCTTGAGAAGTGTCTTATGTTCTTTCCCACCACCAACATGGTCTGAGGTTGTCTCCCTTTTCCTTCTTCTTGACTCCACAGAAAATGAGGCTTTGTAACTTTTCTTTGCTCTAGGGTCCTGTGGCTCCTCATTGGCATTTGACATTAATCCCTAAGTATACCATTTTCTATATTCCATAGTTAGTTCTGAAATAGTTATTAATGAACAAGAGTCCTACTTTAACCCAATAGTGAGTTCCACCAAGACAAATTCTGTGGCTTCTTGTGCATGTTGTCTATCTTTGGTGGAAGCATATTTATGGAATTGTTTATTTCACTGACTGTTCTCTTTGCAGAGGAATAGTACAATTGGAAATTTTTAAACTATTTTGAGAGCCCAACAAAAATACTTAGCATTGAATAATAACAAATAAAATATACCATGGTTGTTTAACAGCACCTTTCTAAAAAGGTAAGAGGTAAGGTAAGCCATTTTCATGCTAATTTAGTGAGCTAATACATCATTTTCCTTAAGTAGTCTTAATGTCTCTTTGCAGATCACACTCTTACAGATTTCTTTAAGAATATAATCATTTTCTTTAAAAACCATCTGATATTGATTCTATTTCCAACAAAATAACCACGTATGTAAAGATAAGTGTTTCCTTCTGGGTTTGGGATTAATAAATAACTTACGCACAGCTGGGTTCAAAACAAGGCAATCATTTTGGAAAAAAGAATGCATTTCTAATAACCTTAGGATCCAAATGAATACTGGAGATGGGACTTCTTATCACACAATGAATGGTTCTGCTTCCGAACAAGATGGACTGAGCATGCGGTAGACACGTGTCGCACCATCAAATTACATTTATATGTATGAAATACATTGTCCCAACTTGCTATTATTTGCATCACATAAATTTATTTTATCCTCTAAAAGACATAATATTACAAGAGACATGAATGCAAAGATGGGAAATGATTCCTCCAAATGGAATGCATGAGAGACCTGAGCTGGAAGATTGCTATGACTAGAGAAACCTATGCAATTGAAAAGGCTACCGTTTAATCAAAAGAATTTGCAATCACAATTCAGTGGGGTCTAAACTTCAGCAAATAGAACATTTATGGTTTTGAGCACTTCTGAGTGACCCTAAAGTTCCAAAACACATCATCATTTGTAATGTTGTTTGTGTGTTAATTTGAACTGTGTATACTGTAGCATGATCTCACCTAGACCAATAACAGGAGAGAAGGGTTTTACAATCAGGTGGCAGGGAGGAGCACTCTGGTGAAGCATGAAGGCACTAACATTAGTATCTCAGTTTAGCTTTGCTGTTCTTTTATCACTGAATGGGAGGTCACTGAATTTTAAGGTATACTTTATTACACTGTATAAGGAAGCCATATTCCAGAGGCGTGGTAATGAAGTTACAGCCCTGAGAATGTCAACAGTCTAGTCTACAGTTAAATAGCAACCTGACTCTTCCCTTATGTTTCTAATCAAGGAACCCCACACTTAAAGAGTATTGTCCCCAAAGTGGCACTTTAGCTGCATCTTCAACAGGCTATTCCAGTGCTCAATTAGGGTAGCAGCTTCTGGATGGTGTAGTGTGTGATACAACCAGTAGATCCCATGATAACAATTGCATTCTCCCATTTCCTTCATTGCACAAATGCTATGGATCAGGCCAGGCGCACTGGCATATGCCCGTAGTCCCAGAAACTCGGGAGGCTGAGCCAGCACTATCACTTAAGCCCATTCAAGTCCAGCCTGAGCAACAAAGCAAGACCCAATCTACAAGAAAGAAAGAAAGAAAATAGTAAAATGCTAAGGATCAGAAAGCCTCCAGATATTGGTCCTGGCTGAGGTTCTGTAGGCAAGAAAGGCAAACTCATATCTAGAATAAGTATTTATTCCTGTTAGAGCAAATCACTAGTGCTTCCAAAACAAAAAGACTCCAGTGAAGTCAACTTGCCACCATGTAGCTGGTCTCAGCTGCCTGTATGCATGTACATGTGTAACCTTCATCTCTGCCTCTGTGGCCTCTTCATTCATGGGCCCAGTGTGCAGTTCTGAAGTGGCCAGTGACAAAAGCTGGCTAATGTCAACTGTCTCAGTCACTTTGTCTACTTGTTGGTTTCAATGCCACTTCAATGGTATATGCATATGGGTAAGGATTAATTAACATGTGATACAAAAATCACATTTCATGCCAACTTCCATCTTTTCCACCACATACTTCTACCCCAGATCTTATACCTGATCTTCCAATCTTTTTCCTTCCAGGTCCTTGACCAGTTGGTCAGGCCATTCATCATTGCCCAGAAGTTTGTATATATTCTCACCTCAGGCTAGTTTTTATTCCTCACAAAGTAGATAACCAAGTACATTGTTCAAAGCTCTACTATGGGAAGATTTTTTTTTCTCAGCATTAATTTCCAAGGCCTCCCCTGCATGTGGCTGTATTGCTACTGCCATCTATTTTCAGCTTGGGCTCAAATTCCAAGCCAACGCATCCAAAAACCAACCTCAGGGATTTTCTTTCTCCTTTGGCTCTCTTCCCACCTTGTCTTCCCACCATATAGCCATGTTTGAGTTAAGGGATGGGTTGGGTGAAACCATGATGAGTGACATGGGGTCTGGGCTACTTATGCCCTCTGGCCGTGATCTTGGCTACACCATTTCTACCTTATGATGGATTGCTGCTGTGCTCATCCAATTGTATGGCATGATGGGTCAACAGAACCCAACTCATAAAAGCAGTTCCAGATGCATGATCATTTAGGTCTGCGGATTACATGCCCATATGACAGAGCTGCTTATGCCACCATCTGAATCTGCTGCAGAGCCCTTTCCTGTTCCACACCCCTCTCAAAACTGACAGCCTCTTGGGTCTTGTGATTTATGGGCTAGAGCAGTAATCCTAGATGTGGAATGTGAACCTCTGGTACCTGAGAAAACCTAACAGACATGTACTTCCTTCTTTGTAGCAGTGCATGGAAGATGACGCAAGTTACCTTATACTTTGGAGATGTCCCAGCCTGCCCTTGGGACCACTGGACCCGTAACAATGTTCCCAAAGTTTCATGTTCTTAAGTCTTTGTAGAATTTATCTACCACCTTCTAGACTGAGCACCAAGGGCCTCCAGTGTGCTAACTAACCTCTCTTGCACATACTGCCTGACCAGCATGATGTCACTGGTGTAGTAAGTCAGTGGATATTCTGCAGGATGTCCCAGCAGTCTATATCTTTTCAGACTACATTAACGCACAGGACAGACAACCTAAAATACCCCTGAGGCAAAACTGCAAGTGTATATTGCTTTTCATCTTTGTATATGCATGTAAACTGTTTGCAGCCTCTTCCCTGATAGGGAAAGAAAAGAGCCTTATCACCAAATCAATGGCTACATACTGAGTAACAAAGGCATATTAATGCACTCTAGCAAGCTAGATTCATTTTGCCACAGTTACCACAATCAAGGCTATGACTTGGTTGGGTCTGTGTTAGTCTCTAATCATTCTCCAGGATCTATCCAGTTTCTGCAGAAACTAGACTGGTTAATTAAATAAAGGTATGTTGGGGACCATCACTACTACATTCTTGAGATCCTTAAGGGGGCACTAACTTTCACCTTTCTTCCCATGGTGTGCTATTGCTTTTTATTTATTATCGCAGCTAGAGATGTGAGCAGGCAGTTTCAAAGGCTTCTTCTTGGCCCTCCCCATGATCATAGCTTTACTCCACAGGCTAAAATACCCAATTTCCAAGTTTGTCAATTCAAATTATATATTTAGGAGGTGGGAAAAAGACCACCCAGTGAGGCTGTGGTAAAATTCAGTGAGTTCAGTTAGTCCATTATATAACCACCCAAGTAAATAGCCATAGGTCCTGTTGTGGAAGGGCTGGAAGAATTATTACTGTATGTACCTGCCATGATGATGCAGAATCCTTCTCACTGGAAACCAGACACCCCTTCAGGCACTTAAGTCTGAGGCTGAAAACTGACTCAGGTTCAATAACTACAAAAATAGATCATGACTTTTTATTGCGATGACTGCCCTCCTTTTTCTACTCTTCCATGATTGCCTTTCTTTTTTTATTATTTCAATGGTTTTGGGGGTACAGGTGGTTTGGGGTTACATGATAAGTTCTTTAATGGTGATATCTGAGATTTTAGTGCATCCATCACCCGAGCAGTGCACACTGTACCCAATATGTAGACTTTTATCCCTCACCCCCTCCCAACCTTCCCCCGCTTCAAGCTCCCAACGTTCATTACCTCATTCTTATGCTTTTACATCCTCATAGCTTAGCTCCCACTTATAAGTGAGAACATGCAATATTTGGTTTTCTATTCCAAATAGTTACTTCATTTGGAATAGAGTTCATTTTGAATGAGTTACTTCATTTATGATAATGGCCTCCAGCTCCATTTAAGTTGCACAAAAAAACATTATTTCATTCCTTTTTATGGCTGAGTAGTATTCCATGGCATATATATACCACATTTTCTTTATCTACTCATTGGTTGATGGGCACTTAGGTTAGTTTCATATCTTTGCAATTGTGAACTGTGCTGCTATAATCATGTGTGTACATGTGTCTTTTTCATATAACAACTTCTTTTCCATTGGGTAGATACCCAGTAGTTGGATTGCTGTGTTGAATGGTAGTTGTACTTTTAGTTCTTTAAGAAATTTCCAGCTGAGCGTGGTGGCTTAAGCCTGTAATCCCAGCACTTTGGGAGGCCGAAGCAGGTGGATCACCTGAGGTCAGGAGTTCAACATCAGCCTGGGCCAACAAGGTGAAACCCCGTCTCTACTAAAAATAAAAACAAATTAGCTGGGTGCGGTGGAGCACACCTGTAATCCCAGCTACTTGAGAGGCTGAGGCAGGAGAATCGCCTGAATTTGGGAGGCGGAGGTTGCAGTGAGCCAAGATCGCACCACTGCACTCCAACCTCAGTGATAGAGCAAGACTCCATCTCAGGGAAAGAAAAACAAAAAAAAGAAAGAAATTCCCATGCTGTTTTCCACAGTGGTTGTACTAATTTGCATTCCCACCAGCAGTGTAAAAGTGTTCCTTTTTTACCACATCCACATCAGCATCTATCGTTTTTTGACTTTTTAATTACGGCCATTCTTGCAGGAGTAAGGTGATATCTCACTGTGGTTTTAATTTGCTTGTCCCTGATGATTAGTGATGTTGAGCATTTTTTCACATGTTTATTGGCTATTTGTACATCTTCTTTTGAGAAATGTCTATTTATTTCCTTTGCCCACTTTTTGATAAAATTATTTGTTTTTTTGTTGAGTTCCTTGTAGATTCTGGATATTAGTTATTTGTCAGATGCATAGTTTGCTTATATTTTCTCCCACCTGTGGGTTGTCTGTTTGCTCTGCCGATTATTTCTTTTGCAGTGCAGAAGCCTTTTAGGTTAATTAGGTCCCATTTATTTATTTTTGTTTTTGTTGCATTTGCTTTTGGGGTCTTAGTCATGAATTCTTTGCCTAAGCCAATGTCCAAAAGAGTTTTTCTGGTGCTATATTCTAGAATTTTTATGGTTTCAGGTCTTAGATTAAAGTCTTTGTTCCATCTTGAGTTGATCTATGTATAAGGTGAGAGATGGGGATCCATTTTTATTCTTTACATGTGGCTTGCTAGTTTTCCCAGCACCATTGATTAAATAGGGTGTTCTTTCTCCAATTTATGTTTTCCCATTCTTTGTTGAAGATCAGTTGGCCGTAAGTATTTGGTTTTATTTCTGGTTTCTCTATTTTGTTCCATTGGTCAACATGCCTATTTTTATACCAGTACCATGCTGTTTTGGTAACTATAGCCTTGTAGTATAATTTGAAGTTGGATAATATGAAGTCTCCAGATTTGCTCTTTTTGCTTAGTATTGCTTTGGCCATGTGGGCTCATTTTTGTTCCATATGAATTTTAGGATTGTTTTTTCTAGTTCTGTGAAAAATAATAATGGTATTTTGGTAGAAATTGCATTGAATCTATAGATTGCTTTGGGCAGTGTGGTCATTTTCACAATGTTGATTCTTCTCATGCATGAGCATTGAAATGTATTTCCATTTGTTTGTGTCATCTATGATTTCTTTCAGTAGTGTTTTGTAGTTTTCCTTTTAGAGATCTTTCACTTCCTCATGATTGCTTTTCATGATTAAATATATGTATTGGGCAATACATTCTTTGACTCTTTTCCTATTTTATCCCTTAGCATTGTTATTTATATTCTCTTAACTATCTCCCCACAACTTTCTTTAGGTTCAGCCTTCTTGGCTGCCATTTAACCTTGGCCTCTGTAGCTTCATAACTCCATCGCCCTCATTAGTATCTATTAGGATTGTAACAGCCTCTCCTACCATCAGCCTTTGCCTGCAGAGGAGAGCCAAGTAAAAATAGCTGAAGACCATCCAAATGATAATAAACAGAGCTTGCTACAAGGGAGTCAGTCACCATCACTTGTGTTTGGCCTAGACTCAAAGGCAGGCAAGGGAGCAAAAAGATTAGTAATGAAAAATAAGGGAAGGCTTCAAGTATGCTGTTTGGAGGTTGTTGGCATGAGGAAGCTGGAGGCAGGCTAACTAGAAGTGAGGCATCCTATGAGATTGATTTGATGAGCAGATTTGGCTTCTTCTGGTTGGTCCTGAGTTGGAATCAGAGGTAAAAATAATGAAGCTGGCCATTACTGGCTAAGTCCTGACCATTCTGGGACAAATGCTACAAAGATTGGGGTTTGTCTCCTCAAGCTCTTTATAGTGGCCATTGTTCACTTTTTCAGCCTGTCGTCTACTACTGACCTTAGAGATGTTGGTGCCTCTCTCACCTGGGCTTGGTGTATGCCCTGGACTCCTATGGAACATACTTCTTAGATGGTCTTTCTGGCCTTGCAGAATTCATCCAAAATGCCCATTTCCATAGGTTTTTTAATCCCTCTTCCATTATGTGTCATAGTAATTCGGTCATCTAAACTGTTGGTCACTGTTTTCAGAAGGCTTTCAAGGTCTTTGCCTGGATATTAAATACTGTATCTTTTAGAAAAAGTTCCCACATTAATAAGCTCACTCTTATCCAGTCTCGTGTTCTAGACCTCTTGATCAAGCAACCACAAATCCAGTCCCCTAGAGTCTCTCCCCACTCCTACCAGTTAATGTCAGCTAATTCTTGTAGCTCCCTTTCCTCCTTTATAAGGCCCAGTGTGTCCCTAGCTGGGCTTTGCTGCAACTCAACCAAAATGATCAACCTTATGGCTAGGAGAAGAGATGAGAATGGATCCTAAGGAGGAAATCTACTGCTTTGTAAGAAAGATGTCTCTACAGTGTGTTCCCACCTGCAGAGAGTGCCCACTCTTAGAAGGAATGAGTGAACTAACTGCAATGCTGAGGAGTCAGTGGAGTCTAAGGAGCCAAAATCTTCGGGGGCATCAATCCAGATGTCCCCATCTCATGTGTCAGGGCCCCACATGTTTTCAACAAGGCTCCTGGTCCTTGCATATATCCCTTTCATGGACTAGTCAATCATCTTAGGAGCTTGGCAACTCTATTAAATCCTGAGTTGGTCTTCAGCTTATTCTGCTCACAGACTGCAAGAAGTAAGAGTCTGAAAACCACAAAAAGCCTCTGTCGATATTCAATTGTTTGTTAACTGCCTCCAACTTTTCATTATTCCTCTGTAAGACATCGGTGCAACTTAGTAACAATCAGGCAATTCTACCAGATTTAGCAGTTGGGCTGCTACTTCTTGACATAGTGTCTATGTCCCACATCCTTGCCAGGCAGCAGTGAATGGTTCAGTTCTCAAGCCCTATCATATCTCCTGCTTTCTTGGGCTACTATCGCTACCAAAACTGTCAGTTGGGCTTCTGAGAAACAGACACTGAAATGGAGTTAAGATGCAAAAAGTGCATGGGCCTAACACCCATGAAAAGTAAAAGGGGAAGGAAGAAAAACTGGTCATGGAGGGTCTCCAACTATGATGGAGACCCAACCCAGTCTCAGCCAACCCACTTAGCAGCTCCAGACAGGGGAAATGTCCATTAGAGGAATTCCATGTTGAGCAGCAAGGGTCCATCATTGGCCAGGAGCTGCCTGGGAAGCTGAGGTAAACCTGAAGTTACTAGAAGAGGAGATCGTCAGCTAACTGCACTTTGCGCAGCTGAACAGCAAGTTCTCTCTTGAGAACACTCCCAGCAGCAAACTTCCATGGCAACATCATCCAAGTCCCAACATTTATACTTCCTTTCTTTTTCTCAACTTACTCTGTTGACTATAACTTTCAGACAAACGCTAGTTAATAACAGGTACCTTGCTCTGACTTTTTAAATTTGATGAGAACATCTTAAGTATTTCCCCTTAAACATAAGCTTGGCTATTAGTTTCAGACATTCTTTATCATGTTAAGGAAGTATAGTCTACTTATAGTTTAACTAAGGGTTATTAGTCCTTATTAGAAGGGAATACAAATGGCTACTTAGCATCTATCAAGATCTTTTTGAACTATGATATAATAATATTAGAGTTCTTAGATGTCTGTCTCCTGGTTCTTGCTTTTGTTTGTTTGTTTTTCAGCCTTGTACTTTCTCCTTGTCTTAGACTTGATGACTGAACTGAGTTTCCCTGATTTTACCTTGTGCATTCTCTAAGAACCTTCTCTCTCTCTCTCTCTTTCTCTCTCTCTCATTCTTTCCTTCATTGGGTTGCCTTTCTGTAGCCTACAGCACGCAGATCTCAATACCTGCCTGCCTGACCATGCTGTTGTCATTAATTCAATAATTGGTGCTTGTTCTTTCTTATCTTTAGAACTGTTACTTTCATGTCATGCTTTAAACATCCTGAAACTTTCTCTAATTCAAACCCAGTGCCTCAACTCATTAGATTTCATTCAAATAATGACTTTACGTTCAACTACAGCAGCAAGAGTTTTCCCACCACAAATCCTATTCTAAATTCTATGTGCCAACTCATGCAAAATTATTGACTCAATCACCTACACTATAATTTCTACAAAATAGAGTGTTAGTAAAGAAGGGCAGCCTTCTGTCCTTTCTTACCACCTAGTTGTCTTCAGAATATCCATTCAAAAATCCACACCAGCTTGCTCTTGCACAACTGCACATCTGGATTTCTCAATATAATTTCCTACAGAAAGAGCACAAATGCTTTAGAGATGGCTTTTCTATTGTGGACTATTACTACACTCTATTTTGTTTATTATAAAAAATGTTCAGAAATAATTTGAGACTTGCAGGATTTATTACTGTATTGTCAGCCTTTGATTTTATAGACAGAAGCTATTTATGGGCCAAGTTGCATGATCTCGATATTGATTCCTGGCTTTTAACAGTCCTTTGGAGCCTTTACTGTAATACCAAAAAGGGATCAAAATGGATAGGAAATGAGCTCTTGACAGAGCAGACTGCAGTCCCAAATGATACAAATGTCCAAGCCCACCTACTCCTTAATTTCCACCCAGACCATTAGATACATCTTTTGATAATTTGGATGCATGACCTCCTGTCATAGCATCCTCCTTTATGCTAATGTCACATTTCTATTTTCATTCTGAGAGTGGCCTAAGGAGCAACTATGCTTGTTGGGCAATTACTACCATGAGGAACAGCTCAATATCAATTAGACCAATACCAGGATTGCTGCTTTTGGCAAACACTCTTCAGCATTTAGATAGCAAATGCAGGGCACCTCTTAGAAAAGATAAACTCATTTCATTATCTAATGGAGCATTTTGCAACTAATTCATCCAGACAGGCTCATTGGAATGCAGTCCAATACAAAATTAAATAGCTTACAAGTTCTACTATGGTAGAGACAGGATACTTGTGATATGGTTTGGATCTGTGTCCCTGCCCAAATCTTATGTCGAATTGTAATCCCCAATGTTGAAGGTGGGGCCTGGGGGAAGTGATTGGATTATCCAGGTGGATTTCTCACAGATAATTTAGCACTATCCCCTAGGTGCTGTACTTGTGATAGTGAGTGAGTTCTCATGAGATCTGGTTGTTTAAGTGTGTAGCAGCTCCCCCTCTTGCTCTCTCTCTTGCTCCTGCTTTTGCCATGTGAACTGCCTGCTCCCCCTTGGCCTTTGCCATGATTGTAAGTTTCCTGAGGTGTCCCCAGAAGCTGAGCAGTTGCCAACATCATGCTTCCTGCACAGCCTGCAGAACCATGGGCCAACTAAACCTCTTTTCTTTGTAAATTACCCAGTCTTGGGTACTTCTTTATAGCAGTGTGAGAACAGACTACTACAACTTGTATGGCCAATGTTCAAAAGTCTCCTGTCAGAACCCACTATGAATATTGGAGCACGGCACCAAGACCGGATTGATCAGGATGATGGCAATGGACCTATTCAGCAGACAAGGTCATTACTCCACCCAAAACCCCCTCATGCCCTTCCTGCTGTTCCTGGGTGCCCCTTCTCTAGGTTCTGTGTGCTCACATCCAGCATGTGTATGTGTTCTTTGATGAACAACCCTCATGGCACTGGAGTGGCTTTGCCCCTCATAGTCAGAGAGCCAAAAGTGTTGAGGCTTTACATTCCAGCTCCCCCAACAGGGAATCA
The DNA here is from genome assembly GCF_000001405.40 of Homo sapiens. NCBI lineage: Eukaryota > Metazoa > Chordata > Mammalia > Primates > Hominidae > Homo > Homo sapiens. The sequence goes on from NC_000008.11 coordinate 93,532,747, forward strand.
TTGTCAAACAATGTGACTATTGAGTGCAAGAGCATGAAAGCCCAACTCCAACTTCCCTGTCTGAGGTGGGAAAATTAGAGAGTATAGTCATGTGCCACATAAAGATATTTCAGTCAATGACAGATGGCATATATGAAGGTGGTTGCATAAGATTATAATGAAGCTGCCCCATACAGTTGTATTTTTTTATCTTTTATACCATATTTTACTGTATCTTTTCTGTTTCAATACATGAATACTTACCATTGTGTTACAGTTACCTACAGTACTCAATACAGTAACATGCTGCACAGGTTTGCAGCCTAGGAGCAATAGGCTACCCTATAGCCCAGGCGTGTAGAAGGCTATGCCATCTAGGTTTTTATAAGTTCACTGTGACTGTCACACAACAGAATTGCCTAATAAAACATTTTGCAGTAAGTTATCTCAAATGACACACAACTACTGTACAATTGACACCCCAGAGTTCTGTAGATCAGTCAAAGCTACCCTCCAAGGGACTCTGCCTGAGATCTTACTGCTTGGCTTCCTTTTCTTCCCTGTCCAGCTTCTCCCATGCCCCTTCTTCTCGGGACACTTCCATAACAAAGCATTTACATGCAAATATTAGTCTTAGGGTCTGCTTAATAGAATCTGACTTAAAACAAACTGCTAAGCATTTTCCACTTAGAAACACGTTTGGCCCTGGGCAATGGGAGGCTGAGCTCTTACGTAAGGGTCACATAGTGCCAGCTGTCGGGAGAGGAAGGAGAGTTGGGAACCAAACAGCCTAGTGTCTCTGATCAAAAGCTAAGAGGAGTGAATTGGTATTGGAGAGGAGAATTAGCTTTATTTCATTATCTTATTGTTTTAAAGTCCATGATCTTAGAGTAAGCAGTGTAAAAAGCATGCAGAACCTTCAGGATGTCTAGCTGGGCACAGTGGCTCACACCTGTAATCCTAGCACTTTGGGAGCCCCAAGTAGACAGATCACGTGAGGCCAGGATTTCCAGATCAGCTGGCCAACATGATGAAACCCCGTCTCTATTAAAAATATGAAAAAATTAGCCAGGCGTGGTTGTGCACTTCTGTAATCCCAGCTACTAGAGAGGCTGAGGCAGAAGAATCGCTTTAACACAGGACGCGGAGGTTGCAGTGAGCTGAGATCGTGCCACTGCACTGCAGTCTGGGCCACAGAGCAAAACCCTGTCTCAAAAAGGAAAAAAAGAAATCCTTCAGGGTGTCTGCATAAGAACATGTTTTCACTTGTTCACTGTCACAGTTCGGGCTTTCCCAGAAGCAGAAGCAGACACTAAGAGGTTAACATGGAGGACGTTTATTAGGGAGTAGTTTGGGTATCAACACTGTGCAAGGGAAGAGTAGAAAGCAAAAAATGAACAGATGGAGAAGCTGGGCTGAATGGTTCTCAATGGAGGCCTCTGCCAACACCACAGGAAGCTGTGAGGTTGGGTGGTCTCCTTTAGAGTTGTACCAATTTAGGTGAGAAGGTTGAGCTCTGTGTCAGTGAGTCATTGGATGAAGGCTTTCCCAGGAAGGGAGCCAACCTTGGGCAGCTGGAGGAATAAGTCCTTCAGTCCTTAATGAGATCTTGACAACACATCACAGAATCCACTATGTTCTTATCACAAAATCCTATAGAAATAACAGGATAAAAACATTTTTTAAAAGTTGTAGTTGCAGTAGACTACCAGGAGAGGTGTTTCTAGCAAAAGTGAACAAGGATGTCTTTCAAGAATAAATTGATGGGAAAGGATTGATAACAATGCCCAATTGTTTCAGATAAGAAATCTGAAGTGATAGGTGCCAGAGAAATATCCCAAGCAATATCCCAGGAGATATTCCAGAATATCCCAGGCAGAATTCCAAATAATCCCAGCATCAAAAGCAACAGAAGCTGAATGATGGTGAACACCACAGGCTTTGAGATGGATTTTCACACAGCTGTCTTCTGGATCTCAGTCACCAGGCCACGAGGGCTGTACCATGCTCAACTTCATCCCTGGCAGAACGACACCACTGGACCTGCATCCACAGCAAGACACGATTGAACTCCTGGGTAGCTGCCACTTAGTTTTTCAAGCTAAAATCTCAGTGGCAAAAGGAATGGAATTAATATAAGAGCATAAAGAACAATATCTGGACCATGTGTGTGCTCAATAGGTGGCTGTTATTATGATTAGTATTCATAAATTATGGCTTACTTAACTCTTTGATTTTCATGATTATAGCAAAGGTATTTCATTTCCCCCAGGCAAGAAAGATGTTATTTATGAAATTATAAGTTAATAATTAACTATAAATCATAGTAAGTATGAAATCCATGCAATACCATTTTGACCTGCTATTTAAAAAAAAAAAAAAACTTAGTAATCTGTGGTTATGACTATAGACTGGTGAAGAATAAAACCGCTCAGCACATTTGTCTAAATCCAGTCCTCCTCCTGGGTCCTCTGTATCCATGGTTGGCATTCCCATCCATCCAGTCACCAAGCTAGAAGTCTTGGAGGCATCCTGTACCCTCTCCATCTCTCCCATACCCTCTCAATAAGTCATCAAGTCTTCCCTCTCTTCCCTCTTGCCAGCCAACTGTGCCTGCCATGTCCACTTTTCACCTAGACCACTGAGCTCATCACTTGGCATTGTAGATTCTAAAAGATCCATCATGATTTGCCCTGTTCCCCACCTTTCCAGGCTCATCCCTCACCACTCCTTGCCTCGCATGTGATGTTTCAGAAACACCAAAATATTTTCAATTCCTCCCACACACACTTGTTTTCACAAGTTACCCCGTCTGCCTAGAATCTCCAGTAGAAGCTGAATCTGCTGTTTCAGGTCTATAGTTAAACATTAAACTCAAAAACCACTATCTCCAAAATGCTTTCTCTGACTCTCAAAGGTAGATGGAATCCCTCTTCTCTGATTACTCAGCCCCCAGGCATGCTTCATCATTGCATTTATCATTGTCTAGTGCAATGTTCTCCTCAGGGGAAGTTCCAGAGTAAGATGATTGTGAGTGGAAAAACCAACTCAAACTATGTTTTTCTCTGCTCCCACACCACAACAGCAATCAACACAGAAGACTTCTGTGTCCAAATATGTGGAGGATTTTCCCCCACAACAAGCAAGCAGTCAGTTCTGCAGTGGACACCAGCTGGGTGTCCTCTAATTTAATTCAATTCGGACACTATTTCCCTAGAGATAGGGTCAGATCCCACAGGTTGAGAACTTAGTCCCACAAGACCAGCCCCCACCCCCATGAGTTGCAGGTCTGGGCCTCCAAAACTTCCAACTAACTGGCTTCATGTTGGGGTTCCCATTGTCCCCTCTTTGGGTTCTATTAGTTTGCTAGAGTGGCTTACAGAACTCAGGGAAACACATTTACCCTTATTATGAAGGATACTAAAAGGAGACAGATGAAGAGATGCACAGGGTGAGGTATGGGAAAAAGGACACAAAGCTTCCATGCCCTCCTTTGCACTCCACCCTCCAGGGACCTCCATGTTTTCAGTTGTCTGGAAGCTCCTGAACCCAGTCCTTTTGGGTTTTTATGAAGGCTTCATTATGTAGGCATGATTGATTAAACCATTGGTCATTGGTGATCAACTTAATCATCAGTCCCTCTCTCCTCCACAGAAGGTGGGGAGAGGGGCTGAAAGTCTCAACCCTCTAATCATGCCTTGGTCTTTCAGGTGACCAGCCTCTATCCAGAAGCTGCTTAGGAGCTTTTAGCCATCAGTCAACCTTTAGTATACAAAAAGACATCACTTTGGAGATTCTAAGGATTTAAAGAATGCCAAGAAACGGAGTTGAAAAACAAATAAATTCATCACAATGTTGCAATGATCCAAGTTCAAATCTGACTCTGTCACTTACTAGCTATGTGATTTTGAGCAAGCCCTTTAGTGTCACAGTTTCCTAATCTGAAAAAATGGGGTAATAAATGATGAACAAAATGACACATATAAAGAACTCAGCATAGCACCTGGCAAATTATAAACCTTAATAAATCAAAGGTCTCGTTATTGTGAGTGTCTTCCATTGGTAGACTTATTTCAGTTTGCATACCAAGCATCTGTTCCTGACACAGAAAAGCTCATCAAATGCATATTGATTCAATTAATACATGAACAAATGAAGGGATGGATGGATGGATGGATGGAAGTACCAGTCACTATTTCGCTGACAACAATGCAGAACCCGAGGTGGCATCCAGAGGATTAAAGGTGATTTGCTTGTTTCTCAGGCACACTACATTCATCTTCCCATACCTACCCAAGCCACCTTCATACCTGTCTGATCCCCAGGCTGCAGGTGGGCCCCACAACCTCGCTACATTCTGCACCACCTCACACAGCACTCAGCTATGTTCGCGTGCAGTTTTCTGAATGTAAGAAATTTCTCAGAGAAATAATCCTAGGGTTTTGTTTTTCTTTTCTTTCTGGAACAAAGAACACGAAACACAGATAATAGAGTTGGGGGAGGGAGAAACCATCTCTTTTCTCAGAGTTGAAAAGGGCAAGTGACTATAAAATAAGAACATTCAACCCCCAGCTGAGAGATAAAAATAGAGAGAGGGCCATTAGGCCCAGAGTTTTCACCTGTGTCCCTCTCTGGCTGCTCATGGACATGGACAGGAGGGAGCCCAGAGGGAACCGAATGGCTCTTGTCCCTGCACAGAAGGGCCCTTCTGATGCTGGCCTGGCTCTTTTTTACCCTCCTGACAGTGGCTCTACAATGTAAAGGAAGGACACCCACCCACACTCTGTTAGCATCAGGAATTTATACAATCATTCCAAATGTTAAAAAAAAAAAAAAAAAAAAAAAGGAAACAATCCCAAAAATGTTCCTACCACTCTACATTCTTAGCAAACACATTTTTAAGAAAATAAACCAAATCCTGCTATGTACCCAATTTGTGTTTTTCTTTAGCAGTCAGCAGCCTGGCCCATTTTATATAAGGCATCAGACTCCCTGCCCCAGTATAATGTCTTGGGTTCTCTTGGGGAGGTCTAAGTGTAACATAAAATATTGTCCCTAAAAATATATACACACTATGCTACGAAGATGGACAGATGTTTCCTAGTGGTTAATGAGTACCATTTCTCTCCAGTTTCCCTGACAGGCTGAAACTAAAAACAAATACACATTTATACATACACAAGGCCCATCTCAATAAAAGAATGTAACTGTCGGCCCAAACATTTTCAAGATGGTCAGAAAACAGACTTTTTTCCTCTTTTTATTGTCCTTTTACTTAGAGAACATTCAAATTCTTCCTTTAAAGCACTGAACACCATTATTAAAATTTCAGACTACTGTAGAATATATATACACACACACACATATACATGTATGTATACACGTGTGTGTATAAATATGTGTCTGTGTACATGCACACACTCACAGGTTCCTAGGAAAAAATCAGCTGTTTAACTTTAAACAAGAAGTGAATCTCAGGAAAAAGGGAAAGCTGGAGCACTTTGATCCTGTCTTACAGCCCCATGCTTGTTATGGGGCTTCAGAGAATCACAGAGTGTTGGAGCTAGAAGTCGCTTCAAGGTCAAATTCTTCCCTTCACCACTGAGAAAACCAGGGCCCAGCAAAGTGAAGTGACTTCCAAAGTCACAAAGCCAGATGGTAGAAAAGCTGTAAAACGCAGTTCTATATTCTGATAGGACAACTCCTGGGAGACATGGGCTTAGGAAATACTGGATAATGGTGGGTAGCGACACCAGTCAGCACCTGACCTGGGAGGAAGCTTCTCAAACCCTCAGAACAGAATATTTCAAAGTCTGTAATCTTTGGACCTGGCCATGACAGCAAGTAATACCAGCAGTGATGCTAGCAGCTAGATCAATAATCAAGACATGCATGGCAGGGGCTGTTCACACAGAGCTTTGCAAACCTGGGAGTGGTAATTCTGCCTCATGAGTGCAGTTATGAAGGGCATGCATTGCCATGGCTTTCTTCTATTCTTATCATCTTCTTTCATTCTTCCTTTTGCTACCATTTTTCTTCTTTCTTCTCTCCTTGCTTACCCTACCATGTACCCAAACTGCTCCTTTACAGTCCCTGTCTGCACGTGGTCAGTCACAGTCCAGTGACTTCAGGGATTCTAGCAGCTAAATCATACCAACAGTTCCGTGATAGGATTCATCATACAATGGCCTGATGTGCAAAAACAATCTCTTGAGTCCCAAAAGCAGGCTGGGGGCAGGGAGAGAGCAGAACATATTGTTCTGTTAATCAGCAATAATTTTTGAGAATCCACTGTAACAGGGTGTTTTCATCAACTGTAGAAAACTGTGAGCAAGTGGCAAGAGGCCACAGCAGGCACTTAGCTGACACTTGCTCCTAGAATCCCTCTCTGCAGCTCAGGGAGAGTGCTGCTGTGGTGGAGAGGGGAGGAGGCAGGAAAGGGGAGAGGAGAGGGGAGAAGAGGGAGGAGAAAAGGGAGGAGAGGAGGTCAGCATTCAGCTAGGAGCCACCGTGCCCATGCCAATGACTGAGGGCTTTATATGACCCAAGGTCAATCTGAGGGGAGGCGGGAGGAAAACAGCACAATGACTCCTTCCATCCCAGAAAATACCCATGAGGTCAACAAAACCATTCAGATATTTCTGGTGTTTAAAGAATTTCAGTAGTAAAATTTCAATTTTTTCTGTTCTTTCACGGGAACTTTAAAAGTGGATCAAACATGTCACAATTTTTAGAAAGCTCAATGCTGTCACTAGATTTAAAGTTTCAAAGATAAAAAGGATGCCTCTCAAAACCAGTTGCATTTGTGAGTATATGTATTTTTAGTTTTATTATTTTTTAACTGATAAATAATAATTGTACATATTTATAGGGCTCACTGTGATGTTTGGTTACTTATATACATTGTGGAATGATCAAATCAGACTAACATTATATTATCACTGTTCAAATTATGGCAAATGGAATTAGAAATCAATTATAGTGACTAAGCATTTTGTAAAATAAAGATATTTTTTGTTCACCAACCTACTCTCCTAATGTTATTTACATCACTAGAAAACACCAGAAGTTTTGAAAAATTTTGATCCACATTCCATCAGATTGCAAGGAATTCATTGCAACAATAAATTAATTATACCCAAACCAAAAACTGTGTCTTTTTCCTTTTGCTGGTGGTGGGGGAGGGGGGGCAACTGAGTTCTTTTTATTCTCTATTAAGTAAATTTTTTAAGTGAGTTTTTAAAACCTATTAATGTAAAGTGACACGTTTCAATGCTAAGAGGTGCTCACTATACTAACAGCAGACCCACATTACACAGATGGAGTTGCCTTCCTTCTTCGCCTCATAAACGTTAAGAGTGGCACACATAGCTTTTTCACTGTAGATGAACACTTGGTACACACAATAATTGAGACCTTTAACTTGTGTGTTTCCCTAGGCTTGGTGTGACTGAGTCTGTAGCCTCCTTGTGACAAGGGTAGGGATTTTTCATTGAATACATATATCCCCATAATTGTGGAACATACTCAGTGGTTGTCTCAATCAGCACATGGTTGGTTGTTAGTTTTGTGTTTCTTCTTTTTTCTTTTTTGTTTTAATTTCAAGAAAAACTAATGAGTTTCCAGAAGCAGTGTGAGTGCTTTGGGGCTGAATGTGATTTAAAACCGGCAGTAAAAGAAAAAGAAGACAGGGAAGGTAGCTGGTTAATTGACCTTTATTGTGCCTTCTGGTTCATTTAGAAATGGAAATTAAATTAACATGATAATTCAGTCCTACTGTGTTAAGGCTGCTATAAACCCATTAAATTTTATGGCCATTGATTTAGCATTTTTTTCTATTAACTGGGTTTAATTTTCAAAATTGTCATGCAGGTTCTGAAAAGTGGTTCATTCACTCTGGTTCCTCCAACTTACTAATGTGTAGTCTTTTCCTTTTTTAATAGTATTCACTTAACTATTCAAGCGCAGAGGGCCCAACTGCCCTCAAAAGCCTGGATTAATTTTGAAACTAACCCCATTGAAAGTCTTTATAAGCAGCAAGGAGAGTTCAGGGATGGGAGAAGTCAGTGAAATTTCCTGGTACCATATCAATTTCTTAAAGATCAGATGCCCGAAAACCCTGACAAAAGGAAATATTTTGGATTTCCTTTTTGGGAGATCAAGGGAACCATGAAAAGAGTTTGTGTTGGTACTTCTATTTCTTAAAGTATCTCAATAACATAAACGTATTTTAAAATGCAACCATTCCTTGTATTTCAGATCCCCAAACATCTTTTTTTTAAATCTACTAATTTGAAATTATAACCAATCAAAACTTTCTAATTTTGAACTATTAAAAGACATCCATTTTTACTTGAAGCTAAAAGCAATTTTCTAGATTCTTTCTTTAGCAGACATAGGCTTGTGTACCTTCTAATGTGGCAGTGAGTAGCCTTTTAGTTTAATAACTCAAGACACTGAAGTTTTATTGTGAAACTTATTGACAGATGAGGTCTCAGAGAATTACCAAAAGATTCTGTTATTTAACTTTGAAGTATTCATGAAAAGTAGAAATTTAGTTTATAGTTTAACTTCGAAACAAAAATGCTAACAGCCCTTTCCTGAAACAAGCCCTCTTCTTGCCTGGGGACCAGATTGCCTTTGTAGGACTGACAAATTATAAATAGCCCAGATTCAAAATTATGGTTTAGGAGTCATTCAGCTAGAGGCCACAAGATTCTAAACCTCCCCAGTTGCTCCTAGGGATAACTTCACTATTATAAAACCTGAGATCCGTTCTTGAGATATTTTTTAGACCCCGCACTCAATGGATCAGCTGGTGCCACCCAGATCAATACATTGGTTCATCTGATCTTGTGGCCCCCACCCAGGAACTGACTCAGCACAAGAGGACAGCTTCATCTTCCTATGATTTTATCTTTGACCCAACCAATCAATACTCCCCACCACCTGGCCACCTACCCACCAAATTATCCTTAAAATCCACAATCCCCATATTTTCACAGGGACTGATTTGAGTAATAATAAAACTCCAGTCTCCTATACAGCCAGCTCTGCATGAATTAAACTCTTTCTCGATTGCAATTCCTCTGTCTTGATAAATCAGCTCTGTCTGGGCAGTGGGCAAGGAGAACCCACTGGGCAGTTACAGTGGGAGGAATCATATCTGGAGTTTCTTGTGTAGTTCCTAGTATTTAATAGAGTATCTTGCTAAAGTAGAAGGTATTCAATATATAAAAATAATGATCACCAACACTTAATTATACAACATTGACTATCCATCCAGCACTATTCTAAGGATCGCATCTACATTAACTCATATAACCCTCACATAAGGTACAATTACCCTCTCCACCTTACAGATGAAGAAACAGAGGTACAGAGGAGTTAAGTAACTTATGCAGGGGTTTGAACCCATGCCACCTGTCTATGCTACCTATGTTGAATAATTGCAATACATTTATGTCTGTCAAGTTTTGTATTTTCAGCCCAGCATTATTCACTCCCATTCACTAGGCCAAGTAACTTAGATCATTTTTAACTTGCCCCCTTCTGGCACACCTCACTCCCCCACACCCAGCCCATCTTGGATTCTAGAATCCTGATTCTTTTTCATTTCCTGGTGATGGAATCTAATGATGTCCCCTTGAAGATAATTTATAAAATTCTCAATTATGTTAATGCTTCAAAACTTGAAGACTCTGAACTCTGTTGGTGACGGCCAGAGCGGGGGCCGGGGGGAGGATGAGAGAGTGAGTTTGAAGGGGAGAGGGCACTCCAGCATCTTCTGCCTCTTGTTTTTATGGGTTTGACTTTATAAAATTTGCTAGAGCAGCCTTTGGTTTCTTTATCAAGCACTGTGCCTGCAATGGGGGTGTCGCCAAGATGGAACTGATTAATCCTTTCCCTCTTTCCCTGCTGTTGCTCCAGCTTACCTCTATCCTAACACTTTATTTCTTGCCTGTTGGTCTCCTTCCAAAACTTGGAAGCTAGAGGTAGTGATAAGGACTGTGGCTGATGCAAAACTGTATCCTCAAGGCCTCGAATCATGTCTGATTCATTAGTGCTCAACAAATGATTGATGATTGAGTGAGTTCACAAGTGACTGAAAATAGACCAGCCCCTCACCAAGAAGCATAAATGAGAGTATACAGTATGTTCTAGTCATATTTTTTCCAGCGTTACACAATTAGATTATAAGCGTCTCAAAACAGGGTCCAGAAAGAAAGCCTTGTCTATATATCCTACAGCATCTGAGTGTCATCCATGTAGTCTGCAAGAAAAGAGCAAAGTAGACGTTCCAAAAGCTGAGTCAAGCTGAACACATTTGTTCTTACATCATAATCACCGAATCAAGGAGAAAATGCAATAAAAGCATAACCGAGAACTAGAACCAAATTTGGAAGACAGGAGACAACAAAATGTGCATCAAGCTAGAGGACAAGGCAAAGGCATGAATAAATGATACAGGGAAAGGTCGGTAACAAAGGACATTAAAAGGAAGTAGTGAAATGAGTTAGTAACCATACATTTATTTCCCAGTTCTGTCTGCTGAGAGGGCCTAGAGGTAATGATACCCCAGTATCGACAGGGCACAACCAGCACCCAGGTCTTGGTCTTTACCACTCTCTAACAAAATGAACCAGTGCTCTTTGAGGAAATAGATGATTCTATGACTGGGACAGAGAATACACAAGATGAGAATGGACCACCTTGTAGAGCCAGAAAGTAAGGAGGTATTCAAAAACCAAAAGTCTGAGAGCATGGCAAAGGGACAGAGGGGCCCAGTGAAAGAGCTCACAATTGCTAAAGCTTGGACAATGTGAGCAACAAAATAAATAATGCAGTGCTGAATTATAGCCCAAAGAATAAAATAAATATCCATGGGTCTATACTGACATGAACAAGTGATTGAATAGATAAATCAATAAATGGGGAAGAGACAAATCTCCCACATGGCAGAATTCCAAACAATTCTAAATAATTGAGGTAGATCCTCCTCCTCTCAAGAAAGTGAAGCTTAGCTCCCCACCTCTTGTGTGAGCTGTGCTTAGTGACTTGCTTCAAAGAGTAGAATATGGGAAAAGGGAGAAAAAAGGACTTGACAGCAGGGAGACCTGGCAAACACTACTTTATCCCAGGGTTCAAGGTCAACATCAACAGGGATAAGTAATGTTGATAGTATGTGTGCTTAGCATGAGGTGATGAGAAGACACCTTACCACTGAGGGCTTCTTCCCCAAAACTAATAACCCAGTCTCATCATGAGAAAAACATCAGACAAACCCAAATTGAGGGACATTTTACAAAATAGTTGGCCAGAACTTCTAAAAACGATCAAGGTTATCAAAACTAAGGAAAGCCCGAGAAATGTCAGACAGGAGGGGACAAACAAGACATGGCAAATAAATTTAACAGGATAATTTGAATGGGATCCTAGAATAGAAAAAAAGATATTAGGGAAAAATTAGTGAAAGCTCAGGAAACCGCGGAGATTAATTAGTTAACTAATTAACCCATGTTGGTTCCTTCGTTGTGACAAATGTACCACAGTAATGTAAGACGTTAACAATAGGGAAAACTGGATTATGTGGTATAGGTAAAGCCTTTTTTCTCTCTTTTTCTTTGACACAAGGTCTCACTCTGTTGCCCAGGCTGGAGTGCAATGATGCAAACACAGCTCACTGAAGCCTCAACCTCTTGAGCTCAAGTAATCCTCCCGCCTCAGCTTCCAAATAGCTAGGACAACAAGTGTGCACCACCACACCTGGATAATTTTTATTTTTTATTTTTTGGAGAGATGGGGTTTCACCATGTTTCCCAGGCTGACCTCAAACTCCTGGGCTCAAGCAATCCTCCCACCTCAGCCTCCCAAAGTGCTGAGATTTCAGCTGTGAGCAAGAACTCTTTACACTATCCATGCAATTTGTCTACAAATCTAAAACTATTCCAAAATTTAAAAGATTTTTTTGAAAAACAATAAATAAAAAGAAGGAGTAAGGAGCAAAATATAGACAGAGAATTATGCACCTAGTTCAGCATCTAAGTAACTGAAAATTGAGCATCCGCCCAACATTTCTTTATGTCAGTCTTGGTGCATCTCAGTGGGCCTAGAAAAAAGGCATGAAGAAGTTAAACTGGTCTGGACACATGGCAGGCTTTTAAAAATTTTATCATATTGCAAAATCAACAACAGTGTATAGATACGGTTTATATTTTTGTCTTCCCATATCATTTTCTTTTGCAAACTGTCCCCAGGAACTACCCCCAAGGAAATTTTTAATTAAGGAAGCTTACTTTCCATTAGTGTTTGCATATGACCTGAACTGACCAATCAGAACACCCTATCACCCTAGGAACAGTTACTGGTCCAAGGGTGAATGTCATGTGGAGCCCAAGTAGAGCCAAGCATAGTCATTTTGAGTGGCTTCCTGTAGATATTCAGTATCCTTCTGAAATTGTGAGTTGTGCTGCACTATATAAGCCTAGAGCTACCAGGACCATCCTTTATAGTAGAAAGAGTCCTTGCTGGATAAAATCACCCCAGAGGAAAAAGAAATTAGATCTGCAGAGAGACAGATTTCTGATGGCATCATCTGAGACTTGGATCCAATATGTCCATAGTTTGCACCCCTCCTTAGACTCTTAGTTACTTAAAGTGGTAAATTCCTGATTGTCCTAAAGTGAATTTGAGATGTTTTTGTTACAAGTTAAAAATTTTGACTAATAAAAGCAGGTTGAGATTGAATATATAAATACTCAACTGATAAATCACTTGTTCATTAATTTTAGTTATTTGCATATTGAAATATTCAACATTAATAAGTACCTACTATTTGCCAAGTACTGTGGTAGGTCCTGGAAATACAAAGATGTAAGAATCAATATCTCCCTCAAGGAACTTATAATCTACAAGGGAGACAGACAAGCAGCTGAGCAAAAACCACAATACAATGTGATAAAGACATGGATAAATGTGTTATTGAATGCAATGGACCTCACAAGATGGGCATTCATTGCAGACTAGCGTGACGTCCTGACAAAGAGACCTCGGAACTGGGTTTAGAAGAACGAATTACGGTAGTTACCAAGCTCAGTCAGGGGTTGGGGAGAATGCTGGGATGGGACAAGGCTGATATCAAGCTGTAAAAGCAGCCCATGTGATACATAGGTGTGAGGAAGCCTGACTGCTTTGAGGAACTGCAAGTAATTCAGCACTACTGATCTGCGGGGCAGAAGGAAGGAACTCCCAGCAGGTCAATTATTTCTATCAGTGTGGATAAATGATACACATCTTTTAATGTTTGACATTCACACACACACATGCGCACGTGCACACACACACGCACACACCTACCTGCAGCTTACTGAGCCACATATGCTTTTCCAGATCTTGTCCTGACAGGTTCCCAGCTTAGAATCAAGCTGATTGCCTTGATCAGCAAGGAATCAGGACAGACATGGCAGACAGGGTTCCAGTTGTAGCAGATAAACTATTAATGGATAACTTAGAGCTGATATTCATTCTTGCACATTTGATCAGTACACACTTCAAATTCTTAATAACAATTTTTGTAAAACTTTTCCCTTGATTCAGATAGGTATTCATCATTGTCTTTTCTCCCTTAGGCAATGCACCCTAGCCTAGCAAAAGTTCACTTACTACTTAAGGGGACAGAGAACATATTACCACTGATTCATGAAATGCAATGAGAATTTACTAACAAGAAGTGTTGTGTCTGAGGACTAATTTAAAAAAAAAAAACTGTAGATCTGGTTCAACTGGTTCAATCCAAAAAATGCCCATCAGTTTCTACCCTGTGAGAGCCCCTGTTCTAGAGACTCTGGGGTATGAGCTGAATTCCCCATGCAAAAACAAATTCGCTCAATCATGCCACGAAGGGTTCTTTATATATCAAAGTTGGCAGGAAATAGAGGACTAAAATTGTTTCAAACTGTTGTTGGCAGTAAGCTTCTGTCTGTGTTAATTACACTCTATGTTTGATGCTCATCATTCAGTCAACAGTTAACGCATTGTAGCCTTTCTGTGATTGACTAAATACCAAATTACTGTATGCAGCTTTTTGGATTTCTGAGTTTTTCAAATTTATATCACTCCCAGACTTGATGATCTAATAGTTTGGGGGCTTTTCCAGCCCTAAGTCCTTTGATAAACAACTAGTCAATGAAAATATTGGGTACACTCATGAGGATGGCCCTAAAAGTTTAGAACCCTAAAGAAATACAGATATTTAAGGAAGTTCTTTTAACTTTAAATTTGAAAGGATAGGTGACTTATGAAAAAACAAATTTGCACCACATTTTAGTATAATCTACTTATACATGGTTACATAATGCATAGACATCCCAAAAAAATTTTAACAAAATTTAGGTAAGTGTATGTACATATACGTGCGTGTGTGTAGGTATTTGGCATAAGGTAAGAAAGTTACTTAAAAATAATTCCAAGTAAAGACTATAATAAACAGAAATCAAATAAAAAACACATTTTGTGTTCTTAGTTTTACATTCAGTATGCAGTTCTCGAACTATATATTAAAATAGGTATTTTATACTGGCAAGCCAAATCCAGCAGCACATCGAAAAGCTTACCCACGACAATCAAGTTGGCTTCATCCCCGGGATGCAAGGTTTGTTCAACATACACAAATCAATAAACGTGATTTATCACATAAATGGAACTAAAGACAAAAAAACACATGATTATCTCAATAGATGCAGAAAAGGCCTTCAATAAAATTCAACATCCCTTCATGTTAAAAACTGTCAATAAACTAGGTATTGAAGGAACATACTTCGAAATAATAAGAGTCATATATGACAAACACACAACCAATATCTTTCTCAATAGGCAAAAGATGGAAGCATTCCCCTTGAAAACTGGCACAAGAAAAGGATGCCCTCTCTCACTACTCCTATTCAACATAATATTGGAAGCTCTGGCCAGGGCAATCAGGCAATAGAAACAAATAAACGGTATTCAAATAGAAAGAGAGGAAGTAAAATTATCTTTGTTTGCAGATGACATGATACTATATCTAGAAAACCCCATCGTCTCAGCTCAAAATCTTCTTAAGCTGATAAGCAAATTCAGCAAAGTCTCAGGATACAAAATCGATGTGCAAAAATCGCTAGCATTCCTATATATCAACAACAAGCAAGCAGAGAGCCAAATTATGAATGAATTCCCATTCACAATTGCTACAAAAAGAATAAGATGCCTAGGAATATAGCTAACAAGGGAAGTGAAGGACCTCTTCAAGAAGAATTACAAAAAACTGCTCAAGGAAATAAGAGAGGACAAAAACAAATGGAAGAACATTCCATGCTCATGGATAGGAAGAATGAATATTGTAAAAATGGCCATACTGCCAAAAGCAATTTATAGATTCATTGCTATTCCCATTAAACTACCATTGACATTCTTCACAGAATTAGAGAAAAAAAACTATTTTAAAATTCATATGGAACCAAACAATAGCCTGAATAGCCAAGACGATCCTAAGCAAAAAGAACAAAGCTGGAGGCATCATGCTACCTGACTTCAAACTATGCTACAAGGCTATAGTAACCAAAATATCATGGTATTGGTACAAGAACAGACACATAGACCAATGGAACAGAACAGAGAACACAAACCTGACAAATCTGACAAAAACAAGCAATGAGGAAAGGATTTTCTTTTTAATAAATGGTGCTGGGAGAACTGGTTAGCTATATGCAGAAAATTGAAACTGGACCCCTTCCTTATACCTTACACAAAAATCAACTCAAGATGGATTAAAGACTTAAATGTAAAATCTAAAACTATAAAAACTCTAGAAGAAAATCTTAGACATTACCATTCAGGACATAGGCACGGGCAAAGATTTTATTACAAAAATGCCACAAGCAATTGCAAGAAAAGCAAAAATTGACAAATGAGATGTAATTAAACTAAAGAGTTTCTGCACAGCAAAAAAGACTATCATCAAAGTGAACAGACAACCTACAGAATGGGAGAAAATACAATCTATCCATCTGACAAAGGTCTAATATTCCAGAACCTATAAGGAGCTTAAACACATTTACAAGAAAAAAAAAACCATTAAAAAGTGGGCAAAGGACATAAACAGGCACTTCTCAAAAGAAGACATTTATGTGGCCAAGAAACATATGAAAAAAAAGCTTAACATCACTGATCATTGGAGAAATGCAAGTCAAAACCACAATGAGATACTATCTCATGCCAGTCAGAATGGCTATTAATAAAAGTTAAAAAACAACAGATGCTGGTGGAGTTGTGCCAAAAAAAAAAAAAAAGAATGCTTTTACACTGTTGGTGGGAGTGTAATTAGTTCAACCATAGTGGAAGACAGTGTGGTGATTCCTCAAAGATCTAGGGGCAGAAAAACCATTTGACAAAGCAATCCTGTTACTGGGTATATACCCAAAGGAGCATACATCATTCTATTATAAAGATACATGCACACGTATGTTCATTGCACCACTATTTGCAATAACAAAGACATGGAATTAACCCAAATGCCCATCAATGATAGACTGGATAAAGAAAACGTGGTACATATCCACCATGGAATACTGTGCAGCCATAAAGAGGAATGAGATCATGTCCTTTGCAGGGACATGGATGGAGCTGGAAGCTGTTATCCTCAGCAAATTAAGGCGGCAGCAGAAAACCAAACATCACATGTTTTCACTTATAAGTGGGAGCTAAATCATGAGAACACATGGACACTTTGCGGGGGAACAACACACTGGGGCCTGTCAGGGGTAGATGGGGAAAGGGAGAGCATCAGGAAGAATAGCTAATGAACACTGGTCTTAAACCTAGGTGATGGATGATCTGTGCAGCAAACCACGATGGCACACATTTAGCTATGTAACAAACCTGCACCTCCTGCACATGTACCACTGAACTTAAAATAAAAGTTGAAGAAAAAAAATAGGTATTTCAGACCAAACACTGCATGTTCTCACTTATAACTGGGAGCTGAACAATGAGAACACATGGACACAGGGAGGGGAACAACACACACTGGGGCCTGTCAGGGGGTCGGGGAGAGGGAGCGCATCAGGATAAATAGCTTATGCATGTGGTGCTTAATACCTAGGCAGTGGGTTGATAGGTGCAGCAAACCATGATGGCGCACATTTACCTGTGTAACAAACCTGCCCATCCTGCATATGTAGCCCGGAACTTAAAATAAAATTAAATTTAATTTTTAAAAATAGGTATTTTAGCATAAACAAGAGATGGTAGCACCCAACAGTCTATATTCAGTGGTGTGCTCTAACCAACTTGTATTGCCTTGCAAGAGAGTCTAGTTTGTGTATCTTTCCTCAGCTCCATGTTCAGTGACTCAACTTGAGTAGCTTTAATTGGCTATGGTGAGAGTAGCTACGCCACAGAAACCGGCAAACGCTATAAATCAGGGATTTTTTTCTTCCAGGAGGGCCGACTGGAAAACACTTACAAAACACCAGTGCATATATATGTGTGTGTGAGAGTGTGTGTGTGTGTGTGTGTGTATATATGTGTATATATTTATACATGTATATAGATGTATACATATGTGTATGTACATATATGTAGTATATATGTGCACAAACACATATACACAAAGCATATGTAGGGATTGTTTTATTTTTGTGTCCTTACAGTGAACATTGGGCAGCTTTTCTTTTTAGCATTTATATAGGTGGATAATATATAGGTGGTAGATAATGAAAAAGAGAGATATAATGAGTAACAAAATTATTACTATAAAGAAAAATAAATAGGATTGACATGAAAAGACACAGTAGCTAACAAGTGTAGAAAAATACTAATGGCTTTACTAAAAAGAAAGAAAATTTCTTAAGCACTACAAAAACTCCTTAGAGCTAGAAAGGTAACTTAATCCAACTACCCTTAGTCTAATCCAACTGTCCTTTTCACCTTTAAGGAGACAGAGGCACAGAACATTTAAGTGGCTTACCTACAACTTAAAACTAGGCAAATGGCTGGGAGCGGTGGCTCAGGCCTGTAATCCCAGCACTTTGGGAGGACGAGGTGGGCAGATCACTTGAGCCAAAGAGTTCAAGACCAGCTTGGGCAACATGGTGAAACCCCATCTCTACCAAAAATACAAAAATTAGCCAGGCGTGGTGGTGCAGGCCTATAGTCCCAGCTACTCCAGAGGCTGAGGTGGGAGAAGGGTTTGAACCCTGGAGGCAGATGTTGCAATGAGGGATAGACTCTGGGCGACAGAGCCAGACCTCATCTCAAAAATAAATAAGTTAATAAATAAATATAAATAAATAAAATAAGACTAGGCAAGTGAGAAGGTCAGAACTGGACTCATGTCTTCTAACTCAGGTTTCTAACAGCCCCATTAGACCTGTTGTGCTCCCTCTTGAGGCATCTTAACAGACTGAATGAAATTGCCAAAGCCAGCATCAATTTTTCCAGTAAATGTTTTTCATTATTATAACAAAAATAACAGTTGCTTTAGGGCCTGTTAACAGATCAGAAATATATTACACACTTTTTTAAGGCACTTGCTATGGGTTCTTCCAAGTCTTGACTAGAATCACCAGTACCTTCTAGATGGAAGACTAGAGCACAAAATTTCAGATAGGCAAAGTGTCTTCTTGTACAAAATTTATCTTGTAATTGATCATGTTTGCAGTTTCTTCATAATTTAATGCAACAACACAGACATAGTTTCTCTCATCTCAGAGTGTTAAGCTATTTTCAATCTTTAAGGAGATTAGAAACTGCCCAATACTACTGTAAGATATTGTCTTAGTTTTGTGCTGCTGTAACAGAATGCCACAGACTAAGTAATTTATAATGGACAGAAATTTTTTGGCTCATGGTTCTGGAGGGCTGGGAAGTCCAAGATCAAGGCATTTGGTGAAGGTCCTCTTGTTGTGTCATAACATGGCAAAAGACACCACAAAGTGAGAGAGAGAGAGCGAGATGGGGCTGAACACCTCATTTTATAAAGAACCCACTACCGAGATAATGGCATTAATCTATTTATGAGGGCAGTGCCCATGTCCTAAAGATCTTTTATACATCCCACCTCCTAACACCTCTACATTGGTTATCAAGTTTCCAACACATAAACTTTGGGGATGCATTGAAACCACAGGAGACATGAATTTGTCAAGGTACAATAAAAAGATCTGTGAGATTTAGGGCTAATTCATGAATTGCCTAATGTGATCTCAAATACCCTCTGTTCACATGAATGTTTATACAGGACGGTTTACATGCACTGCTAGATTACTGGAAACTTCATTTCTAGGAAGAGGAGGAAGCTGATTCCATCTCTTCCACTTGAAAACTTCCCTTATCAGGCATTTCTGATGGCATTCTATCTTCTCTGTTGACTAAAACATCTGCTCACTCACTAAAAATAAACTAGGCAGCAGTGCAGAAAAAAAGTATAGGTTTTAGAGTGAGACACACAGGTTCAAACCCTTATTCAGCCATTTCCTAACTGTGTAAACTTGAAAATGTTACTGAGCCATTGTGAATCTCAATTTCCTTACCTGCAAAATGGAAATGACAGTACCTAGAATTAATTTGATTTCTTAGGATTAAAGAGAAAACATTCCTAAAGTATCTGACATGATATCTGATGCATAGTAGATATTCAAATAAAAATGTATTCCTTCTTCTTTCCCTTCCTACCCTCTTCATTGGCTAGGTGCTGAAGATACATAAATTAATAAAGTATACTCTCTATACTCTAGATATTGGCAATATAGCAAGAGCAAAGATTTCCAAATTACCAGTTTCCAGATAGTATAACTTGATTAGGATCTCATCAAGAAACAGATGGTATCTCAAACTGGATAATTTGAGGAGGGTTTAATAAGGTGACTATTTACAAAGGTATCATTTTGGTGAGGAAAACCACAGGAGACAGTGCAGTGTCCCAGGGCTAAAAATAGTGTGGCACAGACAGGCCTGAAGGGCTGGGGAAGAGCGGAGACAATTCGCTGGAAGGAAAGAATGGGACAGTGGTGTGCTGGATCTGGCTCATGCCAGCTGGAGAAAGCAGACAATACCTTGAATGATGTCACACCGGTAGCTTGAAATTGGCCATGGTAAGAGTATTTACATTGTAGAAATTGGCAAACACTAGAAATCAAGGCTTCTCCAACCCCTATACTGATTAATCATGCACCAGCACATCACTACGTGTAATCTTTGTGGTGGGAAGTAACCAACCCAGAGCAATCCCACAGGAAGGAAACTAAATAAATAAATACTCCAATTTTATTCTCCATATTCCCCCTTTTCTCCTGCCAATGGCCAAGCCCAATCAGAAGCCATAGTTCAAGAGAGTCCATTGCTATCCATTCAGGCTGACCTGACCCATTCAGGCCAACCTGATCCATTCAGGCCAACGGCAAAGCAGAAAGGATGGGAGAGTAGATCTGGAGGTGCAAACAAAAGTACACGAGCACGGGCAATAGTGGAAGAGAGGATGAAGATCTACTGAAAACTAACCAGGTTGTGACCTAAGATATAAATAAGGTACTATTGTAGCTCAGAACTTTGTGCATTCAAAAGACATTGTTCCTGTGCAGTTACAGTCTAAGATCTGTCTCTTTGGGATGACATCACACATCTCTTAAGGAAGGAATAATATATTCCCTGGGAAAGTCAGGTAAGATAGAGAAGAGGTGGGTCTTGAAAGGCTACTAGGAGTTTATCAAATGCAGAAGACAGCAAAGGACATTGCAGACAGGGAAACTTTGGAGGAAAACCCTCCAAAACGCTGGTTTTCCTCCAAAGAGCTAGCCAGACATCCCTGTCCTCACTCAGTCTCCTGGCCTCTCCGTGTGGTCTCTTCACCTGGCCTTCCTCACGGCACAGTGGCCTCAGGCATTGTGACTGCTTACCTGGCAGCTTAGGGATCCACAGTAAGTACTCCAGTGATTTACGGAGAAGCCGCATCACCTTTTATGATCTAGTCTCGAAGTCACATAAAGTCATAGTGGCCACAATCACGAGCCCACCCAGACTCAAGAGGCAGGAACACAGACCCCTGTGTCTCAGAGTGTCACACTGTAAGAACAGCATGTGAGAGGGAACTGTTGCTGCAACTGTCTGTGGAACAGACAGTCTGTCAAAGACACCAAGACAGGGCTGCTCCAAAAATGTCTCTCCCCCAAACCAGCCATGATCCCCAACTTCTACCATTAATTTCCCATCACTTACTATTTGTACATAGGTAAGATCTCATGAAAGAAGGTACAGAATATGATACCAACTTGGCAGCAAGATGCCAAGAAGAGAGGAAGAGATTTTACCTTCTTGAGTCATATAGTAAGTTTTTTTAATGAACCATCACTCTGTGTTGCAGAAAATAAATTGGAGAAAACAAATCAGAGGTACGAAAATCAAATCGGATGTTGTTTGTCTTTTGCCTCTAGTCTCTCTAAGTGTGCCTCAGTTTGCTTGTTTTTAAAATGAGAAAAATAATGGTGCTTAGCTCAAAAGGTAACTATGAGAATTAAATATAGGTAAGCTCATATGGGTCAGGTGCGAGGTACAGTGTTAGCCACATAGTAAATGCTTGACGCACACACATGCCTTCGCTATTATCATGTTCTCATTCTCATTAATATTCATGTGAAAGATAAAGATGGTCTAAACTGAGGAAATTGATACATTTTAAATATCTATTGTGTGGAGGGTGAGAAAGAGGGAAGAATCAAGGATGACTGCTGTTTTGAGTTTGATCAAGTAGTTGGGTGATAATGGATAAGAAACACAGAGGGAGACAGCTCTCCCAGCCCCAGCCACAAGCCTGCACATTCCCCAGGGCTTGCTTTCAGAATGCTTCATTGTTAAAGCTTAGAGAAGCAGACAAGTTTCTGAACTTCTCTAAGCTTCAATTTCTTCATCTGTGAAAAGGAGATAACAATAAAGTGGAAATGTGCACTTAATTAATGCGAACTTAACTCTATGATCTCAGTCAAAGAGAGAGAATAAGAGTAAGTATGAGCACAGGAAAAAAAATAATTTAAATGCTGTAACCACAATTTAAAACAGTTCACTCAATGAGCAGAGCTCTAAAATGAATGTGATAAGAATGAGAAGAACCTGCTATTGCTTCAGTCAACTGGGTTCCCCATGCCCCTCCCATACTGTTTGATTGCCAAGGTTTAACATACATGTTTTTATATGATATGGTCCTAAATCAGATCCAGTACAACTGGGACCAATCTTTAGTAGGTTGATCAAAATGCCATCTAAGAAAGAAATTATAAAAAATAAAACACATATATTTTAATAATTTATTTTAGCTTAAAACCAGTGATAAATTTATAGATAAATTTTCCTATAGAGACAAGACTTTAACATTTTTGTCTTAATGTCTTTATTCTTTCCTAGTACGTGGATGCACTGATAGGAGTTCCACACCACATTCCTAGGGTAAACTTTAATGCTTTTAAGTTTGCAGCAATAATGCAACCTTGAGAGTCAAAAGTAGCAAGGTTGAGACCTAAGAAATAAATAAGGTGGTATGGTAGCTCAGACCTTTGTGAGTTCAAAAGACATTGTCCCTATGCGGTTACAGTCTAAGATCTACCTTTTTGGGATGACATCACACCTTTCTTCAAGCGTGTTTTCTGCCTGTACACCCCTTATGCTAGTTCCATTCCTGCCTGGCAGAGCCTCTCCCTGGGTTCAAACACATTGGACTGGATGCATTGCTGGATTGGTGCTGTGCTGCCATGTATTTCTCCTTCTCTGGATTTTAATCATAATTCGGACATCCAGTGAGCAACTAAACCACCCACCTAAAATGCTTCCCAAAGGACGCACAAGAATGATATGACTCCATTTCAAATGATCAAACTAAACAGAATACTCAGGAAGCATCAGGGAGGACGCCGAGCAGAGTGTCTTCTAGCCACCAGCAGAATCAGAGCAATTCCCCATCACCAGCTAAAGGGAGAGCCAGAAATGAAAAATAAACAAATGTAGGCAGGCACTGGAGCAAAAGACCTCTCAGCTGGGACATTCTGGGCTGACAAGAGTGACTGCTGGACTCCGAGCAGCCAATGAAGCCATTTAGCCCACCTCCACTGTTGAGCTAGACACTCATATTCATATCTTTCCCTTTCCACAAACCACTCTCCAACGTGTCCCTCACCCTCCCTCCCTGTCTCTCTTCCTCTCCTCCCCCTTCCTCTCTTTCTCTCTCTGAGTTGACTCTGTTTGCCATTCTAAGGCTAGGTACAAGGGGAATATTGTAGATTTTCAAAGCCTTCTACAAGCTGTCTGGAGTGCAGTTGCCATCCTAGTTCACACATCACTTGACTACAGCTCCCTATGTTCCCTCAACTCGGTGTCCCATTAGTTTCCAAGCTCAGTGCATTCTCTCATTTCCTCTTCTGTATTTCCACAGCCACATTCTTAGGCCAAGCTCCATGAGCTCTTCTGTGGGCTTAGGCAACAGTTTCCTCCGGAGGCTCCCAGCCACCACTCCTTTCCCACGGCATCATGCAAGTTGAGTTTCCATCTCATTATGTAAGTCTCTTTCTTAAAGCCATGGTTCCATTGCTTGGGATAAAGGCCCAATGTTCCAGCAAGACATACGAGGCTTTTAACAGTGCCCCATATGACATGTTCAGCCTCTTCTGTAGCCAGTCCACCTCCCCATCACTCTTTGCTTGGGCCTCAGTGATGTACCAATTTATACTGGCCCTTTCTCCATATAGCTCATGCTATTGCTGTCCTTCCAAAATGCCTTTCTCCCCATTCCCACAATGACCTCCTGCCGATCTACCATGATCCAGGTTAAATGGCACCTTTTCCTTGATGCATCCATCCTCTTATATACTCATTCACTGAGCCCCAGCCCTGGGCCACGTACTTCCCTGGGCCCTAGCAATGCAGTCATCTGCAGAACTGGCAGGCAGAGCTCACAGTCAAGCGAGAGACCCAGGCTTAAAACACACAAACATAGACTTCAATGACACAACAAGGGTAAGATTGAAACTGTGACCAGTCTGAAAAAGAAAAGAAGTGCTTCCAGCTGAAGAAACAGCATAGGCAAAAGCCCTCTGATGCAAGAGACCCCCGCAAGCAGGAGACAGCAATAAAAAGCTAGCATGGGGAGAGGAGAGAGCTGCAGGGAGTGGCTATGAGTGCAGCTGAGGCCACATGAGGGCTTCATGTCCATAAGAAGCTGTTTTATATTTTTAGAGCAATGGGAAGATGTTGCAGAGTGTTCCATGGAAGAGAGTCTGCTCAGTTTTGCTCTCCGAAAAGATCTTTTTGGCTGCCATCTAGAGAATGGGTGTGGAGGGGGCCCTAGCAATGCAGGATGTAGAGGGGGCTGGGGTGAATAGCGACTAAAGGGAAATTAAGTGTAATTTCTCTACCACATACCAACTGAAAGTGTGGAAAAGAGACACAACCTATTCTGCATGGTATAGAAAACCACCTCAAAATTCTATATTTGCTGTGAATAATCCCCAAATTAGGATGAAGTCTTCATCTGGTTCTGACCAAGAGACCTCCATCCCAGCATCCCTGCACCTGTCTCACACCAGCCCAGAATTAGAGAAGATTGTCACCTCGCTCCCAATCTCCAGGACAAAGAAAAATCACCAAATATACCAGCCAGGCATGGTGGCTCACACCTGTAATCCCAGCACTTTGGGATGCCAAGGCGGGCAGAGCACTTGAGGTCAGGAGTTCGAGACAAGCCTGGCAAACATGGTGAAACCCCATATCTACTAAAAAAAAAAAATACAAAAATTAACCAGGTGCGGTGGTTCATGCCTATAATCTCAGCTTCTCAGAAGGCTGAGGCACAAGAATCGCTTAAACCCAGGAGGCAGAGGTTGCAGTGAGTCGAGATCATGTCACTGCACTCCAGCCTGGTTGACAGAGTGAGGCTCCGCTCAAAAAAAAAAAAAAAAAAAAGAAAAGAGGCCAGGCGCGGTGGCTTACGCCTGTAATCCCAGCACTTTGAGAGGCCGAGGCAGGTTGATCAGGAGGTCAGGAGATCAAGACCATCCTGGCTAACATGGTGAAACCCTGTCCCTACTAAAATACAAAAAATTAGCCGGACGTGATGGTGGGTACCTGTGGTCCCAGCTGCTCGGGAGGCTGAGGCAGGAGAATGGTGTGAACCCGGGAGGCAGAGCTTGCAGTGAGCCGAGATCGCGCTACTGCACTCCAGCCTGGGCGACAGAGCGAGACTCCGTCTCAAAAAAAAAAAAAAAGAAAGGAAAGAAAAATCACTAAATATTTATATTCACTTAACCATTATATTTCTGTGTTAATATAACCATGAATATTTCCTTCTCATAACAAAAATGTTACGTTGACCCTTTCTTACAGATGGTTCTTGAGATGATGTCATCATTAATATTCCTAAATACCTGTATGTTTGGCATTATTTATTTTACAAAACATTTTTATATTTGAGAATTTTGTTCCTTATATGAATACTTCAGTTATGTTAGTTGCCAAAATACACACACACACACACACACACACACACACACAGCAGGAAGAAATAAAAAGTATTTGTGGCAGATTAATAATCTGAGACATCAAGCAGCAGGTAGTATTCATATTCCCTGCAACATCCCCATTCAGTCCATGAGACACTGAGTTGCCATTTGCCATGGGGAAGTAGTTGCCTAGGAGGAGTCAGAAGAAATGCCTAAGTCTTGAATTTGAGGTAAAAGCCTCAGATGTGAGAAAGGAGACTGGTGCATATCTTTTTTTTTTTTTTTTTGAGACGGAGTCTCGCTCTGTCGCCCAGGCCGGACTGCGGACTGCAGTGGCGCAATCTCGGCTCACTGCAAGCTCCGCTTCCCGGGTTCACGCCATTCTCCTGCCTCAGCCTCCCAAGTAGCTGGGACTACAGGCGCCCGCCACCGCGCCTGGCTAATTTATTGTATTTTTAGTAGAGACGGGGTTTCACCTTGTTAGCCAGGATGGTCTCAATCTCCTGACTTCATGATCCACCCGCCTTGGCCTCCCAAAGTGCTGGGATTACAGGCGTGAGCCACCGCGTGGTGCATATCTTTAAAGCAAAGGAGCTAGTCTCTACCCTTCCTTCCCTCCCCACACACCACCCCTTTCCTGCTGCCATTCCATTAGAGTTTGAGCACATGAGAAGAGGAGAGACAGAGAAATCCAGATGAAAAGAGCAGTGAGGATTTTTTTTACTCTTTTCTTCCTCTGGCCAAATTAGAAACCTGAGGAATACTAGGGTATTCTCCTGTGATGTTTGAGAATGTGTGAGAGAAAAAAAAAAGATTGCAAATATATTTTCCAGATACAGTTGGAGGGCAGCAGTCTTTCCAACCATATTCAGCCCTATGAGACTTGAAGGAAATAAAAGTGTGGGTGGCATGTACACACAGACGTGAGAAAGGCCCTGACCACCATCATCAGCCACAAGCCAGGTGTGGAGGTCTGTGAGCATCTCATGGGCCCAACACAAGGACAAGCCAACAAGCAATCCTGGGAGACCACCTGGGGAAGAATTCCCAAAAAGAGAAAAAGGAGAATGTAGCCACCTGTAGCATGAGAAGAGGGATAGTTGCTTCTCTGTGTGATTTCCCCGGGTGTCAACCAGCATAGGATAATAGACAACAGGAACATCAGCAGAATAGAAAAACGGATGTGGTATCTCTCCACCGTCACTATCAGGAAAGCCACTCCCTCTCTCCTTGGGATAATAAAGAAACCGGATTAGGAGAAAGGAAGAGGAAGCAATATGGTTTGGATGTTTGTCCCCTTCAAATCTCATGTTGAAACGTGATTCTCAGTGTTGGAAGTGGGGCCTGGTGAAGAGTAGTTGGATCATGGGGGCAGATGAATGGTTTAGTACCATCCCCTTGATGATAAGTGAGTTTTTGCTCAGTTAGTTCACATGATATCTGGTTGTTAAAAAGAGTCTGGGACCTCCCCCTTCTCTCTCGCTTGCTCTCGCTCTCGCTCTCACCATGTAATATGCCAGCTCCCAGTTTTCCTTCCGCCACGATTGTAAACTTCCTGAGGCCCTCACCAGCAGCAGATGCTGACTGACATGCTTCTCGTACAGTCTGCAGAACTGTGAGCCAAAATAAAAAAACTTTTTGGTCAGGCGTGATGGCTCACACCTGTAATCCCAACACTTTGGGAGGCTGAGGCAGGTGGATCGCTTGAGACCAGAAATTTGAGACCAGCCTAGCCAACATGGTGAAACTCCGTCTCTACTAAAAATACAAAAATTACCCCCGTGTGGTGGTGCACACATGTAATCCCAGCTACTCATAAGGCTGACACACAAGAATTGCTTAAATCCAGGAGGCAGAGGTTGCAGTGAGCTGAGATCACGCCACTGCACTCCAGGCTGGATGGCAGAGTGAGACTCTGTATCAATAAAAAATTTAAAAAAAAAAAACTTTTCTTTATAAATTACCCAGCCTCAGGTATTTCCTTACAGCAACACAAGAATAAACTAACACAGGAAGAAACTCGATGGGGAAAACAGTCTTGATACAGTTGAATACTGAACTCATTAAGCTTTGAGCTGGACTATATTTTATACATCTTGATCAAGAAATGAGGAAACTGGACTGGTTTAATTTAAAAACAGGTTGAATATTCAGTGGCAGAAATTAAAATTCGTCTAGAAATAAAGTTACTTTTTGGAACAAAAATATACAACCATAAACTAATACCAATTTCATGTAGACATCACACACTACAGGATAATATAGGAGTTTCCTGGCACACATTTTTGGCCTGACTACTTTGGAGGTGAGTGAATGAGATGTTAGCATGATAAAAAGAAATGCTTAAAGGTCCATTTGATTGAGAATATAAGTACTATTTGCTGCTGAAGTTTGGTTTGCCAACAAGAATCAGAAGCCATGAGATTGAGCCAGGTAATCCAAAAGTTGAAGCTTTAGTCTGTTAAAAAGCAACACTCCTTATGTGACAGCAACACAAAGGGGCAAATAAAATTCTTACTATACATCTCAGAGAAAATATAGTTGATTTATGGGTGTAAGACATCCTCCTCTCAACTGAATCCTGGCCCCTCTATAAGATTCACTATAATTGTTGGCAAAAGTGCCACTTGAGACAATTACGGTAATCTAGTCTGGCTGCCATCAAAGAAGACGACTTTGTTTTCAAATCTACTGAAGCCAACCAGGATCTCTTTCTTTCTATATTTTGAAGATGATCATACATATGTTAACTACATTTAAACTACTTTTTTAAAAGCTCCTAAAAGGTGTAATTCCCCCCACTCCATCCCCCTCATGAGAAAGAGAGAGAACAAAACCAACATCAAAGTCCCGTTTACTAAAATCTGTGAAAGTCAGCTTTGTTTAGTTGTTTTTACTGCCGAGATTCAAATGACCGTCCTCTTCCACCTCTTTACCACCTCTATTCCGGCTCTGTCCACTGGAAATCATCTGGGATCACACCTCAGCACCAATAGGATGTGGCGGGGAAGGGTTTTGCAATGAGGCAGGGAGGAAAAGGAGGATGCCTCCCAGCTAAAGTTGGAATCAAAACATTCATAAAGGCAAGCACCATCTGCAAGACAGAGTGCTGCTTCTCAGGAATGGCTCCTAAGGGCAGTGCAGAAACACCAAACAATAAAGAGGCAGACACCAGCCGGGCAGCAGGTAGAACAAGTGCAGAGATGGGCACCTCCAATATCAAGGTGAAATCGGTCACGCGGATGTTCTTTACAGAAAGCTAACATGCTGCCTGAAAGATTCAGTGCAGCTCTCCAAGTGAGAAATGCTCCTGGACTGTTATTATTTATCCAGAGCCCCAGGTGTACATTGAGCTCTATAATAGGTAGCACGTGCCAAAACAAAGAGCAGAGCCCTTGCCCCAAAGAGTTTGCTGTCTAAAGGCACATTTGGGTACAGTTATACTCCACGAATCAGCAAAGCAGAAAATAAACACAACACAGACAGACACCAAGGAATAGATCTTTGCTGAATGTGTCAGAGCTTTTGGAAACAGGAAGACTTTTAAAGGAGTTGTGGTTTGTATTTTATGTTGTATTGAATTTTTTTGAAAAAAAGAAAAAAGAAGAATCTGCTGTCAATAAGAATTTAAAGAGATCTTGACAGCCTAGAGCAATAGGTTAAATATACCAAGATGACTTTAAATAAGATGTAAAAATCTACATTTGGGGACAAAATATAAAAACAGCTTAGGAGCTGATTACAAGTTAATACCATCAACACCACATTCTATCTGAACTTCCCAAACAGTAAGTTGATATGAGGATGAACTCATAAAAGGAAAGTCTCTAGGATGAGAGAGGTGAGTTGGTTCAGGGCAGTCTCTGAACAGGGTCTGGCTCAGATATAACATCCCAGATCAGATTACTGAGATGCCATGTGGCACAGTCATTACAAGACCAGGCTCTGGACTCAACAGTTTATAGATCAGGTCTCTATCTGCCAGTTGTGTCATCT
Organism: Homo sapiens; assembly: GCF_000001405.40. NCBI lineage: Eukaryota > Metazoa > Chordata > Mammalia > Primates > Hominidae > Homo > Homo sapiens. The sequence continues at coordinate 93,562,230 of NC_000008.11, forward strand.
TGGGAGAGTACATTTTCATGTCTATGTTACTGTTTCCTCATTTGTAACACACAAAAAAAGGAATAGAGAAAGAAAAGAAAGAGAAAAAAAGAAAAGAAGGATGATAAGAACACTGAATGCATGGGAAAATCCTCACAGTGTCTGCCATGCAGTGAGCTATTCTTATAGCTAAGCCTCTGAAACCCCCCAGTCTCTCCTTTCCCTCCTCCACTGAAATCTTGTTGTAACTGAATCTCCCTTGGCCCTGTTCCTGAGCTTCAGCTCTGATAACCTTCAGGTTGGGAAGCAAGCCCGATGCAGTAGCGATATAGCACTCCATGACATGCCCTTCCCCGGCTCTTCTTTGTCCTTAATTTTCAGCTTGGTGAAAATTCACCATATTTATACTTCTGCAAAATAAATAGAACCAAGACTTATGTTTCACAATTTACAGCATTGATTCCATGTGCAATCATGGTTCATGACTAATGGGCTTCTAGCAGTTTCAAAAATGTTTCTTTCTCTGTAACTTTGAGACACTGGGAGTGGGTGTGCTACAGTATAAATGGGAAATTTATAATGTAGGAGATCTTGTGTCCTACCGGTCTGGCCTTTGCCTAGGATGCGTGCCCTGTCTGGTTCTCACAACTCTTCCTTCTGGGCCCAAGCCACTGCCATTTGTTGACGGGACCTCCAAGATGTTGCCCCGTCTCTGTACTTCATCTACCTGTTGGCGTAGTCCCCTCTTCTATTGGTGTACTAGCCAGGGTTCTCCAGAGAAATGCAACAAATACATATATATATATATATATATATATATATATATATATAGAGAGAGAGAGAGAGAGAGAGAGAGAGAGAGAGAGAGAGAGAGAGAGAGAGAGAGAGAAAGATTTGTCACAAAAATTAGCTCATACAATTCTGTGGGCCGAGAAGTCCCATGATCTGCCATCTGCAAGCTGGAGAACCTGGAAAGCCAGTGGTGTAATTTAGTCCAAATCCAAAGGCATGAGAATTAACAGCACTCATGCCTGAGGGCAGGAGAGGATGGATATCCCGGCCCAAGCAGAGAGCAAATTTGCCCTTCCTCAACCTTTTTGTTCTATTTGGGCCCTCAATGGATTGGAAGATACCCAACCACATTGGTGAAGGAGATTTTCTTTGCTCAATCTACTGATTCAAACACTAATCCCTTTCAGAAACAACCTCCCAGACACATCCAGAAATAATACTTAATTAGCTATTTGGGCATATCTTAGCTCAGTCAAGTTGACACATAAAATTAGCCATCACAGTTGGGATCCCTCTTGGTCTACCGTCTGCCTAAACTGGGACCTGCAATCTCCACTCTCCCTTAGGCATGGTGTTTCCCTGCAAACTGAGCTTCCAATGGCGTTGATTCTGCCAGGACCCCATGCCAGCCCTGATCTGCCATAAGTAGTCTGCTTCACCAATTCCTAAGTTGCCCAACCTCAGCTAGTCAATACTTCAAAGCCCCTGCCTCTCTTAGCAGACACTTGTCTGGCTGAGGGAGGGAATGTGCCCCAATAAGACATCTCAGTCTCTTCTTGAATCTTGTATCACACCATTACTTCCAACAGCCTGTTATTGCTACCACAATGAAAAGAACACTGTATCAACAGAAGACAAGCTTCAACTCCAATTTCTCATTGGATGCTACATGTTGATTCTATTGTTATTAAAAGTCATTTGTGTTGTCTAACTTGTAATAACATTTTCTGATTGCTGTTTGCCATTTTTCCCAGTGACTGCTTGTGCCATCACAGCCTGCTCAGAGTCCTAGCATCATTACCTATTCATGCATTCTACATGCCATCTTCCTCCTTTCTCATTATTGGGTGACTTTTCACTTGGCCTTTTCTGCAGATCAGCCCCTCAGAATATGCCATCTGGAAAAATGGAGAGTGAAACACTGCTTTAAATTAAAAAGAAAAAAAGAGAGAAAGAGACTTTTCATCACCCTGAATTAGACCCAATTTTCCCACTCTGTCACCACCCTCACAGGAGCTGGCACACTCTTCAGAAGCTGTCCGTGTTTCTTCTAACTATGACAGAGGGGGCTGAGGAGAAACAAGAAAGGAGGGGAAAGAGACAGAGAAAGAGAGAGAGAGCCATCCAATCCAATGCATTGATAGATTTGGCTAGATTGATGTCATTGCTCATTAAGAAAACAGGCAATCTGCTTCTCGTTCTCATTGGAGAAAATAAATTTGCACAGAGCCCAGCCAAATAATGTGTAGTAAATGATCAATGTTATCTGAGGGAGAAGATGATTGATCCTTTATTTCTTACACCCTCTCATGCATAATGCATACAACCCAGGATGTCCTCAGCTTGCCTCAGGACCTAGCAGTGATGTACCGCATTACCATGCAGAACACTCATGCTGAATTTCTAGGGACCGTCTCCACATTCCTGAGCAAGTGAGAGCCAGGAATGCTTCAGAAATCAAGAGTCCCTGATAACGGTGTGATGGATTCTTGAATCTTTTCCAGGCCTTTTTACAAACATATGCATGACTCAGGGAAAGTCTCAGAGAGACTTCAGACCTCAGTATCCTTTAATGCAAAACATAATTGGTAATATTGGCTTCTTTCAGAATATCAGTTAAAAGATTAGAAAAATGGAAATCTTTCGAAAAACCAAAAATGCGGGAGATCTCTATAAAGGAAAATGAACTGTATTAACTTTTTATTATAGTGATTCCATTTCAGAGAACCAAGGTAATCATTTGTGATTTTGAAGAAAGCTGGCTTCTCAAATGTTGTATGTTAAGTTTAGACTATTGTTGCTAATTCTCTATACCCATTAAATAGTGATGATGATGATGGTGATGATAACAATAATGGCAGCTAACATTTTTAAACTCCTATTTGCCAGGCTTTAAGTTAAGGACTGTACATATGTTATCTCATGTAATGTAAACTAAGGTTTAGAGAACTTCATTAATTTGCCCAACGTTCATAGCTAATAATCAATAAATTCCAGAGCCACCAGTACCAGTTCCTACACGTGAATGCTACTAGTCTGGGGTTGGGGTTAAAATAGAGGAATCAGAATATAAAGTGGAACTGGCCATCCTCAATAACTACAACTGGCTGTTAGAAGATTTTGTAAACTAACAAAAATTGAAAAAAACTGATGAATTTTAGTCCTTACTATGAGCCAGTCGCAATACTAGATTCTTCACATAAATTTTAATAATAATAATGAATAAAATGATAACCAATCTGTAGAGTAGATGATATCTCGCCGTGTTGGTTATTAAGTGAGGGTTTCTCAATTTAAAACCAGCTTCTCTACTCTGCTCACAAGATACTGGGGCTGCAACTCTGGAACTCTGCAGACCACGTCGTTTCCGCTTTGCCAGAGGCTCCATTAGGCTCTGCCAAGAGGGGGCGCCAGAGAGACCACGACGCTAAAGGAGTAAGAGGGATTTTGATCCTTGTTGTTTTACTTCCTATTCTTGTCAGCAGCATCTCAGCAATACTTCTTAGCCCTGACAGCAGCAGCTCATTCCAGCTTCCAGTAGCAGTTTTCATTCCAGTAGCAGCAGTGATTCAAGTGTGCAGCTTTTCTAACACTCGCTGAACCAGCCTCATTGTGCCACCTCTGGACACCAGCCCAGCCAGACCATACACCCTCCTCAGAGACCTGCGTCCCAGCTCTGCAAGAAACCTTCTCCTCCAATCTTCTGAGTTCTAAGTAATCCCAACTTCTGTCTTCTGTTTCCTCAGCTGGGAAGTGGTAGGATCTGCACGATCACCTCCATTATATCTAGTTGTTTGTTTTTTATCTTTTCATTTCTCTATTACCCGGTTAACATGTTTTAATACTAAATTATCTTTGTTACTAGAACTGGTAAGGTTTCTGTCTGCTCTCTGGAACCCCAGTGTTATAACCCCCAATTCAGTGATAAGGATAAATTGCTCATATTTACTACTAAGTCAATAAAGGAGTTTAAATGGAATCCAACCCCAGGTCTTTCTGGTTCTCAGTCATATGCTCTTTCCAGTACCCCAGGATGCCTCCCCAAACTAGGCAATGGTATCTCCTCTGCCTATGTTGAATAAGAGGACACACACAAAAAAACATACATCGTGCAAATGAAAGTCTAAGAAATACCTGGATACAATGTAAAATGGTGTGATTGCGCACACCGACATTTCTTTTCAATATTATTAGTGACAGTAATGACTATTGTGTATACAAAGTAGGTTCCATTGCCCTGAAGTGCCTTGTCCAATAACTTAACCTGCTTCTGTCCTTGATACAATGTGAATTCTTCTCAGGGTTCAAGAATATGTCATGGCATTCCTCTACCTGGGTAGCTTCAAACTCCGCTAAAATACTTTGAGCAAAGAATGAGAAATGACTTGTAACTAAAGCCATCATCATTTTCACAGTAAAAGAAGTACTCAGAACTTCAAAGAGATTATGGTAGACTTGTCACTTTTGAGTTTCTAGCAGGCCTCCATTCTGTAACAACAGATACCCCAGAGGCCAAAAGAAAGTAGGATCAAAAGATATATAGTGTGTGCTGACATAGACAGACACCTCAGACCCACTAGCCCAACAGGGTGATTGTAAAGCACAGCTACATCTACACTGTAAGACTTAAGATGACTGTTGAATCCAAAGACCAGGAAAAGTGAGAATTCAGAATCTATTCTGATCAGAAGCCAGGAAGTCAGAAACTATCCCCGGAAGAGAATATTAAGGCCTCACCAGAAATTTCAGCACATCATGTGTAATAAAGTAAACTAAGTTTATTTCAGCTAATAAGTCTAGAAATGTTTACAACTCTCATATTAAGTTCTACAGCATACATATTAAAATGGAAGTAGAAGTTTTTATGCCACTTGAAATGCACACATACACACAGATGGCACACATGTAATTTCTTTCTCCTTTCTCAAAGTTTTGCTGCTTTCCAAATCATTGGTGCAAGGTACCAGTGTTTCTTGCTTTTCGTTGTGTGTTAAAGTTAAAATAAAAAGGGAGGGACTATCTTTTCTTATTACATTTGCAAATTCATCTAGAGGCCATATTGCACTGAGCCCATCTAAAACACATGACAAATGCACTCGTATTTCTAGGAAATCCTAACAGGGTCTAGGGGACAAAATGAGCAATTACAACAACTTGTTAACCTAAACCACAATGAAGCGTAGAGCGGTGGGCTGTAGAGAAAAAGTCACCCTTCCTGCCTTCTTTGTGATGCTTCTTTCTAAATAAGAACCCCAGACAGTGCCTTTCCCAATGTCATTCATCCAGTAGATGCCTGAAAAATTCTCTGATAACACTGTCAGAACACAAGGCATTATAATGAATAGTAGGTGATAAATATATAGGTAATGGCTTAGCAGTGATTGTATCTTTCTACAGCAGTTTAAAACAATAAAGCCCGGAGTGGGCATGGTGGCTCACACCTGTAATCCCAGCACTCTGGGAGGCCAAGATGAGCAGATCGCTGAGCCCAAGAGTTCGAGACCAGCCTGGACAACAGAGTTTGAGACCAGCCTGGACAATATAGTGAGACCTTGTCTCTACAAAAAAAACCTCTAAAAATTATCCAAGCATGGTGGTGGGTGCCTGTAGTCCCAGCTACCTTGGAGGCTGAGGTGAGAGAATTGCTTGAGCCCAGGAGGCAGAGGTTGAACTAAGCCAAGATCACACCACTGCACTGCAGCCTGGAAGACAGAAACAGACTCTGTTTCAAAAAAATAAATAAAGAAAATAAAGCCTGTTACTATGATATAGATAGATAACACTAGATGTGAAAAGCTGTAACTCCCTTGTCTTGTGTCACCCCAGGAAAATGGAACTAGGATGCAAGCACAAGATTCCACTTAGTAACATAAAAGAAGTCACTCTACTCACTTGGGGGGCTGTACTCAAATGTCCACACCCTCCGAACTTGGAGACAGCATCAGGAAACAACCACCCACTGAAACTGAAGGTAGAAAAAGTTGGCATATAAGAGATTAACATATTCATATTCAGTGGTTGTAAGACTTGGTATGTAAATGGCTTGCTGCATAGACTTAGGAATCCAACAAGTTCAACAGCTAGAATGTAGGGAATGAAAGTTCTAACCTAATCAACTGTATTTGAGAATAAATATAAAGGAGAGATGTATCGACAGAAGAGAGGTCTGTGTGTAGTAAAGGAAAAAGAAGGCTAAAGAATATAAATTTGCCAATGTGTTTTCAGTAGTGAATGAGGGACGGCCAAGTGCAGTGGCTCACATCTATAATCCCAGCACTTTGGGAGTCAGGGGCAGGCGGATCTCTTGAGGTCAGGAGTTCGAGACCAGCCTAGTCAACATGGTGAAACCCCATCTCTACTAAAAATACAAAAACTAGCTAGGCGTGGTGGTGGGTGCCTGTAATCCTAGCTACTGGGGAGGCTGAGGCAGAAGAATCACTTGAACCCAGGAGGTGGAGGTTGCAGTGAGCCGAGATCGCACCACTGCACTCCAGCCTGGGCGACAGAGCAAGACTCCCTCTCAAAAAAAAAATAGTGAATGATGGATAAACACTGTATTAATAAATAAATATTCCTGTTACTGAAAGAATTACTCTATTTCAGGGTGCAGGCATAATTAATCCAGGATGAGAGGCTGGCATAGGAAATAGCTGAGGAACAGAAAAGGAGTCTAATAAGTAGGTCATATCAAGTCATTTTAGAGTCACATAGGGCATTGAAGGCAAGCCCTATAGTCAAAGGAAATTCATACCATAAACAATGTAGATGACCCAGATTCCATGAGGGAGAGGGTACCAGGTAAGTTACAACTGCATCTGAACACCTGCAGTGTGCACCGCCCATCTGATTTGGGAAACTTGGACATCATAGTGATTGGTAGATGGAGAAAATGGGGAGGAGGACTTGTGCCGTGCTTATAAAAATGGCCAGCAACCAGCACAGTGGTTCATGCCTATAGTCCCAGCTACTCAGGAGGCTGAGGTGGGAGGATCACTTGAGACCAGGGGTTTCAGGCTACAGTGAGCTATCACTACGCTAGTGAATAGTCACTGCATTCCAGCCTGGTCCACATAGCAAGCCTCCATCTCAAAAACAAACGAATAAAAAACTAGCCAGCAGAAAACAGGTCTCTACACTTTCTCGACAGGGCATATGATCTGAAAGTCAGCCCTGTTTAATTAGGGTTGTGCAACATCTCGGATCAGATAACACTCAAAACATATGTTTAGTGGATGTAACTTGGTACTCCAAATCTCAACTGACTCCAGATCAATGGGAACACAAAAGCTGAGAATCAATTCCTGGACAAGAGTTACCAAACCAAGGCCCCACTTGCCTGAAATACCTGGCTTGAGTAGCCAGCCACCTTACCACATCTCTGTACCTGCTATAGTGGCCCCGAGTCGGCCTCCTCCTAGGAATAAGGGCTGAAATGTGAGTATTTACCTTACCGTGTATTATCATCTCCCTTTTCACATCTATGTCTAATCTCTCCAATGAAGTCATAGGCAAAATCATAAGAAGGACCATGTCCTAAATTCTTTCCATTATGAACTAACCATGATTGTGGAGCATACTATATTCTAGACCCTGCACTAAGAGCTTTACTTTATTTCACTTGTCACAACAACTCTGTGAGCTAAGTATTATTTTCTTGATTTTACAAGGGAAGAAATAAATGCATGAGTTATTTAAGAGACAGTTGGATAATTTCACTGTGATTTTATTTAGTAAGTAATGGGGTTGGATTCAAGTCCAGGCAATCTTAACTCCTAAACTCATGCTCATAACTGCTATGGAAATGTGGTGTAATGTAATGGCTAAATAGACAAAAAGATATGCCTCCCAGTTACTCAATATATTCTGTTACAGTTTTTGAAAGGGCATGGTAATGGCACCAGAATCGATGGATTGATAGAACAGTAAATTCAGAAATAGACCCATAATGTATCAGAATTAATAATCTGATAAAGAAAGTATCTCAAAACAATAAAAAAATCAAGGAAACTTCAACAAATAATAATGGAGAACCTGGCTAACCATTTACAGAGAAAAAAATTAAATTCTTGACCTATGCTGTATACCATGAAACATTCCAGTTAAAGATTCAAATAGGAACAAACAAATAATAAAAGTATTATAAGAAAATATAAGAGAAATTGATGTAATCTTGTACTGGGAATTACACCAAAAGTAGAACTTATGAAGGGAAGAGATGGATAAATGTGATTACATATCATTTTTAAAGTTTCTGCTTGATCCAAAACATCACTCACAAAGTTTTAGAAAACAATTGACAGACAAACTGAGACTTATAAGGTAGAATTAATGACAAAATAATTAATAAGCTTAATATATAACAAACTTAAAAATCAATAAGGAAAATATAAACAACCATATAGAAAAAAGTGAGCAAAAGTTATGAAGAGGTAGACCATAGAGAAAGAATAAAAATGGCAACAAGCATATAAAAATATTTTCTTACAATTGTATAGTAAGAAAATAAATGAAAATCAGAAAAACAAACTGATAATATTTTTAATCTAACAGAGTAATTTAGTTTTTAAAAAAAAACACAAAATCTAATGTTGGCAAGAGTTTCAAGGAACACAGGCGTTCCCATACACTATTGGCAAGAATATAAATTAGTTTAACATCTTTTGATGACAGTTTAGCTATAGTATTAATTTTTTTCCAGAAACTATGTTTCCTAATATAATTTGTCAAATGTTTTTTAAAAAATATTGCAAAGGTATTCATCATAGAATTTGAGGCCAGGTGCAATGGCTCACACCTGTAATCCCAACACTTTGGGAGGCCAAGGCAGGCGGATCATTTGAGGTCAGGAGTTCAAGACCAACCTGGCCAAATGGCAAAACCCCGTCTCTACTAAAAATACAAAAATTAGCCAGGCATGGTGGTGTGTGCCTGTAATCCCAGCTACTCGGGAGGCTGAGGCAAGAGAATCTCTTGAACCCGGGAGGTGGAGGCTACAGTGAGCCAAGATCATGCCACTGCACTCCAGCCTGGGTAAGAGAGTGAGACTCTGTCTCAAAAAAAAAAAAGAATTTGTTATAATAGCAAAATAGTAAAAATGAATGAAATGTCTATTAGTAGGGAAACAGCCAAGTAAATAACAATAGATCCATACCATTGAGTACCATGTGGCTATGAAAAATGATGACATACGCTTAATGTATTGACGTGAAATAATGACCATGGTGTATTGTCAAGTGAAAGTAGCAGATTGTCAGACAATATGGATGTGATTATCTCATTATCATAAAACAATGTAAGTGTATGTGTAAGGGGTGCCTTACACATGCTTAAGAAACAGTACGAAAAAACCTACACCAAGATATTAACAAGAATTACCATTGGATGATGGCATTACAATGCAGAGATACTTTATTCTCTTCATTTTTTTCTTTCTTTTTGTAATCAGCATATTTCACTTTTACCATTAAAAAGGTAGACAAAATTGATAGTACTTTATGAAAAATGAGATTTTTCTCATCTCCTGAGACTCTTTTCATTACAGATATTACACTCATATGTAATTTGTTCATCCACCAAAGTGCAAAAAGTGTTCAGTCATTGGAAGGGATCAAGCCTTGCACTTGGGTGGTTGGGAAGCTTCTGTCACCTGCTATACTAAGAGTAGAATTAAGCTTCATGGATCAGATTATTTTGAGCAAAAGTTCTCAGATGTTGTCCAGAGAGATCATCTGAGTGAACTCTTGTTCTCTGCCCATGAAAACTCTATAATGAACATCATTCATCCTCGCACATTTCCCATTTACTTCTGAGTTGTTGATTGGCAGGTGGATTAGCAGTGAGTATTGAATTGTTCAAGTAAAGTCAAAGACTGGACTCTCAGGACTATTCTTATGCCACAAGTGTCTTAAATTTGGAAGACAAAGGAAAAGTTAATAAAAACATTGTGTGACCCTCAAATCTACCACCTGCCACCCTCCCTGTTTGCCCATACACACATCAATATATACCCACGGACATCATTATTCTTGCCTCTCAGAAGTCTCAGGCAGAAAAGCCAGAGATGTCATCGAGAATCCTCCTAGGGGTACAACCTGTGTTCTCTCCTGGAGTAATTACAGCCTGTATTCATCCCGGCTGGGCAGGCTGACCTCGTCTTTTAAGTTCTTTATTAAACAACATCTGTACCTCACTCTCCTATTGTGGTGAGGTAAGACATAGATTGTCCCACAGCCTGATAACAGCTGTTTTATCATTCCTTTTACAATCTCTGAGAACACGAAGGAAAAACTCCCAACTGTGAAGCTAGGATGATTGGAAACACCCTGAGCTCCAGATTAAAAGCAAGAAAATTGCACCAAACCTCAGAGAGGTTTTTTTTTTTCTATACTTCACACAGAGGCCCCCCACCATCCCTGATTCCTTGATTAAATTGTTAAAGTTTAATAAATTATCATGTTCCTGTGGAAAACTATAACTGAAAGCTTTTTTGTTTGTTTTTTAACTAAAAGCTTTATGTACCAGCTGGCAATTTTTCCACTAATGCTGATTTTAAAAAAAATTTTTTTCACATAAAAACACTCCCCAAACATACCTAATCACTGCATTCCTCAGGCATACCTGACTCAGTTAGATTCCAGATAAGTAACATTACAGTTCATCCTCACATCAGCGATTGTTACATGAAAAAGAAAAGACAGAAACATAAGTGAATTGCACAGAGAAAGCCAAGTGGATAGAGAGAGACAGCTTTCATTTGCACATTTATACAGTTCAGGAATCTACTAAAGGTGTATGAGAAATGAAATCTGAAAACTTGTTACCTATGGTTTTTTTGCATTTGTTAGAAAACTTCAACCTTAAAAAGGTAAAGGATAAATAGTTGAAGGGAAAAGACTATATGGTGAATTATTCATTCTAGCTGGGCCATTCCAGGTCACAAGACAGGAGACTTCTTATAATCTTACACATAATAGAGATCTGGGATGACAGAAGCTCTGTTAAATCAACCCATACTGCATACAATTCTTCAGAACGCAGTACTGATAAGGCACTGGTAGACCCAGGAGAAAAACATCTGAGACGAATTGTCAGGAATCACAGAAAAGCAGGTCAGAATGGAAGCCTGTTTTATATAGCAATTTGTCCAAAAGGCCAGACAAAGAGAAAATATTGTCAAAACTTCCTTCTCTTTCCCTGACTTCATGTCCCCATTATTAAGGTGACTGCAATAATAGGCTAAACAGCATATTTTTAGGGGAAAGGGGAAAGGGAAGAAATCCAGGCCATGATTGGTTTGCAAGACATTTTGAATGATTGTAAAAATATTATGTGTACATAGAGGACATTTTGAAAAATACAGAAAACCAGAAGAAATAAGTAATTTCTCCTCTCACAATTCAGAAATAAAAACAATCATTAATACTTGGTATAATGAAATAGACCAAATCCTTTTGGTCTATTTTACATGGAGATATATGTATTTGATGGTGATAATAAATCTAAAATGTACATTATATATGTATGTATACACACACACAAATATACACACATAATTCTCCCCCAAATTAGATAAAGATATATATATGTATATATGCATACAACTCTCCCAAAAATTTGATTTACATTATATATACTGTTTGTAATCTGCTTTTTTCTCTATTCAGTATTTTAAATTCCTGAGTATTTTAATTAAAATATTACCATGCTTTAGATTTATCACCACCATCAAAATGGTTTTAAGCACCAATATGCATATAATATGTTAATATTTTTTAAGGTTTTAAAAAAAACTTGATACAGAATCAAGCAATTTTCTGACATTTAAGGAATGTATATCCAATCTCAGTTTTGCAGTATCCCATGGTGTATCATGGAATTGTCTGGTAAAAGAATACAAGGTACATAACTTCTCTAAGTTTCAGTTTCCTTTTTATAAAATGCAATGGTAATATTGCAGCCTCCTTATTTTGCACAATTCAGTCCTGGAAGTGGTCATAATATCAGTTAAAAGAGGAGTCCCAAAATGATATAAATATACCTAAAACATTTTACAATAACTAAAAACACATCAGTGAACATTCACTAAGCTTTCGAAATAGTACTAATGCTTTTTTTTGTCGGGGGGGATACAAATCTTTAAAGGGTCATCTTTCTTGCATAAACCATACCCATAATGTATCTACAATTTCCAGCTCTACATTTTTTTAAGGAGGAACAAGAATATACAAACACTTGTGAAACAACCTAAGTGCAAAATCCTTCCAGATTTTCTTACTTTTTCCCCACACTAAAGTTAAGAGCAACTTGTTTAATGACTTTCCTTACCAAGACCTTTGAAACTTTCCACTTGGTTTTCATGAAAACAATACTTCTTCCTTCCCCATTCATATATCATTATTGTATATAATATTTAATAAATTCATATAATCTCAACACCACCACACATTTGAAAAACAGATTGGGAACAAACTCAACCAGCCCTCCTGAGCTAATCCCTCAGCTGAGTGAGGCTGAGAAGCGCAGCACACCAGAGAGCCACCCACTGGCCTTGAGCATTCAGTGTGCTGGGAATACCAGTCAACAGGTTTTGGAGCAGCAGCCCTCAATCTTTTTGGCACCAAGGACTGGTTTTGCGGAAGACAATTTTTCCATGGACAGTGGGAGAAGGGAATTGTTTGGGATGAAACTATTCCACCTCAGATCATCAGGCATTAGATTCTCATAAGAAGTGCACAACCTACATCCCTCACAAGCATAATTCACAATAGAGTTTGCGCTCCTATGACAGTCTAATGCTCTCGCTGATCTGACAAGAGGCAGAGCTCAGGCCAGAATGCTCACTTGCCCATGCTCACCTCCCGCTGTGTGGCCTGGTTCCTAACAGGCCATGGGCCAGTACCAGTCTGTGGCCTGGGGGTTGGGGACCCTTGTTTTACAGGGATGGGAAGCTTCAGATAAGACAGCCATGGGCTAAGTGCTTAAGATTGATGTAGATATTAAATGAGTTAATGCACTCAAAATGCTCAGCACCATCCTTGGCACTTAATTAGCTCTCAGTAAACATTAACTGAAAAGAAAGAGAAAATAAGAAAATGACAAAGACCCTTTCTGCAGTTTCCTCACAATCATTGGAATCTAGTCAGGTTTTAGCCAAGATCAAGAAAAAAGAAAAAATGCCTAGAAGTAGAAGACTTGCTGTCAGGCTAGATTATCTGTGAGGATGACGATCTGATAAAAATCAGCTGCAGCAAATTGAAAGTACTATCCAGAGCGTAAGTTGTCCAATTCGGATGACAAGGTATGGTTGGACATTGGATCCCAGCCTCAGATGGAACCATATAGACTTACATGTAATGAAGCACCCATGAAGACTTAACTTAGAAAAAATTCTAAACCTGCATCATTTTGGTTTTATCAATTTTCATCATCATCTTTCTCTTTTCTAGAAAATACACCTCATACCACCAACCTAAGCAGAGCTGATTTCTTTTAAATTTTACCATCATCAAAAAGGATAATAGTTAATATTGGGTTTCGATTAGCTGCACTAAAAGGACCTGGGAATGCACTGCAAGAGCAAGTAGACAGAGCTTAACTTTCTATCAAACACAGAATTAACAGAGAAGACACTAACAATCAGTGGTGGAATGTCAATGATGTAAATAAATAATAATAGTTTGACAAATTCAGCCAAAATCCTAGAAAGCAAGAGTTGAAACTGATTTCTTTTGCGGATAATCAATGCTGAGAAGATTGGAAGATGAATAGAAGGAGTTAGGACCAGAGTTGTAAATAACAAGGAAATGTAATCAAAGAACTTGTTCAAGTTTTAGTATGACATGCCTATGAGTAGCAGAAGAAAGACTGAAAAGAGAGCAGTTTCCTTATTTAACAATTTCAAGCAAATTTATCCTGGGTCCCAGGCCAAATTTGGGTCATGTCAATTTGGTTCAACCATCTTAGAGTCACAGCCGCCTTTGATAACCTGTGAGAAAACTATGGACCCCAAGATAGTTTTTCAGCATTTTGTAAAGCTGCATGCACTTACCATGTGATCTGGCAACTGCACTGTTGGGCATTTATCCCCAAGAAATGAAAACTTACATCCACACAAAACCCTGTAAACTAATGTTCATGGCAGCTTTTTTGTAATAGCCCAAAATTGGAAACAATTTAGATGGCCTTCAGTGGGCAAATGGCTAAACGAACTATGGTCCATCCCAATTGTGAATATTGTTCAGCAATAAAATGAAAGGAACTATTGATACACTTAACAGCTTGGATGACTCTCAAGGGACAACACTGAGTTAAAAAAAAAAGTGAATCTCAACACTGCAAATTATATGATTCCATTATATAACATTCTTAAAATAAAATTATAGAGATGAAGACCATATTAGTGGAATATTAGTGGTTGCCAAGGATTAGAAATGGCAGAGAGGGAGGTGGCTGTGGTTATAAAAGGGGTAGCAGAAAGAATCCCTGTGGTTATGGGATAGTTCTATGCCTTGGCTATGTTGGTGGTTACTCTTAACTGCATGTAATACAATTGCATAGAGTTACACACACATACATGCACACACATGCACACACATGCACACACATGTGAGTACATGTAAAACTGGTGAATTTCAATAAGCTCATGGATTGTATCAATGTCAGTTTTCTTGATTAGGTACTGAACTATAGTTATGCAAGATGTTACCTTTGGAGTAAACACAGGACCTCCTTTTTTTCAATTGCCTGTGAATCTCTAATTACTGCAAAATAAAGTTTTAAGAAGATACATATATATACTGATAGAGAAATGTGTACTTATATTACTAAACTCAACTGCCAAATAGAATGACAGTTTGATCCCCTTATAAGGAGGGCAACTGAGGATGAAAAGAGTGAAAAGTAAAGAAAAAGGGCTTCTAACTTTATATTTGATATACTTCTGTGCTCTTGAATTTTTTTAGTTGATATGCTCTGTACAGTTTGAATTTTTATAGTGTGAATATATTACTTTTATTATTTAAAAAGGCAAATGAGGATAAAATGAGAAATTCTTTCAAAAAAAATCTGTGGAGTCTCTTCCCCCAAAAAAATTCACGAAAATTCTGTACACAACTATAGCAATCTTGTGGACCCCAAAGCCTATCTGTGAATCTCATGACGGGTTCATGTCCCTGACTAGGAGCTCCTGCTTTCAAAAATGGATGCCTGTACAAATGGAGAGAAGTGGGGTCAGGGGACCTATTAAATATATTCTATAATCACCCTGGGCTCTATTTGCTATGATGCTCAGCCTTCCTCAAGTGGGAAATAAAGATGCATTCCTTTGTTTCTTTGGAAGTGACTAGATGGAGAACTCTGTATTGGAACTTTAGGAGCCACACCAAGGGTGATCATAACAAACATGCAGGAATACATTAACATATAAATAACTTATTACTAAGAGTACTTAGAACAACATGAGGAAATAGAACAGTTCTTTGAGCATTTGTTTACTAGCCATATTCTGGGCAATATGCTAGACACTGAAAATAAGGCAGTGAGAAAAACAAGCTTGTTTTCTACCCAGAAACTACTGAGTGCCTAAAGGCACAGGAAGATTCTTCGCCTGCTTAATGCAAGATGTCCCATCTTGTTAAAAATCTGCAGTTTATGAACTACTTGTGTAAAGGATTCATAAGAATTATAGAACCAGAGTCAAAATATTTTATCATATCAGTCCTTGAAGAACATATAATATGCAAATATATGAAGAAATATCTGATATATATATTTTATTATTTTACACTGTATTTTATATACATTGCATTAAATATATATGAATATATAGACATATATAGCTTTTCAGAAAAACATTGGTTTTAATCTTCTGACTCAAATATGTCAAAGAAAGCTAAATGATTCAATAATCCAGCCAAAAGATATCTTGTTGGTGTTTTCTTTTTTGTTTAATGGATGGTTTGGTAGAGAACTGTAGTAATATGTTAATAGGAACAAGACTGGTGGGAAGACACATGAAATATTTAAAATTTTGAAGTTGAGAAGCAGCATGGCCCAGAACGCACGAGGCTAATATTACCGATTCTGCAGCCAAACTAACTCTCTGGGTTAGAATCTTGAATCTTCCACCTAACAGCCATGTGACCAAGAGAAGTACCTACTCTCTGTGCCTCAGTTTCCTCATCTCTAGAATGGATGCACGACTGAGTTGTAATAAAGGTTGAATAAATTAGAGGGCTATGAAAGTGCTTGTGAAATTTTTCAACAAGTATTTTGTATTAGTCAGCGTTCTCCAGACAAACAGAATCAATAGGATATAAAGATATAAAGAATTCATTATGAGGGATTGGCTCACATGATTATGGAGACTTGGGAAGTCCCTTGTACTGCCATTTGCAAGCTTCAGACCCAGGAAACCCAATGGTGTCATTCGGTCAAAGTTCAAAGGCTTAGGAACCAGGGAAGCCAATGGTATGAGTTCCCGTCTGAGGGCAGGAGAAAACTGAAGTCCTAACTCAAGAAAGTCAGGCAGACAGAATACTTCTATGTTCTATTCAGGCCCTCAACAGATTGGATGATGTTCAGCCACACACTGGGATGGGAAAACTGCTTTACTCAGGTTACCAGTTTAAATAGTAATGTGTTCCAGAAACACCCTCACAGACACACCCAAAAATAATGTTTAACCAGATATCTGGGCATCCTGTGGCCCAGCCAAGTGGACACATAAAATTAACCATCACACATCTGTTGGACTAAAACCAAATACTATGTGTGTGCAGTGAAAACAAATTCCTGGAAGATGAATTATTTGAATGGGAAGGAATTCACCATCTGGGGGTGTGCAGGGGTGCACTCTCCCGGATGGAATCCAAGCAAAGGCCAAGGCAGGAAGGTGAGAGCAGGTTTGGGAAAAAGTGGACAAGCACACTTAGCTACAGCCCTGGAGCTGTGCCTCAAGAAGACAGACACTGGCCTGAAAGAGTAGATTAGAGGCTTAGCAACACCCTGGCTGCCAACTAAGGATCAGGATTTCACTGAAAGATTTTAAATAAAGGAGACCCCTGACCAGTGCTATACTTGGGGAAAGTCAACCTGTCCCATGGATTAGATGAGGACATGGGGACGCCAGTTATGAAACCATTGTGTAACAAAATATCAGGAGAGGTATAGTACAGGCTAAAGCAGAATTTGAGGGTGAAATAAATAAGAAACAGAAATGAACAGTAACTGAGTAAAGAGAGTGATGGAAGAAATGGCATCCCCAATACACCAAGCCCAAGGTGTCATTCATTCCAAGTTTGAAGGCTTAGAACCTAGGGAGCCAGAAATAGAAGAGAAGACATAGAAAACAATGACAAGAAAGCTGAGAAGTAGAAAAGAAAGAAATAGAAAACTGTGGAAAGAAATCTAAGAACTTGCTACATGTCAAACATACTGATCACTTTTCTATAAGTTTTCCCTTTTGATACATAAAGATAACTGTGGAAACTGGTAAAATTATCCCCTTGTTTACCCAGCAAGAAGCTGAGGCTCAGAAAAGTGAAATTATTTGCCTACCTCACATGGCCAGTCAGAAACAAAGCCAGGATTTAAACCCAAAGCTTCCTTGCTCCAGAGTTCATGCTTACTATACTAGACCACGCTAGTTAGGGGATGCAGAGGGTAGGAGATTTCGCCTCTTTTTTGGACACATCACTGGACTTCCAGATGAATTTGTTGAATGGGTGGCAGCTGTAAAAGCATGAAGAGGTCTGAGGGGAGAAATGAGGGTTAGAGAATGGAATCCAGAAGCTTCATGGAGGTTTTGTAAGAATTAGTGAAGCCACTGAAGTGAATAATCTATAACAGATCATTTATAATTATTAACTTGCACGTTCATGTGCTGGAATGTAATCATGTTTGTCTGAAGGGCCAACACAGCAGTTTTAAAGGGATTCACAAACAGAAGAAAGCTGCTGTTCTCTCCAGTAAGCAATATTTTAGTGGCAAAACACCCCGTGAATGGTTTGTGAGTACAAAGCAGCAGCATGTGAATAGCTTTTTACAATATCACGTTCTCTCCTTCCACTTGGGAAGGAAGCACAATGCTACCATAAGCAGATACTAACAGAGCACAGATGCTGGCGCTGATGTCAGCGTAAATGCTGTCCCGCACCAGAAAAAAAAAAAAAAAAAACCTCCCAAAGTACTGTGCCTGCATAAATCTTATATTTTTATGAATCACTGCCATCACTGCAACCTCACACTGAAAATTTGTGTCTTAGATGTGAATGGATTATTCCAGATAGTTTCTCTTAGACTCATAATTTATACTTGTCCACATATCATATCCAAACAGGGCTTTGCTTCCTAGGTTGCCCAAGTGGCAGCCTGTACCTAGTGTGGCTAAAGTTCGAAAATATCATTTAATTTTTATCCAGAGGAGCAAAATCGGTCTGATGCTTCTGTTGTAAACATCCAACCACAGATTCAACATAAATATTTCCACTTCTGATCAACAGCAGTTTTCCAGAGCCAACAAATACATTCCACTATACAATTTTATGCTTTGTAAAAGGTGACCTATACTTTCTTTTTCAAATGCAGTTTCTTTAATGAAAATATTGTAATGTCAGTCCATGCAAAGCAAATGCATATTAATATGCGTTTACATCTGTCTCATATTAATATTCATGCCTGAATCCACATCCCTACACAAAGCCAATTTTCTGACCATCTGTGTGATGGCTGGTGGATGCAATGAATAAATTTTATTTGTGAGGGGAGTGATAAATCATGTATCTTCAGTTTTTCACCCACAATCTTTCCTCTTAGGTGCAAAAATGTTTTTATCGTGGTTTGGAATATTTAAGTAAACGAAACAGATTAACCCTTTAACATTCCTACAGATACAGGCAATTTTATAAAGGGCATGAAAATACAGTCTCAACAACTCTAAAAATAAGAAAAAGGAACTATGGATTTACTTGCTTAGATTAGACATCCTTTGTTCCTATGTGAGTTCCGGTCTTTTACACTAATCTTTGATATTGTTTAAAATGTACTCTACCTGTTTTTGAAAATTTCACAGATGAAAACAAGACCCCTGCAGAAAGAGTGTATTCCTAAAGAAACTCCTGACAGTCATCAAGTACCTTAAAAATCCTACTACAAAGTGTAACCATACATAAAGAAGATTTCAAACAGGAAAGAAGATTATGAACAAAGAAAGTGTATTAGTATTTACACAATGATCTTGGTACTTTCAATTTCACCCTGGTGAAATATCAACATTTCAGTGGCAACAATGTGTTTGTCAATTTGGTGATCTGTTGAGGAATATCACATCCAAATCTAAGAAGCAATTACCTTTCAGGATGCAACAAATACAGTTAATTAACCTGGCAAATAGAGCCCAAAGAGAAGGATTAAATTGAAAAGTAATCATATCATGATAGGGAGGCATGAAAATATTGCACGCTGAAGAAAGAAGCATGATCTGATGTCTTAAATAATGAAAACCATGTCAGGTGGTCTAAGATGGTTTCCTTGCCTCTTCCAGGAATGGTTTCTATGAATTCTAGATGAATGGGCCACTAGATTGAATCCAAACCCAAAGTTTCAATTTGATTTCATTTACCTTCTCTGAGTCAGACAGGGCTTTTCTAAGGTCACTGAAATTGTCCACAGTCACAAGTAGCACAAACCATAACTTCCAGGTCAAAGCAGAAATAAATTGGAACTTACCGTTCTCACTTACAGGCTGCTGAAAGTTTCTACTTCTATTGTAATATCACCGAACCAAGTGACAAGGTCAAATGAGAACTCTCAGAGCTATCAATCTACTGTAGATACCCACGTGGGCCAATGGATAGTCAAGTCATAAATGCAGTAGGATCAGAGAATTGTTAGCTCAAATAAGCAAGTTACTTATTGAACACCTGTTACTGGCGAGGCACTGTCCTGAGATGCAGATCAAGATGCCACATTGGCCTCAGAAAGCTTACCACCTCACTAATAACACAGACAGGTTCTCCCACAAGGTTCTGAGCCATTAAGCTGGTGTATGATAAATATGAACTAAATACTATAAAAGGAATTTAAAAGATGATGAGATTCCCGCTGTCCCAGATAATTAAGGACCTTCTTTAAGAGGAATTTAAGATCAACCTTGAAGGCTGAAAAAGTTCGGATGGTTTTAGAAGTCTCATCAGGTGGGAGAAGCTTTACAACGGTTCAAGGCAGGAAATATTTAGTGGGAGAAGTAGGAATAATTGGAAGGAACTGCAGGTAGCCACTCTGGTTACAGCTGAGAATTAATGTCCAAAACTATGGGAGTTAAAGGAAATGATTTTAGGCAGTACCACAAGTAGGCACTAAATAACACTGAATTACAAAGTCAGAAAAATAATCCCGTAGTAACTCTGTTAATTCTCTTCGTTGCCTCAAGAAGATAGTCTGTTTGGTGCCAATATATCTTTAACACCACTGCAGTACTTGCTAAATCCCCGTTCTTAACAGAGAGCCAGGCCCAAGGCTCAAAGTCTACAGACTAAAACTTGATAACATTGTTTGGTTTCATGTGTTTATTTTTAGTATTACCTCATGTTATACCAAGTAGTACTTACTGGTCTTCCATTTGCGTGGTAATATAAAATTTCCTTTCAAGAAGTTTATTTAAAATGTTAAAGATTAGTTGTTTTTTAAAAAAAAAATAGATGATAGAACTGGTGATAATGAAGGCAAGTGATTTAAAATTTGTATCTAACAGGATAGAGTAACCAGCAAGATACAGAGATGAGTTGGTCTCAGGCCAGATTTGACTCAAACCAGATTTGACTGGTTTCAAGTCTAGCCTTTGATTTCAATTCAATTTGATAATTCTAAGTACCTCTGTTTTCCTCATATGTGTGGTGCTAAAAGAGGCATTGCTGAGGTCATGTTTGTGAAATCTCCTTCAGGCCTAGAATTTTAACAAAAATATACCTAAACCAATTATATATAAATGCAAAAGAAACATTATTTATACTGGCAAGAGAGAGAAAAGCATAATAGGTCACCAAGCCTCAGAGATTTACCATAAAAGATATAAACTAAAATACTTCACCAGAAGCAAAAGGATATTGCTTTCATTAGATCACTCAGAATTTCACACCATATACTTAAGTATGATTTAGCATAATATTGATACTTGTTCATATTTGCCACCTACCTATTTCACAGTAACATTGTAAGGATTAGTGATATGTAATGTTTCTTAAGCTATCTCAGCTCTTAAAAGAAAATATACACCATAAAATCAAGGTAATAGTAATAATAGTCATCATCATAATAGCAATAACTGCTCACGCATTTTCAAACATGGGTTCTGGGTTGATGGAAAGGGAAATTAGGTTGTAAGCTAAAAATGCAGGCTTATCAGCTGATTAGAACAGAAAGGCTTAGGATGGGATAAGAGTGATGCTATCTACAATTTATCAAGGTCTCAGATGGGTTCTGAGATTTGGCATTTGTAACAACTCCCAGTTTGCTGATGCTGCTGGTGTGAGGCCACACTTCAAGTAGTAAGACTTTTTCCACTCTTTCGGGGTCAGATCTAAGATATACACCATTGACTGTCAGAGGACTTAAGGGAGTGTGTCTGAATACATCTTGGCAAATCTATCACTGCTGCTTAGACTGCCCCATTTGGGTCACCTTTGTACCTGGTATTCTATCTCCATTGTCCAATCTACCGCCTACAAGAAAATTATTTTTCTCATTTTCTCCCTGTCCCACCCCCACTCCCAAACAAGATGTGAACTTTTTAAGAGCAGAAAGCATGATACATTTTAAAAACTGATCATGAGTAAACAGACAACCTATAGAATGGGAGAAAATATTTGCAAAGTATGCATTTGACAATGGTCTAATATCCAGCATCAACAAGAACTTAAACAAATTTACAAGAAAAAAAAACAAACAATCCCATTAAAAAGTGGGCAAAGGACATGAACAGACACTTCTCAAAAGAAGACATACACGCCGCCAACAAACATATGAAAAAAAGCTTGACATCACCAATCACTGATTAGGAAAACGCAAATCAAAACCACAATGAGATACCATCTCACACCAGCCAGAATGGTTATTATTAGAAAGTTAAAAAAACAACAGATGCTAGTGAGGTTGTGGAAAAAAAGGAACGCTTTTACCTTGTTGTTGGGATTGTAAATTAATCCAGCCATTGTGAAAAGTGGTATGACAGTTCCTCAAAGAGCTAAAAGCAGAACTACCATTCAGCCCAGCAATCCCATTACTGGGTGTATACCCAGAGAAATATAAATCATTGTACCATAAAGACACATTCACACAAATGTTCATCACAGCACTCTTCACAATAGCAAAGACGTGAAATCAACCTAAATGCCCACCAATGACAGATTGAAAAAAGAAAATGTGGTACATATACACCATGGAACACCATATAGCCATGGAAAGGAACAAGATCATGTCCTTTGCAGGGACATGGATGGAGCAGGGAGCCATTATCCTCAGCAAACTAACACAGGAACAGAAAACCAATACCACAAATTCTCACTTATAAGTGGGAGCTAAATGATGAGAACTCACGAACACAAAGAAGGAAACAACAGACACTGAGGTCTACTTGAGGGTGGAGGGCAGGAGGAGGGAGAGGGGTAGAAAAGATAACTATTGGGTACCGGGCTTAATACCTAGGTAATTAAATAATCTGTACAACAAACCACCATGGCACAAGTTTACCTATGTAACAAACCTTCATCTGTACCCCTGAACCTAAAATAAAAGTTAAATAAATAAGTAAAATAAAAACTGATTATAAGGTTTGGGCAAAGACTTATATTCAAAAATGCTGATTTCAGAACGTTTTATAACATCAAAAAGTAGGAAAAACATGTTTCTTATAAAAATATTTAATAATATGGGATATGTTAATGATATAACATTGGGTTTAAAAGCAGGATACAAAACTATATTCAGTATTGTTTAAATTTAAATATAGGTAAAAAGAAATATAGAAAGTAGGGTGCATAATTAATAAACTAATAGCAACTGCTCTTCATTTCTGCTGAGTAATCATTAGGAAGAGGATGGGAATGTAATTTTCCCCTCTAAACCTCTCACTAAAGAACAGCAAGGTTTGTGAGATTGTAGACTCTATCGCTCCAAAAAGGAGTTAACGCATGGAGGTAGAGCAGAATGATACATACAAAGGCTTGGAAGGGTGTGTGGGTGGGAGGGGAGAGAACGGAGGTTGGTCAAGAGGTACAAACATATGGTTAGATATAAGATATGAGTTCTAATGTTCAACAGCAGAGGAGGGTGACTATAGTTAACAACAATGTATTATGTATTTCAAAGTAGCTAGAAGAGAGGACTTGAACCCTTTCCAACACATAGAAATGCTAAATACTCAAGGTGATAAATACCCCAAATACCCTGACTTGATCATGACACATTCTATGCATGTAACAAAACATCACATGTACCCCACAAATATGTAAAATATTAAGAATCAATAAAAAATATTTTTTAAAAGGTGTTAACATCTTAGTGTTTCAGTCATAGCAAGAGTGAACAAGCTGAACCTTTATAGGATGGGGATGATTTACGGGTCATGGTGGGGCATGGCCCAGACTCAAGGAAAGAGTTGGATTCCTGAAGCCTGGGGAGAAGCAGGAGTCCAGGGATGAGCTGCTGCTCCCTGGCCCTCTTTGATGTGTCCCACGTGGGCATGGCTCATGGAGATTTGAGGCCTGAATAGCAGTCCCTGGTGAACCATAACACCTGGTAGCCTCCATCACTGAATGGTCCCTGAGGGCTGGGGCCACAATGGGCTAGAAATCAGAAGCCTTCCCAATTTTCCCAGATGGTGTAAGTTTTGGGGTCCTTTACAACCTCATGGGAACAACCAGACAACCTAAAACCAAGTAGGTTAGGGGCTATGTCAGATTTAATGAAATGTGGAATAAACCTACATGATTTTTTTTCTTACTTGACAGATTATAGAGTAGTACATATACATGCATATGAAACACTGGAGAAAAACATGCCAAGTTGTTAGTAGTTAACACTTGGGGGTTGGTTTATAAGTGATTTGGTTTTCTTCTTTCAACATTTCTATATTTTTCAGAAATTCCTAACAACACCTAAGTTGCATTTAGAATTAGGAAAAGAAAATACAAGAAATGTCATTCTTTAAAATCAAGTGGCACTTTGGGAAGCTAAGGCAGGCAGATCACCTGAGGTCAGGAGTTTGAGACCAGCCTAGCCAACATGGTGAAACCCCATCTCTACTAAAAATACAAAAAATTAGCCGGGCATGGTGGCGCATGCCTGTAGTTCCAGCTACTCAGGAGGATGAGGTAGGAGAATCACATGAACCCAGGAGGTGGAGGTTGCAGGGAGCCAAGATTGCACCATTGCACTCCAGCCTGGGCGACAAGAGTGAAAGTCCATATCAAAAAAAAAAAATCAAAATCAAAGTGCATATCTTATTCTCCTTTTTTATATGCAGCACCTAACACTGTGCTGGTATACAGCAGGCAGTGAAAAAATCATAACTAATTAAATAAACAATTCAAAGCCCATGTCATAATGGTAAGTTAATGCAATTTTTCTGGTATACAAGAAATAGTCCATGCACATTTGAAAGAATATAAGTTATTCTCAGAATAGCTATTCTGAGAATAACATTTTATGTAAGATTATTAAAAATTATGAGAGAGGTGTTATGGAAAGCATTAAGCAAAGGCAGCCTGAGCTCAGGGACAATGTTCTTGATTTGATGACAGAGGCTTTGTTTCGGTTTCTGTGTTACCTGCTAAGTGTATCCCTTTGGCAAGTCACTGACCTCTCCCAGCCTTTGATATTTCATCTACAAACATAAGTTCTATCAATTTAAGTAAGGCATCATTAAAATCAAGTGAAGTATAGAAATGTGAAAGCAATTTTAAAACTATGATGTACTATATCAGGCTATTTTCATTATTAGAGTCTATATTTGGTAGAATGCAAAAGAAAGACTAAAAATATAGGTAATTCTTTTTACATCATTTATCAAGTTAAAAAGTCAAACTAAATATGTATCTCATGTTCCTGCCTCTTTGTCTAGTGAGTGATTTTACAAGTCAACTTGCAACATAACCACCAACAAATGTGATAATAAATAAATAAATTTAGACAGGAATGGAGGTTCATTAGTAACTTCTATACTTTGCCATTTAGTTCACTCATGTATTTATTGTTTCAACAATACTTTTTGTGTCAGACAGTCTTCTAGGAGCTAGAGATTCAGGAGTGAGCGAGATCAAGATCTCTGCCCTAGTATAACTCTCATTCTAATGGGCAAGAGATTAATAATCAACAAATAAACAAGAGAATCCAAGATTGGGATAAGTGCTATGAAGAAAATAAGCAGGACCATGGTCAGCAGCCTCCAAGATGGCCCCAGTGCACCACCCTTGGAAAGGGCATGGATATCTGGAGGCAGAAGCACTGGGGCCACCTTGGAGAGTTGGTGACCACAGTCAGTGACCCACCTTGTAGAGTCAGTCTGACTGGCCAATAGAATATAGTGGAGGTGATGGTGTGTTATCTTCAAGATTCGGTTATAGAAGATACCGTGGTTTCCGTTTTGGTCACTCTCATGCTTTGTCTCCCTCTGAGGGAGAAGCCAAATGTCATATGATGAAGACACTCAGACCCTCTGGAGAGGCCCGTGTGGCTAACAACCATATGAACAGTTTCAGAAGTGGGTCCTCCATTCCTTCAGATGACCCAAGTCCCAGCTGACCACTTGACCGCAACCTCAGGAGAGATCCTGAGTTGGAACCACTGGATCCCAGATTCCTGTCACACAGAAAGTGTGTGACAGTAGATCTTGTCGTTTTAAGCTGCTGAATTTGGGGCAATTTTACATAGCAATGGATAAGTAAAACAAGAATAATGCAAAGAACTGCATCATGGTTCAAAAAGACCTACTTGAGGAGATTGTATTTGCTCTAAAACCTGAAGGACAAGAATGAACCATGCAAAGAAAAGCCAGCTTAAGGGAACAACCAGCAGAAGAGGGAAAGGACATGGAATGTTTGAGAAGCAAACACACACTTCTCCCCAGAGTGATTCTGTGCATTAACCAGACACGTCTCCATTCTGCTCCCATGGACCTACTGCTGGTGATTCCCATTTGCAGTCGCCTAACCTACTACCCTTACGCTGTTCTCTGCTGTGTTCCTCAACCATCAGCATTTGGGGCAATTCTTCACAGCACAGGACTGCCCTCATATCGTGGAATGGTTTGCACCCTAAATCTCTCCCACTAAATGCTGAGAGAACCTCCAATTCATATGACAACCCCAAACTTCCCCTCGCCCCCACTTTTCAAAACACCCTCCAGGGGGGCAGTATTGTCCCCCATGTAAAACCACATGGTCTGAACTACAGAGACCACAAGCTATAGCAACTAAAAACACTCATGGGCGTCCGAGGTTCTTAGATATGAAACGCAGCCCCACCACCCATCAGAAAATGGACTTTCTCTCTCTCAACCTCATTTTGCTTAGTTGTTAAATAAGCCTTCCAAGGATTAAATCGAATAACATGTGTAAAATAGCACAGGTCTGGCATATAGGAAATACTTAGAATGGGAGCTATCGTTAAATATTTCTCCTCCTGGCCTGGCCAAATCCCTCTCACTCTTTAAAATCAAAATGAAGCCAAATCTCTTCCGAGAAGCTTCAGTGGTTCCTCTTACCCTTTTCTTTGAATTTATAATGCATTCATTGCTAATTGATGCCTTCTTTGGGGACAAATGGCACTTGACGGCTATTGCTCTCTGTGGAAACCACAAGGGTTTCTTAATTTCTTAAGCCACATATGCAGGCTTCCTTTTTGTCCCCACTGCAGGCCACGGTGCTGGAAAGTCGGCTTGCTCTCCTATTCTCCTATATCACCCTCTCAATCCCTTGAGGTTTTTTCCATCAAGGTTGGTTGTTGAGTTGGATGGTCTCTGTAGTACCCACCACTCCTTCCTTGCTGCTCAGAGAAAAACGCAGGGGCTTTTATAACCAAATAATTAACCATCAGATGTCCCCATAAAACTTTCTGGCACTGTGGGGGCAAGGGTGTTGGGACAGCCTAAGCTTCAATTTAAAAAAAAAAAAATCCTCAAGCATGAATTAACATCACCCCCACTATCTCAGGACTCTCCGAAGAATTCTGTTTCCCTGGTTCCCTTTTGCTTTGATTTTCTGCGTTCAGTAGTTCTCGCTATCTCAGTTTTGCATCTTTCCTCCTTCATTCTCTTCTCTTCAGCCCACATCACCAGTGTGAGATGTGGCCCCCATTTCCTTTTTACCCTCCCACAAATTGTCAACAACATACAAAGGTGGGAGGCAGAGCTTTGGAGTGACAGAGGGAAGTCCAGCACAGCCAACAGCCGAACACTTATTATTAGAATTCCTGTTAGCAACAAGCCACCAGCCCCCAATCTCCTGAAATGTGTTTCTCTCCCCAAAGCATATTGATAATCACTGTGGAGAAAAAAAGCTTAAAAAATAAAATGCAGGAAGCTTAAAAGATAAGAAATATTACAAATTCTTAGCATGGATCTTAGATCTATCATTCTTTCTTTCTCAAATCATATCACAGCTCAGTTAACCAAAGATTTGCCTTCTTTTTACTGTTGCTATTTTTTTGGTTTGTTTTTTAAAAGAATGAAGCCCAGGCTGGGCATGGTGGCTCCACGCCTGTAAACCCAGCACTTTGAGAGGTTGAGGCAGGCGGATCACCTGAGGTAAGAAGTTCAAGACCAGCCTGGTCAACACGGTAAAACCCCGTCTCTACTAAAAATACAAAAATTAGCTAGGTATGGTAGTGCTCTCCTGTAGTCCTAGCTACTGGGAAGGGTGAAGCAGGAGAATAGTTCGAACCCGGAAGGCAGACGCTGCAGTGAGCTGAGAATATGCCACTGCACTCCAGCCTGGGCAACAGAGTGAAACTCCATCTCAAAAAAAAAAAAAAAAAAAAGAATGGAACCCAAAATTGCCTCTTTCCACAATCACTTACCTTACATTGGATGAAACCATTCTTTTTTTTTTTTTTTTTAAGAATCCTTAACCAGAAGCCAAGTCAGAGGTGTAAACCATTGTCTTTGGTCAGGTGCAGGTATGGTGGCTCATGCCTGTAATCCCACCACTTTGGAAGGCCAAGGCAGGAGGGTCACTTGAGGCCAGGAGTTCAAGACCAGCCTGGGCAATATAGCAAGACCCTGTTTCTACTTTTTAAAAAAAGAAACAAAAAGTCATTATAAAAAAAAAAAAACTATTGTATTTTAGGTGCATACCTTCCTCCAGCATGCAGGCTTGACCTTGCCAGGCTCCTCCACACTGGAGGGTCTCACTTCCATGGGTTTCCAAGTTCTCACCTACTCTAATGACTCCTCAGCTTAGCCCTCCTTTCCCCTGCTATCCCTTGGGGCTGGTGCCTACGGTTTTTACTTCGTTTGTCCCTGTGCCCCTAACGCCTTGTTCCAGTCGTAGAAGAAGGCCTTAATGTACTTTCCCAATGATCGATCCTGAAAATCACACCCAGGTATCAATCAGTTTTTGCTTACTTCATAACTGACCTCATCCACATGTACCCATGGCAAAGGCACCATATGTTAGTTCTTATGTTGGACTAAATAAAGAAAAGAAATTTAGAAAGAGTTTCACACATCATCTGGGTAATCATCCTGTATTTATAAGAGAGCAGATTAATGTCCCTGCATTAATATATGACTCAAATGCGGCTATGAGGGCTGAGCATGATTATCTGAGCTTGTTACTTAACCCACTCAATTTTTTTAAAAATTCTGCAATCTGATGTGGCAGAACAGACTCCAAATGTTCTTGAACTTCAGCAAGGAGCAAAGCTACCTAAATGTGGGAGTAGGGAATGGTCGGCTGATCTGCAAGCACAGCCGCAAGAGCCCTAAAGAGAGGGTCGTTTTGTCGTGGGGCTTGGCTTTCCATCTGGCTTCTTTCTTCAAACCTAAATCCAGGAAAGCCTTTACTTTGAAATCTGTCTCTGCTCCAGTCTGACACCAGGCTTGCCCTCTTGCCCTAAGAGGCCTTAAGCCACCAGCCTGGGCATTGGTAGGACTTCATTCTGGTTTCCAGGTTCACCCTGGCATTGGCCGATAAATGGGTTTCCCAGATGAATGGGTTTCTGCGTTGTAACCTGTGGCAGTATCTGCCCAAGAGGTAAGTCCCAGCCCCCAAACCCACTGGCTGGAGTAGAATTTTTACCTTCAAACTCCAGGCTTCATCTGACCTGACAGCTAGACCCCCACACAGGATCTCTTGCATTGTACAACTTCAGGGGGCACCATTCACTGTGTGCTCTATCTGGGCAACTCTGTGGCAACGAAGTTGTCTTTCTGGAAACCTGGAATTCATCTATGCTGTCCCTGCTTGTGCATGATAAATCTTGAATATAGTTTGAGCTTTTTAATGATACTTTACCCCTCACTTTCCTCCTTTATAGACAATACTGCCTGTTATAGGCCTAAAGTGCTCAATCCTTCAGTCATAGCTTCAGAACCTTTTTCACATCATGGCACACATGAAAAATAATTTTTGTCCTTGCTGGCACAGGCACTGTAGCTCACTCCTATAATCCCAGCACTTTGGGAGGCCAAAGCAAGAGGATCGCTTAAGGCCAGGAGTTTGAGGCCAGCCTGGGCAACACAGCAAGACCCTGTCTCTATATACAATTTTTTAAAATTAGCCAGGCATGGTGAAGTGAGCCTGTTGTCCCAGCTACTGAGGAGGCTGAGACGAGAGGATCGCTTAAGTCCAGGCATTGAAGGTTACAGTGAACTGTGATTGCACCACTGCACTCCAGCCTGGGCAACAGAATGAAACTTTCATCTCTTTAAAAAAAAAAAAAATTGTCCTTGATGATATAGCTGTTACCAGTCAGAGGCAACTGGTCCAGGGAGGCACCTCCAGCTGGCTTGGGCCCTTCTTCAGCCACCCTTGGGCTGAGGGTGCCACTATTTTGTCACATTGTAACCCATCCACAGCCTGTCTGCATACTCAGTCTTTGGATAGCCCTGCCTTAAGGCGCTTGGCTGGCCGCCAGCCTGGGTCCATTGTTCTAATTGTATGTCTTTGGGTCAGCCTGCATTTTAAGGCCTTCCTATTCTTTAGGTTTGATTTTCTCTGTAAAGTAATAATGTTTCTATATGATATATCAACTCAGAGAAAAGCATGAGGGGTACTGGTAGGAAATTTTGAATTTTTTTCCAACCTAAATTGGCCAGTGAAAAAGCTTTCCAATTCAAAAGAATGAGAATCTCAGAGATAAGGCAGAAGACTTGAAAAATAAATCTCTCTTTTCCTACCTTCAATTGTCCTATTTCCCTCATACACTTATTGTATTACATTTCCCATATACATTTATTGTGCTTTTAAATATGAATAGCTCCCAAAGATTTTGCACCTACTCTATGCCAGACAATATGCTAAGCCAGGGGTGTCCAATCTTTTGGCTTCCCTGGGCCACATTCGGAAAAGACGAATTGTCTTGGGCCACACATAAAATACACTGTCACTAACAATAGCTGATGAGCTAAAAACAAACCAAAAAATGCCATAAAGATCTCATGATGTTTTAAGAAAGTTTACAAATTTGTGTTGGGCTGCATTCAAAGCCATCCTGAGTCACATGGGGCCTATGGGCCGCAGGTTGGATAAGCTTGTCTAAGCTCTTTTCATGTATCACCTCACCGATTCCTCAATCATATATGAGGCAGAAATTATTCGTACCATTTCACAGGTGAGCAAACAGAAGGTGAAGAGTTAAATGACTCGTCCAGGAAGTGGTGACCATTATTTGAACTCAGATCTGGCTGACTCCAAAATTCATGCTCTTAAGTAAGATAAATCACATGAAGCATGCAGTAGGTGTAAAACTTATTCCACGGACTCTACTTTTAAGAAATGTCATATTTCTATATTTCTTTATTTTCTTTAAACCAAACTAAATCTGATTTCAAGTCCCTATTCCATGACAGGATTTCAACCTCAATCTGTGTTGAAGTTCCTTCTGTTGGGAGATCGTTCTCATGGGTTTTTTGGGTTTCTGTACATTTTGTGAGGCACTGACTGCCCTTTGTCTCAGATGATCTTTTCAAAAATATTTCTATAGCAAACAGCCTTGAAAGGTAGCGATGGTGTCTCCTTCAGAGCAAAGGGCAAGCATGCTGACTGCCCATGATACAAAATTGGCGATCCCTAGGCTCAGACGTCCTCTCCTGTCATGAAACCTATTGCATGTGTGGGTATCATCCAGCCCTGTTCATATCACCCTATGGGCACTGGGCCCCAGGGAATCAACGCAAAAATGCTAATACTCTGGCTGCTGGTATTGCTGTGAGTAATAAACTACCCTCCATCTC
The DNA here is from genome assembly GCF_000001405.40 of Homo sapiens. NCBI lineage: Eukaryota > Metazoa > Chordata > Mammalia > Primates > Hominidae > Homo > Homo sapiens. The sequence goes on from NC_000008.11 coordinate 93,593,668, forward strand.
TGCCCCAAGAGTCTCATATCTGCCAGATTTATGAAACAGTCATAAGTTAACTTATCAGCTTGCAGGTAGGGTAAGCTCTCAGACCCTTCTCAGTTCTTGACACCTTACTGTCTCCAGAATCTTACAGAAACCTGAGAGGCTTACATGGTATCCAGAAAATAGAGATAAGCTTCCAGTTTTCCATCCCGCTGATGACAGCTGGTTCTTTACAGTCCAGGCTCACTTTGTTCATAGAGGGATATTGACCCTCTATGTGTCAAAATAGACAATGAAATATTTGCCTTGACTGGCGAACCCTGTGCTTAGGATCTAGCTTTCCACATTTCCATTCCCCTCTGAGGCCCTGCCACCTCCTGCCACTATATGGGAACAGAGCACAGATATCCACTACTCCAAGATCTGGTCAGTCTTGGAGGATCCCATCTCTCTCCTGTTATTCCTTCTTTTACCTGTCCTCTTACATCTGTCTCCTGACATCCAGGGCACGTTAGTATAATCGCCTCAAGTTAAGGCTTTCACCAAAGACAAGAAGAGAAGTTCCCTTCTGGTCCAAACTTTCCCTGAGGCAAGTGGACCCAAAGAGCAGCCCCCTTGTCTTTGTGCACAGGAAAGGCAAAACAGGTCGTAGCTCAACAAATTATCTGCCACAGCAGTAAGCATTCTGTGTGATTAACTGTGGCTAACTTTTGTTTACTTATGGCATCTCTTTACCTTTTGTGTCTTTGGCTTTAGTTGCAGGAAATGTTTCCCTTGCTCTCCCCCTCAGTTACATCGAGCTAGTGGTTAGGAAACTATCTCAGCTCTCTTTCTTCTGGTCCACCAAATTAAGAAGAATACTATCTGAAGTACCATAAACACAAAAAATACATAAAATAATAATGATGATGATATAACAATGAACACCCTCCTTCTCTCCTATGTATATTTCTTCTTCCTGCCTGGCTGCCCCCAGCAAAGAGGTGTAGAAAAATGAAGAGAAATAAAGTGAAACCAAGTCCGCTTTGAAAGGATTCTGGGCAACCTTTGGATTTTGCCTTATTTGCAACCAGTTACGTCAGTGTTAGTGTCCTTTTAGCCGTGGGTTTTATGCTGAAATATCTGTGACAGTTAATATAACTGGAGTGGCAAGATTTCCTGTAGATGCCAACTCTTGTTCTCCCAGTTTTAAATAAATCCTCAATTCTCCTAGTCCCCAAACAGTCCTAGGTATGTGCTCACCATTGGCAGTAATGACATTGTCTACATCTACCTCTCTTGCGAGGCATTGGCAACGCATACACCCATGGGGATACAAGCTTGTCTAGTTATGAAGAAATGTGGCCCTAGTTACATTTTCAGATATCTCACATAAATAATTCTGGCCTGCAAAAAAGAAAAAACAATTAAGTCATCTGTCTCATGTTTTATATCCTTTTGGAACCTTGGGGTTGTAAACTCCCTCTTGTATGAGGACAGAATCTTGGCTTATCTTGTTCATGTTGTGTCTCCTAAGCCTAGAGCAGTGCTTTGCCCACAAAAAGTGTTCAATCAATATTTGCTGACCAAATGAATGACCATGAGAATAAATGAATAAATTGTGTGAAGAACTAGACAATTAAAATATCCTTGATTAAGATACAAAAGTTAAAATGCTACCGTTTTAGGTTTCTGTGGAATCAACCCTTAAATAAATTATTCCCTGTAAGTCTGACGCTTAGAGAGGGTCAAGAGAAAATATTTTCTTCCCTTATTAATAAGATTTGGTAAATATATAAAAGTATTCACTTCTTGGACCCTGTAAATATTTGGGGGTTTTCTTTCAAGCTTTTAGTTAGAGTTTTTATGCGGTGTTTCTCAACTGGGGTTCTCACGGCATGTTGTGTTGAATTGTTCCATGCACTGCAGTACATTTAGCACAATTTCTGTCCCCCACCAAATGTCGGAGGTGCTGCTAGTCAGCATGACCTCCCAGGGCACCCCCGCATATTACTCAAGCCTCTCCTTAAGAACCTATTCTAAATGTTGGTTGAATGAGTGATATCTAAGGACACTCCCATTTCCTTAAGGAGAGAGTTCAAATCTCATCACACCTGATCAAGTCCTTCATGGCTTGTCCCCATTGCTGCTGGCAGATTTATGTCCTATGATGGCCCCATATACCCTTGCCTCCAGCATCACCAATATTCCTGCCATCACACGAGCGTACCTTGTCCCTTCACACCCCTGAACCTCCACCCATACTGTTCCCTCTGCCTAGAGTACCCTCTTCCAATCCCTGCTTCCCACACTCATCTGACTAGCCAGTACTTATCCTGCAAGGGCAGCTCAAGAATCTCCTCATCTTGCCTGTATTTTCTGACAATTTTCCCACCTCAGCCTCCACTCAGAGGCTTGCATCTCTTTGTTTCCTTGTCAGTCTCCCAGATAAACATTGAGCTCTCTGAAAATAGACAGCGTGGCTTCCTCATTTCTGTATCCCCAGTACTTAATACTGTGTGCAATGGAATATTTGACATGCCACCCTGTTACCATGTAGTATGCACTATACACATAAAGCATATTAATCAGGAACACTGCACTGGGAGCTTGCCATGTGCCACCCCTATGCTGGGAGCTGGGGGAGCCGTGATGAGGGAATAAGACAGACGTGAACCCTTTCCTCATGATGCTTACAGTCTAGATAGAAGGGGAGACATGAAACAAGTCATTTCAACTTCAGTGTGAGCAATGAAAGAGGAGGTAGAGAGGGAAGGGAAGGAGAGAGGACAGCCAGGGCCCTGTCATTGTAGGCCCCCACAAGGAAAGAGCAGTGTGGGATGAGTCAGTGTTAGCTAGGCAAGGAAGGGCAAAAGGAGTGTCCCAGGCAGTTGATGGAGGAGTCAAGAGTGACAGACAATGCATTCCCTTTCACAGATTCATTAATTCATTGAGTCAAGTTCCATGGTCCAGCTGTCCAGGTCAGAATGCAGGGACCACTATTCGCCACCTGCATGACTTTAGGCAGGTTGCCAATCAGCCTCATTCCCCATTCAGTAAAATGGGAATAATGATCTTACGCTTGATAGATTTACTGTTAGGATTAAATATAAGAATCCATTTAAAGTGCCTACCACATGGTCTGGTGCCCAGCAAGTGCCCCCTAAATATGATCCTTATCATTTTCTCTTATTATTACTCCACAAATAGTTATAACCATGCCCACCATATGCCAGGCATCAAGCTAATCACAGAATAAAGAGGAGTAAGACAATATTTTTGCACTAGAAAGGCAAGAGACACATGTGGGCAAAACAAGGGCAATGCACACACAGAAAACAGTCAAAGATGGCTTAGGTTGCCGTTGTTGTTAGAGCCAACAGTAATAATACACAAGTGCAATAAAGTACCCCTAGAGCTATGATAGAAGCTGGGAACTCAGGAGAAAAGACATCTCCTGGTTTTGTCTGATGGATCCTACCTGGCATCTCTGCCCTACCACCAAGGCTCTGGCCAGGTGGCCTCTCCACCCACTCTCTACTGTCCTCCTGCTGGCATCTGCCACCTGCGACATCTTCCTTCTCCCTTAAGCCAGCTCCAATGCTTTGAGTGTCAAAGACCTTACTCCAGGCCCACCTTCTCCACAAAACTCCCCACCTATTCCAAGCCTCATTGTCCTCCCTCTCGCCACTCTGATTTAGTGTTAAATGAGAGTGTTCTTGTCTTGTTTGCTGCTTTTTCACAAGTGGGACTAGAAAGACAGATATCCCCTTAAGTGGTGTGTTGCACAATCATAAAATAAGGAAAACAATGGGCCCATGGGGCCATTCCAAGTAATCAAAGAAATATGTTTGTCATGAAAAATTTATAGATCAAAATTGGCCAACAAATCATGTGGCATCTTAGAGTCATTTTCATATAGTTAATTTTCCATACTGTTTGTTAAGAACAGATTTCTCCATAGAGTGATGCAAGGAATATTAAAAAAAAAGAAAGAAAGAAAGAAAGAAAAAACAGATTTCTCCACCCTCACCTCACCCTCAGATTATTAAGTCAGAAACTTCCATGGGTGAAATGCAGGAATTTATTTTTAACATGTTCCCCAAGTAATAATTATTTTAAAATAAGTTGAGGAAATCTTGATTTGTCCCAGTCACTACTGTTACAAACCAAATACCCCAAAACTTAGCATAATAAAATATAAAATAACAACTTGATTATTCTCACCAATTTTTTTTTTTTTTTCTGAGACGGAGTCTCACTCTTGTCACCTAGGCTGGAGTGCAGTGGCGTGATCTCAGCTCACTGCAAACTCTGCCTCCCTGGTTCAAGCTATTCTCCTGCCTCAGCCTCCTGAGTAGCTAGAATTACAGGCACCCGCCACTACGCCTCGCTAATTTTTGTATTTTTAGTAGAGATGGGGTTTCATCATGTTGGCCAGGCTGGTCTCGAACTCCTGACCTTAGGTGATCCGCCCACCTCGGCCTCCCAAAGTGCTGCAATTACAGGTGTAAGCCACCACACCCGGCCTATTCTCACCCTTCTATGGGTTGAAATTTGGATAAGGAAAACAGAGTATGGCTTTGTCTGTGCACCTCAATGCCTGGGTCTTTGCAAAAATGCATACTGCAGCCACCTGGAGGCTCAACTGGACATCCATGTAGGCTCACTCACAGCTGGCAGTCAATGCTGCCTGTCAACTATGCACTTATATGTGCCTCTCCAGCCTGGCAGTCTCACGGTGACAGGACTTCCTTACATGGCAGCTGGTTTCTTTGAGAGTGAATATCCCAAGAGAACTGGGTGGAAGCTGCATGGCCTTTACTGACCAAGCCTCAGAACCAAGTGGCAACACTTTTACTGCATCCAAGGGGCTGAAGCAGTCACACACCCACCTAGATTCAAAGGCAAGGATCACAGACCCCTCCTCTCAATGGGTGGAGTATCAACGAATTTGGGGCCAATTAGTTAAACAGTCACATGTCTTGTTTTAATCATTAGTGGGCACCTACAAACTTTCTTTTTCTCGAGATATTCTTCAATTTTGTAAGATTTTGACAATACCAGAGCAAAGCTATGGGTTACTGGTTCCTTGGGACCCATCAATAGTCCCAAATTGTGCCCAAATCCACTTGTGAGAATACACTGCTTTGTAAAGTTGGCTTCTAATGCCTTCAATTCAGGAGCAACCCTTGTTAATCCTGTCTTTAAATCCATTGTCACTAATCCATCCTCTCTTTGGACCTCTTCAGAGAGGTTTAAAAACACTAACAATGTTTTATTCATCTTTTTGGTTCGCATAAAACTAAGGATTAAAATCCTTGTAGTTCACAGGTTATAGATTATGCCTTTTTTCCCAGATATTTCCCATAAAGTATTTAGACTTACATAAAATATTGTGATCCAAAGTCTAGAAGAGATTAAAGGATGAATTTTCATCCTAATTCATCATGCACATATACAATTATTTTGGCTGGTGTCTGCCTTATGTATGCATTTAAACATGTTTTATTCATGTTCCTGTATATAATTGTCCACGCTTATGTCACACAATCCATTCAAATGCCTAAGCATTATAAATACACGTATAATTTTTTACTACTTAGGATTACATAGAAATTAGATTTGTCAGGTTTTTGTGTATTTTGATGATATGACACTAAAATAGTTGAGTCCATAAGTTCAAATTTTGAAGCATATTAATCACTTTGTTACAGTAAAATGCACAGACACAGTAGAATAATAGCAGTCTGTGTGATTACTCTAGCAAGTTCTATTAGAAATATGTGTATTTGTTCCTGAAAGCCATCTTTATTTCTTTCCTTCAATATAAAATTGGTTCAGAAAAAAAAAAAAGATTCAAATCCATACTGGCATTTTCAAGGAATCACACTATCTAATGTGAGACATCTTATCACATTAGTAATCATATTCAGAGAAAAAGGTTTTTTGGACATGTGAAATTTTCCATTCAGCTCTAGAAGCAAATCAGTGCCCTGCAGCAAATATAACCACATAGGCCCAGTCACACACTAATAACCCTTCCATACCACTCCACTAATTTGATGTTGCTGCCCATTCTAAATTACTAAGGAGTTCTTTAAAAATACCATCTATTTGCTTTTGAATACACAGTATATTTTCTTCTAACTACATTCTGATCACATTTCACAGAGGAAAATACATCTGGCCTATGAGTGGCATAAAATGGGTATTTCCTCAGGGGTGTGTAAAGTGTATATAAATCTCAGCTTCTGCCTGAGATTTGCAGAGATGCTAATACACAGGTCACTTGTGCGCTGACTTTTCTTTGTGATTTGGGAGCTATGCTTGCAAGCTCTCTGTGGTGTAATGAGATCATGGGCAGTTTGGCTTACATGCATAAAGATTTCAGTCTTTTGCAAGTAGTCCCTCTGCCCCTGTACATTAGGTTCCTACATTGCCTTAATGTACCAGCCTCCCATCTACATTTATTTGGAAAAGAATAAAAGCATTATTTTCTTTAGTTTACTCAGACTAAGAGAAATAAATTCGTATCTATGCATACAGTTGTGTGCTACACCGATAATATTAAATAAATACATTATAGCAGCTCTTTTTTTTAATGGCTCAATTTTTTTTCCTTTGATTGCTTTCACCAATAAAAGTGTAGTCTGTGGAAAAGCACCCTTCTGGATAATCCATTGTCTCATTTTAACTCATTTTTATCAGGGAATTCCCCCTGCAGCAATCCCCACTGCCAGCCATTAGCTGTGCACATCTGCCCACAGTAATGACCAATCCTGTGTACATACCTGACTGCCATCTAATTTAAACTTCGCCCATAGGACACTAACGCAGCATCTCCAGGGCCATCTAAATTCTGGACTGTTGACATATTATGGTTATCACTTCATTCAGTCTTTGGAAGTGAATTAAGAGTGCCTGAGGTCGCAAACAGGTCAAATGCCTATGCCATGGGCCCTCAGCTTACCCATGCCTAGCTTCATGTATGTTCAGACAGAATGTGTGTCACATCACAGCCCCCATAACTTTATTGCAGTCGTGACCTAAATTAAAGATGTTTTCATCCAGTCCCTTCCTCTATGCAATACAAAGTATTATGAATATGTCAGTGTGATCACAAAGAAACATGTATTTCACATCAATAAATAGAAAGGCCATATATTAAAATTTGTTCTACCTGAATTTTATTCCTCTTTGATCTGTTTTCATCTTTAAACATGTTCTAGTTTAAAGAGATCATTTAATTAAAGCAACGGAAATGAGAGCAATTATTTTCAAGTTGTTATAAAACACATTCACAACATTGTCTCCAGACCCTGAGCCTTTGGTCTTTTCTACTAGATTGCAAGGGACTAAAGGACAAGGGCAGTAGCAGGATGCCATATCTACACTAAGGGGGCTAGAGAGTCCTAAGACAAGACCTAGAGGATCTCCTGAACAAGCACGTTACTGGAGATGAGGAGAATGGTCAGCAGACCGCTGCAATGATTCAGACAAAAAGTCACCATGCCCTGAACTAAAGCCGAGGATGTCTCAAGAGATATTCTGGAAATAGACATAATAAGATTTGGATATGGAAGACAAGAGACTAGGAGTTGAAACAGACTTAGATCTCAGCTCTGACATGTAAAGATCTTGGAAACCACCACTCCTATCCTTAAAACAAGAAAAAGCAAACTGAAAATCAACAACTTTTCTTGGACCTATCACAGAATGAAGGCAGCAGATCAAACCACCAGCCCAAAACCGGGAAAAATAGGTGCATCCTAAAGATACAACAACAAAGATCTGTTTACTTAGAGCAGCAGCTGCAGGAACGGGGAAACTGGTAGAAACACCTAAATGGTAAGTTTAATGAATTGCTAGAGGCTGAGTGTAAACTAGTGTAAGAGTGAGAAATTCCTGGGGGCCATAGTCTTGGGGGGGTCACACTGTCTTGGATTTTTCCCTTCAGATCCCTTTCAGGAACCCACTAGGTTTTCACAGTGAGGATCTGAGCAAGATCTCCTCGCCCTGGCACAGGGAAGGGAGGAGTCACTGCCGTGAAGCCCACCCAGAGCCTTCTCCAAAATGAAGGCCTATTCTCTAGGGAAAAGACTTCACCTGTGTACAATTCCAAAACCTTATCTCACCTGGAGGAAAGGAATTCTCCTCACTCCAGCTCCCTCAGCCTTTCCATCTCACTTAAGACAGAAAAGCAATCCCATAGTCATCAAGGGACAGTGCTTCAAGGAAATAGACTGGGAAAGCTGCAGCCAGGGATTGACCAAGGACAAGGTGGGAAAGGCTATGCCATGGGAGGAGGGATAGAAACACATGTGAAGGCCACAGCTTCAAGACACAGGCCCCCCAAATGACTGAGACCTAATCAGAAGATTGTAGAATGCTCCCCTTCCTTTCCCCATACCCTACTGCCACGCCAACAGGCTCCAGTGTAATAACTGCCAATTACAGCTGAAAGAGGTGCAAGACCCACACTGTCTCTAAGAAACAGTGTATAGGGATGCCTCAAAGCCAAGAGAGAGGATAGAAATAAGGACACCAGAGAAAACTGATCCTCTGGCACCTGCAAGTAAAATCAAGATTAAACACAGCCCAACTCCTTGCCAGATTAACATAAATCCTCCCACTAAAGACCTATTTACCACACTTCCTATTACCAACATAATATGTTCAGCTTTCAACAAAAAATTCCAGGGCATGCCAAAAGGCAAGAAAAACCACAGTCTGTAGAGAAAAGGCCATCATCAGAATCAGACTCAGATATGACACAGATGTTGGAATTATCACACAGGGAAATTATTTCATACAAGAACTCTGTTAAGGGCTCTAAGGGAAAAAGTGGGTAGGCGATATGCAAGATGAGATGGACAATATAACTAGAGAGATGGAAACTCTAAGAAAGAATCTAAAGAAAATGCTAGAAATCAAAAACGCAGTAACAGAAGTGAAGAGTGCCTTTGACTAGCTCAGTAGTGGGGAGCTGAGTCTCACTCTCAGGTGATAGGATAGATGGTGCTGGCATTTATCAAGATAGAAATATATAGGGGGAGGAACCGGGTTAGAGCAAAGATGATGTTTTGTTGTTGTTGTTGTTGTTTTACCTAAAAGAGATGGTTTCCAAAGTAGATATATATAGGCCATGAGTGTTAACAAAGAGGTGAGCTGAAAGAAGACATTCCAAAAAAAGGAATGGTCAAGACACCAAAGAGAGATTGACTAAAATGAGCAGTAGAAAGTGTGCTCTGGATTTGGCATTAGGTGATTGTTGGTCATTAGAGCCACAGCACTAAAGCCGGGGCAGCTTCCATGGAAATCTGAGTGTCTGGATATCTTCTGATGAAAGAGAGAAATGACAGCTGACAGCCTGACAGCTAGGGAGGTGACAGCGAAGCTTTCACCAAAAATGCAGGGCTGCTGCCACTAGCTTGGAATTGTCGGGTTTGCCTACAAGGTCAGGACAGACTCAGTGGGGACTGCTTGCAGATGCGACACACAGGAAGGGGACATCAGAGGGCAGAACTCGGATTGCAAGGGAAGAGAGGTAAAAAGAAGGCAGGGAGTGTAGACAGGGAGCTCGGGCTCCACTTGCAAAAACTTGGCAGGGTGTTGTGGGGGAAAAGGACAAGAGATTCAGGCTGAGAGTCGGAGAGTGTTTCTTAAGATGGAAGAGTTGTGAAACTATTCATACATTGAGCCAAAAAGCAGTTAACATTTGAGTGAGGGAGAGAGAACATATTTATGAAGTAAGGCTTCAAAATTAACTGGTGGGGCTGGGACCCTGAATGCAAGTGGAGGAACCACCCTCAGAAGGAGGGCAACCGGCCACTCCTTCCATTAAAACACATCTTTTCCATAGAAGAGGCATGAAGGGGGAAAACAAGGTTATGGATATGGATACATTTGCACATAAAGTTGGAAGAAGGAAATTGAAAGAATTCATGTAGGTTGTTGGATCAGGCTATATTACTCTGTAGGCCAGTCATTTCCAAACACTGTTTATTTAGTACTTGAGTTGAGTACACCCCCAAATATATGTATATTTATTTATAAGTTTCATGCAAATGCTACTGTCAATTTTTATTTAACTAAAGCTTAATTTCTTTCTACATTTGTATAAAAAGGCATTAAATACTGTACATATCACTTAGCTAAGATTATCACATGCCCTTCCTAGAGGGTACATTCTCCATGTTGAAAGTACTGGTCTATGCCAAATTTTTTTAAATAGCTATATAAAAGGAACCCTGCCACAAAAACCCAAACTCTTTAATTGTAGGGACAGGGTCTCTCTATGTTGTCCAGGTTGATCTTGAACTCCTGGACTCAAGTGATCCTCCTGTCTCAGCCTCCCAAAGTACTGGGATTACAGGCATACAGGCATGAGCCACTATGCCAGCCCCAAACCCTCCTATTTTAGTTTCTAAACAACCCAACCACCCACAATCACCTTAATCTACTTACTAGCATTCATGCCCACCTACCTTGGAAACTATATTTTTTTATCTTCCAGCATCCAGTTTGTGCCAAGCAATATTTACTCAGTTTCCCTATCCCAGCTTCTTCCCCAGGCATAGCTCTTTAACTTGGCAAATTCATAAACACTTTTAGAGATTAACATCCTCCCAGCTTAAGCCATGCCCTCTAATGTCCCTTCCCGTGTGTTACATCTGCAGGCAGTCCCCACTGAGTCTGTCCTGGCCTTTCAGACAAACCCGACAATTCCAAGCTAGTGGCAGCAGCCCTGCATTTCTGGTGAAAGCTTTGCTGTCACCTCCCTAGCTGTCAGGCTGTCAGCTGTCATTTCACTCTTCCATCAGAGCGATTCCAACTTGCAACCTCCTCTGCCCTCTGCTTCTTAGCTTCTCTGGGCTGGGAAACAAGACAACTGGAAAGGCTGAAAATAGAATACTAAATGGAAATCAGTGAAGATTTTAGGAAGTGCTAAGGAGCTTTTGGCTTTAACGCAGGGACAATGAGTCTATTGTTTTGTATCTCAAAGGCCTTTTTCACTTATTGTTTCAGATCAAAGCTGTCTTCCAGACTGACCTCTATATGCAGGAGATGCTACAATATTTATCTTGGGTTTTCTCAAAGCAAATACATACTGGCATTCCTAATGACGCCAGCATCGTAATAAAGCTGCAGTAAACATTGCATTGCTCCCTAAGACCTGGGTGAAGGGAACATGTCTTAACAAAACATATTTTTCATCCTGTATTGGCAAAGTATATTGCTAAAATTAGTATAAATTGCCACAATCTATAACATATTCTCTTTTAAGCTTTTATGTTGGGAGGTGGTCCTAATCCTTTCATCTGTTTTCTCACTGTACGATATGAACCAATCCACAGAATTGATGCCCACCTTCCAGATGACCCCAACTTAGTGAAACCCAGAGAAGAGTTAAGGAAGCAAATACCCATTTTTCTGATTCCCCAGGAGTGCGCCAGCTACAAGACAGAAAGGAGAGTCTAGTAACTGCTTCATCTGTACCTGCTGTCCTCATTTCCATTATGAGCCGCAAATGGTAAAATCAATGGGGAGAGATGAAACTAGAATACAAAGAGACCTAAAACTGCTATAAATCACTGCTCTACCCTGGGAGGCCTGGGCAGAAACTCCTTGGAGAGTTTCCCTGAGAAAGGCTCTGCTATTCAACCAAAGTATTAAGTTTCTCCTAAAGGACTTTGGTCCCAACTGACACATAGCCTCTCAGTGCCTGCTAGCCCATCCCAGGAGGGAATGTCATCCTATGCACCAAGCTCCTGTAAGCCCTTTCTTGGAGAGACCCTTTGCAGAGCGGAACTGCAAAAAAGCAGTGCTGCTCTGCTCAGTGATGGCCAATCAGGTGCTTTCCCCTAAGCCTCCAACTCACAGACTAGGGGTCGCACAGGCAGGCAATAGGTGGGTAAGACGGAACTGGGTAAGATGGAACGAGGTGGGGAGGTCTCCCTCAACTCAGGCTTGCTTTGTTCCCTGAGGGAGGTAAGTTTCCTTTTGCTGTCGAGGGAAGGGACTCACTCCTAGATACTGCCTTCCATTTCCCTTGCTTCTCTCACCAGAAGTTTTTTTGGAAATATCCAACTCCCTTCTCCCGTATTCATTTTTAATTCTTCAAAAATGCATTCAATTCATTGATTCCAAATATTTAATAAAGCCTTAATATGTGCAGTTATTTTTCCAGGTGCTGAATTCCTGATGCCATGGAGCTTATATTCTAGAGAGAGAACAGAAAACCATATAAATGTATAGCAAAAAAGTCAGGTGCCTTGAAGGAAAACAAACAGGGTTAGAAGACAGCAGAGACTTGAAGAATAAGGAGGAGCAGCCACGGGCAGGTCTGAGAGAAGAGTATTCCAGGCTGCAGGAGAGCTGGTGGACAAGGAGTCTCTGAGGTGGTAGGCAGCTGTGAGTGAGGCTGGAGCAGGAGGGAGGAGGCCAGTGGACCTGAGACAGCAGGCAGGGGAGAGATGAAGTAACGATGATGGGGAGGCAGCCATGGGCCTGGCTGTGAGGGCCTTGGAGGCCACAGTGAGACACCAGGCTGTGTCTTGAAAGTGACACAAAGCCACTGGAGTTGAGTAAGAGCAATGGCATGATCACTCTGGCTGCGTGCGGAGAACATACTGGAAGGAGCGAGGGAGGAAGAGACCAAAAAGAGGCTCTTGTAGTGGTCCAGGCAAGAAGCAATTGCGGTATAGACCTGCCTGGTAATGGAGAAGGAGAAGAGAGATTGTTTGAATCAGGACAAGCTAGGAAGGTAGAACTGATGGGATCTGTAGAGAATGAGATGTGGGTTAAGGGAGCAAGAGAGGAGTCAGGAAAAACTCCAAGGTAGTGGGCCTTAAAACAGAGATGGGTGGTATCTTCCCAACAGAGACAGGATAAACTGAATATAGGGATGGGAGGTGGTCCTTCCAACAGAGATGGGGCGGCCTGAACACGGGGATGGGAGGTGGTCCTCCCAACAGAGACGGGGCAGCCTAAACACAGGGATGAGCGGTGGTCCTCCCAACAGAGACAGGGCAGCCTGAACACAGAGATGGGCAGTGGTCCTCCCAACAGAGACGGGGTGGCCTGAACACAGGGATGAGCAGTGGCTCCCCCAACAGAGACAGGACAGCCTGAACACAGGGACAGGAGGTGGTCCTTCCAACAGAGACGGGGTAGCCTGAACACAGGGATGGGAGGTGGTCCGTCCAACAGAGACGGGGTAGCCTGAACAGGGGGATGGGAGGTGGTCCTTCCAACAGAGACGGGGAAGACACCCTGAGAAGCACAGATAAAGGGGAGGAAAATACAAACCCTATTTAGGCCTTTGCATTAAAATTTATCAATTCCCACCGTTAAGGAAATTGTGGCCATTAGAATTCTGTCATTCTGAAATATATTCATAACATAATACTTTCCCCATTGGGAATGAACAAGTGAAGAACAGAGAAGACTATATACTAGGCCCAGCATACTTATACAAGGTCATGAGACAAAGAAGACCAGAAAGAGAGAGACCAACAGGGAGCAATGAGATCAGGTCTGTAACATAGGACCTGACCTTAAAGGCAAACGAGCTGTGTGGACAAGTTATTTCACTTTCCTGTGCTTCAGTTTCCTCATCTGCAAAATGGGGCTAATTATAGTAGTGCCTACCTCACAGAATTAGATGCGTTAAAATTTGCAAAGTTCCTAGAACAGTGCCTGATACACAATAAGGGTTATAGAAATATTTTTTATAAATTTAATGAACAAAGTTTTATTTTTTGCCTAAACAATGGGAAGAAATGGAAAAGGGAATAGCTGAATGGATCCTACACATTAAATGAAAATAAATTAACATTTAAATACACTTTTGGGTGATAGATAAAATGGTGATGAAGATTATGCTGTCTATATTTCAGAAGTCACAAAGACAACTAGTAATACATTCCTTTTAAGTACACTAAATTATAGCTTAATAACCTAAAGGATCTCAGGCCTATAAATCATGTATTTGGAAACCAAAGCTTATATCCATGGTATCTCCCAGTATCTTCACAGGGAGAGTGTGTCCAGAGCCCTTCCACGGATTTCTGCAAATCCTCTAGGCTTTGCTTTCATTCCTCCTGTGTACACCTTGGTAAAAATGGAATATTTACGAGGTGAAAAGTGCAATGGAAGCAGAAATTAATGGTCCCAGAGAGTGAGGTTCTAGTCCCCCTCAATCTCTGACCATTTGTTCTGAGTAATCTCAGTGTTGGCAGCTCCCTTACCCAGGTGTTAGTGCACCCCATCCAGCCACCACCAGCATACTCATGTACTCCGGAGATAACACAAGATTACTGCCACCAAGTGCACATCTTGTTCCTTAGACAGAATGTAATGATGAAAAGGGCAAGATTCCACAGGGCCTTGCTAAAAGCAGTGTAAAGGTAAAGGGAGTTTTCATAAGAAAAAAAAATTTCGGCTTAGGTTTTGGACAGATAACCAGCAGCTGTGTGGAGCTTAGAGAGGCGGAGAGGAGTTAAAAGGCTGTACCTATCATCCAAGCCTGCTGATGAGGACCTGAACTAAATCCTCAGCCATAAGAAAACAGAGAGCAAGATCAATTCTATCGACTTTATAGAGGTAGACCCAAGAGAGCTTGGCAATTGTTTGAATACATCTGCGAGGTTTCCAAATTAGGATGCTGGGGGAATAGCAAAGACGTGAACAGAGGTTCAGAAAAGAGACATGGTTCAGAGATGGTAGTTACTGATTTAGAGGTCCATGTGGCATCTCCACATTCTCAAGGAAAGCTCAGGGAACATACATGATGTCTACCTCAAGCTCCATAAGGAAATGCAAGCCAAAGAAATCAAGTGGCTTAGCCCAAGCCACCGTACCAATTATCATCACAGACGGAAACAAAATCTGTGGTTCCAACTCCAAACACAGTAAGCTTTCCACTATAGCATGCCAACTCCATGTTCTGCTCTCCTCTAGGTCACTGTGAACAGTCACTTTGATCATGTAATCCTATTACTAAAAACAAAAAAAAGGGAAACACGCTATGTGCAAATTATATAATATTCTACTACACTAACACATTAATTACATTACAAAACCTTAAAAGAACTATAAGTTTAAAAGTTGAGATGATATATTTTTTTCCTTACCTCAATGGATCATCATATGCACACCCTGGGGGTGGATGCCCCTGCCTCCCTTAGAAGACCACAGCACTGGATGTTGTCCCAGGCAGCCAGTGAAAACAGTGTGGAATTTGGCATCACCTGCATCACCACTGAACCACTTTGTGATTACACTCTTTCTATTTCTACTGTTACAAATACCACAAACTTAGTGGCTTAAAACAATAAATTTATTGTCCCACAATGCCCATGGATCATAAGTCCAGGCACTGCCTGGCTCAGATGGTCCTCTGGTAAGAGTCTTAGAGGGCTGAAATCAAGCTGTCAACAGAAGTGGTTCCTTTCTAGAGGTTCTAGGAGAGAATATGCTTCTAGGTTCATCCAGGTGGTTGGCAGAATTCAGGGGTTGTTCTTAGCTTCTAGAAGCCATGTTCCCTGACTTGTGGCCCCTTCATCTTCAAAGCCAGCGGCAGTGGATTGAATCCTTCCCGCACTTTGAATCTCTCTGACTTCTCCTTCTGCCTCATCCCACCAATGGTCACATCATTTTTCCAAGTCTCAACTTCTTCAACAGCAAAGAATAAACATCTACCTCAGATGACTGGTTTGAGAATTACATGGAGTAATTGATATGAAATTATTTGAATATTCTAAAGCAATAGATGTGGGGAAAGGTGGGAACTGGGAGAAATTAAAAAAGAAAAGGAGGGACAAGAGATTTCTCTGCTCTTAAGATGACCAGTATGATTCTGATAATAGAATAGGTTGAGTGTCAACAGAACACTAAAATTAAGGGAGATATTGCCTATAAAAGCACTTCATGAATACTACAGTGGCATATAAATGTTGAGAATTTTTATAAAATATTATATGCCATATTAAACGCAAATTAACCTTAAGGCTTTATTTATTTTATTTATTTATTTATTTATTTATTTATTTATTTATTTATTTATTTTTCTGAAACAGGGTCTTACTTTGTCGCCCGCGCTGGAGTGCAGTGGCATGATCATGGCTCACTGCAGCCTCAATCCCTCAGGCTCAAGTAAATCTTCCCACCACAGTATCTTGAGTAGCTGGGACTACAGGCATGCACTACCACATCTGGCTTATTTTTTTTTTAATTTTTAGTAGAGACAATGTTTCACTATGTTGCCCAGGCTGTCCTCGAAAGAACTCCTGAGCTCAAGAAATCCTACCCACCTCGGCCTCCCAAAGTGCTAGCATTACAGGTGTGAGCCACTCCGCCTGGCCAACTTTTAGGCTTTTTGAGATTTAGTCTGTACCCACAAAAAACTCATAATTTAAAACATTTATAAGTAAAAACGGAATGTAAGCTAGCACAATACCATAGAGCCTGTAGATATCCAAATACCATTTGATGATAATGATTATGCCCTGGGCTCTAAAGATATTGTCATGGGGACTGAAGTAGTCAGGGTTCTCCAGAGAAACAGAATCAATAGGATATATATAAATTTATAGAAAGAGATTTATTATGCGAGATTGGCTCACATGATGATGGAGATAGAGAAGTCCCATGATCTACTGTCTGCAATCTGGAGAAGGAGAAAAGCCAGTAGTGTAATTCCAGGCCCAAAGGCCTGAGGACCAGGGGAGTCAACGGTGAAACTCCCAGTGTCCATGCCCAAAGGCCCGAGAACCAGGATATCAAGGGCAGGAGAAGATGGCTGTCCCAGTTCAAGCAGAGAGCAAATTCCTCCTTCCTCTGCCTTTTCTATTGGGGCCTTCAATGGATTGGAGGATGCCTACCCACATTGGTGAGGGTGATCTGTACTCAGTCTAGCAATGCAAATGCTAATCTCTTCCAGAGACATCCTCTCAAACACACCCAGAAATAAATTTTACCTGATATCTGAGTATCCCTTAGTACAGTCAAGTTGACACATAAAATTAACCATCACAGAGTCAGTTACTTAAGTTCATTCCTCATCTGTAAAATGGGAATAATAATGGCACCTACCTTAAAATTTGGTGAGGATTAAATAAGAGTACATGTGGAATACTCAAAACAATGCCGGGCTGATAAATATTATCTATTATTTTATCATTGAATTGAGAAGAATGATGTTATGATCATAAGGCCAAAAATAAGACAACAAATCATCTACTTCTAGCTCACAGCCCTTCTTAAGACAATGAAAAGACTCATATCTCCCAAAAGCTAATGTGCAAGAGAATAAATAAGAATAAAAATATATCTTTCAGGTCACAGTAAGAAATAGGTATGTTAACTATTTGACCCAGCAATCCCATTACTGGGTATATACCTGAAGGATTATAAATCATTCTACTATAAAGACACATGCACACATATGTTTATTGCAGCATTGTTCACAATAGCAAGATTGGAACCAACCCAAATGCCCATCAATGATAAACTGAATAAAGAAAATGTGGCACATATACACCATGGAATACTATGCAACCACGAAAAAGGATGAGTTCATGTCCTCTGCAGGGACACGGATTAAGCTGGAAACCGTCATTCTCAGCAAACTAACACAAGAACAGAAAACCAAACACTGCCATGTTCTCACTCATAAGTGGGAGTTGAACAATGAGAACATATGGGCACAGGAAGGGGAACATCACACACTGGGGCCTGTCGGGGGGTTGGGGGGGCTAGGGGAGGGATAGCATTAGGAGAAATACCTAATGTAGATGATGGATTGATGGGTGCAGCAAACCACCATGGCACGCATATACCTATGTAACAAACCTGCACATTCTGCACATGTATTCCAGAACTTAAAGTATAATAAAAAATAAAAATAAAGAAATAGGTATTTTACCCATTATGTCCTCTAATCTGATTCTGTCTTTTTATAGCTTGCAGGACACAGAGCAATGATTTAGCTAAAAGCAAGGGTTATGTGAATTTGCAGCTTCAGCAACTAGCAGTTCTGGAAGATGCTTCCAGCAGGTGCACCCTCATCCTGAGAAGATTTAGTCAAGGCATGGTTGCCTAGATTGTTGACACCTGGTGTTTATTACAGCAAATTTTCAACTAAGATTAATGCCAAAAGAGAAGACTGGGTTTAGGCAGATGCATTACACTGTGAGCATGCGTAGACCCCACATTTTCCAGCTGCACTGCACATATTCAAGTACTACCCACACTACTACAACTCCGTCCAGTCCTCAGGGGGCATATAAGTTCAAGATGCTCTGAACTTATATGCCCCCCAGGAGACCTGTTGTGTTGAGAAACTAAAAGGAAGTAAAAAGGGAGATTTAAAATATCAAATGCCTTACTACTTGTTGTGTTACTGTTCATCGGATGTAATTTAAAATGAAAATCCAAGGACTTTTCTCTTCACTATGACAGGCTCTGGGGAAATTCTTAAATAGAAAACATGAAGCAAACCCAAGTAAAGAGCCTAAGAGAAAAAAGATATAAAGAAAACACCAAACAGAAGTTCAGTGAAAGAAGAGAAACTGTAAGGAAACAACAGTGAGATTTTATAGAATGGCTGTAATTGAGAGAAGAAAGGCAATTTGAAAAACCTTGGTTATTTCTTCATAAAACAAACATTTATTAAACATGTACTATGTGTCAAGCACTATGCTAGGAATCCTGAAAGAGCTCACCTAGTGAAGGAGACAGAAAACAGGCAATTATAAAACAGAAAGGGAAATTTTGTAACATGGATAAGTAAAAACAGGATGATGTGGAAAGGGTCAGGGGTGGAGGAACACTGTCAAACCCATTTTGTATTGCTATAATAGAATGACACAGACTGGGTGATTGATAATGAACAGAAATGTATTGACTCACAGTTCTGGAGGCTGTGAAGTCCAAGATCAAGGGGCCGGCATCTGGTGGGGGCCTTCTGTTTCATCATCCCATGGCAGAAGGCAAAAGGGGAAGAGAGAGCAAGAGATCAAACTGCCAGCCTCAAGCCCTTTTATAATCAGCATTAATTCATTCCTGAAGGCAGGGCCCTCATGGCCTAAACACCTCCCATTAGACCCTACATCCCAACAGTGTTGCATTCGGGATTCAGTTTTCAGCACATGCTTTTGGGAGCACACATTCAAACAATGGCAGGCACCTAGCTCTGTGGACTTACAGAAGCAAGAAGATTAACTCAAAAAAGCAAATGACGGTAAATGGAAAAGGGAGATAGATAGAGCTGTGCCTTCTAGACCAGGTGCAGCCATTCCTTGCTGCTGGGACCTGGAACAAGTCACTCCTCTTACTTCTCCCATACTTCAAAGAAGGTTCTTCGGCTATGTGATTAGCCTGGGAACTCTATGAACCCTATGAGCAGACAGTCATCCTTGACTCCTCTCATTCCTCATACTTCACATTTAATCTGTCAGAAATACCTATTGGTTCTACGTTCAAAATATATATCCAGGATCTGTCCTCTATCCCTTTCTCCATCCATCACTATCACCATGGTGCGGCCTGAGCCAACATCACATCTCATGTGGATCCATGCAATGGCCTCCTAACAAGTCTGCTTCTGCACTCCACTATCAAGAGCAGCTAGAACAAGCCTATTCTCTTGAGCATGGTGTTGATCTGTTCAGAATACTACAATGGCTCCCCATTGCACTTGAGCTAAACGACCCATGCATGATCTCTCTCCCATCCTCACCTCATCTTCTTTTCTTCTTCTTTTTTTTTGAGACGGAGTCTTGCTCTGTCACCCAGGCTGGAGTGCAGTGGTGTGATCTTAGCTCACTGCAACCTCTGCCTCCCTGGTTCAAGCAACTCTCCCTCCTCAGTCTCCTGAGTAGCTGGGATTACAGGCACATGCCACCATGCCTGGCTAATTTTTGTATTTTTTTAGTAGAGATGGAGTTTCACCATGTTGGCCAAGCTGGATCTCGAACTCCTGACCTTGTGATTCTCCCGCCTCGGCCTTCCAAAGTGCTGCGATTATAGGCATGAGCCACCAGGCCCAGCCCCTCACCTCATCTTCTGCTCCACATGTACACACTCCTCTCTGCTCTCTAGCACACTGGGGAATTAGAATAAGAAAGCAACCAGATCATGGGATCTGCTGAAAGGACTCCTCAACACTCCCTCTTCCACCCAGCTCACTCACTGTACAACTTGAAAAACAAGAGGGGAAAAGGCCAAGGCCCTAGCAAAGCCAGCACATCAGACAGCATGGTAGAATGGAGACAGTACTCCATAGGACGTCTGAAGCAGGATTCCAGTGTTGATTTTGCCACTATTATGTGACCTAAGCCTCAGTTGTCTTATTTATAAGAGGAATGGTTAGGTTAGACCAAGAGGCAAACCTCTGCACTCAGATCAAATCCCTACCACTTCCTGGTTTTGCAAATAAAGTTTTGTTAGAACACAATCATGCCCACTCATTTCCATATTGTTTACAGCTGCTTAAGTGCCACAACAGCAGAGTTGGGTAGTGATGATAGAGCCCCCTATGGTTCACAAAGCCTAAAATATTTACCATCTGGCCCTTTACAGAAAAAATTTGCCAACCTCTGGGCTAGACCACAGAACTATAAGAGCCAAAAAAATAGAGACTGTGTTTTGTTCACCACCATGTCCCCCGCACTTCGAACTGTGCCTGTCACATAGTAGGTATTCAATAAATATTTGAATAATTCAGAGGTTTTCAAGCTGCTTCACTGAGTCCTTAAGTAGGTCAAATAATAATAGCAGTAGCTGATAGAAAGTACCAAATGCAAAACATTATTCTAAGCTTAACTTACATTAAGTCCTTCCTTTAATGCTTAGCAAAACCCTATGAGATAGCTTCTATTATATCATCCCCACCATAAGATGGATAAACTGAGGCACAAAGAGGTTAAATGACTTGCCTAGTTCCATAAGGAGGAAAAACTTGGGACCCGAACCCAAGCAGTCTGACACCACAATTTATTCTTTTAACCACCGCATCACACTGCCTCTCAACTGCTCAGAGAGACTAAAGTGGCTACTATTTTATCTGTTTCATCTGTTGGCTTCTACATACACGTTTCTGTAAAGAAGGGATATGTGGATTTTTTAAAATATGAAAACTACTGAACTCAATCTAATTAAGTCACTTTCCACCTTTACATTCTAAAATCTCCTTCTAACAAGAGCTACTCTAAAGAAAAAATTTAATGAAATTACAACCCGCATCCCTGATCTTCCCTCTTCTCTTCACATCCCAAAAGACAACCTTGCAAGGGTCCACTACAGGAGACTCACCCCCAACTGCAGAAAAGGAGAAGGCTAATTGCTTCTGAAAGAAAGAGTAGCTCAAAAAAATCAATTGCAACTTTTATGTCCATTGTGCTTTCCAAAAAAATATAGAAAGAAAGAGAATCAAAGGGATTCAAAATCTAATCTAACTTTTAATTGCTTCACTTTTTGCAAAAGCTTAGAGGATGAGCTGGAAAGGTGACGACACATGCAGAATCCCAAAGATCAGCTCTGCAATTCCAAGGCTGCTGCTCTCAGCCCTGAACTGCTCTTACCCTTCAGCATGTGAGCACATGTTTTCCAACACAGAGACATCAATAAGTCAAGCCAAGGATAATCCCTAGGTCATTAATTAAACCCTGTGTACAGGCATGCACACGATATCATCATACATAGCATACGGAGCCATAAACACTATGTGGAACCAGCAACTATAAATTATGAGTGTATAATTCCCTTGAGCTTCATAAACCACAAAAATGAAGCTCAAGTGGTTTGTGTAGTCATTTGAATCCCAGAAGGAAATACAGCACCGCGATTCAAAAGTTGCTTATTGTTTATTTTTTTATAATGGATGGATCCTACTTCTCAATTCACGTGTGCCCTCCTCCCACTGGAGCCATCCATCCGCACACTGACTTGCCCTGTCAGCCATCCCCTCCCAGCCTGACTCCCTGCAAAGCTCTCCCCTCTGAACAGAAAAGGTCCCTCCATGGCAGGACAGAAACAGCAGCCTGGTGGGAGTTTTGGTCTGCTTGTCATCTCATTAGCAAATTTTAATAATTCACGAGAGAAATGTAATTCTTGTGAATAATCAATAGCTTTTTGCACAGAATGCAGCATATTTAACATGCCATGTATTATGACACACAGACTTGGGAAAACAATGAGAATTCAGCACTGATTTCTTTGTTAAAGTATTATTTTAAATAATTTCTTTCCATTCCCCTGTCCTCAAAGTCCTCAAGTCTCCATTCGGAACTATTCTATCCTTTCCCTGAACTCTATACATTTATCCACTTATTAACCTAACTATGAGAAATCAAATATTTAATGATCATTGGCTATGTGCTGAGAAATGTGCAGAATCAGAAGGAAGTTTTCTTCTCTCAAGAGTGTGTGATCCAGTAGAAGAAATAAAATGAAATAAAGATACTCGGCAGGGGAAAGAGCATGGGAACTGGAGTCAGGTGAAGCAAGGGTGCATTTGATTTCTGCTGTTTCTGAACTGTGTGGTATCAGATATGCCACTTGGTTTCTCTGATAGTGATTTTCTCATCTGAATACATGAAAACGGTAACATTTGTCTTTCTGGGTT
Organism: Homo sapiens; assembly: GCF_000001405.40. Taxonomy (NCBI): domain Eukaryota; kingdom Metazoa; phylum Chordata; class Mammalia; order Primates; family Hominidae; genus Homo; species Homo sapiens. Next base: position 93,616,256 of record NC_000008.11, read on the forward strand.
GCCGTGAGAGTTGATGAAACGTGCTCCTTCCTAGCTATGTGTCCTTGGGAACATTGCGCAACTGCCCAGTGTCTCCATTTTCTCCTCTGGGGATAATAAGTGTTCGTCTCATGACGTTATTCTCAGGATTAGATGTGTTACTACATGTAAAGCCTTGAGAACAGTGCCTAGGTTCATGGTAAGTGCTCAATCAGTGTTAGTGGCTATGGCTGCTGCTGTACATGAAGTGCCTATTCCATAACACTTAGTAGGTGTTCAATAGCATTATAAAATAATATCAGCAATAAATGAGACAATTAATGATTTCATACCAAATTCTTAGCAGAGACGAGGTCTCGCTTTGTTGTCCAGGCTGGTCTCAAACTCCTGGGCTGAAGCGATCCTTCTGCCTTGCCCTCCCAAAGTCCTGGGATTACAGATGTAAGCCATCACTTCTGGCCTGAAAAATCTTTCAAAAGTTTAAAAACACCCCCAAAAAAGTGAAGGCAGAGACCCAAACAGGTGTGTGTACACCCATGTTCACAGATGAATGGATAAATAAAAGGTGGTACGTACAATGGAAAATTATTCAGTCTTGTAAAGGAAGGGAATTCTGCAACATAGATGAAACTTGCTAAGCTATTAACACAGGTGAACCTTGAAGACATTATGCTAAGTGAAAGAAGCCAGTCACAAAATGGCAAATATTATATGTTTCCACTCATATGAGGTACCTAGAGCAGTCATAGAGACAGAAAGTAGAACAGTGGTTGCCAGGGGCTGGGAGAAGGGGGAAACAGAAAGTTCTCATTTAATGGGTGCAGAGCTTCAATTGCGGAAGATAAAAAAGTGTTTGATATGGACAATGGTCAAGGTTGTACAACATTGTGGCTGTACTTGATGCCACTGAACTGTACACCTTAAAATGATCACAATAATACCTTTTATCTTATGTAAATTTTATTATCCAAAACAAATTTTAGAAACAGAAGTACTGTAAAGAGGACCATAGACATCTAGGCAAGCTGTTTCAAGCAGGTGGCTTAAGAATCACACCTTAAAAGATAGGAAGATCTGGGAAAATGGCACATTCCTACTGAGGGAAACCTCAGTGAGGGCCCAGGCGCCAGAAGGAGCAAACTGGCAGGAGGTGGGCCTGGTGGGAGCTGAGGTCCTCTGCTGGGAAGATAAGAACCATGGTTGGCCCAACCAGGCTCCAGCCACCCCTCTTTCCCACCCTTCTCACTTGCAGCCCCTCCTATTCATCCCGAGCTAACCTGTAAAATCATGCCAGCTCTGTATTTGGTGGCCTTTTATCTCTCTTCACACACTTCCTTCTTCTTGGAAAAATCCCCTTTATCTGATAAATTCCACTCCCTCAAGACCAGATTCTAAGGGCACCTCCTTTGCAAAGCCTTCCCTGATACTGGAACTTCCTCCCTTATTAATATCTCTTTTCTCAACAAGAATCGATGCTCATCAAAAGTGAGGCTTGTAGCCGGGCACGGTGGCGCATGCCTGTTATCCCAGCACTTTGGAAGGCTAAGGCGGGGGGGATCACCTGAGGCCAGGAGTTAGAAACCAACCTGGACAACTTGGTGAAACCCTGTCTCTACCAAAATTACAAAAATTAGCCGGGCATGGTGGCATGTGCCTGTAGTCCCAGCTACTTTGGCAGCTGAGGCAGGAGGATCACTTGAGCCTGGGAGGTCAAGGCTGCAAATGAGCTGTGATCACGCTACTGCACTCCAGCCTGCACAACATAGCAAGACCCCCTTTCAAAAAAAAATTAAAAAGAAAGAAAGAAAGTAAAAAAAGTGAGTTTTTTTTGTTTGTTTGTTTTTTTAATACAGAGTCTCACTCTGTCACCCAGGTTGGAGTGCAGTGTCATGACCTCGGCTCACTGCAACCTCCACCTCCTGGGTTCAAGCAATTCTCCTGCCTCAGCCTCCTAAGTAGCTGGGATTACAGGTGCCCACCACCACACCCAGCCAGTTTTTGTCTTTTACTAGAGATGGAGTTTCATCATGTTGGCCAGGCTGGTCTCAAACTCCTGAGGCCAGATGATCCACCCGCCTCAGCCTCCCAAAGTACTGGGATTACAGGTGTGAGCCACCGCACCCAGCCGAAACTTGTATCCTATATCCAGGTCCTAGCACCATGCCCGATGCATTGTTGATTCTCAGTAAGTGCATGTGGAGGACACGCATCATGGAGAAGCCAAGTATTAGAGTTGAGACTTGACGCACTGGATACCAGTTAATTTAGGGAAGATGATGATATGATGGGGGTGGAGAAAAGATAAATCCAAAAACAAATACATTGAGTGAACTGGAAGGGAAAGAGACTGAGGTTGGGGAAGCAAACTAGGAGGATCATGCCTGAGTCCAGTCAAGAAGTTATGAGGACCTAGATTACGTAATTATGATGAGAATGGAGATAAATATTTGGAAAGAAGGCTCCTACACTTAGTAAATGATTGTGAAAAGTTGATAGCAGGGATAGATTTTTTAATGGATTAAAATGTGTGCTGTGGGCGGCTTAAATTAGATGGTCTCATCATTTAAGGCCTAGGGATTTGCAGGATAAAAATTGTTAAGAGTTCTAGTTTGAGTGAAACTGGGCTTTTGTTTCTAGGAGAAGGAAGTATACAACACAAGAGGAGAGGTTGGAGGTCTTGGCTGAACAAACACACATCATTTTCTAGGCTGCCACTCTCTCAATCTATTACATGCCCCTTTTCTTTGTTTTCCCATCTTTGAAGGGTCCTGTCTTCACCAAACAAAGAGGCTATTTTTCAAAGCTAATCCATTACCAAGACAAAACTTTAAAAAAAAAAAAAAGACAATATGCTTAATTATATACAACATTCAATTGGAGGAAAGTAGAATGAAATTTCCACTTAATGAACTTAACATCCTTCTTTGAGGGAAAGAGTAACCTAGTATAAACATCAGAAGGATGACTTTTAAGCCCCCTGTGTGACTTTAAACAAAGGGAGACATGTCTCTTACCTAACTTCTCCCCACTGCACCGTGCCTATGGGTCAAAACTAACTTTGGCCTTTTGCCTACCAAAACGGACTGACCAGAAGAAGTCCAGGGCCCAAAGGACTAACGTATGCTAACAGCAATATTCCAAGGTGATTTCTAGTTTCTCTTAAGGAACATTTATTATTATACCACTATACAACTATGACTTTGCAGAAGAAATTCTGGCTTCAGCTAATGGGAAACTCCTACAGTAAATATACATTGGTAGGGAACTCAGTAACGTCAGAGAATCCTGATGGGGCAGAAGAAGGCTCTTATCCATGCCGCCAGGAGAAAACTGCCTGGTTGTTATCATCCTTCCAGATACAAGGGAGAAAACTGAGCCCCATCCAGCAGGCTTTCACACTCAAGTGTAGCCTGATTCACACAGACATACTACTAGTTCAATGTTATTGAGTGCCCTCAGAACACAGAAAGGCTACCTACCCATGGTCACAAAGCTATGGGAAAATAAGCAGAATGGTTTAACAATTAAATCAGTGCTATGTCAATGTTAGTCTTCCTTGGGGAAAAATTATTTCTCAGACAATCAACATATAATTTTAGATGGCTGGGCTACCCGCCGACCGATAATAGAGATTTTCACAAAATTCAAGTCATAAAACTCCAGGAAATGAAATAAAAAGGCAAGGTAAATCACCATCAGTTTATTTATGTTATTCATACCATTCTAATTGTAAAACTCGATCTAAAGATGATAATACCAGCAGGGTTACAAAGGTTCCATCTCAGTGCTCCCCACTGTGTCCAAAGACACATGTGCTCATACACGCATTCCCTCCGCAAACAATGAGAAGCTCAGCTAGTCTCCCTAGAAGACAACAAACACAGAGTGTTTCTTCCCCTCCCCACCCTGGATTAATAACAGCCTAGACATTAGCCTCAGGATTTTACACAAGCCTAGGAGAGCATCGCCCAATTGCTCTCTCCCAGAAAATACAAACAAGACTCATAGAATGTAATTCTGGAAAAGACTCATTGGTTTCCAAATGCCAGTCCTAGGACCCATGACCATATAAAATAACTCTTTTTATTAGCCCAAGAAAAAGCAAGAAAAATAAGGACAATGTGATGAGTTTTCCAGAAGGTAAACTTTGAATTCAAAGGACTGTCTTTTTTCTGATAATATATGCTTCTCATATTTTATGTATTTGAATGTCATTTTATGTATAAAATGAAGGTAATACACTAAATTGTTTATGTCCTTACTAAATACAATTTGTCAATTCTCAAACATTGCTCTTGCGTGTGACTAGTTGGTGAGATTTAAAAGATTGGGAACCACTTGTTTTGTCCAGCTCTCTTTTTTTGTTTCTTCATTTTTTTAAAAATTTTGGGCCCAGCCAGGGCAACACAGTGAGACTCCACCTCTACAAATAAATAAATAAATAAATTAGCTGGCATGGTGGTGCACGTCTGCAGTGCTGAGGTGGAAGGATCACTTGAGCCCAGAAGGTCGAGGCTGCAGTGACCCATGATCACACCACTGCACTCCAGCCCAGGTCAAAGATGGAGACCCTTTCTCAAAAAAAGGGGGGGCGGGGCCTGAGTAAAGAGAGTTGAGCTAGTAACACTCCTGGGCCCACAGCACTCTGTTGTCATAAGTGAACACAGTGCTCCCTCTCCTATATTATATTTCCCCTTCATCTCTGATCCACACTCATAAGTAACCACTTCATAGTGATGAATGGAAAAGATATGCAACAGTCTATGTACATTGAAAGCATATTTACATGCAAAAAGCATAATGTATTTTTATGTATTCATACAAATCTAAGCACCTATGTCAGCATTCTCATTTTAAGAATGAAGCAACTGAGGATCAGGGAAGTCAACTGACTTGCCCATGGCCACAAGAAGGTCAGGTCAAAGCTGAGCTAAAACCTAAGCCATCTTGTACTCTCTCAATAAAATCTTTGGCTATTTCTCTAAATAAAAACACAAACATACACTCTTTTTAAAAAGATGGAAAAAAATGAAATTAATCACAAACATTCATGAAAATATCCGTAAAATCCCAAAGCAAAAACTATGAGTCTAGCTATTTCTAAAAGGTTCTGACAGTCACTTGAAAGGTCTTATGGACTTCATCAATCTAGGATATTGTGAGTTAGAAGACAATTTATTAGGCATATTTTTAAGAACCCTCCCCATGTTATTTACATAAATCCCTTATAGGTAGGTCTTTAGAGGTGTTTTTGAAAAAAAAATGTGAGGGGCATATTAATCACAACAATCTAGAAACTTGTCTAGGATGATGTTCTGAGCTCACCTTGGCACTTCCAAGCCTGGCATCTCCTTTCCAGATCCCAAAAAAAAGCAATTTTCTCAAGTCCCTGGTGGGGGGATCGGCATGCAAAATTGCCTCCTTCATTTACATCAGTGTCTGTCAGAATCTATTGAGACTCTGCCATGGGTATATCCTGCAGAAGCTATAGGCTGAGGCATTGAATAATCTTTTTGCACACTCATATTAGAATTAATGAAGTGACTGATTCTATTATATGCTCCTAAAACATTTTCTTTGTCACTTCCAAGTATACATTGTAGGGTAATTTTATTGAACTGTTCAAAAAATTACTATAAAATAGCATCCAGTTTCCACAAGCCCTTCATCCACAAGAAACAATGCATTCATTGATGGGCTCCCTGCCTCTGTAGGCTCTGGCAAAGGAAATCACTGGAGACTTATTTATTTTATAGTGAACAGTGAGGAGGGGACACCACTTTTAATTTGGAGATTCCAAATTTAAATGGAATGCCCTCCAAAAACTAGTAACCAATTCTATTACCTAACAGAGTCCCACAATATATCACCGTAAGTCTGTAAAGCCAACAGCATCCTTAAACAGCCACATTATCTCAAGAGCTTTAGTACTCTTTGGTTGAGAAGTGTCCCAAGAATTAGGTTCTCCAGTCACCAACCTGAGACTAACACTGTACAGTTTATTTCAGCATAAGTGATGATAGTTACGCAGCAAGGCTGGCTTTCAGTACCATATGAAATAACTTCCTTGTTTATACTATTTACATCTAGCATTAATTGTAGCATCTGATATGGTTAGGCTCCCTGTGTTCCCACCCAAATATCTTGAATTGTAATCCCCATAATCCCTATAATGCCCACGTGTCAAGGGAGAGACCAGGTGGAGGTAATTGAATCATGGGGATCATTTCCCACATGCTGTTCTCATGACAGTGAGTGAGTTCTCATGAGATCTGATGGTTTTATAAGGGGCTCTTCCCACTTCACTCTGCTCTTCTCCTTCCTTCCGCCTTATGAAGAAGGTGCCTTGCTTCCCCTTCACCTTCCACCATGATTGTGAGTTTCCTGAGGCCTTCCCAGCCATGGCGAACTGTGGGTCAATTAAACCTTTTCCTTTATAAATTACCCAGTCTCAGTCAGTTCTTTATAGCAATATGAAAGCAGACTAATAAACTATCCTACTCCTTTCTGTGAACCACTCTGATCTTGGTAGGACTATACATCTATTAAAATGCTTTTTGCTTTGATTCACCCTTCTTACCCTAATGAAGTGTGCTTTAGTCTCTTATACATTGCTTCCACTGTATTTGTATAAGACAAATCTTCAGATACAGTATTCTACCTTTTAAAAGACAAAATGTCTACAAAAATTTTTTAAAAATACAAATAGTCTTCAAAGTGAACATATTTCAAAACTTTCTCATACAACTTGATTAGTTTACTATAACCACATAATCACTAATCTGGCCTCTATACCATTTAAGAAAGAATGTCTCAGTGCCTGTCTACTTTTACCCTTTATTGGAAGGAAGGAAAGAAGGGAGGGAGGGAAGGAGGAACCTGCTGGAATAAAATTATTTTCCCAAGACAAAAATATGTCACAAAACAGAAAAGGCAAACTTAGACAACAGAAAAAAAAAACTACTGCATTGAGTTAAAAGTTATTCTGTAGATAGAATTAAATATATCAATCAGAATTAATGAGGAGTTTCTTTCCATCTAGTTTATCACAAATAACAGTACACAAAATATGTATATATGTATATGTATGTATGTGTGCAGATGTGCATGTATACACACATTCCAGTTTTCTCTATACTATAGCCACAGTCCAAACCAAAGCACTGGAGTTATCCTTCATATTTCATATCTACTAAGATCTACCAGTTCTGTGACCTTGAGTAAGTTACTTGTGACCTTGACAGTAACTTAGGATCTCTGAACTTCAGTTTCCTTATCTATTAAAAAAAATTATCCTGGCATAGTAGTACATGTCTGTAGTCCCAGCTATTCAGAAGGCCGAGGTAGGAGGATTGCTTGAGCCCAGGATTTCAAGATTACAGTGAGCTGTGATCATGCCACTATACTCCAGCCTGGGTGACAGAGCAAGATTCTGCCTCTTTAAAACAACAAAAACAAAAACAACAACAACAAAAAAAGATTACAGTTATTCCTAGCTCATGAGTCACTGTGAGGATCATATGAGATAATGCTGGCCCAGTGCTGGCATGTAGTTAAGATTGTAAGTGCTAGCCATCATCATCATCATCGCTATTACTGTTATCACCATCATTGTCATCATCATCAGACTACAGTTAGAACCTAGACTACCAAAGAGAGTGGTGTGTTTGAGAAAAATGCTCCAGGGAAATTCTTCTCCATGCCTTCCTGCTCTCAGCTACCCTGTCTTGAGACAGATAAATTCTCCAAGTATATAGGTTGGTTACTGTCTCAAAGAGAAGTGCCAAATCCTTTGGAGAATGCCTGTAGACATGACACAGTGATTTATATAGTGCTCCCTAAGAATATCACTAGTGATGCTACTGAATTTAGAAAGTCAGCAAGTCACTCCAGTTATCAGTGGACAAATCTCTGTTAAGGGTGGCTCATATATAACTCACCATACTAGAGTCAATAGCCTACACCAAAAAAAATACAAGGCATGGGCTGTGTTCTCAAAGACATTAGAAACCACCTGCACAAGTTAGGAACATAAGATACATACTTAACTAGTAGTACATAGCAACATAAAGTAAATATGTGCCACATTGTGGATGTGATTAGTCAGGAAGTGCTCTCCAACGTAGACAGAACTCAATATTAACCTTGAAGGAGTCAAAATAAGGCACTGGTAGGAGCTAACGACCCTTATCTCATTTAATCCTCATACCAACACTTCAAAGATGATACATTTAGCCACATTTTACGCATGAAGAAAGTGAGGAGCAGACATGTAAAGTCATCTGCCTACAGAGACACTAATGAGAACTAGAATAGTGACTTAAAGCTAGGGTTTTCACCCCAGCCTCCAACTATGTCATCCTGGGGACACTTCAGTCATCACCTTGAGTGAATTACACCAGCATCTAATAATGGCAACTGCAGTTTGCACATGGTCTCTTCTTCCTCAAGTTTGTTCTTGTCTTTTGAAAAGTTAGACTAGCGTTGACCTAATGTCTAAGTATATCAAAAGAATAAATGCAGCAAATGTTGTAGAAGACCATTAAGAAAGATTGGTTATAACCAAGAAATGGTTAGTTATGACCAGAGCCACTTAGATAGTTTTTCTAGGATCAGCCCACCTCTCTCTCCTGGGGTACTAGAGGCAGGTGGAATACTCTATTTGAGCTGCTTTACCACCTTTTTGAGCCTCTTCCTTTTCCCTCATGCCCCTAACATCAGAGAAGAGAACATCAGAGTAGGGAATCAGACATCGAATGCCTGCTTTGAAGGCAGGATGTATGTCCCCTACCTGTATGCCTTGTCATGCATTTCCCCATGGGATAGAAACCCAGACTGGTGCACACAAATTGCTGATCTTTCTTCAAATCCAATTTCCCCCCATTCTGAACAATCTTAAACTAGGATGCTCATGGGAAAATAAACAGAAACTACCGATGGCCCAGGGGGGCCTGCAGGGTCATGATTCCTGACTTCTCTGTTTCTGCATCCACAGCTTTTTTAGCATTCACTAACCATGTGAGTCAAAAGCCACATTACCAACTCCAAGCAAAGCTGCAACATCAGGAGTGGCTGCCCCTCTCCTGCAGGCCACTGCCAGACTTAAAAATTGGTGAGCAGAAGAATGAAATAGAATGGAATGAAGAAAGGAACAGAATAGAATAGAATAGAATAGAATAGGTTTTCATCCTTCCAGACATATAAGCCTCTTTTATTAAGTAGAAATAAAATATATTAAAACTATATGAAAACAATGCCTCATAATCTTGTCATATATTCTTTTTTTTTCTTGTCATTCATGTTACAAACAGCATAGATATCTTTAGCCTAAAATGACATGATTTGGGAGTAGGTAAAATGTCACACAATTCTTCCTAAGAAAAGATAAATGATTGTGGAAATAGAAAGGCGTGGATACAGAGGAAATGTAATTTTCCTCTTTTTTTTTTAAGGGAGATAAAGAGAGAGAGAGGAAAAGAAACAAAGAAACGTTGCCGGAGTCCTCAGTGACCCACACATATCAAATTATACAGGATGGGGTAATGTGATTGCCCATTCTCAAATCAGCCAGCAGATGTGCCGCTGCATTCTGCATGAGCAGCAAGTGACAGAAAAACCCTGCTGGAGGTCCTACTAAAAGAGAATTACAATAATCAAGCCTGCGCGCCATCAGGGCGTGCTTTACTGCAGCAAAATTAAATACAGGAGCACACCCTGCCTAAGGCCTAAAAAACACAAAGCCGTTGTTTTAACCTTCTAAATACCATTTATCGAAAGAAGGAGCAGAGTTAAAAAAAAAAAATTGAGATCAAGCACAGCAACATGATTGGGTTTTATTTTTCTTTGTGCCATTAAATCATTGGCTCCAACAATCTCTGCTCTTTTTTTCCTCCTGATGGCCTTTTCCCTTGTTTATGCTGCTCCCGCGATCTTGACTTTCAATCACAAGATGTCAATCATGAGGCCGAAAGTAAGGATTTAGAAATTATTTCCTCCACACAACACTTTAAATAAAACATGTGGTAAACAGTTTTTTTGTACCTCAGAAAATACACTTCCATCATCAAAAACTGTCTTGTAACTTTTGAATATGACAAACTAGAATTTTTGCTTTAGAACTGCAGGTCTAACCACTAGGTAATGTGATCAGTTCAGTCAAATTATTGTTATGTGTCTGAAGTTTGCAGTCAACCTCTTTTTGCACGCTATGAATTAATGATTTTCAAACTGTATTCCCAGAGCAAAGGGCTCTGCAGTGGTGAACCATAAGGACAAGCAAAGAACCACCCCCACACTCAGCCTTGCTGATTCTATGGGCACAGTCAGCCGCGTTCCCACTCCGTCCTGTCACCCCCCAACACAAGCCACTGTCCTCTCATACAGACCAGTACAGGAGCCTCCTTACTGCTCTCCTTGCCTCTTCTTTTGCTGCCTCCATCTGTTCGTCACACAGTAGCCCCTTATTCTTTTTAAAATATAAATTAGCTTATATTTCTCATCCTGCCTAAGCTCCTTGAGCCACCTCCAAATTCATTTCAAAGAAACTCCAAACTCCTTGCCTCACCTTGAAAGACCCTACAGTCCTGGGTGCAGTGGCTTACACCTGTAATCCCAGCACTTCGGCGGGCTGTCGTGGGAGGACTGTTAAAGCAAGTAGTTCAAGACCAGCCTGGGCAACATACCAAGACCCCATCTCTCCAAAAAAAAAAATTGTTTAAATTAGCCAGGGGTGGGGGCGAACACCTGTAGTTCCAGTTCCTAGGGAGGCTGAGGTCAGCAGATCACTTGAGGTCAGGAATTGGAGACCAGCCTGGCCAACATGGTGAAACCCCGTCTCTACTAAAAATACAAAAAATAGCCAGGCATCATGGCGGGCACCCGTAATCCCAGCTACTTGAGAGGCAGGAGAATCGCTTGAACCCGGGAGGCACAGGTTGCAGTGAGCCAAGATGGCGCCACTGCACTCCAGTCTGGGCGCAGAGTTACACTCTGTCTCAAAAAAAAAAAAGACCCTGTATGGTCTGCATGCACCTACCCATCCTCCCAGTTTGTGTCACTCTCCCTTACTCACAAAAAAGCTCCAACTGTGAAAGTCATTTTCTGTACCTTGAAAGTATCAAGTTCCTTTGTACCCCAAAGATTTCAGAGCTCAAGGCTTTTGCCTCTAGTACTCCCTCTGCCTGGAATGTTTTCTTCCTCCTTCTCTGCATGGCTGGCTTCTTCCAATCTTCAGGTTAAGCCTCCATGTCCCTTCCTCAAAGAGGCTGTCCCTGACCACCATGGACATTTGAAACCACGGATATTAACTCCTGTTTATAAGCCCCTCATGGGTTGGACCGCTGCCCTTTTTAATCTTTAGCTCCTAGCAAAATGATAATGCAATCAACATTTGACAGCTGAGTGAAGGAAGAAAGGAAGAAATGAAGAAATGAATGAAACAATCAGCCCATTTGTAATGAATGCTAAAAAGGAGGACATAGGCTGGGTGTGGTAGCTCACACCTGTAATCCCAGCGCTTTAAGAGGTGGAGGTGGAAGAAGCGCTTGAGGCCAAGAGTTGGAGACTAGCCTGGGCAACATATTGAGGTCCTGTCACTACAAAAAACAAAACAAACAAACCAAAAAAAAAACACCTGTTTTGAATTAGCTGGGCATGATGGTGCATGCATATAGTCCTAGCTACTCAGGAGGCTGAGGCAGGGGCACTGCTTGAGCCCAGGAGTTTGATGCTGCAGTGAGCTATGATAGCACCACTGCACTTTAGCCTGGGCAACAGAGTGAGACCCTGTCTCTAAAAAAATAATAAATAAATAAAATAAAAAGGATGACATATATAACAGGCAGGCCTAACTATTTCAGTGATGTCATTAGGGCCTGAAATTTAAAATTGAACTGAATTCTGCATAATCTGAACGATTTATTTGCATGTTCTTTCCTCCCACATCCTCAGGGAAGAGGACATCGAAAGGAATTGGGAGTAAACTTTGGATCTGGTTAGGCACACCCTGAGTAGCCTTGCCTCCTATTTGATGGGCCAAACTAACACAAACATCTGGGGGGCTCCTGAGCTTCCTCCTACAGCAGCTTTCAGCAGGCTTGATTTATGCAGCAATCTTTCCTTATTGGCCCGTGGTCCCTCCTTGTGTGTGGCTCAGGCAGCATATTCTTACCCAATTCTGTGAGGTCTCCTGGAACACATATAACATCTGGCAGCATCCTGAAATCACACGTCTGGATGCTGCAAAGGTATCTCCATATATTACCTTCCTGCTCTGCAGGGAGAAATGTTATTTTTGGTTGAAATCACTTTTTCATTTATCTCAGGTCAAAGGAAGTTCATTTTCCCCATTGTTCAATTTTCCTCCGAGTCAAATTTTTTAGTTTTGTCTCATTTTAAAATAAACCATTTTTAAATATGCTATTTTACATATATATGTAGTTAGAAACAAGGGCATGTAATTAGACAACTGATAATGATTGTTATTATTATAGCTATCATTTCATCATGTATCAGGCACTTACTCTAGGCCACCCTCTGTACAAGGCACTTCACATTTATTATATTTAAACATTCTATCAACAAATGTAACTTATGAGAATATACATACATATTATGAAAATTAAGTCATTTTAAATTGTAATTCACCATGCAATGTCAAGGTTTTTCCTCACACACAATTTATCAATACACTTACCATTTTTTCAGTTTCAAAAAGATTGTTAATTTAAGTCTGCCATCATTCATATTGGGCAGAAACTCACCTACCAGAAAGTTTCAGCTCAGTAGAAAAAAGAAAGAAGAAAACAATTTATTGTAAAAATTCTAGTACCAAGTGATATAACAACTTTCACAAAAGATGTTGGTTTTAAAATTGAAAGTCCACACTCAGATTTTATGACAAAACTATAGAGCCTTCCTTCACCTCCACAAACTGACCAAATTATAAAGTAATGCTCAGGCCATTTGGAAGAAATCCATGTTTTTCCATTTCTGTTTCAATAATTTAATTTGATCAAATGTTGAGAAGATGGAATCTGAAAAAATCATAAAGTATAAAATAGAATGATGATTTAGTTCTTTTAAATACTGAAGCTAAGATGAAGACAAATGGATTTTCTTGAAAAATAATGTGTGGCATATATAATTTAGCCCCCAAAATATTTTGGAGAGGAACAATTTATTCAAGAGGACCTGATATGTTTGCATAGAAAAGTATCTGGTGGTCAGTCCCAACTCTGTTATAATTATTTCTTAACCCTTTATCCTTATGTCCTTGCCAATCTGTACGTACTTTTCCTTCTTGTGCTTTAAATTCTTTCTTTTCCATGTTTTTCATTGCTTCCTGGGGGAATGCGAGGGGAATTAGGGGCAGGGGAAGGATTCATCAATTCGTAGTTTTTCCTAGCTCATGTGATGAGTAGTAAGCACCAGGATATTTCCTATCAGAGCCAGTCACCTGCAACCTCAGGGCCCGAGAGCATTGTCTTTAGCAGTCCTGCAGCTCCCTTCCTAGGGTCCTCTTCACAGCTGAAGATAGGCCCCTTCCTCTCCCCCAGAGACACTAGCTCCACCCCAACCTTGCTCATGACCTATTACTTCAAGGCTTGTTCTCTAAAAGGTGCCTGACTGTGGCTTGCTCACTCTCCACCTCTTTACTTAGAATTATTTTGTGGCTCATTCTTCCAAATATTGCCTTTCCAGGAGTCACTGAGCCTAAGTGGAAAAGACATGGGCTTTCGAGCTCAATGTCACTAGATTTGAATCCTGGCTATGCAGCCCATAGCTGTGTAATTTTGGGCAACTTACTTCATCTTTCTGAGACCTAGGATGTAAAATGTCTCCTGGATGTAAAATTCAGTCTCCCTGGATGTAAAATGAGACTAACAATTTTTTCTACGTTTGTTGATAGAATGTTTAAATATCATAAATGTGAAGTGCCTTGTACATAGGCTGGCCTAGAGTGCCTGATATATGATGAAATGATAGCTATAATAATAACAATCATTATCAGTTGTCTAACTTTCAGGTTGGAAAATGTCTAATCAACAAATAAATGTAAGCATATGAAAAGTTATTATCACGTTGGCACTAAACCTATCTGGGAGCATTTTTGACCCAGGGCCATTACTGTTCTTTGAAGAAATACTACACAAACCTTCATCTACCATTTTTCATCCTAAGATCAGGCTTAATTTACTCCCATGAATATCATTTAAAAAGGTTTTGTACCCAGCAGATTCTAGAAAACATTGGTTGCAAATTAGGGTGACAAAACTGAGATGAACAAACATCTAGAAAAAGGGCACCAAAAAATAAAACCCAGAAATGATCCATGAACCAAGAAATTTAGTCATTTATTCAATAAAGTTCACATCAGGGCAGCAAACCCTTATAAAGTACCTACTGCCTACCAGACACTGGGAATACAGAAATGATTAAAACATGCTCCCTGCCACCAAGGAATTTGCATACCAGTGAGGGGACACACACCCAAATTAATTCAAAATGATGAGATGAGTGATGTGATAGAAGTGAGCAAGAGGTCTCATGGGAGTACAGAAGAGGGGTCTTCACCTAATCTGTGGTCAAGGAAAGCCTTTCTGAAAAAGATGACACCTGGACTGTCTTGAAAGAAAAATCAAAATTACCTATGCAAAGAAAGATGGAAAGACAACCACTGCAGGAATATGAACTGCGTGAAGAGAAGCATGAAAAATTATGGTGTGTGCAGAGAAGCATACAGCAGTAAAGTGTTCATAGAACATCAAATGTGTGGGGAGATTGGCAGGAAATTGGGCCAAGGTATGAGCAGAGGGCAAGACACGGAGGGCTTTGTCTGCTCTGTTGAGAAGCTTGGCCTTTGTTCTCATGGTGGAGGCACATTGAAGGAAACTGACGTGGGTGGATTTAGTTTCAAGGGATCACTCTGGCTACAGAGTGAGGATAGGCTCAGGGTTGGAGTCAGGGGAATGGGCACAAGAGTGGAAGCTGGAATATAAGTGAGGATTGTACTAAAAAAAATCCAAGAGAAAGATAATGAGGACTTGAGAGCTGGGCAATGATAAGAGGACAGATTCAAAAAAGATTTAGAAGGGCTGGGTGCAGTGGCTCACACCTGTAATCTCTACACTTTGGGAGGCCAAGGCAGGCAGATCACTTGAGCCCAAGAGTTCGAGACAAGCCTGTGCAACATGGCGAAACCCCATCTCTACTAAAAATACAAAAATTAGCCGAGCGTGGTGGTGCATGCCTGTAATCCCAGCTACTCAGGAGGCTGAGGCAGGAGAACTGCTTGAAACCAGGAGGTGGAGGTTGCAGTGAGCTGAAATTGTGCCATTGCACTCCAGCCCAGGCAACAGAGTGAGATTCAACAAATAACAACAACGAAAAAAGATTTAGAAGGTAAAATCCACAGGCTATACAGAAAACCCTGAAGAAGTAATAAAGAAATAAACAAATCAATATGTCAGCCTCTGACGAATGGTTTCCAAATATTAGAAGTAGTCACAAGTGCATAAGGTACCTAGATTGACTGCAAGTCCCGATTTGCCATCTACAAACCAGTGTCTTTACTTGCTACCATGCCCATCTGTCAAATAAAATGTCTTAAATTACTATTGTCAATTTTCGATAAACACATTGAGCTTTGGAGTGAGACACATAGCTAGGTTCCTAAGTAATACTCCTTTCAAATTATTTGTTATATTATGTCCTATGTCTCTGCCACCAACTTTTTAATTAATTAATGCAGATGTAAGACTATATGCACACAAATTATTTGATAATCTTGAATAAAACAGCAATTGTTTTTGATCAAATAATCACTTTTTTCAGTGTTGTAAAAATCAAATGGACTTATCTGTTCAATAAAGGTGATTGAATTAGTTGTCCTATTGACAAAAGTTTCTCGTTAAAAAAAAAAATCTACAATTGCATAAGAAGTGAATGTTCTTACCTATTGGAGTTTGAGGTATCAAAAAACAAACAAAATTTCTAAAACTGGAATACCCAAACAATAGCTTGAAGCATTCATAAGTGGTGGGAAAATTTATAATAGAGTAAAAGATCCATCAAAAATTGGTTAATAGTTGTGAGGTCTAGATTTCTGGATGTAAATTTTAAAAAAAGAAAAAGAAAGAAAAGAGAAAGGAAATTGGTTAATAGTGTTCCCTCTCCTCAGTAGCCATACTATTGAATGGAGACTTTGCGAATCACTCACTGTTTTAAAATATTGGTGTGTTAAATGCCAGTCGATAGGGGAGTGACTAAACATGGGAACAACATTTCTTTTGGAGGTGATGGAAATATTCTTAAATTAGGTTGTGGTGGAGGTTACACAACTCTGTAGATATGCTAAATTTCATTGACTTGTACACTTAAAACAGGTGCATTTTATGATATGTGAATTACATTCTCAACAAAGCTGTTGAGAAAAGTCAATCAGTAGAAGCTATGTTTCCAATCACACACCAGTCCTCTTTCTTTCTTCAAAAGAAAGGAACCTGCAAACAAATAGCCACCACCTTCTCCTGTGTGAAGAGTGCTCCAGGGAGCAGTCCTTGGAATCCTGAGGGAGAAAACAAATGCCATCAACAACCACAACAAAAACATGGTGGGCGACTTGAAAAATTATCAATAGTCTCAGCCTGCACAAGTTTGAAATATTCTTGGAGATGTAGCAGCAGTCATGGGAAGCCATAGGAAGAATGCAAGGAAAGCCATGGAATGTCCATTAGAGATGCTAGCAAGAACTTCCAATAGGAAAAGGGTCGGTTGGGCACTCTCAGGGGAACAATGAAGCACGGGGACTTGCAACGTGACTGGAATGAAAAAATACTGAATTTGAATACACAAAAAGAAAACTTGGGCAGAGATGGCATGAACTATGGCCAAGAAGTGGAACAATCACAGAAAGAGGTACAAGGCAGGGAGGAGGTGTGGTGTAAGAGGAGCCTTACCATTGTTGGGGGAAGAGTGAGGATCATGACAGTCATGTCAGGGTCTTCAAACTATACCAGCAATGGCTGGGCTCAGTGGCTCACTCACACCTGTCATCGTACTTTGGGAGGCTGAGGCAGGCAGATCACTAGAGCCCAGAAGTTCGATACCAGTTTGAACAACGTAGCAAAACCCCATCCTTACAAAAAACACAAGAAATTAGCCAGGCATGGTGGTGCAGGCCTGTGGTCGCAGCTACGCAGGAGGCCAAGGTAGGAGGATCATTTGAGCCTGGGAAGTCAAGGCTGCAGCAAGCTATGATCATGCCACTGCACTGAGCCTGTGCAACAGAGTGAGACCCTGTCTCAAAAAAAATAAAAATAAAAATCTAAGAGAAAAGTCAGTATTTGCTCTTACCAGCAATAGGGTCTAAACTCTAAGTTCTAGAAAAGATGAGGAAAAAGATAAAAAGCAATGTTGTAGATAAACTAATTTGAATCTGACCTGTCAAATCCAGTGTGAGAAGGAGAGAATGACAATTATTTTAATGATCCCAAAGAGGAAACGTTTTAGAGAAAGAATGTAGTGAAGGTTTATAGGAGGACCAAAGGAGAGGAAAGATTTCAAATGGCCACTGATTTTTGAACCTGATGGAAGAAACAGAAATAAATCTTATTAAAAATACTATTGTTTGGAAGAGAGAAAGGTTAGTTTATGTCTCCAATATTGAAATTGAAAACAGAACTTCTGAGCAAAACTATTCTATCCAATAGTGACTGGTTCGAGAAGGGGAAGGGAGGAAGAGGAAATAATATAATACCTGCATCCTTACCCTTCCTTGTCTCATTCTTAGGTATGAGGCACTGAGTCCGGCTCCAGAAAATATTCTGAGTCCTCAGAACTTCAGCTTTTAAAGATATTTGGTTTCTTCAAGTAAATTGAGTTATGAAAGAGTTAAAGTATAAATTAACAACAATTCCAATGTCTTGAACATATAATTCAATAACTGTGTGTTATTACCAGTTAAAGCACTTTTCAAAGCATGCAACTCTATTGGTTCTACAAGTAGATTTGCTTCATGTGATTTTCCTCTAGAAAATTAATAATTTTGGCACTGTGTTTTTGATGTTCTTTCTAACCTGTGTTGTAGAAGGATATTGTTGCAACTGCTGCTTTGTGTATTCTGTCTCTTGAAGATGATTTCTCACTTACTAAGTTTGAAATCTAAATCATGGGGTTGGCTGAGGCTGTTGCCAGACAGCAATATCGCCGAGTTAGGATGAAGTTAAAAAATTTGTGTTGTCATTTTGGATTTTTAACTTTATTCAGAAAAAAAAAATCCTGCATAATCTTAGAATTGCAGGCATGTGAGGTGTAGACTAATATTTTGTCTCAGATGAACAGTTTTTGCTCGTTCTGAAGGATCTGCAGGGCATGCGCTACTGAAACGGCTCATTCCCAAACTAAGCAATAAATCTAGAATTGACAGCTACACAATTCCATCATAAGTCAAGGAGGCATTGTGTTCGGTGCTCAGGCCGTCAGGTAACTAGAAACTAAGAGGGGAACAGGAATAGCCTCTCCACTGTTAGGAGAGATGTCAGAGATCATTTTTAGATTATAATCTATTCAAAATCACTAGATTTGGGAATATATGGGACACTTTTAAGTGTTTTTAATGCTAATAGCAGAACTCAACAAAAATTCAGCTTAGCTCCTAAAATTTAGTTAGGTTACCCTCTTAAACAACAGCATCAAGAACTGATTGATTGGTTTTTTATTTAGACATTTTTAAGAAAAACCAATATGATTCAAGGTTTTGTGAAAAACAATGAATTTTTTTAAACCTTTTAATGGAAGTTAAACCTGCCTTATTCTAATTTATGCATTTAGGTTTGGGGCTATGAATATCGTTTGGTCAAATACCACCCCCCCTAAAAAAAGAACTTATATTTTAAATACACAGATTCACATTTATGTAAATATAATACATTTATAACTTAACTAAGAAAAAACTGCTAAAGTAGATTTAATTTATACTTAAACCAACATTTAGTAAAATAAATAAAATTACATATTGGAATCATCAGTCACTAGAGTTACAAAAATCACAAGTTTATTAATGATAAATTTTCTTCACGATTTTGCTTTTCATGAAAATGCTTAAGACATTTTTCATGAAGTCATCTCTGGAATTTTTACAAAAGGTAGGCAGATATTTCTAATGGTGGTATATCATTTTATTTATCTATTGTGCAGATGTATACATCTGCTCTATAACACTCTGTTTAGCTTATTGCCACAGCATTAGAAAGAAAATGGCAAACTGTTTCCAGAAAACTGATTCTCATCTGCATCCTTTAAGACTAAAGGATGTCTTCTGGCTTAAAAAGAAAGGGAAATATACAAAGACAAAAAAATCAAATGGGTGATACAATTTGAAGTTTCTTTAAAAACTATTGTTGGAATCAGAATTGCAGAATTTTAGCTGGAAGATATTGTCAATTATACAGATTTTAAAACAACAACAACAACAACAACTCCAAAAGGCAACTCATGGGGAACGGCACGATTTAATGAAGATCTCTAAGGCAGAGAGCTAGTTTTCCCTACCACTTGCCATCAGAATCAGAAAATAACTCTTCTATAGAAATATCCAAAATGTGGAGGGACTATTTGCAAATTTTACATAAATTTGTGAAGTTACTGCCTAGAAGATGTGATTACAAACAAGTAAAAATCTAGCACATCTAACTCTCAGGTAGTTCAACATCGAATTTGTTATATGAGACATCAGAACATTTATAAATGGACAATCAGGAAGGCTTTTTTGACAGTAAACCAGCAACATCTACTGTCTGGAAATGGAAATAGCAAGGGAAGGCATTTCCTACACTGTATGCATGGGGCCCTGGGAAAAGGCGATGCGTTGTCACAGGTGCAGCTAAGACGTGAAGCAAAGTGAGCCTGGCTAGTGAGAGGTTGAGTACTCTGCAGACTGAAGAGAAGGAAGAGAAGAAAAACAGGAAGAGGGGGATTTACTTAGCGCAAGCACTGAATCTGCAAAGATACCAAGAAAGGAGGGAGGAAGGCAGGGTGCTGGGGACAGTGTCACCAGCAAGAACTATTTTTTTCTCTGAGCACTTACCTCTTTTCAGAGAAAATCTCCCTCCTGTGCCATCTACTTTATATCTTTCTGTTCTCTCCTTTCCCACTCTCCTCCCTAACTGCATCTCCTGCAAATCTTTTTGAACTGAAAATATTGATGATCTGAGGTTTTTTAAATTGCTTCATAAATCAAGGAATTTCTAGCTTTAGGATAATACAGTGAACATTTACAGCTAGGCCTACCCTTGCAGGCCATCTACTCTGTATTTAACAGATGAAGAAACAAGCTAAGAAAATTTGGGTGATGTTGGGGTCACCCCACTGGTGAGAGACAAAACCCCATCTGGATACCAGACTTCCTCACGGATTGGGCCCAGTAAGAATAAATTTCCCTGTAAGGTGGCCATACCTACAAAAGTGTCCTCAAAAGTTTCCACACCCCTACTCTGTTTCTATTTCTTTTGCATATGCTTGGAATTTCAGAAGCTCAATAGAATTATACATTTTCCTCATACACACTTTCCTCATTTTCTCTGAACTATTTTGAGGAAAATCAGAATTTAATATGAACACATAGCTTAGAAAGAAAACAAAATGGGCAGTTATCATTAAGTCAATGTATCTAATACGATATATTTCTGAAAAGAAGAAATCTAAATTTTAAGTTTTTATGGTCTTTTTTTAACACACACAACAAAAGGAAACACCTAGCTTTTTATCTTTAATTCCTTCTATCTTTATGCAATTTTCTGCCATAACACTGTCACTCATTGTGGAATGAAATTCCCTAGACAATCAGGAAATAGACTTTTTTTTTTTAAAGCAAGTAGCTTAAGATGGGCTGGGTGCTTGGCTTTATGGTAAAGTTTCTAAATGATAATTTTAGTTAATCAGTGTTCTAAAGATGATGTATCTCCTAATATGTACTTTATCTGCAAGTATAAAGCTCTAAACAAACCTTTCCTTTTTAACACCCTTTTACTGTAAATTAGTACAACCATTGTGGAAGACAGTGTGGTGATTCCTCAAGGATCTAGAACCAGAATACCATTTGTCCCAGCAATCCCATTACTGGATATATACCCAAAGGATTATAAATCATGCTACTATAAAGACACATGCACACGTATGTTTATTGCGGCACTATTCACAACAGCAAAGACTTGGAACCAACCCGAATGCCCATCAATGATAGACTGGATTAAGAAAATGTGGCACATATACACCATGAAATACTATGCAGCCATAAAAAAAGGATGAGTTCATGTCCTTTGCAGGGACATAGATGAAGCTGGAAACCATCTCAGCAAACTAACACAGGAACAGAAAACCAAACACCGCATGTTCTCACTCATGAGTGGGTGTTGAACAATGAGAACGCATGGACACAGAGCGGGGAACATCATACACTGGGGCCTGTCAGCGGGTGGGGGGCTAGGGAAGGGATAGCATTAGGAGAAATGTAGATGACGAGTTGATGGATGCAGCAAACCACCATGGCACGTGTATACCTATGTAACAAACCTGCACGTTCTGCACATGTGAAAAAAGAAAGGAAGACTTTGTTCCCCTTTTTTTCCAGAAACACCCTGGAGAGGAAATTTTTAATGTCAAAATGTAAAGCTATCCAGTTGTTTTCATTGTGGTCCTTCCATAAACAAGAGATAACAAGGCCAGGGTATTATTCGAATCCATTCTAGGTTTAGAAGCTAACAGTGTTGAATTTTACCAGACCCCTGTCCTCCCAGAAGACATCAAAGGTTAAATGATTAATGCCCCCACTTTTTGTGTTCCATAAAATTGTTTCCTGCAAAGAACCACCCTTTCTACAGGGCATAGGTAAGACTTATGGACACCTCTTTTTCACCCATGACAAGATCAGACACAGACCCTCCAAAGTGTCTTTTTTTGGCTTATAAATGATTAGCTTACAATAAATGAACTTCTTGTCCCTATTGATCAATAGAAACAAAATGATTGTTGGCCAAACTAATCCTTCCTCCAGGTCCCTGAACTTTAGCCCACCCTCTGCCTAAGCCAGGGTCTCACCCCTATTTATGGCTATTTACTGGAAAATAGGCTGGATCAGGATAAAACGCTGCCTGTTCCATGGTCCTATACACTGCTTTCATTCCGTTTCCTCACACCAGCTCTTTCTTGCCTCATTCACTCCTCTTATTAAAAACACCCTTTCTAGGACTGGGCATGGTGGCTCATGCCTGTAATCCCAGCACTTTGGGAGGCTGAGGCAGACAGATCACCTGAGGTCAGGAGTTCGAGACCAGCCTGGCCAACATGGTGAAACCTCGTCTCTAAAAATACAAAAAATTAGCCAGGCATGGTGCCAGGTGCCTGTAATCCCAGCTACTTGGGAGGCTGAGACGGAAGAATCTATTGAATCTGGGAGGCAGAGATTGCAGTGAGCAGCAAAAACATCCTTTTAACCTAATTCTTGAAATACCAGAAGATTTTATGGTCTCAGCATTCTCCTTATTGCAACAGTTCCCCTCTCCCTACTGCAATAATCTCTTCCCCTCCTTGCAATAATCCTTTTGAATAAACTGTCTCCTTAGTAAACCCGGATTTGTTTTTTATTTGACAAAACCAAGAATTCTAATTTAAGCTGAGATTAATCGACTAAATAAATGAGAGTTTAATAAGATAAAGCCTTCTTGCTCTAGAAGCAAAACTCTATAATGTTCCTATGAGTATTTCTATTTCTCTTATTTTTTTCTTTACTCCAAAATAAAATTGCAAAACTTTTCAAGGGCAAGGCTTTATGGGAAATATTTGCGTTCAGATGAATGAAAGGTGAAATTAATTTTTATTTTACAAATCCTACTAAAACTCTCAGTATTTTCCAAGTCTCGTCGTGGCATATCAAGTTACCCAAATTTGCCCAGATCCAAGTTTACCTTCAATGAATGAGAGAACTGCTTCTTTAGTATAGGCTCACTAGATCTTCATGCAACTCACTATTTTGCAATAGAGTGAG
Organism: Homo sapiens; assembly: GCF_000001405.40. Taxonomy (NCBI): domain Eukaryota; kingdom Metazoa; phylum Chordata; class Mammalia; order Primates; family Hominidae; genus Homo; species Homo sapiens. Next base: position 93,639,276 of record NC_000008.11, read on the forward strand.
AAATCTAAATGTTTCCATTCAAAATTCCTGTAACAGGCTTAGTTCTCAGTTGTTTACCAGCACAGAAATCTAAATTTTCAATGACAAAAACCACATTGTGAGGCCTAGTGCTACTGCAAATCTTCAGGACACTTCTATGGCCAGAACTGACCAATACCATATGCCACATTATGTAAACAAATATGTACCAATGGGCTCAATTGTATAAACCACAGGAGGAAACAAAAATGATGAGCTGAACAGATGTCTTTGAAACATAATCATTTCTCTGGCAATCCAGGAGACAAAGACCCTTTGGTCTGTGGAAATAAGTTGGAAATCTTTATACACTCACTCTTTATTTAAAAAAAAAAAAGACAATTAGTTGGCTTTTCATAAACTTAACTGATCTAGGTAAATGTGAATTAATTTAGCTAGTGCCTTTCTACACATGTTGGAAGGAATCATTCATTTCCCTTGACATTAGTTCTAGGCTCAGATCCAATGCCTATATACTCTGATTCATTTCTACTGTATTCATTTAATGCTGTGATCTATTTATTCCTTTATTTATTAAATATTTGTAGGCCTCCTACTGTGTGCTAAGCACTAGGGATACAGTTGTGAACACAATAGACAAAAATCTCTATCCTCATGGAACTTGCAATCTAGACAGGAAATAAACCAGATGAGTTTTTAAAATATAGAATGCTAGATGTATGATGTGCTAAGGAAAAAATAGTAATGAAGCAGAAAAAGGAGCTACAAAATGTTGTGGCACAGGATGATTTTAGTCACTGAAATGGTCACCATTTTTTCTTTTTTTTTTTTTTTTTTTTGAGACAGGGTCTCACTTTGTCACCCAGGCTGGAGTACAGTGGAGCAATCATGGCTCACTGCAGCCTCAACCTCCTGGGCTCAAGCGATCCCCTGGCCTCAGCTTCTCGAGTAGCTGGGACTACAGAACTACAGGCTCCTGCCACCATGCCTAGCTAATTTTTGTATTTTTTATAGAGATGGGGTTTCACCACCTTGTCCAGGCTGGTCTCAAGGGATACATACATCTCAGCCTCCCAAAGTGCTGGGATTACAACTGTCAGCCACTGAACCCAGCCAAAAAGGTGATTTTTGAGTCAAGATCTCAATGAAGGGAAAAAACTAGCCATGCCAGTATGTGGGGGCAACACTCCTGGCCAAGGGAGCAGCAAGTGCGAAGGCCTAGACATAGAAACTCTGCTACCCGCAGTGCTGAGCACCACAGAGGATAGAAAGAGAAATCAACTCCAAGAGCTTAACATCTAGTCAAGAAGGTTAGCACACAAAAGTCTTGAAACTAACATCATGTAGACTTTTTAAGAGTTAAAAGAAAGATGCAAACATGACTCCATAGCAGTTCAGGAAAGGAAGCAATCATATTGTTGAGAAGGCTCAGCTGGTAGGGTGAGGTGGGGTTGGGAGTTAAAAACACTCCACAGAGGGGTCAGGCACAGTGGTTCACACCTGTAATCCCACACTTTGGGAGGCTGAGGCAAGAGGATCGCTTGAGCCCAGGAGGTCAATACCAGCCTGGGCAACATAGTGAGATGTGAGACCCCATCTCTACAAAAAAATTAAAAATTAGCCAGGCTTGGTGACCCACAACTGTAGTCCCAGCGACTTGGGAGTCTGAGGTGGGAGGATCACTTGAGCCCAGGAGGTTGAGGCTGCAGTGAAATATAATCACACCCTGCAACAGAGGGAGACTCTGTCTCAAAAAAAAGTTAAAAAATAAAATTAATATTTTTTTCAACGCTCCGTAGGAGCTTAAGTTTGAGAGGAGTCTTTACAAAGCATGTGAGTCAATGAAGTGGGACCCAGGGGTCAACTACAGTCAGGACCAAAAAAGGGAAAAACATATAAATATTAAATATTATGCAGATATATAAATGTACAAATATTATATGTAATATAAATATTATGTAATATGTATTGTACATATAAAATGTTATAATATAAATATATAATTATTGTACACATAAAATCTTATATTACATATAAAATGTACAAATATATGTAATACAAATATTATGTATTTATATTATATTATATTATGTAATATTTGTATTACATATAAAATGTTTGGCCATATATTAAATATATACTATTTCCCCATGCATAGAACTTTCCTTGGTACCTCAAATGTGTTATGAGTAGGGCTTCTTCTTACATTCGTTAATTGAGAAAAAGAGGTGGAAAGTTATTTGTCAAATATAAAGTCCTCACTGAATGCAGTGGCTCACACCTGTAATCCCAGCACATTGAGAGGCCAAGGCAGGCGGATCACTTCAGGCCAGGAGTTTGAGACCAGCCTGGCCAACATGGCAAGACTAAAAAAAAGTGATGCTGACATTTATATTAAGATTCAGGTCAAGATGATATTACATATTCTTTTTGTAAATTTAATATTTTAAAGCAATACTTTTAAGTTTTACTTTTAGCTTGAAAGTAATTTTATTCTAAAAGAATAAAGAAAAGACCAAGGAAGATTTCCATTGTCTTATTTGGGGGCTTATTAATTACAATTAAACAGAAAAGCTACCTCTACAATTTTCATTTGCCCTATACATAGTTCAAAAGCAATCGTTTGCTGCCCCCTGCTGTAAAGAGATTCCTTATCTTTCAATAAAACTGGCTTTAAAAGAAAAAAATTACTTTTGCAAAGAATTGCAGTATCATACTTTACTGCATTTTAAGTCTAAATATCAAATATCATGGCTTCTTTGGCATGCGGATTTAGAATTTTTTCTTTTAATTTTCATTTCTATGACTTTTTTTCTGGTTATCTTTTGGTCATTGTTTGCTAACTTCATTGCTCTGTGGTCAAGCATTTTCTAGGACAAACATGGCCCCATGTGTGGTTGGATTTTATAGTTAGGAAATGCTGTTTCATCATGTTCAATCTGCATGTAGTTATTGAATTGTCTGCTTGAACTGTATTTGTGAGAGCTCTGGTAGTGGCTTCATCATTTCTCCTTAGAGTTCTGTCCCTTTATTTTTATTTTTTTTCATTTTTTTGAGGCTATGTTTTATACATACACACACCTCTTTCTTGATCTTTTTATTATGTAATACTTTATTTTTCTCTATGAGCCTTTTTGCCTTAATCTATTGTTTGATACTAACATTCGAAGCAGCTTTCTTTTCTTTCTACTTACCTTATATATCCCTTTATTTCCATTCTTACTGTATTCTATTTTAGATGTCTCCTGTACATAACACAAAATTGGATTGATCTATTCTGTGAATATTTATATTTTAGTTAAAGCATTTATTCCATTAACATCTTCTGTATTAATATATTTGAATGTTACATTTGTCTTCTATTTTTTTTTTTCTCTAGCTTCGTTTGCGTATTTTTGTCATTTTCCTTTTTTATTTTCTGTACATTTTGAATTTATTTACTCTATTATTTCGGTGGTTGTTCTAAACAATTCTTACCCTTGCTTGTTCATTAAATCTAGATTTGGATACATGTTAGTCTCCTGATTTACATGATTTTCTCATCATGCATTTTTGGGTTTTTTTATTGATATATCATAGTTGCACATATTTAGTTCCATATTTTTTTAACTATCAGAAGAAATTTTTATTATTGTTGCATACCGTCATTTCTTGTTTCATTATACTTTCACATTTGCCATTTTGAGTGCTTTACTTGATTCTTACACTCTGATGTAATTCTTACACTCTTTGCTTTGGTTAAGTAATCAAAGGATTACTTCTTTCTCCCTGAAGTACATCTTTGATAATGTCTCTTTTCTGTGGGTTGCAAGCCCAAAGATACAGTTTTTCCCTCTTTCTCATGGACATTTTTGGTGGTTATAAGATTTTATATTTTATTTCAGAACTATGAAGATGTTCCACTATCTTCTGGCTTCCACCGTTGCTAATGAGAAGTCAGATGTTGGTCTAACGTTTGTTTCTTTAAAGCAGTGGTTCTTGGGGTGTGGTCTCCTGACCAGCAGCATCAGCATCACCTGAGAACTTGTTAGAAATACATACTCTTTGACCCCACACCCCAGATCTTCTGAATCAGAAACCTGGGGATGGGGCCTAGAAATGTGAGATTTTTGTTTTGTTTTGTTTGTTTTGAAACAGGGTCTTGCTATGTTGCCCAGTCTGGTCTCGGACTCCTCCGTGCAAGTGATCCACCCACCTTGGCCCCCCAACATGCTGGGATTACAGGTGTGAGCCACTGTGCCCGGGATTGGTTTGTTTCTTAATAGAGAGATATTTACAGTGTGGTTTAACAAGACCTCCAGGTGACTTTGATGTAACTTAAAGTTTGAGAACTATTGCTTAAAAGGTAACCTGTCTTTTTTCCTCTGGTTGCTGCTAAGATACTCTTTTTACCATTGGTATTCTCTGGTTCCTTGTGCCTAAGATTTCTTTTTATCTCTTCAATCTGTTTATATTTTCCTCCTGAAATGAAAAATCTACAGCCACTATATTTTGCAGTAATTGCCTGTGTTCCTTCTCTGTCTCTCATAGGTAACTCCAGTTAGAAATGGTTCAGTTCTTTATCTTCTGCCCCCTCCATGGTTCTTAGCTGTATTTATCTTTCTCAACTTTTTCTGCTTGCCTTGCATTTATTGCTACAAGTAGCTTTTAAACTTCAGCCTTCATAAAAATTTCATGTAGGGTTTGTTAAAGTACTAATTCATCAGCCCACCCCAAAGAGTCTTACTTAATTGAATTCCGATATGATCTGGGTATCAGAATTACTTAAAGTGCTCCAGGGGACGTTTATGCAGCAGACTGTATTTAAGAAACAAATTCTTTTCTTTTTTTTTTTTGGCTGTGTGTAATCTAAAAGCTAGTTACTTAGGGCTTTTGTTGTGGGTTTCCATTTTGCTTTTATTTTAGCAATTGTAATTGTCCTTTAGAAATCGTAAATTTTAAATTTATATATTTATTTATATATTTTATATATATAATTTAATTTATATATTTTATATATATAATTTAATTTATATATTATATATAATTTAATTTATATATTTTATATATATAATTTAATTTATATATTTTATATATAATTTAATTTATATATTTTATATATATAATTTAATTTATATATTTTATATATATAATTTAATTTATATATTTTATATATATAATTTAATTTATATATTTTATATATATAATTTAATTTATATATTTTATATATATAATTTAATTTATATATTTTATATATATAATTTAATTTATATATTTTATATATATAATTTAATTTATATATTTTATATATATAATTTAATTTATATATTTTATATATATAATTTAATTTATATATTTTATATATATAATTTAATTTATATATTTTATATATATAATTTAATTTATATATTTTATATAATTTAATTTATATATTTTATATAATTTAATTTATATATTTTATATATATAATTTGATTTATATATTTTATATATAATTTGATTTATATATTTTATATATAAATTTAATTTACATATTTTATATAATTTAATTTATATATTTTATATATAATTTAATTTATATATTTTATATAATTTAATTTATATATTTTATATATAATTTAATTTATATATTTTATATATATAATTTAATATATATATTTGGGGGTGTTTGAGACAGGGTCTCATTCTGTCACCCAGGCTGGAAGTGCAGTGGCATGATCTCGGCTCACTGCAACCTCCACCTCTCAGGTTCAAGTGATCCTCCCACCTCAGCCTCCCAAATAGCTGGGACTACAGGCATGCACCACCACGCTTGGCTAATTGTTTTGTATTTTTAGTAGAGACAAGGTTTTACCATGTTGGCCAGGCTGGTCTTGAACTCCTGACCTCAAATGATCTTCCCGCCTCAGCCCCGGAAGTGCTGGGATTACAGGCATGAGCCACCGTGCCGGGCCTATATTTACGTGAATAAAAGTGGTAGAAATAGTCCTAGTAAGGACAGAAATACCAGTCAGTAAAAGTAACAAAAGAATTATTCTCTCTGTAATATTTACATCTGCAAATTCTGAATATCCTGGGACACTGTGATTAAGTTGAATATGGGGATAAAATCAAATATTGGGAGAATTATGGTCACAAGAGAGCTCATAATGGAACAGTTTGGAGCAAAATTTGTTTTGGACCACAAACTTGATGGAGGAGGAAGATCTAAAACTGAGGAACAGGGCTGGGTCGAGGGTGAGGTTTGTGAGTGCAGTGTCAGATGCCACTCACTCTGAGCCAGCCCTGTGCTTGTCCGACTGGCACTGGAAGTGCCTCCTTAAATACTGCACACTTATCTAGCAGCCTGGGTTGCCTCATCCCAGTCCTGGCCCTGGTGAGAAGAAAAACAGATCCCAATAAGAATAGAGTAAGATTTGTAGGAATAGAAAAATAGAACTGCTTTTGCCATGTTGTAAAGAAAATTAAAAGAGAAATTAAGCAGCCTTAACAGCTCTGAAAAAATTAACCTATCTGTTCTAACTTATCCATGGTGACAGCATTCTGATTATCCTGGTTTTGTTTCATGTATCACATAGAAACGGGGCAGAACGTCTCTGAGTTCATAGATCCTACAGCTGTTCTGGACTCCCTGTTCCACATCCTGCCAGAGTCACTTAGATGCCGAAATCTTTTGCATTTGTATTCAGGGCCACTAGCTCTTTGAGAACCTCTGATATAGTTTGGATGTGTATCCCCACGCAAATCTCATATGGAAACGTAATTCCCAATGTTGGAGGTGGGGCCTGGTAGGAGGTGATTGGATTGTGGGGGCGGATTTCTCATGAATGGTTAGGAGAATACACACCAGGGAGAAGGGTTATGAGTGCAGCGACCGCGGAAAAGCCTTCAACGACCCTTCAACCCTTAGGAGCCATGCAAGAACTCACCTCAAAGAGAAGCCCTTTGACTGCAGTCAGTGTGGAAATGCATTCTGGACCCTCTCAGCCCTGAAAATCCACGAGACTTCACACTGGTGAGAGCCCTTACAAGTGTGATCAGTGCAGGAAGGCATACGGCCAGAGCTGCCACCTCATTGCACACAAAAGAACGCACACTGGAGAGAGGCCCTGTAAGTGTCACGACTGTGGGAAAGTTTTCTGGCACCCCTCCACCTCAACAAGCAGGTGAGGAATCACACGGCGGAGAAGCCCTACGCATGCACGCAGTGCGGCAAAACCTTCCGCTGGAAGTCGAACTTTAATTTGCGCAAGAAGAACCACATGGCGGAGAAGAGCTATCATGTCCCCGGAGGAAACACATGAGACTTCACATAGTCAAGAAACCCGTGGAATGTCGGCAGTGTAGGAAAACCTTCCGAAACCAGTCCATCCTTAAGACTCACATGAACTCTCACGCAGGGCAGAAACTGTACGGGTGCGGTCTCTGCGGGAAAGCCTTCAGCGGGAGCTCAAGCCTCACTGCACACAGGAAGATACACACACAAGAGAGACGTTAACGACTGCGCCACCTGCAGGAAAGTCTTCAGTGATTATTTATCCCGGCGGAGGCACACGAGCATTCACCTTGTAAAGAAACGCGTTGAGAGTAGGCAGTGTGACAAAGCCTTCAGGAACCAGTCAACGCTGGAGAAGCACATGCAAAGCCACATGAGGGAGAAACCGTAGGAATGCGATCACTGTGGGAAAGCCTTCAGCGTCAGCTCCAACCTGAACGTGCACAGAAGGATCCACACCGGGGAGAAGCCCTATGAATGCCTTGTCTACGGGAAAGCCTTCAGCGAACATTATTCCTTCAGGAGCCACGTGAAAACTAACCGGGGAGAGAAGCTCTTTGAGTCGTCCATGTGGAAAAGGCTCCAGTGAGCACGCCTGCTTTAAAGAAACAGGATTACTCAGACCAGAAACAGATCTCACGGGTGTAGGAGAAAGCCTCTGTGAGCCCGCATCTTACTGGGTGCAAAAGAATCCAAGTAACTTGGGAAAAGTCCAATTCCTGTAAAAACTGTGGGAAGACGAGGTGTTCTCATCCCATAGGAGATTTGTGAGAACTCACGCTGGGTGAGAGAGGGTGAAAATGTACATCTGTAGCATGCAGAAGCCTTCAGGGTACATTCAGCTCTTAACAAACACAGAAGGACTTAAGGCGAGAAACCCCAGCTTGGCATTTAATGTCAAAATGACTTCAGCACTACTTCTAGCCCCTGGGCCCATGAGTAATAATAAGCACACTAGGGAGAATCTCTGTAAATGCAGTGGCTGGGGAAACCCTTCCTGGTCTCACTCGATTCCTCATGACAGAAATCACACTAAAGAGAGAAATCAGTGAAATAGGGAATGTGGGAAGGTCATGAAGAGGTCCGCAAACCATGGCTGGCTGTCTGTGGCATGGTTTGCAAGCTAACAATAGTTGGTTCATCTTTAAAGAGGAAGAAAGTGTGATAGAGAACATATATGGCCAACGAAGTCTGAAATACTTCCTGTCATCTGTCCCTTTCCAGAGAAACTTGGCTGACCCTTTGTCTACAGCAGGGGTCCTCAGGCAGGCCGTGATTTTTCTGTCCAGGTGTCATTTGGCAATGTCTGGAGACATTTTTGGTGTTAGAACTGGGAGAAGATGCTCCTGACTTGTAGTAGGAAGACATCAGGGATGCTGCTGAGTACCCTCCAGTGCACAGGAGCCCCCCACAACAAAGAGTTATGTGCCCCTAAACGTCACTGTTGCTGAGGTTGAAAATAATCATGCAGTCATTCCTCAATTATTTCCTGCAACAATTCCTCAGTTTTCTGAATCTTCTGAGCAGTTACACTAGGAGAAATTTCTTTTACAAAACCTTTAAAATACAATCAGTGCTGATAATTCCTATGTGGAAATGATTCCAGCCATGGTCCCCTCACTTGTGCATGTGAATATTCTCCCTGGGGGAGAACCCCAACAGGATATTCGTGTGAATACGGGATTGCACTTATTCTCTCATCATGAAAACAGACCCCCGCTCATAAATTTTTCATCTTTATTTTTAAGGTTACACTCCTCTAAATAACCCTAAAGCCTCATCACAAAAGGTTTATATATAGTATTTTTACTATAGCTTCATCCTTGATAACGTCCTAATTGCCTTTTGGACAACCTACTTGACCAATCACGTATTTAGATCCATGTGACATGTGGGTATTTCTCAGTACTGGTTTGTTACTGGCACCTAATTTACACGCATTGTGACCAGAGCATGATGTCTCCATCAAGTGGTGGTATGTTTGCAGCCTGCTGTCCAGCCAAGAGTGGCAGATACTTCTAGTGGCTTCCCCAGTGTCCACTCTCATCTTCTTCCCATATCAAGAAAATCCAGGTTCTGTCAGATTAGTAAAGTGTGCTATTTTTAAAAAATCTCTTACAGGTTTTCTTGCAACTAGGACCATCCATGTCCCACAACCCTGGCCAGTGACAAATCAGCAGATTCGCTGCATGGGCTTCTGAGAAAGTTCTTGAACAGGGGTCATTCTTAAACCTGAATTCTTCCCTGTATGTTTTGCTCTTTGCTTTACCCCCTACTTCTCACCTTGCAAGGAGATTCGGTACCTAGTATTGGAAGATCCACCTTATGACCATGCGGATGAAAGCCACAGTCTAAGGAAGTGACTGCAGAAAGCCCACAGCTACCCTGGCCTACCCTGTGGTTTCTTTGAGTGTCTGCACCAGCCCTGGACTTGTTACTTCCAGACGTCCTATCACATGAGAAAAAATAAAACTGATTATGGGTTTAAGCTGCTATGGCTATTTCATAGTTTTTCTTTTAAATTTGTGTATTTTGAGATGGGGATCTCACTATGTTGCCTAGGCCAGACTCAAACTCCTGGGCTCAAACAGTCTTCCTGCCTCAGCCTCCTAAATAGCTGAGAATACAGGCATGTGCCACCACACCCAGCTTTTCTATTTAATTTATTTATTGGTGGGAGGGGGGCTCTACACCCAGCTGGATGCTGCCTGGAGCCCATACACCTGGTCATTGATGAGTTTTATAACTAGTAGCTAAATGTGTGGGCACAACACGTATACTTTTAATTGTAGGATATAGGTTTTTTCATTTGTTTAAACCAATCTTTGACATTGTATTTCAGGTCTTTGATATATCTTTATATTTTCTTGACTTATTGATCATGGTATATTGGTTTTCACAAAAGCGCATGGAGACAGGTACGGTCAGCATCTCTGTTTTGCATATGGGGAATCTGAGGCATGAAAGCTGAGATTTACTTGTCTGAGGTTAGCCTGTTAGCTGGTAGCAGTGTTTGCCTTTGAACCCTGGTGTCTGGCTCCGGAGCTTATACCTCCTTTATGCCCAGCACAGACACTGCTCTGTGGTGTCCAGGGTCTATGCAGAGATTCCATATTTTTGCCCTGGTGGTGCTTGGGGCTGGGGCACCCGATAAACAAACCAGTAAACATATTGTGTATCATGTGGTGTTAAATGCAATGGAAACAACTATGGAGGGAGCATGTAGGTTGAAGGAAGCTATAGGGTGGGTAGGGAAAGACTTGCATTTAAACAGAGATGTCAGGGAACTGCAAGCATGTGCCCTTAATCTCAGGAAGAGCACCCTTGGCAGATCAAAGGCCATGAAGAAGAATTGTGCTTGGGGAAGCCGTGCAATAGCAGAGGTGTTGGTGTGGTGGAGTGAGGCAAGCTTGGGCATCGTAAGAGGATGATGATGTCAAAGCTGTATCACAGACTGTTCAGAAGGGCATCTAGCTGGTTAACTAGATCTTGAACAGAAGAATGACAACTATCCAATTTCAGTTTTCAAAAGGATCACAGTGGCTTCTGGGTTGATAAGCTAAAGAGGGATGAGATATGAACAGAAACCAGTTAGAAGGTCATTGGAGAATTCAAGTGAAATGTAATGGCAGCCAGATTAAGTAGTAGGAGGAGTGGTTTGAGAGTCACATTGATGAATATAGTCGGAGTTTCATTTTAACTTCCAGACAGTAATAATTTTATCGTTATCCCACTATTATGCTTTGTACTGCTAATGAACAGTCGGTTTTTCCCATTTTTCCCAATTACGAACAGTGGTGCTGTAAGGTGTACATGCCTTCCGGAGCACTAGTACGTTTTTCCAGGAGTGCGAGGTTGCTGGGTTGTAAGGTCTCTGCGTGTTCATCTTATCAGTATAATGCCAAAGTCATTTCTACAGTGGTCGTGTAATAATACCGTGTGTGTCTGTGTTTTTGAAAACAGGTTTTATTGAAATGTAACATACATATAGAAATGTGCTTAATTCGTAAGTGAACAAACCAGTTATCACACGAACACTTCCACCTAACCACCAGGTCAAGAAAGAATATTACCAGTATTTCAGATAACTCCTCTTTTTTCCTCCAAATTACACACTCTTCTCTACTCTGTAGGTAACCAGTATTCCGACTCTGACAGTATGGTTTGACTTTTTGTTTTGAGCCCTGTGCAAATGCAGCCAGACAGTATGCATTCTTTCTTTTGTTCTTTTGTCCATCTTAATTTTTCCAATATTTTTGTGAAATGATTAGTATTGTTTCCCGTATCTCTAACTAGTACATTTTATTCTGTTCCTTTGTTTGAATATTCCACAATTCATTTAAGCATCTTATATTCATGACCATTGAACTTTGCAGTTTGGGGTTATTGTGATTAATACTGCTATGAGCACATTTTAATATTTCTGGTTGTGCATGGTGTGTGTACTTATCTTGGTGCATACCTTGGACAGAAATTGCTGGGTCATATGATACGCATTTGTTCATTTTCAGTGGATACTGCCAGTTTTCTACAGTTTATATTCTAACAAACTATTCTGTGCAGTTAGACAAGAAGATACTCACGTTGCCTTCCTTGTCTTATTGATTTATATACGTGTGAGCCCACTGGGTGGATATATGTTTTGTAGATATTTTCTCCTACTCTGTGGCATGTCTCTTCATGTTCACTGATTCTTTGGCCATGTTCAGATGATTAGCCTATCAAAGGCATTCTTCCATTTCTCTTATGGTGGCTTTGATTTCTAATATTTCCTTCTGATTCTTTGAGTTTCCATTTTTCTGCTGATAATGCAGGGCAGATAAGCCCCCAAACTGGGGATTAGCCCAGGTGGTTCTCGGCTTTGCTCAGGAAAGAATTCAAGAGCCAGCGGTAGTAAAAGAAATTGGGTTTATTGAAACAGCAGGGCACAGCGGAATAGCTGCCCCTTGTGGAGCAGGGGTTACTCATAGGCAGTGTGCCCAGAGTAGCAGCATTTGGGCTATTGGATAACAGTATTTATACCCACTTTTAATTACATGCAAATTAAGGGATGGGCTATTCAGATAGCTCTAGAAAAGGAGTGGTAACTTCTGGGTTTGCCATGGCAGTCGTAAATTGTCATGGCGCTGGTGTAAGTGTCTTACACTGATGAGCAGTGAGCGCACCTGGAGTATCCTTCAGCACCATTTGCTGGTTCTGCCACTTTCTTTATTTCATTCTGTCTAGACTAGGAAATAAGCCCTGCCTGTCTCCTACCACACTTAGATTACCCATCTGTTCTTGCGTGTTGTCCACTTTTTCCGTTAGAACCCTTAGTATATTAACCATAGTTATTTTAAACTCCCAATCTGATGATTGCACAATCTCTGCCATATCTGAGGCTAGTTCTAATGCTTTCTCTGTTGGCTTAGACTTATGTGTTTCCTTGCCTTTTAATGTGCCTCATAGCTTGTTATTGAAAGCCGGGCATGGTGCATTCGGTGGTAGGAACAGCAGTAAAAAAGGCCTTCACTGTGGTTGTTCTGGCTAGAAGTTAGCCTCTGTTTACTGCTTGCTGTAGTGATGGTGTCAGAGGCTAAAATTTCCTCTAGTGTCTTTACTCTTATTCCTTCTGTTGTCTTTCAGTTTTCCTAGAGACTTGAAATAGGAGCTAAGGCTTGCAATGCTTCTAACTGTAGTCCTATTAATATACGGGAGCCCTACTGATGTGGTGGTTACAGTGCAGAGAGTGAAGTGTCTATAATACCAGGAGTAAGTCTCAGTCTTTAGTGAGCCTGAATTGGATATTTCTCTTCCCCTAGGTCAGTTAGGTTTTGTTAAAACCCCAGTAGTTTAGTCTCTGGCAACATCGTTTCCCTTGAGGGCAGACCTTACCAAGAACAGAATGTTCTGGGTATAAATCAGAAATACTCTTTCCTCCCCCAGGTCAATCTTCACAGTAAGAACCTAGTTGGGTTCCTGGAGGGAAAACTCAAGAAAGGTAGGAGAGTGGTTATGAGTCTTTCAATTTGGTGTTTGTCTTGGAAGACTGTAAAATTTTCTTTTTCCTTCACCACCCAATTGCCAAAGGATCCCTCTCCCTTCGTTTCTGTCTTCCAGAAGCCTTGTGTTTAGAAGACTGTTTGATACGGTTTGGCTGTGTCCCCACCCAAGTCTCATCTTGAATTGAGCTCTCACAACTCCCATGTGTTGTGGGAGGGACCCAGTGGGAGGTAATTGAATCATGGGGGCGGGTCTTTCCTGTGCTGTTCTTGTGATAAGTAAGTCTAACGAAATCTGATGGTTTGAAAAGGGGAGTTCCCCTGCACAAACTCTCCTGCCTGCCACCATGTAAGACGTAACTTTGTTCCTCATTCACCTGCTGCCATGTAAAACATAACTTTACTCCTCATTCGCCTTCCACCATGATTGTGAGGCCTCCCAAGCCATATGGAACTGTAAGTCCATTAAGCCTCTTTATAAAGTCTTGGGCATGTCTTTATTAGCAGTGTGAGACACACAGTTGCTCCGGCCTATAAATGACACATAGTTTTAAGTCCGTTTCCTCAGTTCTCCTATGATTGGCCAGGGTTTTTTTGTTTTGTTTTTTTGCATTTTCAAATTAAGGGTAGATCAGTTAGAGGGTCTTGCTCCAGCTCTGTCTCAGGCCCCCCACCAGCTCTCCCTCTTTCTTGCAGTTTACCTCACAGAGCCTTGGGATGGGCATGTGTGGAACCGTGGTGCTGAGATTTCATGCTTTATCTCATTTTACTCATAGTTATTTTGCAATTTTGGCATTCTCTCTGTCTTAAAGGCAGTGTTGAAGGTATAGTTTTTTGCAGAAGATTCATTGTGGAGTTACTTCATAGCATTTAAGAGGAGATTTGGGGAGGTTGCTTACCACTCAGTGGCCATTGTTTTTAGTTACCTGGAAGTCTCCTCACCTTAGTTTTTGAAAATACTTTGGCTGGATATGCTTTTTTATTTATTTTATTTTATTTTATTTTATTTTATTTTTTGAGACAGAGTCTCTGTCACACAGGCTGGAGTGCCGTGGCATGATCTTGGTTCACTGCAACCTCCACCTCCCAGGTTCAAATGATTCTTGTGCCTCAGCCACCTGAGTAGCTAGGATTACAGGCATGCACCACCACACCCAGCTAATGTTTGTATTTTTAGTAGAGACGAGATTTCACCAGGTTAGCCAGGCTGGTCTCAAACTCCTGACCCCAGATGATCTGCCTGCCTCAGACTCCCAAAGTGCTGGGGTTACAGCGATGAGCCACCGCAAGCAGCCTGGATATGCTTTAAAGAGGTCATATCTTTGTCTTCTGGCCCCCATTGTTTCTGACTAAACGTTAGCATTATTCTTAACAATACCCCCTGTATGTAATGTGTTGTTTGTCAAACTGTTGAAAACTCAAGATAATTATCTAAAGGGCAGCCAGTGACAAACAACACATAAATGTATATGCTTTTATCTTGTTAACCTAATCATATGTCAGTTTAATTCTTGGGCCCAGCTAGGATCCTAAGATGATGTAGGTGAAATTTTGTTGCCCCTACAATATGGACATTAGTTTGCAAGTGTCTGTTTGAGTTCCTGCTTTCAATTCTCATGAATTTTCATAAATTGTTTTCTTCCTCATTTTCTCTTTTTGGGACTCCAGTTGTGCCACAGGACTCTTGAGATTCCTGTTTCATTCTTCTGATGTGTTTGTTTTCCAGTTTGTATGACTTCTACTGACATATCTTAAAGTTCACTAGCTCTTCTGTCCTTTTCATCTGTCGAATCCATTTAGTGACTCCAGTCTGGGCAACAGAGCAAGACTCCGTCTCAAAAAAAAAGGTTGTCTTCAAACCACCTTCTGCTGCAAGCAGAACCCAATTGCATAGGAATCCAAGCTCCATGACAGAGAGACTGAGATTGAGCCTGGATGGCCGTTGGGGACCTCATGGCTTTGAAGACCCTGGACCCCTGTGTTGCTGGAGATGGTGTCCATGTCCTCACATGGTCTGTTCAGCCCTCTTTCTGACACGTGGAGAGGCAGCTGCTGCAGTTCAGCACAAACAAGATGTAGTGTGTCTCCAGGGTGGGAGCCTGCAAGTGGTGGACTCTGACTTTGACTTTAAGGACAGATTTATTCCTTAATGTTCTTCCTTATATGATTGGTTCTTCTGCGGGCCTCAGACTCCCTCTCCAATAGCCTTCTGCCCTCTCCCATTTTCACATTTTCATTTTCGAGCTTCCTTAGCTAAGTGGTTTTACTTTTGTTTGTTTGGTTTTGTTTTTTTTTTTGGAGACAGGGTCTGGCTCTGTTGCCTAGGCTGGAGTGCAATGGCATGATCTCAGCTCACTGCAACTTCCACTTCCTGGGTTCAAGAGATTCTCCTGCCTCAGCCTCCAAAGTAGTTGGGATTACAAGTGTGCACCACCATACCAAGCTAATTTTTGTATTTTTAGTAGAGACAGTGTTTCACCATGTTGGCCAGGCTGGTCTCTAACTCCTGACCTCAAGTGATCCTACCACTTTGGCCTCAAGTGCTGGGATTACAGGTGTGAACCACCGCACCTGGCCTTACATTCTTATTCTGTGCATATTGGCCATTGTGGGCATCATTCCTCACCTGAGTGAACACATCCATGAGTGAACATCCTGAGTGAACACATTCTTAATATTTGTGTCCTGGGACCTAGGTTTGGAGTTTGGAGTAGAGAGGCCAAGGGTTTGTAGTTAGGCAGTTTACTTCCAAAATATTTATGTATTGTGCTTTCTTCTTTATAAAAACCCTTGGGGGACTGTTAAGTGTGTGTCTAAGCATGGATTTGGGTTTTCTAGACCGGAGATCCCTAGTCCCTTTGAAACTGTGAGTGTGAGGGTATTGTGTTTCTTCAGAAGGTCTAAGAGTTGTTCTCAGTGTGGCTGCAGAGTATGTTGTACTTAGAGACCTCATCAGAATGGATAACCCATTTGCCTCCATCACTTACGAAACAACGACTTTTAACAGCTACATTAAAATGCCACCGGTGTCATACTACATTCCCATAAATACTGGGAATTAACTGATGACTTTCTCGTCCAGGTATTCATAGGCTTTGGCAATGCAGCAGTACACAAAACAGATCACATTCATAGGATTCTTGACGTTAAACTTTGGAGCCAGAGTACAAGCAAATATATAAACACTAGGAAGAAAAGTAAATACTGGCAAGAATAAATGCTATGAGGAAGAGTAAAGTTGAATAGGAGTATAGACAGATGGGATTGACCCATTAAATTTGTACAGTGTACAGCATATACTCATTTTTGGTCACTTTAGCTTTTTAGGAGACAAAATCATCCCAGAAATTCTCAAGAGGCAGCTTTCCTGTATATTTCAGTTTCTCCTAAAACAGACGAGGGCTGGGAATCCTTACTGAGGAATCACCCAAGCATTTCTTTCTGTCATGACAAGAGCAATTTCTGTTTGCTCCATGAGACCCTGTTTCTCTCACTTGCAACTTTCAGGTTGCAAGATTTGAAAAATGCTTGTCAAAACTTGATGGTTATTTTTGTTTTTAAAGGCAGTTGGATCTGCATTTTCTTCCAGTCCACTCACTTCTATCTGGTTTGGCCTCCAAGATCTTAATCTTTTGCCCAAGAAAATCCTTCCATTTAAGCAACATGAGTTCCTTGATTTGTCTTTAACTAGCCCACTGCTACTTTTCTGAGTTCAGAATAAAAGCTGATTATTATTATTATTAATTATTATTATTTTGAGACAGAGTCCTGCTCTGTCACCCAGGCTGGAGTGCAGTAGCATTATCCCAGCTCACTGCAACCTCTGCCTCCTGGGCTCAAGCAATTCTCCTGCCTCAGCCTCCGGAGTAGCTGAGATTACAGGCACGCGCCATCACGCCCAGCTAATTTTTTTGTATGTTTAGTAGAGACAGGGTTTTGCCATGTTGGCCAGGCTGGTCTCGAACTCCTGGCCTTAAGTGATCTGCCCACCTTGGCCTCCCAAAGTGCTGGGATTACAGGCGTGAGCCACCATGCCAAGCCTAAAAACTGATTGTTAACCTGATCTAGCTACTCCTCAAGAATCTAAATCAATCAATTTGCTTCCTAGAGACAGAAGTTCCAGCCTTGGACCTTGACAGTTATTTTGACCTAACATTGGTTATAATTTTTCTCCACCTCATCCAAGAAGATGGTGGATTGGAGCTCTTTTCACATAGCTCTACCAGTCTTCCCAGCAACACTGGGGGATAGTCATTTATTTTCTGCAGAGAAAGAGATAGATGCAAACAGTCAACTTACCAGCTGGAAACTGGGACCAGTATCAATTTCTTACTGTGACATTCAGCCCTCGTTTCACCTCTTGACCCCTTTCATGCCTGCATCAACCAGTAGTTCTGTTGGGCTCAGAGCTCATGACAGAGGGGCTCACAGTCTTCCATTTGGCTTCCTGAAATCCCTTCCTTTCCCCCTTGCAGTGCTTCCATGCAGGACTTTGGGTGTGTAGTAAGGGCAATTTACATCCCTGAGTGAAAATGCTGAATGTTCAGCGAGACTTGGTCACTAGGCTCATTAGTGAAGAAATAGCAATTATTCACTGGGTGTTGCTGGGTTTGAAAAAAAAGAATGTGTACCCTAGAGGCCAGGCCCAAAGGGAAGAGCGTACTTTCTCTCAGCATTGAGTAAAATGCATTGAGTAAAATTTCTCTCAGCATTGAGTAAAATCGGCCATTTTTTAAATGAGCCTTGGGAATCCAGCATAACTATTCCCTCTATGCCCAATTTCTCCATCACAATAATGAATTCCATGTACAACCTAAGTGACCCATGACTGTTGGATCTCACTGCACTTCCCTGCCAATTCTCAGAATAGACAGAGTATCACACAGTTTCTGGAGGGAACTTCTAATTACAGGAACACAGTCTTCTTGTCTGAGTCTTGTTTTCAGTTCTTGGAGCCTCTCCAGCAGGGACCATCTCTGTCTTGTGTAACATTTGGGTAACATCCAATCCACTCAGGAATTCTTCCCTGCTAGGGAACCTACTATATACACCCAATGAATATCAGCTAACTGCCCTCCACTTTTAATTAGGTTTTGGGAAGAAAGATCAATAAGACATAGTCCTGCCTTTAAGGGAGTAAAGGTCTAGGAGAAGAGGGATATCAACAGTAAATAGGATACCTATTATGGCAGGTGAATCCATTTGGGAGGCCCCAAATGGGGAGGATGTTGAACTTGGACCATAAAGAAAATCTAAGTAGAAGAAATGATACAAGCTAAGTGTAGAAGGCTTAGTAAGAGTTCAGGAGTAGAATCAAATAAGCATGCTAATCCTGAGCGCAAAGGCGCAGGAAAAAATGACAGTATGTTACATTCTGTAGATAAAAGACAATCTTTGGAGTAGGAGGCAGGCTTGAAGGGTAATATGGGACAGATTGTAGAACACACACATATCCTTTTTCTTTTCTCTTTTTTTTTTTTAAGACAGTCTCATTCTGTCGCCCAGATTGGAGTGCAGTGGCATGATCATAGCTCTCTGCAACCTCAACCTCCTGGGCTTAAGCAATCCTCCAACCTCAGCCTCTCAAGTACTTGGACTATATGCACACGCCACCATGCCTGACTAATTCTGTTTTTTATTTTTGTAGAGACAGGGTCTTATTATGTGGCCCAGGCTAGTCTCAAACTCCTGGGCTCAAGCAATCCTCCCACCTCAGCCTCCCAAAGTGCTGGGATTAGTCATGAGCCACTGTGCCTAGCCCACACACATACATCAATATGTTAGTCTATCAGTTTCAATTTAAGTGTTAGTTGGAAATTGATGAAAATCAATTGACATTTGATGAAATTTGCAATTGAGCAAAGTAACTGGTTCCCAATTGGGGAACAGAATGAAGGGTCCTGTTTCTATGAGGTTTTGTTTCATAGCCACCCCAAACATAGTAGTTTAAAACAACCACCAGACTGGGCTCAGTGGCTCATGCCTATAATCCCACCATTTTTGGAGGCCAGGCGTGAGGATCACTTGAGTCTAGGAGTTCAAGACCAGCCTGGGCAACATGGCAAAACCCTGCCTCTCAAACAACAACAACACCCCACCACCATTTATTTAGGGTTTGTTGCTTGACATTTTAGGCT
This sequence comes from Homo sapiens, assembly GCF_000001405.40. NCBI lineage: Eukaryota > Metazoa > Chordata > Mammalia > Primates > Hominidae > Homo > Homo sapiens. The sequence goes on from NC_000008.11 coordinate 93,658,627, forward strand.
GTGCTTGGCCTGAGAGTTCTCTTGACTGGCTTCTGCAGTCAGTTTCTAGGTAGGATGGGGTTTATTGTTCTTCACTCAATGTCTCATTCCCCAGCCATCCAGGTTAGGCCTGTTCACACATTGCTGGAGGGTACCATTGTATTGGGTTTGCCTACACCCCATCAGCCAGTGCAATCATGGGTGAGCCCAAGGTGAAAGGGCCCTCAGCTACATGGAAGGGGCTTGGATATAGGAAAGAAAAGACACAGTGGCCATTCTTTTCTGCAGTTGGCCACAAGGCCAGTGTATTATTGCAAGAATCTAAGTAAGGGGAACAGCTTTATTGAGATATGATTAACATGTGGGAAATTCGCATTTTTTAAGTATACAACCTGATAAATTTCAGCCTATGTATACACCTATGAAGCCATTACGAAAATCAAGATTGTGAACCATTGGCCAGGCACGATGGTGTGTGCTCATAATCCCAGCTACTCAGGAGGCTGAGGTGGGAGGGTCACTTGAGCTCATGAATTCAAGACCAGCCTGGGCAACATAGCAAGACTCCATCTAAAAAAAAAGTGAACCCCCCAAAATTTCCTAATGCTCCTTTATGTTAACAATTAATATAAACAATAATAATAATTTTCCCCATTCCTTCTCCAGGCAACCAATGGGAGAGGATCACACTTCTCCCAGTGGCTCATTCCATTATTGACAGCCATAACCATGTTTTCCTGTAAAGAATCGAAGCCTGACTTCCAACCACTGCTTTTCTTTCCCTGTTCTTCTCCTCCCCTCTCCCCCAATCCTTTTCTCACCACCAACGTAGTACACTGTGGAGCCTCTCACAGTGGAGGTCTTATTGTGCCCTTAGTGGAAGGTGTGGAGCTGTAGAGATGTGGGCAGGCACTCAATTAGAGTCCTTCCTGTTTCATTGGAAACTACACATGGAAAGAGCCACATAGAGCATCCTAGAGATGGAAACAGAACATTGCACACAGGTGGAAGAAAATTTGGTTTATGATTCTGGGAGGCTGAACATGAAATCATGCCAGCAGACCAAAGCAGCTTATTTTATGAGACTGAAATTCTTTATAGAGATACTCAGATCCTAGGAATAAACAGCTTAAGTTTAAAAGGTCTTGAAACCATAAATCTCACTAATTATCTTGGTTTTGTCTTTATGGCTGGTACACAGCAAATCCTGCCAGAGCTACTCAGCAGCCCTAGGCTTCTGTCCCTTTAGATATCAAGGTGTGCAGGTGAAAGCACAGCATTTTCAAGACACCTGAGGGCCACCACTCATTTGTTTTTAGAGACATTAGACCTTCTACTTTACATATATATATATATCTTTTGGCAGATGCTACTGTGTGGAAGATCCTGAGTAGATATTTGCTTGGAGGTGTTGGAGATAGGAGTTGTCCACAGATGGTATCCTATCTGGTTAATTGATAGAAGTCTCCTCCTTTCTGCAGAACAGTATGACCCAGAATTGGAGGACAGTAGCCTTTGCTCCTGTGTTTCTCTTCCTGGGCTGGTCTTCCATATTTGGAGTGGGATTTATAGTTTACAGTGAAGTTAGGAGATGGTCCTGTCTGATACAGTTTGGCTGTGTCCCCATTCAAATCTCATCTTGAATTGTAGTTCCCATAATCCCCATGTGTAGTGGGAGGGACCTGGTTGGAGGTAATTGAATCTTGGGGGCGGGTTTTTGCCATGCTGTTCTTGTGATAGTAAATAAGCCTCAAGAGATCTGATGGTTTTATAAAGAGCAGTTCCTCTGCACACGCTCTCTTGCGTGCAGCCATGTAAGACGTGTCTTTGCTCCTCCTTCACCTTCCACCATGATTGTGGAGCCTCCCCTGCCACGTGGAACTGTGAGTCCATTAAACCTCTCTTTCTTTATAAATTACCCAGTCGTGGGTATATCTTTATTAGCAGTGTGAGAATGGACTAATACACTGTCCTGGATAGAGTTGAGTTTGGCCAGTTGATGGAACTATGTAGTGGGAGACTCCACATCCCTAAATAAAGGCCATGGAGACTCAGCCAACTTCATGCAGACATACTCCTCAGTCCTTCAGCTGGTAGAAGGAATTGCAACATACAGGCTGCTGGAACCTACTTCCTGCACCAGACCTAAGGAGTACGGAACTCCTCCAAGAAGATGGGAGGTTAGCAGGAGGAAAGACACGTATCTTTCCCTCAAACAGTCCCCAAAGCAGAATTTATGGGAAAGTCTTGCCTTAAAGATCAGCCAGTGGACATTTTTTAGATAATATAGTGACAAGTCAGTGATTTCCATGAATCATTTTGTGTTGCTATTTCTCTTTTTGCAAAATGGAGATAACAGTGGGACCCACCCCATCCAGTTTGGATTTGTGTCCCTTCTAAATCTCATGTTGAAATGTAATCCCCAATGTTGGAGGTATGGCCTGGTGAGAGGTGTTTGGGTCATGGGGGCAGATGGTCCCTTATGGTTTGGTGCTGTCCTTGCAATAGTGAGTTGCAAGATCTGGTTGTTTGAAAATGTGTGGCACCTCCCCTGACCCTCTTTTGTTCCTGCTTTCACCATAAGCCGTGCCTGCTCCCCCTTCACCTTCTGCCATGAATAAAAGCTCCCTGGGGCCTCCCCAGAATCTGAGCAAATGCCAGCACCAGGCTTCCCATCAAGTCTGCAGAACCATGAGCCAATTAAACCTCTTTTCTTAGAAATTACCTAGTTTCAGATATTTATTTATAGCAATAATGGCCTAATACAATGCCACATAGGTAGCTGTGAAGATTAACTGAGTTAACATGTGTAAAACACTTAGAGTAATGGCCTAACATACTGAGCACAGAATGAATATTCAATTTAGCAAATATTTACTTAAAATCTTCCACACAGTAGCATCAGGGTTAAAAGCAGATATCAAGAACAAACAAGGGGCCGGGCACGGTGGCTCACACCTGTAATCCCAGCACTTCGGGAGGCTGAAGCGAGTGGATCATGAGATCAGGATAACGAGACCATCATGATGGGGTCATGAAACCCTGTCTCTACAAAAAATACAAAAAGTTATCTGGGCATGGTGGCAGGTGCCCGTAGTCCCAGCTATTTGGGAGGCTGAGGCAGGAGAATGGCTTGAACCCAGGAGGTGGAGCTTGCAGTGAGCCAAGATCGCGCCACTGCACTCCAGCCTGGGCGACAGAGCGAGATTCCATCTCAAAACAACAACAACAACAACAACAAACAAACAAACGAACAAAAAAAAATAACAAACAAGGTTTCAGCCAGGCATGGTGGCTCATGCCTGTAATCCCAGCACTTTGGGAGACTGAGACGGGTGGATCACTTGAGCTCAGCAGCTTAAGACCAGCCTGGCCAACATGGTGAAACCCCGTCTCTACTAAAAATGCAAAAATGAGTTGGGTGTGGTGGTGTGCACCTGTAATCCCAGCTACCTGGGACGCTGAGGCAGGAGAATCGCTTGGACCCAGGAGGTGGAGGCTGCAGTGAGCTGAGATCATGCCACTGCACTCCAGCCTGGGCAACAGAGCGAGACTCCATCTTAAAAAAGAATAAAGAATAGACAAGGAGGCCAGGCACGGTGGCTCTCGCCTGTGGTCCCAGCACTTTGGGAGGCTGAGACAGGTGGATCACGAGGTTAGGAGATCGAGACCATCCTGGCTAACACGGTGAAACCCCATCTCTACTAGAAATACAAAAAAATTAGCCAGGCGTGGTGGCGGGCACCTGTAGTCCCAGCTACTCGGGAGGCTGAGGCAGGAGAATGACATGAACCTGGGAGGCGGAGCTTGCAGTGAGCCGAGATAGCGCCACTGCACTCCAGCCTGGGCGACAGAGCAAGACTCCGTCTCAAAAAAAAAAAAAAAAAAAAAAAAGAACACACAAGGTTTCTTGTCTTCTGGAGTTTTGAGATCAACCTAAAAATGTTTATCTGTTTATTCAGCAAATGTGCTTTGGTGTTTCTTCTACTCTGGACCTAAGGCCTCATTCTTCATGAAAAGACTCTCTTAACTAGAGGCCAGTATCTTAGGTCCACTCTGTTCTGGGCTGTAAGACATCCAGGGTCTTCCCCTCACTTTTTCCTGCATTTTCCTTTCCTTGACTGTTCTGGGTCATGGTAGATCAGTGACTCTCATCCATGGGCAACTTTGCCCCAAGGGGGACACTGACAATGTCTGGAGACTTCTTTGGTATCCATGACTTGACACTGGGGAGGTAAAAGGGGATTGCTAATGGGTTGAGGCCACATATGCTGCTAAATGTCCTACAGTGTACAGTTTTATAATTTTATAATGTATCATTTTATTATTTAACAGAGACAGGGTCTTCCTATGGTGCCCAGGCTGGTCTCAAACTCCTGGGCTCAAGTGATACTCCTGCTTTAGCCTTCCAAAGTGCTGGGATTAAAGGTGCACCTGGCCAATGTCTTACAATATACAGAACAGCATGCCCCATGGAGAATTATCTGTCAACAGTTCCCAGGTTGAGGAACTCTGTGATAGAATAACAGTTTCTGGACCAGTAATTAAGGGAAAGATAGAGGGTAGTTAGCTACTCCTTAAGGCTCATAAGATGATACTCTTCTGGTCCCATCTAGTTATACCCAGGCCACCAGGCCCAGGGGTTCCATAGAGTGGTTGGAAGCTAAGACCTTATTGCACTAAATAGAACCTTTTTTTTCTCTCCCAATAGCAATCAATTTGTACCTCACCTTTACTCACCTGCCAGAGAAGAATGTATCCAGACAGAGCTTCCAAGGGTTCAGGATCCAGCCAATAGATTTTCTCATTTTTCTTTTAATGAGCTTTCCCAGTTTGAAAGAACCTGCCAATAGATGTGCCTCTTGGAACAAATTGAATAGTCAAGAAACACACTAGCCAATGTAAACAAAAAATAAAACTCTAAGCACCCCATCCATCTAAATGAACCCCTCCTTTTGGCCAAGGACATTCCAAAGTTAACTTGAAAAACTAGTCCAGGCCATGATGAAAAGTGGGAGTCAAACATGACTCATTATCCCTCCTCCCTTTGGAATTCATTATACCCTTCTCTCATTGGAAAATATCTTCAATATTCCTGCTAACATCACAGTGGGTGTACACCCTGTGATATTACGCAGAATACATCTCTGATATTCCTGCTAATATCACAGTGTATGTACCCCCTGTGATATTATGCAGGATATATCTTCAATATTCCTGCTAATATCACAATGGGTGTACATCCTGTGATATTTAGCAGAATATATTTTTGATATTTCTGCTAATATCACAGTGGGTGTACACCCTGTGATATTATGCAAACTGTATCTTCGATTTTCCTGCTAATATCACAGTGGGTTTACACCCTGTGATATTACACAGAATATATCTTCGATATTCCTGCTAATATCACAGTGGGTGTATACAGTGTGTGTGCACCCTATGATATTATGCAGAATATATCTTTGATATTCATGCTAACGTCAGCTTGGGTGTACACCCCGTGACATTATCCAGAATATATCTTCAATATTCCTGCCAGTATTACAGTGGATGTACACCCTGCGATGTTATGCAGAATGTATCTTTGATATTCCTGCTAATATGACAATGGGTGTACACCCTGTGTGTGAACTCGGTGATATTATACAGAATGTATCTTCGATATTCCTGCTAATATCACAGTTTGTGTAAACCCTGTGATGTTATGTAGAATATATCTTCGATATTCCTGCTAATATCACAGTGGATGTACACCCTCTGTGTACACCTTGTGATATTATGCAGAATATATCTTCGATACTCCTACTAATATTATAGGGGGTGCACACCCTGTGATATAATGCAGAATACACCTTTGATATTCCTGCTAACATCACAGTGGGTGCACAGCCTGTGATATTATGCAGAATACATCTCCAATATTCCTGCGAATATTACAGTGGATGTACACCCTGTGATATTATGCAGAATATGTCTTTGATATTTCTGCTAACATCACAGTGGATGTACACCCTGTGACATTATGCAGAATACATCTCTGATATTCCTGCTAACATCACAGTGGGTGTACACCCTCTGATATTATGCAGAATATATTTCTGATATTCCTGCTAATATTACAGTGGATGTACACCCTTTGATATTATGCAGAATATATCTTTGATATTCCTCCTAATGGAACTGTGGATGTACACCCTGTGTGTATACTGGGTGATATTATGCAGAATATATTTTTGATATTCTTGCTAATATCATCCATATTCCTGCTAATATGGATGTATCATATCTGTAATATGCAGAATGTATCATCCATATTCCTTCTAATATCACAGTGGGTGTACACCCTGTGATACTATGCAGAATACATCTCTCACATTCCTGCTAATATTGCAGTGGGTGTACAGCCTGTGGTATTATTCAGAATATATCTTCAATATTCCTGCTGATGTCACAGTGGATGTACACTCCATGATTTTATGCAGAATATATCTTTGATATTTCTGCTAATGTCACAGTGGGTGTACACCAGGTGGTATTATGCCGAATATACCTTCAATATTCCTGCTAATATCACTGTGGTTGTACACTCTGTGATATTATGCAGAATATATGTTTGATACTCCTGTTAATATCACGTTGGTTGTACACACCCGGTGTGTAAAGAATATATCTTCAATATTCCTGCTAATATCACAGTGGATGTACACCCTCTGTGTACACCTTGTGATATTATGCAGAATATAGATTCGATATTACTGCTAATATCACAGTGTTTGTACACCCACTGTGATATTATGCAGAAAATTGATATTCCTGCTAATATCATAGTGGTTGCACACCCTATGATATTATGCAGAATATATCTTTGACATTCCTGCTCATATCACAGTGGGTGTACACACTGCAATATTATTCAGAATATCTTTGATATTCCTTCTAATACCACAGTTGGTGTAAACCCTGTGTGTACACCCTGTGATATTATTCACAATATTCTGGAGAGATATTTTTGCTAACATCACACAATCTGTACACACAAGGTGTACACCCACTGATATTAGTCAGAATATCTTGGATAGATACTCCTGCTAATATCACAGTGGGTGTTCACCCTGTGTGTAAACCCGGTGATATTATTCAGAATATCTTGCATTGATACTCCTGCTAATAACACAGTGACTGTCCACCCTGTGTGTACACCCAGTGATATCAGTCAGAATATCTTGGATAGATACTCCTGCTAATATCACAGTGGGTGTCCATGTGTGTACACCTGGTGATATTAGTCAGAATATCTTGGATAGATACTCCTGCTAATATCACAGTGGGTGTACACACAGAGTGTGTGATATTTGTCAGAATATACTGAATAGATACTTTTGCTAATATCACAGTGGGTGTACACCCTGTGTGTACACCCCCGGTGATATTATTCAGAGTATCTTGGATAGATACTTCTGCTAATATCACCGGGGGTGTACACCTTGTGTGTACCCTCAATGATATTAGCCAAAATATCTTGGATAGATACTCCTGCTAATATCACAGCGATTGTACACCCTGTGTGTACACCTGTGATATTATTCAGCATATCTTTGATATTCCTAATATCACCGTGAGATAATTGATAAACACCCGAGCAATATTTCTTTCATTCATATCACAGTGAGTAAACACTCTGTTTAAATACTGTGAGATGACGGATGAACATCCAAGTGATATTTCTTTCATTCATATCACAGTGAGTAAACACTCTGTGTAAATACTGTGAGATGATTGATAAACATCCAAGCGATACTTCTTTCATTCATATCACAGTGAGTAAACATTCTGTGTAAACACCATGAGATGACTGATAAACATCCAAGCGAATTCCTTTCATTCATCTCACAGTTCGTAAACAGTCCGTGTTAACACTGTGAGATGATATGACTATTGGAGCGATATTTCATTAGTATCACAGTGTGTAAACACTGTGATATGATATGAATATCAGAAGGATATTTTTATCATATCACAGTATATAAACACTGTGATATGATGAATATCCGAGTGATGTTTCATTAATATCACAGTGTGTACCCACTCTCTGTACACACTATGATATGATGAATATCAGAGCGATATTTCTTTAATATTACAGTGTTGTAAACACTGTGATATGATGAATATTGGAGCGATATTTCATTCACACTGTGTGTACACACTATGATACTTCACTAATATCAGTGTGTACACACTGTGATATGATGATTATCAGACCGATATTTTGAGTCTGTGTACACTCTGTGTACATGCTGTGATATGAATGAAATATCGCTATGATATTCATCATATCACAGCGTGTACACAGAGGATGAATATCAGAGCTACAGTTCATTAATTACTATCACAGTGTGTACACACTCTGTGTAACCAGTGTGAAATGACGAATATCAGAGTGATACTTCATTACTATCACAATGTGTACATACTGTGATATGACAAATATCAGAGCAATATTTCATTAATGTCACAGTGTATACACACTGTGATATGTACACACAAATACACACGGTACACACTGTGATATGATAAACATCAGAGCAATATTTTATTAATATCACCGTGTGTAAACTCTCTGTAAACACTGTGATATGATAAATATCAGAGCGATATTTCATTAATATCACAGTTTGTAAACTCTCTGTGTAAGCACTGTGATGATTACTATCATCAGACAGATATTGATATTTCATTAATGTCACAGTGTGTAAACACTGTGATATGATAACTATCATCAGAGCGATATTTCATTAATATCACAGTGTGTAAACACCGGATATTATAAATATCTGAGTGATATCTCATTAATATCACATTATGTAAATACTGTGTGTAAACTCTGGCTATTATAATTATCAGAGCGATATTTCATTAATATCACAGTGTGTCAACACTGTGTGTAAACCCTGGATATTATAAATATCAGAGTGATATTCCATTAATATCATGGGACATATCTCAGAATAATAAGAGCTATCTATGACAAACCCACAGCCAATATCATACTGAATGGGCAAAAACTGGAAGCATTCCCTTTGAAAACTGGCACAAGACAGGGATGCCCTCTCTCACCACTCCTATTCAACATAGTGTTGGAAGTTCTGGCCAGGGCAATTAGGCAGGAGAAGGAAATAAAGGGTATTCAATTAGGAAAAGAGGAAGTCAAATTGTCCCTCTTTGCAGATGACATGATTGTATATCTAGAAAACCCTATTGTCTCAGCCCAAAATCTCCTTAAGCTGATAAGCAACTTCAGCAAAGTCTCAGGATACAAAATCAATGTACAAAAATCACAAGCATTCTTATACACCAATAGCAGACAAACAGACAGCCAAATCATGAGTGAACTCCCATTCACAACTGCTTCAAAGAGAATAAAATACCTAGGAATCCAACTTACAAGGGATGTGAAGGACCTCTTCAAGGAGAACTACAAACCACTGCTCAATGAAATAAAAGAAGATACAAACAAATGGAAGAACATTCCATTATCATGGGTAGGAAGAATCAATATCATGAAAATGGCCATACTGCCCAAGGTAATTTATAGATTCAGTGCCATCCCCATCAAGCTACCAATGACTTTCTTCACAGAATTGGAAAAAACTACTTTAAAGTTCATATGGAGCCAAAAAAGAGCCCGCATCGCCAAGTCAATCCTAAGCCAAAAGAACAAAGCTGGATGCATCACGCTACCTGACTTCAAACTATACTACAAGGCTACAGTAACCAAAACAGCATGGTACTGGTACCAAAACAGAGATATAGATCAATGGAACAGAACAGAGCCCTCAGAAATAACGCCGCGTATCTACAACTATCTGATCTTTCACAAACCTGAGAAAAACAAGCAATGGGGAAAGGATTCCCTATTTAATAAATGGTGCTGGGAAAACTGGCTAGCCATATGTAGAAAGCTGAAACTGGATCCCTTCCTTACACCTTATACAAAAATTAATTCAAGATGGATTAAAGACTTAAACGTTAGACCTAAAACCATAAAAGCCCTAGAAGAAAACCTAGGCATTACCATTCAGGACATAGGCATGGGCAAGGACTTCATGTCTAAAACACCAAAAGCAATGGCAACCAAAGCCAAAATTGACAAATGGGATCTAATTAAACTAAAGAGCTTCTGCACAGCAAAAGAAACTACCATCAGAGTGAACAGGCAACCTACACAATGGGAGAAAATTTTCTCAACCTACTCATCTGACAAAGGGCTAATATCCAGAATCTACAATGAACTCAAACAAATTTACAAGAAAAAAACAAACAACCCCATCAAAAAGTGGGCAAAGGACATGAACAGACACTTCTCAAAAGAAGACATTTATGCAGCCAAAAAACACATGAAAAAATGCTCATCATCACTGGCCATCAGAGAAATGCAAATCAAAACCACAATGAGATACCATCTCACACCAGTTAGAATGGCAATGATTAAAAAGTCAGGAAACAACAGGTGCTGGAAAGGATGTGGAGAAATAGGAACACTTTCACACTGTTGGTGGGGCTGTAAACTAGTTCAACCCTTGTGGAAGTCAGTGTGGCAATTCCTCAGGGATCTAGAACTAGAAATACCATTTGACCCAGCCATCCCATTACTGGGTATATACCCAAAGGACTATAAATCATGCTGCTATAAAGACACATGCACATGTATGTTTATTGTGGCACTACTCACAACAGCAAAGACTTGGAACCAACCCAAATGTCCAACAATGATAGACTGGATTAAGAAAATGTGGCACATATACACCATGGAATACTATGCAGCCATAAAAAATGATGAGTTCATGTCCTTTGTAGGGACATGGATGAAATTGGAAATCATCATTCTCAGTAAACTATCGCAAGAACAAAAAACCAAACACTGCATATTCTCACTCACAGGTGGGAATTGAACAATGAGAACGCATGGACACATGAAGGGGAACATCACACTCTGGGGACTGTTGTGGGGTGGGGGAGGGGGGAGGGATAGCTTTAGGAGATATACCTAATGCTAAATGACGAGTTAATGGGTGCAGCACACCAGCATGGCACATGTATACATATGTAACTAACCTGCACATTGTGCACATGTACCCTAAAACTTAAAGTATAATAATAATAAAATAAAATAAATAAATAAATAAAAACTTCAGAGAAAAAATAAATAAAAATAAATCATTCTACCATGAAGACACATGAATGTGTATGCTCATCACAACACTATTCACAATAGCAAAACATGGAATCTACCTAGATGCCCTTCAATGGTGGACTGGATAAAGAATATGTCACACACACACACACACACACACACACACACACAAACAATGGAATACTATGCAGCCATAAAAAAGAATGAAATCATGTTCTTTGCAGCAACATGGATGAAGCTGGAGACCATTATCCTGAGGGAAATAATGGAGGAACAGAAAACCAAATACTGCATGTTCTCACTTACAAGTGGCAGCTAAACTCTGAATACAAATGAATGCAAAGAAGTTAACACCAGAGACTACTAGAGGGTGGAGGGTGGGATGAGAGTGAGTATTGAAAAACTACCTGTTGGGTATTATGCTCATTACCTGGGTGACAAAATAATGGCAAGCCCCTGTGACACACTATTCACCCATGTAACAAATCTGCATGTGTACTCTATGAATATAAAATAAAAATTGGAAAGAAAAGAGCAAATTAGGAATAGAAGAGAACTTCCTAAACTGAAAAACAGTATTTAATAATATCCTACATAAAATTATCATAATGGCAAAACATTAAGTGCTTTTTTCCTGAGATTCACAATGAGACAAGAATTTCTGCTATTTCCACTTGTTTGTTTTTTTTGCAACATCATACTAGTCATAAAATTTTGCAATGAGGAAAAAATGAGAACAAAATTCATGAGGTTTGGATAGGAAGAAGTAAAACTCTCAGGGTTTGCCAAAAAGATAATTGTGTGCATTTAAAATTCAAAATAATTTGTAGACAATTTAAAATTAATAAATGATTTAGCAATATCACTGGACATAAGGTCATTATAGAAAAATTATTTAAATTTATATCTCAACTGATATGGTTTGGATCTCTGTCCCCACTGAGGTTGGAGGTGGGCCTGGTGGGAGGTGATTGGATCATGGGGGTAGAGTTCTCATGAATGGTTTAGTGCCAGCCTCTCGGTGCTAGTCTTATGGAAGTGAGTGAATTATCATGAGATCTGGTTGTTTTAAAAGTGTGTAGCATCTCTCCCACCTCCTATCTTGGTCCTGCTCCTGTCATGTAAGACGTCTGCTCCCACTTTACCTTGTGTTATGAGTGAAAGCTCCCTAAGGCCACCCCAGAAGCAGATGCTGCCATGTGCTCTGTACAGCCTGCAGAACCATGAGCCAATTAAACCTCTTTTCTTCATAAAAAAAAAAACTTTTTTTAACCAATACATTAAAAAAAAAAACTTTGTGTAAACCCTGGATATTATAAATATTAGAGCAATATTCCATCAATATCACAGTGTGTAAACACTGTGCATAAGTACTGGATATTATAAATATCAGAGCAATATTTCATTAATATTGCGGTGTGTAAACAGTGCGTGTAATTACAAATATCAGAACAATATGTCATCAATATCACAGTGTGTAAACACTGGATATTATAAATGTCAGAACGATATATCACCAATATCATAGTGTGAAAACACTGTGCATAATTAAAAATATCAGAGTGATATGTCATCAATATCACAGTGTGTAAACACTGCATGTAATTACAAATATCAGAGCGATATGTCACAAATATCACAGTGTGTAAACACTGCACGTAATTACAAATATCAGCAATATGTCATCAATATCACAGCGTGTAAACACTGCGTAATTACAAATATCAGAGTGATATATTGTCAATATCACAGTGTGTAAACACTGCATGTAATTACAAATATCAGAGCAATATGTCATCAATATCACAGTGTGTAAACATTGTGCGTAATTACAAATATCAGAGCGATATGTCGTGAATATCACAGTGTGTTAACAATGCACGCAATTACAAATATCATAGCGACATGTCAACAATATCACAGCCTGTAAACACTGTGTGTAATTACAAATATCAGAGCAATATGTCATCAACATCACAGTGTGTAAACACTGCACATAATGACAAATATCATAGCGATATGTCGCCAATATCACAGTGTGTAAACACTGGATATTATAAATATCAGAACGATATATCACCAATATCACAGTGTGTAAACACTGTGCTTAATTACAAATATCAGAGCGATATATCAACAGTGTGAAAACACTGTGCATAATTAAAAATATCAGAGCGATATGTCATCAGTATCACAGTGTGTAAACACTGCGCGTAATTACAAATTTCAGAGCGATATGTCACCAATATCACAGTGTGTAAACACTGAGCGTAATTACAAATATCAGAGCGATATGTCATCAGTATCACAGTGTGTAAACACTGCACATAATTACAAATATCAGCGATATGTTGTCAATATCACAGCGCGTAAACACTGTGCGTAATTACAAATATCAGAGTGATATATTGTCAATATCACAGTGTGTAAACACTGCGTGTAATTACAAATATCAGAGTGATATGTCATCAGTATCACAGTGTGTAAACACTGCACATAATTACAAATATCAGAGCGATATGTCATCAATATCAGTGTGTAAACATTGTGCGTAATTACAAATATCAGAGCGATATGTCATCAGTATCACAGTGTGTAAACACTGCGCGTAATTACAAACATCAGAGCGATATGTCATCAATATCACAGTGTGTAAACACTGCACATAATTACAAACATCAGAGCGATATTTCATCAATATCACAGTGTGTAAACATTGCACATAATTACAAATATCAGAGCGATATGTCGTCAATATCACAGTGTGTAAACATTGTGTATAATTACAAATATCAGAGCGATATGTCGTCAGTATCACAGTGTGTAAACACTGCATGTAATTACAAATATGAGAGCGATATGTCATCAATATCACAGTGTGTAAACACTGCACATAATTACAAATATCAGAGCGATATGTCATCAATATCACAGTGTGTAAACATTGTGTATAATTACAAATATCAGAGCGATATGTCGTCAGTATCACAGTGTGTAAACACTGCATGTAATTACAAATATCAGAGCAATATGACATCGGTATCACAGTGTGTAAACATTGTGTGTAATTACAAATATCAGAGCGACATGTCATCAGTACCAGTGTGTAAACACTGCACGTAATTACAAATATCACAGTGATATGTCACCAATATCACAGTGTGTAAATACTGCACGTAATTATAAATATCAGAGCGATATGTCGTCAGTATCACAGTGTGTAAACACTGCACATAATTACAAATATCAGAGCGATATGTCACCAATATCACAGTGTGTAAACATTGCGTGTAATTACAAACATCAGAACGATATATTGTCAATATCACAGTGTGTAAACACTGCGTGTGATTACAAATATCAGAGTGATATATTGACAGTATCACAGTGTGTAAACACTGCATGTAATTACAAATATCAGAGCGATATACCGTCAATATCACAGTGTGTAAACACTGTGCATAATTACAAATTTCAGAGCGAGGGAGCGATGTATCACCAATATCACCGTGTGTAAACACTACATGTAATTACAAATATCAGAGCGATATGTCATCAATATCACAACGTGTAAACACTGAGTATTATAAATATCAGAGTGATATTTCATTAATATCACAGTGTGTTTTCACTGGATATTAGAATATCAGGGTGATATTTTATTAATTTTTTTCATTAAATTTTTTAAGTGATGTAAAGAATTTAGGGAATTTATCACCTCCCATAGATATTCGGGTGCTAATTAATAGTAAGAACCTGAACTTTTAGATCAGACTGCCTGGGTTCAAATTCCAGTTGTACTATGTGTGACCTGGGTCAAGTTGCTGAACCTCTCTTCTCTTCATTTCCTAATCTGTGTAATGAGAATGATATGATTAATATCTACCCCATGTGGCTATTATGACCAGTATGAGAATTAAATGAGCTCAGAAACTGCCTAGACTATTTGGCTCAACTGTTGGATTTTACTGGATACGTACTTAGAAAGCAACAATGGGGGTACTCCAAGTTGCTCACCATGACACATCGCTCCTCATTATTTTTCTATTGTTGTAGCACCTCTTTCCTTCTAATATACTGTAGAATTGAATTATTTATTACATCTATAATTCTTTGCCTGCATTCATCACTCCAAGAGTACGGGGCTCTTTGTTTTGTTCACGGACATATGCCAAGCAGTTTATCAGAGTCTGGCACATAGTAGGTACTAAACAAATATTTGGTACTGAATAAATTTGCTGTCATAATTTCCTTGACATTCGTAGAAACTTCAACTCTTAAGACTGCCAGAAATTTTAAAGGACAGCACATTCATTCAATAACCTCGTGTCAAAGACGTATTCTGTGACTGGTGTACAAGGCACCTGGTATACAAAATGACTAATGCACTATTTGTGATCAAGAAGCAAACCAAGCTCAAAAATGAAGCATTTCAATACAATAAACAGTAATAGATTTAAGAACAAAATGAGGATTGAAAAGGAGAGAGTGTAAATCTCTCCAGGAGAGTCAGAGACGACTGAGTTGGGATAAGAGGTGTTCCCCAGGCAGAGAGTGCAGGGTACAGACAAACAGAGCAACAGCATGAAGCAGAACCAGGAAAGAACACAGTGTGTCTGGGAGACATAGAGCAGTGTAGGGTGCTCGTGATGGGGAAGATTTATTACCGTGATTATTGGCTGAGATGTCCTCAGTTCTGCAAGGACCATGTTTGTGATTATAGGCGTTAACAAAGATTGGTTTGGTTTGGTTTCAATCAGGCATGACTAAATACTGAGAAATGGGATATCAGTGAGGCGCTGGGACCATGCAAACAGAGGCCAGACTGTCAGCAGCAGGTACGCCAAGATCAGAACTCAAAAAATACAAAGAAATAAGAGTCAGAGGAAATCCTGGGCAAGATATCAAGGCGATGACAATGGCTCTCTTCTGTGTGGGGGTCCAAAAAAATATAAAAGTGTTTTATGAAAGAAAAAAGAAAATGCTTATGGGTCTGTCAGAACAACCAGACTGGCCAAAGCTGGGATAACTTCAGAAGAAAAGCAGAGGAGCCTTGGGCCAGAGGAGAGCCTAGCTAAGTAGCCCCACAAGAGCAATCGCATTGAGGAGGATTTCCTGTTAATCCAGCACCACCCCCACTGTTATGGCTGGATATTATCATAACCTTGTTTTATATTTTTTAATACTTACATCACCTAGTTATCTAAGTATAACTCATTTCCACAATGTGAATACAATTTTTCTCAATAAATCATTTTGACATCTCTGAATCTCAGGTTAAACAGTCTCTCCTATTATTAAAAAGAGGAGCCTGAACCAAGTGAACTTATCATTGCAGTCACCATCTTAGTGTCCAGAGAGAGCAAACCAGCAAACTTCAACTATCCCTGACTAAGCGTAGTACCAACCCCTTCAAAGGCCCGGCAATGCACTGAAAGCCAGGTGAGCCTGCTGACGACACAGTAACAAGAAGGCCAGAGTTTATTGAATCACAGAATAATTCAATGGTAGGCTAGCACTGGGCTTTAATGAGCATCGCGTCCAGCCTTCTCACTCTGGGACCTTATGATGTTCGTTACCCGGCTAACTAGTAACTCTTACTACGCTGCCACGTTGTCTCGAGCAAGACAAGGCAGTTGTTTTAGTGAGTTCAGGAAAATAAAAAAAATTTCAAAAACTTCAAACTTCAAACCAGTTACTTTGTATACAAAATAATGAGTTGGTTGATTAATTTTTCCATCTTTATAATTGCTCTTCTTGGCACAGAATGAATCTATAATATGATCATTTTCATAGGAAAATGGAATGGATCATATTAAAAATCATGTTTATATATATCCTTGATGATCTTTATGCCAAGTTTCTTAAAGGCAGAGCATTTCAACAAACACACCAATGAGAATATTTTCAGGTTTACAATTGCAAAATGGTGTATGTAGTTTGCAATTATTTCCTATTCTTCTAAAACTAGTAAAAGTTGTATAACGCAGATAGTAGCATACAGGGCCAAGCACAATATCTTGTAAAGGGCCGAATAGTAACTATTTTCTGGTTTTCAGCCCATATGGTCTCTACAGCAACTGCTCAACTCAGCCATCACAGCACAAAACCAACCGTGGACAGTATGTCAGCGAAGAGGCTGTGTTCCAATAAAACTTTATTTACAAAAACAGGCAGCAATTGGATTGTTTGCCAACTCCTAATCTAGATCATGTGTCATGTTTTTCTGTCTTAACAGTATATATATATATATATATATATATATATATATATATATATATATATATATATATATATATATATATATATATATTTTTTTTTTTTTTTTTTTGAGTCAGAATCTCGCTCTGTCTCCCAGGCTGGAGTGCAGTGGCGCGATCTCAGCTCACTGCAAGCTCCGCCTTCTGAGTTCACGCCATTCTCCTACAGGCACCCGCCATCAAGCCCGGCTAATTTTTTTGTCTTTTTAGTAGAGACGGGGTTTCACCGTGTTAGCCAGGATGGTCGCAATCTCCTGACCTTGTGATCCGCCCGCCTCGGCCTCCCAAAGTGCTGGGATTACAGACGTGAGCCACCTCGCCCGGCCTGTCTTAACAATATTATCTTAAAGTGAATTTTATATCAGGACGTTAGAGAGGTCTC
The DNA here is from genome assembly GCF_000001405.40 of Homo sapiens. NCBI lineage: Eukaryota > Metazoa > Chordata > Mammalia > Primates > Hominidae > Homo > Homo sapiens. The sequence goes on from NC_000008.11 coordinate 93,676,445, forward strand.
ATTTTTAAAGGAATATATAGTAAGATACTATATGGATGTATCATGATTTATTTAGCCAATCCTATAATGATGGATATTTTGGTTGTTTTCCAGTTTTTTGCTATTATAAATATTTGCTACAGTGAATTACATTTTACATATTTCTGTGTTCACATGTATGAATATATATGTTTTTTTTTTTTCAGAGATGGGGTCTTGGCAGGGCACGGTGGCTTGTACGTGTAATCCCAACACTTTGGGAGGCCAAAGTGTGCGGATTGCTTGAGTCCAGGAGTTCCAGACCAGCCTGGCCAACATGGTGAAACACTGTCTCTACTAAAAATACAAAAATAAGTTGGGCATGGTGGCTCGCACCTGTAGTCCCAGCTACTCAGGAGGCTGAGGTGGGAGGATTTCTAGAGCCTGGGAGGCAGAGATTGCAGGGAGCCAAGATCTTTGCCACTGCACTCCAGCCTAGGTGACAGAGGGAAACCCCATCACAAAAAAACGAAAAAAGAGATGGGGTCTCCTTCTGTCACCCAGGCTGAAGTGCAGTGATGCAATCACAACTCACTCCATCCTTGAACCCCTGGACTCAAGTGATCCTCCCACCTCAGTCTCCCAAATATTGGACCATGCAATAGCCACTAGCCACACATGGATATTGAGCACTTCAAATTTAGATAGTACTCAACAGGCACCACCATGCAGGGCTTTTTTTTTTTTTTTTTTCCTGTAGGGACAAGGTCGCACTATGTTACCCAGGCTGGTCTCAAACTTCTGGCCTCAAGCGATCCTCCCACCTCAGCCTCCTAAAGTCTTAGGATTATAGGCATGAGCCAGCCAAATATGCATGTTGAATAAATTCATAAAATTGCAAGCATACAAGTTTCATCAATATTGCCAAATTTCCCTCCAATTTTCATACCCCTCCAACAATGTATGAGAAAAAATGTTCTAGTTTCACATAGCACTATGTTGGTATAGAAGGAAATTTGAGATCCAACTTTATTATTTTACAGTTCCACATACGAGTGCTCAGTTGTCCCAAGATAATTTATTAATTATATTGTCTTCACCCACTAATTTAAAACGTTATCTTATTAAAGGCTTCTACCTTTTATAGCAGCCAAGAAAAATGTTCCCTATTGACATATTTAATAAAGAATTTAAAATCTGAATGTCAGGTTGGGGGCGGTGGCTCACGCTTGTAATCCCAGGACTTTGGGAGGCCAAGGCGGGCGGATCACGAGGTCAGGAGTTCGAGACCAGTCTGGCCAACAGAGTGAAACCCTGTCTCTACTAAAAATGCAAAAAATTAGCTGGGCATGGTGGCATGCACCTGTAATCCCAGCTACTCGGGAGGCTGAGGCAGGAGAATCACGTGAACCTGGGAGGTGGAGGTTGCCGTGAGCCGAGATCGCGCCATTGCACTCCAGCCTGGGGGACAGTGTGAGACTTTGTCTCAAAAAAAAAAAAAAATCTGAATGTCATTTTCACCAAAGCTACCTTTCTTACTCCCCTACTCAAATCTAGGAGTGAGCAATTTTATTTTGAAGTTGTATTATATCAAGCTATATAAGGGATATGGAAATCAATTTAGATAAACATATTATCCATGATCTAATTTTGAAAACATCACAACTAGCTGTTGATACCATAAGCGTGAGAAGCAAGTAGTTACATGTGTATGTTTTTATTAAAGTACTACTATGTTGTCCCATCCATCTCCAAAATTCTGCAGTTCTATGTAAAGATTTGTACCCACAACCCTGAGATTATGTCAAAGTCAGTTGGAGAGAAGAAACCCTTCTCTGGGTCATTTGCCCTATGGCAGCTGATATTGAATAATGCAAAGCACAAAGATGACGGATTATCAAGGGTCATTCTGTATCTGCACTGTCCATTATACATACTGAATATTGGACCATGCAGTAACCAGTAGCCACATGCAGATACTGAGCACTTGAAATTTGGATAGTCGAAATTGAAATGGGCTGTAAAATACACACCAAATTCATAAGACAGTATGAAAAAATAATATAAAATATCTCAATAATTTCATATTGTTTACATTTTGAAATGCTAAAATTTTTGATATATTTATTAGATAAAATGTATTATCAAAATTAATTTGACTCTTTTTTTGTAATATGACTACTAAAAAATTTATAACCACAATCATGGTTATGTTATAGTTCTATCAGACAGAGCTATTGTTTTTTTTCTTTTCAACTTTTATTTTAGGTTCAGCAGGTACATGTGCAGGTTTGTTACATGGGTAAATTGTGTGTAACAGAGGTTTTGGGTACAGATAATCTTTTATTTTAGGTTCAGCAGGTACATGTGCAGGTTTGTTACTTGGGTAAATTGTGTGTAACAGAGGTTTGGGGTACAGATAATTTTGTCATCCAGGTAATCAGCATAGTACCCAATAGCTGGTTTTCCATCCTCACCCTCCTCCTATCCTCCATCCCCAGATAGGCCCTGGTGTCTATTGTCCCTTTCTTTGTGTCCATGTTTAGCTCCCACTTAAAAGCGAGAACATGCAGCATTTGGTTTTTTGTTTCTGATGAATTTGCTTAGGATAATGACCTCCACCACCATCGATGTTGCTGCAAAAGACATTATTTCATTTGTTTTTATGGCTGTGTAATATTCTGTGGTGTATATGTACCACAGTTTCTTTATCCAGTCCACCACTGATGGGCATCTAGGTTGATTCCATGTCTTTGCTATTGTGAATAGTGCTGCGATGAATATTCATGTGCATGTGTCTTTATGGCAGAATGATTTCTATTCCTTTGGGTATACACCCAGTAATGGGACTGCTGAGTCAAATGGTAGTTCCATTTTAAGTTCTCTGAGAAATTTCCAGACTGCTTTCCACAGTGGCTGAGCTAATTTACATTCCCACCAGCAGAGTATAAGTGTTCCCTTTCTCCACAAACTTGCCAGCATCTCAGACAGAGCTATTTTACATGATTCACACCAACAGAAATTGGAACTTCAGTATATGGCTTAGAGGATTAGCTGTGACTTCCTAAAAGTTCTTAAACCTTCCTAAAAGTTCAGCATGGATAGTGGAAATCACAATGCACTAGGAGGAAAGAGTATTATTCACTCCGCAAATACAGATTGAGTACCAATTATTGCCAGAAAGAGGCTTGGCATTGAATCAGGGTTATAGAGTCCTAGATGACCACATACCCTTGACCTGGTTGAGGCATTAAATTTCTCTAAGCCTCAAGGCATCATCTGTAAAATTGGCTTCTGCTCAAAGAAAAGGAATTGGAATGGATGCACTCCTGAAATTGTTTTCTACATTAAGATCTATGATTCTGTACATATTTCAATTTCATAATCAAGGTCTCTAACTGAATATAAAACTACATTAGAAAAGCTTATATCGTAAACTTACATACCACATTTGTACATATAATTTACTATGAGCATTTTCTCTCAGCATGTAAATATATTTGCTTAGTGTTTAAAACATTTAAAGCAATAAGATTCTGTCATCAATGGTAAGCTAAAAAGAGAGATACAATTAAATAATCTACATGCCATATTTTGACATCAGTTTTATTTGGGGGCACATAGACTTTTATTTTCATTCATTTATTTAATGCTTAGTTAATGAGCATAAGGCAAAGTGTCATGTAGGATAAAACATCTATAAATGTGGTCCCTATTCATGAATGATTTATTTCTGTGAAGCTTCCCCAACATCCCTGACTAGAGTTACTCCTGAGGGTAGATTTAGTTACTTCACTGTCCATGCTTCCATTACAGCACTCAACAATGCTATTGTCATTTTTCTGTTACATTTTTGCTTCATCTCTAGGCTATAAACTCATTAGCAAAGGAATTCTCTTATTCATCTTTCAACCTAGAACTTCCTATGTATCTGCCATGTAGGACAAGCTCATTAGAGACTTGACATAAGACTATTACAATCACCAATAAGAACTATTGGCCAGGACCAGGCATAGTGGCTCACCCCTGTAATCCCAGCACTTTGGGAGGCCGAGGCAGGAGGATCACTTGAAGCCAGGAGTTTGGGACCAGCCTGGCCAACATGGTGAAATCCCATCTCTACTAAAAAGATACAAAAATTAGCAGGGTGGGGTGGCACATGCTTGTAATCCCAGCTACTTGGGCGGCTGAGGCAGGAGGATTGCTTGAACCCAGGAGGTGGAGGTTGCAGTGAGCCAAGATCCCACCACTGCACTGCAGCCTAGGCAACAGAGCAAGACTGTCTCAAGAAAAAAAAAAAACTACCATCACCAATAATGGAGAGATGGACAACACGTGCCTCTCCAGATGTGATATCCTGAGAATGGCACAATATTAACTATGCAGAACCCTGGCCAAGAATGCATAACTCCAACTTATTGTAAGAAAACATCAGACAAGGACAAAATGATGAAAATTCTACCATATAAATTTCTTTCTTAGAAAGTCAGTTGGGGAGGATAGAAACTATATTTTTATAAAATATCAATGACATAAAAGACAAAGGAAGGCTGTGAAAATGTTTCATATTAAAAGAAGCTGAAGAGACATGACAAATGCAATAACTTACCCTAGACTGGATTTTTTTTGCTGGAGGGGAAAAATGCTATCAAGAACATTATTAGGTCAGTGAACAAAATTGGGATATGAATGGTAGATTAAAGTATTGCATTTTAGATGAGATACATGCATCCAAAAAAAGAAAAAGTATATTTTAAAAAAGTATTATACCAATGTAAACTTATAAAATTGGTAGCTTCATTGAGGTTATGCAAGAATATTCCTTTTCTTATAAAATATACATGGAAATACTTAAGAGTAAAGGACTATAATATTTGTAACCTTCAAATGGTTCAGTAAAAAATTATACACACCACACACACACACACACACACACACACACAGCTATGCATGCATACGCATAGAGAGCAAATGATAAAGCAAATGGGGTAAAATGTTAGCAATTCAGGAACCTAGGTAAAGGGTGTATGTTCCTTGTACTGTTTTTTATACTTGCAACTTTTGTTAAGTTTGAAATTATTTCCAAATAAAATGTTTTTAAAAGGAACCAGAAATCATGTATTTTAAAAGATGTTCAACTTCACTACTATTCGAAGAAATGTGAATTAAAATATGAGAGAGTGGGCCAAGCAAGGTGGCTCACACCCATAATCCCAGAACTTTGGGAAGCAGAGGATCACTTGAGCCCAGGAGTTCAAGAACAGCCTGGCAATATAGTGAGACCCCATCTCTAAAAATAGATAGGTAGATAGATAGATAGATAGATAGATAGATAGATAGATAGAAAAATAGATGATAGACAGACACATACACACATACACACACACACACACACACACACACACACACACGGCAAAACCACATCCCTCCAAAAAAAATACATGTATACAAAAATTAGCTGAGCATAGTGGCAAGTGCCTGTAGTCCCAGTCACTCGGGAGGCTGAGATGAGAGAACCGATTGAGCCTGGGAAGTCAAGGCTGTAGTAAACTATGATGGCACCACTGCATTCCAGTCTAGATGACAGAGTGAGATCCTATCTCAAAAAAAAATTACAATTAAAATTTTTTAAAAAAAATTCTAGCCAATAGAAATGAAATATTAATGTAAAAAATGACCATAATAATACAGTGGCTGGTAGAGTAGCCATGTTGCCCGTTTGGCAGACTGTTCTTTGAGGTACCAGGATATTGTGCAGAAGAGGGTCTTAACAGGGCAGACCAAAGAGCCAGAGCTGGTAAGCCACATAGCAGTGGTCAGTGGAATGACTCACAATGAAGTATTCTGGGCTGTGAAGTCCAGAAGATCAGGGACTTTGACAACAGGCAACTTTTGGAAAGCCAAGCAGAGGAGACTCTTCCAACGTTGTGGAAAGGGGATGTGATAGTGGAAGAATTTGTTGCGTGCTGACCTTCAGTATATGGTCTCTGACCTGGCAAGGTAGCTCAGGCCGATAATCCTGACCCTTTGGGAGGCCAAGGCGGGTGGATCTCTTGAGCTCAGAAGTTCAAGGCCAGCCTGGGCAACATGGCAAAACCCCATCTCTACAAAAATTAGCTGGGAGTGGTGGTGGTGCATACCTGTAGGATCAGCTACTGGGGAGGCTGAGGTGTGAAGACCGCTTGAGCCCAGGAGGTCAAGGTTGCAGTGAGCCATGATCTCCACTATATTCCAGCCTGGGAGATACAGTGAAACCCTGTCTCAAAAAAAAAAAAAAATATGATCTCTAAGTAGCCTTGTCTATTGTACACAATCTCATTTTATGTGCATACATTCTGAAAAGAAACTTAAATAAAATTGTGCAATACTTTTTAAAAGAAATGTCTATGTGGTACCGACTAGCTCATTGTTGACAGTGGGGTATGTATCCATTGTAAGAGCTTATAGGAGCATGAATTCAGAATTCACCAATGTCTATCATACAAATAGGAAGGTGTACTAATTCTCTAGATGTCGTTCCTCATCAAATAACAATAATGATGGAGCCAAAGAGTCCATGCCACAGTGGCTGAATTTGAGTCTACATAATGAAGACTCTTGGATATTTTGTTCACAGGGACTGGATACAGAATCCAACAACCTGCTAGCTGAAAGTGGATTTGCTGATTTCCCATATCTTTCAGTGTATCCACTTTCAGTTACATGCCATCTTTCTGTGCCCTTGCTATGGTTTGAATGTGTCCCTCAAAGTTCATTTGTTAGAAACTTGATCTCCAATATGATGGTGCTGGGAGGTGGGGCTTGATGGGAAGTGTTTGGGACACGGAGAGAGCACCATCCTTATGAATGGATTGATGTCATTATGTCAGGAGTGGGTTCGTTATCACAGGAGTGGGTTCATTACAAGAGGGCAAGTTCAGCCCCTTTTCTCTTTCTCTACCACTCTCTCACCTTCCACCGTAGGATGATACAGCAAGAAGGCCCTCATCAGATGCCAGCACTTGCTCTTGAACTTCTCAGCCTTCAGAACTGTGAGAAATAAGTTTCTGCTCATTATAAAATACCCAGTGTTAGACACTATGTTATAGCAACAGAAAACAGACTAAGACACACCCATCATGGCATTTACCATACTTTGAGAAGCAGGAAGCCTGTTTAAGGAATCTACAAATTGGTAGGTGCACCAGAAAATACTACTGTCCATGTCAGATTCATTCTCCTCTTCTTCTTTATTAATAGGACCCCAATTTTATTCAGATAAACAATGTTCTTTGCTAAAAGATCACATTTCCTAGCTTTCCTTGCAGCCAAATGTGACCATGTGGCTAATTTTGGCCAAGGATGTGTAAGCTGAGGTTGTGTGGGACTTTTAAAAGACTCCTTTAAAAGGAAACAGACCTTTAGGGAACACCCTTTTTGCTCTTAGCCTTTCCAAAAATTGGTGGAAACCAGAATTCTATATGTAATGGTATCTCGCTGCAAAACAGAAAGAAGTCTACATTCTAGATAACTCTGTGGGGCCTACATAAAAGACGCGATGCCTACCTCTGTAAATCTTTGATGTGAGAGAAAAATAAATTTTGATCTTGTCTAAGGCACTTGCATCCCTGTTATCTGCTGTTGAATGCAATTCCCAAAGAAGGAATGCCAGAATATTATCTATTTAAAAAACGAAAACTTTTCTCAAGGCAGACCTGACAACACAGAGCTAGCTGGGTGTCCAAAGTGACCAGTTCAGTGCCTGTTTCCACTGTTTCTAACAACTCCAGCATTCCTGGAGCAAAGGGTGCAAAAATGAAGATCAGGATAGGGTCAAAAACACTTTTGTGATTGAGGATTTTAGTCTTATTTCTAGGCCTATACTTTAGAGAACCATCTGTGAGACTAATGGGAGGGAAAGAAATTATACATAGGGCCCCAAATTATCAGGGAAGGGACATATTACTAAACCAATGGTACCAGGGGAAATTACCATTTAGAGATATCACATAACACTGTTCCCTCCCAACTTACAACAAAATAACTTTTGGTTGGATTTAAAAGTTAATTGCATAAAACAAAATCTTACAAATGCTATAGGGGAGAAAAAGTGAACATTTAACTGATATCAATTTGAAACAGCATTTTCAAAATATAAAAGGCAAATTACAACAGAAAATATTACCACTAAAAAGGACTGCATCAATTTAATAATCTGCTAGTTTGAAAGCATAAATTTAAGAGGCAAATTACAAATTGGACAAAATATTTTAGCAAATATGTGTTCAACAGAAATTTATTGACCGTCTAGTACATATAAGAACTGCCCAGTGCCAGGCACAGTGGCTCATGCTTGTAATCCCAACAATTTGGGAAGCTGAGATAGAAGGATTACTTGAGGTCAGGAGTTTGAGACCAGCCTGAGCAACATAGTGAGACCCCATCTCCACAAAAAATACAAAAATTAGCTGGGTTTGGTAGCACCAGCCTACAGTCCCAGCTACTGGGGAGGTTGAGGCGGTAGGCTTGCTTGAGCCCAGAAGTTCAAGACTGCAATGAGCCAAAATCGCAGCACTGCACTCCACCCTGGCAACAGAGCAAGATCCTGTCTCCAAAAAAAAAAAGACATTGGAGACTACAAGAAGGAAGAAGGAGGGAGGGAGGAGAAGAAAGGGTTGAAAAACTACTTATTGGGTACTATGCTAGCTACCTGGGTGAGGGGTTCAGCCATACTCCAAACCTCAGCATCATGCAATATAACTTTGTAACAAACCTGCACATGTACCCCCAGAATCTAACTAAAAGTTGAAAAATGAAAAAAAAAAGTGCCCTAGTTCCTGGGCATCCAGTGGTGAACAGTGCAGCCACATCTGCAGAGATGCAATCTACAATCTTAGTGACAGGCACAAGTAGTGCTCATTACCAATCAAGTATTTACTTAGAACTGTGATCAGTGCTACAGAGGAGAATATGACCTATCAGATACAGAATGATTAACAGTGGTTCTACACCTCCCAGGGTTCTTTTTGTTGCTGTTTGTTTTTTGGTTTTATTTTTTATTTATTTATTTATTTATTTTTTTGAGACGAAGTCTCACTCTTGTCCCTCAGGCTGGAGTGCAATGGTGCAATCTCAGCTCACTGCAACCTCCGCCTCCCGGGTTCAGGCAATTCTCCTGCCTCAGCCGCCCGAGTAGCTGGGATTACAGGCGCCTGCCACCACGCCCAGCTAATTTTTGTATTTTCAGTTGAGACGGGGTTTCGCCATGTTGGCCAGGCTGGTCTCGAACTCCTGACCTCAGGTGATCCACCCGCCTCGGCCTCCCAAAGTGCTGGGATTACAGGTGTGAGCCACTGCGCCCAGTCTAAGAATTATAACTTTTATAGTAATTACAAAGCAACAGATATGTGGGAAATTTTTTTAAGAAAATAAAAGTTTGAAGTACACTGTCATTTTTAAAAATGAAAAAATATATTTTTATATAACATTATCTGGATTAAAAAGTAAATGTTTCTGAAAATTATGTAAATGCTTCAGTTAGTAGATCTAGACATATTCTGATAAATTACTAAAACTTCTTACTTCACGGTATTTGTAAACACTGTATTTATTAGATTCTCTAACTACCAGAATGAGAAGTATTTGTAAAAACTGATGATCTGAAGAAACGTTACTTTCTTCCCATTCAGCTAATTCTGTATGTTAAAGTGCATAAACGTGTCTCCAGCAGAAGAAAAATGTATTATCTCACACAGATGATTTTAGAATTTCGCTACCTTAGGTCAAAAGTATAACAGCCCAATGAGCTATAGATTTATCTCAGTTTTTTCTTACTGTGATATTCTATTGTTAAAAAGATACACATATTGTTTCAGTGACCAGTGCAGCTAGCAGTCAAAATGGATGCTTTCAACTCTACTCAGCAAGCTAGCTATTCCCAAAACAATCTTGAGAGAATAGTTCAGTAAGGAATTTGGAGTTTTCAGTTTAAAATGATGTCTAGCTGTTCCTTGGAGAACTGGCTAATTTCAATTCTTGAGCAGAAAAGTTACAAGGTGACCCTAACACATCTTGTACCAAAACACAGGACAAATTTAAGAAAAATGGAAATGTGTCAACACCAGTGCCAGCTGGATGGGCTCCCACCAGCCAACTCTTGGATAATCGGAGCATCAAAAAGAATAATAATTGCAATTGGTTGTCATACACTGATTAAGTTAAAAATTCAACTGCTCACTTAAAATATCTGAAAACTCAGAAAAAGAGAAAACTCATACCAACGTTGAAAATAAAGAAAAAATGGATGTGGGTCGAATGATGAAGCCAAAATGTAAATTACAGTTGATTGCTAATACACACTTTTCTAGTTGAGAAAGATAATCTTCTAGTCCAAAGGACAGAGAAAAAAACTTATAAAATGAACCAAAATAGAGTAGTTTGAGTATTTTTATATTTTTCTCAAAAAAAATAATTTTTATATCTAATTGTATCCTTTTTTAAAATTAGTGTGACCAGTAAATAAAACTAATGGGCCATGAGTAGAACATAGATAGTCTGCCCTTACATGGAAGAATGACTTAGTTAACATTCACTGAGCACTGGTTATGTTCTAGGCATTATGAAAAATGTCTTATACACATTATTTCATTTCATCTTCACATCCACACGAGATAGGCACCATTACTGTCTCCTTTTTGCAAATGAGAAAACAGGAATCTGTACAACGAAAAATCAGTAACTATAGTAATTGATAACTACTAGTAATAATAGTAGTTGTGGCCAGGCACGGTGGCTCACGCCTGTAATCCCAACACTTTGGGAGGCCGAGGCGGGCAGATCATGCGGTCAGGAGATCGAGACCATCCTGGCTAACATGGTGAAACCCTGTCTCTACTAAAAATACAAAAAAAATTGAGCCGGGCATGGTGGTGGGCACCTGTAGTCCCAGCTACTCGGGAGGCTGAGGCAAGAGAATGGCATGAACCCGGGAGGCAGAGCTTGCAGTGAGCCGAGATTGTGCCACTGCACTCCAGCCTGGGCGACAGAGCAAGACTCCGTCTCAAAAATAATAATAAATAAATCAATAATAATAATAATAGTTGTAGCAGCAACTTCGTAAGGTTATTGTGAGGATTAGAGAAAGGAGTATAATACAATAAGAAATTTAAAGAATTTCAGGTAAAGATGATAGAATAAAGTTAGATCACAGAATCCTTTCCCTCCAATATCTAACAAAATAAACAAATAAATAAAGTTTGTAAAAAAAAAAACAAAAAATACAATAAAAAATCAAACACAGTAAGAGATACTAAATTATGTTATAGACTGAAAAGTTTCAGCCAAGACAGGATCATAATCCCCATACCTTCTTCCAAGGAATGGTTATGAAGAAAAATGTTAAGTTCAACTAAATCCCGGGAATTCCCCCAAACTTTGAGAGACGTGAGAAAAGGTAGTAAGTCGGCAGCTCAGAAAAACATCAAGGAAAATCCATGAAAGTAGAATTTTCTGCTTCTCACTCATCATCTGCCCAGAGGCTACAGTCTAGTTGCACACTAGAATCATCTGGGAAGCTTTTAAAATTATCAATTGCCAGGATACAATCCAGATAAACTATAATTTTTATTGGTAGGATACAGGCATTGCTATTTTTAAAAGCCCTTCAGGTGCTTTTAAAACATGAATGTGCGCTCAGAGTTGACCACGACTATGATAGAGCAATCCCTTGTGGTAATCATTTCCCATGGCCACATGCTGCAGTGGAGCCAGAAGGTATCTCCCATCATAGGCATAGAACAAACTCCAATTACATGGAGTAAGCCTGACTCAGGACATTAACAAAAACATCAAGAGGCAGTAAGACCTAGGTCTTTCAACAAAGGATACATGAAATATATTTTTAAAAACAACTAGAAAGATGGTCGATTTTAATATTACTAGATCCATTATCACATTAAATATAAATGGTCGGCCGGGCGCAGTGGTTCATGCCTGTAATCCCAGCACTTTGGGAGGCCAAGGTGGGTGGATCACAAGGTCATGGGTTCAAGACCAGCCTGACCAACATGGTGAAACCCCGTCTCTACTAAAAATACAAAAATGAGCTGGGAGTGGTGGCAGGCTCCTGTAATCCCAGCTACTCAGGAGGCTGAGGCAGGAGAATTGCTTAAACCCAGGAGGTGCAGGTTGCAGTGAACTGAGATCACGCCACAGCACTCCAGCCTGGGCGACAGAGCGAGACTCTGTCTCAAAAAAAAAAAAAAATATATATATATATATAGATAGATAGATATACATATATGGTCTAGGCTAGGTGTGGTGGCTAATGCTTGTAATGCCAACACTTTGGGAGGCTGAGGCAGGAGGATCAGGAGTTTTGAGACCAGCCTGAGCAACATAACGAGACCTTGTCTCAAAAAACAAACAAACAAACAAAAAGGTAAATGGCCTAAACACACCAATTAAAGGCAAAGATTATCAAACTGGATACAGAAATAATACATAACTATATTTTCTATATAAAACAATACATAACTATATTGTTTCTACATAAAAACATAGATAAAAGTAACAGGAATAAAGGAAATTGGAACTCTGATATATTGCTGCTATTAGAGCACTATAATGTAAAATGGTGCAGCCATTTTGAAAAGTGAAGTGGCAGCCGGGCGCAGTGGCTCATGCCTGTAATACCAGCACTTTGGGAGGCCGAGGCGGGCGGACAACCTGAGATCAGGAGTTCGAGAACAGACTGACCAACATGGCGAAACCCCGTCTCTAATAAAAATACAAAATTAGCCAGGTATGGTGGTGGGCGCCTATAATCCCAACTACTTAGGAGGCTGAGGCAGGAGAATCGTTTGAATCTGGGAGGCAGAGGTTGCAGTGAGCCGAGGTCATGCCACTGCACTCCAGCCTGGGAGACAGAGGGAGACTCCTTCTCAAAAAAAAAGAAAAAGAAAAGTGAAATGGCTGCACCACTTCACAGTCTAGAAGTTCCTCAAAAGATTACACATAGTATTACCATATGATACAGCAATTTTACTTTTTTATTTTTTTCTCCCCAAAAGTAAATAACCAACCAAAGTAATTTCACTCTTAAGTGTATATCCGAGAGAAATGCAAACATATGTCCACACAAAAATTTGTGATACACAAATACTCATAGCAGCATTATTCGTAATAGCTAAAAAATATAAACAAGCCAAATATCTATCAACTGATGAATGGATAAATCAAATCCGGAATATTCATACAATAGAATATTAGTCAGTGATAAGAATGAAGTATTAAAACACATTACAACATGAATGAACCTTGAAAACATTATGCTCAGTAAAAGATGTCAATCACAAGTGACCACATATTTTATGATTCCATTTGTATGACATGCAGAAGAGGCAAATCTACAAAGACAGAAAGGAGATTACTGATTTCCTAGAACTGGGAGGTCTGGAGGGAAATAGGAAGTGAGTGTTAATGTGCGCAGTTTCTTTTTGGGGTGTTGAAAACGTTCTAAAATTGATTGTGGTGATGGTTGCACAACTCTGTGAATATACAAAAAACGGTTAAATTGTACATTTTAAATATGAAATATATAGTAGGTAAATTATGTCGCAATAAAGCTATACAAAAAAGTAGACTAGGAAAATAAATTATGTTTGCATCCATTAAAAGATTTATTCAAGTTAAAGCTAACGTGATTTATCTTACAAATCTATAAACAAGTTTCTCATGGTTTTGAGTAACTTGATCTATTCAGAATATCCCTAATTAAAATGGGTCGTTATTGGCACAGCAATAGACAAATAGGCCAGTAAAAGAGAATGCTTAGAAAAAGGCCAACCTAAGTCTAGATATTTGGTATATCACAATAGTAGTAATAAAAATCAGTTGGTATGGGAATAAATTCAATAAACAAATTTGGCACAAATGGCTACCCATATGGAAAAAGATAAAGTTAGATGCTTACCTCACAGGATATACAAAAATAAATTTCCAGCTAGATTGAAAATCCAAAATTGAAAACTCCTAGGCCGGGTGCGGTGGCTTACACCTGTAATCCCAGCACTTTGGGAGGCCGAGGCAGGTGGATCACCTGAGGTCAGGAGTTCGAGACCAGCCTGGCCAACATGGCGAAACCCTTCGCTACTGAAAAAAAAAAAATTAGCCGGGTGTGGTGGCGTGCACCTGTAATCCCAGCTACTCGGGAGGCTGAGGCAGGAGAATCACTTGAAACTGGGAGGCAGAAGTTGCAGTGAGCTGAGATGGTACCATTGCACTCCAGCCTGGGCAAAAAGAGTGAAACTGCGTCTCAAAAAAAAAAGAAAAAGAAAAGAAAACTCCTGTTCTGCAAAACTTATTGCAAACAACAGACAAGCCATTTCTATGTAGATCCTGTAGAGAAAATCAATTTCATATGCATTGCAGCATATTTGGCAATAGAAAAAATTGGAAACAACTGATATCCATCAGAAGAAAGCAACCATTGTGAATTATTCATAGGATAGAAATCTATACAATACTAAATGTAACAACATGGATCAATCTCTAAGATCTAATGTTGTGTTAAGAAAGTAAATTTCAAAAAGGTATATTAAATATTATACCAATTATATAAAGTTTAAAAACAAACATATATGTATATATCATGAATACATACATACATATAAAGGAAAGTATAAAAGTAGACATGGAAAGAATACACACCATCTTGAAGATAGTGATCATCATGAGAAAAAATCCACTGGTCTGAAGAGTACTTTTTATCATGAGAACTTTTGATTACTAAAATTCTGAAATAAATTTAGTAAAATCTTCCCAGTGAATGTATAGGTGTCTGTTATTTTCTGTATGTTGGATGTATTTCATATTGTGAAAACATTTTAAAACCCCAAAGTAAACTTAGAAATCAAACACAAAAATTATATTTTTATAATCCTATTTTTATAAGATCTTCCTGTCTACTCTACATGTAACTATATAACCTGTATAACCTATATATAACTGTAACTATATAACTTATATATACATATATAACTATATAACTTATATAGATATAAGTTATATAGATATGTTATATATATGTAGACAGGAAGAGACGTGTGTAACATATATATAACATATCTATATGTGTTATATATGTATACATATGTATATGTAACTTATATATATCTTACTGCACAATCATGGCTCATTGCAGCCTTGACCTCCTGGGCCCAAGTGATCCTCCCACCTCAGCCCTCCAAGTAGCTAGGAAAACACGCAAGTGCCACCACACCTGGCTAAGTTTTTTTATTTTTGTAGAGCTGAGATTTCCCTATGCTGCCTAGGTTGGTCTCAAACTCCTGGGCTCAAGTGATCTTCATGGGAGGATATATCTTATCAGAATTTTATCTGAATTGTATTCAGATTTCCATATATATGCAAATTTGAATAAAATATGGAGAAATAAAAAAGCAAAGCTTTTTGTCTTTTATGTATTTATATGTTCTTCTCATTATAAATACACATATATAACATATATATAACTTACGCATATATAAGTTCTACCTTTACCTTCCGGATAAATAGATAGATCTAGAAAAATGTTCACCTAATATTAACATTTTATAATGAAAACACTGGTGTTTTTTCCTATATTATGCTTCTCAGTATTAATGAAATTTCTAATAATGATCATGTATCAATATTTTTTCTAAAAGACAAAAAGGCTAGGTGCTGTAGCTCACACCTATAATCCCAACAATCTGGGAGGCCGACACAGGAGGATCACTTGAGCTGCGGAGTTTGAGATCAGCCTGGGCAACATAGGGAGATATCAGCTCTATGAAAATTTTTTTAAATTGCCAGACATGGTGGCTCACATCTGTAATCCCAGCGCTTTGGGAGGCCGAGGTGGGCAGATCACCTGAGGTCAAGAGTTCGAGACCAGCCTGGCCAACATGGTGAAATCCTGTCTCTACTAAAAATACAAAAATTAGCCAGGCATGGTGGGGTGCACCTGTAGTCTCAGCTACTCAGGAAGCTGAGGCACAAGAATCGCTTGAACCCAGGAGGCAGAGGTCACAGTGAGCTGAGATTGTGCCGCTGCACTCTGACCTGGGCAACAGAGTAAGACTCTGTCTCAAAAAAATTAAAAAATTAAAAAAAAAATTAGCCAGGCGTGGTGGCACTTGCCTGTGGTCCTAGGTACTTGGAGGGTTGAGGTGGGAGGATCACTTGGGGCCAGGAGGTCGAGGCTGCAATGAGCCATGACCGTGCCACTACACTCCAGCCTGGGTGATGGAATGAGACCCTGTCTCGAAAATAATTAATTAATTATAAGAAAAAAGGCTTTGCTTTATTTTTCCCCATATTTTATTCAGATTTCTTTAGTTTTACGTGATGCCCATTTTCTGTTCTGGGTTGCCACATTACACTTAGTAGAAGTTTATGTCTCCTTAGGTTCCTCTTAACTATAATGGTCTCTCAAATTATCCTTGTTTTTGATGACCTTGACAGTTTTGAGGTGTACTAGTCAAGTATTTTGTAAAATCTCCCCCTATTGGAATTTATCTGTCATTTTCTCAAAATTACACTGGGGTCATGGATTCGGAGGTGGAAAACCACAGGTGTAAGATACCATTTTCATCATGTCATAAAAAGGGTACATACTAGGAACATAACCCATAGCTGTTGATACTGACCTTGATCACCTGGCTGAGGTAGTGTTTGTCATGTTTCTCCATGGGAAAATTACTTTTTTTTCTTCCTTCCATACTGTCCTCTTTGGAAAGAGGTCACTACGTGCAGCCCACACTTAAGGAGACAGGACTTTTACTCCACCTCCTTGAGGATGGAGTAGCTACATAAATTATTTGGAATTATTCTGTGGGAGATTTGTCTCTTCTTCTCCATTCATTCATTAATTTACTCTCAGCATGGACTCAAGAATATTTAATTTTTTACTTTGGGTTATAATCCATTACTACTTTATTTTCTTGCTCAAATTGTTGGAGCTTTGGCCATCCAGAGCTCTTTTAATTGACTCCTATGTCTCCTTAACATACCCTCCCATGTGTGTTTTTTCTTTTGTGTTGTATCAATTTTTCAAATCAATTCACAAAAAGATGAATGTATTAATAATTAGACTGATGCTAATAGGTATATTAACGGTGCTTATGTAGTATTAGGCACATAGACCTTAATGATAAGACGCTGATACATACAAATCAAACTTTTTTTCCAGCAAAATATTGAGTGTGTGTTTATTTACTTAGCTAACAATATTAGCTCAACAATATTATTACAAAGTTCTCCCTTTTTGAATTCTCCAAGTTAGAGAAACACTGACAAATCTATGGTATTAGTAGGCACTAACCTTTGTGGACCACTTACTATTTCAGGTACCATACTAAGCACTTAACATCTAGTACTCTGCTTAATCTTCACAACCTCAGAGCTAACCCCTGAGGAATGTGAGGCACTCCAGGAGTCTAGGCCACTGGTTCCCAAAGTGTGGTAGAGACCAGCAGGTTCAGTAACACCTGAGAATTTGTTATAAAGGCATATTCTTGATCCTCACCTCAGACCTCCTAAATGAGAAACTCCGGGGCTGGGGCCTAGAAAACTGTGTTTCAACATGTCCTGCAAGTAATTCTTGCTAATGCTTGAGAGAGCAGTGGAGCCAGACTTTAAATCCAGATATTAGACATCAGAGCCCATCAAAGCCCATGTACTTAATTACTTAATTGTACTCTCTCCCTATTATACTAAGAAGAAGACCAGTAATAGGTGATTTCTAGTTAAAAACTGGTCATAAAAGAGATAGCAGTCCAGGGCAGTTTCATTCTATTCCCTTTGTCTTCCAGTGCTTGACCAAGCAACTTTAAGTATTAAATTTACCGCTAGAGGGAGTCCCGACATTCCTCAAATGCTGAACCTTTTAAAAGCATGTAAATAAACACACACTCAATCCTTTGCTGGAAAAAAAAAAAGTTTGATTTGTATGTATCATCATGAAAACAATTTGTTTAAGCTACTTAACATGGAACAGCTGCATTTGGAGTGATATTGTTAGGCACAAATCTACTTTTAACAAATAAATACAATATACCATGATTGGTCACTTAACATCTTCATTTCTAAAACAGAACTGAAGAAGGGAAGGAGGAAACTCCAATTAGCAAAATAATAATATACTTTAAATTAAAATAATCTAGTTTAAACTACATTATCATCTCTAAATTCCTGATGAAATGAGACTGGAAAAGACTTCAACAAAATTAGCCAGTTGCCTCTACAGTGTCTCTTTCCGCATTGCTCTGAGCACTTGAGTTCAGGAATGTTAAATTCAGCACCTAGTACGTGGCAAGTTCTCCGCAAGTAATGCTGAATACTTAAATAAAGCTAATGCAACTCTCCGCCTCCACTAGGCCCCCCTTAAAACATGCTAAATAAATTGGAGTTCATTCAACGTTACACGAAATAATATTGTGCTGTTTTCACAATAAATATACAAATATCACATAGTAGTTCAGAAAAGTGAGACCCTATAATGCTTATAACCTGAAACAATAATTTCGAGATTTTGAAATGCTATACTCAGCGATAGATGGATCCTATGACACACACCCTCCTTCTTCCAAATATGGAATGACATTAAAATGTTTCAACTTGTTTACAATCTTTGCAAAAAATCACTTTTTTGTATTTTATTTAATTTTCTATTTCAATAGGTGTTTGGAGAGCAGGTGGTGTTTGGTTACATAAGTTCTTTAGTGGTGATTTCTAAGATTTTGGTGCACCCATCACCTGAGCAGTGTACACTGTGCCCAATGTGTAGTCTTTTATTCTTCGTCTCCCCCTCCCAATTTACCCCCGAGTCCCCAAAGTCCATTGTATCATTATTATGCCTTTGTGACCTCATAGCTTAGCTCCTACTTGTGAGAACATCTGATGTTTGGATTTCTATTGCTGAGTTACTTCACTTAGAATAATGGTCTCCAATTCCATCCAGGTTGCTACAAATGCCATTATTATGTTCCTTTCTATGGCTGAGTATAATCCACTCATATTCCATGGTATATATACACATTTTCTTTATCCACTCATTGATTGATGTACATTTGGGCTGGTTCCATATTTTTGCAATTGTGAATTGTGCTGCTATAAACATGCATGTACAAATATCTTTTTTGTATAATGACTTCTTTTCCTCTGGGTAGATACCCAGGAGTGGGATTGCTGGATCAAGTGGTAGAGCTACCTCTAGTTCTTTAAGGAATCTCCACACTGTTTTCCATAGTGGTTGTACTAATTTACATTTCCACCAAGAATGTAAAAGTGTTCCCTTTTCACCACATCCATGCCAACATCTATTATTTTTTGATTTTTTGATTATGGCCATTCTTGCAGGAATAAGGTGGTATTGCATTGTGGCTTTGATTTGAAAAAAAAAAAAAAAAAAAAATCACTTTTAAGAGAGAAAGAGATCCTGGTACTCTGGAAAGAACATTGAAGAAAGAAGACAAAGATTCAGTTCCACCTCTGCTATCTAATCATGCAATTCTGGCCAAGGCACTTGTCCTCCCAGGCCACCAGCTCCTCTTTGATGAGATAATGTGTCCTTGGAAAAAGTATAGCCTATAAGAAAGAACATGCCTCCAAGTAGTAAAAAGATTTGAGAACAATTGTGTTAATGCATGTTTTTTAGATATCTGTTGACAGAAGAGTAAAATCAAGAGCCCGTATCTTAGGAGGAAATTTCCTTGAGCACTTTCATTTCCATATATTGAGTACAGATTGAAGAGGGATAATTCAATATGCTTCTGTTCAACAATTATGATACCATTTACCAAGCATTTGCTAACAGCTTTAAGAGTTACACAATAGATCCCAGCACTTTGGGAGGCT
This sequence comes from Homo sapiens, assembly GCF_000001405.40. Classification (NCBI taxonomy): domain Eukaryota; kingdom Metazoa; phylum Chordata; class Mammalia; order Primates; family Hominidae; genus Homo; species Homo sapiens. The sequence goes on from NC_000008.11 coordinate 93,696,278, forward strand.
GAGGCGGGCAGATCACCTGAGGTCGGGAGTTTCTGATCAGCCTGACCAACATGGAGAAACCCGGTCTATACACCCGGGAGGCGGAGGTTGCAGTGAGCTGAGATCACGTCATTGCACTCTAGCCTGGGCAACAAGAGCGAAACTCCACCTCAAAAAAAAAAAAAAAAAAGAGCTACACAATAAATAACTTGCTTTAACACATCAATAGCTTCACATTGATACAAAGACAATGATTGTAATGGTTAATTTTATGTGTCATTAGGCATTCCACCAAACATAATTCCGCATGTCTGTGAGGGTGTTTACGGATGAGACTAAAATTTGCATAAAGGAGAGTGCCCTCCCTAATGTGGGCAGGCCTCATCCAGTCAATCGAAGGCCTGAATAGGAAAAAAGTCTCAGTAGGAGGAAACTGCTCCCACCAGACTGATTGACTTGGGACGTCATCTTTTCTAGCCTTCCCAGTAGGACTCAGTCATCTGTTTTCCTTGGGTCTCCACCCTGTTTGCTTTCAGACAGGAAATAAACCATCAGCTCTTCTGGTTCTCCAGCCTTTGGACTTGAACTGAAATGACATATTGGCTCTCCTGGGTCTCCAGCTTGTGAACTGCAGATTCTGGGACTTCTCGGCCTACATAATTACTTCAGCCAATTCCTTATAATAAAATTATACAATATATTATATATTATATTATATTATATTATATTATATTATATTATATTATATTTACAAACACAGACTATTAGTTCTGTTTCTCTAAAGAACCTTGACTAATACAAGAACCAATCTCTACACTCCTTAGCATGGCCAAAATGCCCTATACGACCTGGTTTCCATCTACCCCTCCAACTAAATCTCAGACAGAACATGATGCCACCTCCTCCACTCCACCCTCATCAGCTTTCTTCCATGTCCTCACACATACTGTGTTTCCTCTGTCATGGGGTTTTCACTCATTTATTTATTTATTCATTGATAAACTCAACTAATTATTGAATTTCTACTATGAGTCAAGCACTGAGGTTGTACTGGGAATATAAAGTGAACAGGTAACAATGTGGCTAGTTTCATGGAGAATATGTTCTAGTCACAGAAGACAGAAATAGATCTACAGCCATACCTGAACATGCCTGATCTTGGAAGCTAAGTGAGGTCCAGCCCGGTTAGTACGTGGATGGGAGAAGACAGAAATAGCATGTAAATAAACAGGTTAATTTCAGGACGTGACATGTGCTTCAAAGGAAACAAAACAGGGTGAAAGAATCATTTGGTGATCAGAGAAAGCCCCACTCATAGGTGTTTTTTAAGTACAATTTTATATGAAGGGGCCATCCATGTGAGGACTTGAAGAAGGAGCATTCCAGGCAGAGAGAATTACAAACACAGAACTAACTGTGAGATAAGTTTATCTATAGATAAACACAGAGAGAGAGAGAGAAGCTTATATACATATATATGTGTGTGTGTGTGTGTGTATATATATATACACACACACACACACACACACACACATATGGCATGTGTCTATAGCACAGTGGGGCAGCAAGAGAAGGTAGATAGGTAAGCGGAAATGAGATAAAGCCTTAATAGCCAGAATAGGATTTAAATTTTTATTTGAAGCACACTGAGAGGCTTTGGAGGGTTGACATCATCTGATTTAATGTTTGATTTCACACTGCGATGTTTAACAGTGGACATGGGGAGACTAGTAAGGGAGGTTTGCAGTAAGGATGATTGGTGGTAGCAGTTTGGATTATGGGGATGTAGAAAAAAATGAAGAATGATTCAGGATATATTTTGGAGATGGAACAGATAGGAATTGCCCATGTGACTGGAGAAAAGAAAGGGTAACTCCTAAGTTTTTGACTTGAACAATCAACTGGGCAATAGCATCATTTTCTGAGATATGAAATTCTGGGTAGAGATGGGAATGGGGCTGGGGGAGGGCAAGGGGACAAACTGCTCATACTGTCCTTCTCTTGGGACTGTTTTTCACTCCCTCTTCACCTAGTTGACTCCTTCCTATTCTTTGGATCTCAGCTCAAATGTCACTTTCTCAATGAAGTCCTTCCCTGATGAGTTCAAACCAAACCTCTATATTAAGTATACACTCAATTGCTGCCATGTAGTTTCCCCTAATAGTAGACTGGAAAAGTAGCCACCAATTCCTCTACCAACCACACCATCCGTAACATTTCCACTGCCCTCTCACTCTGATCCCTCTAGTCTAGGCCACATGGCTTGCATCCGCCAATAGTGTATCAGCAAACATAACATAGGCAGAGACTTGAAAGGCACTTGTGCAGTTGACTTGTCCTGCTCCACTGTTTTGGAACTCTGAAACCATGGAAAGAAGCCTGGCTGAGGTGCTAGACAATAAGAAACACGTGGCCCCTGCTGACGACCTGCCAATGCCGTGACACAGAAGTGAGGCCTCTTAGATCATCCAGCCGCCAGCTGACCAGAAAGGTGAGTAAGAGCCCAGCTGAGCAGAACCAAGGTAAAAGAACCACCCAGCTCACTCAGAATCCCAAGCTAACCAAACGATTGTAAAACGTCACTAAGTTTTGTGGTGATTTGTTACACTGCAAAAGTGGATACAGTAGCACATACCTCAGTGGCAATTTTACACATCTTTGATTAGCTTCTATCACTGCCACATAACTGTGAGCTCTCTAAAAGCACAGACTATTCTGACCTTAGGTTACTGTGCCAACCTCAAAGCCAAGCATAATACCTGGAACACACCAGGCATCCAACCAATAACATGCTGAGCGAATGCAAGGAGCAAAGAGAGATACACATTGTAACACAAGCGAATAGGGGAAGTTCAAAACAAAGGACTGAGGACATCTATTTGTACAAAATAAAAACTTTTAATCAGCAGCACACGGCAGCGAGGAATACAAGACCAAAATCACATTTAATCTGTCTCAAAGGGTTCAAAGTCTAGGGTACAGGAGGCAGTACAAAATCAACGAAGTGTACTGTTTGAGCATTCCAACACTTCGCTCCTTCAGACAGTATTAGGACCCCGTCCCAAAGCGTTAGGACAAGGCCCTAACGCTGCCTGAAAAAGTGAAGTGACGGAGGATCCCAGAGAGGTTTCTTGAAGCAGATAAAGTCTGAATTGAGGCCGGGCCCGGTGGCTCACGCCTGGAATCCCAGCACTTTGGGAGGCTGAAGGGGGGCGGATCACTTGAGGCCAAGAGTTCAAGACCAGCCTGGCCAACATGGCGAAACCCCGTCTCTACTAAAAATACAAAAAATCAGGCCAGCATAGTGGTGCACGCCTGTAATCCCAGCTATTTGAGAGCCTGAGGCAGGAGAATCGCTTGAACCCAGGAGGCGGAGGTTGCAGTGAGCCGAGATTGTGCCACTACACTCCAGCCTGGGCAACAGAGCGAGACTCCATCTAAAATACATATATAAATAAACAAAGTCTGAATAGAGTCCTTGCAGTATTTACTGGGAAAAGCAGCACACGCAAGGCCAGGAGGGTCAAAGGGACAGAGGCGTTCAAAGGACAAAGGAGAGCCTCCTGTTTGTTTGGGGTTTTATTCTTTTTGAATTTTTGTTCCCCCAGGCCAACTCTAAGAGCCAGAACTGTTCGTTATTTATCTCAGCACAGGTTCGGTGTAAGCGTTGCCTCCTTACCCGACGCTCAGGCCCTTCAGGTCCGGGACCCCTGCTTCTTAATTATGTTTCTATTACTCCCAGTGTCTAACACAATCTCTTCCACGAAGTCGGAACTTGATACATATTTGCTGAATAAACGAAAAGTTAAAGATGAGGCAGAAAGCACAGCTCCTTCCAAGGGCAGCTCTCAAGAGCCCACGTTTTCAGATTCAGCAGTGAAGCGGACGCGTCTGGTACGAGACTACAAGTCGCACAGGCGGAGAGGGGGCCCCCGGGCCTCTGGTTTCACGTCTCCCTCCTGGTCCCCGGCGGACCGGCGTCTTTTCTCCCCTGCTCGGAGTAGCCTAGCAGCGCTGGAGGCTGGCTGTCTGGTAAGCGCGGCTGTTAGAGAGGATGGAGGCGCCGTAGCCCCGCGGTGCTTCTCACAGCCTTCGCCGGCAGGGACGCGCGGGACAACCGCGCAGGCGGCTCTGCAGGGGTGGGCGCGCCATCACCCCTCTCGGTCCCTGCCTGCTTGGCGCTTTCCGAGCCCCAGCCGCGCTCAGGCTGCCTCGGGCATTGACCGCGGGGGCGCGCGCCCCGTTTCCATAGAAACGCCCGGCCTGCCGCGGCGGCGCGAGGGGCGGGCTTTCAGGCTCCCGGCGGCTGCTTGCGCCCCAGCGCGCGCCCAGGCGCCTTGGAATCCCCGTCCTTGGGCCCCCGCAAGGTCCCCGGCCGTGCGCGAGGCAGCATGATGAGGCGCACCCTGGAAAACCGGTAACAGCCCGAGCCCAGCTGCCCAGGGCCGCCCACACTGGAGGGCTGGGGTGAGGGAAGTGGAAGCCTCTGTCCATGGGGCCTCTGCGCCGAATTCCGACCCTGAGTGGGAGGCTGCACGGTCCCCGCTGTGACCTGGGGCCTAATTCCTTGGGCTGCAGCCACCGCCGGCGGCGAAGAGGAGCCCGGGGCCCGGCCGGCTGCCACCCACCCACGCCACCGGGTCTCGGGTCCCCACACTGCCGCGGGCAGTGCGGAAGCCTAGGAGGCAGCCGGGCGCCCAGGCCGCGCTGCGCGGAGCAGCCGGAGCAGCCACCTCCCCAGTTAAGGCCAGGCCCACCCGGCCTGGGCCTTTTCCTGTGCCTACACAGTCCGGATAGTGAGGTCAGGACCCCATGGAGAGCAGTCCGCGCCGGGAGACGCTGGGTCGTTGATGGGTTTACGCCTTCAAAGCTGCAGAATGCCCGGGGAATGTTTGCATGTTAAATTAACGTGAAGCCTTCTCATCTCTAACGAGAATGTTTTGCCTTTTGTGTCACCTTTTCCCTAGGAACGCTCAAACGAAACAACTGCAAACAGCTGTCTCAAATGTGGAGAAGCATTTTGGAGAACTGTGCCAAATCTTCGCTGCCTATGTGCGGAAAACTGCCAGGCTGAGAGACAAAGCAGACCTCCTGGTGAATGAAATTAACGCGTATGCTGCTACAGAGACCCCGCATTTAAAGCTGGGCCTGATGAACTTTGCAGATGAGTTTGCCAAACTTCAGGATTATCGACAAGCAGAGGTATGGAGTGAGATCACAGTGTCATTGTTATGAATGAGCCATGAAGTAGTGGATGAAGGAACCGTGGAAACTTTCACTTGTAATCTACCTAACTGCAGAGGTGGATGCAAACTTGATAAAACGTACATTTTCATAAGACTGTGTGAGTCTATTAAAGAGAAGCGTTCTGTGTTTTATTTTACCCTTTTCAAGCTAACCTTTAGGGCATCTTGAGGTCTTGAATTTCCCCACTTTATTTGCCAACTTTTGGCCAAGGGGTGGCTGTTTACTGGGGGTAGTGGGAATAGTACCCAGGGGGAAGAAAATAAGCATAACTTAATGTCTTGTGTGGCACATAAGTACGTTTTAAAGAATGACTGGAGATGGAAATGTTGGGAATGGTAATGTGGATGGATAAATTATTAATAAATGGGTAAGACATCATTGCTGCATCCATGGTTTGGAAAATTGACCAATGGTTTACTAACAACAACAAAATGCTATGAATTGTATCATGGAAGCAAACCAATACTGAGACACCGTGTGGACTTTTTGCTCTGGGTAGCAGGAGAAGTGTCCTTGTGATTGTTTTCTTTCTAAAAGCCCATATTTTTCCTTTAAATACTTAATAAGCACTTTTACTTGTATTTATTTTCAGTTTCACGGCATAGGTTAACTTATCAGAAGTTGCCCAGTTAGAACTGCGTTGCTTTTTTATACTTTTCAGAACCTAAAACGGGAATTTCAATTTTCAAAAAACAGAATGAGTATAAAAAAAATTGAACTCATCATTGCTATCCATACAAATTTGAAGAGTAATCATATTTGGAGGTACTTTTGGAAAAATGTGGAGTTCTTGTCATGAAACTTCTGTAATAAACAAGTAACTCTCAATTATATATGATAACTGGGGACTTAATGTTTCAAAGATAATTTATATTCACAGGTAATCCTAAAATCTTATTTTAGCCAATAATTTCAATGCCCCTTTGTAGAAAACCTTTGTGCTATTTATCAAATAGCAAAGTGAATTGATTTGCATTTGTTCTCCTTTTATTTCCCTTGCTTACCAAATGGTGGAGGTCCTAATGAACAATGACAAAAAGGTAGGCAACAAAAAGGAGAACAGAAAAAAGACTTAGATAATCCTTAAACTGAATAATCAGTATGGATTATAAGAAATGGTGTAAAGCAAACTGTCCTGAATATCCATGATTTTAGGATTCCTAATATTTGAATACTTGATGAGAAGTCGATTTTTATTTTCCTAACATGTTTTAAAATGAAACATTCATATACATTTCATTTACAGAAACTAAAGAAAAATCAATATGAAATTAAGTGTATTTGTCAATTATATAAATATGTATCATTAAAAAGCCCTTTTCCTGCTATTAAAAAATGTTCATTTTAAGCAATTGAATACATCACCTATCTTGAGAAAAAAAATTTTAATGTCCAAGAGTTATTTTTCTTATGCTATATTTAAATACTTGCCTTAAAAAAAATCTCTCTTCAGTGCCTTCCACTAGTACTACTTGTAAAAGAAGTAATTACTCAAAATGTGATTTAAAAACCTGTAACGTTTAAGAAAAACTATTTAATTCTAAATGAAACAGAGATGAAACATACAGTTTGACAGCTCAGCAACTCAGACCATTTATCTTGTTCTGTAGGCTTCGATAATTCACAAATGGCTTCTCAGAAAAAAAAATGCAGCAAATACAGTGATCTCTAAGCTTTTTTGCTTTTCAAGGTTATGTTGCTTTAAATGTTTCCAAGATGCTCTGTCTTTCAGCTTTGATTTTCTTTTCTGAAAAGTTGAGCTATTACAGTTCAGAGATAATATATGCAAAGTATCCATTACTGTGCTGAACACACTGAAAATGTTAGCTGTATTAAAATTTGAACTGTCTTAACACCCTTAAACTACTACTTTAAGGTAAAAAAGTAATCCTAAGATGATGATGTGGCCAGGATGAGCTCCTGGGAAACCTGAGACATTTTCTTGTCATTTTGCTCACCAGGTGCTTTTCTACTTTTACTATTACTGTGCAGCTTAACAGTTTTTAATGTGTTTTGAGTTTAGATTCTGAGTCTTATCAATTTCTAGTGATTAGCCTTTTATTTATAGGTTAAAATGTTAAACGTTCTAATTTAAAATTTTAATAATTTTCAATAGGTTGAAAGACTTGAAGCCAAAGTAGTTGAACCCTTGAAAACTTATGGGACCATTGTGAAAATGAAACGGGTAAGTAAATCCATTTTCTCACTTAACTGTGAGTTACTCTGGCAAAGACTATGAGGTTTCCAATTGTTTTTTTAAATAAGAAATACAAAGTAGTGGCCAAGAGTGGTGGCTCATGCCTGTAATCCCAACACTTTGGGAGGTCGAGGCGGGCGGATCACGAGGTCAGGAGTTTGAGACCAGCCTGGCCAACATAGTGAAACCCCGTCTCTACTAAAAATAAAAAAAATTAGCTGGGCATGGTGGCATGCACCTGTAATCCCAGCTACTCAGGAGGCCGAGGCAAGAAAATCGCTTGAACCCAGGAGGCAGAGGTTGCAGTGAGCTGAGATAGCGCCACTGCACTCCAGCACAGGCGACAGTGTGAGACTCTGTCTCAAAAAAAAAAAAAGAAAAGAAATACAAAGTAGTATATAGTCATTCTTTTTACTCTGAAAGATCACTTAGATCTTTAAGAATAATGAAATAGTTTTAATGAGCTTATTAAGTATACTGTAGCAATATAGACATTATTATGGAAACTTTAAAATAATTATGAAAAATATATGGACAGAAATTGCTTTACTATATGAATATAAGTTTTTCTTTAAAGCGATAGCATTTAGACTTTTAAAATGTGTGAGAGAGTTCTATTTTTAAAAGTTACTTTATTGATAATTTACATCAGCAGTCCCCAACCATTTTGGCACCAGGGACCGGTTTTGTGGAAGACAATTTTTCTTTAGTTCACAATAGGGTTTGCACTCCTATGAGAATCTGATGCTGCCTCTGATCTAACAAGAGGCAGAGCTCAGGCCTTAATGCTAGCTCGCCCACCACTCACCTGCTGTGCTGGCCCAGTTCCTAATAGGCCTGGGGGTTGGGAGCCCTTGATTTATGTGCGATAAAATTCTTCCATTTTAAGTGATCATTGAGTTTTGGACAAATGTTTATACCCATGTAACCACTACCGCAATCAAAATTACACATTTATATGCATATATCTATTATGGTTAATAGTTTTGCACTGAAATTGTGTCATTATTTTGAGAGAATATTAAACACATTCTCACATACATAGACACTAATTATGTAATACTTGTAATTCCTGTGGTAATGGTACCAGGATCACACAAGAAGTATTCTTCCATTCTTAAAACAATTCTTAAAAGAATTCTTCCATTCTTAAAACTGAATTTTCTTAAGTCAGACATTTTTACTAACAAAAAAATGCCAATTTGCAGGATGACCTCAAAGCAACACTCACAGCAAGGAATCGAGAAGCTAAGCAATTAACTCAGTTAGAAAGAACACGTCAGCGAAACCCATCTGATCGACATGTTATTGTATCCTTTGAATTTGGGTCTTTAAAAAAATGTTTAAGGTATGGAGTACAAAAGTAAATGTATATAGAAATTGTGCATTTTTACTTTTAAACGAGTAGAGAATTTGAATATAAAGATTGAAAAGAAATGCATTTAGGAATTCTCACTATAGAAATTTTAAAGAGGTTACGCCACCTAATTCAAATCCCCTTATATTGTTTTACACAGTAGACTTTGCAAACGAACAAACAAAAAATTCAGATGTTTTTATAAACAGTAAATTCAAATTTCTGAATTTTATTTTCACATGGTGATGACTAAATATTAATTCTACAATTAAAGATCTATTGTTAATCCTAATATATCAGTGTCCTCTATGCCCTGCTTTGAGAAAAGGAAAGAAAATTTTCCCATTTAATTTCCTTCATCTTTTAGAAATAAAACAACTATGTGACATCATGACTTCCAGCCAGTTAACCTCAGGAGTCTTAAGAGTATAATTAAGATCCAAGTTGGACACAAACCTAGAAAGGACTGTCTACTATAACAAGGTTCTTCTGTTAAACATGACTTTCTTAAACTACAATGTGCCTTGTTCGTGAGTAAACAAAAGCATACAAAATAGTGCCTAATTGCCAGCAACTGAGATGGGTAGGACTGTGTAGAAAGCACTAACATCTGGCTGGGCGTGTTGGCTCGTGCCTGTAATTCCAGCACTTTGGGAGGCCGAGGCAGGCAGATCATGAGGTCAGGAGTTCGAGACCAGCCTGGCCAACATAGTGAAACCCTGTCTTTACTAAAAATACAAAAATTAGCCAGGCATGGTAGTACACACCTGTAGTCCCAGCTACTTGGGAGGCTGAGGCAAGAGAATCGCTTGAACGTGGGAGATGGAGGTTGTGGTGAGCTGAGATCACACCACTGCACTCCAGCCTGGAAAACAAAGCGAGACTATCTCAAAAAAAAAAAAAGAAAAAGAGAAAGAAAGCACTAACATCCCTACTGCCTCTTTTTCCCATTCCTTCTTCTATATGTCTCCTTCCTGCTTCCTTAAGGTTGTTACTGCCCAGCTCAGCCAGAAACCACATGAGGAGTGGCTCTTTGAGAGCATTTGAGGTTCCAGAACACCTCCATTCCTGAGGGGAGTCTCTTGAGCAGCGATTTGGGGCTGCGCCAGTTGCTTGGTCCTTCTTCCTTTGGACCAAAGGTACAGAAGCCCAACTTTGTACTAAACAAAAATGGGCAGCCATAGGGCTGGGAGTGCCCACTGGAGACTGGGACAGAAATATCTAGATAGTCATAGTGGCATAAGATCCGCAAATGGAGATTATAGAATCTGTGTTTTAAGCAAGTCAGACAAACCAGAGAATGCTGGAAAATTTATGACTGATAACTAGAGATCAAGGCAGAGGCTATGGGGCAGGGTGGGTGGGGGGGTTCACCAGTGTTTAAGAATTAAGCTAGGGATGAAAATTTTTTGTTTTGTTTTGTTCTTTGTGGCCTGGAGTTGGGGAGGTGGTGATACATGAAGACATCTGGAATCCTGAGTAGTTGGCAAGATTGAATCAGGAGTACTGGTGTCTACAGTAAACACAGAAATGAATCTATTCCTAAGACAAACATTTTTCTGACTTGGATGCTGTGCTGTAAACACTGCTGTGGAAGGGAGATAATCTTAGAGCACAGATGAAGCAGGTCTTTGGGTTCACATGGTGAGGAAATAAATATAACCTAAGAGATTACTGCCACAGGTGAGTCAGTGTGCTCACTGGGTAAGATCTGCAACTTGTGTATTTTGACAACCTGAGACCAAAACATGAAGGACAATCTACATACAAATGTAGTCAATATAAATATACAAATATTCGATCATAGTATTATGGCATATTTCCCAGGATAAACTCTTAAAATTCATCTATGTAGAAGTATGTTTAAGTTTGATATGTAAGATAAAATGGAGTCCCTCTGATAGAGAGGATAGGGAAAAGAAGAATCCCATGGCTCTGCCTGCTCACCCCCCAAGTAGGGCTCCAGGTGACTCCTGAACAAGCTTCCTATAATGCAGTGTGAGAAATACCAATCTGGCTTACCCTTTTAAAAATCATTTTGAACTCTTAATTAATTCCATTTAATATACTGATATCTGTATTCATGGAGTTGTATCTTAGTATTTTAATCCAAAGCATTTCCTACTCAAGTTGGTATATTATAGAATTTTGAAGAATTTTCAGTGAAAAGAAGAAATATTAGAAATCTATATTCTCTTTGCTAAAAATGGATGTGTTACTTTAGGTGAGTTGCTATGCTCAAGTAAAGGGATTTGAGACTTTCAGAAATAAATAGTAGTTGCTGGAGGGTGATAGAAGATGAAGCTACACATATCCCGGTTATGGCTTCTGTTTCCCCATGCTTCCCTGATTTAGCCAACTCTACTTACTCTTCTAAATTTTAAAATGAAAATATCAATAAATGAGGAGGGTAAAGACATGAGTCAAAAGGAAGTAGTCACAAGTAAAAAGCTGCATCAGTCATGTGTAATAAACAGTATTAGGAATTAGTCTGCTTGAATATTCTCATTAGCACAAGGTTAACATGTATCAAATAACTGTTAGAGATTTTTTCATAGTAGTAAGTCTTCAAAGGAGCTCTATTTTATCTTTGAATTTCCTGTGATGAAGTTGTGGTTTAAAGAATCTCAAACACAGAAATACAGAGAAATGTTTTTGATTCCTGGTTATGATTAAGTTGAAAGTTTGTATGATTTTTTAAAATTCTACACCCCATATTGTAAATGTATATACAAACACAGAGAGGTATAAATGAATATAATTTTAAGTACTTAGTATCTTGAAAATGTGTAGTTGAATGAACTGAATTACATAAGTAACCATAATTGATATATGGTTACAATTAATATATAACCTAATTGTAAGTGTATATAATTCTATGAGTATATAAATTTATTGAAAAAGCTGTTATACTCTCTTTGAAATGTATTTTTTCCTTTATGAAAAATTTCAGTCACAGGTGGGTAATAAAGTGGTGTGTCAAGAAATGGATCCTTATAGTAAACCCTTTTACTTGTTTCAATTTATACATTTTCTTGAAAAAGAAAGCAAAAGCTAAATGTCACAGTATTACTTATCACAGAACTTTGACAACAAATGCAAACTTTTTCTATGATTAATTATTAAATGATGATATATGTGACTTTTGAGTAAATATAATATTAGCACAAGAAACAAAACTTTATTAGGAAGAATTTAATCCGAAAACTGGGCTGTGTCTTTTTAAATTTCTGTGTTACCTTTTAAGAAAAACTCTTAAATGTTTTTGGGCAACTTTTGTTCTAGCAGACGAGATGCTTAAAGAGAGATACACAGTTAGATTAGAAATATTACTATAGCTACTGACTATATATGGCTGTTGAATTCTTGAAATACAACTAGAGTAACTTTGGAGCTAGTTTTTAATTTTTTATTTAATTTTAATTAGTTTTAATGAAAATAGCCCCATATGGCTAGTGGCCACCATATTGATTGGACAGAACAGATCCAGATAATATGAGTACATGTCCAAGCGTGTTAGACTTGCCATCTAATTTTAGTTACTAGTGTATTTATTTTTTGTAATAAGCATTAACTAAATAGAAGCAGTGTAACATGGTTGTCTTGTAAAGAAGAATCTACAAGTAGAAGTCCCATGCTGAAATATTTGTAGTGTATATTGTATTCCACCTGATGAGGATATTATAGAATTAGGAATATTTAATGCATTTGGAGAACAAGTAGAAGTAAGCAAGGTAGAAAGAAAGAGTCTTTGGTTATATACCTGCTAACTCAAAATACCTCAATGTTGTAATGATTTCAAAAATCAAACTCTCAGTGGTAGAAATTGTCATAGCTGTCTCTCTACTGTGTGCCACTCTCCTTAGTCATTTCCAAAGATGATTTCATGTAATCCATACAATAGTCCTATGAGATAAGCATAAAGAGTAAGAGATAATAGGCCAGGTGCGGTGGCTTACACCTGTAATCCCTGCACTTCGGGAGGCTGAGGCTGGTGGATCACTTGAGGTCAGGAATTCAAGACCAGCCTGGCCAATGTGACGAAACCCCATCTCTTCTAAAAATACAAAAAATTAGCTGGGTGTGGTGGCATGCACCTGTAATCCTAGCTACTCAGGAGGCTGAGGCAGAAGAATCACTTCAACCCAGGAGGCGGAGGTTGCAGTGAGCCGAGAGCGTGCCACTGCACTCTAGCCTGGGCAACAAGAGCAAAACTCTATCTCAAAAAAAAATAAATAAAAAAGAGATAATCTGTAATTGAGAGAATTGAAATAATTTTTACTAAGTCATAAGTCCTTTTCAGGGGAGAAATGGCTAATGGAGAGAGAGACAAAAGAAAAATAATTTTTGATAAATGGCACAGGTAGTGAAATAGAGGGAAGCAGTAGAAAATATGGGAGATGGTTTTACAGTAGGTTATCCAAGGGTGTCTGGAAAAAAAATTATTTTATAGACAGAAAGGGAAGGATTTGGGGGTAGTTTTTGTTCTTAGGGTTTTTTTTCTAGATCATGAATCATATCACTAAATAAAGTTCTTTATTCTGCATGTGCTTACATAGATCATTTTATTATATATGGTAAAATATAATATTAACAATTTACACTGTTATGCCAAAAAGCCAGTACTGCAATGGTAGAATTTACCAGTAGGCTCAATTGAATGAATTCTCATTTGATTTTTTTTATATCCTTGGTTGGGGAATACTTTTGTAGGCAGAAACGGAATTACAGAGAGCTGCAATGGATGCTAGCCGAACAAGTCGTCATCTGGAGGAAACTATTAACAACTTTGAAAGGCAGAAAATGAAGGATATAAAGGTAATAAAGTAACTGTTAGGGTTCAAAACATGTTTTTAACCTTTTTTTTTACTTTAATGAAAAATTTAAATTACTCTAAATTTTTTAGCCCATAATACCCCTTATAAAGAAAATATGATAAATAAGGGGGCGGGCACAGTGGCTTATGCCTGTAATCCTAGCACTTTGGGAGGCCAAGGCAGGTGGATCAGTTGAGGCCAGGAGTTTGGGATGAGCCTGGGCAACATGGAAAAACCCCATCTCTACAAAAAACTAGCCAGGTGTGGTGGCACATGCTTGTAGACCCAGCTTCTTAGGGGGCTGAGGCAGGAGGATCACCTGAGCCTGGGGAGGTCGAGGCAGCAGTGAGCCATGACCGTGCCACTGCACTCCCTGCAGTCCAGCCTGGGCAACAGAGCCAGACCCTGCCCACCCCACCCCACAACAACAAAAAGAAAACAGAAAAAGCAAAAAATATTACAAATAAAATGTATTGGTTTTTTTTTTAGTAGAAACAGTGATATATAAAAGACCAACATTTCCAACCAGAAGCCAGATATTCAGCTTTTTATCACAAATACTATTTAATCAAGGGGAACTAACATTTATTGTGTTTTTATATGCCAGGCACTTTACATAAATTCTTGCAGTCTTCACAGCAACTCCATGAGGATGAGGTGGTGTTATGAAATTAAGCAGCCAGGCACAGTGGCTCACACCTGTAATCCCAGCACTTTGGGAAGCTAAGGCGGGCAGATCACTTGAGGTCAGGAGTTTGAGACCAGCCTGGCCAATGTGGGGAAACTCCATCTCTACTAAAAATACAAAAATTAGCCAGGCGTGATGGCACACACCTGTAATCCCAGCTACCTGGGAGGCTGAGGCAGGAGAATCACTTGAACCCAGGAGGTGGAGGTTGCAGTGAGCCAAGAAGATCATGCCACTGCACTCCAGCCTGGGTGACAGAGCGAGACTCTGACTCAAAAAAAAAAAAAAAAGAAATTAAGCAGAGACATAAAATATTTTACCCAAAGTACAATAGCCAGAAATAGGAGCTATAAACCAATTTTTTAATCTGTGGTTTCTGTTATAATACAGTCATTAATTTTTATAGCTTAATATTTTGTAGTAACTACATATCATCAAATAAGTAAACAGGGTAATAGTAGCCAACCACGTAAATTTGCATCTACTATGATATGGTATCTTAGTCAACAAAATCACAAGAATTGCCTTATTCTAACACATATGTAGATTTGAAACTTTCTTGGGGATCATGAAATTCAGCAGGTCTTTTTGATAACCATCTTGGAAACACTTGAAGGACCTCTTATGACCATCTTACAGACTAAAACTCATCTAAGGCTCTTTTTGGCTCACTGAAGATTTTCCTGTAACAGGCTTTAAATATGTTTGTTTTTATTTTACTACTATTGACAAATCTTCCTTCATAAGCTATATTCTTTCAATAAAATAAGCATTATCTGCCACTTAATTATATTATTTATCTCTGAAATCCATGAAACAGTATTCATTTACATCTTTTATTTTCTTTAATTTCCTGTCATAGTTTCAAAGGATTTCTGAGCTCAATTTAGTCACAGGCTCTGTACTCTTCTATGTAATAGTAGATTGCTACCCACAGAAGAACATCTCAGGAGGCTGTCCCGAGACAAATTCCTTTACCAAGCTAGGAGAGTATGGTCAGGGTATAAAGTTTTATAATTGCTGACATTCCCTCTTAAACTGAGCAAGGAAGGAGAATTATTAAGATAATTAATTAGCCTTAACCTGAAAAATGGGAATGGAGACTTGTGAGCTATGCCTGATTCCACTGTTGGATAAAGGCTTCTTTAGTGATGGGAAACTGATTCCTTGCTCCATCATTGTTCCTCAGACCTGCAAATTTTTCATTTACACATGGAAATTTGTCTCTATTCTGATCTTTGGGCTCACTTCTATGTTCTGCCTGGATGCTGGTTTTAATTCCCTGAGCATTACACAGTACCAAACCCCACAGAGAAAGTGAGTGCAGCATTCCCAGCTACAATTCCTGCTACCTTGGATTTCCTGAAGCAACAGGAGATGGAGTAAGGTGCTGTATGGTGGAGGGTGCACAGAGAAGAAAAGAGCTTCTGAGCTTTTCTCTATTGTGCCCCCTAAAGAGGAAAGTCTCTTGATTTTAGGAAGTCTCTTGGTCACAGAAGAAAAATTTTTTAAAAGACAGGAAGAAACTTACACTTTAAAAACATTGGGCTATAATTCACTGTGCAACTCTGGTCTTGAGTGTATACACAGATATATATCACCACTCAATGTTAGAACATTGTCATCACTTCAACCTTGTACAGTTTAGCTTTTGCCCCCCTGCCTGCCTCCCAACCCTAAGCAGCCACCACTAATTTATGGATTGAGCTATTCTGCACATTTCATAGAATGGAATCATCAAATATGTTGACTTCTGTGACTGGCTTCTTTCACTTAGCCTGCTTTCAAGGCATATCCATGTTGTAGGATGTATCAGTACTTCATTCCTTTTTTTGACCAAATAGTATTCCATTGTATGGATATACCACATTTTGTTTACTCATTTCATGGACATTTCGGTGGTTTCCACCTTTTGGCTATTGTGAATGCTAATATAAACATTTATGTACAAGTCTTTATGTAGACATATATTTTCATTTCTTTTGGATATATACCCAGGAGTGGAATTGCTGGATTATTTGTAACTTTATGCTTAAGCATTTGAGGAAGTGCCAGACCATTTTCTAAAGTGAATGCACCATTGTGTTTGCCCACCAGCAGTATATGAGAGTTACAACTTCTCTGCATCCTCACTACTTGCTATTCATCAGACTTCTTGATTGTAGTTCTCCTAGTGGATTTGAAGTAGTAGTTTTATTGTAGTAGTCGTCTCATTATAGTTTTGACTTACATTCCATGATGATGCTTTTTTTTTTTTTTTCTTAAGATAGAGACGAGGTCTCACTATGTTGCCCAGGCTGGTTTTGAACTCCTGGTCTCAGGTGATCCTCCCACTTCAGCCTCCCAAAGTGCTGGCATTACAGGCGTGAGTCACTGTGCCTGGCCTGATGATGCTTTTTGGCCATTTGTGTATATCTGCCTTGAACAAATGGCTATTGAGATCCTTTACCCTTTTTTTCTCCTTTTTTTTCTTTTTTTTTTTTTTTTCGAGACAGATTCTCGCTCTGTCGCCCAGGCTGGAGTGCAGTGGCGCGATCTCGGCTCACTGCAACCTCCACCTCCCAGGTTCAAGTGATTCTTCTGCCTCAGCCTCCCAAGTAGCTGGGATTACAGGCATGCACCACCACACCCGGCTAATTTTTGTATTTTTAGTAGAGATGGGGTTTTACCATGTTGGCCAGGCTGGTCGTGAACTCCTGACCTCAGGTGATCTGCCCACCTCCACCTCCCAAAGCTCTGGGATTACAGGCGTGAGCCACCATGCCCGGCTCCTTTACCCTTATTTTAACTGGATTGTCTTATTTCTGAGTTGTGAGAGATTTTTATATATTCTAGATAGAAGTCCCTTATCAGATAATCTGCAGTTTTTCCCATTCTGTGGGTTGCCTTGTCACTTTCTTGATAGTGTCTTTGAAGCACAGGTTTTTAATTTTCATGAAATCCAATTTATCTCTCTTTTCTTACTTGTGCTTTGATGTTATAGCTAAGAATCCACTGCCAAATCCAAGGTCATGAATATTTATTCCTATGTTCTCTTAACAATTTTATAGTTTCAGCCCTTATATGTCTTTGATCCATTTGAATTAATTTTTATATATGGTTAAATTTTGTAAAGGTTAAATTTCATTCTTTTGCATATGACTGTCTGGTTGCAGCACCATTTGTTGAAGGGACTATTCTTTCCTCAATTGAATGGTCTTGGCATCTTTGTTGAAAATCAGTTGATGTGGTTTTACTTCTGGGCTCCCTTTCCTTTTCATTGATCTATGTGTCTATCCTTATGTCAATACCACACTGTCCTAACATTGCTTTATGGTATGTTTTTAAATCAGGTAATGTGAGTCTTTGTACTTTCTTCTTTTTTTAAAATTGATGTGGCTATTCTGGATCTATGGCAATCCTGTATGAATCTTAGAATCAATTTGTCAATTTCTACAAAGAAGTCAGTTCGGGTTCTTACAAGGATTGTATCAAATATGTAGATCAATTTGAGGAGTATTGACATCTTAAGAGTAATTCTTCCAGTCCATGAACATGGGATATTTTTCCATTTATTTTAATATTCTTTAATTTCTTTAAACACTATTTGTAGTTTTCAGAATATAAATTGTGCACATCTTTTGTTAAACTTCTTCCTAAGTATTTTATACTTCTTGTTGCTATCGTAAATGGATTTGTTTTCCTAATTTCATTTTCAGATTGTCACAAATGTATAGAAATACAGTTGATTTTTGTATACTGACTTATGTCTTACAACCTTGCCAAACTTGATTATTAGTTCTAATAGTTTTTTAGTGGATTCGTTACAATTTTCCACATATAAATTCTGTTTTCTGCAACAACCTACAATTTAAATGCAAACTCCCATAACCCTAGCAGACTCCCAGAAATATGAGCACTAGATATCAATACCAGAGTCTGTTAGGGTTCTGAATCTCCATTCTGCACATCATTCCTCATCACTGTCAAATTGCTTCCTTTCCAAGTAAAGCCGCATTTGGGATCTTTTATAATAAAGAGGGATGTAGAAATCTCACAACAGTAGCCTCAAAGATCAGTCAATAAGGGTTACATTATAGCCCCCTTACTTTTTTTTTTTTTAATAGAGCTGGTGTCTCCCTGTGTTGCCCAGGCTTGTCTCAAACTCCTGGGCTCAAGCAATCCTCCCACCTCAACCTCCCCAGGTGCTGGGATTACAGGTGTAAGCTACTGTGCCTGGCTGGCCCCCTTATTTCTAATAAAAACAATAGTCAGATATTACCATGTTGATCTTAGCATGTCTCATAAACATTTCTGTGAGATAAATGCCTGGAAAAGTCAGATTATTGATACCACTCTTAATTTGGGGAGAAACGGAACATTCCTATTCTTACCTGTTATCAGGCTACTGCTTCTGATAAGGGCAGAGTTTGTGGCTCCTTTAACCATTCTGGAAGCAGAAATGATTGGCAGTAGTGAGCACTGCTCATAACTGTGAGTGCATTACTGTGTTTGAGGTGAGTTTAATTGATAAGTCCATTTGAATTTTGGTATTGGTATTAAACAGCAAGGTAATACATTTTTGAAGACTTTTCATAGGAACTTTGCAGAGTGTCTCTCTGAAATCGGCTGGCATAGAACTTAGTGTACAAAATGAGAGAAAAATCACAATCCTGTTTGTTTCCATGTATTAGGAAAAGTCATCAGTATATGATGAATGTCAAGGGAATTTCACAGTTACAAAAAAGGTACTTAACCAGGAGTTGCTCCTGTAACAAATGGGGATGGGAACTCAGTATGTAGTGAAGTAGCTGACATGAGCAAGAAACATCATAATTAATTTTTATAGCTTTATTTTTATTATAAATATAAATCATAAAACTTATCCATAAAATTAGACAAAAATTTAGTCTCACCACCCAAAAATATTCATTTTTTATTTTATCCTTCCAGATTTTTCCTATGCATATATACAGAGACATAGTAATAACAATAACAAACATTTCTTAAACATTGTCTGTGTGCCAGGTACCATTCTAAGCATTTTGCATGAATAAACTCATTAATTCCTCAAAACATCATTATGAGGAAGGTACTATTTTTAGTCCTAACAGTTATACATCAATGGGACCACCGTATATATAGCATCTCTTCTTAAAACTTATGGATATATTTATGCCAAGAAACAGATCCATATCATTTTTTTGTTATCTTTATGATATTCTGCAGTATGGTTATACTAGTTCATTTAACCAGTCCTCATTGGTGAATGTCTAGGTTATTTTTGCAATTGTAGCTGTCACTGCATCATTACACATTGTTAAACAGCAGCCTTTGTGCTGGCCCAGTTATTCTCTTGAGATAAATTACCAGAAGTGGAGTTCCTCCTTCAGAGCATACTTTTAATTTTAATATATATTTTTAAAACTTCTGTCCACAAAGGTTAAACCAATTTACGTTCCTACTAAACCTTGCATAAGCACAGGTACAATGGTGAGTTTGTTTTTTTGTTGTTGTTTTGAGACAGAGTCTCGCTCTGTCACACAGTCTGTAGTATGGTGGCATGATCTTGGGTTACTGCAACCTCTGCCTCCCGGATTCAAGTGATTCTCCTGCCTCAGCCACCCAAGTAGCTGGCATTACAGGCGTGCACCACCATGCCCAGCTAATTTTTGTATTTTTAGTAGAAACAGGGTTTCACCATGTTGGCCAGGGTAGTCTAGAACTCCTGACCTCAGGTGATCCACCTGCCTCGGCCTCCCAAAGTGCCAGGATTACAGGCATGAGCCACTGCACCCGGCCTGTGTTTGTTGTTTTTTTTTTTTAATATGACAATGTTGACACCATAAGTTGCAGTATTTTTAATAATAGGTAAAAAATCAGTATCATTTGTGTTATTACTGCTGAGCTTTTTAAATGTATTTAGCGATACATTCCTTTAGTAAATTATATTTTTCCTTAACCTATATTTCTGTTGGATGTTGGAATTTCTTACTAATTTCTAAAAATTCTTTATATTGAGAAAATTAGCCCTTCAAATTAAAGAGAAAGTATGTTGCAAATGTATTTTCTCATTTTACTGCTTAGTGTTTTTGCCACCTCTAAGTTTTCTTTTTATTGCCAAATCCATCTTCTTATCTTTGGTTTCTTCCTTGGTGTCATGCTTAGAAAGGTTTTCATCCCCTAGGTTATATAAATACTTGCTTATATTTTCTTGATTTTTAAAATACTTTAAACATTAAATATTTAGCTGGCAGCTGTGTTTTGCATGTGGTACGACATGGATATATAACTTTAATTTTCAAATGGATAAACAGTTCTCTTACATCCTTTATTGAATATCCTATACGCTGGAGAGCTGTCATTTCCTCTTTGCGAAAATGTTCTTAAAACCTTTTCGTTAAAGATCTCTTTTGTTAATCAAACAAGATGGATGCTTTACTGTTAGTCATTACATCCAATTTAGCTAGTTGACTTTGTTGTTCTTGTTGAGACAGAAGTCTCCAAATGTTGCCCAAGCTGGTCTGGGACACCTGGACCCAAGGGAACCTCCTCCCTCAGCCTGCCAAGTAGCTGGGATTATAGGCACATGCCATTGTGCCTGGCTAGTTTACTTCTTGAGCATTAAAAATGGGTGTATTGGCTTGTCATCGACTCTTCGTTCAGTTTTCCCTCTAGGAGTTTCCACACTCAAGAAAACCTGACTCCTTTCTGGTTTGCAACTATCATAAGGACACTAACAACTAAGAGTAGGTCCCAGCCCTGGTCAGAAGCCATTCCTCCTCTAAGGTATTCCTGGGTATCTAGAGATACTTTAATATGAAATCCAAAATTGTATTTTAGCATAATGCCGTTTATCCATCAGTTGCCAGCCTGGTATACCTGAGCCCTCTATAACTTACATGAAGTGACAGTAAGGGTCATTGTGAATCATCGTTACAAGTCTTTTTTACCTAGGCCCTGTCCTCTCAGACTGACGTATATCACTGAGTAGCAATCAGAGCCTCTTAATGCTCCCTTAAGTGTTTTTCCAATCATCTAGGAAGAATGGGGCTGGAGGAAAGAATCACAGGCCACTGATAAGTATCTATATGGCTATCCTCCAAAGTATATGACCACTCCTTTCTGGGTTATCTTAGGAGAGCAGGGATGAAGGAAAATGTGTATTTGACTACTGCCTACTAATATAATCCATGCTTGAGTATTTTCTGCCTTGTTCTTATTCAGCCCAGTTCTCTCTACATTGCTTATTTTGTTATAATTAACAAAATGATAAGATCATATTTATTAAAAACTTGCCTGGTTTCCATCTTTTCCACACCTACTGATTACCTCACCCCCTGCTTAGATCAACATGCACATCTTCACTCATACTCTTTGTTCATGATCTTCCTTGTCATAGGTTTCCATCATGCTTATAGAGGTTACCTGCACGGTTTATCTGTGAAGGAAATGATTGATTCCGGCAAGAACAGCACAGTTCAGTGGGCAATAGCAAAAAAACCTTAAATGAGCTATAACCTTGTAGCCTTAGAATCAGATCTGTGTCTAAAGAGTCTGACCTGTGAGCAACACTGGGCAAGTCAATATTTGTAAACTAGAACGCTCTATGCAAATATATGGTGTTATCATCAGTGGCAGGAGTGTCATTACTACCAAGTAACTCCTTTATGTTTAGAGAATACAAGTAGCATACAGTGTGGAACATAATTCCTGTTTAAAAAACGTTCTCCTGTTTAAACATCAGTTGGAATTGCTAAAACACCAGCTTCATAACTGAACTGCTCTAATACTTAATAAGCATATGGTATTAAAATTATATAGTAGCATACATTTTAGTCAGATCTTATGTTATTATAAATGTCAATTACTAGGTATAAAGAGAACTAACTAAAATAAAAAATAAGAGGGAAGTGGATGGTGATAAAGGAAATACTTTGTATTATTTGAAGGTTTGGCAGCAAAAGGTCTTCACAACTGTTTTTCAGTTATCTTTTGTACTTTATTTACCCTATAGAAAAACAGATACTTCTGTATTTTATAAAATACCAAGACTATAGTGAGGAATAAAGTTACTATATTCATAAAGAAATTTAAATCATTGTTTAAATTCAATTCTTTGGTTTTTTTTAGACTATATTTTCTGAATTTATCACAATCGAAATGTTATTTCACGGCAAAGCTTTAGAGGTCTACACTGCTGCCTACCAGAATATACAAAACATTGATGAAGATGAAGATTTAGAGGTAGGACTATGTCTATCTAAGCTCAGTTCTTCTGTTAATGTGGAAATATTTAAAAGAGAACATTAGTATGTGATTAATATCTTTTTTTTTTTTGAGACAGAGTCTCACTCTGTTGCCCAAGTTGGAGTGCAGTAGTGTGATCTCAGCTCACTGCAACTTCCGTCTCGTGGGTTTAAGCAATTCTTCTGCCTCAGCCTCCTAACTAGCTTGGATTACAGGTGCCCGCCACCATGCCCAGCTAATTTTTGTATTTTTAGTAGAGATGCAGTTTCACCATGTTAGCCAGGCTGGTCTTGAACTCCTGATCTCAAGTGATACGCCCACCTCGGCCTCCCAAAGTGCTGGGATTACAGGCATGAACCACCGTGCCCAGCCATGATTAGTATCTTAACTTTGAACACTATAGTGGTTATTATGTGTAATCCAAAATAGATGAACTTTTATGATTTTCCATTTATTTTCAATTTTTCAAATTAACCATGGCAAAAGTTCCAAGAGTTAATTTATTAATAGCTAGTAAAATATAATTTACATAAAGCCATTAAATAAAATACTGTGTATCATTTTGACTGGTGATATAAGCCCACTGAAGTGTGCTAAAAAATAGTTAACATTTATTGACTTCAGTAACATTTGAGTGTTTACATCATGCACAATGCCCAAAGCTTTACATGCATTTTCTCATTCAAACCTCAAAATCTTAGGTGGTAGGTGCTGCTATAACTCTCATTTTACAACTACAGAAGCAGGCTTAGAGGATTTAAATAACTTATTTGTGGCCACTTAGCTAGTAAATAGCAGAATCAGGATTCTGACTGACTGTGTAATGTAATCACTAAGCTATGAAATAAATGTAGGTTATGTAAGCTTGCTTTATGCTGATGGTTTTAGTTAAATGCAAATAATTCTGATTGGCCAACTAACATTAGAGCAAGTAAATATCAAAGACTGGTCCTCAATGAGCAATTCTGTAAATATCCAACCCTCTTACCTTCCAAACGGAAAAAATGAAGGTACGAAAGTATTTATGCTGAAGTAACTGTTCAAGACATACTTTCCCCATCTCATCTCTAATATAGAAGTGAAAAAAGCCATGTAATCCCACATATAACAAGAGTTCTGTATTAATAAAATATGGAAGTGTCTACCACTTAACAAATTTGAAGATTCCCCCGATTTTTTTTTTTTTTTTTTGTATCTTCCCCCGCCTTCCAAGACAGAGTCTTGCTCTGTCACCCAGTCTGGAGTGCAGTGGTGCGATCTCGGCTCACTGCAACCTCCGCCTCCTGGGTTCAAGTGATTCTCCTGCCTCAGCCTACCTAGTAGCTGGGATTACAGGTGCCTGCCACCATGCCCGGCTAATTTTTCTATTTTTAGTAGAGATGGGGTTTCACCATGTTGGCCAGGCTGCTCTCAAACTCCCGACCTCATAATCCGCCCGCCTTGGCCTCCCAAAGTGCTGGGATCACAGGCGTGAGCCACTGCGCCTGGCCTAGTTTTTTTTGTATCTTAACTATCAGTAAAGAGACCCTCTGAGCCTTCCTGTCCCATTACTCCACGGGCTCCAGGAAACTTAAAACCAGAATATAGGTTAAAGAGAATGAAGAAAGTACATATTACAGTATGTGTATATGTGTTTCTAATGTCAAAATCTAATTTGTTTTATATCAGTTATATATACATATTTATATTTCTCTATTTGTCAATCATGACTTCCCAAGTGTTAATTCCAAACACTACAGCTAAGGTTTCTTAACTTTCACTCCTTTTCATGTCCTGCTTTTAAAAATTGATTATGAAGGCCAGGCACAGTGGCCCACACCTGCAATCCCAGCACTTTGGGAGCCCAAGGCGGGTGGATCACCTGAGGTCAGGAGTTCGAGACCAGCCTGGCCAACATGGTGAAACCCCATCTCTACTAAAAATACAAAAATTAGCCAGGCTTGGTGGCACGCGCCTGTAATCCCAGCTACTCGGGAGGCTGAGGCAGAAGAATCGCTTGAATCCGGGCGTCAGAGTTTGCAGTGAGCCAAGATCATGCCACTGCACTCTAGCCTGGCAACAGAGTGAGACTCCATCCAAAAAAAAAAACTTGATTATCAAGCTTTCATCTGTCATTTATAAAATAATAAAATAGCAAACGTTTATATAATTACTTTGAGTCAGCTACTGATCTTTGCATTTTAACTATATCATTTTAATCCTCTCAATAACTTTGATAAAAGTACTTATTTCTGATTTCTGTGGATGAGAAAACTGAAGCACAGTGAGGTTAAGAAACTTCCCAGAGATCTCATAGCTAGTAAGTAGCAGAGCTGGAAGTCTGATCCGGAAGTCTGACTACAAGGCCCATTATGCTTTAATCCTCTCTACATTAGACTTCCAGAAGTATGGTTCTTGATGAGTGGCATTAACCATTTCCTGCAAGAAGTAACACTGCATTTAGTGGCAGCTTCAAAAGTGATCCCCCAATTCTCCTTCAAGACTGTAGTCCACTTTATAAGTATTTTCATTCTTCTTTGTATAATACCTTTGACATACCATTTGTTAACTGACCTTAAAGTTCCTTCAAGCCCTTCAGTCCCCAAGGTTTTCCTCCTCATCCCAGAGGTCCTAGATATTTTTTTGTCACACCACTTCCTTTATAACTTTTTACCAGTACTCTTAATCAGCCATCTAAGTAGTTTGTGGGAGAAGAGCTCTATGTAAAACTAAAGGTCTCCGGAATATGTGGTAGATTTTTTTTTAATATCAACTCCCCTACTTTCTAGTGAAGTAATACTGAGCAAGTTAACTTCTTCGCTCTTCAGCTTCCTCCTTTCTAAAATGGAGATACTGTAGTACTTACCTCATATAGTGTTTGTTCAACAACTGTTTATTGAGCACCTCATATGCACCAAGCACCATTCTAAGTGTGAAGGATGTAGCATTCTAAGAAACAGTCCAAGTTGTCAAAGCAGTAACTTTAAATCTACCAGGGAATTCAGACATTAAAAACTGTGTAATGATTTTTTTATATGACCAGTCCTATAAAGAAAAAAAAAAAGTGTTGTGTGTGATGGAGGGTTACAAATAGTCTGGAGAATCAGAGTGATTTCTTAGAATCTTGAGGGATGCATGGGAGGATGCCTGGCAAAAACTTTCAGGTAGAGGGCATAGATAGATATACCAAGGTCCTGAGGCAGGACTGTTGTGAAGAAAGAACAGTGTATTTAAAACAACACAGTTGAGAATCATGGCATGTCATGGAAAAAAACAAAAACAAAACAGCACAGTATAGGGCACGAGCACGTGTTCAATGAACCACAGGCATAAACTATTATTATGCCATTATTGTGGAGAGAACAGTCTGGAGAGAACTGTGGAACCAGGGGAAGTAACTAATTGATGTAACTGATATATCAAACAGGTACCTACCAAGAGGAAAGATCCTGTAAATACAGGTTTCTTGGAAAGAAGTAAAGAAAACATGCAGAAAAAGACAGAAATAACTTGCTATTCTTCCAGATAGTCCATGCTTTGTAAGAACCGCTGAGATTTATTCCAGCTGCAGCCAGTGTTTTGTAGTTAGGCACCTCCAGTTATATCACAAACCATCTTAATTGTTCTTCACATAAAAAGTACTGTCAGCTGGGCGCGGTGGCTCATGCCTGTAATCCCAGCACTTTGGGAGGCCGAGGCAGGCGGATCATGAGGTCAGGAGTTCGAGACCATCCTGGCCAACATGATGAAACTCTGTCTCTACTAAAGATATAAAAAATTAGCCAGGCATGGTGGCGCGTGCCTGTAATCCCAGCTACTCGAGAGGCTGAGATGGAAGGAATCGCTTGAACCTGGGAGGCAGAGGTTGCAGTGAGCTGAGAGTGTGCCAATTGCACTCCAGCCTGGGTGACAGGGTGAGACTCTATCTCACAAAAAAAAAAAATATTGTCAGGTCACCTCTGTATTAACTTCAGAGCACATTCAGATCTTGAGAACTGCTCTTAGAAGAGATCTTGGACCATGTTGGAAAATGCATTATTGCCAATAAATTGGAGTAAAATGTTAATTGTAATAAATATTTAACTGGTATAGACTTGTATCCCAAGGGTTACATACTGTTTTCCATTTCCCACTTTAAATTCCATCTTTGCTAGAAAAGTTAATGTTTTAAGAAAAATGTTTCTCCTCCAAATACCAGCTAATGAGTCATTGCATTTATTTTTTATTTATTTATTTATTTTTTTGAGACGGAGTCTCGCTCTGTCGCCCAGGCTGGAGTGCAGTGGCGCTATCTCCACTCACTGCAAGCTCCGCCTCCCGGATTCACACCATTCTCCTGCTTCAGCCTCCTGACTAGCTGGGACTACAGGCACCCGCCACCTCGCCTGGCTAATTTTTTGTATTTTTAGTAGAGATGGGGTTTCACCATGTTAGCCAGGATGGTCTCGATCTCCTGACCTCATGATCCGCCCGCCTTGGCCTCCCAAAGTGCTGGGACTGCAGGCGTGAGCCACGGTGCCCGGCCCAAGTCATTGCATTTTTATGTCATACCAGGATGTCAGTGGTCCATGTCTGGCACCAAAATTGAATTTGGTCCTTGGTAACCTGTTAACCTAATTAGCACCCCTGAATTACTTTAAAACACAAGTCTCACCTCCTGTCTTTTATCCTTGACTCCTTCCGTGTCCTGAAGTTCTCTTAAAGGAATGTGTAGCCACCCCCTAATTTAGGTCTCCTTTTCCCCCCCTCATAGATGTTAATTAAATTCACTTTTGCCAAATGAATGATGTTAACTATGTTTGCAACTTAACTGTTAACATCATTCATTTGGCAAAAATGAATTTAATTAACATCTTCTATTTGCCAGGGAGGAGATGCATAGATAAAACAGGGCTCCGTTGGTCTAGAGAACTTAAGACTCATTGAGACAGATATGTAATCAATTACAAAACACTGAGTTAAAAAGCAGTACTTGAGGGTATGAACAGTAGGTGCTACTCAGACAACAGGGGAATGCAGAAGAAAGATGGCGTTTTACATTGTGCTTGAAGGACAAGTAATTCTTGAAGGACAGTTTGTTGTAATTCTAGGCTAAGGAACCAGCATTGCAAAGGCATAGTATAACTTAGGTTCTGCATTTACAGTCAAGAGCCACAAAAAGTTTTAGAATAGAGAAAGAGGCCAAGCGTGGTGGCTCACACTTGTAATCTCAGCATTACGGGAGGCTGAAGCAGGAGGATTGCTTGCGGCCAGGAGTTTGAGACCAGCCTGGGCAACATAGCGAGACACTGTCTGCACAAAAAGTGAAAAAATTAGCCAGAGTACCCCTGTGGTCCCAGCTACTCAGGAGGCTGAAGCAGGAGAATCACTTGAGCCCAGGAGTTCGAGGCTACAGTGAGCTATGACTGCACTACTGCAATTCAGCCTAAGTGACAGTGGGTCCCTGTCTAAAGAGAGCAATAACATATTTTGGCCTTAAATAAAAAGTAAGCTGTGAAGGGTATGTAGAGTCAATAAAAGAGAAGTGCCTCAGGTGAGAAATGTATAAGTTTTATATATATAAAATTTTTTTTAAGACAGGGTCTCATCCTGTTGCCCATGCTGGCGTGCAGTGGCACAATCACAGCTCACTGCAGCCTTGACCTCTGAGCTTAGGTGATCCTCCCACCTCAGCCTCCCAAGTAGCTGGAATTATAGGCACGTCCCACTATGCCTGGCTAATTTTCATATTTTTTGTAGAGATGGAGTTTCGCCATGTTGCCCAGGCTGGTCTTGAACTCCTGGGGCTCAAGCGATCCGCCTGCGTTGGCCTCCCAAAGTGTCAGGTGAGAAATTTAGGGAGAATGCCCAGGCTTATAGTTTGGTCTTCTAGGTAAAAGATAATGTCTTTCATTGTAATAGCTAATCTAGAGCTACACGGTTCAGTAAAGTAGCCATTAGGCATATATAACTATTTAAAGTTCAATTTAAAAATTCAGCTCCTCGGCCACGTGAACCACATTTCAAGTGCTTAGTAGCCACACATGGCCAGTGGCTACGTTTCTGTACAGTACAGAACAGCAAGCATTTCCATCATCTCAGAAAGTTCTTCTGGACAGTGCTGGTCTAGAGCAGGAGATAGTTGGGAGCATGAATACAGCTATCACAGGGTATGCTTGTCAGGGGATTAGTTGAAGGGTAGTCATTAACAGTGTAGATAAGATCTTTCAGAGAAACTTTTTTTTTGAGACAGGGTCTCACTCTATTGCCCAGGATGGAGTGCAGTGGCGTGTTGTGATCTTGGCTCACTGCAACCTCTGCCTCCCAGGCTCAAGTGATTCTCCTGCGTCAGCCTCCCAAGTAGCTGGGACTACAAGCATGCACCACCACCCCTGGCTGATTGTTTTTTTGTTTGGAGAGATAGGGTTTCGCCATGTTGCCCAGGCTGATCTCAAACTCCTAGGCTCAAGTGATCCTCCTGCCTTGGCCTCCCAAAGTGCTAGGATTATAGGCATGAGCCACTGTGTGCAGCAGCATTGTTTTTATATATAATAAGTGGCCTAAAGGAAACCCTTTAAAAATATTTTAGGTATAAGTAGTAGAAAAGGAGATGTAAAGAAATAGAGAAGCCAGGACAATGAAAGAGTTTAGTAGCATTTAAGTTTCAGGAAGGGGGTCAGTGAGGATGAAGAGGAAAAAAAGACCTTGGTGATGTGAGGAAGAGCAATTTTAGTGGGAGGTGAAAAGCTCAATTGTAGTTTGTTGATAAATAAATGGAAAAGAAATTTGTTTAAAAAGAAAATGGAGATGAAGTCGAATATTCAAGAAAGTTTTTTAAGTAGTTATACCTTGAGATAACTAAAAAAAAAAAGACTGATCTTGAGCTTGTTTTTTAGGAGAGGGAACCTGTGACAACAAAAGCTTTTGTTGGTTGGGTTTGAAGTTTTGGTTAAAGGAAAAATGCACATTGGAACTAAATCAGAATGGTATTTTTAAAGAGAAAGAAGGAAAAGGAGGGGCGAAAAGCTTGAGGGAAAGTTCAAGAGATTCATATCTGATAACCTTACCTATTAGTCTATATAGAGAAATGGTGGGGGTAGGGTAGAAAAGATGGAGCTAGAAAGGCTTAAAAGTGGTAAACATTTGGAAATAGTGCCTTAAGGAAAGAGAACTGACAAGTCATGGCATTCCAGATCCTAGTAAGGTTGGAATCCATAAATTATAGTGGTTCCAATTTACTCTTATGTAATTTTCATAGCAGTACTGCAGAGTTAAATTGGTAAGAGTTGAGAATTTGCAGAACAGAAAGATTCAAAGGTATGAGTCGCAGCCTCCCTACTAGCTTGCATGCTCTTTGAGGGTCTCAACTTCTGCAGTTCTCCTGGCAAAAGCATTTAAATGATTGTTTCATGACTAATTACTGTTTAATATCTGTCATCATCTTACATAGTTCAAATAGAATTTTTAGCTTTCATCTTTCTAGCTTATTTTTGTTGTCTTTTCTTTTACATTTACAATAATTGGAATTTTGTCCATTTGGGGGGAGTTGTTTTTTTAAAAAAAAATCTTAACTAAGGAACTTAATTTGACTGTCTTGATTTTGTTTAGCATCTACTTTATAATGCTATTTTATCATTACAATAGGTTTTCCGAAATTCTCTGTATGCACCAGATTATTCATCTCGTTTAGATATTGTAAGAGCAAATTCAAAGTCACCTCTTCAGAGATCACTGTCAGCTAAGTGTGTATCTGGAACAGGACAGGTGAGCAAGAAACCGTACTCTAAAGGAATTTGAGCTGCTGCCTTTGGAATTGTTGAGTTCTAAAAATGTTTCCCCTCAGTCATATCACCTCGGTAACTTATCCTCCCCTGGACCTATTTCTTCTCTTCTATAAAATGACAGAAGATTGCATTAAGTGCAGCTCTATTATTTCTTAATTATCTTTTATACTGTAATTACATATTACTCTCTAAAGCATAACACTTGAGAGCAGAAGTGGAAAAGACAAAAGAATGCTAATGCAGATGTGTTATCTGCTATAATATGAAGAGCAGATTCTGAAGTCCAACTTAGGTTTAAATCTCACTATCAAAACTTAGTGGATCTCATTAAATTATAAAGTTAAATACCAAATTATACTAAAAAAGGGCTTTTACTGAACACAGAAATCATTTCATTTTTTTTCTATATCCAGAAAGCTTGAGTTTCCCAGTATCTAGAGCAGGGGCTGACAAACTTTTTCTTTAAGATGTGGAGACTAACATTCTTAGGCTTTGTGGGCCATATGGTTTCTACCCCAACAACTATAAATAACAACTGTTAAGTAACACATAAAGCAGTATGACTGTGTTCTAATAAAATTCTATTTACAAAAGCAGGAGGCTGGCTGGGCCGCAACTTGCCAAACCCTGATCTAGAGAGCTATGCCCTTTTCATATCTAGCCTTCAGAATATAAAATTCAACAAACTTATTTTCAAGATACAACTTTTAGGTAAATTTGATACCATACTTTCTATTTTCATTTGATTCTCCTGTAAGCATTTATTTTGTTTTATATGTATGTATCTCTCCCCCAACCCAATTGTATTTTTTTTATTCCGGCATTAAGTGCCTTGAACATAAATTCCATAAATTTACTTTTATAGTCCATATAAAGTTTTGACTACAACTAATAATGTCACCTTAGCTAACACTTGTATAGCACTTCAGAATGCATTATCCCAGGGTTTCTCAACCTCAGCACTGCTGACTTTGGGACAAATAATTGGGCCCACCAGGGAGGAAGAAGGGGACGGAATACTGTCCTGTATATTGTGACGACATCAAGCAGATATTAGCATCCCCCGCCTCTACCTACAACATGCCAGTAGCACACATAAACACACAGCCCCAATACTGACAAACAACAGTGTCTCTAGACATTCCCAAATGTCCCCTGGGTTAGATATAATCACCCTCAAGAGAAGTTTTAAGCAATATGCCCCACGTGGCGGCAGTCAGGCAACTTAAAACTGGTGAATTCAGATTCTCAACTCATTCCATTTAAATCACACTACTTTTACATCAGTATTTCTGTCCCACTGCCTAGCTGAAATATCCTTCTATTTTTGCCATCCATTTTATGATTCTCAAATGCTGTTTCTGTGACCCAAAATTTATTTTTAATATTCATAATATAGAGTCTATACTTTTAATGTTTTTGAAGTATTGATGGCTATCCAACTAAAATCAAATGGCTAATTACACATTTTTATTCAAAAAAATGTGATGAATGAAAAAACTGGCTTCTGAGCTTAAAATTCATAGGGAATTTTCACTACTAAAAATTATGACATGGACATTTTTTTGAAATATTTGTTGTGTGCCCTTTAATAGCATAAAAATATACCAAGAATGTAAAATTTTTTTAAGTTAGTATTTTTATTTTAAAAAGTGTGTTAACTTTTAACAGGTATCCACTTGTCGACTAAGAAAGGATCAACAAGCAGAAGATGATGAGGATGACGAGTTAGATGTTACAGAAGAAGAAAATTTTCTTAAGTAAACTACACATTTCCATTTTCATCATAAATGACTTGAAATCCACAATGACTAAATTGTAGAACTTTATACTCACTTTGCTATGTTAAGCCTCAAAGTGAAGTCCAACTGGAAACAGAAAAATAATTAAAGGAAACTTATGCTGACCAAAAATGAAGGCTTTAAAAAATATTGCATACCAGTCATTTCAACATCCTACCTAGTGTTACATGATTTTTGTGTAAGTGCCTTTTTTTTTAAAGATGGTGTATTTCAAAGTATTTCATATTAATGTACTATATCTACTTGAAGTTCCAATAGTACATTATGACAGAAACCAAAAGATCTAACAATTCTGCTTAGCTTTTTGGTTAAGACTCCATGCTTTCATTACCAGAAAAGGGTCTTACGTAGTCATTATGATTCATGGAATTCTATTCCATGAAGCCTTAAGAAAAAAAACTTTTTTTAACTTTCCCTGAAACTTTATCATTTGATAAGTAAATTTACTTTTCAAGAAGAGTATAACCAAAGAGTAAAGATAATGTGACACTAAGTTATCAATGTTTTATGAATACACATAAGGCATAAATTTCAGCTGTAAAAAAGCTACATTCAATCTGACTCTGGTTTTAAAACAAAACTGCTGTCATAATTATACATGATACTGCAACTTTTGGAAGGCTAATTTGGTGGAATGTTGCCTCATCATAGAACACCATAGATCATTAAAAATTCTATAAAAATTTTACCAAGCTACCATATAGTTAATAAAAGGGTATACAGTCACTTTTATTTCTGAAAATATAAAACATTGAGCCTTTCAGTGTATCTGATGCTTCTCTTTTGGTAAGGAATACTTTTATTTCATGGATCCCAGGCAGGCATATAAAAGTTACGGAATTTATAAAATCATTTGGGATAATTAGAAAATGCAATTATTCATAACAGAAAAATAAAGACTTTCTAGAAAGCTTCTGACTTTGTCAATCATGGCTCTGTTCTTAACAAAGCACTCCTTCCTGAGAATAGTCCTAAGTGACAAAGTTGTTTCAGTACTTTTTTGTAAAATATTTAAAACATTTTAAAACCCTAAATTGATATTCTTAAGAAACTCAAGATATCATTGGATATTTACTGCTTCCTCACTCAGTATTTAAATTTGGTTGTACTTCGGGGGAAAACAACAGAGTTATTATTTTGCTGCTTACTAAATAGCAACTTCTCTTGAGCATTATTTGCCTTGTTTGTAAAGTTAAAACTGCGTAAAACAGTAATTCTGGAATAAAACATACATTCTGCCTACCTCAAAGAAATATTCTAAGAACAAAAGGAATACTATCCATGAAAATACTTTCATTAATGTAAAATTTTCATTATTTAGACCAGCCTAGGTTGGCAAACTTCTTAAAGGGCCAGATAGCAAATACTGTTATTCTTCGTGGGTTTAGGCAAATTCAAGACTATTATACAGGTAACTATGTAACCATGTAAGACTTAA
Organism: Homo sapiens; assembly: GCF_000001405.40. Taxonomy (NCBI): domain Eukaryota; kingdom Metazoa; phylum Chordata; class Mammalia; order Primates; family Hominidae; genus Homo; species Homo sapiens. The sequence continues at coordinate 93,729,774 of NC_000008.11, forward strand.
GTACACTTAAAAAATGTGAAAAACCATTCCTAGCTTCCACTACAACAACAACAAAAAACAGGCAACCAATCCAACCAACCCAGCCTGTAAGTCTCCATCTCTTATCTCCAAAATAGGAATACAAATTGAGTATCCTTTATCTGAAGTGCTTGGGACCAGAAGTATTTAAGACTTTGGATTTCTTCAGATTTTGGAGTATTTGCATTATACCAGTTCAACATTCCTAACCCAAAAATCTGAAATCTTAAATGCTGCAATGAGCATTTTCTTTGAGCATCATGTTGGCACTCAAAAAGTTTGTGATTTTCGGAGCATGTGAAATTTCAGATTACCAGATTAGGAATACTCAACCTGTAGTACATTTACTAGGATTATCAGAATTAAATGATAGTTAATTCATACATAATTATACATCATATAGTATCTAATACAGCTCAATAAACAACAGCTAATATTTACTGCAAAAACAGAGGCAGCAAGGTCACTACTTAACAGGTGATATATGGATCAAGAATCACTGCTCTTAACAGTGATCTCAGTAAATTAATAGAAATGCACTCCTAACATGATTTTTACCTATCTCTTGGTTGTGGGATTGACTTTCTAGACATGATCTACATTTTTTTAGATAATTTCTAGACAAAAATGTTTGGCTTTAAGACAAATGCCACTGGGTATCAGGCTAGAGAATACACCTCCAGTGTACCTGGTATACCTTGAGGATAGGAGAGGAAAAACTGGCTATGAGACGACAATTACTGAAGCTGAGTGATGTGTACATGAAAATTTACTATTCTTTTTTTATATTTGAAATTGATGAGGTGCTGGGAAGCTGGCTTTCTGAGGGGACAACAGGAGGGGAATTCCTTGATTTGCTGCATTTATCACTTTCCATGGTGTAAAATACTCCTGCCATGGCCAATTTGTTATTGACATATCACTAAAGGCAGAGTTGGAGAGAGATGTGCAAAGATGGCTCCCAACTAGAAGATACCACTTTCTGTAATCAACTTTTTATAATGAAGTTTAAAAATATTAAGCCCTGATACATTATAGGGTAAAAGGAAATATTCATATAAATTAATTTAAAAATCAAAATACAAGGCTGGGCACAGTGGCTCACACCTGTAATCCCAACACATTCTGGGAGACCAAGGAGTGAGGATTGCTTGAGGCCAGAAATTTGAGAACAGCCTGGGCAACACAGTGAGACTCTGTCTCTACAAATAATAAAAAATTTAGCCAGACAAGGTGGCACACACCTGTAGTCCCAGCTCTCAGGAGGCTGAGGCAGGAAGACAGCTTGAGCCCAGGAGTTAGAAGCTGCAGTGAACCATTATCAGACCACTGCACTCCAGCCTGGCCAGCAGAACAAGACTCTGACTCTTAAAATAATAAAACTACAAAGCTTATGTTTACTCTAGCTGGCCTCTTATCTACCACCACCATCCCACCTCAGCCCAGTTTGAAATGCAATTCCACAGTAAGTAATCCCTCACGTTAAGCTTCATCTTAGCTTTATTCCTTTGTATCTGAGAAGCATTTTTTAACTTTCCATATATTATTCAAAATGGGTGACCAAATGAACCATCTATACAATCTTTGCTCAATTAAAAATATCATTTCTACTTTCTTCATTGTGCTTGGTTTGGATATTCCAAACAATCAATTTAACATTATCCTAGCTACTTACAAGCTTATACTTTAAAGAATCATACTGAGGTGCTTTTTCATATCAAATTTACCTGTTTATTCATTCCATAGCAAGCAGGATATTCACTATTTAAAACAAATTTAAGCAGATTTCTGTTAGATTTCTTTAAATCACTGAAAAGTAACACAAAAATACATATAGGTAGTAACTAAGTACTGACAAAGTATTCTACCTATGCAATATCCTATTAAATGTCTAAATTACCATATGTAAATTTAATTGTATTATTTACTCAATGGGGAAAATCTGGATTACAGAACTGAGGAAAATTATGTTTTATGTAAATTATAAAAGGCCAAAGTCAATCATGTTGAATAAAATAATTTTGAAATATAAGCCAGTAATATACCATATGAGTATCCCAAGAGAAACCCTGGATAGAAAGAAACTTTTAAAGTCACTCTTTTTTTTTTTATTAGTAATGTTAATGTTTGAGCTCAGTGTTTGAGCATGCTGGTTTTACCTATTTATGCTAATTTTAAACCAACAATTGAAGTGAGAAAATAATCATTTATCCTTGAAAGTATCTTTAGCATGGTCTTCCTAATTAAAAATACCACTTAAAAAAGTGAGGCAGCAAAAGCATGAACTGGAGTCAGTGGTCTGTCTGGGTTAAAATTGGCCCCACGATTTACTACCTATGACTTCAAGCAAGTTGCTTAACCTCGCACTTCATCCCACTTCATTATCTCATTTGTGAAATAGAGGTAAATAATTAACCCTGTACTCACAGGGAATACCGAGATTATGCATGTAAAGTGCTTACAGTGCCTAGCACATAGTAAGTGCCTAATAAATGTTAGCCATAAATATTATTGTGGGTATAGAAAATCAAATTCCCTAGTTGCAAAATGTATGCACTAAATGCTGAATATCAAAGAAGTCAAAATTCAACCACACAAGTCTTAACAGTTATAGAGTCTTTGCATGGACACAGTTTCGAAGCTAAAAAATGAGAACCTAATATTACATGCAAGTTATGTGACTCATCAGTAAATTCTTCCTAGAAAAACAAACTATACCACTTGTCAGATTCTTCCAGCATAAGCCTGAGTCCCCTTGCACCTATAATTAGATTCTTATTTTACTATCTTTTGCGTATCTTGTATTAATTTTACTTGGTTGATAAGATGTTGAAGAAACCATGGAATTATACACAGCACTATACATTATTACTATAGAATGTCTGGTCCCTCCCATCATAAATATGGTTTAATGAAGTTATTGAAAAACTTCACAATATCGAGCTGCAATTCTTTTTTCTTTTTATACAAATACAAGTTAATTAGCTCTATTAAGTTGCAATTTTATTTTTATAAAGCTTTGTAAAGTTATGAACATGGAAACCCTAAGAATCACCTAAGCTTTTTACATAAGTAAATTTCAAGTTGACAGTCTGTCCATTTTGAACTATTTATAATTAACAGGACACTTAACACAGTAATATCTTAGACAAGGAAGAGGGCATTAATTCTGCAGGCAGGTAGCAATGAAAATGCCAAACCTGAACAATCAGTCACTATTTCCTTATACAGTTTGAGTAAAAGAGGTAGACTACAGAAAGAAAAAAAAAAGTGAATATAAAATGTATCTTCCCCAAATACAACTCTACTTCAATAAGTCTTGAAGATTACCGATGACATCAACAAAAATGAATGAACTCAGGGAATGAGTTCTTTCTCCCCATCAAAGAAAAAAACAGCATGTGTAATTTTAAATTTGAAAAAAAAAAAGAATGGCAATTTGCAAGCAAAAGAAAACCAGATTCACATTCTACTATTTACATTTGTTCTATTCACAGGTCAAAAATAAAATATTTCATTAGATAATTTAAAAAAAAAACACTTTTTTAAAACAAATGTATTTTACTCCATCAATACTGCAAGGAAGATAACTGAATTTAGAAATGCTCTCTCTCTACAGCAAAGTTAACTTAACTTTTCGGGGCCCAACTGGCCTATCATTTAGATCTTTAATAGCAGCCATAGCTTCATTATAGTTTATCATAGCAACAATGGCTTCCCCTGTAGGTAAGCCTTGCTCATTATACTGTATCGAAACTGAATCAGGTATGATTCTGTAACCATGGAAAAAGTCTAAAATTTCATTCACATTAGCTTTAAATGGAAGATTCATTATCTTAATAGGAGTTACTCTACCTGAACCACAATTTATTTTTGGATCAGGCATAAATCTCCCCTCAGGAAAACTTCCCATATTATGCTTTCCAAAATCAAACTTGCCACCTTCTGGGCGACCAAAATTCACAAAAGGGCGGTGACTTCTAAAATCATCAGGCGGGCTCCTAAAATCCTCACCAGGAGGTCTAAAATTGTCAGGAAGTCTAGGGTCCTCCTCCGGAGCTTCCCTAAGGTCTTCCTCTGGGAGCTGCCTGAAGTCCTCATCAGAAGGGCATCTAAAATCTTCCTCCTGGGGGCTCCTGAAGTCCTCATCAGGAGGGTGCCTAAAGTCTTCATCAGGAGGGCCCCTGAAGTCTTCATCTGGTGGGTGCCTGAAATCTTCCTCTCGGGAGCGCCTGAAATGCTCCTGAGGCGGCCGCCTGAAATGCTCCTGGGGCGGTCTCCGGAAGTGCTCCGGGGGCGGGCGCCTGAAATGCTCTGGGGGTGGCCGCCTGAAGTGCTCTGGGGGTGGCCGCCGGAAGTGCTCTGGGGGAGGCCGCCTAAAATGCTCTGGAGGTGGTCTCCGGAAATGCTCTGGGGGTGGCCGACGGAAATGCTCCTGAGGTGGCCTCCGGAAATGCTCCTGGGGTGACTGCCTGAAGTCCTCCTCAGGGGAATGCCTGAAATCCTCCTCTGGGGGCCGCCTGAAGTCATCCTCGGGTGGTCGCCTCCATTCTCCCTGAAGAGGCCGCCTAAAGTCCTCCTCTGGGGGCCGTCTCCAGTCCTCCTCAGGTGGCCGCCTGAAATCTTCCTCTGGGAGCCACCTTAAGTCCTCCTCAGGGGGTTGCCTGAAGTCCTCCTCGGGGAGCTGCCTGAAGTCCTCCGTGGGAGACCGCCTGAAATCCTCCTCCAGTGGCCGCCTCCAGTCCTCCTCAAGGGGCCTCCTCCAGTCCTCCTCCCTAGGGTGCCTGAAGTCATCCTCCGGAGGGCGCCTGAAATCTTCCTCCCAAGGGCGCCTGAAGTCCTCCTCAGAAGGCCGCCTGAAGTCTTCCTCCCTAGGTCGCCTGAAGTCCTCTGGGGAGTGCCTGAAGTCCTCCGGGGGGAACCTAAAGTCCTCTGAGGAGTGTCGGAAGTCTTCTGGAGGGTGCCTGTCAGGCTGCCGGAAATCCCTCTGGGGATGCTTGAAGTTATCCAGTTGCCTCAAGTCCTCTAGCTGATGTCTAAAGTTTTCAAAAGCACCAACTGAGTATATTGGTGGGTCTTTTGAGTCAAATAAATGGGAATGGTCACCTCGCTCACGTGACTGTGAGCGAGCTTGCATTTTTTCACTGGACATCACAGAAAAATTTACACCAAACTCCTGTATTTGTGCCTCAGATATAAGTCTTAATAACACCTCTGTCCCTAGGAATCTTCGTCGGTTTAAACGTTCAGCTTTCATGGCCTGTTCTTCTGATTTAAATTTCACTAATGCTTCTCCCAGACCAACACCTTTGTCATCATAAAGCAAGTAAATGTCATCCTCAGCAAGAAGAAAGTCTGCAAAGAACTTCTGCACTTCAACTTTTGTAACATCAAATGGAAAATTTCTTATATAGATGCACAGTTTCTGGCCAGAGTTACCTTCTTGAGAGTATTTTTGTGAAACATGTCCGGGCCTATCTCTCTCTAGTGACCCTGATCTCTTCTTTTCATAACGTGCAATGAACTTCAGCATTTGTTTTCTAGAAATTGGATCAATATGAACTGGACGATATTGTAAAACAGTCTTATGTAAACTCAGAGCGGTATTATAGTCTTTCAGAGTCTTGAACATCACAAAGGCATATCTTGTTCTATTTTCATCTTTATATAAAAACCTAATCTGTTCATCAGTCAGATCAGTACCTCTAAAGAAATTTCTTAAATCTCTTTCGTCAATACTGAGGGACAGATTTTTTAAGTGAACATAAAATCCAAGAGGGGAACGAGAACGTGTTCTTCTGGGAGATTTTGAATGAGACCGTTTTCGAAAATGTCTATCATTAATTCCTCTTGGTGGAGAATGTTCTTCAGATCTCCTAAGAACGTCACCCTCCTTAACTGCATTACCACCAAACTCAATCCACTGTTGTTCTGATCCTTGCATTACTTCTATAAATCTTGAACCCATAAAACTTCTATGACATTTAAGACCTCCTGAAGCATCAACACATGAAGCAAATTTTACTATGGCATCACCATTATTTCGGCCATCATGATGTTTTAAGAAAATTACTCCATCCACGCACAAACCAGAGAAAAAGACACGTACATCATCTTCATTTACTAGGTAAGGCAAACCTCGTAGAAACAAGTAAGGATTCTCGGCCTTCAATGGCCTTGTCTTTCTTGGCCTTAAATTACCATGTCCTGTACCATTAGTATGAAACCCAGCATCTTGATTAATTGAAGAGCCATATCCAGAATTACTTGCTTCTTCCTTAACAGACTCAATAAAATTAGACAGGCTGTCAACCCCTGATGTCCCAGATCCTGGACGCCCTCTTCCTACACGATCAGTTCTTTTCATTTCTATAGTCTTCTGCATTTCTGCCTTGCTACTAAGAAAGAGCTCTACAGATGAATCCTTGATAAACCCTCCTGAACGACTTATGGCACGTCTTGCATCTTCATCTGTTGCAAAAATAATAAAAGCCTCCCCAATTTCCCCTCCAATTATATGCACTCCTCCATCAGGAATAGTCAATCCCGTGAAGAAGTGACGAATATCCACAGGCCCCGCAATAAAAGGAAGCCCCAGTAAACGGATGACTACAGCCATGCTGAGCTCAAACCACAGCAATAATGACCTGCAGACAAAAAGGTACACATAATAGCAAGTCTTATTTTTGAAGTACCTTAGCCCAAACTAAGCTTAATAATTACCTGGTTCCTGCTTTCTTCAACATTTATAAATGAAAACAAGATACAAGTTCACAAAAATACTGATCATATCTAATTATTAAAGAAAACAAGGGATAAACTTTCTCCCATCTAAAAATACAAATAAACCAACTACCTTGAAGAAACATTTCGTATCACCTATTCTATACAATAGGAACATCAAAAATATCAAATCTTCCTTTGTAAGTCTGCCAAATGCTGCTTCACAAGACCAAACTACTTTCAGACTCATTTAGAATCTTATCTTCTACTGAAACATGAGAGCTTTGTAGATTATTTTATCAACTGCAATGAATTTTACATATTTAGAAAAGTCATCTATGGTTAGTATATAATTTCTGCTCATGATAATAAATTGCCTACCACTGGCCAGACACAGAGAACAAAAGCCAGGGCCAGCATGATAGCTCATGCCTGTAATTCCAGGCTTTGCAAGGCCAAGGCAAGAGGATCGCTTGAGGCCAGGAGTTCAAGACCAGCCTTGGCAACAGAGCGAGAGCCCGTCTCTAAAAAGAAAAAATTAGCCGGGCATGGTGGCATGCACCTGTAGTCCCAGCTACTCAGGAGGCTGAGGCAGGAAGACTGCCTGAGCCCAATTTGAAATTTTCAGGATACAATGGGCTGCAACTGTGCCATTGCACTCCAGCCTGGAGGACAGAGTGAGGCCCTGTCTTTTTAAAAAAAAAAGAACAGAAGCCATGGATACCTAGATGTACTATTCTACTTCACATGTTTTTTGTTGAGCCTCAAAGCCTTAAACTCTGGATATCTTACCTTTTTTAAAATTTCTTGGAGACCTGTTAACTCTGTAAAAGCAACTTAACTGTGGAAAGAAAATGAAATATAATTAATCCTTGAACCCTGTAATTTATCTTAAACAACGCCAGAGTAGGATATCCATTTCAGAATTACCTATCAAAAGTGAAGCAGAATAAGGAACCACAATTACGGGTGTTACAAAATGGTCTTTTGTTCCAAGGGGAAATTAATCATCCTTCTGCAAAAAGGAGATACAATATCCAAATAGACATATAAAAATTATTTAAAAATTTGAAACTTGCCGAAAATTTAACAACTGCTCTTGATTGGAAGTAGCACGAAGAAAGGAGTGATGGAAATGTTACATATTTTGAATGCAGCAGTAGTTACATGGGTGTATAAATTTATCAAGGTTTACTGAATTCTATCCTTAGGGTCTATACATTTTGCTGTACACAAGTTTTACATCTACTTCAAAAAACTGTTCTACAAGTAAAATCTCAATACCCAAAGTTCAAAAAAAAAAAAAAAAAAAAAAGAACTTCAATCATTTTGCCACATGAAAATCCAAAAATCTAGTACATATTTATATCCAACTCTCGTGCTGTTCTCCTCCCTTTCAAAACATAAGACCAAATCAAATTAAGGCAACCATTCAAAATTACACAATAAATGAATAAAACAGCAAAGCCTGAAATTCAAAAATCAATTTTTAAAACAATAAATCCAAACCTATGGGCTATTGTTTGGATACAATTTAAAGGTCTATATAAACAGCTCATACATCCAAGCACAGAACCAAATTTCATGAAGCCAGTATAATTAAGGCAAATACTACAATATCCCTAAAGTTAAAAATCTCAATACCACTCCTATTGCAAAAATAGTAACTGTTACAATTCATCTCAAGCCAAACAGAAAATGCTATTTATCTTATTAATAATGCCAATAGCAGATTTCCATTTCAAACAACTATTCTGCACTCTACTAAGGAAACCCAAATGATGATGTAGAAAAGTAAAATTAAAAATTAACTTGGAATACTGGGATTACCCGTTTACTGAAAAATCTCAATGTAATTTTTTAAAGAAGTTTGCGTTTAATACTTTCAGGGATACCCAAACTATTTCATGAAGACTTGCCAAATAAATAATTATAATTTACACTCACTTTCTTTGGTGGGGGAGACAGGGTCTCTCTTGCTCTGCTACCCAGGCTGGAGTGCACTGGTGCGATCTTGGCTCACTACAGCCTCGACTTACCCAGGCTCAGGCAATGCTCCCACCTCAGCCTCCCCAGTAGCTGGGACTACAGGTGTGCACCACCACACCCGGCTAATTTTTGTATTTTTTGTAGAGCCAGGGTTTCACCATGTTGCCCAGGCTGGTAGGGAACTCATGGGCTCAAGCAATCAGCTCACCTCAGCCTCCCACAGTGCTAGGATTTACAGGTATGAGCCACTGCGCCTGGAGTAATTTACATGTCTTTAATGTACAAATAAATGTTGCGTTAATCCAGAATCCAGTACTTACACTTAAGTACCACTGTTCCCCAAAGTGGGGGTCTGAAGATACATTCACTGAGGTCTGTTTTCCTTTAAAAAAGGGTACGTAGATTAACCAGAAGCTAAACTAGCAAAGACATCAAATTACTTCACACATTCTACATCTGAAAAATATTAATCAGGTTTGCTATTAAAGTATTTGCACAGTAACAAAAAAAGAAAAAAAGCCTATTTTCTTCAACAAACCAATATCCATACTAACACTTCAACAAAAACTACAAATGGCTTCTGGAATACTTACTTTATCCATATTAAAGTCCCAAGACTCCCTCCTATGCAAATTGGCTTAGCTACTCTTTTTAAGATATTTTAGAAAGCACCATAAGCTATACATATTCTTGTCTCTCCTAAGCTTTTAAAAAAATTTTAACGGGATTTACCCTGGGAACATAAATTCATCTACAAGAGAAATTAGAGACGTTTCAAGGAATAATTATATCTCAAATTCAAAAAAACTCTAGTAATTTATCCTACCTCACTTAAAAACTATCTTTTAACCAAGTAGTTTCATGAGCACAAATCTCATGAATTCCAATTCAAGCAGACTATTTAGAAAGTTTATTCTCATTTGCCACAGTTAAACAAAACTAATGCTTAAACTTCTCTACCCTTGAGACAGTAGGGTAATGTACCATTTATGCCTCTACAATAACACACCTTGGAGACCAACTGTAAGAGACCAGCTCTCAAAATGGGCACTTCTGTGGTTCCAACATGCTATATTTCCTTAAGCAAATTCTCCAGAAATTCAACTCTTAACACACTAAATTACACAAAAGCAAAACACGAAAATTACCCTCAAGTAGTCTGCAATTAAAATTTTGCGTTTTTCTAGTTATGAATGCAAAAAGTATTTTTGTGCCTTTGTGTTCATTTGAAGACAATAATCTGTTAAAATTTCTATGAAAAGAAGAGTGGGTCCCTAAAAGATCACTTAAGTCAGTGAAATTTAAAGCGCATTTTAAATAACTGCTATTTTTATCCAACGATTCATCCCACTTAATCACCATTATAACTAAACAATACGTAACGTGCCTCTTCTAATCAAGACTTAAGGGGATACAGAGAGGGAAACGGGAGGGAGACAGAATTTAAATAAGTAATATCTCATCAGATCCATTTGATTTTTAACTAGCGAAGAAAAAGTCATTTTCCAGATATGGTGAGGGAGAGAATTTTTTTTAACTCTGCGACTACTTCGTAAAGCCCAAGGTCATGATGTAGCATATTCACACTCTAAACGTGAGTTTCCCCTGCAGAAAATAATCTACACCAACCCATAATTATTCTTTACGATGATCCACCTTTTATAATGTAGATGTTTAAAATAAAAACCAAAGGAATGACCAATGAGAGCCACAGTCCCTAGGAAGAACTGTAAATGAAGACGAATCCACATGGCACAGGATTTCTCCCAACATCCTCAAACGGGAATCATCCGAAGGCATCGATTCTACAGCCCAAAGCCTTTGTCCACAACTCCCAGGGGTCAGAGCTTCCTTCTTTCGCGCCAGGCCAAAGTTGCTACGTGGGATCCGATGTTGTCGCCAGACTTTCAGCCAAAATCAGCCTTCAAATTAACCTGGACCGCCCAACCTCCGTGCCTTTCCGTTACGCCGTCTCAAGGGCAAACATTCCACCCTAACTCGCCAGAGGGTGAACTGCCCCCAGATCTAACTGAAAACACTTGCCCTTCTCAAGCCTAACGAGCTGGGCCTGCAGCGCTTTTCTGCCACCACTGACTACGATGACATAGCAAAGAAAAAAATATACCTATGAAATCCTTCGAGATCTTCACTCTCAAGATCCCTGGGAAGCGCACATACACCACCACATGGAAGCTGACGGGAAAGGAAGAGTCGGTGTTTTAGCAAGAAAAGAGGGTGCCCTAACGGCAGGAGCTACGCTAGATACTGGCGCGGCCGCCGGTCCCGCCTTTCCCCGTTCTTCCGGCTTGGTCGCCCAGCCCTCCCCACCCCCGGCGCCCCGAGGGGAACTGCTTCGCACTTGGCAATAAACACACACCACTGCTGCCGAGTCGGACACACAAGGCCGGAGGCTGAGGGAACTCTTCGTCGCAGCAGCCTCCCCAAAACAGGTAGACCCTCAGTGAGCCCAGAAGAAGATGGCGCCCACTGCCCCTCCGGTCCGGACAAACGGACGTACGGTTTATCTGCCCATGCGCTCTGCAGGCGCAACCCACCACCAAGCTTGCGCACGCGCGCTGCCGCTCACCCGTTTCCCCTCGCTAGAGGAGGGGAGGCGGAGCCCCGGGGTTGGCTGAGCTTCTGCGCATGCCCAGATTCTGCCCAGCCCAGGGACCTCGACTTTCAACGGGAGAAATTCAGAGACACATTCAGGGCTCAGCCGGTAGATGTGCTGAGAATCTTCGGTAGACAACTGTCGAAGTACGGCGGACAAACTTTAAAGATTTCCAGAAGTTAAGGAAAGAGATGCAAAAGCAGAGAAAAGGCGACTTGTCTTTTCAGTGTTGCATTACTGTGTGGCGTAAAACATCTTCTAAAAAGCTCCTGTGGCCGGGCACGGTGGCTCACGTCTGTAATCCCAGCACTTTGGGAGGCCGAAGCGGGCGAATCACTTGAGGTCAGTAGTTCGAGACCAGCCCGCCCAAAAAGCGAAACCCCCGTCTCTACTAAAAATACAAAAAAGTCAGCCTGGCATGGTGGCGGGCGCCTGTAATCCCAGCTACTCGGGAGGCTGAGGCAGGAGAATCGCTTGAACCCGAGAGATGGAGGCTGTAGTGAGCCGAGATCGCACCGCTGCACTCCAGCCAGGTCAAAAGAGTGAAACTCCATCTCAAAACAAAAATAAAAAAGCTCCTGTAGACCCTAGAATACCACAGAAAAGGTAATTTTACTGCCTTAGATGTTCGCCAAGTACAATCCCAACACCTGGGGGCTTAATAAATGCATGCTTAGTCGGTTTTATAGATATAAATAACCTTGTGAAGTGTCTTTATAAATTTGTTCCCATCTTCTGGATTTTTGAAACAAGAGAACAGATGAGCCAGTACTGAAATTTCAGTAATGGAAAAGCACTATTACAGGTGTACTCTGTGATGCCTGCTACGTAATAGCTGGTGAACAACCTTGTGTTTGGTTTTATCATTTGCAAATAACAAAGTTTCCCACCACGTTGTATAGCTACTTGATGTATTTGTGGATGGATTCAAAGCTCATTAAGCAGAAAGTACATTTTAAAAACATTGTTACAGATGACAGAAAAAGTGAGTTGTGGATCCCTTTCTCACTGCAAAATACCCATTCTTTAATGATATGATTATAAGAAAGAAGAGGTAGTTTAATAAGTAAATAAAAAGATAGTTAACACAAAATCAGAGCCATCTTTTACTCACTGGACAAATTATTTAGCCCCTCTGTGCCTCAGTTTCTTCATCTGTAAAATGGGGATACTCCTAGTACCTACCTCTTAGGGTTGTGGGAAACATTCAGTAAATATGTATGTCTCAGATATATGTAAATAAGTGAGACTATTATAAGTATTTGTGACTTGTTTGAAATGTCAAGGTGATCTATACAGAAGCAGAGGATGTCACTCTGAGGAGGTAGGCTCATTGACTAGATATCATTTACCTTGATAATCCATAGTTTGGTCCTGGCCTTGCAGTCTCAGGAACAGGACCTTAAAAGTTAACGTTTATTGGCCGGGCATGGTGACTCACGCATGTAATCCTAGCATTTTGGGAGGCCGAGGTGATCGAATCACCTGAGTGCAGGAGTTCGAGACCAGCCTGGCCAACATGGTGAAACCCTGTCTCTACTAAAATTACAAAAATTAGCTGGGTGTGGTGGCGGGCACCTATAATCCCAGCTACTCAGGAGGCGGAGGCAGAGGAATCACTTGAACCTGGGAGGAGGAGGTTGCAGTGAGCCGAGACCGTGCCACAGCACGCCAGCCTGGGCGACAAGAGCAAAGCTCCGTCTCAAAAAAAAAAAAAAAAAAGTTAACATTTATTGAGAATTTATTATGTGCCAGGACGTATACATTATCTCAATTTATTCTTACAACTACTTTTGGAGGTAGGTACTATTATTATTCGTATTTTACAGATAAGGGAAACTGAGGCATAGAGGATTACAAAAGCCAGGCAAAATTGAACGTTGCTTGTTTGCCTGCAGAAGCCATTACTCTGTATTGCACAGAAAGAGGACTCTGTCCTCGGAAGCGGACTCCTTTAAACAAGAATACAGAAGCAATGCTCTAAGAAATAGAACATGAGTTACCTAATCTCAAAAGGTGATTCTCAGTTAAGGCTCCCTGGAGACATCCTCACTCATCTTAACAAAAGTAACAGTCATCATTTAATGACCACTTACTGGAGGACTCACCTGGCCAAGTGTGCTCAGGTCAGACTCTGTCCCCTGAGCAAGCTCTGACAGGCGTTTCCAGCCTCCCATGGCCTCCTTCATTGTTCTGGGCTGACCATCCTCCTTCTATTCACACAGTCTTTCTCCAGCGAGGACACTATATTGAATGTCTCTCCATTTTGGGTTTTTTTGAGACAGAGTCTCACTCTGTCACCCAGGCTGGAGTACAATGGTTACAATCCTGGCTCACTGCAACCTCTGCCTCCTGGGTTCCAAGGATTCTCATGCCTCAGCCTCCTGAGTAGATGGGATTACAGGCATATGCCACCATGCCTGGCTAATTTTTTCTGTATTTTCAGTAGAGACAAGGTTTCGCCATGTTACCCAGGCTGGTCTTGAACTTCTGGCCTCAAGTGATCCACCCGCCTCTGTCTCCCAAAATGCTGGGATTATAGGCGTGAGCCACCGCGCCCGGCCTGAATGTCTTTTCTAGTCTGCCCCTTGCCTTTCTTAGATGGTCATACCATTATAATCAGAACAAGAAAATTCTGATCAAGGTAATTTGAGCATAATCACATGATATTCTGGTTATTGAACAGTTTCTTGTGCCTTTGGTGTGTCAGCATGAAAACCTAATCATTTTGGGGAATCAAGAGAAAATGAAGTTTCTCCAGTGGAAAAACAGAAGACTAGCCCCTAAACATGGTGGCTGCACTGAGCTGTGGCCATTCTGTGACTCTGCTTGGATAATTAGCCTTCCGGGTGTTTTGCCACACTGCACCGCCACCCACCCTTCTCGGACAACTTTGGTGTCAGAGAGTTTTCAGTTGCCCTTCCTAGGTCTTCAGCATCCACACGCAGAGCCTTTTATTACTTGGTCTCGGAGTTCCTTAATCTTCTCAACTCCTGGGACCTTTATCTTCTCAACTCATGCCTTGATTTCTACTCTGAGAGCCTCCATACCTTGACTTCCAGTCAATTTGTAACCCAGGGTCCTGGGTTTTGGGTATGCACTGTGAAAAAGTACCCACTTGTAACTGTTGCACCTTGCATTCTTGTTGTTTCAGAAAAGTTCTAGGAAAAAGCCCAGCCCCAGAAAAACAAAAACCAAAACATTTAGATCCAGAAATGCCTGAGTGAAGATGAACTTTGGTGAACTCCCCTTACAATCCTGCTAAAATCCCCACCCAGGGAAGAGCTTATTCACCATTTTCTATACATGCAACATGTGTAGAAGCATGATCGGCAATTGTGTCTTCGCTGCCTTTACTCCACCTGTACATACAATGACTGAGCTAACCAGCCCAATAAAAGCACTGTTTTCACTGTTGCTCGGAGAAGCACTGCTTTAGGAACTATCCCCAGTGTCGTCCTTACTTGTTGCAAGTAATGAAATCCCCTTGTTAAATCTGCTTTGGTTGTGATCATTGGACTGTCACCTTCCAAGCTAACAAATCCACCTGTTGTGTAGGTAACAAATCTAGTATTTATTAAGCATCATTGACTATGAGTCAAGAACCTTGCTAAGTCCTCTGTATCACAGTTCCATTTAAAAAAAAAAGAAGAAGAAGAAGAACCTTGCTAAGGCTCCTGAAAGACAAAGATAGAAAAGATATTGTCCTCTTTCCTCAAAAAGCTTACATTCTAGCAGAGGAGAAAGCACACACAATCCAATAGTCATTACACACAGGAAGATGTGTGTATAATGAGATTAAGACAGTGGGCTGTCAGGGCAGGCAGACCCAAGTGTGAATACAGCTATGCCACTTCATGACTGTGAACAAATTCCTTATATTTCTTCATTGAAAAAGTAAAGATAAGGCCGGGCGCGGTGGTTCATGCCTGTAATCCCAGCACTTTGGGAGGCCAAGGCGGGCAGATCACCAGGTCAGGAGATGAAGACCATCCTGGCTAATATGGTAAAACCCAGTCTCTACTAAAAATACAAAAAATTAGCCAGGCGTGGTGGCACGTACCTGTAGTCCCAGCTACTCAGGAGGCTGAGACAGGAGAATCACTTCAATCCAGGAAGTGGAGGTTGCAGTGAGCCGAGATCACGCCACTGCACTCCAGCCTGGGCGACAGAGTGAGACTCTGTCTCAAAAATAAAAAAATTTTAAAAAAAGCAAAAGAGTAAAGATAATAGTACCCGCGGTACAGGGCAGTCATGAAAAATGAATGAAATCATTAACACTCAGCACAATCCCCAGCACATAGTAAACTCCAGTATAACTTAGAAATCAAGAAGGTTGGCTCAGAAATCAGAATATCATAGTTCCAAGCCTAACTCTGCCACTTGCCAGCTATATCACTTTAGTTGCTGAATCTCTCTGTGCCTTAATTTCGTCATGTATCAAATGAAGATGACAATAGTAGGGATGTTGTGTAGAAAAAATTAGCACACATATACATATACATATAAACATTAAGCAAGACATGTAGTAAAACACCAAGAAAGCCAGATAGCATGTTTCCCTGATGTCCCTCATGCTCTTTGCCAACTTGTCCCCTGCAGTGGTCTTCAGAGATGCAACTACAAAACTCCTAGGGATTATTGGAGCACAGTTTGGACACTGCTGATCAAATAAGGGAGCTTGGTCTGGTCAGTTGTGTGTGACAGAAGTTAGATTCAAGAGACTCAACAGAATTAAATGATTTATGGTAAATAGAACTGAACAGGACCTCCAAATTCCAACTTGGATAGTTTTTTGCCTGAGTTAAATGGGAGTCTTGTCTCTGGGGTCTTGACTGACAATCTGTCAAAGTTGTAGGTTCAGAAAGGAGTTATGTAGAAAGAATACTGGATAAAATCTCTTGGTTTACTGCTGGAGCTTTGGATCACAAATCTCAGGAGAATCCATTTAGTAAATGGGGCAAGACCCCATGTAAAACAGGATGTCCTTCTGCTTAGTGTTCCTTTCCCCCTGGGTACCATCCAATCCCAGGTATATAAAACAGAAGGAAGCAGCAAGAGGAAGACCTAAGGATCTAAAGACAAACTCTAAAGAGAGAGAGAATTTAAGGAGAAGACCAAAAAGTGTAAACTCAAATGTTAACAGCGATAGGTTCTTGGGCTCCCAATGCAATGCAATAGAAATTGACATGAGGCCAAAAAAGTTTTCCCAGGCAAGGCTTCATTGGAGCTTACACCAAGGCATAAGAGGGAGAGAATTCCCTGACTGACTCTCCAAAGAAAAGAGTCAGTTGGGCTTTTTTATTAGACAAAGCGTGGGAATTGTCATCAGGGATAGGGTATGCAGGTCAGCATTACTGGTTGCAATGCTTATCTTGAGTAATGGGCCACCTGGTGGATTGGCCTGAGGCAACAAGGCTATAAATAATTTGTTTAGTATTCCTTCCCAAGGTAGGGCACTCCACAACCTTGCTTATCTCCTAAGGCCAGTTCCTGGAATTCTTTAAGTAAAAGGACTATTAGCATTGTGACAGTGGTATGGATTTTGTGATCAGTGGGAATGCATGAAAGAATACTCTAAGTGAGGGTGAGCTGAAACCATGTCCTGTTCCTACTCTGTCTGACAAAGACCATGTCATATGGACACAAAAAAACTTCTGTCCTTTAGGACAGTGGCCAAGATGTGGTCGCCTGAAAAGTTTTTACTGCCCACTGCACAGACAAAACCAATTCACTGAGACCATGGTATTGCAGTAAAGAAAGAGTTTATTATGCAAGACTGGCCATGTGGGAGATGGAGTTATTATTCAAATCAGTCACCCCAAAGGCTTGGAGGTTAGAGTTTTTCAAGGATAGTTTGGTGGACAGGTGATTAGGGAATGGGTGCAGCTGAATGGTTGGGGATGAAATCATAGAGGTATGGAAAACAGTCCTCTTGCACTGAGTCCACCTCTAGGTGGGGGAGGGGTTGGGGGGTGGGCATAGGACCAATTGAGTCATGAGTCATGAATCCAGATGGAGTCAGTCTGAAAAATATCTCGAAAGACCAATCTTAGGTTTTACAATAGTGATGTTTTCTATGGGAGCAATTGAGGAAGTCACAAATCTTGTGACCTCTGGCCACATGACTCCTGGGCAATTAGGGATTATAGAAACTACATTTACAGTTTAGCAAAATTCAGGCCCCTCTCAAAATCTTAATCTTGTGGCCTTTCATTAGTTTCACAAGGGCAATTTTTGGGCCCTGAGCAAGGGGGGTTAGTTTTAGGAAAGGGCTATTATCATCCTTGCTTTCAAGTTAAACTAGAAACTAAATTCCTCCCATAGTTAGCTTGGCCTTCACCCAGGAATGAGCACCCCCAGCCTGTGAGGCTAGAAGCAAGATGGGGTGAAGCCATGTTAGATTTCTCTCACTGTCATAATCTTTGCAAAGGCAGTTTCAGAGGCTCTGTTGTCCTGGACCCAAACCCACATTGGTCCTCTGTCCTCTTCCTTGTGATGAAATGAGAGGAGAAGACATCAAGTTCCCCTCAGGGTTTGGAAGTCAACAATAAACTAAAGAAGGAAAGGAATGAGACACGTTTTATTTTCCACTGCAACAAATGTGTATTAAATGCTTACAATGTAAAACAGTTGTGATGGTGCGCACCAATAATCTCAACTACTTAGGAGGCTAAGGCAGGAGGTTTGTTTGAGTCCAAGAGTTTGAGGTGAGCCCTGGGCAACATAGTGAGACACCCCCAACCCTCCTTCTCAAAAAATTTAAAAAACAAAATAGCCAGGTGTGGTGATGCACACCTGTAGTCTCAGCTACTTGGGAGGCTGGGGCAAGAAGATTGCTTGAGCCCAGATGTTCAAGGCTTCAGTAAGCTATGACGGCATCACTGTACTCCATCCAAGGTGACAGGCTGAGACCCAATCTCTAAGAAAAAATAAGAAAACAAAATAAAATTGGCCAGGGGAGGTGGCTCACATTTGTAATACCAGCTCTTTGGGAGCCTGAGGCAGGAGGATCACTTGAGCCCAGGAGTTTGAGACCAGCCTGGGCAAAGTGCCAAAACCTCGTCTCTACAAACAATACAAAAATTAGGTGGGCATGCTAGTGCCTGTCTGTGGTCCCAGCTACCCAGGAGACTGAGGTGGGAGGATTGCTTGAGCCCAGGGGGCCGAGGCTACAGTGAACTGTGTCCGTGCCACTGCACTCCAGTCTGGGTGACAGAGTGAGACCCTTTCTCAAAGTAAATATAAAAATAAATAAAAATAAAATAATGATAGAAATAAATGCTTACAATGTGCCAAGCACAGTGCTATGCTGAGGAGGCAGTGGTGACCAAAACACACACACACACACACACACACACACACACACACACACACACACACACACACACGGTCCTTGCTTTTACAAAGCCTGCAGTTCAGAAAAGTAAAACCAATGAAAGAATTACCCAACTAAATGTGAATTTACTACAGGGATAAGTGCTATGGACGAGAAGTCCATGGTACTGTGAAAGTATTTCACAGGAGACCCTGGCCTGGTCAGGAAGGGTGGGAGATGTTCCCTGAAGAAGTAATGAATGAGCTGCTTGGAAAGTAGGAGTTAAAAAGATAAAAGGAAATTGCTGGGAAGGGGAGGGAGTGGTCCAGGCAGAGAAATGAAAAGGCTTGGCAGCATCCAGGGAAGGAAAATAAGGCCAGTGCAGGTACAGAGCACAGGAGCACACAGGACAATGCAGGGCTGCAGGAAGAAGTCAGACCATGCTGAGGGTTAGGGTTCATGTTAAGGACTTTGATCTTTCCATCGGAAAACCAGCAGGCAGATGACATATTAGGACTTGCATTTCAAAAGAGTACTCCAGCTGAGGTATGGAGAATGGAGTAGAGAGTGGCAAGAGTATGTTTGTGAAGACAGGTTAACAGGTTATTTTGGCTTCTAGTTTAATGTGACAGTTTAAACACAGGTATTTATCTCCACTCCTTCCAGAAATTCTAATAAAATAACAGGGAAGCAACTTTTAAAAAGACAAAAACTAACAGGAATAAAGAGAATAGGGTAAGAGGAACAGCAATAAAACTTTGCAAGCGGGAAGCAAGTGGATAGGTGACCATTTCTTCTATGGATCCAAGGGAGCTGAATCCTGCATTAACAGTGGGAAGAGCTAAGAAGCAATCTTACATGCACCAAAGAAGTCCTCAAAGGCTTAGGAGACAGTATCTTCTGTTTGTGGAGGGGAGTGAAAACAGGAGAAGTGGTTGAACATCAACTTTCAAAGCACTTTCCTTCCAATACCTGGAAACCTGTCTCTCCCCAACTCCAACAGAAGATTGAAGGTTTATTCTCAGTGCATTTGCAAACAAGGATTCTATTTAATATATGCAAAAGAACAAGGATTCTATTTAATATATGTAAAAGAAGGGCGTTATGTGAACGATGAAACTCACACCCTCTAAATATTACACCCAGGCTTAAAATCTCCAAGGAGAAGAATCTTTCTGAGAAATTTGATCAGCACAGTAGGATAGGGAAAGGGGACAGGAAGAATGAGGGATTGCCCTAAGAAACAACCCAGGCAAATCACTCCACACATTGTAGCCCAGTCAACAAGCCCTTCCTATCTTTGTAGAGCTTCTAATTAGCTTGTCAGTGTGCCGACTTTTTTTTTTTTTTTGAGACAAAGTTCCGCTCTTGTTGCCCATTCTGGAGTGTAATGTCGTAGTCTGGGATCACTGCAACCTCCACCTCCTGGGTTCCAGCAATTCTCCTGCCTCAGCCTCCTGAGAAGCTGGGATTACAGGCATGGCCACCACGCCCAGCTAATTTTTGTATTTTTAGTAGAGACGGGGTTTCACCGTTTAGGTCAGGCTGGTCTCGAACTCCTGACCTCAGGTGATCCACCTGCTTTGGCCTGCCAAAGTGCTGGATTACAGGCGTGAGCCACCGCGCCTGGCCACCCACTTTTGTATGTATGTAAATGGCAAAAGGTCCCAAGATTTAGGAGGAAAGCCTTTTATACAAAACATAACTTTGAAGAAACAGATTATGCAACAGAGGGAAACTTTAAAACACCACTAGTAATGTATTCTAGGAAATAAGATATTGCAGCATGGAAGAATTCAAGAATGCCATAATTAAGCTATAGCCAGAAAACAAAAGAGAGCTCTTAGAAATTAAATTTATAATAGAAGAAATGAAAAGTTCAATTCAATGTTTGACAGATACGCGCAGGAAAATCTTCCAGAAAGTAGAACCAAACAAAACAAAATGAAAAATGAAGCCTGGGCGCGGTGGCTCACGCTTGTAATCCTTGCACTTTGGTAGGCCGAGATGGGTGGATCACCAGAGGTCGGGAGTTTGAGACCAGCCTGACCAACATGGAGAAACTCCGACTCCACTAAAAATAACAAAATTAGCCCTGCGTGGTGGCACATGCCTGTAATCCCAGCTACTCGGGAGGCTGAGGCAGGAGAATCACTTGAACCCAGGAGGTGGAGGTTGCAGTGAGCAGAGATCGTGCCATTGCACTCCAGCCTGGGCAACAAGAGCAAAAAAACTCCGACACACACACACACACACACACACACACACACACGCCGGGCGCGGTGGCTCACGCCTGTAATCCTAGCACTTTGGGAGGCCGAGGCGGGCAGATCACGAAGTCAGAAGATTGACACCATCCTGGCTAATACGGTGAAACCCCGTCTCTACTAAAAACACAAAAAATTAGCCGGGCGAGGTGGCGGGCTCCTGTAGTCCCAGCTACTCCGGAGGCTGAAGCAGGATAATGGCGTGAACCCGGGAGGCGGAGCTTGCAGTGAGCGGAGATCCCGCCTCCCGCCACTGTACTCCAGCCTGGGCGACAGAGCGAGACTCCGTCTCAAAAAAAAAAAAAAAGAAAAAAGAAAAGAAAAATGAAAACATAATCTGAGAAAATTAGAGGAACAGTCCAGGAAGTCTAGTATCTGAAAAATAGGGTGTCCAGAAGAAAAAAAAAACGGAGAGAAAGTCTTCAAAGGAATAATTAGTAGAAGAGATCATTTCCCAGTGTTAAAGGACATGAGTTTCTTTGCTGAATTGCAAAGTTACAACAGGTGTTCCACACAAAAGATGACAATGAAACATGCCCAGACACATCACTGTAAAATTAAGAAAAATGAGAAGGTGGGGCACAGAGAGGAACATCCTGAAGACTTCAAGAAAGTAAAAAACAAGTTACACACAAAAGATTAACAAATCAAAAGGGCACTAAGTGTCTGGAGATTGGGAATGAACACAGGGTTCACCACACAAAGTGCCCCAGATGTAAGATCTGAACCTCACTAATTCCCCTTTCTCACCACAACCTCCACTTCTGTTTTTCACCTTCTTTGTAATATTTTAATTCATTAATCTCATCTTGAACTTACTTGCCTTTAGCTTTTCTTTATTCCTGCCCAGAAAAGCACATCCAGAGATTCAAAGGCAACAATAAAAAGCAGGGCTTAAGAGTGTGGGCTCTGCATTATCCAAAGCAAACTTGTCACAGAGAAAACCTCAAAATCAGGGTTCAGCCTGAGTGGCCATGTGGGTTCTCAGCTTCATGCAGGAAGGAATTCAAGAGCAATCTGACAGAATAAAGTGAAAGCAAGTTTGTTAAGAAAGTAAAGGAATAAAGAGTGGCTACTTCATAGGCAGAGCAATGGCAAGGACTGCTAGACTGAGTATATTTATGGTTATTCCTTGATCATATACTAAACAAGGGGTGGATTATTCATGAGTTTTCCAGGAAAAAGGTGGGGAATTCCTGGAACGGAGCGTCCTCCCTTGTTAGACCATGTAGGGTAACTTCTCTAAGTGGGCATGGCAAGGGGCAAACTGTCAAGGTGCTGGTGGGAGTGTCTTTTAGCATGTTAATCCATTGTAATTAGCATATAATGAGCAGTGAGGATGGCCAGAGGTCACTTTGGTCACCATCTTGGTTTTAGCAGGTTTCAGTCCTCTTCTTTACCTATCCTGTTTTATCAGCCAGGTCTTTATGATCTTATCCTGTGAAATCAGTCCTGCCAACCTCCTATCTCAAACTAACACAGGAAAGAAATAAAATACTGTGTGTTCTCACTTATTAGTTGGAGCTAACATTGTGTACAGGTGGACACAAAGAAGGGAACAATAGATACTGGGTACTACTTGAGGGTGGAGGGTGAAAGGAGAGTATGGATCAAAAAACTACCTATTGGGTTCTATGCTTATCACATGGGTAAGGAAATAATCTGATCCCCAAACCCCCGAGACACTCAATTTACCTATATAACAAACCTGCACATGTACCTCTGAACCTAAATTAAAGTTTAAAACAACAACAACAACAACAAAAACCCGAAGAAAAGTATGGGCTCTGGTGTCAAATTACCAGGGTTAGAACCATGAATTAAGTGTGACCTTAGAAAGTCACTTATACTTTCTAAGCCTTGGTTATTTCATCTGTAAATTAAAGGTGATGATAACAGTCCCAATTTAGGATCAAATGAGATATTGCAATGCCGGACACATTAAAAGTGTCTCCATGGGACTAGCCCAAACTGAGCCTACTCTGTTGATAACAAAATGTCGTGTTACCTTTTAGATGTAACAGAGCCAAAAACTGAAAGTCATGTAGCCCAGTCATGTGCAATAGAAAAAGCCTGGACCTCTAACAACACCCAAAACCAGTGAATCCTTTCCTTGGAACCAAGACCGGGACATGACTGGAACCTGAACTTGGAACTCTTTCAAAAGTGTTGGGTCCATTTGCCTGGAGGATCAGGCCTAAAATCGGCCTCTACGTACCTTTTTCTAAATGGTCAAATTTCAAGTCCTCCATTCTGCCTGCCAAGACACATTCCTAAATTCTTCCCTTGGCTTTCCAAGCCCATAAGTTTACCCCAGACTCTAAATCAGGGAAACAGATTTGAATGCACTCCTATCTCCTTGCTGACCAGTTGTGCAAATAAAGACTTTTTTTCCTCAAAAGCTTGTGCCACATAGTATTGGCTTCTGTGCATGCATTGGATAGAGAGCTCATTTGCTTGATAACAAAAACAAGCTATTAATACCTATTATTTCTATTATTATCCATACCTCTAGCTCCCACCATGTTAAATATTCCTATAACTTTCATTTCTACCTTAAAATTTTCTTTATCCAATAAGTTTTCGCTTAGAAGCTATCTACCACAGGTATCTTCCTTTAATATCACAACCGTCTACCCAGCCACCCAAATCAGAAACCTGGAAGTTATCCTTGATTCTGTTTGTTTACTTCCTATGTCCAAATAATAAAATTCTTATAATTCTTCTTCCTGAATAGCTCCTTTATTCATCCTCTTCTGCCTCTCCCTTCCTCCATGGCTCCAATTTAGACTCTAGATTTCTACCTTAGCCTCGCAAGTGGTCTCTAACTCTAAACGTTTCCATATTTTTGTCCAGGATTTTTTTTTTTTTTTATATAGGGTCTCTGACATCCAGGCTGGAGTGCAGTGGCACGATCATAGCTTATTGCAGCCTTTGGGCTCATTGACCTCCTGGGCTTAAGTGGTTCTCCCGCCTCAGCCTTCCAAGCAACCGGGACCATAGGCATGTGCCACCCACCCAGCTAATTAAAATAAATTTTATTTGTAGAGGTGGAGTCTCACTATGTTGCCCAGGCTGGTCTTGAATTCCTGGGCTCAGACAATCCTTCCACTGTGGCCTCCCAAAATGTTAGGATTAGAGGTGTGAGCCACAGCACCAGGCTTAGATTCCTTTATTCACAAAAGGTGTAAAGGTGATCTCATTTTATATACATGTCAACTAAAGAAAAAAATCAGGCTTTTAAAGACTCAAAGTTAGTTTTATTCGGAGTCTTACTGAGGAATGCAACCCTGGAGAGTCTTTCAAAGAGTTTATGTTATACTGGTCCAAAGCAGCTGTTCTGCCCCCAGTTTCTACATCAAGGGATGGAGTTCTGCATGTGCTCAAAAGTTACATTAAACGTGCTCAGAAGTTACGTTGGAGCAAAATCTCATCAAAGTTTTGTTTGGAGACTACATCTGGTTATAGATTACAGAGGCATAATCATTAATCCTGTCACACGTTATCTTACGTACAGGAAGAGGCAAGAGCTAGGATCGCTGACTGTATCTTTTTAAAAAATGAAGTGATTCAAGCAACAGATGTGAAAACTTGTGCTCTATCCTACTTATTGTCTTCAGGGCATTCTTCTGGAGGACTGCGTTCAGTCACTGAGTCAGGGGCTTTGTGAAATTTCGCTGGCAACAGAATGAGCAAACATGGTTTCTTCCGTTTCGTACTTTGTCTCGCATACATGATTTCCTATGCTCAAACCTGGCAGGAAAGTTTTTTTATTTTTTCAGTCTTTGAGCTATAGTAATCCTTCACTGGGTTTTAAGTCAGTGGGGTTTTTTGACATCAAATTGTTAAACTACAAGTCATGTTTCCTTTAACGTGAAAATTACCTAGTCTGAATAAATTCTGATGTAACTATAACTCGACAAATTATGATATTTTCAACTTACGATGGGTTTATTGCGGGGAGGGGGCAGCCCTATCGTAAGTAGAGGAACTCTATACACGTTTGAAAATATCGCTGGGCTCCAGGGTTAACCGGTCTCTAACCCATTCTTTACTGGACCTGCCAACTTCGCGCAGGGTTGGTAACCTAGCAACCAAGCAACACGAGCAGTGACTTCCGGTACCCGGACTTGGGTTGTCCAATCAGCTCAGCGAAGCCGCCGCAGAGGCTGATGGGGGGCTGGAGGCTGTGAGGCTTCCAGCGTCGGTACCATGGCGACGCGCGGTGGGGCTGGGGTGGCAATGGCGGTTTGGTCCCTCTTATCCGCCCGGGCCGTGACCGCGTTCCTTCTGTTGTTCCTCCCTCGCTTCTTACAGGCCCAGACCTTCTCTTTCCCTTTCCAGCAGCCGGAGAAGTGCGACAACAACCAGTACTTTGATATCTCCGCCCTCTCGTGTGTTCCTTGTGGAGCTAACCAGAGGCAAGATGCCCGAGGTAAGACGGTTTGCGGTGGGCCCTGGCAAAAGTAACACTCCCGCCTTGGTCGGCCCCTAGTCCCCGTAAATGGAGTTTCACCATGTTGATCAGGCTAGTCTCGAACTTCTGACCTCAGGTGATCCACCCGCCTCCGCCTCCCAAAGTGCTGGGATTACAGGCGTGAGCCACCGCGCCTGGCCCGAATACATGTATATTGTTTAGTGACGTAGAAATGTAAAATTTCCAGCAGCAGTTAAGTAGTTTAATAGTTTAGTTATACTTGCACTTAAAATGGTAGCAGCATAATACCAGCTGTGTGCCAGTGTAAGACCTCTACGTATAATAACTAATTTTGTACTCATACTAACCCTGTGAGGTAGGTACCAATTTTTTTTCTCCATTTTATTGTAGAGGAAGCCAAGGCAGAGAGTTTAGTAACTTGTTCAAGGTCATGCAACTGAGTAGGATTACTACGATTGGAACTCAAGAAGTGTATTTCTGGATTTGAACCCAGGCAGTACTGCCTCCAGAATCCTGCTGTTAATCACTATACTGCTTCTCAAGATCTTCAGACTTATTAAAAGTTTCACTATCTGGGAACTTTATTTTTATTTATCAAGGATAAAATTGGCTTTTTTTTTTTTTTTTTTTTTTTTAGGAACTTCATGTGTATGTCTACCAGGATTTCAGATGATCTCTAATAATGGAGGACCTGCTATTATTTGTAAAAAGTGCCCAGAAAACATGGTGCGCATAATTTATTTTAAAATAACTTACCTGTAAAAAGTAGTAAGTTAAATATCTTTATTTTTCAAAATATAATTTAATGTTTAATGTTTCCCCACAGACTTTAAAATTACTATGCTAATTTTATTTTTACTAGAGTAAGTTTTGGGAGATCAGCGAAATTTCATGCAAACTTGGAGAAAACAGAAATGTATTTCTTTTAAAATCTGAAATCCAAAAACCACAAAGCTGTAAAAATTTAAGTTTTTGTTTTTACTCGTAGAATAACTCGGTTATGAAGAAAATTAGATGAATAAGGCATATATAGAGCAGTCTGGGATGTGTGCAATTTGGGATGTGTATATTCTTTTGACTGATGCAAGTGGAGTTGTCTTAGACCTACCATGTCAACAGTTTATATGATTATTGATGTTCATAATGATATCTAAGGTGTAATTATTTCATGAAATACCAATTGCATTAATAGATTAAATAATGTCTGTTTCTGTTTTGTTAGTAATTTCATTGTATCGTAATTTAAAAAAAATTAGTAAATAGTTACTATATATAATTCTCAACATAAATATATTTTTCAATCATGTTGGATAATTAAAAGTCTGTGTAACAGTTGTGACATTTACAGTAATGTTTCTTCTCATTGTCATATAAAAAATATTAATTCTGGGAATTTAATGTGAAGTTATCAATTGTCCCAATTTATAGCTATCTGTATTACTTGTAAGTCTGATTACCACTTTTTATATTACCATTTATTTTATATCTTTATAATAGATTATAATAGATTACCATTTATTTTATATCTTTGCAAATATTGATCCTAGCTGAATTACCCATGATAAAAAGCTGCTAATAAAAAGTGGTCTCGCAGCAGATTTCTTTTTCAGTGACATTGTTTAAGTTATTGTAATTTTTAAATTGTCCTGTATAGGCCAGGCACAGTGGCTCATGCCTGTAATCCCAGCAGTTTGGGAGGCTGAGCCTGGTGGATCATGAGCTCAGGAGTTTGAGACCAGCCTGGCCAATATGGTGAAACCCCATCTCTACTAAAAATACAAAAATGAGCTGGCTGTGGTGGCGCGTGCCTGTAGTCCCAGCTGCTTGGGAGGCTGAGGCAAGAGAATCGCTTGAACTCAGGAGGCAGAGGTTGCAGTAAGCCAAGATTGCACCATTGCACTCCAGCCTGGGTGACAGAGCGAGACTCTGTCTCAAAAAAATAAATAAAATATAAATAAATAAATAAATAAATAAATAAATAAATAAATAAATTGTCCTGTATAAATGTATTGCCAAATATAGGAGTATTTCTTGATAAATTCAGTCTTTTCAACCAAAATTTAAAATAATTTGTGGCATTATTTTTGTTCTTTATAAACTTTGGTTACATCTGTGTTTGTAATTATTGTGTTTTTTGCCCCAGGCTTTTCCTAAACCATATGATATAATAAGCCCAATTTTGAATGCTGTCATACTTTATCAAAAACCTTTACTAGGCCGGGCGCGGTGGCTCACGCCTGTAATCCCAGCACTTTGGGAGGCTGAGGCAGGTGGATCACGAGGTCAAGAGATCAAGACCATCCTGGCAAATGTGGTGAAACCCCATCTCTACTAAAAATACAAAAATTAGCTGGACGTGGTGGCACGTGCCTGTAGTCCCAGCTACTCGGGAGGCTGAGGCAGGAGAATTGTTTGAACCTGGGAGGCAGAGCTTGCAGTGAGCCGAGATTGTGCCACTGCACTCCAGCCTGGCAACAGAGCAAAGACTCTGTCTCAAAAAAAAAAAAACCTTTACTAGTACAAGCCATAAATGGATAGAAGAAAATATTCTCATAAATCAATTTTAACAACTATGTGTATAATTTATATATTTCATAAAATTTACCCATTTTGAATCATAAATGAATTTTTTTTTTTTTTGAAAGAGAGTATTACTGTTGCTCAGGCTGGAGTGCAGTGGCACGATCTCAGCTCACTGCAACCTCCACCTTTCTGGTTCAAGCCATTCTGGTGCCTCAGCCTCCCAAGTAGGATTATAGGCATACACCACCACGCCCAGCTAATTTTTGTATTTTTAGTAGAGACGAGGTTTCACCACATTGGCCAGGCTGGCCTCAAGCTTTGGCCTCAAGTGATCCACCCACCTTGGCCTCCCAAAGTGCTGGAATTACAGACGTGAGCCACTGTGCCTGGACTAAATTTTTTAGGTATTTGAATTTTTAAAAATTAGAATAGAGTTTTAGAACAGGTAAGATTAACCTATTAACTGACCGTTGATTCAATCTTTTTGTGTTGTGTTGTGTTTTATATTTGTAAATGGAAAAACGAAATGACAAATAATTATGAAAGAGGCATCCATTTGAATTAAAGATCCTGAAGAAGAGAGAACTATTATCCGGAGTTAATCCTTTAATAGTTTTCAGGACATAGTGATAATATAGAGCTTCATTTTGGAATATAAGCATGAATTATCTCTCCAGGGAATTTTTATGTGGCTCATATATGTATGATTTATTTGAATATTCACTGTAGTTACATACTCTTATGGCATTTTGAACTTACATGATTAGAAGAAGAAAGTTAATTAAAAAAGAGAAAAGCATTTTTTTTCTTTTAATTTAGAAAGGTGTTACAGAAGATGGCTGGAACTGCATTTCTTGCCCTAGTGACTTAACTGCCGAAGGAAAATGTCACTGTCCCATTGGCCATATTTTAGGTAAGAATTAGATTCCTTATAAAGAAGTAGTGATAAATCTTCATTCTTGTTTTTGTTTTTATTTGAAAAGGGCACTAATTTAAATAGTTAAGTGATTACTTAATATTTTTGCAGTGGCTCAAGCAATTCTCCTGCCTCAGCTTCCTGAGTAGCTGGGACTGCACACATAACACCACTGCAGCTGGCTAATTTTTAAATTTTTTGTAGAGACTGGGTCTCGTTATGTTGCTCAGCCTGGTCTTGAACTCCTGGCCTCGAGAGATCTTCCTGCCTCAGCCTCCTAAAGTGCTGGGATTATAGGCATCAGTCACTGTGTCCAGCCCTTAATAGTGTTTATAAAAATTATTTTTGTACAAATTAATGATACTTAAAACATCAGCAGGCATTGAGAAGAAAATACAAAGTTTTGTCTGAGTTTTTTAAAACTCTTAATATTGTAGGATTAGATGGTTATTTCCTTAACATAACATGACAAAATATGTCTCAACTCAAAAGCCAACTTGATACTTAATAGGGAAAAAGCGTAAGCATTCCTGTTAATGTCAGGACCTGGAAAAGGATGCAAACTATGCACTTAAGTAAGAGAAAAAAAATATTTATCATTGGAAAAGAAAAGGTAGGCCGTTGTTAATCCTAGCACTTTGGAAGGCTAAGGCAGGTGTATTGCTTGAGCTCAAGAGTTTGAGACCAGTCTGGGCAACATGGTGAAACCGCATCTCTACAAATAAAAAAAAAAATTATTTGGTTACGGTGGCATGCACCTGTAGTCCCAGCTACTCGAGAGGCAAAGGTGGGAAGATCGCTTGAGCCTGGAAGGTCAAGGCTACAGTGAGCTGAGATGGCGCCACTGCACTCCAGCCTGAGCGACAGGGTAAGACCCTGTCTCATGAAAAAAAAAAAAAAAAAAAGTAAAATATCATTGTTTACAGATGATTTGATTGTATGTTTAAAACACCCAACAGAATGACTAAAAATTATTATAAACAGTGATGGAAGAAAATACCTCATATACAGTAGCAACAAAAAAGAAAAAATAAGTAGGCATATCCTTTTTTTTAATTTTAATTTTTATTTTTGTTTTTTTTTTTTTGAGACAGAGTTTTCACTGTTGTTGCCCAGGCTAGAGTGCAATGGTGTGATCTTGGCTCACTGCAACCTCCCTCTCAGGTTCAAGCGATTCTCCTGCCTCAGCCTCCCGAGTAGTTGGGATTATAGGCATGTGCCACCACACCTGGCTAATTTTATATTTTTAGTGGCTAACAGGGTTTCTCCATGTTGGTCAGGCTGGTCTTGAACTTCCGACCTCAGGTGATCTGCCTGCCTCAGCCTCCCAAAGTGCTGGGATACAGGCTTGAGCCACCGCACCTGACCTTGGCATGTACTTTAGAAGGAATGTACAACATAATTGAAGAAATTTGTGAGTATTACTGAGGGATATGAAGGCAGGCTTTTAAGTGAAAATGCATTCTTTATTTTTGGATGGGAAGATTAAATATTAGAAAGATGCAACTCTTCTACCAGTCTGTATATTTTAAAGGACCCTAATAAATTCTATCAGGATATTATTTGTTTGTTTTGGGGTAATATACAAATAGAGTCTGAAGTTTAACAGGAAAGTTATATGAAAAGCTAAGAAAATTCTGGGAAGGGAAAGAAGGAACTACCCCATCAGATAATATGCATGTTATATAGCTACTATAATCACATATATGACAGGCTTATGGATACACAGACTGATTGATGGAACTTAAAACAGGCAATCAGAATAGATTCAATTCATATAGGAATTTGGTATGTGAAAAAAGTGGCATTTCATATAAGTGGGGATAAAACTGATTAATGATGCTGGGAAAACTGAGAAAACACCCAGGTTGGGTTTCTACCTTATTTCTGAGAAAATTAAACTCCAAATGAGTCAAATACTAAATATGAATATATGAAAGTTCTTAAAGAAAATGCAGGAAAAATTTGTATAGTTTTGGTTTAACAGGCCTAAGTATGACCAAAAATACTCAGTCACTTTGGAGGCCTAGGTGGGACGATTACTTGAGCCATGGAGTTCCTGACCAGCCTGGGCAATATAGAGAGACTCTGTGTCTACAAAAAAAAAAGAAAAAAAGAAAAACCACAGAAGAAAAAATTGGTAAATTTATAAAATGCCATAAAAATTATAATACCAAAAACCAAACTACAAACTAAAGAAAAATATTAATGCATACAATAGACAGAGGTCGAAGTTCTTCAATAAATGTAAAGCTCCTACAGATAAATAAAAGTAAGATGAATAACCCAATTTTTAAAATAGCCAAGAGTCATAAATAAAGTTCACATAGAAAAAAATATTTTAACGTGAGAAAAAAATGTTCAACTTTACTCAGAGTAAGAAAATGTACGTTAAAGCTAAAATGAGATTTTATTTTTAACCTACCAGATTTTATTATAAAATTTTTTCGACCGGGCACAGTGGCTCACGCTTGTAATCCAGCACTTTGGGAGGCCGAGGCAGGTGGATCACCTGAGTTCAGGAGTTCAAGACCAGCCTGACGAATGTAGTCGCTATTAAAAACTCAAAATTAGCCTGGCATGGTGGCACATGCCTGTAATCCCAGTTTCTTGGAGGCTGAGGCAGGAGAATTGCTTGAACCCAAGGAGGTGGAGGTTACAGTGAGCCAAGATCACGCCATTGCACTCCAGCCTGGGCAACAAGAGTGAAACTCCATCTCAAAATAAAAAAGAAACTTTTTCAACTTTGACAATGTATTTATAAGGATACAGGGAAATAGTTATTCGTGTATTAATGGGAAAAATTTTAAGTTGGTGCAACCTCTGTGGAAAGCAAATTTATGGTGTTTATCAAAATTAAAAATACAGATTATCTTTGCCTGGAAAGCTCTCATCTAGAAATTTCTCATTTGGATACACTTAACTGTATGCCTGAAGAAGTGTTGAATGTTTTTTTCTTGCAACATTATTCCTAAGACAAAAGATTATAAACAAAATAAGATTCTATCAAGATGAGATCAATCAATTAAATTATGATATAGTCATACAATGGTATAGAATGCAATTGTGGAAAAATAAAGAGGCAGTTCTACACATAGTGCTATGGAAAGAAATCTAAGATATATTGAGTAAAAAAGCAAGATTTGGAATAATTTATTCATTCATCTACAAATGTTTATTGAGTACCTGCTATTTATCAGCACTATTTTATGTACTTGGTATTCCACTATTTAGCTTTTTAAAGACCATTATATATGCATATGTGCTTGTATATGCACAGGTTATTTCTGAAAAGACTCATAAGAAACTGTTAACAATGCTGCCTCCTGAGTGAAGAACTGAGTGCCTGGGAATAGTGGGAAAGAGACTTAATTTTCATTTTAAATCTTTTTTTGCTTGGTGCAGTGTTTCACGCCTGTAATCGCAGCACTTTGGGAAGCCGAGGTGGGTGGATCACCTGAGGTTAGAAGTTCAAAACCACCCTGGCCAACATGGTGAAACCCTGTCTCTACTAAAAATAGAAAAATTAGCTGGGCATGGTGGCAGGTGCCTGTAGTCCCAGCTACTTGGGACACTGAGGCAGGAGAATCACTTGAATCTGGGAAGTGGAGGTTACAGTGAGTGAGATCACGCCACTGTGCTCCAGCCTGGATGACAAGAGCGAAACTCTCTCAAAAAATAAAATAAAATAAATCCTTTTGTGCCTTTTATTTTTATATTTCATATATTACCCAAAGATTAATTTTTTAATTATCTTTACCTTTTTTTTTTTTTACTTTTTAACAATTTTTTTTTTTGTGGTGATGGGGGTCTTACTATATATCTCAAGCTGGTCTTGAACTCCTGACCTCAAGCAGTCCTCCTGCCTTGACCTCTCAATGTGTTGGGATTACAGGTGTGAGCCACCATGCCTGGTCTTATTTTTTCAGAGACGTGGTCTTGTTATGTTACCCAGGCTGGATTCAAACTCCTGGGCTTAAGCAATCTACTGCACCCAGCTTCTTAGTAGTTTCATTGGCACTGTTGCCTCCATTGAAAATATTAACTTGATTCTCACGGTATTTGGGGGGTGTATTCTTAGGGATGGGACTAATGAAAGTTTTATGAGTTGGATGGCAATATGAAATTTATTACACTTCATGATGTACTAATTTTGGTGTGTGTGTCTCTGTGTGTGCACATTCAGAATTTTTTTTCCCTGTTTTATTATAAGGATCTACACTATATAGCCACAGGAAACATAAGTGGTATGTTTGCATAAATGTTTCATACACAAATATTGTTCTAGCATACTTTTTTCAGTTAACGGTATGCTCTGATGCTCTGTTAGATTTACCTGATTCTTTTTGTTTGTTTGTTTTTTGAAACAGGGTCTCACTCTTGCCCAGGCTGGAGTGTAGTGGTGTGATCTCAGCTCACTGCAACCTCCACCTACCAGGTTCAAGTGATTCTCATGCCTCAGACACTTGAGTAGCTGGGATTACAGGCACGTGCCACCACACCCAGCTAATTTTGTATTTTTTTTTTTTTAGTAGAGACAAGGTTTTGCCATATTGGCCAGGCTGGTCTTGAACTCCTGGCCTCATGTGATCCACCCACCTTAGCCTCCCAAAGGGCTGGGATTACAGGCATAAGCCTCCTCACCTGGCCTTACCTGATTCTTTTTAATATATTCCATAGTATTTTGTAGCATGGATATACCATCATTCTGCTATTTTAAATATTCGTGTTGTTTCTAACAAATAATGCCTCAGTGAATATCCTTATATACATGTTCAAGTGTTTCTGTAAGTTAGGTATCTAAAAACAAAATTGTGGTGTTATAAGGATGTGAATTTGAAACTTTAATAGATACTACTAAAAGCCTTCTAAGTTGCAGAAACTTATCAGTAATCTATGAAAATACTTGCTTCCCCATCCTAGTGTGACAGAAATGTATAGATAAGAGGTAAGAAAATTTTTGAGGAAAAAAATACTGACTTAATTGTTACGATGACTTGGAAAATGATTTTCTATATTTTACTATGTGAGAATAGGGAAGGCATCACTTCTCTTTTTTTTTGGAGGCATGGACGGGTACGAAGGGATCACTTCTCTACACTTTATTATGGAGATACTTGTTATGCCTTTAATGCAAATAAAGTGTTTTGAGAATTAATAGAATAATAGTTACAATTGGGTTTTGTTAAATATTTTCTGAATATGTAGAAGCTTATATGTTTACTATGAGTTACATCTTTATTTTGTTTCTAAACTGTTCAGTGGAAAGAGACATTAATGGAACATTGTTGTCTCAAGCAACTTGTGAGCTCTGTGATGGAAATGAAAACTCTTTTATGGTAGTAAATGCTTTAGGAGACAGGTAAGCAGTGTGATGGGGGCTAACTTCATTAATATCATCTTATATTAGTGTATAATTTGTACTTTTAAGAGTGTTTTCCTATCATATCACTTAGTTTTCACAATAACCCAAGGAAGGATAGAAGTAGACATTAACAGATACAGAAGCTGAGGCCCAGAGCGTGAGACACACTAGGGTTCAAATTTTGGTCCAGTCTGTTAGTTGTCTGACCTTGGATAGCTCACTACTTCACAATCCCTTGTCTTTAGAATGGTAATGTTACCACCCACTTCATAGGCTGTAATGGCTCAGAAATAATAAGTAATAAAGTAAATAGATACAGTTCTTAGTATAGTGCTACATAGTAACCACTCTGTACAGGGTAGCTATTTTTGTTTGTTGTTACATAATTTGTATATAATCTGTAATATAATTATGTGCTAAGTACTGTACTAAAGCCCTTATGTATTATAATGTTACATAGAAAAACATAAATGTATGCTAATAATAGCCCAGGTACCCTGATTTATAGTCCCATTTTCTGTTGCTTCCTGTTCCCCCTTTGTGCATGTATTTGTGAAACACACACACACACACACACACACCCCTGCCTGCCTATATACTTCCCTCTAATTTAAGCACATTATACCAATTTCAGCATCTTTAATTTATTAGAGGCCTACATCATGACTTCCCTCCGGGCACAGTTTTTTCTTTAGTTTCCAAGTTTAATATGGAAAATAGTTGAGCAGCTTTTCTGAGGGCTACTTAGTGTTGGATCATCTTTTCTCTAAGGCTGACCTGAGTTATGGCATCCAAATACCAATTTTTTTTGCCCAATATTTCCCCAAGCCTAGTGTGTTTTATGTCATGCCCCAGCCCGACTCCTACCTGCTCTATTTTGCAAGTGATGAATACCCATATATTCACTCATCACTGTCCTCATTGGACCAGTACCCTCCCTCCCTCTGTCTCATTCATTAATGAAAAATATGAAGTATTTTTCTAAAATAAACAAAGATGGTAAATAGAATTTATTTAAAAGTGTTGGCTGTAGGTTTGATAGGAGCTAGAGATACATTTCTCTTCGGGTTATGCTACCTTTTTACTTTGTGGCACATAAAATAAGGAAAGTATATTTGATATAACTAATTGTAAAAATTGGGTTTCATTTATATGAGTTTGTTGCTCTCTTGTTAGTTGAGTGACTTAATTATCTTTCATACTCAGAATTATTCATTATGTACATTCCATGTAGTTAAAAAATACTCTTCTATTATTGATTAGTTTTACTTACTTTATACTTTGTAACACAGAATGGCCTAAAACTATTCAAATCAGTGTTATTTTAAATTTGTTTAACATATTTACATAATTGCTTACTGAATGAATCTACTCTAATCCATTGTTTAGAAAGACAGCTTTTCTATTAGGTTTAGTATAATTTATTAACATTTTTAAAATTATTTTTGTTATATTGAACAGGTGCGTCCGATGTGAGCCAACATTTGTTAATACCAGCAGGTCCTGTGCATGTTCAGAACCTAACATTTTAGTAAGGCTAACCAAATTGATAAAGTATATATATTTTTAATTCAGTTGCTTATGCCTTTTCATAAGCTTCTATTTTTTCCCTCATTTATTTATGAAGACAGGGGGATTATGTTTCAGCAGCACAGGGAATTTTCCTCTACGTAGAATTTCAGCTGCACGTTATGGAGAAGTTGTGAGTATGTTTCAATTTTTTTGTTCTGTTGTTAAAAAACTTTCTACATTTCATCCATTAGTAATTTCAGGCTAGAATGAGAAACCCTTTTGTGTAAATCATTTTAAAACAGAAAAAAATCAATCTAAGAAACATTAGTCTAATAATTCAGCAGTATAATTTCTAAGTACAGTACTCAGTCTGTACCGTAGCCTGTTTGTTTTTCAGTGCGCTACAGAATGTTTACACCAGAAATATCTGGTATATGTTCTGTATAGGATGCAGTATAATACATTTAAGGGCACCAGAAACGCTAGATTTGAACCCTGGATTTGCAAGTCATTAGTTTGGTATCCTTGGACCTTGAGAAGATTTCAAAACTTCATTTTATTGTCTGTAAGTTGGACATAATAAAAATACCTTTACCACAGTGCCTGTACATGGTAATCATTAGAGAAATCAGGATTATTCTTATTTGGCCAGATTTTTCCTTTTTTTTTTATTTTATTTTTGTTTGAGATGGAGTCTCGCTCTGTTGCCCAGGCTGGAGTGCTGTGGTGCAGTCTCGGCTCACTGCAACCTCCGCCTCCCAGGTTCAAGCGATTCTCCTGCCTCAGCGAGTAGCTGGGATTACAGGCACCTGCCACTACGCCCGGCTAATTTTTTGTATTTTCAGTAGAGATGGGATTTCACTGTGTTGGCCAGGCTGGTCTTGAACTCCTGACCTTGTGACCCACCCACGTTGGCCTCCCAAAGTGCTGGGATTACATGCATGAGCCACTGCGCCCAGCCAGTTGTTTCTTATTTTGTGGATGAGAGCATTGAGGCCTAGAGTTAGAGCTTTGGCAGCAGATGCTGGTGATAACCACTTCTAGGGTATAAAATGGAAAGTAAGTAGATGAATTGGAACTAAAGAGGTAACAAATCCAAGAGAATAAGAGTTAGATGACTAGGAGTTACAATAGGAATTACTGAATGAACATTGAAGATGCTTAGTATGCCAGAGTTTGGGGTGGACAGGGTGTGATCTAGTTGTTAATATCATTATTGTTAATATTATTATTGAATATAAGAGTGATTAAGAGGACTGTGAGGATAGCAATGATGAGGGTGGGATCTAGGATCTTGATGAATGAGGCAAAAATTCCTCTACTCAGTATAGTCTTGTGAGGAAGACAGGCAAGTACCAAGTAGTTACCAGACAACAAAATAAAAGCTAAAATACATAGGTAGCTCTGGGATTATCCCAAAATTGGCTCATCTGTAACAAGATACATGTCTTCTGGGGCATTCTTCTCCAGATTGGAGTGAATATCTGTATATGATTATTAAATTTGCAGGCCTTTAATTTTCCTTTTTTCCTTTTTCAAATAATTTAAGTTGAAATAATTTTGCTGAAAGTCCCAACAATGACTCTTTGTTCTTTCTGGTCTGAGATCCCCAATCATTTAATGGTCATGTCCCTTTAGCTTCCTCCGATCTGGAACTAGGTCCTCAGTGTTTTCCTGTCTTTCATGAATGCAACAGTTTTGAATATTACAGGCCTTACCATCCTACAGATACTTTCCTCACACTTTGTACCTGCTTAGATGAAAGCCACAAAAAAGATGTCATGTTCTTTTCAGTGGACTGCATCACATCCAGGGGCACACAGTGTCTACCTGTGCCACCACTGATGCTGTTAACCTTGATCACCTGCTTTAAAGTCACCATGACTACCATAAAGTTACCATTTTCCATTTGTAATTGATTAGTATTTTGTGAGGAGTATTTCTGAGATTACACTTCCTCACTAACCCTTAACTCACTAGCATTAGTCTCCATTGTTGAACCACTACTGTGATGGTTGCCAAAGGTTAATTTTGGATTTCCATCCACATTTGATTACTTCCATATTTATTAATTGACATTCTATTGTAAGGAAGAACTATCTCTTCTTCCCCATTCATACACTTATTTTTTAAAATTAATGTCCATGTGGATTTGTGGGTTCCTAATTTATTCAGTTAGTTATAATCCAGCATACTCATTATTTGTTTTGATGCTCAAATTGTCCTATATCTGGCCAATAAAAGTCCCTTCAAGTTGGCTTCTGCGTGATTTTTTTTTTTTTTTTGACATGTCCCCATCATTCTTTGAACATTTGCTTACTTTATGGTACAACAAGATTTCTAGGCTAATCTAGGCTAATCTTGTAATTTTCCTGCCTCAGCCCTGGAATCAGCCATTTCTTTTTTCTTTTTTTTTTTTTTTTTTTGAGACGGAGTTTCACTCTTGTTGCCCAGGCTGGAGTGCAATGGCGCAATCTTAGCTCACCGCAACCTCCACCTCCCGGGTTCAAGTGGTTTCCCTGCCTCCGCCTCCCAAGTAGCTGGGATTACAGGCATGCACCACCACACCTGGCTAATTTTTGTATTTTTAGTAGAGACAGAGTTTCTCCATATTGGTCAGGCTGGTCTCGAACTCCCCACCTCAAATGATCTACCCGCCTAAGCCTCCCAAAGTGCTGGGATTACAGGCATGAGCCACCACACCCGACTGGAGTCAGCCATTTCTTTAATCAGTTTTGTAGGATAAATATTTAGAAACCAAGATTAACACACTTAGTATGTCCTCTCACCAAACGTAGCTAGGAAATATACACATACATACATACACACACACATCTATGACTATTTCTGTGTCTGTGTATATATATTAAAAGGGCTGGGCGTGGTGGCTCACACCTGTAATCACAGCACTTTGGGAGGCCGAGGCAGGTGGATCACTTGAGGTCAGGAGTTTGAGACCAGTCTGGCCAATATGGTAAAACCTCATCTCCACTAAAAATACAAAAATTGTCTGGGTGTGGTGGTGCCCTCTGTAACCCAGCTTCTCAAGAGGCTAAGACGGGAGAATCACTCGAACCTGGTAGGTGGAGGTTGCAGTGAGCCAAGATCGCGCCACTGCACTCCAGCCTGGGCAACAGAACAAGACTCTGTCTCAAAAAAATAAAATAAAATAAAATAGCTCATACTGATCCCTTTAATTCTTAAGCAATACTTCAGGGTTCTTTCTAACCTTTCCCTTTGATAAGTTTTAAGTATCTTCTCCAGGGGTGAGGAATCTGGGGTTCATTATCCTCAATTTATTTATATGCTCAATGTGACCAATCTTCCAACCCCCTCACTTTCTATTCCACCTCCACATTCTCCCTCCTCTGCTAGCACCATGCAGTTGACCCATTATAGACTTCTTTGATAGGTGGGTAGGGAGGAACTGTTCCATCCTTAATGTTCTGATTCAGTTAATGTATTTCATTTAAACATACCAGATTTTTTTAAAATTAAAAATAATAAAACTAAATTAAAAAAAAAACAAAACCACCTCGACCCTTCCCAAAACTTTCCTGGTCCCACACGCAGACACTGCAACCGTGACCAGAGGATGGGGCACTGGGAACAGGAACGACACCACTGCCCAGCCTGGGGCACCTGAGGGACAACCTGGAACACTCCAGGAGCACTGCAAAGGTCTAGCAGAACCAACACTGGCGCGGGCAGGGAAGGGCAGCCTGATGGGCTCGTGGGGCAGCTCCCACCACCTTGAAGAAGGGCTGCCTGCAAGGCAACGGCCATAGGAGGCGAGCAAGGGGTACCTGCTGCCTCAGAGGACCCCCCAGTCCTGCCGATGCCATGAGGCAGAGGGTGGAGGAAGCGAGGTCAGCCGGATTCCATATCCCTGCATCCCACATACTGCCCAAGGGCAGGGAGGAGAGGCGAGGGGCCCATAGGAATGAGAAGAGCGGTTCCATTTGCCATGAATGTCTGTCCCTCATCTGTCGCGGCTCAGACCTGGCCAGGGAGAGCATGACATCACCACAGCAATTGTGTGCTAAACATACCAGTTCTGAACACTGATTCTTTCCTAAGGACAGATTTGGAATTCCTGATTTAAAGTCATGTTGCAACTGCTTTTCAGACTGGTTCCGTGTAGCCAGTGTATAAAACGTGTAAGCAAAATCTAGTTAAGATGGTTTGACTACCCTTGCCTAGTCTCAGTTTGCAAGAATAAGAACTCAGTTTTATCCATGTACTTGTAAGTCAGTCAGATTCTAAGGGCTTGTTTAAAGTAATTAAACTTAGACGAGATTAGATTAATTGATAAACCAGAATACATGTTTATTAGTTTATGTTGAGACTGTAATTGCCAATTAGACTGAAATATTTGTATTGACTCCATAACATACATTCTTCCTAATTGGAAAAGTCTACTTTGAACGTTAAGGTTGGAAGTTTTCTTAGAGAACAAAATTGGTACATAATTTTGTTTGTATAATTTTATAACAAGGCATCCAATCCTACTCATCCTACTCTTGGAATATACTTGCCAATCAGAAAAAAATTTTCACATACATGAGTTAGTGTCTCCCCATTCCCTTTCCCTCAAATACATTAATAGTGAAATAGCTTCATGGTTTTTGGTTTTCCCAACTTTTATTTTGAAAAATTTCAAAATTGCAGAAAAGCTGAAAGAATTAGACAATGACTATGCCTATGTCTTTCACCTGGTTTAAAGAATTATTAATGTTTTGCCACATTTGCTTTATCTCTCTGTATATATGTAAATATATACGCAAACACAATGTTTTTTTCCCCCTGAGCCATTTGAAAATAAGTTGTAGACATAATGACATTGCACTCCAAATACTTTAGGGTGGATCTCCAAAGAATAAGGCATTTTCCTAGAATCACACCCAAGGAATTTAAAATTAACATAATAGAATTAACTGATATCCATTCATACCCAAATTTTCCCAGTTGTTCAAAAATGTTCTTTATTCTCCCTTCCTTTTTTGGGGGAAGGGATACCTAGGATCCAATCAAGGATCTCACACTGCAGTTAGTCTTTCTAGTGTCCTTTAATCTAGAACATATCCCTGCTTCACTTTGCTTTTGTGGTTTTTCCCCTCTGTATTTTTCTGATTGTTTTCTCATGATTAGACTCAGTGAAACATATTTTCGCAAGATATTATATAGATGTTGTATACAGCTCATTGCATCACAACAAGAGGTATGTAATGTCTGTCAGGTTGTCCAGTTATTGGTGATAGTAAATTTGATTGCTAGGCTGGACGCGGTGGCTCACTCCTTTAATCCCAGCACTTTGGGAGGCTGAGGCATGTAGATCACCTGAGGTCAGAAGTTCAAGACCAGCCTGGCCAACATGGTGAAACCCCATCTCTACTGAAAATACAAAAATTAGCTGGGCGTGGCGGCAGGCTCCTGTAACCCCAGCTACTCAGGAGGCTGAGGCAGGAGAATCGCTTGAACCCAGGAGACAGAGGTTGCAGTGAGCCAAGATCGCGCCATTGCACTCCATCCTGGGCAACAAGCGAAATTCCGTCTCAAAAAAAAAAAAAAATATTGATTTCTTGGTCATAGTTGTGTCTGCCACTTCTCTCCATTGTAAAGGTACTGTGATTAATACGTTAGTCTGAGACTATGTAAATATCCATTTTAGCAATTAATGAATCTTGCCTGTATCAGTTACTAAACTGGTCACTTCTAATAACAATTCTATTATTCCCTCTAGATTTATTAGCTAGCAATTTTCTGTAGAAGCACTTTACTTTTTCTCTGTGCTTTTTTTTTTTTAAAAAAAAGCTTTATTATGAACTGTAGAATCTTTGTTTACTCATTGTGTTATAATCTGTTAACTTTTTTTATTCTTCTTTTCGAAGTTCAAGTTGTACCAAATTTGAACTTCCTTTCAGCATAGCTCCTGTGTTGTTTTGACGTGACTTTAGACTTTAGGGATTTCTTTGGTTTCTCTATACCATGTTCCAGACTCACCTTGTATAATTATATTTTTAATAGTTCCATAATATTCTGGCTTATGCACTAAAATTTGTATAATGGTATCTCCAGAGAATATTTAGGTTTTCAGTTATTAACTATATTGCTGTCAACCATAAATATGTTTTCCCATTTAGAGGGATTATTGCTTTAAGATAAATTTCCTAAGTGTTCCTAAATTTCTGGGTTAGAGTATATGGATATTGCTTTATAAAAGTATCATGTAACTTTCACACTATCAGTGGCATTGTATGTGGCTCCATTTTACATGCATTTGTCAGTACTGTTGTGTTGCATTTCATTTTTTACCAGTTTGTGTGCATGTGTTCCTCAGCCTTCTATGCATATTTTTTCTTACAAAATAATTTTTGCTTATTAAATATACACAAATAGTACCTCATAGTTTTATTATAGATTTCTCTGATCACTGTGGTGCCATGTTCATATAATTTAGTTATATCACTTACGTGTGTGCCCAGACGATTTTCTCTGAATGGTGCTTCTTAGTTTCTCATATTTTAGCAAGATGTACAGATAAGCTTTAAAGTAATGTTTTTTAGCCAGAGGTTTGTTATCTGTAGCCTTCAAAACCGATGTAATTGCCTTGGTCTCATCTGGAGATACTGATTCGTTTTTGTTTGGGATGAAGCCAGGCATTTTTTGTTTTTAGAAAGTTCTGCAGGTGATTGTGATGTCCACCATTGTTTGAGAACCACCACTTTGGAGATTTGAAATTATTTCCCCCCAATTTTTTTTATTGCTTGCCAATTTGGTACAGTATTTATAATAATTATAAACCAGTAAATATTAACCACTCAATACTAAGTCAGGATCTGTTATTTTTTCTTTTGTTTGCCACTTTATTTTTTATGTTAGTGAAATAGGCATGTAGTATTTTTTGATTACAGACACATTTTGTCTCGTTATATCTTTTGCCTAAGTGTGATTATTTTGTAATGCGGTCCTATTTATAATAACTGACATTGGTTAAAATCAATTCTTGTATTCCTATTAGTAACTGTTTTTCTACTAACATTGTGAAAGTAATGTGAGACATTTCCCATTCAACAATATGCATATTGGAGTCATTTGAACTTAAAAATAAAATGTATCTTTTTGTTTACAGGGCATGTCTTTAACTTCAGAATGGTTTGCAAAGTATTTGCAATCATCAGCAGCTGCATGTTGGGTAAGTTTGAATTTTTTAAATAAATTTCATTTTATTTTGAAGAATTATACCATTTATTTACCCAGATAATAAAAGTTTTATTTCTAAGTAGCTATAGCTTCTTGGTCATAATCTTATAAGAAGAATAAACTCTTTCTTGTGGGCTGAAAGAGAATACATGAAGAAGATGTTATTTAGTATACACAAATTGAATGTCTCCAAGCTTTTTTAGCTGAAACGGAGTGTTAGGGGAAACTGACTGTCACTTAGTAAATGTTTATTGATGACCTACTGTGTGCCGGGCCCAATTCTTAAATCAGGTTAGATATTTCAGAAAAAGAAAAAAACAGTCCTTCATGGAGTTACAGCCTAAGTAAATGTC
Source organism: Homo sapiens (assembly GCF_000001405.40). Classification (NCBI taxonomy): domain Eukaryota; kingdom Metazoa; phylum Chordata; class Mammalia; order Primates; family Hominidae; genus Homo; species Homo sapiens. The sequence continues at coordinate 93,773,013 of NC_000008.11, forward strand.
AGGTTGTGCTAAGTGCTATGAAGGCAAATAGTTAAGAGTAAAGTACATAGATGGGGTGGGGGGTGCTATTTTATATAGTGATCAGGACAGACATCTCTGAGAGGGTTATAGTTGAGCAAAGAACTGAAAAAAGTGAGAGTGAGCCATGTAAACATCAAGGAGAAGAGTGTTCTAAGCAGAAACCATAGCAGGAGCAAAGATCTCAAAGCAGTTTACTGGCTTATTCATGCTTAAGAGAGAAGGAGGAGGCTGGAGTGGCTGGAGCAGAGTGAGCAGGGAAAGTGGAGTGGAGATGAGGTCAGGGATGTAGGGAGTGGCTATGGCAAGGCCCTGGAGCTTATTTTAAGGGAGATAGGAGGATTTCATGCAAAGGAAGACATGATAGAACTTCAGTTCTTGAAAGGATCATTGTAGCATGGAGAATAGAATTTGTTGGGGTAAGGGACCATTTAGGAGAGTATTACAGTAATCTGAGTGAGAGATAGTGGACCATTGCACAAGGGTGGTCCTGCAGAAATGAGAGAAGCATTTACCTTCAGCTATGCTTTGAAGATTTAGCTGACAGAATTTACTCATGAGCTGGATAAGGGGCAAGAGAGAAAAAAAGTTCAAAGTTTTTCACATGAATAACTGTAAAAATGGAATTGCCTTTTCCTAATAGGGAAAACTGAGAAAGATGGTTGACAGGCAAACTCAACAAATGATCTCATTTTGTTGTTTATAAAGCAGATTACTTAAACAAAATGGATTAGATTTTATGTGTAAGATCTAACATACAAATTATTGTTCTTTCAAAAATAGTCTAGTAGGTTTTTTAATGTCATGCTATGAGTTTTTCCTTAGTTCTTCTTTCAGTTTCTTGTCTTTATATTTTAACCTAAAATTTACAATTAAAATGTTTGTGTTATTTCTCTTCCCAAGTGGAAAGTTTATTTTCTCCTTAAGCTAGAGGGAAGGTTTTAACAAGCAAAAGAATAATAAAAAAAATTATTAGTAAAATAGGTTAAAAAAAATTTTTTTTTTTTTGAGACGGAGCCTCACCCTGTTGCACAGGCTGGAGTGCACAATCTCGACTCACTGCAACCTCCGCCTCCTGGGCTCAAGAGATCCTCCTGCCTCAGCCTCCTGGGTAGCTAGGACTACAGGGGCATGCCACCACACTCAGCTAATTTTTCTATTTTTAGTAGAGACAGGGTTTCACCACATAGGACAGGCTGCTCTCAAACTCCTGACCTCAAGTGATCTGCCTGCCTTGACCTCGCAAAGTGCTGGGATTACAGGCGTGAGCCACCATGCCCGGCTTAGAATAGGCAAAATGAAAACAAAATAAACTTTTTCTCTTTTTATTTATTTCTTTTTTGTATTATACTTTAAGTTCTAGGGTACATGTGCACAACATGCAGGTTTGTTACATAGGTATACATGTGCCATGTTGCTGTGCTGCACCCATTAACTCGTCATTTACATTAGGTATTTATCCTAATGCTATCCCTCGCCCAGTCCCCCACCCAAAGACAGGCCCCAGTGTGTGATGTTCCCCGCCCTGTGTCCAAGTGTTCTCGTTGAATTCCCACCTATGAGAGAGAACACAGAGTGTTTAGTTTTCTGTCCTTGTGATAGTTTACTCAGAATGATGGTTTCCAGCTTCATCCATGTCCCTGCAAAGGACATGAACTCATCCTTTTTTATGGCTGCTTAGTATTCCATGGTGTATAATATGCCACATTTTCTTAATCCAGTCTATCATTGATGGACATTTGGGTTGGTTCCAAGTCTTTGCTATTGTGAATAGTGCCGCAATAAACATACATGTGCATGTGTCTTTATAGTAGCATGATTTATAATCCTTTGGGTATATACCCAGTAATGGGATTGCTGGGTCAAATGGTATTTCTAGTTCTAGATCCTTGAGGAATTGCCACACTGTCTTCCACAATGGTTGAACTAGTTTACACTCCCATCAGTGTAAAAGCATTCCTATTTCTCCATGTCCTCTCCAGCATCTGTTGTTTCCTAACTTTTTAATGATCACCATTTTAACTGGTGTGAGATGCTATCTCTTTGTGGTTTTGATTTACATTTCTCTGATGACCAGTGATGACGAGCATTTTTTCATGTGTCTGTTGGCTGCATAAATGTCTTCTGTTGAGAAGTGTCTGTTCATATCCTTTGCCCACTTTTTGATGGGGTTGTTTTTTTCTTGTAAATTTGTTTAAGTTCTTTGTAGATTCTGGATATTAGCCCTTTGTCAGATGGGTTATTGCAAAAAATTTCTCCCATTGTGTAGGTTGTGTGTTCACTCTGATGACAGTTTCTTTTGCTGTGCAGAAGCTCTTTAGTTTAATTAGATCCAATTTGTCTATTTTGGCTTTTGTTGCCATTGCTTTTGGTGTTTTAGTCATGAAGTCCTTGCCCGTGCCTATGTCCTGAATGGTATTGCCTAGGTTTTCTTCTAGGGTTTTTATGGTTTTAGGTCTAGCATTTAAGTCTTTAAACCATCTTGAATTAATTTTTGTATAAGGTGTAAGGAAGGTGTCCAGTTTCAGCTTTCTACATATGGCTAGCCAGTTTTCCCAGCACCATTTATTAAATAGGGAATCCTTTCCCCATTTCTTGTTTTTGTCAGGTTTGTCAAGGATCAGATGGTTGTAGATGTGTGGTATTATTTCTGAGGCCTCTGTTCTGTTCCATTGGTCTATGTATCTGTTTTGGTACCAGAACCATGCTGTTTTGGTTACTGTAGCCTTGTAATACAGTTTAAAGTCAGGTAGCATGATGCCTCCAGCTTTGTTCTTTTTGTGTAGGATTGTCTTGGCAATGCAGGCTCTTTTTTGGTTCCACAGGAACTTTACAGTAGTTTTTTCCAATTCTGTGAAGAAAGTCATTGGTAGCTTGATGGGGATGGCATTGAATCTATAAGTTACCTGAGGCAGTAGGGCCATTTTCACGATATTGATTCTTCCTATCCATGAGCATGGAGTGTACTTCCATTTGTTTGTGTCCTCCTTTATTTCATTGAGCAGTGGTTTGTAATTCTCCTTGAAGAGGTCCTTCACATCCCTTGTAAGTTGGATTCCTAGGTATTTTATTCTCTTTGTAGGAATTGTGAATGGGAGTTCACTCATGATTTGGCTCTCTTTTTGTCTGTTATTGGTGTACAGGAATGCTTGTGATTTTTGCACATTGATTTTGTATCCTAAGACTGCTGAAGTTGCTTATCAGCTTAAGGAGATTTGGGGCTGAGACAATGGGGTTTTCTAAATATGCAATCATGTCTTCTGCAAACAGGGACAATTTCACTTCTTCTTTTCCTAATTGAATACCCTTTATTTCTTTCTCTTGCCTGATTGCCCTGGCCAGAACTTCCAACACTATGTTGAATAGGAGTGGTGAGAGAGGGCATCCCTGTCTTGTGCCAGTTTTCAAAGGGAATGCTTCCAGTTTTTGCCCATTCAGTATGATATTGGCTGTAGGTTCGTCATAAATAGCTCTTATTATTTTGAGATATGTTCCATCAATACCTAGTTTATTGAGAGTTTTTAGCATGAAGGGCTGTTGAATTTTATCGAAGGTCTGTTTTGCATCTGTTGAGGTAATTATGTGGTTTTTGTCATTGGTTCTGTTTATGTGGTGGATTACGTTTATTGATTTGCATGTGTTGAACCAGCCTAGCATCCCAGGGATGAAGTCAGCTTGATCGTGTTGGATAAGCTTTTTGATGTGTTGCTGGATTTGGTTTGCCAGTATTTTATTGAGGATTTTTGCATCGATGTTCATCAGGGATATTGGTCTAAAATTCTCTTTTTTTGTTGTATCTCTGCCAGGCTTTGGTATCAGGATGATGCTGGCCTCATAAAATGAGTTAGGGAGGATTCCCTCTTTTTCTATTGATTGAAATAGTTTCAGAAGGAATGATACCAGCTCCTCTTATACCTCTGGTAGAATTCGGCTGTGAATCCATCTGGTCCTGGACTTTTTTTGGTTGGTAGGCTATTGATTATTGCCTCAATTTCAGATGCTGTTGTTGGTCTATTCAGAGATTCAACTTCTTCCTGGTTTAGTCTTGGGAGGGTGTATGTGTCGAGGAATTTATCCATTTCTTCTCGATTTTCTAGTTTATTTGTATAGAGGTGTTTATAGTATTCTCTGATAGTAGTTTGTATTTCTGTGGGATCGGTGGTGATATCGCCTTTATCATTTTTTATTGCGTCTATTTGATTCTTCTCTCTTTTCCTCTTTATTAGTCTCGCTAGCGGTCTATCAATTTTGTTGATCCTTTCAAAAAACCAGCTCCTGGATTCCTTGATTTTTTGAAGGGTTTTTTGTGTCTCTATCTCTTTCAGTTCTCCTCTGGTCTTAGTTATTTCCTGCCTTCTGCTCTCTTTTGAATTTGTTTGCTCTTGCTTCTTTACTTCTTTTAACTGTGGTGTTAACAGTGTCGATTTTAGATCTTTCCTGCTTTCTTATGTGGGCATTTAGTGCTGTAAATTTCCCTCTATACACTGCTTTAAATGTGTCCCAGAGATTCTGGTACATTGTATCTTTGTTCTCATTGATTTCAAAGAACATCTTTATTTCTGCCTTCATTTCATTATTTACCCAGTAGTCATTCAGGAGCAAGTTGTTCAGTTTCCATGTCGTTGTGTGGTTTTGAGTGAGTTTCTTAACCCTGAGTTCTAATTTGATTGCACTGTGGTCTGAGAGACAGTTTGTTGTCATTTCTGTTCTTTTACATTTGCTGAGGAGTGCTTTATTTCCAAGTATGTGGTCAATTTGGGAATAAGTGCGAGGTGGTGCTGAGAAGAATGTATATTCTGTTGATTTGGGGTGGAGAGTTCTGTAGGTGTCTATTAGGTCCATTTGGTGCAGAGCTGAGTTCAAGTCCTGGATATTCTTGTTAACCTTCTGTCTTGTTGATCTGCCTAATAGTGACAGTGGGGTGTTAAAGTCTCCCATTATTATTGTGTGGGAGTCTAAGTCTCTTTGTAGGTCTCTAAGGACTTGCTTTATGAATCTGGGTGCTCCTGTATTGGGTGCATATATATTTAGGATAGTTAGCTCTTCTTGTTGAATTGATCCCTTTACCATTATGTAATGCCCTTCTTTGTCTCTTTTGATCTTTGTTGGTTTAAAGTCTATTTTATCAGAGACTAGGATTGCAATGCCTGCTTTCTTTTGCTTTCCATTTGCTTGGTATATCTTCCTCCATCCCTTTATTTTGAGCCTATGTGTGTCTTTGCACGTGAGATGGGTCTCCTGAATACAGCACATTGATGGGTCTTTACTCTTTATCCAATTTGCCAGTCTGTGTCTTTTAATTGGAGCATTTAGCCCATTTACGTTTAAGGTGTAATATTGGTATGTGTGAATTTGATCCTGTCATTATGATGTTAGCTGGTCATTTTGCCCATTAGTTGATGCAGTTTCTTCCTAGCATTGATGATCTTTACAATTTGGCATGTTTTTGCAGTGGCTGGTACTGGTTGTTCCTTCCCATGTTTAGTGCTTCCTTCAGGAGCTTATGTAAGGCAGGCCTGGTGGTGTCAAAATCTCTCAACCTTTGCTTGTCTGTAAAGGATTTTATTTCTCCTTCACTTATGAAGCTTAGTTTGGCTGGATATGAAATTCTGGCTTGAAAATTCTTTTCTTTAAGAATGTTGAATATTGGCCCCCACTCTCTTCTGGCTGTAGAGTTCCTGCCAAGAAATCTGCTGTTAGTCTGATGGGCTTCCCTTTGTGGGTAACCCAACCTTTCTCTCTGGCTGCCCTGAATATTTTTTCCTTCAGTTTAACCTTGGTGAATCTGACAATTATGTGTCTTGGGGTTCCTCTTCTCAAGGAGTATCTTTGTTTTGTTCTCTGTATTTCCTGAATTTGAATGTTGGCCTGCCTTGCTAGGTTGGGGAAGTTCTCCTGGATAATATCCTGAAGAGTGTCTTCCAACTTGGTTCCATTTTCCCCATCACTTTCAGGTACACCAATCAAACATAGATTTGGTCTTTTCACATAGTCCCATATTTCTTGGAGGCTTTGCTCATTTCTTTTTAGTCTTTTTTCTCTAACCTTGTCGTCTCGCTTTATTTCATTAATTTGATCTTCAATTACTGATACCCTTTCTTCCACTTGACCAAATCGGCTACTGAAGCTTGTGCATGCATCACATAGTTCTTGTGCCATGTCTTTTAGCTCCATCAGGTCATTTAAGGTCTTCTCTACACTGTTTATTCTAGTTAGCCATTTGTCTAATCTTTTTTCAAGGTTTTTAGCTTCCTTCCGACGGGTTCGAACATCCTCCTTTAGCTCAGAGAAGTTTGTTATTACCGACCTTCTGAAGCGTACTTCTGTCAGTTTGTCAAAGTCATTCTCCATCCAGCTTTGTTCTGTTGCTGGTGAGGAGCTGCATTCCTTTGGAAGAGAGGAGGCACTCTGGTTTTTAGAATTTTCAGCTTTTCTGCTCTGGTTTCTCCCCATCTTTATGGTTTTACCTACCTTTGGTCTTTGATGTTGGTGACCTACAGATGGGGTTTTGATGTGGATGGGGTTTTGATGTGGATGTCCTTTTTGTTGATGTTGATGCTATTCCTTTCTATTTGTTAGTTTTCCTTCTAACAGGTCCCTCAGCTGCAGGTCTGTTGGAGTTTGCTAGAGGTCCACTCCAGACGCTGTTTTCCTGGATATTACCAGCGGAGGTTGTAGAACAGCAAATATTGCTGCCTGATCCTTCCTCTGGAAGCTTCGTCCCAGAGGGGCGCCCACCTGTATGAGGTGTCTGTCGGCCCCTACTGGGAGGTGTCTCCCAGTTAGGCTACACAGGGTCAGGGATCCACTTGAGGAGGCAGTCTATCCATTCTCTGAGCTCAAACGCTGTGCTGGGAGAACCACTGCTCTCTTCAGAGCTGTCAGACAGGGATGTTTAACTCTGCAGAAGTTTCTGGTGCCTTTTGTTCAGCTATGCCCTGCTGCCAGAGGTGGAGTCAACAGAGGCAGCAGGCCTTGCTGAACTGCGGTGGGCTCCACCCAGTTGGAGCTTCCCCGGCTGCTTTGTTTTCCTACTCAAGCCTCAGCAATGGCAGACACCCCTCCCCCTGCCAGCCTGCTGCCTGGCAGGTTGATCTCAGCTGTGCTAGCAGTGAGCAAGGCTCTGTAGGCGTGGGACCCACCGAGCCAGGCGTGGGATGTAATCTGGTGTGCCGTTTGCTAAGACCATTGGAAAAGCGCAGTGTTTAGGTGGAGGTGTCCCATTTTTCCAGGTACAGTCTGTCACGGCTTCCCTTGGCTAGGAAAGGGAAATCCCCCAACCCCTTGCGCTTCCTGGGTGAGGTGATGCCCCACCCTGCTTCAGCTTGCCCTCCATGGGCTGCACCCACTGTCCAACCAGTCCCAATGAGATGAACCAGGTATCTCAGTTGGAAATGCAGAAATCACCTGCCTTCTGCGTTGATTATGCTGGGAGCTGCAGACCGGAGCTGTTCCTACTCGGCCATCTTGGAACAGACCTGCACAAAGTAAAATTTTTATATCAACTTTTGCATAGACTGTTCAGGTTCATGTTACTTTTCTTTGCCATTGTTCTGTTGTAGGTATATGCCAATCTAACATCTTGTCAAGCTCTTGGAAATATGTGTGTGATGAACATGAATTCTTACGACTTTGCCACATTTGATGCATGTGGACTATTTCAGTTTATCTTTGAAAATACTGCTGGACTGAGCACTGTTCATTCTATTTCATTTTGGTAAGGATATTTTGATTGATGAAATGTTATTTTGACTGAATTCAGTGCAGTTATTAATATATTCACAAATACTAATAATAAGAAATATTTATTCTCCATTATTAAAACAGTTGTAACTGTTTATAGGAGACAGAATCTTCCTTGGCTGTTTTATGGAGACCAGTTAGGATTAGCACCTCAAGTGCTCAGTTCTACCTCTCTTCCTACAAATTTCAGTTTTAAAGGAGAAAACCAGGTAAAAGTGTCTAATATCATTAGAGGATAACTACATTTTGATTTATAATTTTAAAAGGTAATAAAGTTACAATTCTTGCCTTTTTAGGTTGTTGGTACAAACTCAGTTACTAAACTAAATATAAATGTCAACAACTCATAAGAACTAAATAGTATAGAGTTTAGCTATCTTACTGAATATGTGGATACTTCTGGATTGTGTGGTTATGGCAAGAAGTTGTACTTGTAGGGTTGGGAAGAGCAGTTTTCATCACCAAATGCAAAAAATCTCTGTCCTGTTTTTTCCACACCTTAAAGAAGTGCTTCCAAAGATTGATTGGGGCTCTGTGACATTGCTCAGCACTTCACAGGGCCAAATTCCTACCTGTAACTTTTTGACCTTCCAGAATGAGGAGATACTATTCTCCCACACTGCCTCCTATTTAACAGGTTCAAAAGGAGGCTATCTGTCACTAGTGCTGCCTCTCAATTCTAGAATAATAATTTTCATGCAAAAAACCAGTCTAATTCTTTCAGGTCTATTTAGTCATAGAAATAGATTAATTGAACCTCAAAATAAAGATAATTGAATGTAATTTTTCAACAAAAAAGATCAGTCAACAATGAAAATTTCTTTATAGGATATTGTATTACTTTCAGAGTATTTGACCTGATTTTGCTCGTTTTCTTTAATCAGAATACAAAACTGAAGTTTGTTGCTGCTTCCTATGATATAAGAGGAAATTTTCTCAAGTGGCAAACTTTAGAAGGAGGTGTTTTACAGGTAAGCATGATTCTAGTTAAAGAATTAATAACATGCATTATTTTTGCCTGAGACAAAGCCAAGAGGAAAAGATTATTGTATGAATAAAGCATCAGTTACATACTACAGTTGATTTTTTTTCTGATGCTTTAAATTAGACTTTCTTAAGTTTTTTGTTTGTTTGTTTGTTTGTTTGTTTTTTCTTTTTTTTTTGAGATGGAGTCTCGCTTTCTTAACCAGGCTGGAGTGCAGTGGCGCGATCTCAGCTCACTACAAGCTCCGCCTTGCGGGTTCACGCCATTCTCCTGCTTCAGCTGGGAGCTGGAACTACAGGCGACTGCCACCACGTCCAGCTAATTTTTATGTACTTTTAGTAGAGACGGGATTTCACCATGTTAGCCAGGATGGTCTTGATCTCCTGACCTCGTGATCCGCCCTTCTTGGCCTCCCAAAGCGCTGGGATTGCAGGCATGAGCCACCATGCCTGGCTAAGTTTTATTTCTTTAAAGTTATGACTTTCATTTATAACAGATGTTCCCTTAACTTTTCATATCCTTGATACATTAAATAAGTATTATGTAGAGCATATATCCATGTTCGGGTTTGAGAACTCTTGAGTATAAGAATAGAAAACATTTGTGAGATTTATCTGTTGTATTATTTTGCTGCAGCTTTGTCCAGACACAGAGACAAGGCTAAATGCTGCTTATTCATTTGGAACAACCTACCAACAAAATGTAAGTTTGAACGATATTAGTCTATATTTTAGCTTTATTTTTCAAAATATCATGTCAGCAGTAATTGGAATAATACTTAAATTTTTGAGATTGGAAATTTTTTATTCTTGGTTTTTTTTTTTTTTTTTTTGAGATGGAGTTTTGCTCTTGTTGCCCAGGCTGGAGTGCAGTGGTGCAATCTCAGTTCACCACAACCTCCGCCTCCCAGGTTCAAGTGATTCTCCTGCCTCAGCCTCCCGAGTAGCTGGAATTACAGACATGTGCCACCACGCCCAGCTAATTTTTTGTATTTTTAGTAAAGACAGGGTTTCTCCATGTTGATCAGGCTGATCTTGAACTCCCCACCTCAGATGATCTGCCCTCCTCAGCCTCCCGAAGTGCTGAGATTACAGGCATGAGCCACCGTGCCTGGCCGGAAATGTTTTTAATAGTGAAGAATAATTTCACTATTTAATATAATTTTTTATTACCTGGGTACATAAAAGCTTAATTTAAGTGGCATAAACAGAGCACCTTGTTATCTATAGAGTTTTTTGTTTTTTGAGACAGAGTCTCGCTCTGTTGCCCAGGCTGGAGTGCAGTGGTGCAATCTCAGCTCACTGCAATCTCTTGCCTCCTGGGTTCAAGCAATTCTCGTGCCTCAACCACCTGAGTAGCTGGGACAACAGGCATGTACCACCACACCCAGCTAATTCTTGTGTTTTGCATAGAGATGGGGTTTTGCTGTGTTGACCACGCTTGTCTCAAACTCCTGACCTCAACTGATCCACCAGCCTTGGCCTCCCAAAGTGCTGGGATTACAGGTGTGAGCCACCTCGTCCGGCCTAGAGTCTTAAACATCATATAATATTACATCTTCATAATAAATTGTTTATCTGCTTCTAGGCTTATAGGTCTTAAAAAGTAATGCTTACTTCTGAGCATTTTGAAATAAAGTAAAAATACTACTTTTTTTAAATGACTAATAAAAAGTTACTCCCTTCTTCTACCCGCTCATAACAAATAAAAATAATTCCTTCATCTTCTTCCATTCTTTTCTTTCTCCTTCCTTCTCTGACTTTCCTTACTTTGATACCTATTTTGAAATTACATTATTTTACTAAGGAATATTATGAGCCATTCAATACTTGAAAAACATGCATGTATTAGTCCGTTCTCACGCTGCTAATAAAAACACATCCGAGACTGGGTAATTTACAAAGGAAATAGGTTTAATTGACTCACAGTTCACTATGGCTGAGGAGGCCTCAGGAAACTTACAATCATGGTGGAAGGGAAGCAAACATGTCCTTTTTCACGTGGTGACAGGAAGAGAAGTACTGAGCAAAAGGGGGAGAAGCCCCTCATAAAACCATCAATCTCATGAGAACTCACTCACTATCATGAGAACAGCATGAGGGTAACTGCCCCTATGATTCAATTACCTCCCTCCGGGTCCTTCCCATGACACATGGGGATTATGGGAACTACAGTTCAAGATGAGATTTGGGTGGGGACACAGCCAAACCATATCAATTCATTAGTCTGTAAAAGTACATCTTGATAAAGTTCCACGCACAACCATAGAACAAAACCATAACAAAAAATACCATTATGGAAAGTAGATTGGAAGAATCTACTAACAGTGGTTACCTCTGGATAGTGGGGTTAGAAATTATTTTTTTCTTTTTTATAATTTCCAAATTTTCTACCATGAACATGAATTTACTTCTTTTGTCAGAAATGATTTACACGTTGTTGTTGCTGTTGTTGTTAAAATAAATGTTATTGTGCTTCTAACATAGGCCAGAAAGATCAACACTTATGTAATGCCTATCTGTGTGCTCAGCATTTTATCGTTATTATCCCATTTGATTCATAAAATAACTATATGAGATACATAGTATCTGTGCTTCACAGATGAGGAAATTATGCCGTGTAATTAGGTAATTTACTCAAAGACTTGTGTCACATAAACTGTGGAGCCAATGTTCTATCATCAGGTTTAAAAAGCATTTTTATTTCTTTGAACCTGGCTAACTCTCAAGTCCTTCATAGACTAGTGGGCAAAACAGTTATATAGACAAAGAATTGCAAAGAATGTGATAAGTGTCATTCTATAGGTATGTACAAGGTACTGATTCCTGGGGAAGTATAGAAAGGCTTCACAAAGTAAGTGATACTTGGATTTGTATAATGAATATGAGTTTTCCAGAAGAACACAGTGGGGAAGGAAATATCAGACAGAAATCACATTTGTAATGACAGAGAGACATACAGTAGTATGGCATATTTAGAAACTACAAGTAGATTAGTATGAATGGACCACCATAGACTGATAGGGAGTAATGAGAGATAAGCCTGGCTTGGTTAATGGAAGCCAGATCATATACATCATTGTACAGCAGGAGAAAAAATTGGGAATTTATCCCGTAGGACAGTAGTTTTAAACCTTTTCACTGATGTACCCTTAATATTGAGAATGAAGGTATACCTCCTTCATCTGAGTTGAAGCTCAAGAAGTTCTCAAAATTCTCAAAGCAGTACTTTACTGTTAGTGGTTTTGGTCCTTATAAAATAATCATAGTATTCATGTTTTGGAAGACAAATGAAAATGCATATAAACAAGGTAGTATAAAGACATTTTGCAAAACTAGAAAAACACTCTGAAGATAATAAATATGCTTGCTAATTTTCAATTGTGATCTTTTATTTTATTTTTTACTTTTTAGTACTTTAAGTTGCTGTTTTATGTGCTTTTATTTTTAATTTTACTTTTCAGTGTGAGATTCCTATCTCTAAGATCTTAATTGACTTTCCCACTCCTATATTTTATGATGTGTACCTTGAATATACTGATGAAAATCAACATCAATATATTTTGGCTGTGCCTGTGTTAAACCTAAATCTTCAACATAATAAGATATTTGTGAACCAAGGTAAGACATCCATACATACCACTCTTTTCCCTGAGCAGAAATCAACAAATAAGTTAACCTACATGATAATTTAATAAACCACTGATTATAAGAAAGGTCATGAATTCTCTCTTATGTGGTTCTATACAGTGTGCCAAAAAATGAAACAATAAATTGCTGGTGGACTTAGAAACTGTTGCTAATTTTATTGCCAGACATATTGTTAAGAAATTATACTGTTGCTGAGGGTATATCCTGAGAAACATTAGTAGAACCGTAAATTGGGGCTTTTTCGTCAAGCTGTCCCGAATATGCTTTTTTGGACAAATTAGTTTCTTTTGTTGTTATTCATGTTATAAAATTCTGCTTTTTCAGGTAATTTGCAGGGGAAAGCCTTCCAAATTTATGAAAAGTTCAATCAGAAGACATTCAAGTCCAAGGCACGGTGGCTCACGCCTATAATCGCAGCACTTTGGGAGGCCAAGACGAGAGAATTGCTTGAGCCTAGAAATTGAAGACCAACCTAGGCAACATAATTAGAACTGGTTGCTACAAAAAAAAATTTAGCTTGGTGTGATGGTGCACCCTTGTAGTCCCAGCTACTCTGGAGGCTGAGGTGGGAGGATCACTTGAGCCCAGGAGGTTGAGAATGCATGCAGTGAGCCATGATCATGCTATTGCACTATAGCCTGGTCAACAGAGTGAGACCCTGTCTAAAAAAAACAAAAGAAGACATTCACATGAGTTAGAGAACGCCATTGTCAGGTGTTTCTTATACTAGTAGCTTTTTGCAGCCATCTTATCTAAAACAATAATTTCATGTTTTAAATTTGTGCAGTAAACTTTTTTCTTTTTATAATAAAAGACAGCAACTCTGGAAAGTGGCTTCTAACTCGGCGCATTTTCTTAGTGGATGCAGTAAGTGGACGAGAAAATGACTTAGGAACTCAGCCAAGAGTAATTCGAGTTGCTACTCAAATATCACTGAGGTAAACAAATGTCTAATGATATTATTTATGGGAAAATATCATAATGGAAGTGTTTGCCAGTCATTAGTAGATGAAAACAATAAGGACAACTGAATTGGAACAGTTGGTCGGGTTATTTTAGGTGTATGTGTAGATTGGCATAGACCAGTAAAAGTGAATAGCCAAGGGGGAAAACTATAACAGAAGAGTGTGAGGAGTTAGGTCAAAATGCACATTATAGGTCCCACTCTAGACCTGCTGAATTAGAATGGGTTGCGAATAGCTAAGTAAATACCAGTGAGCTGAAATTGGTGTTTCAGGAAGAGCTTGCCAGATGATTGTTAATGTTTAGGACTCCCCTGTCCTCATTTCTTTCAGTGGCTTTTGTTCTAGGTTTACCCAGATTAATTTTCAACACCTCCCTCTTCCTAGGATAATCTCATTATGATCCTACGTTAGGATAGTACCTCGCCACTTAAATTTCTCTTTCTTTTCCAGTGTGAGATCTCTAAAATCTTAGTGACTTTCCCACTATAATATTTTATGATGTGTACCTTGAATACACTGATGAAAATCAACACCATCATCTCACAGTAGTTTGGTACTTTGAAGTACTTCAATATACTTATTTTTCAGTTATTTCATTTTGATTCTCATAATCTTATAAACAGTGCAGAAACTTTGTTATTTATCATGCTGAAATCCAAATGTACTGTCTTTTCAGCATTTCTTCAGTCTGCTAATATGGTGTTCCTAGTAAAAATGAAAATGCACCTAGTCAGACTTGATGTGTTCTTGATGAAACCATGCTGGCCCCTAGTGATTGGCACTTTCCTTTTTGAATTCACAAACTGTGCAGTACTAATGCATCGAATTTGGCAAAATGAACCTCACTTTGTGCCATAACCATATTACAGCTGACACTTTTTTTTTTTTAATTTAAAAATTTATTTATTTGTTTATCTTGAGACGGGGTCTTGCTATGTTGCCCAGACTGGTCTTGAACTCCTGGGCTCAAACAGTCTTCCCGCCTTGGCCTCCCAAAGTGCTGGGATTACAGGCATGAGCCACTGCACCTGGCTTGACACATATTATTTTGTTAAGAATTCATCTTTCTCTTTTGAAAATCAAGATCTTATCTGCCTTTCTTTAGGCTTCATGTAGCACTGTACTTTTGATTATTCCTCAAAGATAGTTTATAGTTCTTCAGTGATTTCATTTGTAAACTTCACAGGACTTGGATTGAGCTTCTAATTTATCTCAGATGGTACATTTTTGGTTTGCTTTTTCTTTAATCTTACACCATCAGATGGTATATTTTAATGTTCAAGTCTTGATCACTGAAGATAGCTTTTGTTGTCATCATTAGTTTATGTGTAACCTTCCTTAGTCCTTGTTAACTACTTGGTTCTGAGATCATCAGACAATTCATATTAAATTCAAAAGAAATGGTAAGTTAAATGTATGTTTAAAGGCCCGGATATACTGATTACTATAAATGCATTTTCTTTTAAATAGTGTCCACCTTGTACCCAACACAATAAATGGAAACATCTACCCTCCCTTAATCACCATTGCCTACAGTGACATTGATATCAAAGATGCCAACAGCCAGTCTGTGAAGGTGAGTTCCTGACTTATTAGTGCCCTTGTATGTATAAATAGAGTATAATACTGATTCAGTTTACATTTTGGTCAAAAGACAGTCTTTTTTTTTTTTTTAAGTTCTAAATAAACCTTTCTCTACATATAGTCAAGTCTTAATTATTCTTTACTAATAATGGTAAGAGGTGAGTTCTTATGGATCCTGAGTATAAAAAAGTAAGAATGGATTATGTTTTTCAGTAGAAGCCTCACCAGCAGTTGAGTATCCTTGTTAGGGATCCTGGGATATGCTGAGATGTTCAATGTCTGCTCCTGTTCTTTTTGGCCACCTTGCTTTTGTTAAGATTTTGTGGGTCACGCACAGTGGCTCATGCCTGTAATCCCAGTACTTTGGGAGGCTAAGGCGGGCAGATCATGAAGCCAGGAATTCGAGACCAGCCTGACCACCATGGTGAAACCCCGTCTTTACTGAAAATACAAAAATTAGCCAGGCGTGGTGGCGCACATCTGTAATCCCAGCTACTCAGGAGGCTGAGGCAGGAGGATCACTTGAACCTGGGAGGCGAAGGTGTAGTGAGCCGAGATCGCGCCACTGCACTCCAGCCTGGGCGAAAGAGCAAGACTCCATCTCAAAATAAATAAATAAATAAAGATTTTGTGTCTTTGCCCAATTAAGCCAGGAACTCAGACTTTACAGTGGGCATATGTGTGCTCACCAATCTATGACCCACTTAATAGAGACATACTTCAACAGGCAGAAAGAGATGATGATTATCAGCTTTATAACTAGTATTGCTAACATGAACTAGAGGATGTAGTTTGGACCTGCAGCCAAATAGGTTTCCCACTACTTCACCAACTAAATTAAACTTAACTACAGGACAGAAGGCCTCTCCTGCCTGGGAGGGCCTACGTATGGAAGCGAGACCTCTTAGGCTGCACTGCAGAGAATGAGCCTAAAGAAGGTTGAGCCACACATGCTCAGTTCCTCTTCTCAACTTCTCCAGTCAGATAAAGCATCCCTGCTTTGAGGAGGGGTAAATGAGAGAGGGATAGAGGTAAAAAAAAACAGAGGTAATTCTTCTGTACGTTTTCCTCCTAGAGATTAAGTGGCTATTCTCTTCTTTCTCTAAAAACATGAGAAGTAGAGCATAAGCATTTCTTACCTCCAAACTCTGTAAGAGCTTTGAATTTCTACTATTTTACTTCTGTATTTTAATATTCTAGTTCCTTCAGCCAGTGCTTTTGGCCTCTCTGTTGTGCTTCTACTTGTACTTGACTGCTATTGGATTCAAACTTTAATTAAGCAAAAATACACATGTAGTATAACTTTTAAAGACTTTCCATCCTCATTTGTATTACCTAATCCAATGCTAAAATTAGTTTCCGTTGACTGAGCTTGTATACACTGTAATGAGAGGAGAAGAAAATCCAAAACATGCTTGGTAACAACAAAAGACTGCCTGGTTTAAAACTTCCTGGAGTGATATTATGGGTAATCAAGAATGTATTTATTTTCAGCTTGACCAACATAGTGAAACCCTGTCTCTACTAAAAATACAAAATCAGCCAGGCATGGTGGCGCTTGCCTGTAATCCCAGCTGCTTGGGAAGCTGAGGCAGGAGAATCACTTGAACCCAAGAGGCGGAGGTTGCAGTGAGCCGAGAGCACGCCATTGCACTCCAGCCTGGGCAACAAGAGTGAAACTCTGTCTCAAAAAAATATATATATATATATATATTTTTTTTTTAATGTAAAACACTTCTGAGTTTTTTTCTTTAAATATTATTCTTGTCCAAAATAATTCTAAACTAAGCCTTGATAAATTGAAAAATAACAAATAGAAAAAAGTTAAGTCCGCTGGTCGTAGTGGCTCATGCCTGCAATCCCAGCACTATGGGAGGCTGAGGCAGGCAGATCAGTTGAGGTCAGGAGTTAGAGACCAGCCTGGCCAACACGGTGAAACCCTGTCTGCTAAAAATACAACAACAAAAAAAATTATCTGGGCATGGTGGCAGGTACCTGTAATCCCAGCTACTTGGGAGGCTGAGGCAGGAGAATCGCTTGAACCTGGGATGTAGAGATGGCAGTAAACCAAGATTGCACCACTGCACACCAGAGTGAGACTCTGTCTCAAAAGAAAAAAAAAAAGTCAAGTCATGAAACTACATTGATGAAGTCCACCTCAAATTATTCTAATTATAAAATATACAATTCTTTCATCATTTCTTAATTTCTCGTGGCAGCTGTTGCAAAATTTTACATCAGTTGTAAACATCCAGCTATGTCTCTGCTCTTTATCTGGTCTTGAGCAGATCAGGACCATCTAATATGAATTCCTTAAGATTTCCTCTTTAATATTTCAGAATCTCTGATTCATTGTCCTTCCCATTTCTTGTTCCTGTTTCTAAGAAAGAAGGTCCCTTCCTCTCTTCCTAAACTAATCTTCTATCTAAACTCATTTACAGTACCTTTTCCAATATCCTGTTCCATCCCTAATGTCTTATTCAGCCAAGTCTCTCTGCAAGTCCCTTTCCTTTGCTTATAAAAACTCTGAGATTGCCTTATCTTAAAAACAAACTAAAACAACCAACTAAACAAACAAACATTTTACTCAGTTCTGCCAGCTGCCCAGCTTGCTATTATATCTCTTCTTCATTTCCCAACCATTTATTCTTTCATCATTTGCAGTCTGGCTCTTGCCATTTACTTCTTTGAAAACCTCTTTCATGAAAGTCAGCAATGATTTCCACATATAGTGGCTTTCTTTACCTTGACATTTATACAACATTTGACACTGTACTCAACCTCCTCCTCCTTCTTGAAACTCCCTATTCTGTGACCATGGTAAGACTTAGGTATCTTCCTCTCCTACCCCTCACAGTCCTCTTCTCTGACCCTTTACTAGGTTCTTCTTTCTCTTGTCTCTTAATGTAGTGGTATCTTTAAGATTTTGTTCAGACCTTTGATTAATCTGCGGTTTAGCAACTGGTGGTTTACCCAATTGCTAAATTCCTGATGCACAAGTTTAGTCAAATTCCTCAGTTACAGAAGTCTATCAGAAAATGAAATATGATTAGTTTGTGCATGAATTTAACTTATCTCCTAATGAGCCCCTTTTTTAATGTATGTGAAAGGATATTTAAAGCAGCACAAGTAATTCTCAAAAGCATATCTATTTACGTGTAAGTTAAAGGTCAACTCTAGTAATATTGATAGTTAAAAACTATAGTGTTTATGGTAAAACCCAGCTACAAATGTATTTTTATAACAAAAATAAGTTTGTATCATATAATTTCAGTATAGCTAATTTGTTTTGTTTTAAATATCAGGTTTCTTTCTCAGTCACATATGAAATGGATCATGGAGAAGCACATGTCCAGACAGATGTAAGTTTATTTTAACCTTTTAAAATATATACAGTGTATTTTATAATTAAATGATTTCAGATGTGCAAGAAGTTGCTAAAACAAATTTGCCAGCTATTCTTTCCCCAGACTCCCCTAATGTTAGCATACAAAACCTTAGTACAATGATCATAATCTGGAAATTAATATTGATGTAGTCCTATTAACTAAACTACATACTATTTGAATTTCACTATTGAATTTTTTTCTGTTTCAGGACCCAATCTAGGGTCACATATTGCTTTTAGCTGTCATATCTCGTTAGTGTTTTACAATGTGTGACAGATTCTTAGTCTTTCTTTGTCTTTCATGACCCTAACACTTCTGAAGAGTACTGGTCCATTATTTTGGCCCTCAATTTGGGTTTGTCTGGTATTTTCCCATGATCAAATTGAGTTCATATAGTTTTGGCAAAGATGCCACCAAAGTGATGCTATAATAATAAATAAAAATAAGTATCTCATGGGGGAGATTCTTTGAAATTATGCAAACATCCTGCTTCTTCTTATTCTTCTTATTCTCCCCCTCTCATTTTTTTTTTGAGACGGAGTTTTGCACTTGTTGCCCAGGCTGGAGTGCAATGGCACGATCTTGGCTCACCGCAACCTCTGCCTCCCGGGTTCAAGCGATTCTCCTGTCTCAGCCTCCTGAATATCTGGGATTACAGGCATGTGTCACCACACCCAGCTAATTTTTGTATTTTTAGTAGAGATGGGGTTTCTCCATGTTGGTCAGGCTGGTCTCGAACTCCCAACCTCAGGTGATCCACCTGCCTCAGCCTCCCAAAGTGCTGGGAATACAGGGGTGAGCCACCATGCCCAGCCGGCCCTCTAATTTTATTTTATTTTATTTTAAATGGAGTCTCACTCTGTCGCCCAGTCTGGAGTGCAGTGGCGCTATCTCGGCCCACTGCAACCTTCACCTAGCTGGTTTAAGCAATTCCCCTGCCTCAGCCTCCCTAGTAGCTGGGATTACGGGCACACACCACCACGCCCAGCTAATTTTTTAATATTTTTAGTAGAGACAGGGTTTCATCATATTGGCCAGACTGGTCTCGAACTCCTGACCTCAGGCAATCCGCCCGTCTCGGCCTCCCAAAATGCTGGGATTACAGGCGTGAGCCACGGTGCCCGGCCCTCTAATTTTATTAAATAGCATCCATTGATGATTTTGCCTGCAGAAAGTTTCACTGTGATATTTGCCTGATGGTGATTTTCTGTTTCCCTAATTACTTTTTTATTTATTAATTTGGAACTTTACTATAAGGAGAAACTCCCTTTGCTCACATTATTTATTCAATTATTTATTTTTAAATCAGTGTGAACTCATATTTATTTTATTCTAGTAATTATAATATATTATTATTTGTTTTCTTGTTCAAATTGTCCCAGATTTGGCCATTACAAGTTCCTCCAACTTGACTCCTGTGTCCTTTCTTTTTTTTTTTTTTTGAGATGGAGTCTCACTCTGTCGCCCAGGCTGGAGTGCAGTGGCGCGATCTTGGTGGCTCACTGCAAGCTCCGCTCCCAGGTTCATGCCATTCTCCTGCCTCAGCCTCCCCAGTAGCTGGGACTACAGGCACCCACCACCATGCCCAGCTAATTTTTTGTATTTTTAGTAGAGACGGGTTTCACCGTGTTAGCCAGGATGGTCTTGATCTCCTGACCTCATGATCCGCCTGCCTCGGCCTCCCAAAGTGCTGGGATTACAGGTGTGAGCCACTGTGCCCGGCTGACTCCTGTGTCCTTTCAACATTTCCCACCCCACCATTTTTTTGAGCACTTCCTTACTTGTTCACAGTGTTTTTGAACACCGATGACAGAAATTACATAAATTCTCAATTGTTCTTTTGTTTTTTAGATTGCTTTGGGTGTATTGGGTGGGCTAGCTGTTTTAGCATCTCTTTTGAAGACAGCAGGATGGAAGAGGCGCATTGGGAGTCCCATGATTGATTTACAGGTATAATCTCAGGAGTTTTTTAAGAATATTTTTATCTTTTGACCATTCTGGATCCTTCTCATAAGACACAGCTAGAGAATAAGTAAAAAAGTTGCATTGAATTTTTCTGGGATATGTAATTAGGGTAAGTATTGCTGGGTCATATGGTATATGTGTACCTCATTTTCTTCCCACCATACTGTATGCCAGTCTATATTCCCACCAGCAATGCTCTTCTTATTTCTGCACATACTTGGCAACACTTGATATTTTTCCAACCTTTTCATTTTTTGCCAACCTCATGGCATATAGTAGTATGTCATTGTTGATTTCATTTTCATTTCTCTGTACTCTTCATATACATTTTAATCGTTTGGGTTTCTCCTTCTGTGAACTGCCTGTTTATATCCCTTGCCCATTTCTCTATTATGTTTCCAGTTTTTATTGTTTATTTGAAGAATTTTTTTTTGTATTTTCTAAATAGTAACCCCTTTTTGGTTTCTGATGTTGAAATATATGACCAAATAAATATGTGACCCATCCGTTATTTTTATCCATGTAGTCCTTTGTTTAACAGAAACTTTCAGGTTTGTTTTTGTTTTCATTTTTGTTTTTTTTTGTTGTTGTTTTTTTGAGACGGAGTCTCACTCTGTCGCTGAGGCTGGAGTGCAGAGGCACAATCTTGGTTCACTTGCAACCTCTGCCTCCCGGGTTCAAGCAATTCTCCTGCCTCAGCCTCCTGAGTAGCTGGAATTACAGGCGCACACCACCATGCCTGGCTAATTTTTGTATTTTTAGTAGAGACGGGGTTTCACCATGTTGTTCAGGCTGGTCTTGAACTCCTGGCCTCATGATCCGCCCACCTCAGCCTCCCAAAGTGCTGGGATTACAGGCATGAGCCACCACGCCTGGCCAGAAACTTTTGGTTTTGATATCATCATATCTGAATATTTTTTTTCATGTTATGATACGTGCTTTTGGGATCTTGTTTAGGAAAACCGTCCCTATATCAAGATCACAAAGATAGTCCACATTTTATTCTATTAACTTTATACTTTCACTTCATGGTTAACCTTTTATTTTTATTAAACATTTAAAAAATATTTACCATGTACCAGGCACTTTTTAAAGCTTTATGTATGTAATTTTCTGAATCCGCACAGTAGCTCTTTGAAGTTAGGTTATTATTATTATTTGCGTTTTACACGTGATGAAATTGAGGTAAAGGTTAAATTTTCTACTCACTTGATTTTTGCAACTCAGTAATAGGTATTTCCGTTTTGTTGATGAAGAACATGAGAAAGGTTACATGGTAGCTTTAACCAAAGTATCTTTCTGATTCCAAAGCCAGTGGGCTAAGGAATCAGCAGGGGTACTTGATTTACTACTTGGGATAGTCCAGAAAGGCTTCCCAGAGAAATGAACTTTAAGTGGGATTATCTGTTCATTCTATAATAGTCACTGAGGCTCTATTGTCTAAGTGTCTGGCACTCTACCAGGAGCTGGAGAATGTGTTAGTGAGCAAAGACAGACATAGTCTGTGCTCTCAGAAATCATGAGAACTTACCAGAGAGGGGAAGAGAAGAATATTTGGTAAAACAATGCCCATTTTATTCCAGAAAGTATTTGAGATGAACGTATGGAGTGGTTAGTCATTGACTACATGGCTGGAACTGGCAGATGAGGCTAAAAAGTTAATTTTGGCCCATATTGTGAAAGACCTTGTGGATCAGGAATTTATATTGCAATGAGGAGTTGTTCATTTTTAACAAGGGGAGTGACACAATCCAATTTACATCTTAGAAAACTAACTCTGGTGGTAGTGTGGAGGAGAGATTAGAGGGGAGGATTCCCAACTAAGAGAAAATTAGGAAGCAGTTCAATTTTCTTAGATAGTGAAAGATGAGAAGAGTTGAAAGAAGAGGCTACCAGGAACGGCCAGAAAGGTAAGGAGCCAAAAGGTAGCAAGGAGGAGGAAGCAGGTGGTCTTTATAGCTGGATCATATGGGGATATGTGAAACAAGGCTTCAGGCTTAAGAAATGGAGTGGATGATGTATAAAAGTGGTAGTGTTACTAAAAGTGGTATATACATGGAGTCTTAAACAGCTGTAATTCTTTTTTTTAAATTGCAGACAGTTGTGAAATTCTTGGTGTACTATGCTGGTGATCTGGCCAATGTTTTCTTTATCATCACAGTGGGAACAGGTCTTTACTGGCTTATTTTCTTCAAAGTGAGTGAGTTTCTGAATTTTCCCCAACTGCCAATATCTGAATAGTTGAAAAGCTTTCTTTATAAAGGAACTATTTTTATTTGAGAGAATTTTTGATCAACAGTATTAAGAAAAGTTCCCAACTCCCCATTCCTTGAGTGTGCTGAGCTTATCGATTACATCACTATCTTCCTCTTTTATGCTTTCTTTGGTTTATAAATTGTGCTTAGTAAAAACCTTGTTCAATTGGAAGACTTAGGTGGGAGGATCCTGTGAGTCCAGAATCAAGTCCTGCCCGGGCAGCATACTGAGACCCTCCTTTCCCAAAAAAAAACAAAAACGAAAACAAAAAACAAACAAACAAACAAAAAAAACTGTGTGTGATAATATTTAATCAAGTAATTTTTATTATAGGCACAGAAGTCTGTGTCTGTTTTGCTGCCAATGCCAATTCAGGAAGAACGTTTTGTCACTTATGTTGGATGTGCCTTTGCTCTGAAGGTAAGTTTTAAAGGACAGGTTACCAAATTTAAAAGGCCTGCTAATGAACTAACAAGTCTTTAAAATTAAAATGCTTTCAAAAATCTTTGGCGTGAAATTCACTTTGGTTTTGAAAGAAAGCATTAATTATTTTATGTGGTAAATTTACTTTTATTTATAGTAGATGCTCAGTCTGAAACTCTGCCTTAAATATTTTTTTCAAAGAAGCCATGAATTTGTATGGCTTATTTGATAAAATGATATTTCAGTATATAACTTTCTTTAAAGTCTGATGATACATTCACAATGGGACAAAATGTCTTCAGGCATGAATTTTGTCTCCATTAATCAAGGGTAAAAGGTACCACTCTGGATAAAGTGTTGAGATCTTAAAAGTTGTTTTGTCTGTCTCCAGATTCCTTTGCTCCTTTCTTCCTATGGCCCCCCAATCCCCAACTCAGTGTTCTCCATCAATGTAGGTGAATCTCTTTATATGCCTGTTGGTAGTCCTTATCCTATTTTACTGTGAGTGTTAAGTGTCTGCTTTTTCCACTGACTGGGAGCTTCTTGAGGTGAAGTATCTCATACTTAGATTTTTATCCTTTATTTGATGAATAATGCAGCAACTAGAAAGAATGCCTCAGTTTAAACATATTGCTTGTATAAATAAGAAAGATGTGTTTCAACAGCACATTCTTTAAAAATCAGAAATCTGAATAGCAGAAATAGAAAAAAAAGACAGTAAGAGCATTCGAAAACTTTAATTAGGAAAAACAAACTATAGTTGAAAATATCTTTACTTATAAAGAAGTCAGCTGATCTACAAAACAAAGTGTGCTTCTAGAATCTTTGGGAAAGAGTCAATTATATAAGTCCCTATGTGAGGAGGAGGAAAAATGTCTCCTCTTTTCATATTCCTATTTTAAAGAAAGAAAGAAAAAGGGAAGGTAAATTAAGATGTATATGAAAATTCTGTGAATTTGATGATTCCAGGTTATCTGATGAGCTTCTAATGATTCCTTAGTGGTATTATAACTTCATGTGAATTCACTCATAAAATTATATGTTCTTGTGATAACAGTATGTTTCTTAAAGAGTCAATATTGGTTTTATAAGCAGACTTAACGCTGGTACTTTTTCAGGTGTTTTATTATATGTCATTCTCAGGCACTACAATTTTTGCATAAGCTCATATCCCAGATTACAATAGATGTATTCTTTATTGATTGGGAGCGACCTAAAGGAAAGGTTCTTAAAGCTGTTGAAGGTAACTGAAATAAAAAATATTTGTACCAAAATTCTTTTGCTACCCTTGCAGAGCAAAGGAGGTAAAACTCTTTTACTCATTTTATTTTCCTGACCAGGTGAGGGTGGTGTACGAAGTGCCACTGTTCCTGTAAGCATATGGAGAACATATTTTGTAGCAAATGAATGGAATGAAATTCAGACTGTGAGAAAAATTAATTCACTCTTTCAAGTACTTACTGTCCTCTTCTTTTTGGAGGTATAAACTGTTTGATGTGATTATATGCGACTTACATGTACCTTATAAATATTAAACTAATATAATTCCAACTAAGTTTTCATGACAGTGGAAGATTTCTCTAAAGGTTGAAATATTGTTGTGAAGCCATTAAAAAGGAGTACCTTTATGTTACGTATTTTACCACAATTCTTTTTTTAAGTTTACCATCTTAAGCATTTTTAAGTGTAGAGTTTAATAGTGTTAAGTTGGCCAGGCACAGTGGCTCATGCCTGTAATCCCAACACTTTGGGAGGCTGAGGCAGGCGGATCACCTGAGGTTGGAAGTTCAAGACCAGCCTGGCCAACATGGAGAAACCCCGTCTCTACCAAAAAATACAAAATTAGCTGGGCATGGCGGCACATGCCTATAATCCCAGCTGCTCGGGAGGCTGAGGCAGGAGAATTGCTTGAACCCGGGAGGCGGAGGTTACAGTGAGCCGAGATTGCACCATTGAACTCCAGCCTGGGCAGAAAGAGCAAAACTCCATCTCAGAAAAAAACAAACAAACAAAAAGTAGTGTTACGTACATTCACATTGCCACGCAAAATCATCATCACCATTCATCTTAGAACTCTTCATCTTGCAAAACTGAAACTCTATACCCCTTAAACAACTCTGTACCCATTCCCTGCTACACCTAACCCCAGGCAACCACCATTCTATAATACTTTCTGTCTCTGTGTGTTTGACTGCTCTAGGTGTAAGGAGTAGCTTTAAAACCACTGGTTTGTATCAGAATCCCTTGGGGATCTTTTGTAAAATACCTATGCTCAGGCTCACCCTTAGAGACTATGTGTTGATTTAGTAGCTTTGAGGTAACTCCAGGTATCTATATTTTGAAAAAGCTCCCTACCCCCGATCCATATTCTCCCCTGCATTAGAATCACTATTATAAGTTTGATATTTTTCAACAAATTTGTATTGAACACTTACTGTAGACTATGTTCTGTGCTAAGAGCTGGGGCTACACTGAACAAAACACAACATGTTTGTGATACATATGCAGTTATTTCATGGATTTGGTTGGAATTATTAAAGGAAGTATTCAGTACTGAGTATAAGACTGAACATGGAAACAGTTTATATGGGAATAGGTTTTCTCAGGAATTATCTGCTTAATTAAGATTGAATATAAATCATTAACTCTTAGGTCTGTCTGTCTGCCTTCCCTCTTTTTTCTTCTTTCTTTCCATTCTCTTTCCCCTTTCCCTTCCTTTCCTTTTATAAAACTAGTAGAAGAATGTTTGTATCCCTAGGGCTTTAAAATAATATGAACAAGACTTCCAAAGTTCACTTGAAGTGGTATTTTGGTTTTTCTTAAATGGACAGATAAAAATTACATATGTTTATAGTTTACAATACAGTGTTTTGATATATGTATTCATTGTGGAATGGCTAAATCAAGCTAGTTTATCTGTTACCTCACATCTTTTCTTTTTGTACTAAAGTAGTGTGTGTGTGTGTGTGTGTGTGTGTGTGTGTGTGTGTGTGTTTAAGAGTTTCCTCAGCTTTAAAAGGTGTTATGTGAAAAAGTTTTATGGTCAAGTAAGTTTGGAAAATATTGGATTCAGTATAATCATGTAGCACCTTTTACTGTAAAACTTCTCAGAGCCTTTATTCTACAAGGGTGGGAGGCATGGAGGTGAGTGTAATGGATGGACCAAAAGTATTTAAACATAGATTCTTTTTTCAAGAACTTATGTCCTTTAGAAGACATTTTGTAATATACTGTTTTAAAGTATAAAAATGTTTAGTACAGTGCCTGGCACATGTCAAATACTCATGAAATACTACTTGTTGGTTTCACTCATTGGTAGTTTACTGATGAAAGTTTTATCCTTTTAATTAAATTTTTAGTCTTGTCAGTGTGTATGACAATAAGGTTATATTTGGCCCTTAGTCATATTGAGAAGAATGCCAAATGAGCTAACTAAATATTGTGTAATAAATACTTTGTAGTTAAAATACTATATAATAATTATTTTTATCTAGATTTTCTACTGTTTATACAAACTTAGATATTTTAGTTTTTCAAGGTGAGTAGGGAGAGGTTTTCTGTTTTCAGTCTAGAGTAGTTTTCTTTATCCATGTCCGTTTAAATTACTACTTTTCCTTTTTACTCCAGGTTGTGGGATTCAAGAACTTAGCATTAATGGACTCATCTTCTAGTCTTTCTAGAAACCCACCTAGCTACATAGCTCCTTATAGCTGCATTTTGAGATATGCAGTGTCTGCTGCTCTTTGGCTAGCCATTGGAATTATACAGGTAAGGAATTATACAGGTAATATTACTTCTAAGTAACATTGCTTCTTTATAACTCTGCCTAATTACTGATTATCATCAAATATTGACCACATCCTTCTTTCTGTAGCAGAAAGAAGGTGACAAGAACAATAGCTAATGGTCAGTTCTTTTTTTTTTTTTTTTTTTTTGAAACAGAGTCCCGCTCTGTCACCCAGGCTGGAGTGCAGTGGCATGATCTTGGTTCACTGCAGCCTCTGCCTTCCGGGTTCAAGCAATTCTCCCACCTCAACCTCCTGAGTAGCTGGGTCTGTAGGCTCCCACCACTACATCCAGATAATTCTTTTTGTATTTTTAGTAGAGATGGGTTTTTACCATGTTGGTCAGGCTGGTCTTGAACTCCTGACCTCAGGTGATCCATCCTCCTCACCCTCCCAAAGTTCTGAGATTACAGGCATGAGCCATCGCACCCAGCCAGTAGTCAATTCTTATATTGTATTAGTCACTGTGCTAATTAATTACTGTTGGTCCATCACTTCTTGGCCTTTAGGCTAAGATCGAGTGTAATTACTGTTGATCCTCAAATAGTTCAACCCCATGTTGAACTGTTTGACTGAACTCATTGAGAGTAGAAAATACAGTGTTCACAGAATGCAAATTCTGCATCTGTAGAGGGCCAACTTTCTGTATAGATGGGTTCCAGCAGGACTGAATATGGGACTTGAATATGGGTGGATTTTGGTATACTTGGGGGTTCTGGACTCAATCCCAACATACTATAAGGACAATTGTAATTGCTTTATACCTAATAATGTCTTAATCTTTATAATAGCCCTCGGAGATAAGCTCTGTTATTATCCTCATTTTATAGATGAGGAAACTGAGACCCAGGAAGGCTAAAAAAATTGCCTGAAGTCATGTGACTAGTAACTGACAGAACTGGAATTGGAACTCAGGCAGCCTGATTTCAGAGTTCACGTTCTTGTCAATAGTGGGGCTCTGAAGGGCCTTTGAGAGTCCTCAGCTTTATAGTAATAGGACAGACTCTTTGTTTAGTTTATATGTAAATACAGGGACAGATAAGCTACCCTAAATATGTTCTTTTCTTTTGAAACATAACTTATTGTTTACATTTATTTATATCATGAAACCTCACTCAGATTGCTCGTACCCCTTGTGGAGTTTTTCTTGAAATATTTATTAAAATGACTGAAAGTAAAAATAAGTCTTTTTAGCCTCAGGTCCCATGTATCTAGTAGAGGCCATAAAGAAAAAAAAAAGACAAAAGGAAGAAAAGAAAAAGAAAGAAGCAGCAGCAAGCATCTAACTTTCAGATACTCATAAACAGAAAGAGTCCTTCTGTTTACTTTAAAATTTCCTTAACTTTTATAATCAGCACATGAAGATAGGACCTCTAGAGAGCAGTTTTAACTTCCTATAGCTGGCTAATAGCTATCTACCTAAAACAGCCTATTTTTAAGAATCTTTTGAGATTTTTGTTTGTTTGGTTTTTGTTTTTAGAGACAGTCTTCCCCTGTCTCCCAGTCTGGAGTACAGTGATGGAATCATAGTTCACTGCAGCCTCAACCTCCCAGGCTCAAGCAATCCTCCTGCCTCAGCCTCCTGATTAGCTGGGACTACAGGCACATGCCACCACACCCAGCAATTTTTTTTTTTTTTTTTTGAGACAGAGTTTCACTCTTGTTGCCCAGGCTGTAGTGCAGTGGCGTGATCTCAGCTCACTGTAACCTTCGCTTCCCAGGTTCAAGCGATTCTCCTGCCTCAGCCTCCCAAGAAGCTGGGATTACAGGCACCTGCCACCAGGCCCAGCTAATTTTTGTGTTTTTAGTAGAGACGGGGTTTTACCATGTTGGCCAGGCTGGTCATAAACTCCTGAGCTCAAGCTATCCTGCCATCTCAGCCTCCCAAAGTGCCAGGGTTGCACGTGTGAGCCAGATTGAAATATTTTTAAGAGAGCTTATTCTTAGAGAATTAGGTCCAGGTGGTGGTATTCAGTAATCTGTGGATTAACTTTTTAAATATATACTTATTTTAAATTGATGAGACTTACTCAAACTTGAAACTACAGGGATAGAGTTAGTAAAGGACAGCTGACAACCAGAAAAAGAAGACAAATATATTAGAATTGGAAACAAGATAGAATCAAAAGAGTATAGGGTTTGATGTTTATCATCAATGTTAAGGAAATATTTTGTACAATATACCGATATATTTTGTGAGTATATCAGATTCATCTGGATGTAGAGAGTCTAAAGCAATATCATCTGAAGCTTTTCATATTTGGTTGAATATAACACAACCAAAATCAAAATAAGAGTGACTGAAATCAAAGAGAACCTTGTCTTTCCCATGAAAAAGATAAGCAGAGGTCCAAAGTTCAGGGCTGGAGTGGAATGGTGGCTTAGTGCTACTGTCAGGACCCAGAAGCCTGTCCTTCTGCCCAGCCACAAGGGACTTCCATCTCCACAGTCCCTTCATGGTCCATAATAGCCAATGAAGTTACAGGAGGGAATTGAAGTAGGTAAGCTCACCTTTTCTTTAAGAGCCTTTTCAGAGGTGCCTTTCAACATCTTCTTGGCTAGAACTTAATTGCATGGCCACACCTAGCTGCACTAGACTCTTTCAGCTGGGCAGCAGTATATCCTGCTCAAGGAAGGGATCTGTTACTAAAGAGAAAGGATTGTTGGGACAGCACCTAGCAATCTCAGACACCACCATCTAACTTCATTCTTTGCTTCTCACTTTGCCATTAGCTGGATAGTAAAGCATTTCTCTCCATGGTAATATTCTAAAATGATCAGTGTTTATATATTTGTCAAGAATCCTTAAGGGTTCCTTTAACAACCTGTTACAGTTTCATAAATTTGTCTAAACTCTCCTTGATTCTAATAATTGTTCACTCCTTTTATTTCCTTAAACCCAGCCTCTTCAGCTTTTAAGTGGTGTCTTTTAATTTTTAAACCTTGAATATTGCTGTTTTTCACATCCTTTAAAGAGGTTTAAAATATGTATATAGAGTATGTAGGAAAACATTTTCAGCAGTCGGCTGGTGTAGATTCATTTATCTATTCATCCACATATTTGAGTGCATTTTATGTATTGGATGCTGTGCTGAGCTTATGGATCTGCTGTTACAGGAACAAATGACAGATTGTGCCAAGTGCTGTGAAGAGAATCAGCAGGGACATGAGATAGAGAGTAACTAGAAGGGAGGGGAGTGGAAGATAGGAATGGGGGACAGTGGGGACAGCTTTAAATAGGGGAGTTAGGAAGTTTTATCTTTTCCTGAAACATGTCTAAAAAGATGTACCATGTAAAATTTTTATTTATAAAATTTCTGTTTCTAGTATTAAATCTAAGAAAACACAGGAAACCATTCCATATGAATTTTTAATACTTTGTAGTCAGAATACTAGATATATGCTTTTTATGTGCTGTTCTGGCAGAGAAAATTCATTTGAAAAGTAGAGCATTTTCTCATGTCTTGAAATTTAGATGAGCAAAATTGCAAACCCAAACATAAATCTGACCATCGATGCATTGATATATCCTACATTTTTAAAAGACTTTTTCTTTCTTCCCACGTGTTTGTCATAGCTTGTTTTAATGACACACAACAGTTTTCAGAACTCAAAATAGGCTCCCTCAATGACTCAACACAATTCTAAAATCCTCCTCCCTTTGACAGAAGAGTCAGAAATGACAAGTAGGACTTTATCACATAGGAACTGTTAAAGGCCACTGTGCTTTTGGTTGGAACTTTTTTTTCTTAAGATGCTACACTGTGGCTGTAAAAGAAAATTAAAATCCTAAAAGCTAATAAGCATAAACTTGACTTAATGTTTCAGGTCGTGTTCTTTGCTGTCTTTTATGAGAGATTTATAGAAGATAAAATTCGACAGTTCGTTGATTTATGCTCTATGAGTAATGTAAGTACTTTCTGACTTCATCTTGCAACTGTTACTTTCCCTTTTTAAAGGTCATGAGTTTGTTAAGAGAGACTTTAAAAGTGATTTGGTATGATTGAATTTTTGGGCCAATTTTCCACTGGTTGTTAATTCCAGAGATAATTATAATGAGCTACAAGTTAATACTTAAACTGCCTTAGTTTTTTCATTTTTTCATTTTTTTTTTTTTTTGAAACGGTCTTGCTCCATCACCCAGGCTGGAGTGTAGTGGCACCATCTTGGCTCACTGCAACCTCTGGCTCTCAGGTTCAAGCAATTCTCATACCTCAACCTCCTGAGTAGCTGGGATTACAGGTGTGCACCACTATGCTGGGCTAATTTTTTTTTTTGTATTTTTGGTATAGATGGGGTTTCCCCATGTTGGCCAGGCTGGTCTTGAACTCCTGACCTCAGGTGATCCAGCCTCCCCAAGTGCTGGGATTACAGGTGTGAGCCACTGTGCCCAGCCTGTTTTTTTCATCTTTATTTGCAGTTTCTTAATTATGAATTTCTTATGCTACCAAGTAGTTCATTCATTCCAGTACCCCTGAAAATTGTTTCTATGTCAACCCTGTTTCTTCTTTTCTTTTCTTTTCTCTTTTCTTTTCTTTTTTTTTTTTTTTTTTTTTTGAGAAAAGGTCTCGCACTGTAACCCAGGCTGGACTACAGTCGTGCAGTCGTAGCTTACTGCAACCTTGACCTCCTGAGTTCAAGCTTTCCTCCCACCTCAGCTTCCCAAGTAGCTGGGACCACAGGTGTGCACCACCAACACTCAGCTATTTTTTTTTTTTTTTTTTTTGTAGAGATAGAGTTTCCCTATGTTGCCCAGACTTGTTTCTCCCTTTCTTGGAAAATATCTTCAATCTCTTTTTCAAACATTTAAAAAAAAAAAAAACACAAACCTTATTATCCTTCATTACTTTATTATCCTCTTTATATATTTCCCAAGAATACAATCTTCATTATTTTGGGAAAAAGAAAGCAATTTTAAGGAAAACTTAATTTTTTATTGTTTTGCAGATGAGTTGCTATTTGCTTCTTTTTATTCTCTTTTTATAGATATCAGTGTTTCTGTTATCCCACAAATGTTTTGGATATTACATTCATGGTAGATCAGTACATGGGCATGCAGATACTAATATGGAAGAAATGAATATGAACCTTAAAAGAGAAGCGGTATGAAAATGTTTTACATCTTTTTGTTTTTAAGTTGAGAAGTGGATTCTTATAAATGCTGGATTTGTTTTAAAAAAAAAACAGTCTTCATTGATAACTTTTTTTTCTTTTTGAGATGGAGTCTCCCTCTGTCACCCAGGCTGGAGTGCAGTGGCGCAATCTCGGCTCACTGCAGCCTCTGCCTTCTGGGTTCAAGTGATCCTCCCGTCTCAGCTTCCTGAGCAGCTGGGACTGCAGGCGCCTGCCACTACACCCGGCTAATTTTGTATTTTTAGTAGAGACGAGGTTTCACCATGTTGGCCAGGCTGGTCTTGAATCCTGACCTCAGGTGATCCACCCACCTTGGCCTCCCAAAGTGCTAAGATTACAGGCTTGAGTCACCGCGCACCTGGCCTATTTATCACTTTGATAGTTGCTAAGGACTGCCAGGCATGGTGGCTCACGCCTGTAATCCCAGCACTTTGGGAGGCCGAGGTGGGCAGATCACGAGGTCAGGAGATTGAGACCATCTTGACTAACACAGTGAAACCCTGTCTCTACTAAAAATACAAAAAAATTAGCCGGGCATGGTCGCGGGCGCCTGTAGTCCCAGCTACTTGGGAGGCTGAGGCAGAATGGCATGAACCTGGGAGGTGGAGCTTGCAGTGAGCCGAGATTGCGCCACCGCACTCCAGCTTGGGCGACAGAGCGAGACTCCGTCTCAAAAAAAAAAAAAA
The DNA here is from genome assembly GCF_000001405.40 of Homo sapiens. Lineage (NCBI taxonomy): Eukaryota > Metazoa > Chordata > Mammalia > Primates > Hominidae > Homo > Homo sapiens. The sequence continues at coordinate 93,805,595 of NC_000008.11, forward strand.
AAAAGAAAGTTGCTAGGGACCAACTCACCCTGAACATTCATAAAGGGAAAGAATCTAATTTTAATTTTATCCTGTAGTTTCTGTATGAACTGTATCACAGTAATCAAATAATTCATGAGGGAAAGTTCCTCCTTATAGAAGAAAGTAGAAGGAATTCTAAGTTAGAAAAATTACCATTTTGCAATGACTAATGGATTGATGAATGTAAGCTGCCATTATCAGTGGATGCTAAACGATTAAGTGATTGTTGACAGGGAACTTTATAATGAGGGATCAGGTTGACGTAATTTAGACACACTGTAAATAAAAATAAGGAAAACTGACATAAACACTTCCTGCCATGATGCAGTAGGAAGTATATAATTTCACCAATGAAGTATTTTTGCCTAAAAAACTGAATCTGAGTATAATCAACCCTCTAGCTCTAATCACCAGTTTATAGGAAATACAAGCGATAAAGGGACAAATTAAATAGCACCATAGGAAGTAATTAGCCAGGTCTGGAGTATAGGCTGCCTCACAGGATAAATGACTCAGTGTCTCCAGACAAATCAATGACATGAAAAGAAAAGGAAGGATAATGGTGGCAGTGTACGAACTATTACATTATAAGAAAGGTTTGAAAAACCAATCTGGTACAATGTGTGGACTTTATTTGGATCCTGATTCAGACAAACCAACTATTAAAAAAATCTGGGAGATTTTTAGTGGACTAAATGTTAAGGAATAACTAATTTTGTTAGGTATGAAAATGGCATGATGGTTATTTATTTTAAAGTCCTTATTAGAAATACATACAAAGCATTTACAGATGAAATGACATGGTCTGGGTTTTACTTTAAAATACTCTAAGAAAAAAGAAAATTTGGGAGGATAGATGAAACAAAATTGATAAAATATTAGTAATTGCTGAAGCTAGGTAATGAGTAGTTTACTATTCTCTCTACTATGTACATTTGGAAAACTTCCATAATAAAATTTTTTAAATAATAAGATGTGCTTAAGTGGAAAAAACAAGAGGATTTAGTGATTAAGGGGCCATACCTGTGACTTGTAAGAATTTGACACATGATAATGGCATTTCAGAGAAGAATTTATTTAATACATTGAGCTGGATCACTTGATTAAACAATAGAAATTACCTTGTGATTAAAAAGTTAAATGTAAAACATGAAGCCATGAGAACCTAGAAAAGAATATTTCAGACTGGGAGATGATATTCTAAGGATAAAGAATAGAAATCATCAAAAAGGGAATATTAATTGATGTTACTTTATTAATATAGTACATTTGCATATCAAGCCATTATAAAAGTGAATTAGAGTAAAATACTTTTAACAAATATGACAAAGAAATTGATAAGAATATTGAAAGTTATGCAAATCAAGAAAACACTAAATTAAAATCTCAATGGAAAAATGACCAATAGACACTAATAAAGCTCTAAAAATATTTTAACTCATAATCAAAGAACTGAATATAAAAATAATGATTTTCCCCTCTTCAAATTAGCAAACTTTTTTTGAAAAGCTAATACTTAATAGCATCAAGGACACAGTGAAATGGGCAACCACAAAGCTACTGGTGGCAGGTTGAATTTATGCAGACCTTCTGGAAAGTGTTTGGGCAATGTATATACCAAGAGCTTTTTAAGGTTCATAATCTTTGATTCACTGATTTTATGAATGTTAACTCAAGGAAAAATTAACAATATGAACAGCTACTTAAATTCAGGATCTTTATCACAGAGGTTATTTGTAAGGGGAAAAGTATGTAAAAATTGGAGAATATTAAATAAATTGGTTTACCTTTGCGGTGAAATCTTAAGCAGATGGTAAAATCATATTTTGTAGAATATTTGATGACATGGAGAATTGCTCAGGCTATAACGTTAAGTGAAAAAGGAGTCATTGTGATCCCAATTTTATGCTATTTATATGTACATGCCTTATAAAAAATACTGGAAATGAAATTCCTTAAGATATCTATATTTCTGGGTGTTGAGATTTTAGGTAATATTTTTATTTTCTTTTTTGTATTTCTCTTTATTTTGTAAATTTTCTGCAATGGCATGAATATTTTTAATCAAGAAAAAAATTTTTTAAATAGAGAAGTTCACTACATGTATTCTTCCTTTAAGTGTATAGAAAGCCAAGTGCCATATTATGTTTTCGGGTTAGATTTAGACAAAGAAGGAAAATATTAACCTGTGGAGTAGGTAGACAGGCTTTATGAAGGCCAGAGAACTTGAGTCGAACCTTGAAGCATCAATCAAATCAAAATTTTTTTTACATATTTGTGGTTGTCAGGATCCAAGTTGTGTCAGGGAAACCCAAAATGGATATGGATATCTGGTTCATAACATTAACTGTTTGGTCATGTATCACTATGTTTTATTGGAATTAATTAAGGAAGCATCTTAAAAATGTTTAGAAAACAAAAAAGATCATTTGCAATTATAAGACTAGTTAACTCCAAAGCAAGACCTTTCAGCATACATTAAAAGAGCAATAAGGTCAATTATAAAGGAAGCTAAGAATATCAATATACAATAAACATATATATGTCTTTATATCATCTCCTTTACTCTGTTCTACTTAAATATATATATATGCTCTACCTAAAAATATATATATGCTCTACTTAAATATATAAATATATGTGATAAATATATAAATATATATACCTATTATGGATTATATATATTATCATATATATTATAGACAATAAATTATAGATAATAAATATATATATTTATTATAGATATATATTTATCTACTATAAATATTTATATATTATATATAAATATATTTCTCTATTATAGATATATATTTATCTATTATATATTTATTATATATAAATATATATTTATCTATTATAGATATTTATCTATAATAGATCTATTATAGATGAATATATATATTTATAATCTATATATATCTATAATCTATATATATCTATAATATATCTATTATAGATAAATATATATATATATTTAAGTAGAGCAAAGGAGATGATATAAAGACCTGCAAGGGAGTATGAATTAGAATAAAGTAGAAATTAGCAAAATCTGGGAACCTTGGATAATGGTAGAATCTGTTTCTCAAATACAGTTTCAGTGAATTTCACTTAGCACCTGAATCTTGTAATATGTGATAACAGCTAAAAAAAAGTTCTGTATTTTCTTTTTGAGGCAGGAAATTTTTTATAATTTTGATCTTAACTTAAATTCTTTAACTTTTCAGGAAAATTTGTGTAGCCAGAGAGGTTTGGTACCCAACACAGATGGTCAGACTTTTGAGATTGCAATTTCTAACCAGATGAGACAACATTATGACAGAATTCATGAGACACTAATAAGGGTTTGTATAAAGTACAGTTCAGATATATTCTGTCAATATTTCATGTTTTTTAGATACCAAGAACATAACACTTTGTATTCATTTCTCTTTTTTACATTAGAAAAATGGTCCTGCTAGACTACTGAGTTCATCAGCAAGTACTTTTGAGCAGAGTATAAAAGCATATCATATGATGAATAAATTTCTTGGCTCCTTCATTGACCATGTATGTATGTCAACATTTATATTTAAGCTGGGATCAAATGCAATTTTTAAAAAGTTAAGTGGGAATGTCAATTATTTCTTCAAGTCAACCAAGTCAGTAAACTTAGAACCCCCACCTTAAGACCTTCCCTTTTTTTGTCTGTCACATTCAATACTTAGGAATAATATATTTTTAAAAGACATTTCTAGCCATTAACAAACTATGGCTTAGGGATAGAATTAGGTTACGCAAAAGTAAAATGAAATTTTATGTGTCTGTTAACATAATCATGATTCCCTTAAACTATGTCTGCACTGGAATTTTGTTACCAGTTACCAAAATATTACTGTATTATTCATTATTGAAATCCTTGTGTTATGCTATGATTGTATTTCTAAAAAGCATTTTATAAATTGATTTTCACTATATCTAGCCCTAAATACTACTAAGGACATTTAAAATTTAAAACATTCCTGTAGAGAATTTTGTTATAGGTTTCAATGTAGTAACTTCAGTCTTTTTGAAGAACAGATTTTCTTTATATACTATTCATTTTTCATTTTCTCTCCTGCTGATTTTACATTAATTGCAAAGCATTTATTTCACTACTGTTTGTGAAATGATGCTGTCTTTTTCTTTATTAGGTTCATAAGGAAATGGATTACTTTATAAAAGATAAGTTGCTTCTTGAAAGAATTCTTGGAATGGAATTCATGGAACCAATGGAAAAAAGCATCTTTTACAATGGTATCTTCTAAATCCCTTTGTAGAACTTGATAACTGTTTTCAAAGTTTGAGAAAAAAGTGCTTGTAGATATTTTTCTTTTTTTCTTTTTTTTTTTTTTTTAGACGGCGTCTTGCTCTGTTGCCCAGGCTGGAGTGCAGTGGCACGATCTCAGCTTACTGCAAGCTCCGCCTCCCGGGTTCATGCCATTCTCTTGCCTCAGCTTCCCAAGTAGCTGGGACTACAGGCGCCCGCCATCACGCCCAGCTAATTTTTTTTGTATTTTTAGTAGAGACGGGTTTCACTGTGTTAGCCAGGATGGTCTTGATCTCTTGACCTCGTGATCCGCCCACCTCGGCCTCCCAAAGTGCTGGGATTACAGGCATGAGCCACCACCCCCAGCTGATATTTTTCTTTTGGTTTAATAATTTTTTGGCTAGGTGCGGTGGCTCATGCCTGTAATCCCAGCACTTTGGGAGGCCGAGGCAGGTGGATCACCTGAGGTCAGGGGTTCCAGACCAGCCTGGCCAACATGGTGAAACCCGTCTTTACTAAAAATACAAAACTTAGCCAGGCATGGTGGCAGGCACATATAGTCCCAGTTACTTGGGAGGCTGAGGCAGGAGAATGGCTTGAACCTGGGAGGCAGAGGTTGCAGTGAGCTGGGATCACTCCATTGCACTCCAGCCTGGGCAACAAGAGTGAAACTCTGTTTCAAATAATAATAATAATTTTACATAAAAACAAAGGAAACATAATGAACTCAGTTAACCTCATGAATTCTTTTCTGTGTTCTATTTTATTATGTCGTGTAGCAGGAAACAAATACATACAAGATTCTATAAGAAAGTATTCAGGTGAATTTCAGAATCAACAGTCCACATGGAAGAGATAGTAAAACAAATAAAATTCAGATTTTATTGGACTGTTTGTTTAATGCCAAACTATGAAACACTTAAAAGAATAACATTTGTGATTAATCTTTAACATTTAATTTTTTATCTTATCCAAGTTTGTAAAAATCACTATTATTTGTGACAGGAGTAGTGATTAAAACTGGTTTCATATTAAAAAGATAGTATACATGTCATTTGTAGTATGACTGATAACCTATTGTATGAGTAAGAATGGAAGTGGTATAACCAGTGCCCTGGCCTAGATATCATTTACCCATATGTTATTGCATGCCAGATATTGTGTCAGTCTGAGATACACAGACGAATGATCCCTACCTTGGGTATCTTGTTTAACAGACTATGGAAGACAGACATGTGAATAAGTAGGGTGGTACTGCCACAGAAGTCTGTGCAGGCACAGGTTATGCCAGGGACAGAAGGGAGCATAGAAAATCTAACCAGATATGAGGTAAAGCCAGAAGAGGCAACCTGGAGAAGTTTGAACTGGATTTTAAAAAATCAGTAGCTGTTTGTCAATCAAGAGGATCAAGGTAAGAGAAAGAGGCAAAGACATTCATGCAGACAGGGAAAAGGGGATTCAAAAACAGTGCGCAAAGTGCATTATGCACTTACAAACTTTATAAAGTCTGATATGAAGTGGGACACAGTGGAAGAGAGTACTTGAAAGATAAAGAAGGCAGAGACCAAATTCCAAAGTCCTTGCCTGATACACTAAGGAATTTCACTCTATCCTGTAAACCTGTTGTTTCCAAAAAAAATTTTTTTTTATTTTTTTGCCCCACAAGATGTATATAAGTTGATCACGGAGGTGTGAAAAGAAAATATTAAAATGTCTATTTGTATATTTGCAGTTTAATCACCCTTAATCTATTTTTAAGTTTATATTATATAGAGTAGTAATTAATAAAATATTTCTATTATATCTATTACGGGTTGCATGCTCAACATCTTATTCTGATAGAGATGCATGATCAAAATGATTTAGAAACCACTGCTAGTGAGCGCCGAGATCGCACCACTGCACTTCAGCCTGGAGGACAGAGCAAGACTCCGTCTCAAAAAAAAAGAAGAAACCACTGCTAATGGGGCCAGGTGCGGTGGCTCATGCCTGTAATCCTAGCACTTTGGGAGGCCGAGGCAGGTGGATCACCTGAGGTCAGGAGTTCGAGACCAGCTTGGCCAATATGGTGAAACCCTGTCTCTATTAAAAATACAAAATTAGCCGGGCATGGTGGTGCATGCCTGTAATCCCAGCTACTTGGGAGGCTGAGGCAGGAGAATCGCTTGAACCCAGGAAGCGGAGGTTGTGGTGAGCTGAGATCGCACCATTGCACTCCAACCTGGGCAACAAGAGCAAAACTCTGTCTCAAAAAAAAAAAAAAAAGTAAAGAAAAGAAAAAGAAACCACTGCCAATGAACATGGATATCATTGAAGGGTGCTAAGCAGATCTGATTTGTAAATTGGAAGAATTACTCTGTCAGTAGGTTACAAGTTGAGTTGAATAGATGGAAAATTGTAACAGCATAATTTAGACATTAGGATTATAGCTTTCCTCCAGGGCATAGTGGCTCACATCTGTAATACCAGCCCTTTGGGAGGCCAAGGCAGGCGGTCACTTGACCCCAGCAGTTCGAGGCTGCAGTGAGTTATGATCATGCCATAGCACTACAGCCTGGGTGGCAGAGCAAGACCCTGTCTCTGTAAAACAAAAACAAACAAACAAAAATATTGTAGCTTTCAAAGTCTTCTGGTCTTGGATTCAAAACCTGACTCTACCATTTACTGGCTTTGTGAACTTTGAGAAACTTGCCTAGCGTTTCTGAACTTTAGTGCCTTCTTTGTAAAATTGGTTACAATCCTCTAAAAGTTTTGTGGGGTTATTATGTGTTAATATAAAGAACCCAGTAAAGTATCTGTTATGGGTAGGCACTCAGAAAGGAAATGTTATTATTGTTATTATTTTTTTTGTTTGAGATGGAGTTTCACTCTTGTTGCCCAGGCTGGAGCACAATGGTGCAATCTTGGCTCACTACAACCTCTGCCTCCCAGGTTCAAGCGATTCTCCTGCCTCAGCCTCCCAGGTGCTGGGATTACAGGCGTGTGCCACCACACCTGGGTAATTTTTGTATTTTTAGTAGAGGCGGGGTTTCACCATGTTGGTCAGGCTGGTCTTGAACCCCTGACCTCATGTGATCCACCCGCCTCAGCCTCCCAAAGTGCTGGGATTACAGGCATGAGTCACCGTGTCTGGCCCTATTATTTTTAATAATACAATCATCACCTTCTTTCTTCCTTCTTCCTGCTTTTTTCTTCCTTTCTCCTTTGTTCCTTCTCCTGCAGTCTTCCTTCCTCTTCCTCCTATCTTCCTCTTCTTTCTAAGTATGTTCTTCCATTTCTCTATCTGCTTTTTTTTGGAGATGGAGTCTCGCTCTGTTGTCTAGGCTGGAGTGCAGTGGCACAATCTCGGCTCACTGCAACCTCCGCCTCCCAGGTTCAAGCAGTTCTCCTGCCTCAGCTACCCAAGTAGCTGGGATTACAGGCACCTGCCACCACACCTGGCTAATTTTTGTATTTTTAGTAGAGATGGAGTTTCACCATATTGGCCAGGCTGGCCTCGAACTCCTGACCTCAAGAGATCTGCCCACCTCGGCCTCCCAAAGTGCTGGGATTACAGGTGTGAGCCACTGTGCCCGATCTCACTACCTTCGTCTTCATCAAGAGATGATGAGACTATGAGCTAAGGCAGTAGCAGTGGGGCTAGAGAAGAAGAAAGGATTGCCAGAAATGTTAAGAGAAAAGAGTAGTCAAAAATTATCCAGACTTCTGGCTGTGTGACTAAGTGGGTGGTGGTGCTTTTCAATAACAGAGGCAATACAGAGGGAGGATCAGGTTTTGAGGGAAAGAGGATGAATTTAGTTTTCAGTATGTTGCATCTTGAGGTACTTCAGGACATCTAGGAAGAGGTATCCAGTAGGCATTAAATATAAGGGACCAGGTTGTAGGAGAAAGTAGAAGCACACAATAAATTGAGGAGTTGCTATCATATGAAGTCATTGCTGGAGCAATGTTAGTAGAAAATCACCAAGAGAGAGCATGTAAAACAGGTTTTTTAAGATTATATATGCAAGTGTAATGTGCATATTTTGTAAGGATATAACTTATAGATCAGTGAATTTTCACAAACTGAATATACCCCTGTAACTAGTACCCTTTCAAGAGAGAACATTACCAGCACTCCACATGCCCTCTTGTATAAAGCAGATGTTCCTAACTGGGTGTCCATGGGCTGCTTCAGTGGTTCTCTGGATTTCCCTGAAATTGTTTAATTGTTTGCAAGAGTTGTATATGTATACTTTTTTTTTTTTTTTTTTTTTTGAGACGTAGTATTGCTCTGTTGCCCAGGCTGGAGTGCAGTGGCACGATCTCGGCTCACTGCAAGCTCCGCCTCCCAGGTTCATGCTATTCTCCTGCCTCAGCCTCCTGAGTAGCTGGGACTACAGGCGCCCGCCACCATGCGTGGCTAATTTTTTGTATTTTTAGTGGAGACGGGGTTTCACCGTGTTAGCCAGGATAGTCTTGATCGCCTGACCTCGTGATCTGCCCGCCTCGGCCTCCCAAGTTTATGTATACTTTTTTTTTTTTTTTCCTAATGGAAAGATCTATAGCTTTCATCGGGCTTTTTTTTGTTTTTTTTTAGTGACAGGTTCTTGCTCTGTTGCCCAGGCTAGAGTGCAGTGGTGCAATCATATTAATAGCTCGCTATAACCTCAAACTCCTTGGTTCATGCAGTCCTCCCATCTCAGCTTCCCAAATAGCTAAGACTACAGGTGTGCACCAGCAGACCCACCAGACCTAGCTTTTCTTTCTTTCTTTTTTTTTTTTTTTGTAGAGATGGAGTCTGACTATGTTGCCTAGGCTGGTCTTGAACTCCTGGCCTCAAGCAGTCCTCCTGCCTCAGCCTCCCAAAGTGCTGGAATTACAGGCATGAGCCACTGTGCCCGGCCTCATCATAATCTTTTTAAAAGGGTGTTCACATCCCAATAAGGATGAAACTCGCTGGTGGAGTGAGAAGAGGTCTTAGAGCAAAACCTCAGCGGGACTATTTGAGATAAATTCTTGAACTCTTGAACACTATGTACTTACTCTATGCCTTGCTGGTTTTTTCTCTGATTTACTGTATCTTAGGGAATGTTTGTAAGACTAATTTAGCTTTTAGTTGTATAAAGAAATAGAGAAAGGCTATTTATTAAATGGTCTTTGAAACTTACACTACTAGCAATTACCAACCATTGGTCCTAATGTTAAAACTGCTTTTTAGAAGTTTTTATGAGTTTTTAACTAACCTCTTTTAGATGAACAAATCTTAAAATGTTTGTTTATTTTTGTGTAAGCCATGAAGTATTGTATACAGTATGTTTCTAATGTGCTGTTTTTAAACATCCAGATTTTGTCACCAGAAGTTTATCACAGACTTGTTCCTTTTTTAAATTTCTAATTTATATTTTCTAAATTTTTTTAATAGATGAAGGTTATTCTTTCAGCAGTGTCCTGTATTATGGAAATGAAGCTACTCTTCTTATTTTTGATCTGCTGTTCTTCTGTGTTGTGGATTTGGCTTGCCAAAATTTTATTTTAGCATCCTTCCTTACATATCTACAACAAGAGGTAAACTTTTAAAATTTTTCTACATTTTCCTTCATTTTCTTGAGAGAAATATGTTAGAAGTAGATATTTTCATAGCAGAGAGTAACAATGTCTACTTTTACTACAATTTTGTAAAGGTTTAGAATATGACTAACCCCACCAAAAGAAGGAATAACATTTCAACCAACTGTACTCTGTCCTTTAGGGTCAATGAAATACTGGGGTCTAGTGGAGGGCATAAGTTGCTTGATTATACATGGAAGAGGAATCCTATAGGAAGACACTTAACTGCTAGTCTCCTAGATGCTACAAGTGAACAGTAATTAGAGTCCCATCCACCCTCTCCAGACGTTAAGTAACAAAAAAACAAGCACTGGAGAGCTAGCTCAGGGCTCAGCACCAAAGCTTGCAGCTTTGACACCTCCCCCACCTGTGTGGATAAAAAGCAACTTCATGTATGAGTGTGGACCCTGAAATAGAGATTTCAAGAATTGGCAAATCTGTTCTTGAAATGGTGTTATTATCAACTAAATATTCTCCACTATGTCAAAGAAGTATATATAAGTAAGATGCAATTTATTAGTCCTTGACAGTGATCTAGAATTGTGAAGAAATTCTATCTCTAGTGAGTAGATTCTTTTGATGTTTCCGTAGTTTTAGACTTAGAAGAAAGTTGCCTTTCTATATATTTTAAAGTGTATTTCTGTGAACATGAGAGAATTTGTATTATTAATTCATAAGAATTTACTCTAAATGGGAACATACTATGAAACTATGAAAGAAATTATCATCTTGAAATAATTTTATGTATCACTATGGGATTCAGATACCTGATACATGAAAATAGTTGAGAGAATTAGCTAATTTAATCTAGATATTTTAATCGACGTGCATATTTAATTCTGTTTATATTTCTTTTCATTCTGAATTGTTTTAATTTTCCAGATTTTTAGATATATCCGTAATACAGTAGGACAAAAGAATTTGGCATCCAAAACATTGGTGGATCAAAGATTTTTGATTTAACTTCCTGAATAAATAACTTAAAGACTCAGTATAATCATGGCCAAAAAAAAGTCATGATATCAGGTTAGTTTGCCATATTTTTTAAAACTTATAATGCAGACTATTCTGTTTTTGTTTTTTATTTGCAGAAAGATTTATTTTTATAACTTGGGAATATATAACCTGATATAATAGAAAATACTGTTTTCCCATTGTGTGTAGTATTTAATGCAGTAAATAATAAATTAATACTGACAGTGAGGCCAAAAAAAATCTAAATGTTGCTTTCAGCATAATACTTTTTAATGCTAATTAAAACAGTCCCCATCATTTGTCTCTGTAGATTATTTTATAAACTGAGAGCTGCCTGAATCTTCTCACATTGACAAAGTAATTTGATTCCAAGTTTAAGACTAGTTTTCAGTTTGATATTTTCATGTTTTGTGTGCTTATGGTTAAATAAATGTTGAAAGATATTTTCAAGTTTACTTAGAAATTTTAAATTGTATTATTGCTGATTCAATTTGCATCATTCTAATTGCTCATCCTCTTTGGCAGTGGATTAATTCACTGTTGGGTTAATATGCATCTCATGAAATGATATCTTTTCATTCCTTTGTATACCTGTATTAGGTCAGTATACGCTTTCCATGAAATATATTTGCATTTCTAATATAGTTTACATTTATTAAGTTATAACGTATGACATTTTTCCCAATATCATTTTTTATACATTTTAATTACTTAATGTTTTAAGAGTTCTCTTCCAGAGTTTTGCTTTTCAATTACGTTTAAAGACTGTAAATAACAAACAGTAAGGCTGGGCGCTGTGGCTTACGCCTGTAATCCCAGCACTTTGGAAGGCCAAGGCACGTGGATCACTTTAGGTCAGGAGTTCAAGAACAGCCTGGCCAACATGGAAAACCCCATCTCTACAAAAAATACAAAAATTAGTTGGATGTGGTGGCCTGTAATCCCAGCTATTTGGGAGGCTGAGGCATGAGAATAGCTTGAAACCAGGAGGTGGAGGCTGTAGTGAGCCAGATAGCACCACTGCACTCCAGCCAGGATGACAGAGCAAGACCCTGTCTCAGAAAAAACAAAAACAAAACACTGTAAATGTATCATGTTTCTCACTGCTTTCTATGTTAATGCTGTGTAAATACTTAAAATGGAATACTGTATAAATATTATTTATATTTTCTCAGATGAAAATATATACTAAAACATTTGGTATTTCTGTTTTCTGTTTCATTAATGTATATCTGATGGAGTACCATTTAGGAATATAACATTATTGGGGCAGAGGTCCCAGCCATTGCCAAAGTTGAATCTTTTACATTTCCCTGAATCTTGAGGATGACTGAAAAGGAAGTCTTTGAAACTGCAGTTTCTGAAGGATCACAGTACAGGAATGCCTTTATAAAAGCTGCAGAGATAAATACATGTACTTATATGGCATGGATATTTAAAACCACTCACTCAGAAGCATATGAAAGAAATTCAACCATCATTCAACATAGAAGAAGTTAATTTTAGTGCAAAAGTTTTTAAGTATTAAATTTCACAATAAAGGATCAATTGGCTTACTTGCTGATAAATTAAAACAGAAAACATTTAAAATCATTCTAAATTTTGTATGATATTTTTATTTTGGCTAGGTGCATAAAAATGTGTTCAGATTTTCATACACTGTCGACTCCTTTGTTCACATTGTCACAATTTACATTTCCTGATCATGTGCATAATTATTCACTAGATTCATTACCCTTTGTCTATTTCTGTAGTACCCAATCACTATACTTTGACTCTTATATCCCTGATTTTACTGATTTTCTAGAAACATTTGATTTCTCTTCATTTCATAATGAAACAAAACCTAGAGAGGTTCTTTATAAGCTGTTGTGTACTTTGGATGCTCCTTAGAAACATACAGGCCCCTAAAATACTTCTGTAGACCAGTGCCTCTGTTATGGGAGATTTGTAAATGCTTCCTTCTCTGGCATTGCTGTCCTAACTGCCTTTTCAGAAGGCTTTGCTGATGACCTACATTGAGGAACATTCAAAATGATCATTAACTCAGCACTTACAAGCATGAAGCATGTGTTTTTTTTGTAAATATTGACAAATATAAGCTGAGGGGAAATAACTGTAAGTCAAGGAGCAGTGAGGAGTGTGGCTTAATGGAAAGTGCTCCAAATTTAGCAAAAGAAGCCCTGGATTCAAATTAGAATTTTGCCCATCACTCATAAGCTTTGGTATCTTGAACTAAGTCATTTGCCATCATTGAGCTTCATTCTACATCTCTGCAATGAAAATAATATCCTTTGCTTACCACTTGTTGTAAGGATTAGTTTCGTGGGTGTGTGTGTGTGAGACAGAGAGAGAGAGATGGGGTCTCACTCTTATCACCCAGGTTGGAATGCAGTGGCACGATTTTGGCCCACTCTAACCTCTGCCTCCTAGGCTCAAGCAGTCCTCCACCTCAGCCTCCCAAGTAGCTGGAACAACAGGTGTGCACCACCATGCCCAGCTAATTTTTTGTATTTTTTTTGTAGAGACAAGGGTTCACCATGTTGCCCAGGCTAGTCTTGAACTCCTGATCGAGAGATTCACCCACCTCGGCCTCCAAAAGTGCTGGGATTACAGGTGTCAGCCACTACACATGGCCAGGATTAGTTTCTTAGAATGTGCTTTTAACATTGAGTAAACTATGAATGCTGGAATTTTTATTTTTAGTTTAAAATATCTGCCCCAAAATATATTTTTTTCTTGCTAATAAATTAATAATATGATATTAAAACTCAGATTACTGATCTCAATAACTGACCAATGAAAATTCTGAGCCTGCCTTCTTCCTCAGCCACCCCCAGCTCTGCCAGGAAGAGGCCCAGATAGAGGTCACCGATAGATGTAAAACATAAAAGAAGACAACACCCCTGTGGGAGACACAGTTTGTGATAGAGGGTGGAGAGAACAGGAAGAGTGGAGTATTGTCTCTGGGAGGGAGGGTTTTTTTCATTTGCTCATTCATTCCAACAATGTTTCTACCTCTTCCCACTCCCCAGCCCCTCAGAAGGGTCTTATAATTTGTAAGAGAAAGAGGTAAATTAACCAGTAATTACAGCAATATGAAACGTGCTGCAGTACCGGGGTGTGATATAAGGAAAGCTCTTAACTGTACTTCTGGGTCATCAGGGCTTTGACCTCAGAGAAGTGGATTTGATCTAAGATTTTAAGATAAACAAAAAAAAACAAGTGCAACCAAAGCATGGAACAGTATGTGCTCAGAGACAAAGCAGCACATGGCAGTTTGGGGCACTACGGGCAGTTTGAATCAGAGTACATGTACTGTTTATATTTTAAAAGTTGTCTGTATAAGATGTTTTGTCATTTTAAGAAACCTTCCCTTCTGGGGAGTGATTGTCCCTCCTGGGGCTCCCCAGTTCTTTTAGACAGCAAAGAACTCAGGTGGGAGCATACCTTTGATATACAAACTATAGACCTGAGCCACACCTCCTCTGTCTGGCCCTGAAACCCTAGGAGGCAATGTTCCTCTTCCTTAAATCATCCCAGGACCAGGTAACGGGCAACTAGGGATAGTCTCTGTAGTTTAGAGCACACTGAAATTATTCCAACGAGCCGATCCCAAACTGTTGACCCCACCCTGCCTTGCCATTTCCTCAGAAACTCCAGTAAGCACCCAGGCTCTGCCCTGGCTCCTGGTGCTCCTGCCTCCTGACTGGTGCTTTCCCCCATGGCTGTGCATGGTGTGCCGTGCCATCTGTTTCTAGGACCTGTGAGTGTAAGAAACTTTCCTGTCTCCCCTTGTCATTCCTCACTCATCACTACATAAAAGGACACAGAACAGTATGTTTGGGGGCTTTGGAGGGCAATGAGGTTGGAAAGGAAAACAGGAGTCACATCATTAAAGGTTTTTATGTTGGGCCACATCTCCATCACGTGCATGGAGTGTTTAACCAAGTTGGAGATAAGTGTTCCTGCTCTCTGTTCCTTGGCTGCATGTTGTGGTTTGCAAGAAAATACATTGCCCCACTGCCCATAAGAGAGGCACCAAGGGTAGTAGTTGAGAGCACAGACCCTGGAGCCAGATTGGCCTGTGTTCAAGTCCCGGCTGCACCACTTACTGGCTGTGCAATTTGGGCAAGTCATGATTAAATTGTCTCATCTGTAAAAGAGATAAATAGTACCTACCTCAAAGACTTATTGGGAAGATTAAATGAGTTATTGTGTACAGTGCTTAGAAAAGTGCCTGGCACATAGTAAATGCTATGTGAATATAAGCTGTGTAGTAGTAGTAATAGTAGTAGTAGTTCCCATTAATATTTAGTGCAGAAAGAGAGACCCAGATTAGACCCACTAGAGACTACATTAAGACACTGTCTCATTGCTGGGTGTGCTAGAAGTAGCAATAGACAAACTGCCTGCCACACAGTTGTCTATGGGTTTTAAAAAATAACTGCTTCTGTTATTTTTATAATAATCATTGCTTCCATTGTAATTATTATTGTTACAAGGAATACATGGCTGTGGCCCAAGGATAAATAAATAATCACAGATGATCAGTAGAATGAAGTCCAGGGACAAGTCCACGGGTGTGTGGATATGTATATACACACACATGACAAGGGTAGCATGCAGTGCAGTAAGGGAAAGGTGTTTTTTAGATGTGCCATTGAATATCCCAGTGGAAAAAATGCATACCTCTATGTCACACTTACACAAAAATCAATTTCAGGTAGATGCTAAATTTAAATGTGAAAGGGTAAATGGTAAAGTTTCTAGAAGATAAAAGGGGAATATATTCATGACTTTCATGTAGGTCTTTTAGTTTTTTATTTTGTTTTGAGACAGGGTCACTCTCTGTTGCCCAGGTTTGAGTGCAGTGGCACAATCATGGCTCACTGTAGACTCGACCTCCCAGGCTCAAACGATCCTCCCACCTCAGCCTCCAGAGTAGTTGGGATTACAGGCACATGCCTCCATGCTTGGATAATTTTAAATTTTTTTGTAGAGACAGAGTCTCATTATGTTGCCCAGGCTGGACTCAGAGACTCCTAGCCTCAAGCGATCCTCCACCCTCATTCTCCCAAAGCACTAGGATTACACACCTGTGTGTGAGCCACTGCACCTAGCCTGCCAAGATTTCTTAAGACCCCAAAAAGCCTAGGCATGGTGACTCATGCCTGTAATCCCAGCACCTTGGGAGGCCAAGGCGGGTGGATCACTTGATCTCAGGAGTTCAAGACAAGCCTGGGCAACATGGTGAAACCCTGTCTCTACCAAAAATACAAAAAATTAGCCAGGTATGGTGGCATGTGCCTGTAGTCCCAGCTACTCAGGAAGGAGGATCACTTGAGCCCAGGGAGGTGGAAATTGTAGTAAACCAAGATCACACCATTGAACTCCAGCCTGCCTGGGTGACACAGTGAGACCCTGTCTGTCTCAAAATAAGACCCAAAAAAGATGAACCATAAAATAAAAGATTGGTAAATTGGACTTTACAATTTGTGGTAAATTTATACTTTTGTAAATTTATATGTGTAAATTTGGAATTTACATTAAAATCAGGAACACTGTACATCAGAAGACCCCATTATAAGAATGAAAAGGCAAACCTCAATCTGAGAAAAAAAATTGCAAACAGATTAGACAAAGCACTCCTGTCCTGAATAAAGAACTCATCACATCAATAAGGAAGACAGGCAACACAATAGAAAAATGAGCAAGGCTCAAGTAGCCATCCCTCAAAAGAAGGTTTCCAAATGACCAATAAACACCTGTGAAAAGTGCTCAACCTTGTTAGTCATAAGAATGCAAAATAAAACCGTGTGATACCACTACAAAACCAACAAAATGGCTAAAAGTTAAAAACTTAAAATACCATGTGTGGGCAAGAATGTGTGAAGCAAAAGAACTTTCATACTGTTTACTATGTAAAGTGAGGGGATTCGCGTTAATCTGTAACTTTTGGTTGGACTATCCTGAATCTTAAAGACAGGAAGACTCAAGTTTGTATTTGACCAAACCCATGGCTGACAGCAGATGGCAGTGGAGTGCACAGTAACCTTTTCAGGACCAGGCTGGGGCCCTTCTGACTGTAGCTCAAAGGTAGGTGTGCTCACAGGACGGCGGAGGCAAGAGGAACGCCATTCTCCCCATCTTCCACTTCACTCTTTGTCCCCCTCCTAACTTCTGTCGTCTCTCCCTTTACTGCATCAGAGTGCTGGGCAGCTCAGATGACTACAGTGCATTCTAAATCTAGTGCTGAGTTTTTAAAACCCAGGTTAGGGAATTGAATGCTAAAATAAAGATGATATACTTTCATCCATCTCCTAGGGAATGGGATCACAAAACAGGTCATGCTTCAGAAAAAATTTAAGAACGAATTATCTAATGATTCAGGAATCTTCCTTCATTTTAATGAAATACATATTACATTAAAATCTCTTTAAAAATCAAACTCTTATCTAAAGTATATAATGCCCTTTATCTATATACAATTTCCCCAAATGGGACACTAGGTGCTAAGGATATGGAGGTAGATAAGACATTGCCTCTACTTTTACAGAGCTTATAGTTAAAAGACAGAACAACAAATCAATAAAAGCATAGTAAGTACTGTGTTCTTATCCTATTGCTTCTGTAACAAATTACCAAAATTGAGTGGCTTTAAGCAACATAAAAGTATCATCTTACAATTCTGGGTGGCAGAAGTCTGAAATGGGTTTCACTGCACTGAAATCAACTTGTCAGCCTGGCTGGGTTTCTTCTGGAGGCTCTAAGGAAGACCCCCTCTTTGACTTGGAAGGACTTCTGTGATTACATTGGGCCCACTGGATAATTCAGGATAATTTTCCCCATTTCAAGATCCTTAGCTTAATCACATTGGTGAAGTCCCCTTTGCAGTGTAAAGTAACATATTTATAGGCTCTGGGGATTAGGACCTGGATTTTTTTTTTTTGTGTGGGTGGGTAGGGGTGTGTGGGGGCGTTATTTTGCCTAATATAGAACACTATCTATCTGTAGGGTACAAGAACATAAAACTAGCATACTTAACGATAGTTTGGGTAGTCTGCAAAGGCCTGTGAAAGGGATACTTTAACTGAGACAAAGCAAGAGCAGAAGCTGGCCAGGACTATAGGATGGTAATGAGGCTGAAATTTTCCAGATAGAAGGAACAGCATGTGCAAAGGCCCTGATGTGGGGGCATCCTTGTCTACAGTGGGTCTAGATTGACCATTTGACAGAATTGACCAGATTCGAAAAGGGATTTACTTAGAGTCAAGAATATAGTTTCAAAATTAGAAGAAAATTAAGTGCCTTATTCCATTTTATTTGGGTTTTCAGTTTTTCCCATTACAGCAAACAGAACAAGATTTTGTCTTTTTTTTTTTTTTAGCTAGCTGAATGTCTTTCAATCCACTGAACAGTTCTCATTTTTTAGAGCCTCTCTCAAAGCCATCATTACACACAGTTTTCAAAGGATTGTTACCTAGAAGGGTGACAGACCAAGCTCAGAACACAAAGCCAAAGTCAATGATCTAATCCTGTTTGGGAAAGGTCTGCTCCTTGCTGGGGTCAGCTGTTATTCTGATCTTGTTTTCATGTTGGCAGTTTTCTTTTGCAGCTGCTCTCATTGTGAGGAGTTAAGGGACAGCTTGTAGCAGACCAGGACTTTTAAAAAAAGATTTTAAAATGAATAATAGAGCTCTTTTCCTCTTATGTCACTTATTGAGCTTTGAAACTCAAGCCAGCTGATTGGAGATAATCATGGCCAGTGTTTGCATGGTGCTTTGATTTTTGATATTTTAATAAGATCTTAGATGGCTTTCCATATATTCTTTCTAGCTACCTTGTATCACACAAGCACAACAATGCCAGCTGCCAGGGAGACTCATTAAATTGACATTTTAAATATTTCTGTAAATTACTAGAACATTTTAGCTTTAACTCCCGGAGGGTAAAAGGCTAGAAGATTTTGTGCACAAGAGTATCTGTCCTGTTCTCTAAAGAAAATGGAACTCCAAACCCATTCCTCTTATTCTGTCTGCTCTCCTCGGTTATAAAGCTGCAGGAAGAGCCATCATTTAATCACTTTTTTTTTTCTGTATGCTTAGGATAAAGAGGCACAGTAGAATTATAGCTAAGAGCAAAGACTTTGAATTCTGACAGGGCTGGCTTTGAATTCCCAACTTCTCTATTTCCTTTGCATATGATCATAAGCAAACTCTCCCACCTCTATGAGTCTCTTTTTTTGTTGTTTTTGTTTGTTTGTTTTGAGATAGGGTCTCACTCTGTTGCCCAGGCTGGAGTGCAGTGGCACAATCTCGACTCATTGCAACCTCTGCCTGCGGGTTCAAGCAATTCTCCCACCTCAGCCTCTTGAGTAGCTGGGATTACAGGCATGTGCCACCATACGCAGCTAATTTTTTGTATTTTTAGTAGAGACGGGGTTTTACCATGTTGGCCAGGCTGGTCTCGAACTCCTGGACCAAAAATGATCCACCCACTTTGGCCTCCCACACTGCTGGGATCACAGGCATGAGCCACCACACCCAGCCTATGAGCCTCTTCTTTATCTGTCAACCTGGGTAATATCTGCCTCAAGACCGTTGTCATAAGGATTGAAGGAGATAATAGAAGTACAGTTGTTAGCACGGTGCCAGGAATAGGTCAGTGTACAAAGAATACAGTACGTCATTATGACTGAATTATTAATTTGACAGCCACAAAACAAATTCATGTGACACATTTACTTATTTGACTGCTTCTGTGGTATGTCTGAGGTGAGTATAGGTGCGACATTCCAGAGAAGGAGAGCTGGCGCAAGGACAGTGCTCCAGAAAAAACAGTAATAGTTTCAACTGACCACAGGCTCAATATGGAACAACACTGGGATGACATTGTTAATGTAATTTAAGGCCACATTAATTGAGTGTCCAAAATAAAGGAGGAAATGGCCCCATTGGGTGCTATTCACACCTTATTCATGGTATTGTTTCTTTTTCTGAACATGTCTGGGTCTAAGTACTTTGATAATTGGATTTTATTGGGAGGATGGTGATCAGGACGGTGAAGGATGCTGAGATGCCCATGAAGCATAATAGAAGGAACTGGAGAAAAAATTAACCAGAACCATGATGGTGTCCTTCAAACATTGTCCCATGGAAGAAGGAGTTGATATCCATATAGCTCCCAACTGCAGAACTAGGCTCAATGAATGAAAGCGATGAAGTGGTGAATTTCAGGTCAAGAGGGAAGAATTTTCAGATAATTTAGAGCTGCTCAAATATGAGTGGCTTCGTGACATTTAGGTCCTTCTGCATATGCGTTGTAGAAATGAGACAGGGATGCTGAGAGAGGTTATCTCTCTTGGGGGAGGGACAGACCACATGGATTGCACCATCCTTTCCCAATTGACCATTTGGGTGTACACATACAGCCTTCTCATACAAAGTTACAACATCGAAGGAGGCTGCCTACTTGGCCTCCTATGATGGTGAGCTCTGAGAACTGAAATAAGAAACCTTAAAGCTAACTGCCTTACAGGCAGAATAACCGGATCATAATAGACTCATTTCTATAGTTGTGCTATCTTGGGAAGTATAACTTATTCCATAATGATGTGTTCAGTAAGTCCTTAAGTAACAAGCATTGTTAATCATGTCTTTTTTTTTTTTTTTTTTTTTTTTTTTTGAGTCGGAGTCTCTTTCACCCAGGCCGGACTGCAGTGGCGCTATCTCGGCTCATTGCAAGCTCCGCCTCCCAGGTTCACGCCATTCTCCTGCCTCAGCCTCCCAAGTAGCTGGGACTACAGGCGCCCACCACCGCGCGTGGCTAGTTTTTTGTATTTTTAGTAGAGACGGGGTTTCACCGTGTTAGCCAGGATGGTCTTGATCTCCTGACCTCATGATCCGCCCGCCTCGGCTTCCCAAAGTGCTGGGATTAGTTAATCAGGCCTTGAGGGACTCTGTAAATAAGTGGGTTAGGAAAGAATCTGAAATGATGGGGATAAAGTGAAAGCTGTGTGACTCAATTCTTCCTCCTCCCAAAAGAAATGGTCTCCAAGGTTAGATACATGTTTAATTGGGTAGTGGAAAGTACACTGAACTGGAAGTTCAAAAGTTTAGGTTTTAGTCCTATCTCTGTTGATAACTAGACCTTGGCTAAATCAATTACACTTTCTAGGCTTCTGTTTCATTTATAAGCCCAATGATCTCTAAGTCCTCTTCTTTCCCTAATGTCATGATCCACAATTGATAACCTTCTACAAGTAAATGCTGGATGAAGATGATTAATGTTAATTAGAGCCCACTTGTTCTTGGACATGTCATTTATCCTAAAATTTAGTTTTATATATTTTTATGTTTATTTATTTATTATTATTTTTTGAGATAGAGTCTCGCTTTTGTCGCCCAAGCTGGAGTGCAATGGTGCAATCTCGGCTCACCGCAACCTCTGCCTCCCAGGCTCAAGCAATTCTCCTTCGTCAGCCTCCCAAGTAGCTGAGATTACAGGCACGTGCCACCACGCCCAGCTAATTTTTTGTATTTTTAGTAGAGACAAGGTTTCACCATGTTGGCCAGGCTGGTCTCAAACTCCTGACCTCAGGTGATCTGCCCACCTCAGCCTTCCAGAGTGCTGGGATTACAGACGTGAGCCACCCCACCTGGCCAGTTTTATATATTTTTAAATGGCAGATAATCTTGAGAAGGTGAGCATGGCAGAATTTATAAAAAGTACATCAGTTTAAACTGAGACAACATATACGAAAAAATTGTTATGACCTTGCCATTTGAACATGACCCATAGTATGAATTATGCTGCAGCAAAGCTCTGAATTATTACCTCAAAATAAATCAACCTGTAGGAGGATACTGATAGTTGCCTGTGGAATATCCATTCTCCCCTTCTTCATTTTATTTTATTTTATTTTCTAAAAAAGACACAGAGTCTCATTCTGTCATCCAGGCTGGAGTGCAGTGGTGCAATCATAGCTCGCTGCAGCTGCAGCCTACCAGGCTCAGCCTGGGAGGGTGGCAAGCGATCCTCCTGCCTCAGCCTCCTGAATAGCTGGGACTACAGGCATGTGCCACCATGCCTGCCTAATTTTTGTATTTTTTCTTTTTTTTTTTTTTGTATTTTTTGCCTAATTTTTTGGCTGCCTAATTATTGTATTTTTTGTAGAGATGAGGATCCCACTGTGTGGCCCAGGCTGGTCTTGAACCCCTGTGCTCAAGCAATCTTCCTGCCTCAGCTCCCAGAGTGTTGGGATTACAGGCATGAGCCACCGTGCCTGGCTTCCCTTCTTTTTTTTTTTTACTATGGAACACTGGTTTCATTTGGGATGGAATCTGCTAAGTTTCCCTTGTGGCTAAGAAACCCTGTTTCATGGTGGCCAATGAGAGGCAAGCAGAAGTCTGCTGATGGGGCATCTGAGAAGGCTATTGATTTCCTCATAAAAAGGAATAAACATACTGGTACACACTTTTTGCCCTTCTGTCTTCCTGCCTGGAATGTGTTCATGATGCCTGGAGATGCAGGAGCGTGAGGATGCACAGCAGGCAGGTAGAGAAGCTGGGTCTTTGACCACTATCTTGAGCAGCTGTGCCAGCCCCAGGCTGCATCCACTTCTTGTTATTGGGAAGGACAAAGCCCTATTTACAGACAAGTCTCTATTCCATGCAGCTTAATGCAATCCTGACTCATAAA
The DNA here is from genome assembly GCF_000001405.40 of Homo sapiens. NCBI lineage: Eukaryota > Metazoa > Chordata > Mammalia > Primates > Hominidae > Homo > Homo sapiens. The sequence goes on from NC_000008.11 coordinate 93,828,168, forward strand.
GTACCTCCAAACCACCGCTCCCCAGTTGTTCCATGTCAGGTGCCATAGTATGAACTTATTTCACTTGACACCCTCTGGAAGGTCCTACCTCTTAAAAGAACATGTAGCCATATGCATTCAGTGTTTTCAGAGAAGACACCACCACCATCACCACCATCATCATCATCACCCCCAACAACAACAAGAACAACAAGCAAGTAGTAAGTATTTACAATGTGTCTTAAGGAACTCTTGATTAATTGACTTCAAGCAGCACTACTTAATTCAGGAACACTTACCAAGAGAAAAGAAGCCAGGGGCAGTGGCTCACACCTGTAATCCCAACACTTTGGGAGGCCAAGGTGGGTGGATTGCTTGAGGTCAAAAGTTCAAGACCAGGCTGACCAACATGGCAAAACCCCATCGCTAATAAAAATACAGAAAATAGCTGGGCATGGTGGCACATGCCTGTAATCCCAGCTACTCGGGGGGTGGGGCTGAGGCAGGAGAATCGCTTGAACCTGGGAGGCAGAGGTTGCAGTGAGCTGAGATCACACCACAGCATTCCAGCCTGGGTGACAGAGTAAGACTGTCTCAAAAAAAAAAAAAAAAAAGTATTAACTCACTTTCTTGAATAGCCCTTTTAAGAGTTATACCTATATGTTGTGCCATAAAACTATATTTAACTGCTAAGAAGGCAAACAAGACTATTGTTAGTCAAGTGTTTAGTTCATTTTTATTATAACATATTTCATGTTATATTTATGTTAACACTAGTTGTTTTAATGGCTATTCATTTTATAGCATATTGGAGTTTCTTGTAACATTATGTGTATATTACATTTATGCCTATTTTATAGACATTATGAAATAATTTTACAATTTGAGGTAACTATATAAGTTAATACTTACCTTTGCTTTTATGACATGCGGTTGGTTCTATTTATGGCTTATGTGATGCTGAGTTGTTGGTCAGGATGCCACTCTGTTATCATCATTGCCCTAGGAGGAAAATAGGCTCTTCTTTGCGGTAGTACACCTGTCGGTCGCACTTTCCAGGAATGCCTGCACTCCATTCAAGGGCAGAAATAGGCATAGTTTTCTTCTTCCTGTAAGGATTTGTCACCGTATGTCCCGAATGGACAGAATAAACTACTTTCTTGAACTCTCTCACTCAAGTCTTTCCTCAAAATCAGGAGATTTCCTTTATGAGTGCTCTCTCTCTCTCTCTCTCTCTGTGTGTGTGTGTGTGTGTGTGTGTGTGTATCTTTTCACTAATCAGCCGTGTTCACTTCCCAAGCACTAACACTTGCTACAGCACCTCCACTCCTGCTCACTGGATCTACTCCTCTAACTACCTCTAAGCATGGCCATATCCCTCAAATGCAGCCAGGGGCCTCTTCTCCCTGCGATCACATAGGCTTAGAGCTGGTTGGCTCCTCAGATCCTCTGTGGTTCCCACAAGAAATGCAGTTTCACCAAGCGTTCTGTGACTTTTTTTTAACTTTCTGAGAATTCGGGAGGCCCCATTATGGAACAGCACAACATCTCCTCTTTCCCTTTCTTTCTCTCTCTTTTTCTCTCCCCTTCTCTCCGTGGTATTTTTAATATATGGTGGATGAGCCAGTTCCTGGCTCATAACTCCCACAGCCCTTGTTACAGTCTTTTGTTATAATCCTGGGGGGCATTTTAGGCCTCAGAATCAGGCCTCAGAAAATAGAATCTTTCTCTGACCTTCCCCCACCCTTCTTTCTTTCCCCAAGACAGGAATCTTCCCCTACTTTTCCGTCTTGGAGCTGACCATAAATTCCCTGAGCTACCTTGTCTGATTGTAGGCCATAAGACCCCCATTTCAGAAGGGGTCCTGCCCTATAACCTGGAGGAAGGAAAACTGCACCAAGAAGCCAAGGAGAACCTGGACAGACAAGCCTTGCTGGGTCTCCCCACTCAGTCTATTAGCATTAGATCATATCCCTTTGTCCAAACACATTTCTACATGGTTGTCAATCATGCCTATCCGAGGACATCTCCATAAAAGGCCCAAGAGGACAGCATTTGGGGAGCTTCCAAATGGCTGAGCACATGAGATTCCTGGAGGGTGGAGTGCCTGTGGAAGCCCTGCACCCTTCCCCCCATGCCTCACCCTACACATCTCTCCATCTGTATCCTTTGTAATATCCTTTATAACAAACTGGTCAATGTGTTTCCCTGAGTTCTGTGAGCTACTCTAGCAAATTAACCCAACCCAAAGAGTGGTTGTAGCAACCCCAAATTGAAGCCAGTCTGTCAGAACTTCTGGAGGCCCTGACATGTGACTGGTATCTGGGAGCGGGGGTGATCTTGGGGACTGAGCCCTCAACCCGTGGGATCTGACACTGTCTCCAGATAGATAGTGTCAGAATTGAATTGGGGTACCAGGTTGGTGTCCGCTGCAGAACTGATTGCTTGTTTGGTGGTGGGGAGAAACTCCCACACATTTGATCACAGAAATCTTGTGTGTTGATTGTTGTAAGAGAATAGGAAAAAGCACACTGAGTGTTATTTTATCCACACTTAGACCCTCCCTCTGGGTTCACCCAGGAGCTTCTTGTAATATAACAAGCCAAGCCCAGCTTCTGTAGACTCAGCTTTTACCTCAGACAAGATGGTATTTTCCTAACACAGGCAAAGCTCTCCCTGGTAGGAATTCTTGTTATAATCATCATGCACAAAAGCATTTGCCCACGTATTTCCATGAATAATCAAAGAAAGTTCTGCCTTCGCAGAATCATTTCATGATCTCGTACTTTGATTTTAGAAGTGATAGTACAGTGAGGGTCTGGACCTTCCTCAGCTTGTGATGATCACGGACACTAACAGTAAATCTGGATGAAGCCAGGTCCTTGAGACCCACAGCACATCTGGTATATTCACTCCTGTTACACTCACATGTTCGGTGCTCCCACTTTCACACACGCCACATGGGGAGCATAGAAAGCACCCAGCACTAAAATCATTTCCAGTTTTAAAATCACTATGACAAGTAAGAGGAGACAACCCATGTGAGTGGACCAGGCCTTTCTTTGAGCCCCTTTAAGTGAAAGTTATCTTAGAAAAGGCCCAGGGAAGACAGGGGGCCTGGAGAATGAAAGAATGGCCAGGTTAACAAGCACATGTGAGTACAAGGTTTGCATTTAGCTCAGCTGATGAAGCAAGAGATTAAAACAGACATGGAACTTGTTGAAAATTTTGCCAACAATTGGGCAAAAGATTTCTATTACAATGGACATTTTGACTCTCTTTTAAAGAAAAATAACAGCTGACGATGGTTTAATATTACTAATATAACAGGACTATTTTTTTCTGTCATTTACATTCAAGTGAAAGCCATTCGCCAATCTTCCAACCTTTTGAGAATACCCTGTCATGTAATATCCAAGTGAACTGGTGAGTATCTAGTCCCCAACCCAAATATTATGAAAAGCCCTGCCTCCTTCCAGGTTTCTGAGGATTCCTGGGAAGGTGTGCATGAGTGCATGCATGTGCTTGTGTGTGTGTGCATGTGTGTGTGTGTGTTTGTGCTTGTGTGCCTGTGTGTGTGGTGGACGTCACAGCAGAGGAGCTGAATGTGCAGAAGGCATGGTGGCTTCTGTTCGTCAAGTCACCTCCCCCTCTGAATGGTTCTGCTGAATTCCTGTTTCTCTTGCCCTGCAGCTATTGTTCTTCTACCACTTCACCTTTCCTTCATTTTCCAAAGCACCATTAACATTAGACAACTGCAAGTTTTAACCTTTGCTGAAAGTCGGGAGTAATGGAGAGGGGCACTGCTTGGAAAACAACTTCAAGCTGGACATCAGGTCTTGCCATCCTCCAAGTCCTTCAGCCAACTCTCCAGCACAGGAAATTTACATTACTGTCTTTCCTTTTAGGCCCTGGCCTGCTGCTGTGCTCCTAGGGCCAACTTTCCTCTCTACCCTCATTCCTCTGTATCATCTTCTTGGAGTCCCCAGGGTTCCTGTACCTTTCTCCTTCACCAGCAGTGACTCAAAAACTCTCTATACAGAAGGAGGAGCTCAGTGAGAACAGCCTGATTGGAAACTGGGGCTAGAGGTCTTATCTCAAAGTCTGCTTTGCTTTGAAGCACACTGTTTTTACTTAGATTGTATGCTACTTGGATTGGGTAGGGGTACCCATGGAGGCTACAGGAAAGAGCTTAAGCCACTTCCATTGATACAACCACCCCTTATTTTAGCATTGCAACTCCACCATCTCTCTACTTTACCTACAGAACAATTTCCTTATCTGCCAGAACCTCCTCTTTCCAGAATATGCCTTGGAGAGATCACCTTCTATAATCAAAAGACCCCTCTAGGTATTTTTCAAGCAAAAGAGCAGACTTGTTTCTTCCACCTTCCAGAATGTGAAAGCAACTTCAGACATTTCTTTTTAGAATAGCAATTGGGCCGGGCAGGGTGGCTTACACCTGTAATCCCAGCATTTTGGGAGGCCAAGGCAGGCGGATCACTTGAGGTCGGGAGTTTTCTTTTTATTTTTTTTATTTATTTTTTAATTATTATTATTTTTTTAGCATTTATTGATCATTCTTGGGTGTTTCTCAGAGAGGGGGATGTGGCAGGGTCATAGGATAATAGTGGAGAGAAGGTCAGCAGATAAACACGAGAACAAAGGTCTCTGGTTTTCCTAGGCAGAGGTCCCTGCGGCCTTTGGCCCTGTTTGTGTCCCTGGGTACTTGAGATTAGGGAGTGATGATGACTCTTAACGAGCATGCTGTCTTCAAGCATCTGTTTAACAAAGCACATCTTGCACCGCCCTTAATCCATTTAACCCTGAGTTGACACAGCACATGTTTCAGAGAGCAGGGGGTTGGGGGTAAGGTTATAGATTAACAGCATCCCAAGGCAGAAGAATTTTTCTTAGTACAGAACAAAATGGAGTCTCCTATGTCTACTTCTTTCTACACAGACACAGTAACAATCTGATCTCTCTTTCTTTTCCCCACATTTCCCCCTTTTCTTTTCAACAAAACCGCCATCGTCATCATGGCCCGTTCTCGATGGTCGCTGTCTCTTAGGAGCTGTTGGGTACACTTCCCAGATGGGGCGGCCTGGCAGAGGCGCTCCTCACTTCCCAGACAGGGCAGCCGGGCAGAGGCGCTCCTCACTTCCCAGATGGGGCGGCTGGGCAGAGGCGCTCCTCACTTCCCAGATGGGTTGGCGGCCGGGCAGAGGCGCTCCTCACATCCCAGACGATGGGCAGCCGGGCAGAGGCGCTCCCCACCTCCCAGACGAAGAGCAGCCGGGCAGAGGCGCTCCCCACCTCCCAGACGAAGAGCGGCCAGGCAGAGGTGCCCCCCACTTCCCAGATGGGGCGGCCGGGCAGAGGTGCGCCTCACATCCCACAAGGGGCGGCCGGGCAGAGGTGCTCCCCACATCCCAGACGGGGCAGCCGGGCAGAGGCGCTCCTCACCTCCCAGACGATGGGCGGCCGGGCAGAGGCACTCCCCACCTCCCAGACGGGGCGGCCGGGCAGAGGCGCTCCCCACATCCCAGACGGGGCAGCCAGGCAGAGACACCTCTCACCTCCCAGACGGGGTGGCTGGGCAGAGGCGCCCACTTCCCCAATGGGGCGGCCGGGCAGAGGCACTCCCCACCTCCCAGATGAAGGGCGGCTGGGCAGAGGCGCTCCTCACTTCCCAGGTGGGGTGGCCGGGCAGAGGCGCCCCTCACCTCCCAGACGGGGCGGCCAGGCAGAGACGCCCCTCACCTCCCAGACGGGGCGGCCGGGCAGAGGCGCTCCCCACCTCCCAGATGAAGGGTGGCTGGGCAGAGGCACTCCTCACTTCCCAGGCGGGGCGGCTGGGCAGGGACGCCCCTCACCTCCCAGACGGGGTGGCTGGGCAGAGGCGCCCACTTCCCAGACGGGGCGGCCGGGCAGAGGCACTCCTTACCTCCCAGATGGGGCGGCCGGGCAGAGACGCCCCTCACCTCCCAGACAGGGCGGCCAGGCAGAGGTGCCCACTTCCCAGATGGGGCGGCCAGGCAGAGGTGCTGCCCACCTCCCAGACAAAGGGCAGCTGGGCAGAGGCGCTCCTCACTTCCCAGGCTGGTAGCTGGGCAGAGGCACCCCTCACCTCCCAGACGGGGCAGCCAGGCAGAGACGCCCCTCACCTCCCAGACGGGGCGGCCGGACAGAGGCGCCCACTTCCCAGGCGGGGCGGCTGGGCAGAGACGCCCCTCACCTCCCAGATGGGGTGGCAGCCGGACAGAGGCACTCCTCACTTCCCAGATGGGGTGGCAGCCAGGCAGAGACGCCCCTCACCTCCCAGATGGGGTGGCAGCCGGGCAGAGGCGCTCCTCACCTCCCAGATGGGGTGTCCGGGCAGAGGCACTCCTCACTTCCCAGACTGGGCAGCCGGGCAGAGGCGCTCCTCACTTCCCATTCGGGGCAACTGGGCAGAGGCACTCCTCACTTCCTCCCAGATGGGGCAGCTGGGCAGAGGCGCTCCTCACTTCCCAGAGGGGGTGGCCAGGCAGAGGTGCTCCTCACTTCCCATTCGGGGCAGCCGGGCAGAGGCGCTCCTCACTTCCTCCCAGACGGGGCGGCCGGGCAGAGGCGCTCCTCACATCCCAGAGGATGGGCGGCCAGGCAGAGACGCTGCTCACTTCCTAGACGGGGTGGCGGGCGGGCAGAGGCTGTAATCTTAGCACTTTGGGAGGCCACAGCAGGCGGCTGGGAGGTGGAGGTTGTAGCGAGCCGAGATCACGCCACTGCACTCCAGCCTGGGCAACATTGAGCATTGAGTGAGCGAGACTCCCTCTGCAATCCCAGCACCTCGGGAGGCCGAGGCGGGCAGATCACCCGAGGCCAGGAGCTGGAGACCAGCCCGGTCAACATGGCGAAACACTGTCTCCATCAAAAATACAAAAACCAGTCAGAAGTGGCGGCGCGTGCCTGGAATCCCAGGCACTGGGCAGGCTGAGGCAGGAGAATCGCCCACTGCAGGGAGGTTGCAGCGAGCCAAGATCATGGCGGTACAGTCCAGGCTCCGCAAGAGAGGGAGACCTTAGAAAGAGGGAGACGAGGGAGAGGGAGACCGTAGAAAGAGGGAGACGGGAGAGGTAGAGGTAGGGGGAGAGGGAGAGGGAGAGGGAGGTCGGGAGTTTGAGACCAGCCTGGCAATGTGCTGAAACCTTGTCTCAACTAAAAGTACAAAAATTAAGCTGGGTGTGGTGGCATGCGCCTGTAATCCCAGCTACTTGGGAGGCTGAGGCAGGAGAATTGCTTGAACCTGGGAGGCAGAGGTTGCAGTGAGCCAAGATGGCGCCACTGCACTCCAGCCCGGGCGATAGAGCAAAACTCTGTCTCAAAAAATAAATAAATAAAAAATTAATAAAATTAAATATAATAAAATAGCACTTGATCAATTTCTGTAAAACTTGTAAAATATGTGGGACAAAGTAGCAAACATAAGAAGCCGTATTTCTTCATTTCTTCCTGGCACCACAATTTCAAAAAGTCACTGACTCTGTGGGACAGGCAGCTCTCTGGAAAGATGCTTTGAAGACAAAACAGGAGAGAGCACATAGGCCCCCCACATCTCTTGCCTGAGTCACTATACTGCTTAAAAGATAAATGACCTGGTCCTTGCCTTGTCCTACACATAAGATAATGTCAGATGGGGTTAGTGATTATGCCTCTGTAATTTTTAACCAGATGTACTCTTACACCCAAACCTTGATGTGATTCTGCTTTAATGTAACTTCTGAGGAAGTTTGATGTGATTTTGCATGTACTGAACCCCCATCACCTGTATATAAGCAGTGAGATGAAAAACTGTACCAGAGCCGAGACTGCTCCCAGGCTCTAGACCTTGGTCCATAGTCCTCAGGAAGACTTCTAAATAAAGCTAGCCTTAATTCTTTAAAAGCGTGATGGTTGGCTGAGCACAGTGGCTCATGCCTGTAATCCCGGCACTTTGATAGGCTGAGACGGGCAGATTGCCTGAGCTCAGGAGTTCGAGACCGGCCTGGGCAACACGGTGAAACCCCATCTCCACTAAAAATGTAAAAATTAGCCGGGCGTGGTGGCACGCGCCTGTAGTCCCAGCTACTCAGGAGGCTGAGGCAGAAGAATTGCTTGAACCCTGGAGTTGGAGGTTGCAGTGAGCCGAGATCATGCCACTGCACTCCAGCCTGGCAACGGAGCGAGACTCCATCTAAAAAAAAAAAAAAAAAAATGCCTGATGCTTTTTCTTTAGTCAACAAATGAAATGAAAATTATTAGTATTCAAAGAGGGTTGGGTCTTCACTCTGTTTTTAGGATGTTGTCAAGTTTTACGATGGGAAATAAGTCCCGAAATCATAGAATTTAGGCAACCTTAGCAATCGTAGCTTACCTCGCTCATTTGTGATTCAGAAAATTGGAGCCCAAAGCAGTTTTGTGGTAGGTCCAAGGTCACTGGCAAGCCCCTCAGTGGAGAGCTAGCGCTAAAGTCTCCTCAGGACAGCCATAGCCAGGCTGAGAATAGTTTAATGGAGAAATGATCTAATTTAGGTGGTTCACCTGGCTTGTCAAGTACGACGAATGTGGCACAGAATTCTTAGAAACAGGACTTAAAAGTTTAAAGCATATACAAATGACATGCTTAGGCATGCAAAAATATGTGCATACATATTGATTGTACTGGTGAAACCTATCTGCCAATAGAGAAATTTATGTCATGCTGTCAAAAAATAGCGCTTCCTTTAGTGCAGTTCACACTACAATTCAAACTGTTCCAGAAAAATGTGAGTAAAATCTCATGCAAGTAAAAAATGTTGAGTCCTGGAGTCCCATCCAGACTTCAGTGTTTTTTGTTATTTGTTTTGGTTTGTTTGAAATAGGGTCTCGCTCTGTTGCCCATGCCCAGGATTGAGTGCAGTGGTACAATCACAGCTCACTGCAGCCTTGACCTCCCAGGATCAAGCGATCCTCCCACCTCAGCCTCCAAAGTAGCTGGGACTACGGGCATGTGCTACCATGCCTGGACAGACTTCAGTGTTGAGCCTATTTTTATCCCCTGAATAACTGCCTATAGGCAAGGACACTTGGTGATGTATAACCCTTAGGGCACTGCTCTCTGTCCCTAAAGCACACTTAAGTATTTTTTTCTGATTATAAAAAGAGTATATATTCATTTCATTGTAGAAATTTTGAAAACCACGGAAAACCAAAGAAAACAAAAACTACCTGTAATTCCATCATTAGAGGTAACCACAGATTACATTTGGTTTTAGCATATTTCCCTAAGACATTTTCTTTGCATTATAAATAACATATAACATATTTATACTTTTTTCCATAAGGGGGTTACCATGTATACTATACACATTGTTTTGTAGCCTGCTCTTTAAGCACCACAGCATAAGTATATCTCCCTGTAATTAAATATTCTTCACAAATGGGTTTTAAAGATACTATTATTTAAAAAATGGTTCCTTCCTAAAGAAGTACACACTAGGGCTAAGTTCATTTACTGAGCCCTTGAACTACTCGTAATGACCTTTGAGAGATCACTCAAGGTCAAGGCCAAGCCCTCTTTAACATGGCTTCATGACCTACTTCCCGGGCTTCTTTACTCCTCATTGCTCCATCCATGCTCAAACCCTAAGTGCCACAGATACCAGAATGAATTCCTGTAATAAAGCAGTTGGTCATTCAGCCAGTCCGTGTGTCTGTCTGCCCTCCTTCCTTCCCTCTCTCCTTGAGGTCTGAAAACCTACCCTGGTCTCTCTCTGGAAAGCTCTCTCTTATTGCAACTGCCTTACTCCTTACTCATCTTTTGGCTGTTAGCCTGGACTTCCCTCCTCGGGAAGCCTTCCCGGATCCCTCATGACCAGGTCAGGTGTCCCTTTTCTAGGTCCCCACAGCCTCCTCACTTCCCTATTCATAGCAGACAAGAAAACTTGTTAGGACAGGGACCATAACTGCCTAGTGTGTTCACAAAGTTGTATCCCCAGAACTGACAACAATATGTATCATATATTATATATTTATTTATTAGCTTATTGTTTATGTTATCTATTTCCCTATGAGAATAAAAGCACCATGAGTAGGGGTCTTGTCTGTCTTATTAGCTACTGAATCTAGCCCCAGTACCTAGAGTTCTGTTAACACCTCAAAGTATACTATTAGTATTAGTCTGTTCTCACACTGCTATAAATAAATACCTGAGACTGGGTAATTTATAAAGAAAAGAGGTTTAATTGGCTCATGGTTCTGCAGGCTGTACAGAAAGCAGGGAGGCTTCAGGAAACTTACAATCACAGTGGAAGGGAAAGAGGAAGCAGGTGGCCAGAGTAGGAGCAGGAGGGAAGAAGAAAGGTGCTACACTCTTTTAAAAACAACCAGATCTCATGAGAACTCACTCACTGTCACGAGCACAGCACCAAGAGGATGGTGCTAAATGATTCATGAGAAATCACCCCCATGATCCAATCACCTCCCACCAGGCCTCACTTCCCACACTGGGGATTACAGTTCTACATAAGATTTGGGTAGTGACACAGATTGAAACCATATCACCATTCCATATTTTTTTCTGTTTGTGGCTGTACATATATATGTGTGTATGTATTGTTTTTTACAGAAATGAGATAACTTTGCATACATTTTTTGTAACCTGCTTTTTTCACTCATCTATATATTGTAAATATAATTTCATGTTAGTAAAATCTTCTATAAGCATTTTTTTCTATCCATCTTCCATTGTTGGACCTTTAAATTATTTTCTGTCATAAACTTTAAAATAAATCCTAACCATCAGTACAGCCTATGAGCAGAAGGGAGCCTTTCTATTTGATTTATACACACATGGGGATTACAAGGTGACACAAGAGAGCTTTCCTTGCCCCCAGTCTTCTTGGTGTTCTGGAACCTGCCCCTTCAGATGGGGTCTGGGAGTAGGTTTGACCTGGCCTCCTTTCTTCCTTTTCTACCTTCTAGCTTTTTACTGCTCAGCTTGCAAGATGCTCAGTTTCCTCTGGTTTGTCCTGAAATGGAGCTGGGGAAGGGATAAAGAAAAGTGGCCTTTACCTCCCTCCCGCCAATGGTTCAGCCTCAGAGAGGAGTGATTACATGTTTCTTCTCTATTGTGTGTCCAGCCACACAATTTTTACAGAGCAGTAGGCTCAAATATCTGTCCTTGCTTGTTTGGGAAATGGTACTTCATTCAGTTTGCAAGCATTCAAAGAGCTTTTCTTTTCTAATTAAAATGCTGCGAACCACCATTTAGCTAAAGCTTTGCATCTATTTTCAATGATGGTTTTAGGAGAACATTCTAAAAGAGTAAGTTCTGGCTTAAAGGTTATATGCATTTTTATTTATTTATTTTGTTTTAATGAGAACAATTTTACTTTTTATTTTTTAAATTTTGTGTGTACACAGTAGGTGTATATGTTTATGGAGTACATGAGATGTTTTGACACAGGCATGCAATGTGAAATAAGCACATCGTGGAGAATGGGGTATCCATCCCCCAAGCATTTATCCCTTGAGTTACAAACAACCCAATTATACTCTAAGTTATTTTAAAATGTACAATTAAGCTATTATTGACGACAGTCACCCTACTGCGCTATCTAATAGTAGGTCTTATTCATTCTTTCTAACTATTTATTTGTACCTATTAACCATCCCCAACTCCCTTCCAGCCCCCACTCCCCTTCCCAGCCTCTGGTAACAATCCTGCTACTCTCTAGTCCAGGAGTTTAATTGTTCTGATTTTTAGATCCCACAAATAAGTGAGAACATGTGATGTTTGCCTTTCTGTGCCTGGCTTATTTCATTTAACATAATGATCTTCAGTTACATCCATGTTGTTGCAAATGACTGGGTCTCATTCTTTTTTATGGCTGAATAGTACTCCATTGTGTATATGTACCACATTTTCTTTATCCATTCATCTGTCAGTGGACACTTAGTTTGCTTCCAAATCTTAGCTATTGTAAACAGTGCTGCAACATAGAAGTGCAGATATCTCACCAATATACTGATATTCTTTCTTTTGAGTATATACCCAGCAGTAGGATTGCTGGATCATAATGGTAGCTCAACTTTTAGTTTTTTGAGGAACTTCCAAGTTGTTCTTCATAGTAGTTGTACAAATTTACACTTCCACTAAGAGCGTACAGGGATCCCTTTTCTCCACATCCTCACCAGCATTTCTTACTGCCTATCTTTTGGATAAAAGCCATTTTAGCTGATATCTCATTGCTATCAATGATGACATCTCATTGTAGTTTTGATTTGCATTTCTCTAATGGTCAATGATATTGAGCAGCTTTTCTATTTATTTATTTATTTTATTTGTGAGATGGAATTTTGCTCTTGTTGCTCAGGCTGGAGTGCAATGGCATGATCCCAGCTCACTGCAACCTCCGCCTCCTGTGTTCAAATGATTCTCCTGTCTCAGCCTCCCGAGTAGCTGGGATTACAGGCATGTGCTACCAAGCCCAGTTAAATTTTTTTGTATTTTTAGTAGAGACAGGGTTTCTCCATGTTGGTCAGGCTGGTCTCAAACTCCCGACCTCAGGTGATCCACCCACCTTGGCCTCCCAAAGTGCTGGGATTACAGGCATGTGCCCAGACTTGAGCAGCTTTTCATATGCCTGTTTGCCATTTGTATGTCTTCTTTTGAGAAATGTCTATTCAAATATTTTGTCCATATTTTGATCAGATTATTAGATTTTTTTCCTTTAGGGTTGTTTGAGCTCCTTGTATATTCTGGTTATTAACCCATTGTCAGATGGGTGGTTATATACTTTTTTCTTTTTTTTTTTGAGACGGACTTTCACTCTGTTACCCAGGCTGGAGTGCAATGGCACGATCTTGATTCACTACAACCTCCGTCTCCTGGGTTCAAGCGATTTCTGGCTAATTTTTGTATTTTTAGTAGAGACAGGGTTTCACCATATTGGCCAGGCTTGTCTCAGACTCCTGACCTCAAGTGATCTGCCCACCTCAGCCTCCCAAAGTGCTGGAATTATAGGCATGACCCACCGCACCCAGCTGTTATATGCATTTTTAAGTCTGGTGCATACATACTGTCAAATTGTCTTCCATGAAAATTGCACCAAGTTACATTCCCACCAGTGGTGTACAATAATGCCTCCCAACACCAGGGATAATCATATTTTTGGTAGGCAATTTGTGGTATCTCTTTTCATTAATGTGCATTTCCCTAACCCATATGTTTTTAGGTAATAGATTAAAAAGTGGTATCTTGTTGTTGCATGAATTTGCATTTTTCTAAAGCTTATTTCTTTTAAAAACTAATAATTTCAAAGTACATTTTTCTTTTTAGTAAACCAATAGAATTTTAAAATTTCCTCTATTAATTCTAAGATCACCTGAGACAAGAAGACAGCAGAGTTTTTAGTCACATCTCACAACCACACACTACAGGCGGTGGAGTTGAAAAGAAAGTGCTCATCTAAGCAACCTTACTGTTTTACAGATTTAAAAAGATAAGGCTGGGCGCGGTAGCTCACGCCTGTAATCTCAGCACTTTGGGAAGCTAAGGCAGGCGGATCACCTGAGGTCGGGAGTTCGAGACCAGCCTGGCCAACGTGGAGAAACCCTGTCTCTACTAAAAAATGCAAAATTAGCCAGGCGTGGTGGTGCATGCTTGTAATCCTAGCTACTCGGGAGGCTGAGGCAGGAGAATTGCTTGAACCTGACAGGCGGAGATTGCGGTGAGCCAAGATCGTGCCATTGCACTCCAGCATGGGCAAAAAGAGCGAAACTCTGTCTCAGAAAAATAATAATAAAATAAAAAATAAAAATAAAAATAGGTCGGGCGTGGTGGCACATGCCTGTAATCCCAGAACTTTGGGAGGCCAAGGCGGGCAGATTATGAGGTCAAGAGATCAAGACCATCCTGGCCAACATGGTGAAACCCTGTCTCTACTAAAAATACAAAAATTTGCTGGGCGTGGTGGTGCATGCCTGTAATCCCAGCTACTCAGGAGGCTGAGGCAAGAGAATCGCTTGAACCCAGCAGGCAGAAGTCACAGTGAGCCGAGATTATGCCACTGCACTCCAGCCTGGTGACAGAGTGAGACTCCATCTCAATAAATAAATAAATAAATAAATAAATAAATAAATAAATAAAAGGTCTAGTGGTTAAACAAAAATGTATCTTAATGAAAGCTGTGATAGTTTAATCAAACACAAAATGAGGTTATTTTGTAGCTGCAAAAATTTCTGTATATTTCAATTTAAACAATATTATGTAGCATGTACTGTACTTGGAAAAAGTTACTCAACAAGGTGCAGCAAGAAAACACAAAGATAAAACTCCTTTCAAGGACTCTATGTACAGAAGTAAGAGATTAATATCAACAAAGTGCTTGATGAAAAGCAAAGGGTTAACAAAGAAAATGTATAGAATGAAACTAAATTAATGAGGACAATTGATGACATAGTCGAATTTGTAGAAACTTGTCAGCATATAATGGAAATTTTTTTTTTTTTTTTTTTTTTTGGAGACAGAGTCTCACTCCATTTCCCAGGTGGGAGTGTGGTGGCGCGATTGTGGCTCACTGCAACCTCCACCTCCCAGGTTCAAGCAATTCTTCTGCCTCAGCCTCCTGAGTAGCTGGGATTACAGGCATGCGCCACCATGCCCAGCTAATTTTGTATGTTCAGTAGAGACGGGGTTTCACCATGTTAGCCAGGCTGATCTTGAACTCCTGACCTCAGGTGATCCGCCTGCCTTGGCCTCCCAAAGTGCTAGGATTACAGGTGTGAGCCTCTGCGCCTGGCAGGAAAATAATTTTTTAAGACTATTTTAGGGGTGTTTTTTTTATATTATTCTGGTGGGGAAAAAAACTTCACATATGACCACAGTTGTATGTACCTCCCATTAATCTGAATGTGGTTGTACAACAGCAGTTTCAGAAGATTGTGCTATCAGATGCCTCTATGTGGAGAAAGAATAGTCTATTCAATCAACAAGCACTCACTTATTCTAAACCTGATGCTATGAAGGATCTACTAAGATCAAAGACAAGGTCTTTCTGTCCTGGAAGGGTTTAGCCTAATGGACGAGAAAGACAAAGAAATAACACGAAACAGTGTGATAAGAGCTATTATCGTCCCATCTGAACCATTGTTGATTGGTCTCTGGGAGTTGTCAGCTCCAGGAAAGCTAGAAACAGGACAGACTGAGGTCAGATGCCAGAGACAGTAGGACCAAGATGCCAAAGCCTTGCCCAGAAGCACAGCACTGGTGTGGAGCTGAGGTCAGATAGCTGCCACGACGCTGGGGCCAGGCAGCTGGCTGGAAAGTGGAGCCAGGGCAAGCCTAGGGGACACATCTGAAGTCAGAAATGGCAGGGGATGGGGGAGAGGCAGAGCAAGGAAATGGGAAGCCTAAAGCAGGAGGCCAGCGAGAGTTTGTGGGAAGAACATTCTGTTGTGTGGGGGACTTTCTCAAGGCCCTATTGACCAACCCCAGGAAACAATCCACTGCTGACTTAAAGGCTATACTCACCAACCAAGTATCTAACTGTAGGGGTGGTATAAAGTGGTCGGGGAGTCATCAACCTGAATTTTTGAGGCTTCAAAGAAGAAGTAGCAGAGAATATGGTCTGGTCTGTTTGAAGGGTGGAAGACAGAAAGGAAATGGTGCAGGATGAGGCTGGTAAATCGGTACCAACAACCAACATTCATTGAGCACTTTCTCCGGGACAGGCCAAGTGTGAAGGGCTTCACACTCACGACCTTATTTAAGCCCCACAACAACCTTGTAGGATAAACTCTATTATTAGCTGCACTTCACAGATTAAGAAACTAAGAAACTTTGCAGATTAGAGAGTTTACATAATTTCTCTAAGGTTTCACACTATAATGTGAGTTCTAACTCCACAGCTCTATTATTAACTACTAAATATGCTCTGTGGGGCATGACTATAAAGAGGCTTTCTCAGACTACAAGTTCTGCACTTTCTCTTTTAGGCATGGTGATGCCTGTTTGGAGGTATAGCTTAATGTCATCAGAGTAAACTTTAGAGTCTTTGGATCTGAGTTCAAATCACAGTCCTATGACTTGGTGAGACTCCTTGTTCAATTTTCTTAGGCATCATTTTCCTGTTCTGAATTAAGAATAATAACAATGTCTTTTGAAATGTTGTGAGACTTAAATACGACAATGTACATGAAAGCATCGGTTGACTACAAAGCTAAACGTAAATGTTAACTGTTATGCGTTCTACTGTATTTTATATAAACCCTCAGGGCAGCCACGAAGCAGAGTGATATGAGAGCCATCTGGAGACTATTTTAATGATCCAGATGAAGGATGATGACAAGGGCCTACGCCAAGGCAGTGACAGTGAGGGCGGAGAGAAAGGACACATTTAAAGGATATTTAGGACGCTTTACAAAACAGAACCTAATGACAGATTGGATATAGAGAGAGAGAGAGGAAAGGGGGTCAGAATGATTCAGAGTTTTATGTTGAGTAATCGGGTGAATGGTGATGTCATTAATTAAGGAAGAAGAGTAGGTAGGATAATACGTTCTATTTCAGGAATATTGTGACGAGGTGTCTATGAGACATCCAGTAAGCGGAGATGTGAAATGTGAGTGGGACTATGAGGGGGGTGCTCAGAAAAGAAATGTGCCATAGATTCAGATTTGGACATCACTGGGCATTTGTGAGACTAAACCTCTGACAGTGGATGTGATGTCCAGGTAAGACATGAAGCAATGGTTTGTAGCTCTTTAAAGCCAAGGAACCTTTCCACTCACACACAAAATAAATGCTTATGCTAAAACCCAGTTTGCAAAACAGCTCAAAATGAAGCTTTTCTGGTTAAATCCAGAGTGAATTGCCTGGAGCCCACTTCTTGAGACAGCCTCTGAACAGGTTTAACTGAGCCCAGTTTGAGAACCACCTACATGAAGAACAGAAGAGGGTGAGTTAACCACTAAATGGAGTCTGAAAGAAAGCAGCTCATGCAAAATCAGACTGGAATTTTAGTTTTAGATTGTTTGTGAAGAGCTTTTTTGAAACTTTAATGATTTTGGAAACTTCACCCAGTTATTCGCGGTACTAACACTCATCCTGGCCTGCTCTTACGGATGTCTGACCCTGTATTTCAATGTCTATATGTGCCCACCAGAAGCTGCAGAGCCATTCAAATAAAGACAGTTGGCTGAGTTTCCAAGTCTCTCCTTCAAAGTTCATGCACATTAGTTTTCCTTCTTATCAGCAGAGGCTTGTCTTGTACACATCTGCTGGGTCATTCATGCTGAGATCACCACGTTTGTCCCAATTACCATGATTCTTATGTGATCTCTAAACTAGATAAATGCTCATCCACTCAAGCAGTTGTTTAATAAAAGTTATCTCAAATATTTAACTTGTAAGCTTTTTAAGAAGTCGAATTGGTGAAACCTTTTCTCCGAATTAAATCAATTGAGTCTGCTTATTATTTCAACACCGTTGAGGGTTTAATCCTAAATCCACTAAGGTATTAAATCAGAAACACCTAATCATATGATAAGGAAAGATAATAGGAGCAAGAAAAAAGAGCAGAGGGAGGCCAAAAGAAAGAAGCAAGGACATCGGGTGATCATATTAAGAGCTACTTTAAAAACAAAAACAATAGCACTCTAACATATCAGTGATCTAACACAATAAAAATTTATCTCTCACTCAAAGTTCAACGTTGTGGATATTTATGATTGGCATGTGATGGTTCATTTTGTGACTTGGGTACCCTTTTAGAGCCTCTACTTCTTTGCCTGGATCCTTTGCCACTCAGCGAGTAGATTGTGGACGAGAAGACTGGCAAGGGAGAGGTTTCTATGGGCCAGGCTGAAGGTGGGCGCATCACTTCTGTGTAAGTTCCCTCGGCCAGAATGAGCCACAGAGCCATGCTTATCTGCAAGGGGAGTTGAGAAGTATCTAGCTGTGTCCCCAGAGCTAAATGGAAGTGGAGAAAGTGAGCAGCAGCTAGTCTTTGGTACAGATGAAACAAAAAGTGCCCGTGCACAGGTTTTGTAAAAATTAGGAAAAATGAATCCCTGGTACATAAAAATTTTCAGCCTGGGATTCTTCTTATATGGAAACCTTAGTCCCAAGGTCTGAGAGAGGTGCATATTGAATACTCCCAACCCTGTCACAAATATCAGTTAATTCCTAGATAGGAGGGAATTACTATGTTTTTCAGATGTACCAAAGAAAATGTTCATCAATTTTATAGATAAAATCCAATTCTTAAAACATTAAGAAAATATTTTATTTCAAATAATGAAATAAAATATATTTGTATTTGATGCAGCTGAGCATTATTATATAAACTTTTCCTTTACAAACTTATAAAAACTTGTTCACATTCTTACCCCAAAAAAAGTTTTCAAAAAGCTAAACACTTACCCACTGAGTCATAGAATAATTGGAATTCTGACAGGAAGATAACTGTAAAGCAGTTCTTTAAAGAGGAGTAGCACTCTGCTTTATTTAAACCGCACAAAGTAGGTAAGCGTTTTGTGGGTCGTGGATTTTCTAATTCAAGGTGTTATGCAATATGCAGCTGGGCTTTGAATGGCTTCCTCCTTTGTTCTTCTTGCACGCACATGCCATTTGGTGACATCCTGAGGTCTGGGAGGCTATTGGATTAGACTTTCTGAAAAGGAAAGGTTATTCTACACCATGTATAAGAAAAAGCTTTGATGATTCACAAAATTAAAGCTTTTTACTTCCCAGCAGGGGAGATTTCCCAGCCAATATGTTGAAAGGAAAGTGGCTGTATTAAAACTTGCTCCCTGATAGAAACAGAGATCCCAGCTGGCTTTCGCAGGAGGGACAGAGCATTATGATGATGTTGATTAGACAACTTTTAAACAGCACCAGTAGACAAAGACATTTTCAGCCTCCAAAAAAGAAATGGAATGAGTGCCAAGTCTGCATTTTGTGGAGAGTATAAGGCTTGTTCCAGCAAATGTTTTCTCATTATAGAGTAATGCTTGAGGAAGCACACATCAGTTTCGTGCCTCTTCATGATTTGTCTTCCATCTCTTTCTTGTCACCTTTTTAATTGCACTCAGTGTTTTTGCTTCTTCTGCTTGAAGAGAGCACTGAAACAATGTGTATTGGTTTGTAATCAGCATCAGACTTGACTACTTAGTAATTTGTAAAGAGCTTTAAACTCAGTAAAAGAAGGTCTTGGTAGATGTTTCCTTTTGGGGGCATATCAAAAGAAAGTTGTCTTTTTCTTTTCTTCCCCATTTTATACAGATTTTTTAATGCCAGAATTCTATCCTTAATGTATTTTGATCTATAATCATTCTGATTAGACAGCCATTGCAAAAATATCCATAAAACAAGCAGTTCTCCAATTGTGCCTGCAGCATGGTATTTTATGGAGTATGTTAAGTAGAACACCATGGTTCCCGAGGTAATTATAGGTGCTATGTGAATGCAGAATGTATTCATTAATAACAGAATTAATTATTCCAGAATTTATTATATGACTCACATATAACAGAAAAGTCACCCTGTTTCAATTCTCTTTGAATCCTTTTGTCAAGGAGAAAGTTTCAACTTAATGACATTTTTCCAAGCTCTTTTTAATGAGACAAGTTTCAGGCTGAGCATCATCAGCAGACAATTTTATCTACCTCGAACTTAATTACATTTTATTCTCCTTACTTTTATTTTTATTTTTCATCTATGTATAGCAGGTGAAACAGATTGCCCAGTTATCAAATGATACACAGTTTTCTTATAAAATAGTTATAATGCTTAAAAGGGAGTCACTTTAAAGGAAAATATCAAATGGTAAGAGTAAGTGATTTATAGAACTCAACAATGAAGCTATCAGATCCTGGACTTTCATTTGATGAGAGACTTTTTTTATTACCGTTTCAATCTCTTTACTGGTTATTGATTTGTTCATATATTCTCTCTCACCTCTCTCTTGTTTTTTTTTTTTTTTTGAGACGGAGTTTCACTCTTGTTGCCCAGGCTAGAGTGCAGTGGCGGGATCTCAGCTCACTGCAACCTCCGCCTCCCACGTTCAAGCAATTCTCCCGCCTCAGTCTCCTGAGTAGCTGGGATTACAGGCATGCTTCACCACACCAGCTAATTTTGTATTTTTAGATGAGATGGGCTTTCAACGTGTTGGTCAGGCTGGTCTTGAACTCCTAACCTCTAGTGATCCACTCACCTCGGCCTCCCAAAATGCTGGGATTATAGGCATGAGCCACTGCGCCTGGCCATATGTTTTATTTCTTCATGATTCAGTCTTGGTAGGTTATATGTGTTGAGGAATTTATCCATTTCTTCTAGCTTATCCAATTGTTGTCATATAATTTGTTCAGAGTAATCTCTTATGATCCTCGGTATTTCTATGGTATCAGTTGTAATATCCCCTCTTTCATTTATTTAGAGAAAGTCTTCTTTAAAGAGAGAGTCTTTCTCTTTTTTTCTTAGTCTAGTTAAAGGTTTGTCAATTTTGTTAATCTCTTCAAAAAGCAAACTCAATTTCATATAAAGAAGAACATTTGAAGAACTAATACTTAATGTTTCTCAAACTCTTTCAAAAAAATTGAAGAAGAGGGAATACTTCAAACTCATTTTGCAAGGCCAGCATTACCCTGATACCAAAGCCAGACAAGGACACTATCAGGAAAGAAAATTATAGGCCAATGTTCCTGATAAACATAGATGCAAAAATCCTCAACAAAATACTAGCAAACCGAGCTCAACAGTACATCGTAAGAATCATTCACTATAATCAAATGGGATTTATCCCAGGGATGCAGGAATGGTTCAACATACACAAATCAGCAAATGTGATACGTCATATTTAAAGAATTAAGGACAAAAATCATATGATTATCACAATAGATGAAGAAAAAACATTGGACAAAATTCAACATTCTTTCATAATATAAACTCTCAACAAATTAGATATAGAAAGAATGTACCCCGATACAATAAAGGCCATATGTGACAAACTCACAGCTAACATCACACTCAGTGGAGGAACAAGAAAAGGATACTCGATTTCTCACCATTTCTGTCCAACATAGTACTGGAAGTCCTAGCCAGAACAGTTAGGTGAGAGAAAAAATAAAAGGCATCCAAATTAGAACAGAAGAACTTAAGTTGTCTCTGCAGACAACATGATCTTATATATAGAAAACCCTAAGTCCTTCACCAGAAAAATGTTAGAATTAATAAACAAATTCAGTAAAATTACAGGATAGAAATTCAAAATACAAAAATCAGTAGAGTTTCTATGTAGTACAATGCAGTATCTGAAAAAGAAATTTTTAAAAATCCTATTTACAGATAGCGGCAGCGAGGGGCTCGCTGACGTGCTTGGATTCTCGTAGCTGTGCTGGGATTTAACCACCATGTCAAGCAAAAGAGCAAACACCAAGACCACCAAGAAGTGCCCTCAGCACACGACATCCAATATGTTTGCTGTGTTTGATCAGTCACAGATTCAGGAGTTCAAAGAGGCCTTCAACATGATTGATCAGAACAGAGATGGTTTCATCGACAAGGAAGATTTGCAGGATATGCTTGCTTCATCCGGGAAGAGTCCAACTGATTGGTATCTGGATGCCATGATGAATGAGGCTCCAGGCCCAATCAGTTTCACCGTGTTCCTCACCATGTTTGGTGAGAAGTTAAATGGCACAGATCCTGAAGATGTCATCAGACATGCTTTTGCTTGCTTTGATGAAGAAGCAACTGGCACCATTCAGGAAGATTACCTGTGAGAGCTGCTGACAACCATGGGGGGATGGGTTCATGGATGAGGAAGTGGATGAGCTGTATAGAGAAGATCCTATTGACAAAAAGGGAAATTTCAATTATATTGAGTTCACATGCATCCTAAAACATGGAGCAAAAGACGAAGATGACTGAAAGAACTTCAAGTTCCAGCCAAACATTCCTTGTTGCCACTTGGGGTATTTCTGAGATTTTTCTCTTGCATGCCCTTAGCTTTACAGCTTTTGCATTTCCTGTTGTATTTATTCTCAGCCATTTGGGGCACCTGTATCTTTATACTCAGACTGGAAATGGGACTTTCTATTAATATCATTTTCAGAATAGAAAATAGGGTAATTGGCCAGGCACGGTGGCTCATGGCTATAATCCCAGCACTCTGGGAAGCCAAGGCAGGTGCATCACGAGGTCAGGAGTTCAAGACCAGCCTGACCAACATGGTGAAACCTGGTCTCTACTAAAAATACAAAAATTAGCCAGCATGGTGGTGCACACCTGTAATCCCAGCTACTTGGGAGGCTGAGGCAGAAGAATCGCTTGAACCCAGGAGGTAGAGGTTGCAGTGAGCCAAAATTGTGCCACTGCACTCCAGCCTGGGCAACAGAGCGAGACTCCGTCTCAAAAAAAAAAAAAAAAAAGAAAGAAACCAGGCATAGTTGCTCACGCCTGTAATCCCAGCACTTTGGGAGGCCAAGGCAGGTGGATCCAAAGGTCAGGAATTCAAGACCAACCTGACCAACATGGTGAAACCCCATCTCTACTAAAAATACAAAAATTAGCCGGGCGTGGTGGCATGGGCCTGTAATCCCAGCTACTCAGGAGGCTGAGGCAGGAGAACTGCTTGAACTTCGGAGGCAGAGGTTGCAGTGAGCTGAGATTGCGCCACTGCACTCTAGCCTGGGCGACAGAGCAAGACTCTGTCTCAAAAAAAAAAAAAAAAAGAAAAAGAAAACAGGGTAATTAAACCTACCAGCCCCTCCCCACTAATAACTGTGATCTATACAGTGTCAATATATTTTTTCAGAGAAAGTTATTTGTTCATTTTTTTCTGAACCATAATTAAACTTTATGGTAAAATTTTAAAATTTTTTTAAAATCCTATTTACAATAGCTACCAAAAAATTTAAACAGGAATAAATTTAACCAAGGGGGCAAAAGACTTATACGCTGAAAATTATAAAACATTGATGAAAGAAATCGAGGAAGACACAAATAAATGGAAAGATATCCCAAGTTTATGGAAAGGAAGAATTAATATTTTTAAAATGTCTATACTGTCCAAAGTGATCTACAGATTCAATGCAATTTCTATCAAAATACCAATGACATTTGTTCACAAAAAATAGAAAAAAAATCCTAGAATTTATATAAAGCCACAAAAGACCCCAAATAGCCAAAGCAATCTTGAGCAAAAAGAACAAAGATAGAGGAATCATACTATCTGACTTTAAAATACACCACAGGCTGCTATTCTGGGCATGCTGCCTATGGGGTAGTCCTGCTTCACAAGGAGCAGTAAAATATATTTTAAAATAAAATACAGTACAAAGCTATAGTAATCAATGCAGCATGGTACTGGCACAAAAATAGACACAGAGTCCAATGAAACAGAATAGACAGTCCAGAAATATTAATAAATCCACGTGTTTATAGTCAATCGATCTTCCACAAAGGTGCCAAGAACACACAATGGGGAATGGAAAATCTCTTCAATAAATTGTGTTGGGACAATTTATTGTGTGTGAGAACAACCTGGCCAACATAGTGAAACCCCGTCTCTACTAAAAATACAAAAATTAGCCAGATGTGGTGGTGCATGCCTGTAATCCCAGCTACTCAGGAGGCTGAGGCAGGAGAATCACTTGAACCCAGGAGGCAGAGGTTGCCGTGAGCCAAGATCATGCCACTACACTCCAGCCTGGGCAACAGAGCGAGCCTCTGTCTCAAAACAAACAAACAAACAAAAACCAAAATATAAGGAATGCTGTCTTAATCTCTCTGTGTTGCTATAAAGGAATACCTGAGGCTGGATAATTTACAAAGGAAAGAGGTTTATTTGGCTCATGGTTCTGCAGGCTGTACCAGAAGCATGGCATTGGCATCTGCATCTGAGGGCTCAGGAAGCTTACAATCATGGCAGAGGGGAAGGCGAGCCTGTGTGTGCAGAGATCACATAGTGAGAGAGAGAGAAAACAAGAGAGAGGGAGGAGGAGGTGCCAGGCTGTTTTCAACAACCAGTTCTCTTGGGAACTAAGAGTGAGAACTCAGTCACTTGAGAATGGCATCCAGCCATTCATGAGAGACCCCTCATGACCCAAACACCTCCCACCAGGCCCCACCTCCAACAATGGAGATCAAATTTCAACATATGACTTGGCAGAGCCAAACTATAGGAAACTCAAACAACTCAACAGGAAAAAACAAATAACCTGATTTTTTAAATGGGAAAAAGGATCTGAATAGACATTTCTCAAAAGAAGACATACAATGAATGGCCAATAGGTTTATGAAAAAATGCTCAAAATTACTAGTCATCAAAGAAATGCTAATTAAAACCACAAAGAGATATCACCTCACACCTGTTAGAATGACTCTTATCAAAAAGACAAATGATAACAACTATTGGAGAGTGGAGAAAAGGGAACCTTTGCACACTGTTGGTGGGAATGTGACTTTGTATAGCTATTACGGGAAGCAGTATGGAGGTCCTTCAAATAACTAAAAATAGAACTATCATAGGATCCAGCAATCCCACTACTGGGTGTATATACAAAGGAAATGAAATCAGTATATTGAAGAGATATCTGAACTCCCATGTTCACTGCAGCATTAATCACAATATCCAAGATGTGGAATCAACCTAAGTGTCCATGAATAAATGAATGGATAAAGAAAATGTGGTACAGTCATCCCCTAGTATCCATAGGACCTTCCTCAGATACTAAAATCCGTAGATGCTCAAGTCCCTTACATAAAATGGTGTGGTATTTGCATATAACCTATACACATCCTCCTGCACACTTTACATCATCTCTAGATTACTTAGAACTCCTAATACAAGTAAATGTTCTGTAAGTGGTTATTATATTGTCTTATTTAGGAAACAATGACTAAAAGTCTGTACGTGTTCTATACAGATGCAACTATTCATTTTTGAATATGAATTGAATATTTCAATTCATAGTTGGTTGAATCCACAGATGCAGAACTCACAGATATGAAGGGTCGACTGCATATATACATAATGGAATAATATCCAGCCTGAAAAAAGAAGGAAATTATGTCAACAAGATGGATGGAATTGGGGAATATTGTGTTAAGTGAAATAAACTAGGCACAGAAAAACAAATACCACATAATCTCACTTATATGTGGAACCTAAAAATGTTGAGCTCATAAAAGCAGGAAAAAAATGGTGGGTCCTAGGGGTTGAGAGCGGGGCTGAGATATTGGTCGAACAGTACGAAATTTCAGTTAGATAGGAGGAATAAATTCAAAAGATCTACTGTACAACATGGTCATTATAGGTAAGAAGAGTGCATTCTTGAAAATTGCTAAGAGAGTAGATTTTAAGTGTTCTCACCACAAAAAAGTACGTGAAGTAATGCATATGTTAATTAGCTCGATTTAGCCATTCTACAATGTATACATATTTCAAAACAACATATTGTACGCAACAAATATATACTCTAAAAATGAATAAAAATAAGTAAGTGGGCCAGGCACAGTGGCTCACGCCTTTAATCCCAGCAATTTGGGAGGCCCAGGCAAGTGGATCACTTGAGGTCAGGAATTCGAGACCAGCCTGGCCAATATGGTGAAACCCCATCTCTACTAAAAATACAAAATTAGCCAGGTGTGGTGGCACACGCCTGTAGTCCCAGCCACTTGGGAGGCTGAGGCAGAAGAATTGCTTGAACCAGGGAGGCAGAGGTTGCAGTGAGCTGAGGTCATGCTACCGCACTGCAGCCATCTCAAAAAATATATATATATATATGCATCTGAAGTTGAAAACCACTGCACTAAATCCCTTATAAGGCCTATATAGCTGTAAGCTTCTGTCATTCTTTTTTTTTTTTTTTTTTTTGAGATGGAGTCTCATTCTGTTGTCCAGGCTGGAGTGTAGTGGTGCAATCTCGGCCCACTGTAACTTCTGCCTCCCAGGTGCAAGTGATTCTTGTGCCTCAGCCTCCCGAGTAGCTGGGACTACAGCTGCATGCCACCATGCCCAGCTAATTTTTGTATTTTCAGTAGAGACAGGGTTTCACCATGTTGGCCAGGATGGTCTCGAACTCCTGACCTCAAGTGATCTGCCCACCTCGGCCTCCCAAAGTGCTGGGATTACAGGCATGAGCCCCCACGCCCAGCCACTTCTATGATTCTAATAGGCCATGTAAAATATTGTATTGACATAATCAAGAAAGATACCTTAGCATTCCATGCAACTAGTTAAATGAAACAGCTTAATTGCCATCATTCATGGATTTAGATATTCACATCTGTATTGCATGCATATTACAATTTGACACAAGAACTGTACTGGGGATCTGATGGTGAGCAAGACAGATGTGGTCTCCTCTCATAGAACCAACAATCTCATGGAAGAAGAGTTAAATAAACACACCCCAGTGTTTCTATGCCGGAGATCGTTAGGGTAAAATGGGAGTACATAGAAGGGGCATCCTCAGTAAATCTTAAATTGTATTATTCAAATTCTCTAAATAAAAATCAAAACATCCTTCTGTATGGTTGGTATTCTATTTACCTGGTCTAGCAGCTTATGATAATGCAACATGTGCCAAAAAGAAAAGCTAGAGGTTTGAAAATTTCAGGTTTGTGTTTGCTGTCTGTACACACAAATAAATGCTCAAGTTGACACTGGACATCTGTGTAGCCCCAAAACAAAAGCAAGAATGAAATTCCCTCCTTTCACCCCCTTCCTACCCGGAAGGCACTTTTAGAGATATTGCATTGCTTGTATAAAATTTAGACTTTCATTTACAATCTGCTTGAACTCAGAATAGCAATAAGATGGAACCTATCTCAAGGATTCAACTAATGATGCATGCCATTTCATTTAAATAATAAATGGACCACATTCTGATGTTCTGGCTCTTTGGAGAAATTATCAACACTGTGATTTACATAGAAATAGACACGATTTGAAATCAAAAGAAAATCTTCACTCACAGAACAGCTCTTGCATTAGGTAATTTTTGCTGAAATAAGCTTTTTTTTTTCTAAAAAGCTAAGAAGGATAAAATCATGTGATTGTTAAACCAAATTAATTCCATTTTAATTTTCTAAAGCAATGGGTCACAGTTAAAAGTACTGGGTGACCGACATTAACTCTTTCAAGTAATATATACTGCAGTGGTCTTGAATAGTATCCTAGCAACCTAGAAATGTTCAGGAAATTTCCAATAGAATATATATTGAATGCCAGCATCGCCACACGAGGATCAGTGCTGTTGTATTAACTTTGCATTATATTAACTGACACATGAGGTATATATAGACAAAAGATCGGAGTTCCCCAGCAGTGAAGACATGCAACTTTCCATAAACATGGGCTTCCCTCCTTCAGCCATAGCATGGACCATGAGCCACTCTGCCTGGTGCAGTACTATCCAAGGACTAGGTAAGAAAGGACAGCCACTCAGGTCTCGTGGTGCCAGGGGCTCTGTGGCTTCCTTCTTAGTCAAACAAGTGCACGGTCTTTCTGCCACTAAATTCAGGCAATGAGAACTTTTTATATGAAGAGTGTTGTTGCCAGTTCACTCCCCAATCCACTCTTGCTATGTTCTCTCGAGCACTCTGATTTTTCCCCATATACTCTGGGTCAATTCCAACTCACCCCATGTATAAAACAAAGTGGGTTTTATTTTATTTTAATGTCTTATCATCCTACCAAATTCAACATGCCCAGAATTGAGCCCAACAGCTTCCCTGGGGCCTCTGTACTTCCCAGACAATCAGCTCTCCCTCCTTATTTTTAGTGTCTGACACCAGTAGACACCATCCTCTTCCTCATCATTCTTACTAGAAAGCTTGGCGTTGTTTTGGACTTTTTCCTCTGCTTAACACTTTACTTCCAAGCCCCAGCGAGCTCCGCCATCTCTCCCTCTTCATTCCAGTTCCTCCCACCCTGCCTCAGCCCCTTGTGGTTTTGTGTCCCAATAACCTAAGAACTTCTTCCTAGTCTCCTTTGCCTCCCACATTACCCTTAAGCCATCCGGACTACATTTTGTCGCTAGACAAGTTTTCCTAGTCAGCCTCTCCTGCTTTTAGGAACTCCCAGTGCTTCTCTACCAACGAATGCACTGCTGAGGATAACAATAACAGTGATGGCAAGTGATGACAGCAACAACCTCTACCACGTCTGAGCATTCTGTACCAGGCCTGGGACAGACACTTTATACACACACCATCACGGATTTTTACAAAAGCCACACGGAGTAGCTATGATGATCCCTAGTTCACAGGGAAGCAAACAGAGCATCGGAGTGTTTAAATGACTTGCCCAAGATTCCACATGGACAGGACAGAGTTCCAAGTCCAAGTCTAACCCCATACTGTATGTGTTATGCCATGTTGCTTTCAAAAAGCTTGGATTTCCAGTTTGGTTCAAATGTGAGTAGAACCTTCTGATCTAACCTTATTGCTTACTGCTCTCTGACAGGCACCTACTACTTAGGAAGGTCCAGTGTGCGTCTCTCAAGTGCTGTCCTCCCTAACTTTGCCTTAGTGTACCCCTCACCCCAGGAATGTTCTCCTTCTACCTTCTGTTTATCTAAATGTTACTCATTCTCCAAGGTTCTGATCAAGTTCAACCTTCACCACAGGCTACTCTCAAAGCAGTGTATTCCACCCTGGTATTCTCTCTTCTAAGAGTTAACATGTGGTCAGTCCTCCACACTTTATTTGTTCACAGTTTTGTCTCTCCAGTTAGACATGATACTAGAGTATAATAGGCAGGGTGCAATGGCTTCACATCTGTTATCCCAGCACTTTGAGAGGCCGAGATGGAAGGATCGCTAGAGCCCAGGAATTTGAGACCAGCCTGGACAATATAGTGAGACCCAGTCTCTACAAAAAATACAAAAATTAGCCAGGCATAGTGGCTTGTGCCTGTAATCCCAGCTACTAGAAAAGCTGAGGTGAGAGGATCTCTTGAGGGCAGGAGTTTGAGGCTGCAGTGAACCATGATTGTGCCACTGTACTCCAGCCTGGGCAATAGAGCGAGACCCTGTCTCAAAAACAAAACCCTGTGGTTTTGTTGTTGTTGTTTTTTTTTTTTTTTTTTGAGACAGAGTTTCACTCTTGTCACCCAGGCTGGAGGCAATGGCGTGATCTCAGCTCACTGCAACCCCTACCTCCTGGGTTCAAGTGATTCTTCTGCCTCAGCCTCCTGAGTAGCTGAGATTACAGGCGCCCGCCACCACGCCCAGCTAATTTTTGTATTTTTAGTAGAGATGTATTTTCACCATATTGGCCAGGCTGGTCTTGAACTCCTGACCTCAGGAGATCCACCCACCTTGGCCTCCCAAAGTGCTGGGATTATAGGCATGAGCCGCCGTGCCCGTCCCAGACCTGTGTTTTGATTCTATTTTCTGGCTATGGGAACTCACACTACTTGCCTTCTTGAAGCTGTTTCCTCATCTGTAAAAGAAGATAAGAATTCTTATTTGACAAGGTCGTTACACAGTATAATGAGATAAAAACATGTAAAGCCCTTTCCAGAGTACTTGGCAGCCTCTACATGTGAGTTTCTTTCCTCTTTGAGGGTAAGGCTATGACTCAGACTTGCAGAGCGATCACATTAGCAACAGTTCATGGGTTTTCAGTTGTATAACAGGATACTGAGTTGCTTGTTCCAACTGAGGCTTTGAGATGCAAGAGAAAATATTCCAAGTATCCAGAACCAATTTCAGGACACCTCTCACTCCAAGGGGAGAGAGAAGAGAGTGAGAGCGAACTGGGGAAGTGAATCTGTGATAAGAATTTCCCTGAAGGGAAAGCAGGGACTCGAACAGGTACTTGAATATCCACGTTCATGGCAGCATTATTCACAATAGTCAAAATATGGAAGCAACCTAAGTGATCACTGACGCCTGCATGCATAAACAAACTGTGGAATGTACGCACAGTGGAATATTACTCAGCCTTAAAAAAGAAAGGCAATTCTACCACATGCTGCACCATGGATGAACCTTGAACAGATTATGCTGCTAAAGAAGCCACTCACAAAGGTAAAATATGTTTCCTATAAGTACCTAGAGTAGGTACTTATATGAGGTACTTGGAATGTTGTATGGAATGTTGCATGCTTCCTGTAAGTACCTATTGTAGGTACTTATATGAGGTACCTGAAGTAGTCAAATTCACAGAGACAGAAAGTAGAATGGTGGTTTCCAGGGGTGGGGAGAGAAGGAAATAGTGTTTAATGGGAACACGGTTTAAATTAGGGGTGATGAAAAATTTCTGCTTATGGATGATGGTGATGGTTTCATGAGAATGTGAATATATTTAGTGCAAAGGAACTATACACTTAAAGATGTTTAAGATGATAGATTTTATGTTACATGTACTTCACCACAATAAATAATTTTAAAAAAAGAAAGAAAGAAAAAGAAAGGGTGGAAAAGTGATGCAGCCTGCCCAAATTTTCACCCTGTGGCAAGAGGACGGCCCGCACTGAGCAGGTTTACAAGGACATGAGGGACACAAGTGAAGTCCCATTTGTCTTTACAGCACCTGAGTCCACTGGTTCAAAGGGCAAGTGACACAAGTATAGAAAAACTGACTCAAACGGGCTTAAACTATAAAGTGAATTTATTGGCTGAGACAATTGCTCTAGATCTGTGGTTATCAAACTTTAAGGAGCAGGCAAAGCTTGTGAAAACACAGCTGGCTGGACCCCACCCCATGCTTCTGACTCAGGAGGGCTGGGGTGGGACACGAAGGTTTGGCTTTGCAGCCACTGCTGTGGGACGCTGTGGCTGCTCTGAGAGCCCTGTGTCCTGGAACGCGCATGTGTCACGGGTCTGGGGCTCTGCTTCCCCAGTCTCTTGCTTCTCCCCTCCATCTTCCAATTTACCGGCAAGCTGATTATCCCCACAAGAGCTGAAGTGTCTGCCCCAGCTCCAGGTCTCACCTCTGCATACCACATTGTCTAGAACAGGAGAAATGCCCTGCATCCCCAGCATTCCTGGAACAAGCCGAACTAGATCACTTTAGCTCTGAAGCCCGTTTCAACTAGTTACCCTGGCCAGGTGTGGAGGCTGTGGATTGGCCTCTGCTTGGTGCTGGGGGTGCCTCCAACTTCCCTAGAACCACTGGATCCCAAGGGGAAGCATGGAGGGAGAAATAGATGGTGGGGGCCGGGCGTGGTGGCCCATGCCTATAATCCCAGCACTTAAGGAGGCCAAGGCAGGCGGATCACCTGAGGTCAGGAGTTCCAGACCAGCCTGACCAACATGATGAAACCCCAACTCTACTAAAAATTAGCTGGGAGTGGTGGCTAACGCCTGTAATCCCAGCTACTCGGGAGGCTAAGGCAGGAGAATCACTTGAACCCAGGAGGTGGAGGTTGCAGTGAGCTGAGATTGCACCATTGCACTCCAACCTGGGCAATAAGAGTGAAACTCTGTCTCAAAAAAAAAAAAAAAAAAAAACAGAAAGAAAGAAATAGATGGTGGGGAGGAAGTCAACATGTGTCTCCAAACCCAGAAGAGAAGCTTGAGGTTGGCAGAGGTTAGATCACGCGAGCCATGCTCAGGGGCTTAGAGCTGAGCCTGAAACCAGAGGACAACCACGGAATGATTCGAATCAGAGGAGGGACATAATCCATTTCAGCAAGATGGCTCAGGCACAAGTTGGAAGAAGGACTGGGGAGGAGGACTTGGAAGGTTAAGGATAGCGGCAACGCTGAGTGCTCTCCCTGACCCTTGCATCCTGCCCTTTAGAGGCCTGATCCTATCCTGGGCATTCCCCACCCCACACCCTGCTCTATTTTTTCTTTATTCCCTTTCTTCAGACACTTCACACCTAGCATGCTGCATTCTTCACTTATTATGTTTATTATTTCTTATTTGTCTGCTCTGCTAGAATATCAGCTCCATGAAGGCAGGAATCTTTGTTTGTTGGATTCAGTGATGTATCCCCAGTACCTTGAACAGTGTCTGGCACATAATAGATGCACAATACAAGTTTGCTAAATGAATGAATTTCATATGAGAACTCACTATATTTGTCTCTGTGTCTGTCTAAGCTGGTCCTTTTGCCTCAATTCTCTTATTCTATTTCACCTTCAGACTTTCCAGGTTTAACAAAGGCTTCAGCCTGGGATTCTTCCCTGATTACAAACCTTGAGCTGCCACCACCCATTCCCTGTATTCCCTTGACATTCACTTGTCACAGTGCATTGTTCTCTCCTGCCTTTCCCATAAACTGGTGTCTCCAAGAGGGCAGGACAGAATGTTATTGGTCTCTACATTGCAAACATGTAGCACAGTGCCTGATGTGTTGGAGCAGCAATAAGTTTGTTGAATTAATGAGCCAATGAACAGTTACATAAACAAATAAGTACTGCCCAATTAGTACTTGTTAAATGGAAGAACAAGAAACAAAACACAAGTGGCTCTGATAGTTGGTTTTCTATGTAACCATTCTCATCCCTGATATTAACAAATAGAAAAATGATTTTGCTTGCCTGAGCTCTACTTGCTCTAGTTCTGCTGTGCTCATGATAGCTTGCTCTTTGAATCCATTAATGGCAAAGCCTCCCTTCAGAAACTGTCATTTTAGAGTCTCTGCCATAAGAACTGAGCTCTTATGTTTAGCAGCAGGGATGGAATTGACTGAAGGATGGAACAAAATCAATTTTCGCTGTGTCTGCAGCACTGCCACTACTGCAGAGCCAGCTACCAAACCCAAGTTAGCAAGGACAGCCTCAGCAGGGCCACCCATCCTGGAGACACCGACAGCACAGCAAGGACAGAGGGGGCTCACGAGGGTCACAGAGCAGCTCAAGTTGTCCTGAAGACAGCCTGGCTGTGTTCTCTTCCACGTAGCTGTCAGGCTTGGTTTCCTTCCTCAGGCAAGGAAGAAAATACATTGACAGACCTATCTGGCAAGCCAAGATCTCTGGGATCTGTCCCTCTCTCAGGAAATTATCTTTTCTTACATAATTGCAGATTTTTTTAATAGCTGGAAGGAATTTTCAGCATCATCCCAACCACAATTTGCCACATTTATAGATACAAACATTGGGTTAGGGTCTTAATCGTGGCAGCAAATGAAAGGCTATCGTTGATGATTCTGACAACAAAGAAGCTCTCTGACTTGTGGCTCAGATTCTACCCAGCATCCTAACAAATGTCTGGAATGGATCACAAAGAAAGGGGTGGTCCCACACATGGGATGCCGTCCTGACAGTCCTGCCATGCTAAAGTCATTCTTCCTCAATTGTTCTGATCTGCAGGGATCCTCTTGTCCCTTGATTTCTAGAACATTCAGTTGGAACCAGTTTATGATGTTGTAATGCCTGGTATCTCAACATTCTTGGCTCATGTATGCCTCTTCTCTGTTGTCCTCTGAATTGAATCCTGGGCTTTTTGAGACAGAAGCCATATTGATGTTTATTGTGTAATCCTCAAAGTGAACAACACAGCTCTAGACACAGGATAACTGCTCCATAAATACATGTGGATTTATTCTTGTCGGGAGAGTAAAACTTCGTGTGACGCCACAACTTACTTATGATGGAGCCGTCCCACCATCTTTGCACAAAAACAACATTTTAATAAGTGGTGGTACATTCAATACTGAAAATGATCTGCATTCAATACCGAAAATAATCTTTAAAGTAATCTGTGAACAACTTCCTCCACTCTTTCCCCGGTATTTCATATATAATTTTATTCTCCAAGAAGTCAGACAATACTATTTGCTTTATTAAAAATAATGACATTTTACTATTTACATTAACAAGCATTTATTGAATGCCTCCAATGTGCAAAGCATGGTTTCAGGTAACTTGGGGTTACAAAGAGACACACAAAAGAAACTTTTCTCTCAAAAAACTTAATCTACCAGAAGAGACAAATAAATATATAAATCTAACACAATGAAAGGCAGAATGAGATAAATTCCATGAAATAAGTTGACCGAAGTACATTGAGAACACAGAAGAATCATAGAAATGTAGAATTCAGGGTGGAAAGTCTTTAAAAGTCCTCCAGTCCAAGTCTCCAAAGATTCCTACAATCCCCTCTACCATGACATCAAACGAGCATGTATCATAGCTTATGTTTGAACAGCTCCCATGACAGGAACTCATTATCTCCAAGCCTCCTATTTCTAAGCTGTGTATTTTTCTCCTATCAACTGATGCATGTGAGATCCCATGTCTAATTACTGGGGCAATCCACTGTCCTTTCCTATGTGGCACTGGGCACACCTGTCAGTAATCTATTACATGCTAATATGCAGGAATACTTCTTCTATATATGTCTAGAGTTCTATATAAGTAATATCAAAACATTTACAAAAACAGAATTTTGCTGGGCGAGGTGGCTCATGCCTATAATCCCAACACTTTGGGAGGCCGAGGTGGGTGGATCACCTGAGGTCAGGAGTTCAAGACCAGCCTGACCAACATGGAGAAACCCCGTCTCTACTAAAAATACAAAATTAGCCAGGCAACGTGGCGCATGCCTGTAATCCCAGCTACTCAGGAGGCTGAGGTGGGAGAACTGCTTGAACCCAGGAGGCTGAGGTTGTGGTGAGCTGAGATCGTACATTGCACTCCAGCCTGGGCAACAAGAGCGAAACTCTATCTCAAAAAAGAAAAAAACAAAAACAAAAACAAAAACAAAAAACAGAATTTCAGCCTGGCCATTACGGTGAAACCCTGCCTCTACCACAAAATACGAAAATTAGCCAGGCATAGTGGCATGTGCCTGTTGTTCCAACTACCCAGGAGGCTGAGGTGGGAGAATCACCTGAAGCCGGGAGGCGGAGACTGTAGTGAGCCAAGATCATGCCACTACCCTCCAACGTGGGCAACAGAGTGAGACCCTATCGCAAAACAATAACAACAACAACAACAACAACAAAAAACCAAACAAAAAAACCCAGAATTGAAATGATGAGATAAAGATGAAATATATAATACTTATGAAATGGTATCAAATTTTATTTTGCTAACATTATCCACCCCCTTTGCCCTCAGTATAATTATACTATTATTAATAATGTTCTAAATGCTTAATCATGATGGCCTCATAGTATGATGGGCTAATATCTCAAGACATAATATTCCCTTCCAGCTTGATTTATTGCTAATGATAGCAGATGTAAATTCATAGTTCAAATAGTTTCCTGTTCACTTCAACTGTGTTCAGCCAACTTCTAAGCAGATTTGAATTTATCTCATAATGTGGCTGACAAAGAGCTAATTCTCAGTGCTGGAGACATGCCGGCTCTGCCTTTTCCTTGCTGCTGTCTTGTGCTTAGATGTTTTGCAGTCATCAGTTTTTAGACGTTTAGCCATTTTGTTGGAACTACTTTAGTTAAATCAAGACAATATCCTCACTGGGTCCACTAAGCCTGCCACACATCACAATTACTCTGAAAGCCAGCCAAGGAGTGCAGCAGTCTTTGTCAACCCTCCACACTGTGGAACCCCTGCTCTTCCCTTGGGACACCTCAAGTGTGTAAGGGACAAAAAGACCTATTTGCTTCTCGTGTACCCCAGTGGATCATCGCGTCCTGGCTCCCTTAGGATATCACTTTTTACAGGGATCTACATTTGGTTTTCTGCAAGCTCTGAGGGTGAGAGAGCTCTTCCTTTCATTGAGTTAAAACCAAGTTGTATGATAGACAGCCAGTCTGCTCCCTCTCTGATATGACCTCCATGGGCCTTGAGTCTTTCTTTTTTCTTTCTTTCCTTGAGACAGAGTGTCTCTCTGTTCCCCAGGCTGGAGTGTAGTGGTGCAAACATGGCTCACCGCAGCCTCACTTTCCAGCACTCAAGCAATCCTCCCATCTCAGCCTCCCGAGTAGTTGGGACTACAGGTGTGTGCCAACATGCCCGGCTAAATTTTTAAAAATTTTTTGTAGGGATGGGGTCTTACCATATTGCCCAGGCTAGTCTTGAACTCCTGGGCTCAAGTGATCCTTCAGTCTCAGCCTCCCAAACTGCTGGGATTACAGGTATAAGCCACCATGCCTGGATTCCCCTTGGGTCTTTCTGCCATACCTGATGTCCCCAGACAACTCCTTGTGGGTCTAGCCCTGGGTGTCAGCATAATGTCTGTAGCGCTCTGTGTTCCTTAGCATCTTTTTCTGCCAGTTATACGCTGCTTACAGGATCTCTGACTTGCCCTCCACCAGTCAGTCCTGATGCCACTGGTATTCCAGCCTGTCAAAAGAGAAAAAAAAGATAGAGATAGAGATGGGGTGGGTGGGTACTAGTTAGTTTGTAAACATAATTCTTGTTTTCATGCAGAAAATCTGAAACATAGTGAATAACAAAAATTAAACATTGAAATCATCCATCTGGATCTGACATCCCAGATCACAGTCATAGCAGCCAATCTCAGAGATGAAACATTGAAACATTTTGATGTATGCCCTTCCAGATTTCTTCTATGCATATAAAGTCAGATATTTCCTTCCAGCCTCTTTTTTTTTTAATCATTAGGCTTTTCAAATGTAGCAAGCACATCTATCTGATGCTGAATTAAACTAGAGACTGAAGGTGGCCTGGTCCATATCATTAAGCTGAAATGTCTCTAACCTAGACATTCCTCTCCTCTACAGAGTAGGTTTTGAGTCTTTGAGTCTGTGTGTGCCTGCACTAAGGCATACTGGAGACAATGTCTTCGTTTCGAAAAGAATAGTCCAGATCATATAATCCAAACTCCAGTAATAATTAGAATTCCTGCCCCACCATCTCCTGAGTGGGATCCAGCCTCCTTTTTTTTTTTTTTTTTTTTTTTTTGTGAGAGAAGTCTCGCTCTTGTCCCCCAGGTTTGAGTGCAATGGCTTTATCTCGGCTCACTGCAACCTCCGCCTCCTGGGTTCAAACAATTCTCCTGCCTCTGCCTCCAAAGTAGCTGGGATTAAGGCGCCTGCCACCACACCTGGCTAATTTTTGTATTTTTTAGTGGAGATGGGGTTTCATCATGTTGGCCAGGCTGGTCTCGAACTCCTGACCTCAGATAATCTGCCTGCCTCAGCCTCCCAAAGTGCTGGGATTACAGGCGTGAGCCACTGTGCCCGGTCGATCCAGCCTCTATTTTACACTTTCAATCTGGGAGGAGGCTCAATGCTTCCCAAGGTAACCTGTTCCAGTCTCCCCGACCTCCACATCCTAATTGTTAGGAAGTCCATACTGAAAACAAAAGGCATTGGTATACCTGAGGCCTAGAGAAGACAGTGAGGATGCAGGAAAGCTAAGAAGAGAAAGTAGAATTATAAATGGGCAGTGAAGATGAATAAAAGATGAATTTTTACAAGCAAGGTTGGAAAACCTTGAGGATCTACTGTGGGAAGCGGAGGAATGAAGTATTAGGAAGGGCCCGTGCCATTGGGTTTCAGGTAAATTGCAAGATAATAAATGACATTTCATTGAGTGGTCTGCCAAGCTTTATTATTGTTCATTCCTTTGTATTTTTGGATATTGCCTGAATTTTTTCTGAATTACATCAGGTATGGTCCAGAAACTTTCTTTAAATGTTATTGGGCTTCAGTAACCTGACAGTGAGTTTCTTTGAAATGCAGATAGTTCAAGGTGGAAAAAAGCATAACTTAATTGATTCAAAGAAGCAGAGGCTTGGATAATGATATCATTTATTTAGTGTAAACCCAGACTAATATTCCTGTCTAGGCTGGGGCTTAGCTAGGAGAAAGGACTTTAAATCTGAGAACCTCAAAGGAACTTGGAGGCCATTTTATTCAATCTCTGAATTTACTTCTGTGACTCACAGGGACTCAGCATGTTTCCTACAAGAATACTGGCCAGTCAGGTGGGCACGGTGGCTTATGCCTGTAATACCAGCACTTTGGGAGGCCAAGGCAGGTGGATCAATTGAGATCGGAGTTTGAGACCAGCCTGGCCAACATGGCAAAACCCCGTCTCTACTAAAAGTGCAAAAATTAGCTGGGCATCATGGTGCATGCCTGTAGTCCCAGCTACTTGGGAGGCTGAAGCGGGAGAATCCTTTGAACCTGGGAGGCAGAGGTTGCAGGTTGCAATGAGCTGAGATTGCTCCACTGCACTCCAGCCTGAGCAACAGAGCAAGATTTAGTATCAAAAAAAAAAAAAAAAAAAAAGGATACCAAACAGTCACAGGCCATGGCAGTGAACGTCCCAGGTCACAGTTGTTGGAGCCAATGCTTTGGGCATTCCTGCTGTCTGTGGCCGTACAGTACAAAATCCCAACCCAGAGACTGACTTGTCTCAGCAAAGGGAAACAAACAAACAAAAAATACAAAAACCAGTAAAGATTAACAAGCTTGTTAAAAACAAAAAGGTTTGTATAGGAAAAAAACACAATATAAATAGAAGTAGAAAAGACAAAGAAAATAATGTTTGTAAAATATAAAGGAATAGTGTTCATAATATGTTTTAAAACTTCTAAAAATCGATTTAAAGTGAATAAGCCAGCAGGGCGTGGTGGTTCACGCCTGAAATGCCAGTGCTTTGGGAGGCTAAGGCAGGAGGATTGCTTGAGGCCAGGAGTTTGAGATCTACCTGTGCAACATCGTGAGACTCCATCTTTATCAAAAACGAAAGAAAAAACTAGCTGGGCATGATGACACACACTTGTAGCCCCAGCTGCTGGGGAGACTGAGGTAGGATGATCGCTTGAGCCTAGCAGTTCAAGGCTGCAGTGAGCTATGATCATGCCACTGCACTCCAGCCTGGGTGTCAGAGCAAGATCCTGTCTCTATTATTAGAGAGAGAGAAAAAAAAAAAACCAATAGAAATGTAGGCTTCTACTTTCCCACAAAAACTTGGAGATAGGGGCACTATTTTTCTCAATGATTACATTTTTTTTTGTTTGTTTCTTGAGACAGAGTCTTGCTCTGTGGCCCAGGCTAAAGGGCAGTGGCATGATCTCGAATCACTGCCAACCTCTGCCTCCCAGTACAAGCGATTCTCCTGCCTCAGCCTCCCAAGTAACTGGGATTATAGGCGCCCACCACCACGCCCAGCTAATTTTTGTATTTTTAGTGGAGACGGGGTTTCACCATGTTGGCCAGGCTGGCCTTGAACTCCTGACCTCAGGTGATCCACCCACCTTGGCCTCTCAAAGTGCTGGGATTACAGGCATGAGCCACCGTGCCCAGCCAAAACAATGATTACATTTTAAAATGATGGCTCCCAGTTCCTTGGGAAAGTCATTCCAAGGCCAAAAGCTGACAACAGGCTTCTTTAGCTTTTAAAGCAGTTTACATACATCTCAGAGTGGGAAAGAAAGAAAGTGGTCACCCTAATTCCCAGGTGAGTTTACAATGAACTCTGTGTGGCAAATGGTGCTGTCAAGCCCTCTTACTTGAGGACTAGTTGCTGTTCGTCTTGAGAACATGCATGGACCGGGTTGTATCTTCTCATCTGTATAAAGGTTAAGGCTTCTGTCTGTCTCTGCTGTCTTTTTAGCAGTTTGCCTGTGATGTGTATTACATTCTGGTTTAATGTTTGCTGAATAATAAGACAGTTTCCTTTCTTCTCTACTTTTGTGGAAAGGTTTTCTAGGTTGGCAGGAAGTTTTGTTTTTAGTAATATTTCACTAACACAAATCATTCATTGACAATGAGAAGTGCTCGTTGCTTGGTCCCTGGATTCTCTCCATGTAGGAGAATCTTCAGGGAAGCCAAATTGTCTCTAGAAGATTCCTTGGTGTTGTGGGATGAATTGTGTTCCTCTAAAAGTATGTTAGAGTGCTAACCCCCCCAGTACCTCAGAATATGAACTTACATGGAGATAGGTTCTTTACAGAGGTAATCAAGTTAAGTGAGGTCATTAGTGTGGGCCTTAACTGATGTCTCTATTTGGATTTTGGTTGCAGGGTCAGGCATGCATAGAGGGAAGATGATATTAAGAGACCCGGAGAGAAGGCAGCTATCCACAGCTATCTAGAGAGTCCTGGAACAGGTCCTTCCTTCACCGCCCTCAGAAGGAACCAAACCTATTGACACCTTGGTTTTGGACTTCTGGCCTCCAGAACTGCCAGAGAAAAAATTTCTGTTATTTAAGCCACTCAGTAGACTTTTCACGTGTGGGTGGTATTTTGTTATGGCAATCCTAGCAAGCCCATACAGTGAGCGTGGAATCAGAGCAAGGAGATACGACTGTATGAGTTAAATCCAAAATGGTGTTGGCTGTCCAAGGCCCTCCCCTCCATAAGAGAAATGCCCTTCTCCTGAGAACAAGACAGTTGTGCATCAGCAACCACCCCATCCCCTCCATTCCCATCTCCACAGGGCCGGAGACATAGTGTCCCATCTTGGCCTATGAGTTTCTTTCTCTTTTCTTTTTTTTTTCTTTTTTGGATAGGTCTTTCTCTGTTGCCCGGGCTGGAGTGCAGTGGCGTGAACGTGACTCACTGAGTCTTACCTCCTGCCTCAGCCTCCAGAGTGGCTGGGACCATAGGCATGTGTTACCACGCCCTGCTAATTTTTTGTATTTTTTTGTAGAGACAGGGTTTCGCCATTTGCTCAGGCTGGTCTTGAGCTCCTGGGCTCGAGCAATTGTCCTGCCTTGGCCTCCCAAAGTGCTGGGATTACAGGCGTGAGCCACCGCTTGGGGCATAGGTTCCTTTTTCTAGCTTTGTGCAGACCACTCCCAGGTCACTACTCAATTACATGAAGGCCTGAATGTTATTAAGTTCAGTGCAGAGCGATGATGATCAAAGTAAATAACACATTGACAGTGAGTTCAGATATATGCTTAGAGATTGCAAGAAGCTTTATTCTAAGATGTCTCTGTCCCCAAACAAGATAATTCGGTCTGATGGTCTTCCCTTAAGTGCATTTTGGGGAGTATACTTTTAAATTTAGTTTAAAATATTTTAGAAATGAAATTAAATTGCAGTTCTTGGGGATTTGCAGCATGCAAGGGCAGGCCAGGACTCCCACAGTTCCATGTTGGGACTTTGTGAGGGGAGCAGCCCTGCAGGTGCCTTTGAGCAAAGAGTGAACCTCCTCTTCCCTCTGGGCAGGTGAAGCCCCACACCTGGGCATGGTGACCGAGATATGGACTGGGTTTCCCCTCCCCTGTGTGCTCCCACCTCTGGGATACCTTTGTGCAGCACATAAACTATACCGCCGGTCCAGGGAACGCAGATTGGAAACCAGTGGTATCTGTAATCAAACTCCATGTTGTTCCACTGTAGCAGCAAATCCTGCTGACAGTAATAGAATTGTGGGAAGGGGAGGGTCTCAAGGCAGGTCAGCTTTGATGTGTTCTACGCCGGCCACGTGGCTTTTGAAGTTAGGTCATTCCTTTGTACTCTGTAGGCCCTATAGGTATTTGAGGAGATTCCCAGGCCTGTCCCCCCACCCCCTACTTCTCTTTCCTGGTCCTGTTCTCCCTCTCCTTTTGCTTTGATCTCATTCCTCTTCAACTCCCAGCTCTTCTGTGCGACCCCTTCACTTGCCTCCATTGCTGGCCCCTCTCCACTTACTGTAGGCTCACACACTTCCTGATTTGGGGCTTGAGGCTTTCTCCTGGGTACTGTGGCTTGACACCTTGGCTGGGGTGGGAATGTTCTCAGCCTCAACTTCCACAATCCAAGACCAGCTCTGGGACGCTCAGCCGGCGTCTGGCCAGCCCAGCCCTGCCGGCCTCCCCTTCTCCCTTCTTCCCTTCAGGGTGAGAAACAGATGCAGCTCATCTCTGAGAGGACTTGCAGCGGTGTGGAACTCCCAGGAGTTCTGCCCAGTGGCCAGGCATGCTGGAAATGTGCCTGCTCTGTGAAGCTTGTCCAGCCCTGAGATTCAAACAGTATGCAACAGGACCTTCTATTTTTGAAGCTCCCCCACTCTGTTAGTTCCAGCATGGTTGCTATTGTATTCTATTTTATCTTTTACATCAAATAGGTTGATATTTGCTTACTGCCCCCAAAGTCCTGTAATAGTAATATACTTCGAGAATTGAAAGGTTTTCCACACACACACACACACACACACACACACACACACACACACACACTTAATTCTCATAAAATCTCTGGGAGGAAGGTATCGTTCTTCCATTACAAATAAGAAACCAATGCTGGGGCAGGGAATTTATACTCCTACCTAATCTGAGTTTGCTGGTTTATTCAGTCATTGTTTTGAACTAAAATATGGGTCTAATACCCGCGAAAAAAACAAAAACCCCACAAGTCACTGGCAACGTGGCACCAGGCATTTCATTTAGTGGAAAATATGTATCAAGTTGTACTTTCTGAATAACAAAGCTGACTTTTATGGAGGAGATATTTCAGATGAATGAGGAAAATGCAGTGTCCAAAGTCAATTTCAAAGGTTTCTTCTTAATTATTATTATTTAGTAAATGTCAAGTTCATTCCAGAGGACGAAACACAGAGCACATGTTCTCATATGAAATCTACCGCTTTGGTGAACTAGCTAAACACAGGGCTCTGGGTACCCTACATTGTACAGGTACAGTAGCTTCTATCTGCCTAAGGAAACAAGGTCCAGGAAATATGTAAGTTGAGAAGAGCGGAAACTTAATTGTCTATCTCAAATTCATTTCCTGCCTTCTTCCTTAGAAATGGAACTTTCACTATTCTGGTACTTGATATTCTAGATATTCCACCCACTCCAGAATTTTACAGTTTTGTTTGTTTGTTTCCTTGTTTGTTGTTGTTGTTGTTTTGAAACAGAGTCCCACTCTGTCACCCAGGCTAGAGTGCAGCAGCGCAACCTTGGCTCACTGCAACCTCCACCTCCCAGGTTCAAACGACTCTCCTACCTCAGCCTCCCGAGTAGCTGGGACTACAGGTGCCCACCACCACACCCGGCTAATTTTTTTTTGTATTTCGGTAGAGACAGGGTTTCACCCTATTGCCCAGGCTCGTCGTGAACTCCTGAGCTCAGGCAATCCGCCCGCCTCAGCCTCCCAAAGTGCTGGGATTACAGGAGTGAGCCACCGTGCCCAGAATTTTACAGTTTATACCTTGCAGCCAGGTGTGCTCCTGTGACTAAGTTGCGGCCAATGGAATAGAAATGGAGGTGTGATGGGCAACTTCCAGAAAGTGTTGGGGTGGGGTGAACACATATGCCCCACACTGGCTCTTCCTCCTGCCAGCTAGCTGGAATGTAGATGCAATGGCTATGTTGGATGGTGAGAAAGCAAGATAAAAAGAGCTGGGGCCCTTGGTGATCATGGTTTGGCTGTATCAGCTGTGGACACCCTTATCTGAACCCCTCTATACGAGTAAAAATCAAACTTCTATCTTCCTGAAATCTCTGTTATTTGGAAATTTTTGTTTCGTTTTCTTAGGTATCCAAGACTATTCCTGATATGTCTTAGAAATCTATATAAATTGTGCTCCTGCCAAGGAACGAAATTCTTTGTGCACTATTTCCCCTTAAAATATTTATTTAAAAAATGAGTGACGGTTGATTGACTTATGAACTAATTTTGTGAGTGGCTCATTCTAGTAGGCCTGAAGTTCCCAAAGGCATCATATTCATTTCTTCATACTTATTAAGTTCCTGCTCTGAGAGGGCCTCTGTACTAGATGTAAGGAAGAAATTAAAGAAGAGAAAGCAGCCAGGTGCGATGGCTCATGCCTGTAGTCTCAGCACTTTGGGAGACCGAAGCGGGCAGATCAGCTGAGGTCAGGAGTTCAAGACCACCTTGGCCAACAATGTGAAACCCCGTCTCTACAAAAATACAAAAATTAGCCAGGCATGATGGTGGGTACCTGTAATCCCAGCTACTCAGGAGTCTGTGGTGGGAGAATCACTTGAACCCGGGAGGTGGAGG
Organism: Homo sapiens; assembly: GCF_000001405.40. NCBI lineage: Eukaryota > Metazoa > Chordata > Mammalia > Primates > Hominidae > Homo > Homo sapiens. Next base: position 93,871,959 of record NC_000008.11, read on the forward strand.
TTGTTGCAGTGTGCCGAGATCGAGCCATTGCACTCCAGCCTGGGCAACAGAGGGAGACTCCATCTCAAAAGAAAAAAAAAGAAAGAATGCCCCTGCTTTAGAGGCACCTGCACTCTAGTTTTAGAAAGAGATGTGTTAGGCCGGGCACAGTGGCTCACACTTGTAATCCCAGCACTTTGGGAGGCCGAGGCGGGTGGATCACGAGGTCAGGAGATTGAGACCACCCTGGCTAACATGGTGAAACCCCGTCTCTACTAAAAATACAAAAAATTAGCCGGGCGCAGTGGCAGGCGCCTATAGTCCCAGCTACTGGGGAGGCTGAGGCAGGAGAATGGCGGAACCCAGGAGGCGGAGCTTGCAGTGACTGGAGATCGCACCACTGCACTCCAGCCTGGGCGACAGAGTGAGACTCTGTCTTGGGAAAAAAAAAAAAAAAAAGGAAGAAAGAGATGTGTTAAAAATTAAACTGTGAACTATAGTAAATAGTAATACAATAGAGGTATATAAGTGCTATCAGGACCAGTAAGAGAGTAATTAATTTTGCATGGGAGAATCCAGAAGGTTTCATGGAAGTCACACTACTTCTCTGAAATCTGGAAGGATAAGTAGGATTTCCACAGGGGACTAAGCAAAGTCCCAAAATAAAGAAAGAGTTCAACAAATAATCCTGTGTGGTTAGAATACAAGGTACTTGAAGAGGAATGACAGGAGATAAATCTGGAAAGGGTCCAGGAGCCAGGTCCTATCATCTTTCCTACATCAGTGGAGTAGCATGTGCAAATGTGCATTTTAAAATAACGATGCTGACCATGATATGGCCCTTGAGTCAGGGTTGTGAAAGTATCTTATTCATTTATGTGCTCCTCAGAGAGCATCTTTAGCATCATTAGACCTTTACTCATACGGAGTAGAAGTTTCTTAAACATTTATGAAAATGAATGAGGCCAGGCGCGGTGGCTCACACCTATAATGAATGAGGCCAGGCACAGTGGCTTACACCTATAATCCCAGCACTTTGGGAGGCCGAGTTGGGCAGGTCTCTTGAGGTCAGGAGTTTGAGACCAGCCTGGCCAACATAGTGAAACCCTGTTTCTAGTAACAACATAAAGAAAAAATTAGCTGGGTGTGGTGGTGGGTGCCTGTAATCCCAGCTACTAGGGAGGCTGAGTCAGGAGAACCACTTGAACCCAGGAGACGGAGGTTGCTGTGAGCGGAGATCGCACCATTGCACTCCAGCCTGGACAACAGAGTGAGACTCTGTCTCCACAAAAGAAAAGAAAAGAGAAAAGAAAAGAAATGAATGGATGAATGAATATGTGAATGAAGATAATAGTATTTGATTTTTTTTTTCTTTGAGATGGAGTCTGACTTTGTCACCCAGACTGGAGTGCAGTGGCACTCACTGCAACCACCGCCTCCTGGGTTCAAGCGATTCTCCTGCCTCAGCCTCCCAAGTAGCTGGGATTACAGGTGCCACCACCATGCCCAGCTAATTTTTTGTATTTTTTAGTAGAGAAGGGGTTTCACTATGTTAGCCAGGCTGGTCTTGAACTCCTGACATCGTGATCCATCCACCTCGGCCTCCCAAAGTGCTGGGATTACAGGCATGAGCCACTGCGCCTGGCCTTGTATTGGATTTTTAAACATAGGATATTGTAACTGTTACCAGAAAGAGGTCCTGATCCAGATCCCAAGAAAGCGTTCTTGGAATTTGTACAAGAAAAAATGCAGAGTGAGTCCACAGAATAAAGTGAAAACAAGTTTATTAGAGAAGGGAAGAAACAAAAGAATGGCTACTCCATAGACAGAGCAGCCCTGAGGGCTGCTAGCTGTATATTTTTTATGGTTATTTCTTGATCATATGCTAAACAAGGGGTGGATTATTCATGGGTTTTCTGGGAAAGGAGCAGGGATTTCCCAGAACTGAGGGTTCCTCCCCCTTTTAGATCATATAGGGTAATTTCTGGACATTGCCATGGCATTTGTAAACCATCATGGCACTGGTGAGAGTGTCTTTTAGCATGTTAATACATTACAATTAGCGTATATGAGCAGTGAGGACAGCCAGAGGTCACTTTCGTCATCATCTTGGTTTTGGCGGTTTCAGCTGGCCTCTTTATTGCATTCTGTTTTATCAGCAAGGTCTTTGTGAGGTGTATCTTGTGACCTCCTATCTCATCCTGTGACTAAGAATGCCTAACCTCTTAGGAATGCAGCCCAGCAGGTCTCAGCCTCATTTTATCCACCCCCTATTCAAGATGGAGTCACTCTAGTTCAGATGCCTCTGGCATAACTACCCAGTGGGTTTTTCTTGCCCACTGCCCAGATAGAGCTGATTTATCAAGGCAGGGGAACTGCAACAGAGAACGAGTTTTACACATGTAGAGCATCTAAACGGCAAGCTAGAGTTTTATTACTACTCAAATCAGTCTCTCCAAGAATTTGGGGGCTAGAGGTTTTTGAAGGTAGTTTAGGAGAAGGGGTCGAGGTAGCTAGGCAATGGGTGCTTGCTGCTGATTGGTTGGGGGGTGCAATTATACAGGTGTGGGAAATGGTCCTCCTGCTCATTGAGCCACTTCAGGGTGGGGCCACAGGAGCAGGTGGCAGGTCCAAGTGGAGCCATCAGTCATCAGATATACAAAAAGCCTGAAAAGATAGCTCAAAAAACCAATCTTAGGATTTACAAGAGTGATGTCATCTGCAGGAGTAATTGAGGAATGCCGAGACCAGCTCTGTCAGGGAGATCCTAACCCAGTGGTGCTAGAGGAATTAAAGACACACACACAGAAATACAGAGGTGTGAAGTGGGAAATCAGGGGTCTCACAGCCTTCAGAGCTGAAAGCCCCAAACAGAGATTTACCCACATATTTATTAACAGCAAACCAGTCATTAGCATTGTTTCTATAGCTATTAAATTAACTAAAAGTATCCCTTATGGGAAACGAAGGGATGGGCTGAATTAAAGGAATAGGTTGGGCTAGTTAACTGCAGCAGAAGCATGTCCTTAAGGCACAGATTTCTCATGCTATTGTTTGTGGCTTAAGTGGTTTTCTGCCCTGGGCGGGCAGGTGTTCCTTGCCCTCATTCCGGTAAACCCACAGCCTTCCAGCATGGGCGTTAGGGCCATTATGAACATGTTACAGTGCTGCAGAGATTTTGTTTATGGCCAGATTTTGGGGAGCCTGTTCCCAACAGAGGAAGTTGCGTATCTTGTCACCTCTGGAGTAGTGGCTGGCAATCCTTTAGGTCTACAGCTTAGCCGAATTCAGGCTCCTCTATCCTCCTAGCCTGGTGGTCTCTCATTAGGTTTACAAAGGCAGTTGAGTTTTGGGGAAGGGCTAAACTGCACAAAGTTAGCTTGGCCCAAGCCCAGGGATAATTAAGGGCAGCTAAAGGAAAGGTGAGGGTTGGTTAAATCCCATCTCTTTCACTGCCATAATTTTCTCACTGTTATAATTTCTGCGAAGGTGGTTTCCATATCTATTTCAGTTTGCTAGGGCTTCCACAACAACATACCAGAGACTGGATGGCTCAAACCAGCGGTCTCCAACCTTTTTGGCACCAGTTTCGTGGAAGACAATTTTTCTAAGGAGGGTAGTAGCGGGGTAGAGGTGGGATGGTGGTGGGTGATGGTTTTGGAATGAAACTGCTTCACCTCAGATCATCACACATTAGATTCTCATAAGGAGTGTGCAATCTAGATCTTTCTCATGCGCATTTCACAATAGCATTACCACCTGAGCTCCGCCTCCCGTCAGATGAGCAGCAGCATTAGATTCTCATGAGAATCTAACTGTCATCATCTTGGTTTCGGCAGTTTCAGCTGGCTTCTCATTCGATTCTCATGAGAATCTAATGCTGCTCATCTGACAGGAGGCGGAGCTCAGGTGGTAATGCTCCCTGGCCCACTGCTCACCTCCTGCTGTGTGGCCTGGGTTCATAACAGGCCACAGGCTGGTATTGCAGTGAGCCAAGATCACACCATTGCACTCCAGCCTCGGCAACAAGAGTGAAACTCCATCCCAAAAAAACAAAAAACAAAAACAAAAACCTTATTTCTTACAGTTCCAGAGGCTGGGAAGTACAAGATCAAGGTGGTGCTGGCAAGGCAGGTTTCAAACTGAGGCCTCTTCTCTTGCCTGGTGGACAGTCACCACCTTGCTGTATACTGACATGACTTCTTTGTGCAGGTGTTGGGGGTGGGGAGGGCCCTTCCTTTTATAAAGACAACAGTCCCATCAGATCTGGGCCCCACCCTTATGCCTTCACTTAACTGTAATTACCCCTTTGAAGGTCCTGTCTCCAAATACAGTCACATTGGAGGTTAGGGCTTCAATATATGAATTTGGGGCATTGAGGGGGACACAATTTGATCCATAACTATACTATTCTGCATAATGTAAAAACAATCCAAATTAGCATAAGCCCTCTCAGAGATTACCACTAGAAAGGGAAGATACCTGTATAAACAACAAACACATGGATATAAAATGATCAAACAACTCCAGGCTGGTGAGACTATTGTAGATAATAAGAGTTAGTTATCTGATAGGACTAGGGCAGGCTTGGCCAACCTGTGGCCCAACACAAATTCACAAACTTTCTTAAAACATTATGAGATTTTTCTGCAATTTTTAAAAAAGTTCATCAGCTATTGTTAGTGTTAGTATATTCTATGTGTGGCCTAAGACAATTCTTCTTCTTCCAATCTGGATGAGGGAAGCCAAAAAATTGGATACCTCTGGCACTAGGGTAAGGGTGAGTGAATTGCTGAGGCTTCATATTTAAGGAGGCACTTAGTCTCAGGGCCATGTGAATGCACGGTTGGCATTTGCACCACCCAGAGAGTGAGCACCTAGTCCTGGCCCTGTTTCCAAGTCTCCACCAAAGAAAAAACTTTGAAACTGTCTTAGTTTGGGATCCTGTAGAAGCAGACTCTGAGGTAGAGACTTGAGTACAGATGGTTTATTGGGGAGATGCAAGGGCTGCTGGCAGGAAAGTGGGAAAGTGACAGAGAAGGGAAGGCAGCCGACAATGTGTGAATTATGAGACCAGTCACCCTAGGGAGTGATTAGACCTTAACCCATGGAGAACCCTGGTGTGAAGGACATTCCTCAGAATCATACCACCTGAGGGGTCGGGGAGCTGGGGTATTTATACACCACCTCCCCATCAGCTTTTGTTAAGAGCTGCTCTGGGGGCTGTGGCACTTCTGAGCAAAAAAGGGGCCAAAAATTCTCAGGCACAGAAGATGCAGATACTGAAAGTTTAGGGTACAAAGGATAGGCAGTGGTGGGGGTGGGTGGCAAGGGGGAGAACTGAAGGCATTGACACTGGCTGCTGCAGAAACAAAACTTAGATATTATTGAAAAAGCCTTCTACCTCCCCCAAAGCATGGGCACTAGGTTTGACCTAGGTCTGGCCACTGGGTTGTTCCCAAGACTAGGCCTTTAGTTGCCCTTGGCTGTTGAGCCTGGTGCTAAAGAGGTTGATTCAAAAATACTGCACCGAGAAGAAGCTAAATGAAAGCCAAAAAGGAAGAAGAATCTGGGAGTGCTGTCAATAGAGTGGAGGCTAGGAAGTTCCGGACAAGAGAAGGTTTGAAGCAGGCAGAGGTTGGGAAATGAAACCTGGAGCAAATCCTGTATCACAAGAGAGGAAATATAGCCACAGTGGCTTTGTACATTCTCCCATGACCCTGGGCAAGGGCAGGGCAGGAATATAATGGGGACAATGAACAAACAAGTGCCTGTGACAGAAGAAGGGAACATAGGGAGTCTTTAGACCATGCAATATTAGGGCCCAGAGGACCTGAAAAATCATATGCCCAAATCTCTTAAGTTACTGAAGCCCCAGTTTCTCCTACTTGGGCTCACAAGCATGTGGGCTCACTGTGCCCTCCTGTTGTCCCTCCTCAGGCTGCTCCTGTCCCCAGTGGGGAGTTTGCAGAAGGCTGATCATGGAAAACATGGTTCCTTTTCTCTCTTCCTCTCTACTTAGCCAAAATTCATGAGGTTCTTCTGGGATGGCTGTGCCTACTTTCTCACCTCCCATTCACTCCTTGCCTCTACCACTCATTCATTTATTTACATTCATTCAGCAAACTTTATATATATATATATATATATATATATGTACATATATACACATACACACACCGGGCATTCTGCTAGGTTCTATGGATACAAAGATAAGGTGCTTCCTATTCTTATAATGCACACAGTCTTGGGGAAAGAAATTCAAGTTGTATATGACAGTGGTTAGGAGCACAGACTTAAAAGTCCAACCACTTGGCTTTGAATCTTCGCTCAACTACTTACTAATTATGCCCTAGGGCAAATTACCTCTTCCTGCTATAGTTTTCTCATCAGCACAATGGAGTTCCTCACAGTACCTCTCACTTGCATCCATGTGAAGAGACCATCAAACAGGCTTTGTGTGAGCAATAAAGCTTTTTAATCACCTGGTGCAGGGGGGCTGAGTCCAAAAAGAGAGTCAGCAAAGGGAGTTAGGGGTGGGGCAGTTTCATAGGATTTGGGTAGGTAGTGGAAAATTAGAGTCAAAGGGGGTTGTTCTCTTGGGGGCAGGGACGGGGGTCATAAAGTGCTCAGAGGGGGAGCTTCTGAGCCAGGAGAAGGAATTGCACAAGGTAATGTCATCAGTTAAGGCAGGAACTGGCCATTTTCACTTCTTTTGTGATTCTTCAGTTGCTTTGGGCCATCTGGATGTATACGTGCAGGCTTGGGCTTAGAGGCCTGACAGTACCTACCACCAATGGTCATTACAAGGATTATAGGAGAGGCCTCTAATGCATTTAGCACAGACCCTGGCAGATAGTGAATGGTCAATGATGATGAGCAGTCACTGTTACCAGCACGTACAGGGGGATAAGAGTCAAATAGGTGAGTGCAGGGGATGCTTTGGAACACATGGGCATGGTTCTTAACCTAGACCAGGCAGGGAAGTGATTTCAGGGAAGGTTTTTCTAGAATAGAAGAATGGCCTAAAATGAGTCTTGCTGTTTCCATTTTGGATCCTAAGGGCCTACCATATAGTAGGGACTCAAGTCCTAAGTGCTGAAATGCTGAGCATAAACACATACACAGAAACATGGACAGAAGGATGGAAGAGACAAAGAAAGCAGGAGTGGTGGTTAGACCCCACTGGTCACAGCTCATGCTCCTCTTTAAATGTCCTCTTAAATGAACATTATGATTCTCTTCCCCAGCAATGGTAGACATTGCATTCCAATAATAGGCAATAATCAACTATGGAATTGTTTACAAAAGTTTTTTTTCTTTTAGTCTTGCGAAGTTTCATTCAGTTTCTGTAACTGTAATAGGTTCATCGCCCGATGCAAACAGCAAGTCAATATGCAGAGACACCAGCAGAGAAAGAGGGCCACCAAATGAGGAGATGGGAGGGAGCCTTAAACCTGTCTCCCAGAGGTGTCTGGGGATAGAGTTTTGAAGGGTTTTGAAGTGGGCCAAAGTGTGGAGGTGATTGACTGGTTGAAGAGTGCAGGGTGGAGTCATGTGAAAGGGAGAGAAAGAAGCTGGATTCTCATGCTGATTCCATTCCTCTGTGGGGCTCTTCAAACTATTGCTAGAATTTGGGGGTCTGAAAACTATCTTAAGATCCTTAAACAAAGGCTTGCTTATAGCTCGAAGCAGGCAGAGGATGGGAAATGAAAGCTGGAGCAAGTCCTGTATCAAAAGAGAGGAGCAATGGGGATGCAAACCAAATCTTAAGCAGTCTTATGACCCTGATGTCAGGAATCCTACCTACAGGAAGAATGGGAATGCAAATGGTCAATATCTATTGCTACCTGACTTTTAGCAACAAGGAAGTGGGGTGGACAGCAGCCTACTAATGCTTAACCATAACAATATTTCTATCCAGAATCAGGCATGCAATTTTTATCAACCCCATAGGGATGGTTTCATTTCTATTTGGGCTTGAAGAGCCTTGGCTAATTTCAGAGACTGCTGTCCTCTGTCTTTTATTTTGTATTGGAGAAATTTCAGGAAATTATTCTGGTGCTTCCAGAACATTTGTTCATAGCATCATTTAATGTAAAATTAACATTTTAGGGATGATAGAATTTCTGAACAATGTTCTTGGATCTTTGGAATTATAATTAAATACATATTCAGGGTGTTAAAAATTCAAGCACTATAGCTTGTACCAGAGTGTGGAAAGACTATAGAGATGTTATGCTTTTTAACGGAAGTTGGCAGAATATGATGTCAAGATTAAAGAGCAGGCAGATTTATTTTGGCAGCTGACGATCCTAGGCCTAGTGAATTTCCCATCACAACCCATTAAGCAAGAGGAGAAAAAGCCTGAGTGTAGGATCTTTAGAATGAAGCCACAGCAGGAGCAGCAAAGGTTGGTTTAATTATGTTAAAAGCAACCCTAAGACCGGAAAAAGCTTTTAACATTCCTAGCACATAAAAATAGTTGGTCTTGATGTTTTGCTGCTGAGCAATTGGGGAAATGAGTGTTTCTATTGTGGCCAAAAGCCTGCATATTTCTTTTATGACTCATCTCATGTCTGAATTATGAAAGTTTGGCATGCGGAAGGGCATGAAAGCCTCACATCTTCATTTCCAGTTAACCCCTGTCAGTATAAAGTTGGGCTGCACTTTAGGATGAAATCGTGTGACAATTCAACTCAGAGTATATTTTCTAGGACTGTTTGGTATTTGGAATAAGGAATGATTTCTCATCTCTAAATGTTTTCTAAAAGTAGACATAGGCTGGGCGTGGTGGCTCACGCCTGTAATCCCAGCACTTTTGGAGGCTGAGGCATGCAGATGACCTGAGGTCACGACTTCGAGACCAGCCTGGCCAACGTGGTGAAACCCCATCTCTACTAAAAATACAAAAATTAGCTGGGTGTGGTGGTGGACGCCTGTAGTTCCAGCTACTCAGGAGGCTGAGGCAGGAGAATCGCTTGAACCCGGGAGGTGGGATTGCAGTGAGCCGAGATCGCTGCCAATGCACTCCAGCCTGGATGACAAGAACGAAACTCTGTCTCAAAAAAAAAAAGTAGATATAATGTCATATGCAAACAATAGCAGTAACCACAACACACACTCCCCTTCTTGCTTTCTATACTGATTATAAAGATCTGGCTGATTGTAAAGATCAGTGCCCTGATATTGGGAAGCAATGATTATTGCTGAGTTTTATTTTCCTCATTTGTAAAATTTGAATAATATCTGCCTGGCTGGTTTGTTGTGGGAATTAAATAAGTGAATATATGTGAATAGCTTAGTACAATGTCTGACACATACTCTTTGTTCAATAAACAGTAGCTGTTGTGAATGTTGACATAGTTAGTATTATTAATAATGCAATGGGAAAAACATTGGCCTAGACATCAAAAGGCTCTGTTTTCTCTAAGTAATTATTTAACCCGTTGCCTAACCTGTTTTGCTTACTGAGTCTATTTTAAGCCATAATTTTTCTCATCTTCAAAGAAGGAGTTTGGCCCAGATAACTTCCTAACTTTAGTATTTATGATTCTACGAATAACTGGTGGTCAGTATGGCGAAGTCCTCTCTGCTGCACCCCTTCAAGTCCCTGCGTCTTTCCTGAAATAATATTCTTCAACCACAAGCAAGTTTTGTGTCTGGCGTTCTGGGAGGAGAGCTTGAGCTGCACACTGGCCAGCTTTGTGTGGGTGCAGAATAGCTCTGCACTGCGGAAGGAAGGACTTTTTTGGGAAATGAATTCTAAGTCCAAGGACATAATGTCTAGAAGTGTCTTTTGGTACTAGTGGGTACACAGATAAAGTTCGGACTTGTCTCCAGGAGATACTGTTCCATTGTGAGAGCAAAGATTGATGGCTTTGTCCCATAGACCTTGATGGAATTTAACCATTTTAATTTGACAACAAAGACATTTTCACCTGGGGAGATAGAATTCCCCAGACTGGCTCCAGTTAAGAGCAGGCAACCATAACAGCATAATAATTACCCCTTGCATCTGTATAGTTTGTTGCCTCTACAAATCCCTTTGTCATACATTATGCCATTCCATCCCCACAACAACTGTGTAAGGTAGGGAGGGCAGCTATGAATATCCCCATTGCTTCAATAAGGAAGTGGATCTTCAGAGAGGTTGGTGACTTGCCTGGGGTTGCACAGCTCATAAGGGCATGTGCTAAGCCAGAGATGCTGGGCTTACTGGCTATGTGGGGCACCTACACACCTCCTAACACCGTGTCTGAATAGCAGGAACTCGCCTTCTCCACTGGTTTCCCTGGAAACTGGCAAAATGTCTCAGCATCTCCATCAGATAACATTAAGCAAAGAAAAAATTTCAAAGAAGGGTCTGTGAGGGCAGTAGTTTGGCCAAATAAGCAGAAAGGCTAAGGAGAGGGGAGATGTCACCCTCATTCTCTATCAAGAGGCTCCATATAATCCTTATCAATAAACACTTTTAAAAGGGCTGTTAAGTTATAGTCATCCAAATATGCATTAAAAAATCACCTACGAAGGGCAACATTCAATTCAAAAGTACAGTTATTTAAGACATTTTAAGGAGAAACATATCTGTTTATTGTAAAGAAAAAAACAGAGCATGTAAATATTTTATTAATTGAATAATCAAATCCTAGAAGAACAGATTCAAGTTCATCAATCAGTAGAAAAGTCATTCTTGGCCTATTCATAATTTTGCTTAGTCAGTTCTGCAGAGAGAAGATAATGGCATTTGACTTGCTTCTCTCTGATTTTCCTTGCTTGGGTTTGAAAAAAGAATCCGCTGTGGCTTCTGTCTCCCACATTCCTGGAGGCATCGTGTTCACTCAGGATGATGAAGTGGGAGTGCACTCGCTGAGGAGTCTTGGGGTGTTGAGTAGGCTCTCCTATCACTTACTCTGACAAGGGACCACAAACACACAATGCTAGTCCTCGAGCCTTCTAGAAGCTGGACTGGGTGATCCAGAGGCCCCTTCTGGCTAGAAGGCCAGAGATGTCCTTTTCCCCTCCCAGGAATCAGCCAGCTGAAGTGTCCAAATCCGTCCTTCTATTCCCAGCAGGCATTATGCCCCCCAAATCAAGGGAAAGATAAAACTCCCAGAATCCCTCACTTGATTTCCCCCACACCTTGTCATGGGAAGACCTACAGCTATAATCTGTGTGCTGGGAGAGACAGGTGTGTCGTATTTGAATATCCTACCAAGTCTTAGGAGACATGGAAGGCAGTGAGGTTTGGGAAAGACAGAATCCCCACATAGCTTTGCTGCCCATGCCACATGTGAGAACCCTCCTGATGCTGCCAGGCCTGAAATGCCCCAGAGGTACATAGAAATGCTCTACTCTGAACCCATTTAACCAGCTTCCCAAAGGTTAGGATTGCTTTATTTCAGCTCCAGAAGAAAGCCCTCAAACTAGCTTTTTTTTTCACTATGGATTTCAATCTGTCAATCTGTACAATGTCTGATTTAGCAAAATCTAAAGGCATCTGAATAAAAGGCCTACAGACAAATTGTGAATGCACTCCTATTAAACCCTTGGACAGATTTAAAGGCAATAATGATCTCCACTTCCCAAGGATAGGTTTTGCATAGGAGCGGCACTTTGGTCTTTCATCTTCTCAGAAGCCCTAGGAGGTAGGTATTACTACTGTTCTCACTTCAAAGTTGAGGACATTGAACCAGATAAGGTAGAATAATTAAGTTCACATAGGCAGTAAAAGCAGGAGCCGTACATAAATCCAGGCTCTTGCCTTTAGGCAACATTGCCTTCTAGATGGACAGGAAGGAACGGAGCTTCAGGCTAAAGAGAGATCTGGAACTTGGGACTAGCTCATCAGCATGGCTGAGTGCTGCTTTTTTCAGTTCCTTCCTTGCTGCCTCCACATCCACTCTGATCTATACTCCATATTCGATAAATGCAATAGCCCCATAATTTCCCTTAGAGGCATCTGGAAATATATAGGTCAAACTTAGAAAGGAGGAAAGTTAAAAAAAAAAAGACTCATGGGGGTTTCATGGGGCTCAGTATCAAAGCATGTGTGTGTGTCGCACGCACGCACACGCACTGAGCCTCGAATGCGGCCTCCCCACTGTGCACGTGAAGAGGAGAGCAAGACCTCTCTGTGCTGCAACAGCTCTGCGAGTGCTGCCCAGAGCAGATGTGGCCTCCCCGGCCTCATCACTTTACAGAGCAGCATCTCAGTTACAGCCAGCCACCCCACCTCGCTGCTTTCAGCTCCCAGCTCTCCTCTTTTTTTTTCTCTCCTGACCTCTCTATCCTTGCTGTGGATTAGCTCTGTGTGGCTAGCTTGGTCTGTACTTCCCCAAACTGAATCCCATTTCCTCTCTCCTGCTCTGCACCAGCTTTTTCGGATGTCTGTGTTGGTTTCCTTCTCCGGCCTTTGCAATACCCACTGTGCCTGCACTCTTCTGGGTTACTAAGAGTAGGTGTCAAACGAGGACAGCCAAGACCAGGTCTTCCGCTGGATGCTTCCCTGGAGCCAGCTACCAGCTCTCCCCCAAGATGGGTACAGAAATGCCAGTGCTTAGCCTCTAAGGCTTGCTTTGAATTCCAGCTCTGCCACTCGGACCAGTACTTCACTTCCTGAGTCTCAGTTTTCTTATGTGTATGATGGGTATAGCAATTTGTATGATGATATGATGGGTACAACAGTCTCTTCCTCAAAGAGTTGGGAGAAGTGAATGAGATAATGGTATAAAACACTCGGCAGGGGCAGCTACAGAGAGAGTTCTAGCTATTAATATTATCAGTATGTTGTGACTGGTTCCTTACCTTTCACAGGACACAAACTCTGCCTCATTTTCACTTCCTCCTTTTACATTTTTTTTCTTTTAAACATACATTACCTGAATAACCTTTACACGTAGGTGTTATTACCCCAATTTATAAGGAAGAAAACAAAGCCACAGACAGGTTATGTAACTTTCCCAAGGTCACATCGTTTGAAAGAAGAGCAGCTGGGATTCAGTGGTCCACTCTGACTCCTTCAGGAGACAGCTGCAGGGTGTGTCAGGGTCCGTGAACTTTGCCGGGGACTGAGAAGACCAGATGATCAGACAGTGCCCTGCAGATGGGGCACAGAGAAAAGGAGAAACAGGCAGGTAAACAGATAATTATGGAATAGTGGGATAAAGGTATCCAAGTAGGCAGGCAGGGTCCTGGGGCGCCCCTGGGGGCAGGTCTCCAGAGCCCATGTTTTTTCCACCACTACTGTACTGATCACAACTCAAGCTAGATTATTTCCTGCTAGATTATGGGACACATTTGAGGAGAGAAAGAGTAATTCTGATACAGGGTAGGGGATGGGGTAGCAGTGGAGAAGTCCATATAAGAGTAGGTGGCCTTATTAGAGTCAGATTTTGGAGGAAGGGACATAGGTAGAGAAGGTAGGAAAAGGCATTTCTAGGTGGTGAGACTAACATGAACAAAGGCAGAGGGGCTGAAGGACGTAGGATTCATGGTGGGCCAGAACATGAAAAGCCCAGAATGCCATGGTAAGCAGCTTGGGCTTTATTTTGAAGGTAAAAATAGAACCACCTAAAAGGTAGGTCAAGATTGAAGCTATTTTGGGTGGCAGCATGCGTGTGGAGGCTGGACAGGAGAGAGGAAAGTTTCAGGCAGGAAAACCAAGAAGGTCCATAATTTTTTTTTTTTTTAAAGAGATGGGATTCACTGCAGCCTTGAAATCCTGGGCTCAAGCAATCTTCCCACCTCAGCCTACTGATTAGCTGGGACTACAGGCACATGCCACCATGCCCAGCTAATTTTTAAATTTTTTGTAGAGATGGGGTCTTGCTATGTAATCCAGGCTGGTCTCAAACTCCTGACCTCAGCCTCCTAAAGCACTGGGATTACAGGCATGAGCCACTGTGTCCAGACTAAGTCTAACATTTTAATCCAGGTCAGTCTCAGTTACTATGACAGAGATGGTAGTGGTGGTATAAAATTCTCAGGACATAGGTTAGATACGAGAAGGAATGGGGAGATTAAGAGGGTCTAGTCAGAGCTCTGCTATGTTGATTAATCAAGCCAGCACCCAGTGGAGGAGTACAGTAAATCACAGTCAACTTGAACACAAAATATTTCCTAGGCCCAAAACAGGAAGTGCAAAAACATGACTGTAGGTATTGCATTGTCAAAAGAAGGAATGTATCGTGGAGGGGGAACTGCCATTGCCGAAACAATTAAAAAGAAAATAAACACAAGCACAGAGATGCAGAAGTTGGCAGCTCCAGGGGAAGGTGCCCCATGACCCCCAAATTCAGCAGTCTCATCCCTGAAGTGAGTGTATTTTGACCCAAGTGTGGGTCTTGATGTCATTAGCCTTTTAATTTATATCACTGACTCTCCTTGCTCTGACTTAATACTCACCAAGCCATCTATTGATTATAAGTCTCCTTTTTATATAGATCCTCCTACAGAGGAACAGAAACCTCTGAGCAGCCAACATGAATGTCCAGCACATTTGGCAAAAGGCAGTAGAGTGTGTCAGTGAAGAGCATGGGCCAACATGCTTGAGTTTGAAACTTTCCAGCTGTGTGGCTTTGGACAAGTTATTTCAAAGCTCTGCAACTCAATTTCCCTGTCTGTAAAATAAGGATGTTAATAGTACCCTCTCAAAGGGTCATTGTAAGAATCAAATGACAAAATGCATGTAGACACCTGGAAGAGTGTCGGCAAGTAGTAGACGCTCAATAAATGATGAATGTTGTTATTACAGATCTCATTGCCACCTGATAAATGGTGGCATTGTGGTTATATAAAACATCAGTCTCTCATGAGGATGGTAAGTGTGAGTCGGTCTTCAAGGGTGTGCTTTCCTATGAGACTGATAAGATTGAGTTTCTGGGCCAGGCGTAGTGGCTCATGCCTGTAATCCCAACACTTTGGGGGGCCAAGGTGGGAGGATCACCTGAGGTCAGAAGTTCGAGACCAGCCTGGCCAACATGGCAAAACCCTGTCTCTACTAAAAATACAAAAAAAATTAGCCGGGCTTGGTGGCGCATGCCTGTAATCCCAGCTACTCGGCAGGGTGAGGCAGGAGAATTGCTTGAACCCGGGAGGTGGAGGCTGCAGTGAGCCGAGATCATGCCACTGCACTCCAGCCTGGCAACAGAGCGAGACTCTGTCTCAAAAAAAAAAAAAAAAAGAAAAAAAAAAGCTGAGAACTTGATCCTTTACTATGGTGAATTTGTTTACTTGTCTGTTTCCCATAAAACATTTGCAAGTCCTTGAGAGGAGAATTTGTGCCTCATTGTCTCAAATCCCAAGTGCTCAGAATGGTAGCTGGCACATGATAAGTGGTTAATACATTTTTATAGACTTTATAGCTATGATTCCAATATTGTCACTGGCCTATTTCAGATCTGTCCAATAGAAAAGTAATTAAGCTATATTGAATTGTAAATTTTCAATTTTGTAGTAGCCACATTAAAAAATAGTTAAAAGATTAGGTAAAAGTAATTTGGGGAATATTTTTTATATTACACTCTTACCTCATACCGTATTTAAAAATATTAGCTTGTAACAGTTCAAAGACCTAAATGTAAGAGCCAATACTATAAAACACTTAGGAGGAAACATGGGTGTAAATTTTCATGACCATGGATGAAGCAACAGGTTATTTGAGATGACACGAAAAGCATAAAAAACAAAAGGAAAAATAAATTGGATTTCATCAAAATTTAAAACGTTTGTATACTAAAGAATACTGGCAAGAAAGTGAAAAGACAACCCACAGAAAATACTAACAAATTATATAACTGAAAAAGTATTTGTATCCAGAATATGTAAGGAACACTTACAAATAAACAATAAAAAGACAACCCAATTTCTAAAATGGGCAAAGGATTTGAGACAGTTCTCTAAAGAAGATAGACCAATGGCCAATACTTGCGTGAAAAGGTGCTCCACATCATGAGTTGTTAGGGAAATGCTAGTCAAAAACCACATGAGCTACCACTTGATACCCATTAGGATGGCTATAATTTAAAAACAGAAAAAGACAGAAAATCACAAGTGTTGATGAGGATGTAGAGAAATTGGAATCCTTACACATTGGTGGTGGGAATGTAAAATGCTGTGAAAAATGATTTGGTAGCTCCTCAAAAAGTTAAACATAGAGTTATCATATATTCCAGCAATTCCAGTCCTAGGTTTACACCCAAGAGAACTGAAAACATATGTACATACAAAAACTTGTACACTTGGCCGGGCATGGTGGCTCACGCCTGTAATCCCAGCACTTTGGGAGGCCAAGGCGGGTGGATCACCTGAGGTCAGGAGTTCAAGACCAGCCTGGGCAACATGGTGAAACCCCATCTCTATTAAAAATACAAAAATTAGCTGGGCGCAGTGGTGCGTTCCTATAATCCCAGCTACTCAAGAGGCTGAGGCAGGAGAATCGCTTGAGCCCGGGAGGCAGAGGTTGCAGTGAGCCGAGATTGCGCCACTACACTCCAGCCTGGAAACAGAAAGAGACTCTGTCTCAAAAAAAAAAAATTGTACACTAATTCATAGCAGCATTACTCATGGTAGTGAAAAAGCAGAAGCAACCCAAATGTTAACTGATGAACTGATAAACAAAATATGGTATATCCATAAAAGGAAGTATTATTCAGCTATAAAAAAGAATGAAGTACTAATATATATTACAATATGGGAAAACCTTGAAAGCATTATGTTCATTGAAATAAGCCAGACACAATAGTCCACATATTGTATGATTCTATTTATAAGAAATATCCAAAATAGAAAAATCTATAGAGACAGAAAGTAGACTAGTGGTTGCCAGTGTTTGAGGGGAGGCTCAAACTGGTAGTAATTGCTAACCTGCAATGGGGTTTCTTTTTGGAGCGGTAGAAATGTCCTGGAGGCCGAACATGGTGGCTTACGCCTGTAATCTCAGCACTTTGGGAGGCCGAGGCAGGCAGATCATGAGGTCAGGAGTTTGAGACCAGCCTGGCCAACAGGGTGAAACCCCGTCTCTACTAAAAATACAAAAATTCCCGGGAGTGGTGGCATGCGCCTGTAATCCCAGCTACTTGGGAGTCTGGGGCAAGAGAATCGCTTGAATCCGGGAGTGGGAGGTTGCAGTGAGCCGAGATCACACACTGCACTCCAGCGTGGGCGACAGAGCCAGACTCCATCTTGGGGGCAGGGAACAAAACAAAACAGAAATGTCCCGGAATTCCACAGTGGTGATAGTTTCACAACTTTGTGAATATACTAAAAACCACTGCATTTAACATTTTTAAAGGGTGATTTTTATATAGTGTGAAATTTTATATTATGTGAATTATATCTTAGGTTTTATTAAAACCAATGTATCTAAAATATTACAGGTTGACTATCCCTAATCTGAAAATCCAAAATCCAAAATTCTCCAAAATCTGAAACTTTCTGAGCACCAACATACTAACATGACACTCAAAGGAAATACTCAATGGAGCATTTTGCATTTTGTGTTTTCAGATTAGGGATCCTCAGCTGGTAATGTAAATATTCCAAAATCAGAGAAAATTCAAAACCTGAAACACTTCTGGAGTGTTTCTAAAGTATCCCTTTAAAATAAAGAATAATCAACCTGTATCATTTTAGCATGTAATTGATATAAAAAGTTATTAATGAGGTAATTTACATTTTTCCCATGCTAAGTCTTTGAAATTCCGTGTATATTTTATACTTACAGCACATCTCAATCTGAACGCTACATTTTCTTCTGAAATATTGTATTTAGATTTCATAAAATTTACAATGAAAAAAGTAGACTCACAAACCTAAGTGGTCTCAAGCATGCTTCAAAGTTTTCCAGTAATGGAATCAAGTATCAGTGCTTAAATTTTTGTTTTAATTAAAATTAAACAAAATTTAAATTGCACTAGACACATTTCAGGTACTCAATGGCCACATGTGGCTAGTGACCACCCGAATGCACAATGCAGGTCTAAGGCAGACTACTAAGCCTATCTCATTCTGCTATTATCATTCTAAACTAGTGTTTTTGTTTTTTCCCAGTACCATTCAACTGTGATTGTTTCAGTCACTGTCCTATTTAAAGCAGAACTATATTTGGGGAAAAGGGTCTTTCAATATTCTTCCTCCTCCCCTGGTCCTTCCTCCTCCCCTGCTTCTTTACTCTGGAAGCATAGGAAGCTTGTGTTGACGTCACGGTGGTGGGTTGCCCTCCGATATCCCTCCCCTCCACCTCTCTTAGTAACCTCTCAATTTGTTTTGGGCAGCAATGCACAAATGGAATGACATTGTCTTGGCTAGTGAGGTATTAGAAAAGCCTAACCCATCCATAGAAGAGAGATCACTGGTCTATGTACATCCTCTGGGTCAGTGGTGATACAGCTGTTCCCATCTAGCCTTTGAATGTGCACCAATATCATTTACCTATGTACTGAGCCTTCTCCTCATCCCAAACCAACTTCTTGCCCATTGGGACTTCTGTGTAGTCCCAGCAGGACATATGGCAATCTCTGGACCATCTGCACACCACGCACAGGTCCCTTCTCTGCCTGACCATGCCACGTCGCCCTTTCTGCTCTTTTGCAGCCTTCCCTGGTGAGGAGGGCTCCTCTCACATTTCCAACTGTAAGTGAGGCACAGGCCCTTTCTGACTTTGGCTTTCCCTTTAATCTAGCAGAGGACTCCATTGTTTCCATAGGCCCCTCTTCCAAAACATTCAAGCTGTGGCCCAGCGGTAGTCATACCTATTTCAAAGCTCGTGGCTCTTGCTGCTGCTCATGCTCTCATGTACTATCTCAGTTATATTCTCCTACCATGTTCGGCATCTTCTCTGTCTTAGAGCTTGTGGTGAACCATTTACGCATACCTCCCAGATGTGCTTTTGAGGCCACCTCTAAACTAGAAAAAATAAATGAAATACAACACAGATGACCTTCACTTTGGGTTTCCTCTCAATGAGTTTAGGCTACACTACACCCATTGGCATGGGGGGATATCTCAAGAATTCTGAACATGCATAATTGAATATACTTCTACTGCAGCAGAACCTAGTTGGATTCTAGCAAAATGCTCCAATTTAATCTGTGTTTAATATTTTTCTGTTGCTCACCAAACTGAATTAATTTGGCAATATATTGCAAAAAGAAGTGCTTAAAAATAATTTCCAAAAAAATGGCAATATATCAAGACCCAGATTTCAAAAAAGATAATCATAGTAAATTAAATCTTAGAGTACTTCTTTAGCTCTTAAAAAGATTCTTTCATATCTATTACAATAAAACCTTTATTTAACTAGAATGAAGTATTTTACTCACATTATCTGGTTAAAAAGTAAACAAACCTGAACCAGTGCATCACTTAGAAATATATTTGGCTACAAGTAAGAGAAACCCTGACTCAACTGACTTAAAAAAATAAAGACTATTGTTCCATGTAATAGTGAGCCCAGAGTTGGGTGGTGTCAGAGTTTCAGCAGTTCAGTGTTATCACCTAGATCCAAATGATTTTGTATCTTTTTACTGTAACATCCTCAGAAAGTTGGCTTCAGCAGCAGTGGCAGCTTCCTGAGTTGCCAAAATGTGACACAAGCCCAGGTATCCCCTCATCACACAGCAAGTCTCAAGGCATTTACGCAGTCATCCTCTATCTAGAACAAGGAGACACTTCCCCCAGAAGTCCCCATAGACCTCTCAGGTCTCTTTGGCCAGAATCACATCACAAGCCATGATTGGCTTAGAATAACCAAGAATTATTCCTTAGGCTCAGAGTGGCCTTGTCCTAAACCCGAAGATTAAGCAAAATTCGGGTTCTATTAGCTAGAACAAAGGGGGCTGGCTGGTGGGTGGTCAACCAAAAATATCTGTCAAAAGCATCCTTTTTTTTTTTGTTTTTTTGGTTCAAATGTTTGGCTAATCTTCCTTTCATGTGTGGTGGTCCACATTCTGCCTTTCTGATAACTGGAGATGTTGAAATAACCTCAGCTCACTAAACTGTGAGCATCAATTTTTCATTATAATGGGCTGTAGGATTAGGAGGTTTGGAATAATGGGCTGAATTTTTATTGGCTACTAACATGTATTTTGGAAGGTGCATTTTGGGCAAATGATCAACATTTGTTTCTTTGGCTATGATTTACTGTTTAATTCCAAAAGTAGTGTGCTGAAAAATGTTGCTGACTGCACTGCCAGCCTCCTGTTTTAGTTGTTTGGCTATCGGTCACTTCCATTTGATTCCATAACAATCTACAAAGTAGGGTAAGTACTAGAACTTCTAACTAAGGTCAGAGAAGTAAAGTAACTCTCCTAAGGCCACATAGCAAGTTTTAGGCTTCCTAGCTGCAGACTTCTCACTAAGTGTAGTGTGATGAGCAAAACAGCTCATTATACGAGAAAGAAGTCTCGCATAATGACCTGAAAACAACCCTGGCAGCTCACTCTGATTACCAGTACCATGAGCTAGAAGGGATGAAAGAACTTCTTCTCCCAGCAGAAGGGGCTGCACTCAAGTGCAATATTCCAAAGGACTGGTGGTGTCCTCCCCACTGCAGGACTGTAGCATCCTTTGGACCCCAAGGTCCCCAGATGCTAGGCAGCTGGCTTTCCAAGGTACTCCTGTAAGCAGCCAAGCCCCCAAATCTAGACTGCCTGAACCAAGATGCCTAGGCATCCCTTCACTGACAAGGCAGCTTTCTCAAGCTTGCTTTATAGAAAAGGTAGAATCGGGGGGATATCGTTCCTCTGTTAGAATAAGGACTCACACTACATGTCTTGCAGAGCACTGTAACTTACCTTATAGATTTACCCTTTCCCCAGGAAAGCCTATTTCTTAACCCAAACTAGGTGAGCTTGTAGAACTCAATGGCTGCATACCAGGTGGTGACTCGGAAGGGACCCAATTTACACCACAGACACCCGCTTCTTTTATATAGGTAGAAGGATGTGTCATCCAAATGTACCTACAAGTGCAAAGCTATTAATATAGTGCTGCATTTAAAAAAAATTCATGGAAAAATTGTTTCACCCTTAAAGTGATGCTTTCTAGTTATATTACATGCATCCATTTAAGTCATCCAATCTTGTCTCTACAAGATAGAGTATGTATAAACACATATCAATAAATGTTATACATCATACATTGTTGTATTCGAGACTTCATCTTCTTTCGCTTTTTGTTGCCCCCATTTCAGACACACACACACACACACACACACACACACACACACACGTATCCCCTCATGAACTTTCTGACAACAACTCACCAATGCCATTGCTAAAGTAGCTTGATTTCTCTAGTGATTCTGAATATTTAGACTCTAGGGGCACATGGGAACATTCTCCTCTCCAAGTTCTTGTGATCCTACAGTTTCTCTTATGTCTCAACCACAGTGATCTAAGACAAAGTAGCTTTTTTTTTTTTTTTTTTTTTTTACTAAACAGGGTCTCGCTGTCACCCAGGCTGGAGTGCAGTGGTGTCATATTGGCTCACTGCAGCCTCGACCTCCTGGGCCCAAGCAATTCTCCTGCCTCAGCCTCCCAAGTAGCTGGGACTATAGGTGCACACCACCACACCCAGCTAATTTTTGTATTTTTTGCAGAGACAGGGTTTTGCCATGATAGTCAGGCTGGTCTTGAACTCCTGGACTCAAGTGATCTGCCCACCTCAGCCTCACAAAGTGTTGGTAAAACAAGCATGAGTGCCCAGCAAAAGTAAAGGAGCAGGTTTCTCAGTAAAGCATTAGTCTACCCTCATGGGTTTTCCTTTGATTACTCTTTGGGATACTCTCCCTCTTAATCACATATGCTAGAGACCACGAGTTTCAGACCAGCCTGGACAACATCGCAAGATCTCTGTCTCTGCAAAAAACAAACAAACGAAAAAAAATCCAAACCAGAAAAACAAAACAAAAAAAAACATAATGGCTTATTTCATTGTCCTCCTAAGGTTTTCTTAAAATTGATTTTTAAATGTTCATTAATTTTTACATTATTCATCTACCAAAATGACTAAAATAAGACAAACTGCCAATACTTAATGTGGATGAGGATATAGAGCCACTGGAATGTCCATACATTGTTGGTGGGATAAAATGATACAGCCACTTTTGAAAAAGGCCTGGCAATTTCTTATAAATTAAAGATACAGCTACCCTATGATCCAACAATTCTATTACTAGGTATTTACCCAAGAAAATAGCAACATATGTCTGCAAAAGACATATAAGAATATTCATAGCAGCTTTATTCATAATAGCCAAAATGTGGAGATAGCCCAGATATCGTCAGTGGGAAAATAGATATACCAATTGTAGCAACTTTAACAATTGGAATGCAGTTTAGCAACAAAAAGGGAGCAAACCAGAGACATATGCAATAACATAAACAAATGTCTAAATTGTGCAATGTGAAAGAAGTCTTGCATAATGAGCAGAGTCTGCACTGTATGATTCCAACTCTATGAAGTTTTAGAACAGGCAAAACTAATCTATAGTGAATAAAATTAGAACAGTGGTTCCTTTTTTTGAGATGGAGTCTCACTCTGTCTCCCAGGTTGGAGTGCAGTGGTGCAATCTTGGCTCACTGCAACCTCCGCCTCCCAGGTTCAAGTGATTCTCTTGCCTCAGCCTCCTGAGTAGCTAGGACTACAGGCATGTGTCATCATGCCCATGTAACGTTTTTGTATTTTTAGTAGAGATGGGGTTTCACCATGTTGGCCAGGATGGTCTCGAACTTCTGACCTCAGGTGATCCACCCGCCTCAGCCTCCCAAAGTGCTGGGATTACAGGCGTGAGCCACCACGCCCAGCCAGAACAGTGGTTCTTTCTGGGGTAGTTAGAATGGAGACTGACTGAGACAGGTCATGAGACATTTTGGGGTGATCATTGTTATTTTGATAGGGGTCTCAGTTACATAAGTGTATGGATTTGTCAAAAAGAGAATGTTCACTTAAAATTTGTACATATCGTTATGCATAACTTAACAATAACTATAAATAAAACTAAACTTTAATGCAATGTATGCTGAAGTATTTAGGGAGAAGTGATGTCTGCAACTCATTTTGAAACGTATCAATAAATTAGATGGATTGATGGATGGATAGGGATGAATAGATAGGTAAATATGTGATAAAGCAAGTATAGTAACATGCTGTGATAGAATCTAGGTGGTGGGTATATGAATGTTTAGTATTAAATTCTTCCATATTTTCTTCCACTGAAATCCTGTGTTTCTGAAAATCTTCATAACTTATATTGGATATAAGTTCATTAGCTTCTTTCATCCTCCAAAACTGGTACATCCTCCTGTTCACACTTCCTTTGGTTCTCATGGTTTCTGGAGGCAGAGACAGCCTTGCGACTACAGCTACCCATGCAGTGCTATTTGAGGGACTCCAGAAGGCATCTCTGCTCAGCATCCCCCCTCACCTCCTTCTCCTACCAGTCACAACAGAAGATTTCTTTTTTTTTTTTGAGATGGAGTCTCGTTCTGTCACCCAGGCTGGAGTGCAGTGGCATGATCTCGGCTCACTGCAAGCTCTGCCTCCCGGGTTCACGCCATTCTCCTGCCTCAGCCTCCCGAGTAGCTGGGACTACAGGTGCCCATCACCACGCCCGGCTAATTTTTTTGTATTTTTAGTAGAGACGGGGTTTCACCGTGTTAGCCAGGATGGTCTTGATCTCCTGACCTCGTGATCCACCCACCTCGGCCTCCCAAAGTGCTGGGATTACAGGCGTGAGCCACAGCGCCTGGCCACAACAGAAGGTTTCTACTAAGCATTTATTTCTTTAGATCTAGAGGGAGTTTAGGTCATCACAAATCTCCTATCAATATGCAAATATTCCCAGGTCAGGGAAGTAATTTAAACCTGGGGGGACTTACTTGTCAAATAAAGGAAAGCAGAGTCTTTTGTGACAGTAAATAAAATATACGGACAAGAAAGAGAAAGAGAGAATCTATGTAGGAGGCTAAGACATGTCAAAGCCAAACCACAATATACAGTTTTGCCTAGAGCCAGGTGTTTGAGACCTGGCTTAAACCTTAAAAAAGTACGGTTTATCTATAGGGAATAACTCTAATCCCCGTTCCTCAAGGGATAACAGCCAGAACCTAGAAATAGAGTCAAGATCATGGTCATCAAAACACAATTCTCTGGCCCCAGGCTTGTTTGCTCTATAGAACTGAAGTTCCTCAATTTCCTCCACTTCATTCTGGGAGGCATTAGACGATGTCTTGTGCACGTCTGAGAATGAATCCTCTCCCTCCTTGACCTGCTGAGGCTGTGAGTTTCTCCTGGGCATGCCCGCAAGGTCTGGATGCCTGCCTGGAGCTGATTTCCTCTCCCATGCCATCTCTGGTCCAGATGTAGGCTTGGTTCAGCCCATGCCTCTGCTCAGCTGCTTTGCCCATTCCGAGTTCTAAGACCCGAATGAGGAATGTTCCCTTTGTCCTCTAAATCCCCATGTTTTCCCTAGAAACTTCACTGAAACCCTGTTTTGCATATATATATATATAGTAGAGACGGGGTTTCACTATGTTGGCCAGGCTGGTCTCGAACTCCTGACCTTGTGATCCGCCTGCCTTGGCCTCCCAAAGTGCTGGGATTATAGGTGTGAGCCACTGCACCTGGCCTCCTGTTTTGTACTTTCGATTGCAGCCTCTTCTCTTCAAGGTTTGGGTACAGCTCATGGGGGCAAGACTGGGGCCACCTATGGGACAGACTAGGGCTGTACTGATAGAGCCACCCCTTATCACTGACTCAATGTTCTTGGACTGTCTTGCAACTCTCTTCTCTTTCCTCAGGATGAATTCTCAGTTCATCCTGAGGAAAGAGAAGAGAGTTGCAAGACAGTCCAAGAACTAAGGCTTTTTGTTCCTTCATGTAAGTAGGCCACCCATAACTGCTTCCCCTTCTGTTTCTTTTGAGGCACAACTGAATTACGAGGAGATCCCAGCTGAAGCTATCAGGATGGGACACTAGTTTCTGAATAAAAATAAATGGATGCAGACTTCAAGTTACATTACTGCATTCCACTGAGAGAGAGTCTTATATCTTCAACTCCTTGCTTATGAGCTTGGCCATGTGATTTGCTCTGGCCAATGACCCATTAGCAAATGCGACACAAACAGAGTCTTGGAAACAGTTCTACAATGGGAGCTGCCTTCTTTTCTTCTTTTGGAAGACAGTAGCCAGTAGCCTGAGGTAGGTGCTAGATGCTGCAGACACAGGGCCCAGTTGCTTTTGCACCATAGCCAACTACCAGATGTGTGAGTGGGGCCATCTCTGATCAATCAGCTTCTGGCTGACCTGCCAGCTGACTGCAGCCACATGTGTGAGCCCAGGCGGTACCAACCAAATAACCACCTAGCTAAGTTCAGTTCAAATTGCCAACACCTGGAATCATGAGCTGCTCAGTAATTATTGTTTTAAGTCACTAAATTCTGGATTGGTTTGTAAGGCAGAAACAGATAAATGATACACTGTTGGGTGGGCAGAAGAGGAATTGATGGAATAAGCATCCATAATTGATTGAGGAGATAAGACCTAAGGTCCTTTTCAGATTCTGAAATTATATGATTTGATGAGAAAATCCCAATGTCTGCAATAAGTGTAATGCATGTAATTTAAATTTATAATTTAAGAACTTTTCCTCTCTTCTCCTATCTTTTACGTTTACAATCTCAGAGATATGTGACTGATTATCTACACCGGGATCTTATTACTTCTTGGCCATGCCTTGTTCTGTTGCCACCAAGTACCCCAAGTACACAACCTTTCTTAAGTGTGCACTGTTTGTAAAATTTAACTTTGCATCATTCATATCCTAATCTTGAATAAGAGCTACATACATAAAAAGAGTTGAGACTTATGTATGAATTAATTTTTTAAATAAAAAGATATTGAGATCACTTGCAAAGTCACACACAACCATAAAGAATGCAGCTGCCATAACATTAAAGGAAATTACCTCTAGGCTTCCATCCAGTATGATGCAATTTTCAAGGACTAAGACAGAGGCCTTGAAAATGGGCGGCAATAATGGAAATGCTGACATATCCATAACTCCCACTGCTTAAGGAATGGTAAAGAAAGACTAGAATAATAATGACACATTTAGAATCCCCAGTATTTTTACCTAGTGTTGGCAGCAAGTGATGGAACAGGCTTTCATAATAACATTATAATTAAATTACAAATTGTTTGTCTAAATAATTTCTGAAAGTCAAGAAAAACAGTGCTGTATTTAATTTGGGATAAGATTTCATTTTGCTGAGGTTTTTGCTTCCTGCTCCCAAGTGAGAGGTTTCTCAGATAAGACCCTACCCTGTCCTGGTTTACATACCTGGTGTCCACGGAGGGAAATGCAGGACAGAGGCAGATGAATCTTTGTAAACAACAGGTACTGTTGCACTAAGGACTGTAGGCCTGGAGTTCTTGGAAAATGTCCTTTTTCACCTCCCCCCTCCCCTTCCCTGGTTTTGACACAGTTTTCTCTTTGAAAACACAGGGATATCAGGAAAGAGTGTGAACAGAGTCTCATCTCCATTTATGCTCTCCCCATACCCCCTGCTCTGCTTGCAAGTCCCCCGAGGACCTCAAAGGGTATCCTCCTCCAGATACTGAGAGCTGACCCAGCAGGAGGGGCCCGGGAAAGTTTGAAGGTGCAGCCACCCTTATTCATTACAGAATGTCCTCTCTTCTTATCTTGCCTTTTTTTAGCCTGAAGGACAAAGAAAGAGAGAGGAGTCTCGATTTTCCTTGTTAATCTGCTCCAGCTGGCAGCCTGTCCAACATTTGAAATCATCTGTGATGTAACAATTATTTTTTTAAAACACTAACATCCCATTTTATGTAATTTTATGGGATAACAGGATGGCAATTTAGCTTAGAAAACATTTTGACCAACGATCATTCAGACAAATAAAAATGAGGACAAAAAGGATGACTGTGACAAGCAAAATAGAACAGCCTGCTATGCCAAGAACTGAACATGAATCATGCTTTCCAAAGGCCACATTGCTTATCTGTTCTATAATAACCTGGAACCTCCTCCTCATCAAGTCTCTCTTGGGCTCCTTAGTAGCCCAAGGTTAACAGAGGTATGGACTTAGAACAGGTGGATACACAGAACCTCAGACTCACAGCTGAAGGGACCTCAGGGTTCATTTCAGTTCACCACGTCTACTGGATTCCCCATGCCGGTCTGGGAGTTGGAGAAATTGGTGTAGAGTGGAATGGGTTGAATTGTGCCCTCCAAAAGCGTATGTTAAAGTCCTAACGCCTAGTATCCATGAATGTGACTTTCTTTGGAAATAGGGTCTTTGCAGAGGTAATCAAGGTTAAGATGAGGTCATTAGGGTGGGCACTAATGTGACTGGTGTCCTTAAAAGAGGAGAAGATACACTGGAACAGAAATGCATGAGGGAAGAACTCCAGGTAAGGACAGAAAAAGAGGCTGAATATTGCAGTTGCGGTTCAGGGTGTGCCAAGAATTGCGGGAAAACTACCAGCAGCTAGGAAGAGGCAAGGAAGGATCTTGTGCTACAGGTTTCAGAGAGGGAAGGGCCATCGGACACCTTCATGTTGGGCTTTTGGCCAACAGAACTGTGAGACAATAAATACCTATTGTTTTTGTTGTTGTTGTTGTTTTTTCCTTGAGACGAAGTTCCGCTCTTGTTGCTCAGGCTGGAGTGCAATGGCACGATCTCGGCTCACTGCAACCTCTGCCTCCCGGGTTCAAGTGATTCTCCTGCCTCAGTCTCCTGAGTAGCTGGGACTACAAGCATGCGCCACCACGCCTGGCTAATTTTTTTTTTATTTTTATTATTTTTATTTTTAGTAGAGACAGTGTTTCTCCATGTTGGTCAGGCTGGTCTGGAGCTCCTGACCTCAGGTTATCCACCCACCTCAGCTTCCCAAAGTGCTGGGATTACAGGCATGAGCCACTGCTCCCGGCCTAATAAATACCTGTTGTTTTGGTGATGGCAGCCCTAAGAAATGAAGACAGAGAGCTTAGGCAAATGTCCACGATCACACAGCCTGTGATGACAGAGGAGACGGGCGCGTGTAGGCCCTGCCATCCCCATTCCAGAGCTCTGTCCTTTGTCCAGGGCTTTCTTCCTCTGAGGCTTCATGCATCAGTTGTCTGTGTTGTCTGTGTAAGTTTTCTCCATCTTTTATTTTTGTTCTGGATTTCTAAAATAATTTCCTTCAAATAGACTTTTCTTGTCTTCTGACCCCTGCTGCATACAACTTTTTATTTGGAAAAATTTAAAACCTAAGATAAATTGAGAGAATAAGTCAATGAACACACTCCCTTCACCCTGATTCACTGATTCACATTGTGCCACGTCTGTTTCCCTTTTACTTTCTCCCATGTGTATTTACTTTTTTCTGGAACCATTTGAAAGTTGCAGATCTCATGACATTTCATATCTAAAATATTTCAGCATGCATCTCCTAAGGACAAAGACACTCTCATAACAATCAGATTCAGAAAATTTAATACCAATTCAAAATCATTATCTAATAAAATGACCATATTCACATTTCTCCAATTGTCCCCTAAATATCCTTTGTAGATATTTTCTTCCTTTCTTCCATTTCTTCCCCTCTGCTTTCCTTTCCTTCATTTTTAGACCCGCCACCCAAACCACCCAGCCATCATGCCTCTTTAGTCTCTTTTAATGTGGAGCATTCTCCCACCTTATGTTTATTTATCTATTCTTTTTGTCTTTTACAATATTGACATTTTTGAAGGGTCCAAGACATTTGCCCTACGTGATGTCCCACAATCTGAATTTGTCTGCTTGTTTCCTCATAATTAGATTCAGATTAGATATTCTTTGGTAAGAATTTTACCTAGGTGATGCTGATTACCTAGGCGATTGCATCTCACTGGGAAGAACAGGGTGTCAGTCAATCATCACCCTTATTAACGATGTTGGATTCATTGGTTATGGTGGGACCTGTCAGATATTCCCATTGTAAAAGTATCTTTTTCCTTGTTGTAATTAATCAATAATCTGTGTGGGATATTTGAGAGAAGACTTGTTCTTACTCATTTAATACAGTACATCCAGGGTTAAAAACAATATTGACTTGATATTAGATATCTCTCCATAGCTGAAACGCAACCCCTAACATGTCCTTTTACCGTGTGTGTGTGTGTGTGTGTTTTACCAGGGGTGGAGGTTGGGTTAAGGTTAAAACTAACTTTCCTCTTTTATAAACCACCAGCCTACAGACATCTGAAGGTCATTCTCATGTCTTTATCAGTACATGTATAATATTATCCAGGTTTTGGCCTCATCTAAGCTTTCTGACCCCTATTAAAATTTGTGTGGAAGCTTAAGACGGCATAAAAGGTAAAGTGTATCTTTAAAGGTAAGTTATGTGTATAAAAAGGTAAGTACATCAAAGAGCAAAATGTTAGATAGGTAACCCCAAGGCTTAAACCATAAAATGACATTATGTAAATCAAAGTTTTGCTTCTCAGCATGTCAAGGCCGAAGTATCACGGATAACATAGAGCTTATTCTGTGACACTAGCAGCAGGGTGATCTTTTCCTTGCTGGCTACCACAAAGGATGTGAACTTGAGAATGCAGAACAAAAATAGATCTCCAAAGCCATGTCAATCATTTTTGAGAGGTCGAAAATACTCTCTGCTTTAAATGGAAGTTACTGCTTTGGTAATCAGTGTAACAACATTAAAAACACACACCTGTTTCTGAGTGAGTCTCAAACACAGTGCTCAGAGTCGAAAACGCACCAAGCCCACCCTCAGAGCATTCCTATGCCACTGTGGGGCTGCATCTGCTGTGGGATTCCTGTGGAATTCTTTTTGTATCATTTTCCCCACTAGGTTGCAAGTTCCATGAGAACGGGATCTTTGTCCTGTTTTATCTCCAGTGTCAAGAACACTGTCTGGCACACATTGGGTGTCAAATAATTATTGGCTGGATGAATTAGTGACTAAAAGTAGTGCTCTTCAAAGTTAGGTCAACTCAACCTTTCCCTAGACTTTCTAAGCAAGAGATGTAACCTTCTGTCTCCTCCACTCCCTTTTAACTTAATTACAAAATTTGTTTCTGGGGAGTGTGTAAAGGGGAATAAAGGAGCCCTTTTCAGTTTCTCTCTCTCAACCTCCAACAGCTCAGCTAGTCATTTCAGGCAAGACAGGCTTCAAGGCACAGCCCTGTGTGCCAGATCAGGTTAGGATTGCTCTCCTAGAGGCCATGTATCTTCTTTTCTTTGCAAAGCTGGAACCAGGAAGGACTCACCCATCCTCACTGGTGAGCTCACCTCCTTCCAATATTTTCATTGCTGAGTTGCTAAAGGTCATGAGGAGAGGGCACCCTGAGCATCGTTGATAGAATGTGTAATTTGTTTAAAACTTCATATTATTTCTCAGCATGACTTTGTCTAGAAATAGTCCAATATCAAATTTTAATTTGCTTAAATATGTGACAGTTAAACAAAATAAATTATCTGCCTTTTGACGATTAGCATATTTATCGTTCATGTGTAGATGCCTTTTGTTTCAAGGAACCTGAAAGAACCAACCAGTGCATATGAATCAGGACCCTCCAGACTTAGAGATGGTAGGTAGCCAGTGAACAGTAGAGGACAGAGGGGTCAGGAGAGAAGCACTCCTTCCAGAAGAAATAGCAATAATATCACTTAAAATATAAAAAGTAGTATCATGTGCTAGTGCTAGTGCATGTATAATACTTCTGTTTACAAGAGCCCTGTGAAATAAGAACCATTATTCCCATTATAGAGAGCAGGAAACTGAGGCTTAGCAAGGCTGTGACTTGACAGTAGCAAGGGGTGGAGCAAGTATTTGATGGAGCGGGTCTGACCTCAGAGCCCTTGCTTCACCACACACATGAGAAATGTGTCCAAGCGCATGGTAGAGACAGAAGCCTGTTATTTACTATTGTTGTCTGGCAAGTTTTCAAGGAAATCTTTGATCATTTCTTAAAATGCTTATGTTGGGAGAAACCCAGGACAGATAAACTCCTGTTAGATTACTGCCTCAGAGTTCAGATAGAGGAATCCCTATACTCTTCATAAGAATTTTTTGATTATTTAGTCCTTTTATCATCTTTGTGGTTCTCCTTGAATCGCACTTCAAAGATGACACATTCCAGAAAAGTATGGATATAGTTCAATTCCAGAGAGGCATTTATGTGCAAATCCATGAAAAGCTCTGCTATTGTAGGTGCATTGAATGAAGAACACTGGGCAGTCAGCCTTCATCATGGCCAAGTTAAATATTCTATTACTGCTGACTTGCTTAGACACACGAATCCAATGGCTTGTCCCTTCTCTCCTTCCCTTGCAAAATATCAGAGGGGAAAAAAGACCCATATATACAAAGGTCCTTTTTATTTTTTAGCCTAACACCTAGAAATAAGTAGAAGGTTTACATTCATCAGGCCTAATTTTACCTAAACTGTTTAAGATTTTATGCGGAGGGAATCCTTCCCAAACCAGTTTCATTTCCATGTAGGCAACAGCTGCTTTCCACAACTACAGTTCACATTCTCTACCACTGTGGGTACAAGTTTTCTTTCCTACTACTCACCTTGGCCCCCACTCCCCCAGACACATACAAGAAAAGCATCGAAAACCAGTTTTAAAAAGCAAGCATAGGCTAGGTGTGGTGGCTCACGCCTGTAATCCCAGCACTTTGGGAGGCCAAGGCGGGTCTTTGAAATCCAAAAAGTTAGGAGCCGTGTTATAAACGATTACATTTAAGCTGGAGTTGGAAGAGACACACTCCTATATAAAGGAGTTCCTGCAATTTGCTTGTCAGTGGCTTCACCACATCTGAGTTAAGGGGAAATTAATTTGCAAGAAATAAAAAAAAAAAAAAAGCCTGCTTTTTTTTTTTTGAGACAGAGTTTCACTCTTGTTACCCAGGCTGGATTGCAATGGCATGATCTTGGCTCACTGCACCTTCCGTCTCCTTGGTTAGAGCGATTCTCCTCCCTCAGCCTCCTGAGTAGCTGGGATTATACGCACCCACCACCATGCCTGGCTAATTGTTTTGTATTTTTAGTAGAGACAGGGTTTCATCATGTTGGCCAGGCTGGTCTTGAACTCCTGTCCTCAAGTGATCCGCCTACCTTGGCCTCCCAAAGTGCTGGGATTATAAGCGTGAGGCACCATGCCCGGCCAAATTTTTAAAGGCATAAAGACTATGTCTTACGCTTTTCTCCATTTGCAGAACACAGCAAAAACCCTAGAACACAAACATTCAAAGAGTGTTTATCCAATTAGTTTGCATATAACTAAGTCAAATGTAAAGAGAAGTTTCTCTCCCTAGACAAAACTGATCACCTTTTTTGCAAACTGGCATACCACAACAGGCCCTGAAGGGAAGCCCCAAGATGTAAAGAAAGTTATAAGAACATTAAAATACCACAGGCACATAGTAATGGCTCAAGAACTGAAACTGAAATTGAAATTGAGCTAATTAGTAAACACCATTGTTCAGAACAGTCTTGGCTAAGTAATAGGGGTTGTGTTTAAACCTTAAGGGTGACATCCATTTATACATACTTCAAGTGGAAATGGAATTTCCAGATGCAGAATAGAATAAGTGCCATCAAAAGGTAGGGTAATTGCCAGCTGCAACTGAGATCCTCAGTGTTCATTTATCCAGGTCATTTATTCGTGAGTCATGGATTTGTGGAATGAAAACTGAACACTGAGCCAGCAGTTCCCTGAAACTAGGAAAACAATAAGTTCTTATTTCCCTGACAAAATCTGGCTACAGTTCAGCAATGCAGTAAAAAATCCTTATGGATTTTCTCATTACATTGACAATTTCCCCTCATGGGGGGTGGAATCACCAAAAACTTGTATCCTCTATATGCATACATTTCCCATGAACATAAAAAGTACAAGGAATAAAATTATAATCAATCATTTCATACACTACTAAATTCAGAGAATGTAAGCATACATAGTGTTATGTTATTTTTTATTTTTTATTTTTTTTAAGAGATAGAGTCTTGCTCTGTCACCCAGGCTGGAGTACAGTGGTATGATCATAGCTCATTGAAGTTTCAGACTCCTGGACTCAAGGCATCTCCCTACCTTGGCCCCCCAAAGTGCTGGGATTACAGGCATGAACCACTGTACCTGGTCCATTAGCTATTATTTTAACTCCTTAGTGGTATCCAAACATTCAGTTGTTTAGTGTTGACTGGAGGTTCAAATTTGGACTTACTTTTAGTAGTGATTAAACGGAGATGTGAGGCTACACAAAACTTTATGGATGAAACTGTGGCAGCACTGGCAATTGTAACCAGGGTCAGAGGAACAAAACTAGAAACCCAGAACATCAGCACTTGCTGGTGCTTATTTCCCTACTTTTCAAGATGAAAGGAATGGGAACAGCTCTGAGAACCAAACTTGAGGCTCTTCTAATCCAACACTTCTGCAAAAGCAGCATCATGTAGGTTCCGCTATGTCATGTACTCACTGTGGTTGGCAGCCTCCAAGATGGCCTCCAGTGATTTCTGCTGGAATTCATACCCCTGTGGAATGCTTTCTCAAATTTTACCAGGGTACAGAAGTAATTGTATGTCACTTCCAAGATTGTTGTAAAAGATGCTGTAGCTTCCGTCTTTGTCTCTCTCTCTCATTGTCTGTCTCTCTGATTACTCACTCTGGGGAAAGCCAGCTGCCATGTTGTGAGCAGCCCTATAGAAAGGCCCATGTGGCAAGAAATGAAAATGTTCAGCCATGTGAGTGAGCTGGAAGCATATTCTTCAGCCTCAGCCAAGCCTTCAGGTGACTCTGCAGCCCTGGCTGATGGCTTGACTGCAAACTCATGAGACCCTGAGCTAGAACCACCCAGGGAAGCTGCTCCCAGATTCTTGACCCTCAGAAACAGAGTGAGATCAGAAATATTTGTTGTTTCAAGCTAATTTTGGTGGTGATTTGTTATCCAGCAATAGATAATACACCCGCTGTAATCTTGGGCAAGTTAGATAAATTAAGCCCCTGTTCCTCATCTATAAAGCAAGGACTAATATAAATAAAAAATACATTTCTATTACTCTCCTTTATTCCAGAATGAATTTATGACTACTTTTAGGGATATATAAAATAAAAGACAGCGTAAGTTAAATGAGAAGTGAGAAGAGAGGCAGAAAAACAAGGGTGGGGACATGAAACAGAAACAGGAAATAGGTTTAAAAAACAATATATTGCACACATTCCATAACTGAGTCACAATTCTGGCTCTAAAACTTTGAATAATTCTTTTTACCTCCTCCACCCCTTCAAACACACAGATATAGAATTATTTATTCAGTTCAGAGTCCAAGAATTTTTAAAAGAATCCAATCACTTCTGAGACTTATAATTATCCTTAGTACTAAGATGGGTGGGAATTTCCCTTGGGAGCTGCCCTAAAGCAGACACTGTGTGGACTACTAGCTGATGCCTTCATGCTCATGGGTAACTGCACAAAATGGGATGATACATACAAAGTGTCTCATATCATGCAGGCTCATAATGGGCTCATACAAGGTGCTACTATAACTATTACTATTCGGTATCAGGTTTTGCCAGTGTAACAGCTCACCTCTTAAAAATGTTTGCCCTTCACAGGCTAATGCTCTTGACTTTTTTTTTTTGAGACAGAGTCTCGCTCTGTCACCCAGGCTGGAGTGCAGTGGCGTGATCTCAGCTCACTGCAAGCTCTGCCTCCCGGGTTCACGCCATTCTCCTGCCTCAGCCTCCCGAGTAGCTGGGATTACAGGCACCCACCACCACGCCTGGTTAATATTTTCGTATTTTTAGTAGAGACGGGGTTTCACCGTGTTAGCCAGGATGATCTTGATCTCCTGACCTTGTGATCTGCCCGCCTTGGCCTCCCAAAGTGCTGGGATTACAGGTGTGAGCCACTGCGCTCAGCAATACTCTTGACTTTCTATCCTCATACATATTCAAAACAGCCCACTTCAGCCATGAACTTAATAGAAACAGTTTGGGAAAAATCCTGGATATTTTGAATATTTTTCCATATTACTTCCATCTCAATAAGAAAGTTTGACATACATGTCCATCCTCATGGCCACCCATGCACAAAGCTTTGGGCCTCTTTGATACCTTCCCCCTTTTCACCCTTTCTCATTTACCTCGCCAACAAGTCCTGATTTTTTAGCAACATATCTTCCTATCTGTTCCGTCCTTTACATCCTTGCTGCCATCGTCTAGCTCTGCATTTTAACTCTTTACACCCATGTTTAGGCAGTCACTTCCAGTTATTGCCAATCAGCTATGATGCATATCATTGTCAGGGCAATTTTCTCTTCTTTGATCACAATTCAGTCAAGTGTCAATCTGCATCCCAACTGCAGAATGAGGAAGTCCAACATCCTTGAAATTAAAGACCTTCAAGAATCAAGACCCAGACTCTGCCCAACTCTTAATTCCCACTCTTCACCCAACATAGCTCCTTGACTCAGATTTGCTCTCCTCTTGGCCTTTCTGCACTGTGGTTCCCACCTAGAATGCGCCATCACCCTCACCCCCTTTCTGGATCTCAATTAAATTCACTACACCTAGCTCAGATCCCAGCTCAGAGAATTGAGAGTCCCAGAGTTGGAGGGACTCTGATGGTCACTCTCTCCAACTCTCGACCTCACCCATGCATCATCCATTTACCTAGCCAACATTTGTTAGCTACCTCCTAAGCCAAGTTAAAAACATATATGATAGATTCAGCCTAGGAAGAGGTCACATCTATATAGGGAGACTGGCCTGCAAATGATGATAATGTGAGTATAAAGTTCAAGACACAAACAAAGTGCTTTGAGAGCACATTCTTTGTCATTTGTTGTCTACATTCTATCGGCAGAATCACCCCCAATAATTCAACATAGGTTCTTTTCTATTTCCTTAAGTGTCAGCTGGTCTGAGAAATAAAGGGAAAGAGTACAAAAGAGAGAAATTTTAAAGCTGGGTGTCCAGGGGAGACATCACATGTCGGCAGGTTCCGTGATGCCCCCCAAGCCACAAAATCAGCAAGTTTTTATTAGTGATTTTCAAAGGGGAGGGAGTATATGGATAGGGTGTGGGTCACAGCGATCGCATGCTTCACAAGGCAATAAAATATCACAAGGCGAATGGAGGCAGGGGGAGATCACAGGACCAGGGTGAAATTAAAAATGCTAATGAAGTTTCATGTACCACTGGGCACGCGTTGTCATTGATAAATCTTATCAGGAGACAGGGTTTGAGAGCAGACAACCAGTCTGACCAAAATTTATTAGGCGGGAATTTCATCATCCTAATAGGCCTGGAAGTGCTACGGGAGACCGGGGCTTATTTCATCCCTTATCTGCAATCGTAAAGACAGACATTCCCAGAGCGGCCATTTTAGAGACCTACCCCTGAGAATGCATTCTCTTTCTCAGGGCCGTTGCTTGCTGAGAAAAACAATTCAGCGATATTTCTCCTATTTGCTTTTGAAAGAAGAGAAATATGGCTCTGTTCCGCCCGGCTCTCAGGCAGCCAGACCTAATGGTTATCTCCCTTGTTCCCTGAACATCACTGTTATCCTGTTCTTCTTTCAAGTTGCCCAGATTTCATATTGTTTAAACACACATGTTTTACGAACAATCTGTGCAGTTAATGCAATCATCACAGGGTCCTGAGGTGACATACATCCTCAGCTTACGATGACGGGATTAAGAGATTAAAGTAAAGACAGGCATAGGAAATCACAAGAATATTGATTAGGAAAGTGATAAATGTCCATGAAATCCTCACAATTTATGTTCAGAGATTGCAGTAAAGACAGGAGTAAGAAATTATAAAAGTATTAATTTGGGGAACTACTAAATGTCCACGAAATCTTCACAATTTATGTCCTTCTGCCACGGCTTCAGCCAGTCCCTCCGTTCGGGGTCCCTGACTTCCCACAACAACAGTCTATTTGAATACCTCCAGTAACAGGAAACTCATTGTCTCAAGGGGTAACTCATTCATTTTCAGAAAACTGTAACCACTTTAAAGTTATCGTATTGAGTTTAAATCTGACTTCCACACACTTAATTCTAACTTTTTCTTTTTTGTTTTCCTTTTTTTTTTTTGAGATGGAGTTTCGCTCTTGTTGCCCAGGCTGGAGTGCATCAGTGCGATCTCAGCTCACCGCAATCTCTGGTTCTCAGGTTCAAGCAATTCTCCTGCCTCAACCTCTCTAGTAGCTGGGATTACAGGCATGGGCCATCATGCCTGGCTAATTTTGTATTTTTATTAGAGACGGGGTTTCTCCATGTTGGTCAGGCTGGTCTCAAACTCCCGACCTCAGGTGATCCACCTGCCTTGGCCTCCCAAAGTGCTGGGATTATAGGCGTGAACCACCACGCCTTGCCGTTTTGTTGTTGTTGTTTTTTGAGAAAGAGTCTTACTCTTTTGCCCAGGCTACAGTGCAGTGGCCGATCTCAGCTCACTACAACCACTGCCTCTCAGGTTCAAGCGATTCTCATGCCTCAGCCTCCTAAGTAGCTGGGATTACAGGTACACACCACCACACCTGGCTAATTTTTGTATTTTTGGTAGAGATGGGGTTTTGCCATGTTGGCCAGGTTGGTCTCGAACTCATGACCTCAAGTGATCCATTTGCCTCAGCCTTCCAAAGTGCCGGGATTACAGGTGTTGAGCCACCGCACCTGGCCTAGTTTTTTCAAACTCTGGTGTTTTCAAAGACAAAGCTAGCTATCTTTTCATATGACTATCATTAAAGTATTTGAAGAGCATGCCATGAATATCTCTAAACTTCTCATATGTTCTGATTCTAAACTTTTTATCCTGCTGGTAGCCCTCCTCTTGCTACACTGTAGATTTTTTATGCCCTTCAAAGTTTGGTGGGGACTCAACAAGGCAGAATGGAGGGAGTCTATCACCTCCTTTGTTCCTAACTCAACCTAAAATCACATTTAGGTTTTGAAGAGGGAAGGGGGCATTCTCATTACGTTGCTGCTTTTAGACAATCAAAATTTCTAGTGACTCTTTTTTCCCTCTCTCACACAACTAAGTGATCTCTAAAATCCTGTAGCAAAAATTTGTTGTTGGTTTTTTTTTTCTTTTTGTTTTGGAGTGCACTGGCACAATCACAGCTCACTGTAGCCTCGAGCCCCTGAGCTCAAGTGATCCTTCCACCTCTGCCTCCCAAGTAACGGAGACTACAGATGTGTGCCACCTTGCCTGGCTAATTTTTTAAATTTTGTTGTAGAGACAAAGTCTCAGTATGTTGCGTAGGCTGGTCTTGAACTCCTAGGCTCAAGCAATCCTCCCACCTTGGCCTCTCAAAGTGCCGGGATTACAGGCATGAGCCACCAGGTCCAGCCTGTGACACAAATTTGAATGGCTCATATTGGAGCTTGTTGCTTGCTGCCTTGTACTGTTGGTTAATGTCTTTTGCATATATTTAAGCTCTCCACCTAAATATTAAGTTTCTTGAGGATAAAAATATTTATTATTCATTTTCCTTTAATAAATATATTAATAAATACATGAGTGTTAAGGGAGAAAAATGCCACAGTATACAGAATAATGCTCCCTCTCTCCCAAAAAAAGATGTCCACATCATAATCCCAGAACCTGTGAATATGCTATGTTACATGGCAAAGGAGAATTAAGGTTGCACATGGAATTAAGGTTGCTAGTTAGCTGATTT
This sequence comes from Homo sapiens, assembly GCF_000001405.40. NCBI lineage: Eukaryota > Metazoa > Chordata > Mammalia > Primates > Hominidae > Homo > Homo sapiens. The sequence goes on from NC_000008.11 coordinate 93,910,653, forward strand.
TAAAATAAAGAGATGATTCTCAATTATCATCGTGTACCCAATGTAATCATCAGGATCTTTTTAAAATGAAGACAGAGGAGGAAGTCAAAGTCAGAGAGTGGCTGGAAGGTGCTACTCTGCCAACATTGAAGATGGAGAAAGGAGTTATGAGCCAAAGAATGTGGGCAGCTTCTCAAAGCTGAGAAAGGAAAGAAAATGGATTCTCCCTTAGAGCCCCCAGAAGGAAGCACAGCCCTGCTGATGCCTTGATTTGAGCCCAGTGAGACCCATTTCAGACTTCTGACCTTCAGAACTGAAAGATAATATGTGTGTTATTTTAAGCAACTGAATTTGTGGTCATTTGTTACAGCAGCAATAGGAAATTCATTTTTAAGTACTAACATTTGGCGTTATTTGCCAGTTATCATTTGGCTAATTCCTAATCCTTACAACACATGTTAGATTTTTTAAAAAGTTGAAGTTATTGGGTAAATTTTGAAGGATCAACCCAGAAAATAAGAAGCAGAGGTAGGGTTTGAACTCAAGTGTCTCTGACTCCAACTCATACTCATTCCACAAAACCAGTATGCCTTAAAGAGGGATAAAATCAAAATGCAGATATTGCACCTGAGTATTTCTCTGAATGTTCTGATTAGAATCCCAGAGCCCATCGTTTCTGGCAGAAACTAGATGTATAATTCAATATCTATTGTTCCTCTTTAATTCATTGTTTTTTTTTTCTCTCCTTAAACTTTTCTCTCTCCAGTTGATACTGCTTAAACATAAAAGTAACATTTTGAACTGAATATTAACTTACTGCTTTTAACAAATCAAACTGTTCACTTCAAATCATATTATCAACTATAGTTATATTAGAATGTGAGTTGAATACAGTAGGTATTCACCTACAAATACAGTATCTGTTTTCTAAGGAAAATATGCTTTTATAAGGTATGATTGGTTCTCCTGATAAACTATATTCAAACCCTGCAGCTCTCTAACAAGAGTGGCTATTCAGTGGTGATACACTTAGCTGTGCAAACTTTACTGCTGGTTATAGACACAATAAGCATGGGTGTAAATTCTCCAGTTATAAGGATGCAGTTTTCCCTCAAACCCATAATGAAAACGTAAAACTTTCTTTAGTTTTCACAAAGCTAGAATTAATTAAATCCTAATCCTGACATAAGCCCTTTTGAAACCTAAGGAACATAATAAAAGGTGACATATTCATTTATTCATTCATGAAGTATTTTCATTCACCCGTTGAAACATGTCATTTTCTTTTCCTTCATTTAAAACAAGTCCATTTATTCATCATTGAGCTCCTATTACACGTAGTGATCACTATACTATAACATAGTGCCTTAGTGTCAAGCTCTGGAGTAGATGGCTCCACAACTTCTTACTTATGTGATCCTAGGGCAAATTACCCTCATTGAGATTCAGTTTCCTCTCCTGTGAAATGGATATAAGAAAAATGCCTGCCTCATAAGGAGTCAGTGCACTTAGAATAGAGAATGGTAGAAAGGAAGCATCTGCTACCTGTTAGTTTTCAGTATATGCCAGGCCATGGGTTTGTATTGGTGGGTAAAAAGACATGTTCCCTGTTCTTGAAAAACTTATACTCTAAGTAGTTCAGATACGCAAAGAATTATAGCTTTTAAAAAGTATGCAAATCAGCCACTACTATTTTTGAGTTCACAGCTTGGGGACTCCTACTGAAGTCTGTAGATTGGCAGGACCTGCTTCGGGGCAGCCATGACTGGCACCTATTGTAGGAAGTGCTCTAGACACACCCCAATGTCTCAGTTCCCCGGAAGCCTGTCCTCCACCTCATACCCTCTGTGCTTTGGGGAATCCACCTACAGAATTATACTGAATAAAAAATTAATCTTGCCAAATTGCCTGATGGCCAGATACTAACACCAACACCTACCTCCCCTTTCATCTCTCCCCTCTTGCCCATACATGTCACCTTTAGTATTTGAAGATAGCCTAACTAACAGGAATTTTTGAAGTATGTGCCAATCTCAGGTCCACAGGTATGCAATACTCTTGGTAAAGCACTTGAATTCTATCATTACGCAACCCCAGACACCTACTTTTTGTATTCTCTGTCATGTTCAATTAGTACACAGAAACTTACTGCCTGCCAGCCAAGAGCCTTTGGTCTCTCATTTTGTAAGAGAATAAAGCTTTTCCCCCCTTGAACATTCTATTGTCTCATGAATTCTGATGAGAATGGATTCCTTTCCAAATATAAAATCAGACAAATGTGAAAGCATCTAGAACAGTCTCTGGTCCAAAGGAGATGAACCACAGTACGTGTTGTTTCTTTTGTATAGATGATTCGTCAATCTCACTGCTAACTCCAAACAACTTAATTTCAAAGAAGGAACTCCCGACACTGACATGGTAATAAAACAGGTAGCCATTCTTTAGTTACTTGGCAATTTCTTGCTGATTTCCTAGCCAAGACCTGTAGGGAAACAGGTGCTAGAGGAGTATGGTAAACCAGCCTCTTTCCCCTGTGACTGCTGATTTTGGCAAAGGCCACAGTAAATCAGTAACCATCAGGGTGAGGGCATCTCAGACCCACATGCAGGTTTATTTTAAGCTTCTTGGCTGGCACCACTGAGACTGCTGGATCATCTCCATGTTGTCAAAGCTAACCTCCAATACCCCTAAGGGTCTTATCACCTGCCCCCAAGAACATCAGGCCAATCTGATCAAGCATTGCTCATTTTCAAATCCATCCTAGGGCAAATGGATGACTAAATGTTAAGGTTCATATTCAGGAAATGTCATTGCATTTTTGTTTATCACAGAAAGCATTTGTGTAAACAGGTGATTTTGCACATTGCTTTCTTAGTACCATACTATTTTTGAAGCCCCTTCCTCTCTCCTTCCCTACCTTCTCGACAACGTTCCTGGGTTGTTTCAGTGCTGCTTTCCAACACTTTCCAATGTTGAAGTATCAACAAGTGCTCTGGTGGCTAAAACAGTCTGGGGTCAACGCAGTAAACCCAAGGACCTGTTCTGGCCCTGGCCAGTTGGCCATGTGATAACAAACAGCACTTTTGAAGCAAGCCCAGTGGGTGGCTAAATGGAGCTCCATCTAGAAACAGGAACAAAGCCAGGCCAGAGGAGAATCAAGGTTGAGATACTAAAGAATCTCCTCCAGTTGTACCAGCAGTTGGTACCTCTGCAGAAGGGTAGTTTATTTATAATATACCTCTCACTGAACCATACAACTTTACAACCAGAGGACAAAACTTATACCTGTAAATGAGATTATTTCAAAGCTATCACTTTAGGAAGGCTTTATTCTGATTTCAAAAACACCTTGGCATTCAATACTTATGTCAAAATTCTTTTGACTATATTTAGTGGTGGCAAATACCAGTTTTTTTGAGAGTGGGTGTTATTTTTAGAAATATCCAGGTCATTCAGAACTAAGAAGAATAAGATGGGAATCAATACTATTCTGGTATAAAACCAAAGTGTTGGTTATAGTAAAACAAGTTGGAGTTTCCTGTGCAGATCTGAAAACAATTTGAAAAGGGAGTTTTAAAAGTGCTCTGAATAATGGCAATGTCAGTGTGGAATAAGGGTTGCTACTAAGGTAACAGCTTTGAAGAGGTCATTTGATATGGATGTTGGACTCTGTTTTTTTTTTGGAGATGGAGTCTCACTCTGTTGCCCAGGCTGGAGTGCAGTGCTGCAATCTCAGCTCACTGCAACCTCCACCTCCCAGATTCAAGCAATTCTCCTGCCTCAGCCTCCCAAGTAGCTGGGATTACAGATGCCTACCACCACACCCGGCTAATTTTTTGTATTTTTAGTAGAGATAGGGTTTCACCATGTTGGCCAGGCTGGTCTCAAACTCCTGTCCTCAAGCAATCCACCTGTCTTGGCCTCCCAAAGTGCTGGGATTACAGGTGTGAGCCACCGCACCTGGCCTGGATGTTGGATTCTTACTACTCTATTTCACAACCATTAAAAAAAAAAGCTTTTTGTTTTTTTTGAGACGGGAACTTGCTTACTCGCCTAGGCTGGAGTGCAGTGATGCATCACTGCTTACAGCAGCCTCAGCTTCCTGGGATCAGGCAAGCCTCCTGAGTAGCAGAGACTATAGGCAGGCGCCACCACACCCAGCTAATTGCTTTTTAGATTCTTTGTAGAGATGAGGTCTATGTTGCTCAGGCTGGTCTCTGGGCTCAAGCAATTCTTCCGCCCCGGCCTCCCAAAGTGCTGGGATTACAGGCAGGAGCCCACCAAGCCTGGCCAGGAAAAAGTTGATAAGACAACAGAGAAGTCTAGTATGTACTTCATTTCTGGGTCATAAAGCAGAAACTCTTAAAATTCCACTCACAGCTTCAGTTAAGTGGGTCTCTATGTCCACAAAGTAAGGGTTAAGAGGCAGAGATCCTCTATATAAATGAATTTAAACTGATATTCTAAGGTTCAAAGATTCTCCATTCTATTAATAACTTATTAGTACCTAACAATAGAATATAATGCACTTGGGGGCCTGGGTCTCCTACTTGCTAGGAGTTCTTAATCTAAAACACTGACCTGGACATGTCGATAATATCAAGAATAGCTAACACTTATATAACACTACATGCTATGTACTTTCTTAGCAAGCTATATATGTCAACTCTCTTAATACAGCCCTGCTATTACTTTTTACATTTTTATCTTATATGTGAGAGAATGAGGCATGCAGAGTTGCCCATGACCACACAGAAAGCTGCAGAGCTGGGAATGGAACCCAGCCAGCTTGGCTCCAGCTGCACTCTTAATCACTAGGCTACACCATCCTATGCATCTATGAAGAAGAAACCAGATACTTAAATTAAATGACAGGAAGAGTAGTGGAGAATATTTGCAATTTATGGGAAGCCCATTTGAGAAGCAAAAAGGAGAGGATGAAGGGAGGCAGATGGACCTGTAAAAACTGGGATGAAGGCCAGACAGACTAGCCACAAAAGTTCCATGGGTAACCTGGGGATGGGCAAAAACAGTCTCCTCTAGTTTATTTAGAGAACAGAGAATACAGCAACTTGAAAGATCCAGGAGTTATAAAGGACCAGTTTGGGTATATAACGTTTTTTATTACATAAAAAGAAATTCACTCCACATCATTTTGTGAACCTGACTGGCTAGTAAGAAGTTATGTGTAATAAATCAAAGTCAACTTATTGGTGAACACTAGGGAAGATAAGTGCAATGCTCTATCTGCCACTGCCAAGGAAGCTTTCAGAAGCCACTATCCCATAAAAGGGATGTATGGATGTAAGTCACTGAAGAGCCCTCGAAGATATCTTGTTTTACCACAGACAATACCAATGCCACCTTAAGTCTAATCTCATCTGAGGTGGAAACAATCTCATGGAACAGAAATGGGACTTAGAGCAGGGAATGACTTGGATGAAAGTTTTCTGACTCCAAGTCCAGTGTTCTCTCCTTGTAACCATTCAGGGCAACGGAAACAATACTGATTTCAAAACTCCTCAGAGAACGTGAGCACACATCTACGCTACAGAGATAATTCCCTCATCACAACTCCCTCTTGCTGCTGTCTACACCTGCTTCCTCTCCCTGGGGCGATAGAAAACATGATGGGCGTTAATGCTCCTAAAATCTGCAACGTATCAAACGAACGAAGCAACAGCTACTCTCGAGGTTCTTTGCTACGCCTTGTACCGCAGGCTGGGGTGAGCCGCAGGGAGTTGAGGTTCCCGTGAGGCTGGGAGCCGCTCCCGCAGCCTACCCTGGGAAGCCCGCACCCAACCGCGAGGCGCAGGGGAGGCTTGGCCGCTGGGCCGGCCACCCACACCACCGCATCCCCGCAGAGGTGCCAGAGATTCTAGGAAGCCTGCACGACAGGGGAGCAGCCCGTTCCTCGGGCCCCATGCACGCGAAGACATTGGAGCCGGCCCAGGCGCCTCCCCTCTCCCGACCCCGCAGCCTGCTCAGCCAACACCGCCGAGCTCCACAGACCACCGCTCCCTAGCGCCGCGCAGCCACACCTTCCACTCGCTGGGGGCGGGGGGGGGGGGGTCACGTGAGGCGGGCCCGGGGAACCAATGGGCGGCTCGCGCCGAATGGAAGGGATTGTCTGACCCCCGTGACGTCACAAAGCTGGCGGGGAGCGCGCTCCTCTTCCGCCCCCGCCCCACCCCCGGCCGCAGCCCTCTCCGCCTCCCCTCCCACTCGTCACTGCGCAGCCAATCGGCAGGCGGGAAGCACTCCGGCCCGAACGTGCGGGCGGGGCAGGGTGGCGGCCCCGCACGGTAGGGGAGCAGAGTGGGCAGGCCGGGGGTGAGGGCTCGCGCTCCGGGAGCTGCACGGGGCTGCGTGGAAAGAGCGCCGAGCGGTGGCGTCGTTGTCGCCCCCTCCTCGTCGGGAAGAATCGTTTGGTCTCCTGCCGTGCCCGGTTCGTATTCCCTACTCCCTGCCACGAGCCGCCCCGTCCGGGATCCTCCACCCGTCCAAAGTTGTGAGGGGGCGCCGGGCGTGCTCGCGGATCGGCGGCCGCGGGCGTGCGGAGGGCTGGACGAGCCCTGGAGCGCCAGGTGCGCGCCGGGCGTCCGGGCTGTGGGGCGGGCGTGGCGGCGCTGGGGGCCGTCGGGGGGCTGGGGGCGGGGGCGGGGGCGCCGTGCAGCCCTAGCGTCTTCCGGCCCCTGCGCTCCAGCTGTCAGCACGAAGGGCGCCGCGGGGCCGGCGGCAGAGTGAGCTCCAGGGAGGCTGTAGGGCTGCGGCACTGCCTGAGGGTCTCCCTGACGCACCCCGGGTCAGGGCTGGCCCCGCTGGCAGCCTGACACCGGCCGGCCCCTGTTCGTCTGGACTGAAACGGGCACCCCTGGGGCGGGGCCGGGCCGGGCAGGGCGGGGCGGGCAGCGGGCGGGGCTGCAGTCCATGGGCTTCGCGCCCCGGCTGGATGGAGGGGCTGGCCCTCGGGGCGCACCCCTGCTCGCGCCTGGGCCCCGCTGCCTTGGGCTGTGGCTTTGCCTCCCCGGCGGGGTGGGTTGGTTTGGTTGGCTTCCTTGTTCTCTCCACCCCTTTATCCCTCCTCCATCCTCTTCCCCCCCACCTCCCAGCCCATTCACCGGGCTGGAGCGAGACCTCGCCCCTCCTCCGCTCCCGCCTCCCCGCCGCCGCCTCCTCTAATGAGCATCTCTGCCTTGCTTTCAATGGGCCGGTGCTGCTGTCGCTGCTGCTGCCCGCGCGGGTTGTGGATGTTGTCGGCTCCGTGTTGTGATGACAGGAGAATGTGTGTGTGTCCCGGGCCCAGACGAATTGGTAGGTATTCACTTAACTACCTGCGTTGGGTACCCAGGAAGGATGGTGACAGATTTTTGTGTATGGATGGTTTTAGATGAATCAGCGTGGTATTAAGGGATGAGATAGATTGGAAAAAGGGACAAACGCGTCTTGGATTGAGATAGCTTTGATGTCTTTGTGAGTGCAGTTTTTCAGGTAGCGACAAAGGAAACTAATCAAAAAAATACTGGCGTGTGGTGCTTCGTATCTTTCTTCATTTATGTAAAAAGATAGCAGGAGCTGTGAAATGGCTAGGCATTTCCAGAAAAATGTTGAAAAATCGCGGATGGTCTTTATGTAGAGTGTTTAATGCAATCGGATTACATAAACTGGGGTTCCGACACATTAAATGATTAGCATAGCTTTTCTTTTTCATTTACATCAGAAGCTTTGCAAAGCTAAAGGGCTCTGGAGTCGGTGCCTTAATAGCATTTGCTAATTAATTTGGTCCGTGGGTCTATTGATGGAGTGGAAAAAATGTCTTGGCACAGGCTCTGCTAAGCACATCAGTAAGAATGGACGGCTCTCTTTCCTGTTTCTGGTTGCAGTGCATCTTTCTTTATTAGTCATTGGCAAAATCAGCCCAATCTGCCTGGGATGAAGATGCTACATACAACGTGGCTGAGTCTAGATCATGGAATAGGAAATTTTCCGTGAAAATTGTGATCAAGAATAACTTGCAAATTTGACACTGCTCTGTTTTACCAACAGTTGTACCTGGATGCTGTTCTTATTGCCTGATCAAGAGCCTTCTACACTAATTTAACAAGCTTGTCAGCAAAAGTTATGATGTAGAGTGTTTTCTTGTTGTTGAATCAGTGGATAATCTGAAGGATATTAAGAGTTTTTCATTGCTTACTTATTTATGAAAGCATTTGAAAGTACTTTGACTCCCAAGGGTATCTGATCTGATGGAGAGAATGTATCACTTGTACCGATGCGGATAGAACGCTCATTAATTACAGCACAGTTTTCATAAATTCCAACTTCCCTAGGAATTTTGTCTTTTGAAGGCATGTTGGAAGTTGGGGCATTAGGATATAATCTCAGTCCATGTACTAAGCCTCTGCATAACTGAAAGATAGAGTCAATAAAATTCACTCTCTCATTTTTTGTTTTTAATCTCAAGAATTTTTGCCTTGAAGGAAAAATGTAGTGGAGAATTTGATGTTTGAACGTAAGTATTGTTAAAAGCACCTGCTGTGTCAATCATTGCTTTTTGTCACTAGATTTCATTCATTTTGCAGTCAATTACAAAAGTAGAAAAGATGTCATACCAAGCCGGGTGCAGTGGCTCATGCCTGTAATCCCAGCACTTTGGGAGGCTGAGGCGGGTGGATGGCCTGAGGTCAGGAGTTCGAGACCAACCTGACCAACATGGTGAAACCCCATCTCTACTGAAAATACAGAATTAGCCGGGCAGGAGAATCGCTTGAACCAGGGAGGCGGAGGTTGCGATGAGCTGAGATCACGCCATTGCACTTCAGCCTGGGCAACAAGAGCAAAATTCCTCCCCCCGCTGCCCTCCCTCCCCCCCCCCGGCAAAAAAATGTCGAAGCAAAGGAATTTAAGGAAAGTGCAGGTTTCCAGGACTTGTTATTCCTTAATTAAACAATCAAACCCTGTTATGCATCTATCAACCCTCCCTCCCCCCCACACAAATAGTATTTTGAGTCAGTTTACGTTCCATACAGGCACATTTTCATTGTTTTTTTCTGTAAGATTCTTAAGTTTTAAAGAAAGAGCAAATGCAGTCATAAAATTATGAAGAAAAATTCATTAAGATTACATTAGTTTACATTTTTAATGATAGAAAACCTTTATTCAAAGCACAAAATGAGTTGATATGCTTTCTGCACGCAAACCTAAAAAGAGATATGGTTTAAGTATGGAAGCCACTGTCATGTGGCCCAACATTTGAGCACATCTTCTGGCTCAGTCATGTACACTTAACCTCTGGATGACTTTCAGGTATTCAGTTTGAATTTCTTTTATTTAAATGGTTACTCCTGATGGATTCCCGTTTTTCTGGAATTTCTGTTTTTCATTAGTGCATTTCAGAATGCTTTTTTAGTTACGGATTCTTATTTCCAAAATTTTAGCCATTACTTTCTATTGCCTGATCTTGTCTTCATTTTCGTAAACAAATCCCTTCTTAGATAGTGCAGTTAAAATGATGGTACTTTCTACTACTTGCAGAAGAGAATCTGTGTGGCTGGCTTATGCAGTGCTTATTACAGAAACAAACAAGAATCAGTGATTATTCAGTGTTTAGTTTTCTTTGCTTCCCTCTACCCCAATTTATTACTTTTTCTCAAATTATTCTTCAAAAAAGGTACATGAAAATAATATATGGCTGACACATGCTATGATATTTGTTTAGCCGTGGGAAGGAATAGTTGCTATTAACTCAGATGGTTTTATTTTCTGTGTTCCTTTTTGTTTATTGCATTTGTTTATTTAAAGTATTTCCAAAGTGTTTCTTTATAGTACAAATGACTATTTTGAAGCAGTATCTCAAGAATTCAGGGAAAATATATGTTATTGAGGAAGAAGAGGGATTTTTTTTCTTGCCCAAATTATCTAGATTAATGATATATTCATTAAATTTCCCAAATAAATGCCCAGAAATTATTTTCAGCGCACATAGTGAGTGATAGGATTTTTTTTAAGTTTGTAATTATATTGCTGTACCTTTTCAATCCAAACCTTAGACTATTATTTGACTATACTGCTTCCCTGGAGCAAGTAAATACCTTTTTTTTTTTTTTTTAATGTGAGAGAAAACATTTTTGGTCTTTTAAAATTTATTTTTAATTTACAATTGACACATAATATTATATATTTATGGGGTACAATGTGATGTTTCAGTGCATGTATATATTGGTAGACATTGTGTAATGATCAAATCAGAGTGATTACCATATCCAAGAAAACATTTTTCTAGGGGTTAATTCTACTTTGGATCCATAGTAGATGAAAATACTTCTATGGGTTTTCCTTATAGCTGCTAAGCAGGGAACATTGTTAGTAGGTAAATTAAGTTCTAGGACTGAAACCATTTATGTTACTAACAAAGCTTTAGAGCTACTGCAATACTTAAACTTTTTTTTTTTTTTTAATCATGAAGGGCACGGTAGAATTCAACAGTGAATAAATGAAACCTGAATTTTATTTAAAAACCTCACTTCCATAAGCATAAAGGCATGAATCCTAGAAGAGCCTTAGATAGCATCTGCTCTGTTGATGTTCCTTTACAGGTTAGAAGAGTGAGACTCAAAGATGTGAGCTGACTTTTCCAAGATTATTTGGGAGTTGGTGGCAGACCTATGCCCGTTAGCCTGGCAAATTGCCACAGTGGACTAGAGAAGCAAGTTTTGCAAGACCATCTACTGGGGTACAGGAGAGAAATACTGGAATTTCTTTTTTTATTTAATTATGTAGAAATTTTTCTATATATGTTACAATGCATATTACTGTAGTCATATATGTATATGATGTACACGTAATTCATAAATACACATATGTTTGGCTGCCTCTTAACATTTTTGGTCATAGCCATGTGTAATCATGCCAAAAATTGACCACAGGTCTATGTAAAGGGTCTTCATAAATGGAAGAAGTCCCTGTGTAAAATGGGAGATTTCAAGGCATTTTTTAAGAATAGGGAGGGAGAAGGATGATTGGTCAGGTAGACGGCTACTGCATAATGTTATATAACCTTCATCTCCTCAGCTTTCCCCAGCCAAATCTGTTGTACATTCTGCACAGTTTGTACTGCACAAAGGACGACAAAGAAAAGAGAAAATTGAAGTTTGAGTATAGGAGCCAGGAGTTCAGTCGTGGTTCCACGAATGATTGGGAGTTGTGCCTGCCAGAATATACCCTGTAGAAATAGTACATGATGTGTGTATAAAATGTAGTACCTTCTAGCAAAGGCTTAACATGTAGATTGACTTGCTTAATATTTGTTATAAAGGCAAAGCTAGATTAAGTATCCTGAAATGTAACTCTTTCCTTTGTGTACATCTGTCTAATTTGCTGTCTAGGAATCCCAGTCAGAAGTTCCAGCCTGCCACTGTTCTCTGATGCCATGCCAGCACCAACTCAACTGTTTTTTCCTCTCATCCGTAACTGTGAACTGAGCAGGATCTATGGCACTGCATGTTACTGCCACCACAAACATCTCTGTTGTTCCTCATCGTACATTCCTCAGAGTCGACTGAGATACACACCTCATCCAGCATATGCTACCTTTTGCAGGCCAAAGGAGAACTGGTGGCAGTACACCCAAGGAAGGAGATATGCTTCCACACCACAGAAATTTTACCTCACACCTCCACAAGTCAATAGCATCCTTAAAGCTAATGAATACAGTTTCAAAGTGCCAGAATTTGACGGCAAAAATGTCAGTTCTATCCTTGGATTTGACAGCAATCAGCTGCCTGCAAATGCACCCATTGAGGACCGGAGAAGTGCAGCAACCTGCTTGCAGACCAGAGGGATGCTTTTGGGGGTTTTTGATGGCCATGCAGGTTGTGCTTGTTCCCAGGCAGTCAGTGAAAGACTCTTTTATTATATTGCTGTCTCTTTGTTACCCCATGAGACTTTGCTAGAGATTGAAAATGCAGTGGAGAGCGGCCGGGCACTGCTACCCATTCTCCAGTGGCACAAGCACCCCAATGATTACTTTAGTAAGGAGGCATCCAAATTGTACTTTAACAGCTTGAGGACTTACTGGCAAGAGCTTATAGACCTCAACACTGGTGAGTCGACTGATATTGATGTTAAGGAGGCTCTAATTAATGCCTTCAAGAGGCTTGATAATGACATCTCCTTGGAGGCGCAAGTTGGTGATCCTAATTCTTTTCTCAACTACCTGGTGCTTCGAGTGGCATTTTCTGGAGCCACTGCTTGTGTGGCCCATGTGGATGGTGTTGACCTTCATGTGGCCAATACTGGCGATAGCAGAGCCATGCTGGGTGTGCAGGAAGAGGACGGCTCATGGTCAGCAGTCACGCTGTCTAATGACCACAATGCTCAAAATGAAAGAGAACTAGAACGGCTGAAATTGGAACATCCAAAGAGTGAGGCCAAGAGTGTCGTGAAACAGGATCGGCTGCTTGGCTTGCTGATGCCATTTAGGGCATTTGGAGATGTAAAGTTCAAATGGAGCATTGACCTTCAAAAGAGAGTGATAGAATCTGGCCCAGACCAGTTGAATGACAATGAATATACCAAGTTTATTCCTCCTAATTATCACACACCTCCTTATCTCACTGCTGAGCCAGAGGTAACTTACCACCGATTAAGGCCACAGGATAAGTTTCTGGTGTTGGCTACTGATGGGTTGTGGGAGACTATGCATAGGCAGGATGTGGTTAGGATTGTGGGTGAGTACCTAACTGGCATGCATCACCAACAGCCAATAGCTGTTGGTGGCTACAAGGTGACTCTGGGACAGATGCATGGCCTTTTAACAGAAAGGAGAACCAAAATGTCCTCGGTATTTGAGGATCAGAACGCAGCAACCCATCTCATTCGCCACGCTGTGGGCAACAACGAGTTTGGGACTGTTGATCATGAGCGCCTCTCTAAAATGCTTAGTCTTCCTGAAGAGCTTGCTCGAATGTACAGAGATGACATTACAATCATTGTAGTTCAGTTCAATTCTCATGTTGTAGGGGCGTATCAAAACCAAGAATAGTGAGTGGCTCTTTCACTGGCAATTCTCAAATGATATACATTTAAAGGGCAGATTTTTTAAAAAGATACTACTATAATAAACATTTCCAGTTGGTCATTCTAAGCATTTACCCTTTTGATACTCTAGCTAGTCAGGTACTCCAAATTGACTTTGCAGCAGGGTGGCAGGGTCAGGAGAGTCTGGTCCTGCCTAGCTCAGATTTCATGGCACCTGCACTTGAAGCAAGTCACTTCTTTATCACAGGTGTCTTGAAACATTAGCTTCTTTTACCAACCTGAGAAAATTAGGATGACCTGGCAAATAAGATCTTGAATAGGCCAAAAGCAAGTATCTTGCTGTGTGTAGTCTCTTGGTTAAAGTGAAGAAACAGTACTGTTCACACCTTTCTTCACTGAGATTCCAGTGTACATGAGAACATATATTTATTGCATGATTTTCTAGATACACAGTCTATGCATTATTCATATACATTTATTTTAGCCTAAAGTGGTTTTCAAATCCAGTTCTTCAAGCCATAAATGACCAAGATCCAAGCAATCTGAATTTGTTTTTGTGATTATTTGACTGGAATGCTTCTTAAGTGGAATAACTATACTCCGTTATCCACCCGATTTCCTAATGTAATTGAAAGATTTTCTATTTTGCCACACACTTGGAGACAATAAGGGTTTTTAGTTTTATCTACTCTTCTATTGAAGTTAAAGAAAGAAAAAAAGATTTTTTTATTTGTATTAATGAAAAGCTTTAGTTTAAAATAAGGAGATCCAGAATAAAAAGAAGAGACTGATCTCTTCAATTATTGTCATCTGTAGCCACCAGCACATCACTCTTATGTAATCCCCAAAGGCTTGGCATGCCGTAAGTGTGTGGTGGGTAGACTGCTGCCGGGGAATCGTACTTCTTATTTAGTAATGATAAGACTTTTCATTATTTTTGGAATTTTAAAGATGACATAAATAAGTTTAAATATCAATTTGGGGAGTAAGGTTTAATATTGCCATCGGGTATTGAGACAGGAGGAAGTTTCTGTTTTTCTCCATTTAGACATAGGTCAATTAAAATATTTGGGTTTAAAATGACTAAATGCTTTAAACATATTGTAGCTTAAGATATATGTGTTAAGATATATACATGAGAAACTTTAAAAGGTAACTACTGTGCATGCCTGATGCTTAATAGAATACTTAGTGGCATCAAATGTTTGCAGCAGTCTCCATAATTATATTCAGTCCCTTCTAATACTGTATCAATGTAAATGAAATAAATATATTCAAATTGGCTTTTTGATATGCATCAAGTGGCATTTTGTTCCTGTGTTTAATAGTGATCTGTATACAGCTGTGCACATATTGTCATCACTTATTCTAGCATCACTGTTAAGGCTGTGATTATGTTTGATATTCACCTGGATTTTAATACAAGCCAATATCAGCTTCCCATTGTGTAATAACTTGGGTGTTTAGGAGTCTTTTCACATTTTTTGGGGATATGAACTAGATGTTCAAGAACTCCTTCTGGACTGTGGATACTGAATCAGTGTACTATTGGCTGCAGAATTTGTTTCAATTGAAAATAGACTCAGGAAGATTGCTGCTCAGAATATCATATAATGTTTATTTTTTGAGGTGTTTTTGTTTTTATTTGTGTGTTTTTTTTTTTTTAAGTCAGCTTGGAACTTTTTTCCTGGGTAGTATTTGGGAGAGGGAAAGGCTGTACTATATATTTATTTCTAAATGTTTTGACTGGGCATTTTTCTTTTAATGAAATATGTGGACTGCTCTAGCAAACCCTATTTTCAGCTACTATTTGAATATTCTTGAACACCACCACTGAAGAGTTTCATATACACCAAATAATGTCTCATCTCTATAGTACAGGGAATATAAAATTGGTTTCCTGTGGTCATGATCAAGATAGTAGTATTATTACACAAGAAACTTGGTCTGCAGTCTGGAAGCTTGTCTGCTCTATAGAAATGAAAATGCAGCATGAAGTTGACATTGTGGAAATGAAAGTAATTGGGTATTAGAAATCTGAAAGTACTGTCATCTAAAAGCAATTGTGATTTTATTGTAATTGGTTGTCACTGTTGTACGGTGTCTAGAATTAAAGAATACATGTAAACTTTCATGGTATTTAGCCTTTCTTAAATTTTTTTAAAATTTAAACTTTCTAACCTATGTATTCAACTTCTGTATTTATATTTAATCAGTGGTTCATGTTATATAATACACCCTTAACTAGTTAAATGGAATGTTGGTATGGTACAGAGTACCATATTGCTAAGAAAACTGTCTTATAAAAGATGTATATGTGTGAAGACATGAAAGTTTAATGTACAGAATGGTTGGAGAAATGCCTATGGTGAATTAAAGCTTCATATCTGCTTTCTGAATGTCCTGTGTTGGTTTTTAATAACAAGATTGATTAGATGCTTCCTATGTGTGGTAGATTATATTTAATTTTAGGACCCAGTAGATACATAGTACTTCAAATTTGTAAAAATTGAGGTAAAATTTTTTTTCTTTTTTTTTTGAGATGGAGTCTCGCTCTGTCACCCAGGCTGGAGTGCAGTGGTGCGATCTCATCTTACTGCAGCCTCTGCCTCCTGGGTTCAAGCAGTTCTTCTGCCTCAGCCTCCCAAGTAGCTGGGACTACAGGTGCGGGCCACCACACCTGGCTAATTTTTGTATTTTTAGTAGAGATGGGGTTTCACCATGTTGGCCAGGCTGGTCTTCAACTCCTGACCTTGTGATCCACCCGCCTCGGCCTCCCAAAGTGTTTGGATTACAGGTGTGAGCCACCATGCCTGGCCAAAATTGAGGTATAATTTAAACAAAATGCACAGATTTAAAATTTGCGATGTAACATTTGGTAACACCCCAACAAAGATATAAAACTTTTTCTTCAGAAAATTCCCTATGCCCCTTTCCATTAATCCCTCCCCTCATAAGTATCATTCCACTTCTCTCACCATAATTTTGCTTCTAGAAATTTATATAAATCATACATGTACTTTTTTTTTTTTTCAGACAGTCTTGCTCTGTCGCCCTGGCTGGAGTGCATGATCTCGGCTCACTGCAGCCTCCGCATCCTGGGTTTGAGCAATCATCCTGCCTCAGCCTCCCAAGTAGATGGGACTACAAGCATGTGCCACCACACATGGCTAACTTTTGTATTTTTGGTGGAGACGGGATTTCACCATGTTAGCCAGACTGGTCTCAAACTCCTGACCTCAAGTGATCTGCCCACATCAGCCTCCCAAAGTACTGGGATCACAGGCGTAAGCCACTGCACCTGGCCCACATATGTACTTTTTATGTTTTACTTTTGCTCAATTTTTGGAGATTCACTTATGTTGTTGATTGTATTCATAGTCTGTTCCTTATTACTGGGTAGCATTCCAGTGTTTGAATGTATCACAATTTATCCATTCTCTATTGATGGATGTTGTCAGTCTCCCCCTGCCCCCCTTTAAAGATAATTTTTAGATTAATAATTCTCAGAAATGCTGTTTGGTTAAGGTGTAGCTTTAACTTTGCAAATAATGATTACAGGTAAGTTTTCTGTTAAAGCTTTGATGATAGGACCCTTAATGCCCTTAAAACAAATGGTGGGAATTTTTCATGGTGAAAAGTTCAGTGGGATTAAGGCGTGGCCCTTTGCTATTGGCCTCTTTGTTCCTCTCCCACTGAGAAGTTTGTTGAGTTCATTAAGCTTGGTAGATGATTGTGTTAATGACAAATTGAGAAAATGGCAAATTATACCTTGGTGGGTTTTTTGTCTTTTTTAAGAGAGTCTCACTCTGTTACCTAGACTGGCATGTAGTGGTGTGATCACAGCTTATTGCAACCTCAACCTCCTAAGCTCATATAGCTTGGTTTTTGATGGTTTGGGTTTATCACTGCATTGGCCATAGCTATGACTAGGGATGAGGAAGGAAGAGGATGAAGTGCTGACTGTTGGGGATGGGGTGACTGACTTGAGTATTTCTGCTTTCATTAAACAAAGTTAACACTGCTTAGAATGAGCTTCCATGTTCACTAGTCAAACAAATACCTGAATGTGGGTTGTTCATTTGTCCTTGGGTATAGCAAGAGGATCTAGGTAACTGTTATTCTCTCTATAGGTTGACATATTTAATTCTGACCTTTTTCATAAATACTAGAGCAATAGCTATTCATTGTAGAGTTTTTCAGACCTTCAAAAGTTACATTCTGTTAAAATTGATGCAGTGGTGCTTTTACTACCTAAACAAGCTGAATAAATGAAGACGTTTTATGGCATCAGAATTGGCTTGTTACAGTATGAAAATCATTTCCTGTTTTCCTTTCAGAATGTACTTTAAAAGGCAAGCTTAAACCTATTAAATCCTGTCTGTCCAGTTCTTACGACAATGCAGTTTATAACCCTGGATTGAATCATAATGCATAGCATTATTTTCTAAATAGCTCTCAAATTACAAGTCTTCAAAACAAATATATTAGGAATGATGAAATTTGTATACTCCATATGCCATTAAAAATGGTTATCCATGGCCAGGCATGGTGGCTCACACCTGTAATCCCAGCACTTTGGGAGGCCAAGGCGGGTGGATCACAAGGTCAGGAGATCGAGACCATCCTGGCTAACACGGTGAAACCCCATCTCTACTAAAAATACAAAAAATTAGCCGGGCGTTGTGGTGGGCGCCTGTAGTCCCAGCTACTCGGGAGGCTGAGGCAGGAGAATGGCGTGAACCTGGGAGGCGGAGCTTGCAGTGAGCCAAGATTGCACCACTAAACTCCAGCCTGGGCGACAGACAGAGCAACACTCCATCTCAAAAAAAAAAAAAAAAAAAAAAAGGGTTATCCAATGCATGTATATTAAGGTCCACACAATTTAGGCTCAGTTATTTAGCCAATATTTAGGTTCATAAATGGTCCCCATCCAACCCTTGACTCCCAGAAGCTCCCTATGCACAGAATGAGAGAAGCGTTCCTTTGAGGGTCCACCAGGAACTGTAGCTGCTATTTGTGAGTATCAGGTACCCAGCTCCAAAAGGACTGGATATTTCATCTTAGTTTACCTTACTACCCCTACCCAAAGGCGGGTGGAGGAGACAGTTTTCTATCCAGGATCCTGCCCAGACTCATGAGTTCTCTGCTTTTCTTTCTTTTCTTTTCTTTTTTTTTTCTTTTTGAGAGAGAGCTTCACTCTTCTTGCCTAGGCTGGAGTGCAGTGGTACAATCTAGGCTCACTACAACCGCCTCCTGGGTTCAAGCGATTCTCCTGCCTCAGCCTTCCGAGTAGCTGGGATTGCAGGCATGTGCCACTACACCTGGCTAATTTTGTATTTTTAGTAGAGACAGAGTTTCTCCATGTTGGTCAGGCTGGTCTCGAACTTCCGACTTCAGATGATCTGCCTGCCTCGGTCTCCCAAAGTGCTGGGATTACAGACGTGAGCCACTGTGCCCAGCCAGTTCCCTGCTTTTCTAAAATATACCCGGTTCACTGACTTTCTGCCTGTAACAGATGCTCAAAGTGCACAAATACTAAAGTGTGAGGTTAGTGATCACATTCAGCCTTTCAGAAACTTTAAACCCTGGGCACTAGCAACAAGCAGTCAAGAAGAGTCAACTAAAGATTTTATCTCATCTGTGGCGATGAACCAGATTGTCTTTTTGAAGGCCAGGAACTGTTTTATTTGCTGGCAGTGTTGCCTCAGAGACCAGCCTTCCAGCGTGAACACTGAGAAGAATGGGAAATGTGACAAGAGACCTAAGCTGGGAAAAACAAGAAAAGTGAGGGAAGGGAAAGAATGGTATTGGCAATTGCTGTAGTGATTACAGAGGCAGTAATGGGGTCAGGGAGCACCAGATCCTAATACTTTGGAACAGTGACAAGGATGAGAGCAAAGCACCGGAAAGACAGCAGTGAGCTAAATAGTAACAAGGTAAAGGACTTTAAAAATCATTTTTGGCCAGGCACGATGGCTCATGTCTGTAATCTCAGCACTTTGGGAGGCTGAGGTGGGTGAATCACCTGAGGTCAGGAGTTCAAGAGCCCCCTGGCCAACGTGGCGAAACCCCATCTCTACTAAAAATACAAAAAAATTAGTTGGGCATGGTGGTGCATACCTATAATCCCAGCTACTTGGGAGGCTGAGACAGGAGACTCACTTGAACCCGGGAGGCGGAGGCTGCAGTGAGCCAAGATTGTGCCACTGCACTCCAGCCTGGTGACAGAGCAAGACTCCGTCTCAAAAAAAAAAAAAAAAGGCCGGGCACGGTGGCTCACACCTTTAATCCCAGCACTTTGGGAGGCCGAGGAGGGCAGATCACAAGGTCAGGAGATTGAGGCCATCCTGGCTAACACAGTGAAACCCCGTCTCTACTAAAAATACAAAAAAATTAGCCAGGCGTGGCGGCGTGCGCCTGTAGTTCCAGCTGCTGGGGAGGCTGAGGCAGGAGAATGGCATGAACCCGGGAGGCGGAGCTTGCAGTGAGCTGAGATCACACCACTGCACTCCAGCCTGGGCGACAGAGCAAGACTCTGTCTCAAAAAAAAAACAATCATTTTTCAACCCTTATGTGCACATATTTTATGGTAGGGCAGCAGCAATTGACATTAGCATGGCCATTTAGTCCTGGTCCATTAGATAAGCAAAAAGGAAAGTCTTTGAAACTGACCACATGGAGAGGGATCTGTGGTACCCAGAAGGATAGTTTTCTCCAAAGAACTTTGCTTAGAAATTATTTTTCTTTGCTCCAAACCTGTAGATAAGTTAAATAGCCTAATTTAGCCTGATGAAAACAGAGATGGGATCATTAAGGCCCTGGTGTCAGTAGAGACAGAGCTGTGAGACCGAGCAGGCCAGAGAGAATGAGGTTTATTAAAGCAGGGCCTTGTTGACCATAAAGTCAGAGCCCTGTGGCTCTGGGCATAACCAGAAAACACACTGATGTTGCAGCCATACTAATACTAACAGTAATCACAACCGTTGTTTCTTGTGTACCTACTATGTGCCTGGTTCTGTGAAAAGTACACTGTGTACATGTTCTCATTTTATCCTTGTGCCAGGTAGTGTCTGGCCCTTCAATCCCTTCTCTGGCTGTCCCTGCCCTGCTCTGTGGACCAGGAAGCCAGACCCTACAGGCTGTAGCTCCCAGGGCTCATTTGCCTCCTGATTGCCATTTCAGTTCAACCAACAGGTAACACCAGCAGATGATCAGAGGGTGGGATGAGAGAGAGGCTGGGATATTTCTTCCTTATTCCCTCCATGCTGTGGGCTGCATCTCCAGCCTTAGCTGTAACTCTCACACTGTACTGCTCGTCTTCCATGATTCCAAGCCTCAGTGGGCCCAGGTAACATTATTTTCTTCCGTTGTCCTTTCAGCCTTAGGGAGGGTAATGACTTCTACTGTTGCTAGTCTCCTGGTGCCCCACCATCCTTTGTTTGTTCCTTTACTCTTGTTCAAATCTCTGTAAGAAATCCATTCATTTGAAACATCTAGGGTGAAGTCAGTTTCCTGCTGAGACCTGACCAACATAAGCTTCAAAGCAAGCTGAAGTATTATATCCTCTATTTTAGCCAGCACAAAGAGGCTAGGTAACACGTCCAGCATCACACACCAAACAAATTCACGTCTGTGTTTTTCAAAGCCGGCATGTTTAATCAACACAGCATGCTGCCTGGCCTCTCCATGTAACCAGAATGATTCCTTTGGAATCGAGAAAGCCTGAGGCCTAAGTGGCCAATAAGCAAGTGATTCCTTGAGAAGCAGAAACCAAGATTGACATAGCCCAGCAGTTAACATAGCACACAAGGAATGGAGCCCCACACAGATGGAAGGAGTGAGCTGGGTGCAGAAAAAACAGAATTATGGTTTTATAGGTTAGAACCAGTTGTTTCTCACTTAGCAGTGCATTGCATACACAGGTACATGTTTCTTAGTGCCTTGTTTCAATTGTCCAGGCACTGAGGATAGGTGTTAGGGGTGAAAGGTGGTTAAAAGGTAGGGTCTGCCTTCAAGGAGCTCACAGTTTGGAGGGAAAATTACCATTGCATAAAATAATAATTACCCTTTGGTAATTAGGGATGATTCAGAAACTGAGACAAATACAAAATTTCAACAATAATCCAGAAAAAAGAGTGACTCTGTCCTGATGTGCCATAGTGACAAGGCAGGCCCTAGAGAGTCAGGGAAGTTTCATTAGAAGGGACAGTGCTTGAGCAGAGATTTTAAAGGGGAAAAGGGGTTTGCCAGGCAGAAAAGAATCCAGGGGCCAGGCTTGGTGGCTCACGCCTGTAATCCCAGCACTTTGAGAGGCCGAGGTGGGTGGATCACCTGAGGTCAGGAGTTTGAGACCAGCCTGGCCAACATGGTGAAACCCCTTCTCTACTAAGAATACAAAAATTAGCCAGGTGTGGTGGCACATGCCTGTAATCCCAGTTACTTGGGAGGCTGAGGCAGGAGAATCGCTTAAACCCAGGAGGCAGAGGTTGCAGTGAGCCAAGATTGTGCCATTGCACTCCAACCTGGGTGACAGAGCAAGACTGTGTCTCAAACAAACAAACAAACAACAATTAAAAAAAAGAAGAGAATTGAGGGATGACTTTCTTGGAAGAAGGCAGAACTCGTGTTTGAAGAGCTCTGAGTGCCTTTCATATGGGTAGAACATGCACTGGTGGGGAGCTGTGGTGGGTGATGAGGTGGAAAGGTAGAAACAGCACAGAAGAGCCCTAAGCAAATACACAGTCACTCTGGAGCACTTTTGCAGCCAGCAAAACTTTAGAGACAGAACTGCTTGAGAAGGCAGAGGTCAACCAAGACAAGCATGGGATGCAAGAGTTGGTGGAGGCAGGCGTGGGAGGAAGAAGGACAAAGGAAGGTCAGCTGGACCCGTGCCAGGCTGAGATCTGGCTTCTAGCCACTCACAGATAGGAGCCTAGACGGATTTAAGTGAGGAAGTGTTGATGGTTAAACAAGAGAACATCCGTGTGATTTGCATATTGCCATTAGTCATTCGTGGGTCTGCAGTCAAATTTAGTAACCTGGTGTTTAATTCAAACATAGGCATATTTTTGTTCCCCTCAGTTCCTTGGCTACTATAGTACACTTACTGAACACTACTCAGGTATTGGGCAACTTAAAAGCCACTGAACCTGAGTAACCTACCAGCCATCCATCAAAGTCTTGGACCATGATAGCTGGATTGAATTACCAGCCACAGGCTGGTTCAGTCCAATCTAGCAAGTGTGTATTGGGTTCCTTCATTGTTTTAGGTACTAGGGATACGTGGTAATCAGCCTTCAGGATGGCTCTCAGTGACCCCTGCCTCCTGGTATTTACATCCTGCGTAGTCAATACACTCCTAGGATTGGGTTAGAGTATAGCAGATGAAATGGGATGGCCCTCCTGATATTAGATTGTAAAAAGACACTGCAGCTTCTGTCTTGGACACTGCTTTGCTCTTGGATAACTGACTCTAGGAAGAGCCATGCTGTGCGCAGCCTTCTAGAGAGGCCCATGGAGAAAGGGACTGAATCCTTCTTCCAACAATCACATGAGTGAACTTGGAAGCAGATTTTGCAGTCCCAGTGACGTCTTCATGGCTGCACCCTTAGTCAACAGCATGACTGTGACCTCATGAATGACCTTGAGCTAGAAAAGCTGCTATCAGGTTCTAAACCCTCAGAAACTGCGTGAGAAATAACTTTGTTGTTTTAGATGCTAAGATTTGAGTTAATTTGTTACACTTTTGAGAATTTTACAGTTTGGTCACACAGACACTGATTATTTGACTGTGTCTCCAACTTGGATTACCTGGTAAACAAGATGTGCAATGACCAAATAAGTCACATATTTAAAGGTCACTTGGGTTCAAAGAAATGGAGGTAGATCTATACATACTCTCATGAAAAGACTTCTGAGACATATGTAGTAGAACAAGTCAAATTGTATAATACGGTCTTTATTTTTATTTATTTTTTTTGAGACAGTCCTGTCACCCAGGCTGGAGTATAGTGGTGCAGTCTTGGCTCACTGCAACCTCCATCTCCCAGGTTCAAGTGATACTCATGCCTCAGCCTCCCGAGTAGCTGGGATAAAAGTGTGCACCACCACGCCTGGCTAATTTTTATATTTTTAGTAGAGACAGAGTTTCGCCATGTTGGACAGGCTGGTCTTGATCTCCTGACCTCAAGTGATCGTCCCGTCCCCACAAAGTGCTAGATTACAGGTGTGAACCACCGCGCCTGGCCCTGTGGTCTTATTTATGTTTTTAAAAAAAGCATCTCCAGTTTTCTAGATTGTCAATGAAAGGGAATTCCACTGGGGGAGGAGCAGCTGACAAGCCAACCCATGACCCCCTGCAAGTCACTTTCACTTTGGGTAATTTCTGCTAATTTGCTATTACTAATCCTTGAGATTCTCAGCAGGTATATTTACACATTAAAATTCGATATTTGAAAACACATCTGTTTAACACTGTTCAAAATCATTTTAGGCGAAAGTTTTGTTACAGGAATTAATAGTATGGTTAATAAATAAGTGATATATAATGTAAATGTATCAGGCCTCACTGGCCTGTGACTGTAAAATAAGGTCACATGTCATTATAATTTTTTAAATTGAGGTAAGATTAACATGCAATAAAAAGCCCAGATCTTAGAGGATTGATAAGTTCCAACAATGTCATACACCTGTATAACCACCATCAAAATAATATATAAGACAATTTCTTGTTGTCTTTTTCATTTACTGCTCCTTGTAGAGCAGGGCTCTCTCAACAAGCAGTGTGCCCAGAGTATCCAGGACATTTTCATGGTCCCAGAAAGTTCCCTTGTGCCCCTTTCCAGTCACTGCATTTCCCTGCAACTGCAAACATGCTGATTTTCATCACCATAGAAATTAGATTTCATATAAATGGAATCTTATATCAGCATCATATTTTTGAGATTTATACATGTGTATCTTAATAATTTGTTCCTTTTGTTGTTGAGTAATATTCCATTGTTTGACTGTACTAACTTTGTTTATCCACTCACCTCTGGATAACATTTGGGTTGTCCAGTTGTTGGCTATTATGAACGAGGCTGCTATAATATTCTTGCATAAGTCATTTTGTGGGCATATGTTTTCATTTCTCCTGGCTAAATACCTACAAGTGGAATTACTGGGTCATAGGGTAGTTGTACGTGGAACTTTAAAGAAACTGCAGTTCTCCCAAATGTATGAGCCATTTTACAACACCACCAGCAATATATGAGAGTTTACCATTGCTCCACATCCTCATTCACATTGGGTGGTATTCGTGTTGTTTATTTCAGCCACTCTAGTGGGTATAAAGTGGTATCTCATTGTGACAACCAAAGGTGTTGAGCACATTTTCTCATGTATCATTTTTATACCTGAAGTGTGATGATCTGAACTTGAGTGCTGCAAATTAGCTTTCTTTCTACTGGTGTCTTCCAGTTCTTTCCAGCCGGATGCAGGCAATACCTCACAGGTTCCCACAAGTCAGTCAGTGGGTGCGAGTCAACCTTTCCCTTTATTCCCTAGGCTCCTTAACATTCAAGGCTCCTTATGTCCTCTTTGATGTTTCCCATTATGGGTTCTGTGCCTATAAATGGGGTGAGGTAGGCAGGGTTCTATGCCTATAAATGGGGTGGGGTAGGCAGGGTTCTGTGCCTATAAATGGGGTGGGGTAGGCGGGAGTGGGGGTTGGGTGGGATGTGAGTGCGTCATCTGTTGCCTGGTTACAGGGATCTGTTCCCTCTCCCTGGTAATTTGGGAAACTAAAGCACACTGTAGTTTCCACTGCATCAGAATGGACTCCAAGCTTCCTCATTTTTTCTTCTTCATTTCCCCAGCACTAGCTTACCTATCATCACCAACCCCGATTTAACTTGTTTCATCACATTATATGTATGACAATTGTTTGAGTCATTAGTTTTTCTTTTACTTTCTTTGAAAGGCAAATTAAAATCAGTGTTAGGAAGACACAACCTAAAAGTAACAACTTACGTAGGATGAATTGCATCCCAGAAATATGGGCATCTATCCAGTTTCAAAGGCCTCCACTGACAGAAAGTTTTCCATGAAAGAAAAAAAGTCTTAATCTTTTTAAATCTAGTTTTAATTACTCATTTAATAAGCTTTCTACAACTTCCTGTCCTGGAAATATCTGGTAACAGGGAATGGAATTGAAGCTACTAATTCAGCTTTCTGTAGTCAGTAGATAATAGCCACAGATCAGAAGCACCTGTGGTCAGGCGCCAGATTTTTTTTTTTTCTCTCGCTCTCTGTTTCTTGGCACTTAGCCCAGTGCTTGAGTTTCATGTGTGGTGCAAGGTCAGAAACAACCAGGTTCACGCACATTTGTGTCTTCCCACAGTGTAAGACTTTTATTGATGCTATTTCAATCACAAAAGCCACAAGCGGCATGGAGTTCCCAAAGAGGTGAGTCTCCTTAGTATTTCCTGTTCAGTCGTGAGTCAGAGCTGTGGGCACACAGGCTCAAGCCATTTCACAAGTCAGTCAACATTGCAGACTGTACATAATAGTACACTTAATCAATATATAAATGAATAGATTAAACATTCCACAAAGTATTTTTTAAAATCAAGAGAAAAGAAGTAGGAGAACTAGGACTGGAAAAGAACTAGGACTGGTTAACAAACCACTCCAGGGAGTGCTAGGAAGTTGCAAAGAATCTCCTGGTTTGGGTTGGGTGGTTCGTAGGACTTTCAAGGAAGAATCTTTCATGTGGCAGAGGCTTCAGTGGCAGATTCTGAGTTCTTATGAGTGACAGCAAGACAGTGTCAGTTAAGATGGCTGTTTGAAGCTGCTGAAGGCCTGCTCTTTTTATGACCAGAGTCCTCTAGTGACGACTGATAGTGGAATAGTATGCTTGGTTATGTCCTTATCTGGTTGAATGTAGTTCTTATTTTCTGTTTATTAAGCAAAACATCTTATCCTTGTTGACAAAGTCCCCTATGGAATAGCAAATTGAGGCCAGGCACAGTGGCTCACGCCTGTAATCCCAGCACTTTGGGAGGCCAAGGTGGGCAGATCACCTGAGGTCAGGAGTTCGAGACCAGCCTGGCCAACATGCTGAAACCCTGTCTTTACTAAAAATACAAAAATTAGCTGGGCCTGGTGGTACACGCCTGTAATCCCAGCACTTTGGGAGGCCAAGGTGGGCAGATCACCTGAGGTCAGGAGTTCGAGACCAGCCTGGCCAACATGCTGAAACCCTGTCTTTACTAAAAATACAAAAATTAGCTGGGCCTGGTGGTACACGCCTGTAATCCCAGCCACTCGGGAGGCTGAAGCAGGAGAATCGCTTGAACCCAGAAAGTGGAGGTTGCAGTGAGCTGAGATCATACCGTTGCACTCCAGCCTGGATGACAGAGCAAGATTCCATCTCAAAAAAAAAAAAAAAAAAAGCAAATTGAGTCTTTTTCTAAGATGGAGTTACATAATTATGTCCAAGGTGCTCTATACACTGAGCTCTAATTGGGCTGCAGAACACGCCTACCAAATTGAAAGACTTTCCAGTTTTATTAACATTTTTCCTAATGGATATTCCCTCCCTACAATTTCTTAAAGGTATGATCCAGCAACTATCTAATTTTTAAAATAGTTTTAGTATTAATTGTTCTTTCTTTCCAGAAGTAAATAATGACTTTACTTCTCCTGGAAGTAAAGTCTCTCCTCTTACTTTAAATTTAAGTAAATAAGTTTAAATTGTCAACATTTCCAGCAATGGAGACTTTTATGTTAAAAAGAGAGGCATAAGAGTCCGTCTTTTTGATTGCTCAAAATAAAGTCTAGATTTGGGCATGAATGTTATTTTAATTTCCAGGTGGAATGTGATTGATTATTCTCAGCCTGTTTAAAAAAGAAATTTTAGGCTTTATTTCTATCATGTAGACAGACCCTAAGTGTTGATTGTAGAAAATTAGAAAATACATGTAAGCAAACATAATTAATAGATAATCAGAGTCAACAATTATCTTGCTATCCAGTGATGACAATTGTATACAATTCCATGTATATCAGGAGACAGTGTAGGAGAGTGGAATTAACAGTGGCTTACCCACAAGTTTACCTGGATTTGTGTCTCAAGTTGACCACTTCCTGGAAACATTTTTACCTTTTGTTGCCTCAGATTCCTCATCTATAAAATGGGGCTAACAATGGTATTTTCTTCATGGGCTTTTTGTGAGGATTACATGGAATAATGTATATATGAAAGGCTTGGCAACAGACAAAAATGCTCTAGAAGCTCTTTTTACTATTATCCTTCCTTTTTTTTTTTTTTGAGATGGAGTCTTGCTGTGTTGCCCAGGCTGGAATGCAATGGCATGATCTCGGCTCACTGCAATCTCCGCCTCCCAGGTTCATGCCATTCTCCTGCCTCAGCCTCCCAAGTAGCTGGGACTACAGGCACCCGCCACCACACCCGGCTAATTTTTTGTATTTTTAGTAGAGACGGGGTTTCACCAGGTAAGCCAGGATGGTCTCAATCTCCTGACCTCATGATCCACCTGCCTTGGTCTCCCAGAGTGTTGGGATTACAGGTGCAAGCCACCGTGCCCAGCCGTATCTTATTTTTTCAATGTTTTTATGGTAATAACCTGAGTTAATATTTAGTTGTTGGGTTTCTTTTTTACTGAATTAGTTTTAATATTTAAAAAAGTAGTAATAATTTAAGTGACTGGATTTTGATTTTTTTAATGCTTTTTGCTCTTTTTCTTAGTAGCAGAGAGAATTTCCATTTTTTAGTGGAAATTTACAGAATATGACTATGTGATACTTCCACTTTATGGAGTCTTTAAGTAGGCAGATTAATACTTTACAAACAAAAACTACCAGCCTGAGACCTAGCCCCTGACCCTTCCTAGTTCATCTATTGCTGAGCTTCCTGCCCTGCCAAGACTCTCTCTCAGCTCCCTCCCACCCCACTTTGGCTGTCTCTCACTAGCCCACTGCCTTTCTTATCTCTGGTCCGAAGAATAAGCTGGTTATGCCATCACATGCTTCCCAGTGGGGCTAGGCTGTCATGCATCACTGCTCACAGCTTTGCCAGTGCAAGTTCAGCCAAGAAGTGATCTAATTCCAGAGTGAGCTGAACCACAAAGTCCCCCAGAGGTCAGTAACCATGACCAACAGATTCATTTGGGCTGCCAAGTTCTTACTTCTTTGTTTTTTGTTGGGAAGGGGTTTATAGTTTATTATGATTTACAAGTGTCATTTTAAAAACATTAGTCCATTTAAACCATGTAGAAATAAGTTTTCGAAAAGTCTGAAAAACAAAACATATTTTAAACATGTTTTTTGTTTTTGTTTTTTTTTTGAGACGGAGTCTCACTGTCGCCCAGGCTGCAGTACAATGGTGCGATCTTGGCTCACTGCAACCTCCGCCTCCTGGGTTCAAGCAATTCTCCTGCCTCAGCGCCCCAGGTAGCTAGGATTACAAGCGTCTGCCACCAAGCCCAGCTAATTTTTGTATTCTTAGTAGGGACAGGGTTTCACCATGCTGGTCAGGCTGGTCTCGAACTCTTGACCTCAGGTGATCCACTTGCCTTGGCCTCCCAAAATGCTGGGATTACAGGCATGAGCCACCACGCCTGGCCATAAACATGTTTAAGTAGATAGATTATCTGAAATTCCAGATTGTTCAGTCATTTCATTGTTGTGCTATGACAGCCAAGTAATCCTTAACTTCAGTTGGAGTAATCCTCCCAAATCAGCTTCATTGCAGATTCCAACTTCTATGTTATCCTCTGTCATTTGCCCTTCAAAGCTTTCCTTGAGGTGTTAAGATGGCTGTATTGAAAAAAAGAATCAAACTGTAAAATAGTAAAATATTTGAAGAGATTTATTCTGAGCCAAATATGAGTGACCAGGACCCATGACACAGCCCTAGGAGGTCCTGAGAACATGTGCCCATGGTGCAGCTTGGTTTTATACCTTTTAGGAAGACATGAGACTTCAGTCAAATACATTTAAGAAATACATTGGTTTGGTCCAGAAAGGCAGGACAACTTGAAGGTTGGGGTGATGGACTTCCAGTTATAGGTAGATTTAAAATTTCCTGGTTGACAATTGGTTGAGTTTATCTAAAGACCTAGGATCAATAGAAACGAAGTGTCTGGGTTGTAGAAGAGGTTGTGGAGACCAAAGTTTTATCATGCAGATGAAGCCTCCAGGTAGTAGGCTTCAGAGAGAATAGACTCTAAATGCTTCTTATCAAACTTAGGGTCTGTATTGATGTTAATGCCACAGAGGTATAATGAGGCCTGTCCGACCCCGACTTTCCATCATGGCATGAAGCAGTCTTTCAGGTTAGGAGTGCCCTAACAGAGGAAGAAGTCCATTTAGATGGTTGGGGGGGGCCTCAAAATTTTATTTTTGGTTTACAGCTATATGAATGCATCTTCAAGTTCCAGATTTTCATTATATCTTTTCTCAGCATTTTCCCATTCACATAGTTCTTTGCTGTGGTTTTCCAGCAAAGTAAGCTCTGGATGGATCTGACTGAAATAAACATGGTCATCCCTCATTCCAACCACAGATAAATCAACTCCAAATGGACAAACACCACTTGAGTGAGTGTATTCTTGGGTTACAGAAACTACTTTCCGTACCAGCCAAGCTATGGAAATGGGTTCTTGGTGATGTAGGATTTTTCTTCTTGGTCACTTTGCAGGCCAGGGGATCCTCAGCTTGTGACACCCCTCCCAGCCCTCACTCGGCCACAATGGCGTGCCCCAGCTTGCGTGTGTTATAGCTTGTACCTGTGTTCAGCAGTTCTCGAGGTCTTGTACTGCGCCCAAGAAGAATGAGGATATGCTGGATATTGAAGGGTGAGGAGGGTGGAAAAGAATTTTATTGAGTGATGGAACAGCTCCCATTGGAGAGGGGATGCGCGGGGTGGTCCACCACCTCACAGTTAGGTGGTTCTCTCCTCCCTGCGTGGCTGGGTCCAGGGCTTTTTATGGGCTCAGAATAGGAGTGGGGCACACTGTAGGTAGTATTGGAAAAGGGAACATTCAATTGGTTAAAAGGCATTATTCAGAAATAATCAATTGGGAAGGGCAGGCAAACAGGAACAAAAGTTCTCACTCAGTCTCAGGTTTAATCCAGGGCCAGCAGTCTGGTCTTTCAGCCTTCAGGCTGTTTTTGGCTTGAAGGTGAGATTTTACTGGGGTTTGTATCCCCAGGTCCTGGCGCCCTCAGCAGGGTGCCACCCATTGGTGCCAATGCAGCTTTTACCCATGTTAACAGGGATGCCTAGTGGGTAGGAATTATCGCATTCACTTACACGTTGTCCTGTCCTCCCTCCTCTTGGTAACCTCATCTATTCCATGGATGCTAGCATGACCTTTATCCATGAAATGGGTGGGGGGAGCTAACCAGCAGGAATTAGTCATGCTCACCTGCGCTGTGCCCCTTGACTTCTGTTATCACCTGCCTTTGGATCACTCCGATGTAGTTTTCCTTTCTAGGAATTCAACCTGAAGCTCCAAATTGAGTTTGGGGCAAGAAGGTGCCTTAGGAGGGTTCATGGATGCATTAAATTAAGTCCTATGTGGCCCTCACCAGACTGCAGCCAGCAGCCAGTGGGGCTGCTCCTTCACTGCTTCCTTATCATAAACCCAATGCTAAGGTAACGCGTGGAACCGGGTCTTCCTCAAACAAGGGAGTGAAAGGGAGAATTGGGGTCCTGGCCTAGTAAGATGCCTTTCAAAAGGAAAAAAATCCTCTAGCATAGAAAAAGCTCCCTGTATTTGCAGGACTGTGTTAACTCCTGACATGGTGGAGAAAAGAAAAAAACAGCTTAAGTGCAGGGTGGGGAAGGTGCCTGGGGGAAAAAGCCTCTTGATCTATGCAATTGGGTTCCTCCAAAAGGGAGAGAAATTCTTAATCTGTGCTTCCTTTTTGCCTCTAAGAATAGACAGAAACTGCATTGTTCTGAATTGCATATCTGATGGCTGGGCCAAATGCTCTTTCCACCTAGTAATATTTCTGTAGTTTGCAACAACACCCTTAACATTGTAAGGGAGATAATGCCATGACATCTGTGAAAAAAAAAGAAGGAAAATGCTATAGGAAAAACTGGATTGGAATGAGGCTGACATTCCCAACCCCAGAGATGATGGAGGTGGGGATGTCGAGGTCCTTTCCAGCATCCTGTCCTCTTAGTTGCGCCATTGCTCTTAATTGGCTCACCAGAGGTTTGGTGCTTCATCTGCCTTCAGAAAAGAGTCTGAGGACAAGAAGCCTCGGAAAAAAGTGAAGTGTCTACGTCCGCATTTACTCACCCTTCAGGTATCCTGGGTTATTCCCCAAAATGATGTAGGATTTTTCTTTTCAGTCAGTTTGCAAGCCAGGGACCCCCAGTTGGTGATGCCCCACCCGGTCCTTGCTCGACCATGCTGGCATGCCCCAGCTCACCTGTGTTATAGTTTGTACCTGCGTTTGGCGGTTCCTGAGCTCTTGTACTGTGCCCAAGGAGAGGGGAGAATAATTATATTGAGCAACTGAACAGCTCTCAGTGGAGAGGAGACACGGCGGGTGGCCCCCAGCCCTGCAGTCGGGCGGTTCTCTCCTCCCCACATGGCCAGGTCCAATGCCTTTATGAGTTCAGAATAGGGGTGGGGCAGGCCATAGGTAGTATTGGAAAAGGCAACATTTGATTGGTTAAAAGGCATTATTCAGAAAGAATCGATTGGGAAAGGGCAGGCAAACAAGAACAGAAGTTTTCACTCTGAGTTGTGGGTTTCATCTGGGACCAGCAGTCTGGTCTGTCAACCTTTAGGCTGTTTTTGGTTTAAAGGTGGGGTTTCACTGGGGACCCGCCCCTATCTGCCTAGGCATTTGGCTGCTTCCTGTCGTTATCATTGGTACGGAGATATTACAGTATTGCTGAGCTGTTTTTGAATTCCATGCACAAGCACTCTGATCTGGATCCGCACCACCGTGCACCAAACCGCTACGCTTGGTAATGGGTTCTACTTTGTGTGCACTTTGCTCATCATACAGAATGGATTTCTGTGTCTTCTCAGTGCTAATACCACACCATTTGCAGCTGTAATTCCCACTGAAGGGGCTCCTCCCACTACAGCAGCTAAAGCATATTCAGTGTGGACAAGTGTACCAGATGGGCTGAGTGTAGTCAGCAAGAAGCTGTACCTGTGCTCTGCCATCTTTACCTGGAGAGCCAAAGCACATCCCCTCACTTTTCTTCTCTGGCTCCCAACCTGACTTTAACTGTGTTTTCCCTCCGTGCCTCTGTGCAAAATACCAAACACAAGTACTGGAGATCCAATTCCAGAATGGCAGTGTGAGAAGTTTCTCGGACCTGCTTCCCAGTGAAACATCAGTAATTGGTGAAAATTATTAGGAGAAAAACCCCAACACTTAGAGTCACTGGAGATTGTCCAGAGAACATACAGCAAATGAATAAATATTTATTCAAGTAAATCTACTAAATTTTGGACAGTGAGAGTCTGCGACACTTGATCTGCTCCCTGCCTCCCGCTACCCTCAAACTCCATGTGATGGAAGATCCACTGCAGGTTGGGTGGCCAAGAATATGGAGACCCAGCTCCCAGTCTCTCCCAGAGTTCAGGCTGCCAGCATTTCTCTCATCCCCTTCTCCATGTGGCAGAGGCTAAATTCTCAGTGAGTACAGCCAAAGAGGTGGGGACTCCTGTCCTTCACTCAGCTCTCTACTGCTACCCTAGACATGACAGGTTGAAAACACTAGGCCCCAGTTGCTTTTGCCCCGGCTTGCTTTTAGGGCAGATGTTGCTCACTGGAAGAACCAAGCCAAGAAAACTAGATGCTACTGCTCCTGTCCAGCATGCTGCTCATAAAACAAGGGTGTCATTTTGAAAGAAGTGTGCCACTGTCCCCACCCCCAGCTCCGGAGCAATGGTACAGAGGTTTTGCCCAGGGAGAGCAGGCCATAAGAAGAGAGAGCTCTGGCTGGGCACGATGGCTTATGCCAGCACTCCTAGCACTTTGGGAGGCTGAAGCAGGCAGATTGCTTGACCTTAGGAGTTCAAGCCCAGCCTGGGCAACATGGCAAAACCCTGCCTCTACAAAAAATACAAAAAAAATAGCTGGGTGTGTGGTGCATGCCTGTAGTCTCAGCTACTTGAGGAGCTGAGGTGGGAGGATTGCTTGAGCCCAGGAGGTCAAGGCTGAAGTGAGCTGCAATCACACCACTGCACCCCATCCTAGGTGACAAAGTGAGACCTTGACTCTAAATAAATAAATAAGAGAGAGAGAGAGCATGAGCTCTGAGCTATCTTTAAATAAATTGACTTTATCTTAAGCAAAATGTGAGGAAGTTGATGCCTGAGGGCTCTCTGGAAAACAATGGAAGTTAAGGTGATAAGCAATTAAGAGGAGGCTGGTAGCCCCAGGGGAGCTATGAGCTAACACAGGTCAGCTGATTTACCAAAGAGACAAGGGGAGGGGTAGGGGAGAAAGCTAAGAAGATCCTTCCTGGGGTTGGAACAAACCTCAAAGACTAGCCTCAAAAACCACTCCTGCAAATAGGCCCAGATTTAATTGGATCCAACGGTAATTTATGCTGCAGGACATCCAGGACATTATCAAAAACAATAGAGCAATCAACATGCAATTAGTGGAGCCTAACAGCTGGATGTGATACCAACAGAGGCAGACAGCTTAACAGAGAGATCAGGGAAAGACGCAAAGAAAGCCCTGCTAAAATCACTGTCACTTCTGGGTGACTGTGCAAATGTCCAAGATCATGTCCTCTGAAGATCAACTTCAGAGGCTTCACTGTGGAGAAAATAGACTTTCCTGAAATAGCCCTGACATGTCACTAAAAAATAAGAAAACAACAAAAAGTAGCTCTATAGGTTTGTAGGGAAGAATCAGTATATAGCATTCTTAAAATATATTATTCAATTGTCTAGTTTTCAACAAAAAAAGGCAAGATATGCAAAGAATCAGGAAACTGTGACTCACACACAGAGGGGAAAAAAAGCAGACAACCAAAACTGCCTGTCAGAAGGCCCATATGTCAGACTTGACAAAGACTTCAAACTAGTTATAATAAATATGTTCAAAGAACTAAAGGAAACTATGCTTAAAGAAGTAAAGAATAATATGATGACAATCTCATCAAATAGAGACTAGCAATAAAGATATATATGTCAACCAATAATTTGGTTGTTACACATTTTAACTCAAGAATTTTCATTTGGTTCTTTACATGCATATGTGTATATATATATATATACATATACATACATACACACACATACACATATATATTTATTTAAATACATAAATTTATATTACACATAGTGCAGCATATGCAAAGATGTATATATGTAATATCAGTTTATGTATTTACATAAATGTGTATATATGTACATATACATATATGTATGTATGTTTATATGTAAATAATGAACCAAATCAAAATTCTAGAGTTGAAATGTAAAACACCAAGGTGAAAAATTTACTAGAGGGCCTCAAGAGTAGATTTGGCAGAACAAAGAATCAGCAAACTTGAAGATAGATCAATAGAGATAAGGCAGCCTGAAGAGTGGAGAAGGAAAAAAAAAGAAAATAATGAATATGAACAGATTATTAGAGAAATGTTGGACATCATTAAATGCACCAAAATATGCATGACTGGAGTACCAGAATAAGAGGAGAGAGAGAAAAAGTAACAGAAAAAACACATTTAAAAAACTTGTGGCTTAAAAGTTCCCAAATTTGATGTAAAACATTAATCTTGAAAAACAACCTGGTGAGAGAATAACACATTTGGAGGACTCACATCCCTATTTCAAAACTTAATACAAAGCTATAGTAATCAAGACTGTGTGATACTGGCATATGGATAGACATACAGATCAATAGAATTTAAATGAGAGTCCAGAAATAAACTTTCATATTTATAGTCAATTGATTTCTAGCAAGGGTGCCAAGACAATTCAGTTGGGGGAAAGGCAGTCTTTTCAACAAATCGTGCTAGTACAACTGTAAAGCCTCATGCAATACAATGAAGTTGGATCCTTTCTTACTTCATACACAGAAATGGACTCAGTATGAATCATGGAGCTAAATGTGAAAGATAAAACTATAAAATTCTTAGGAGAAAATATAGGAGTAAATCTTTGTGACCTTGCATTATGCTAAGCCCTCTTAGATTGATGCCAGAAGTACAAGTGACAAAGTAAATGATAAATT
This sequence comes from Homo sapiens, assembly GCF_000001405.40. Taxonomy (NCBI): domain Eukaryota; kingdom Metazoa; phylum Chordata; class Mammalia; order Primates; family Hominidae; genus Homo; species Homo sapiens. The sequence continues at coordinate 93,945,915 of NC_000008.11, forward strand.
GGACTTCATCAATATTAAAATTTTGGGCTTCAATGGACATCATTAGATTGGATAAAATATTTCTAATTTGACATCCACAGAATTGATATTTATAAATCATATATATGGTAAATGACTTGTATTTATTAGATATCGACAGAGTCTCTCTTGGTCACCCAGGCTGGAGTACAGTGGCACGATCATAACTCACTGCAGCCTCTACTCCTGGGTTCAAGTGATCCTCTTGCCTCAGCCTCCCGAGTAGCTGGGACTACAGGCACACACCACCATGACTAGCTAACTTAAAAAAAATTTTTGTACAGACAGGGTCTCCCTGTGTTGCCCAGGCTGGTCTTGAACTCCTGTTCTCAAGTGATCTTTCTGCCTCAGCCTCCCAAAACACTGGGATTACAGGTATGAGCCACTGAGCCTGGCCAATGATTTTTTTTGAATTATGTCTTTCTCTCAATGCTGCTGATATGACAGGAGCAACATTAATTAGTTTCCTTGTACTCTCTTCTTGACACATGTAAAGACTCATCTATCCCATGAAGCTTTTTTTTTCTTTTCAAGCAGTGCTATGTTACATTAGAATATCTTCTTGCAGAGAGGTTACAAGATCCTGTATTATTGTTTGATACTTTTTATGTATTGAATTTGATGATATTAATGTCTGCATATCAACTACAGCACTTTTTATTATTATTATTATACTTTAAGTTCTGGGATACATGTGCAGAATGTTCAGGTTTGTTACATAGGTATACATGTACCATGGTGGTTTGCTGCACCCATCAATCTGTCATCTACAATAGGTATTTCTCCTAATGCTATCCCTCCCCTAGCCCCCAACCTCCTGACAGGCCCTGGTGTGTGATGTTCCCCTCCCTGTGTCCATGTGTTCTCATTGTTTAACTTCCACTTATGAGTGACAGCATGCGGTGTTTGGTTTTCAGTTTCTGTGTTAGTTTGATGAGAATGATGGTTTGCAGCTTCATCCATGTCCCTGCAAAGGACATGAACTCATTCTTTTTTATGGCTACATACTATTCCATGGTGTATACATGCCACATTTTCTTTATCCGGTCTATTATTGATGGGCATTTAGGTTGGTTCCAAGTCTTTGCTATTGTGAATAGGGCTGCAATAAATACACATGTACATGTGTCTTTATAGTTGAATGATTTATAATCCTTTGGGTATATACCCAGTAATGGGATTTCTGAGTCGAATGGTATTTCTGATCCAGTAATGGGATTGCTTAGTCGAATGGTATTTCTGATTCTGGATCCTTGAGAAATCGCCACACTGTCTTCCACAATGGTTGAACTAATTTACACTCCCACCAACAGTGTAAAAGCGTTCCTATTACTCCACATCCTCTCCAGCATCTGTTGTTTCCTGACTTTTTAATGATCGCCGTTCTAACTGGCGTGAGATGGTATCTCATTGTGGTTTTGATTTGCATTTCTCTAATGACCAGTGGTGAGGAGCTTTTTTTCATATGTTTGTTGGCTGCATAAATGTCTTCTTTTGAGAAGTTCCTGTTCATATCCTTCACCCACCTTTTGATGGAGTTTTTTTTTTTTCTTGTAAATTTGTTTAAGTTCCTTGTAGTTTCTGGATATTAGCCCTTTGTCAGATGGATAGACTGCAAAAATTTTCTCTCAATCTGTAGGTTGACTGTTTACTCTGATGATAGTTTATTTGCTGTGCAGAAGCTCTTTAGTTTAATTAGATCCCATTTGTCAATTTTGGCTTTTGCTGCAATTGCTTTTGGTGTTTTAGTCATAAAGTCTTTGCCCATGCCTATGTCCTGAATGGTATTGCCCAGGTTTTCTTCTAGGGTTTTAATGGTTTTAGGTCTTATGTTTAACTCTTTAATTCATCTTGAATTAATTTTTGTATAAAGTGTAAGGAAGGGGTCCAGCTTTAGTTTTCTGCATATGGTTAGCCAATTTTCCCAAAACCATTTATTAAATAGGGAATCCTTTCCCTGTTGCTTGTTTTTGTAAGGTTTGTCAAAAATTAGATGGTTGTAGATGTGTGGTGTTATTTCTGAGGCCTCTGTTCTGTTCCATTGGTTTATATATCTGTTTTGGTACCAGTACCATGCTGTTTTGGTTACTGTAGACTTGTTGTGTAGTTTGAAGTCAGGTAGCGTGACTCCAAAGTCAAAAGACAAAAGCCTCCAGCTTTGGTCTTTTTGCTTAGGATTGTCTTGGCAATGTGGGCTCTTTTTTCGTTTCATATGAAATTTACAGTATTTTTTCTAATTCTGTGAAGAAAGTCAATGGTAGCTTGATGAAAATAGCAATGAATCTATAAATTACTTTGGACGGGGCCAGGCGCGATGACTTATGCCTGTAATCCCAGCACTTTTGGAGGCCAAGGCGGGTGGATCACCTGAGGTCGGGAGTTCGAGACCAGCCTGACCAACATGGAGACTTCGTCTCTACTAAAAATATGAAATTAGCCAGGTATGATGGAACATGCCTGTAATCCCAGCTACTCGGGAGACTGAGGCAGGAGAATTGCTTGAAACTGGGAGGCAGAGGTTGTGGTGAGCCGAGATTGCGCCACTGCACTCTAGCCTGGGCAACAAGAGTGAAACTCCATCTCAAAAAAAAAAAAATTACTTGGGGCAATATGGCCATTTTCACAATATTGATTCTTTCTACCTATGAGCATGGTATGTTTTTCCATTTGTTTGTGTCCTCTCTTATTTCCTTGAGCAGTGGTTTGTAGTTCTCCTGGAAGAGGTCCTTCATGTCCCTTGTATGTTGTATTCCTAGGTAATTTATTCTCTTTGTAGCAATTGTGAATGGGAATTCACTCAGGATTTGGCTCTCTGTTTGTCTGTTGTTGGTGTACAGGAACGTTGTGATTTTTGCACATTGATTTTGTATCCTGAGACTTTACTGAAGTAGCTTATCAGCTTAAGGAGATTTGGGGCTGAGACGATGGGGTTTTCTAAATATACAATCATGTCATCTACAAACAGAGACAATTTGACTTCCTCTCTTCCTATTTGAATACGCTTTATTTATTTCTATTGCCTGATTGCCCTGGACAGAACTTCCAATACTATTTTGAACTGGAGTGGTGAGAGAGGGCATCCTTGTCTTGTGGTGGTTTTCAAAGGGAATGCTTCCAGCTTTTGCCCATTCAATGTGATATTGGCTGTGGGTTTGTCATAAATAGCTCTTATTATTTTGAGATATGTTCCATCAATACCTAGTTTATTGAATGTTTTTAGCATGAAGGGATGTTGAATTTTTTTGAAGGCCTTTTCTGTATCTATTGAGATAATCATGAGGTTTTTGTCATTGGTTCTGTTTATGTGATGGATTACATTTATTGATTTGCATATGTTGAACCAGCCTTGCATCCCAGGGATGAAGCTGACTTGATCGTGGTGGATAAGCTTTTTGATGTGCTATTGGATTCAGTTTGCCAGTATTTTACGGAGAATTTTCACATCCATGTTCATCAGGGATTTTGGGATGAAATTTTCTTTTTCTGTTTTGTCTCTGGCAGGTTTTGGTATCAGGATGATGCTGGCCTCATAAAATGAGTTAGGGAGGAGTCCCTCTTTTTCTATTGTTTGGAATAGTTTCAGAAGGAATGGTACTAGCTCCTCTTTGTACCTCTGGTAGAATTCAGCTATAAATCTGTCTGATCCTGGGCTTTTTTTGGTTGGTAGGCTATTAATTACTGCCTCAATTTCAGAACTTTTTATGGGTCTATTCAAGGATTCGAATTCTTCCTGGTTTAGTCTTGGGAGGTTGTATGTGTCCAGGAATTTATCCATTCTTCCAAATTTTCTAGTTTATTTGCATAGAGGTGTTTATAGTATTCTCTGATGATAGTTTGTATTTATGTGGGATCGGTGGTGATATCCCCTTTATCATTTTTTATTGTGTCTATTTGATTCTTCTCTCTTTTCTTCTTTATTAGTCTGGCTAGTTGTCTATCTATTTTGTTAATTTTTTAAAAAAACCAGCTCCTGGATTCACGGATTTTTTTGAAATCTGTGTCTCTATCTCCTTCAGTTTCATGTCTCTATCTCCTTCAGTTCTGCTCTGATCTTAGTTATTTCTTGTCTTCTGCTAGCTTTTGAATTTGTTTGCTCTTGTTTCTCTCGTTCTTATAATTGTGATGTTAGGGTGTCGATTTTAGATCTTTCCTGCTTTCTCATGTGGGCATTTAGTGCTATGAATTTCCCTCTTAACACTGTTTTAGCTGTGTTCCAGAGATTCTGCTACATTGTCTCTTTGTTCTCATTGGTTTCAAAGAACTTCTTTACTTCTGCCTTCATTTCATTATTTACCCAGTAGTTATTCAGGAGCAGGTTGTTAGTTTCCATGTAGTTGTGCAGTTTTGAATGAGTTTCCTAATCCTGAGTTCTAATTTGATTGCACTGTGGTCAGAGAGACTGTTAAGATTTCCGTTCTTTTGCATTTGCTGAGGAGTGTTTCACTTCCAATTGTGTGGTCAGTTTTAGAATAAGTACGCTGTGGTGCTGAGAAGAATGTATATTCTGTTGATTTGGGGTGGAGAGTTCTGTAGATGTCTATTAGGTCCGCTTGGTGCAGAGCTGAGTTCAAGTCCTGAATATCCTTGTTAATTTTCTGTCTCTTTGATCTGTCTACTCTTGATGGTGGGCTGTTAAAGTCTCCCATTATTATTGTGTGGGAGTCTAAGTCTCTTTGTAGGTCTCTAAGAACTTGTTTTACGAATCTGGGTGCTCCTGTATTGGGTGCATATATATTTAGGATAGTTAGCTCTTCTTGTTGCATTGATCCTTTTACCATTATGTAATGGCCTTCTTTGTCTCTTTGATCTTTGTTGGTTTAAAGTCTGTTTTATCAGAGACTAGCATTGCAACCCCTGCTTTTTTTTTGCTTTCCATTTACTTGGTAAATATTCCTCCATCCCATTATTTTGAGCCTATGTGTGTCTTTGCAGATGAGATGGGTCTCCTGAATACAGCACGCTGACAGGTCTTGACTCTTTATCCAATTTGCCAGTCTGTGTCTTTTAATTGGGGCATTTAGCCCATTTACATTTAAGGCTAATATTGTTTTGTATGAATTTGATTCTGTCATTATGATGCTAGCTGGTTACTTTGCACATTAGTTGATGCAGTTTCTTCATAGTGTTGATGGTCTTTATGTTTTGGTATGTTTTTGCAGTGGCTTCTACCAGTTTTTCCTTTCTGTATTTAGTGCTTCCTTCAGGAGCTCTTGTAAGGCAGGCTTGGTGATGACAAAATCCCTCAGCATTTGCTTGTCCGTAAAGGATTTTATTTCTCCTTCACTTATGAAGCTTAGTTTGGCTGGATATGAAAATCTGGGTTGAAAATTATTTTCTTTAAGAATGTTGAATATTGGCCCTCACTGTCTTCTGGCTTGTAGGGTTTCTGCAGAAAGATCCACTGTTAGTCTGACGGACTTCCCTTTGTGGGTAACCTGACCTTTCTCTCTGGCTGCCCTTAACATTTTTCCCTTCATTTCAACCTTGGTGAATCTGATGATTATGTGTCTTGGGGTTGATCTTGTTGAGGAGTATCTTAGTGGTGTTCTCTGTATTTTCTGAATTTGAATGTTGGCCTGTCTTGCTAGGTTGGAGAAGTTCTCCTGGATAATATCCTGAAGCGTGTTTTCCAGCTTGGTTCCATTCTCCCTATCACTTTCAGGCACACCAATCAATCATAGGTTTGGTCTTTTCACATAGTCCCATATTTCTTGGAGAAGTTCATTCCTTTTCATTTTTTTTCCTCTAATGTTGTCTTCATGCTTTATTTTATCAAGTTGATCTCAAGCTCTGATATCTTTTCTTCTGCTTGATTGATTTGGCTATTGATACTTGTGTATGCTTCACAAAGTTCTCGTGTTGTGTTTTTCAGCTCCTTCAGGTTATTTATGTTTTTCTCTAAACTGATTATTCTAGTTAGCAGTTCCTGTAACCTTTCATCAAAATTCTTAGCTTCCTTGCATTCGGTTAGAATATGCTCCTTTAGCTCAGAGGAGTTTGTTATTACCCACTTTCTGAAGCCTATTTCTGTGAGTTTGTCAAACTCATTCTCTGTCCAATTTTGTTCCCTTGCTGGCGAGGTGTTGTGATCCTTTGGAGGAGAAGAGGTATTCTGGTTTTTGGAATTTTCAGGATTTTTGTGCTAGTTTTTCCTCGTGTTCGCAGTTTTTTTTTTTTTTTTTGAAATGGAGTTTCGCTCTTGTCTAGGCTGGAGTGCAATGATGTGATCTCGGCTTGCCACAACCTCTGCCTCCCAGGTTCAAGTAATTCACCTGCCTCAGCCTCCCAAGTAGCTGGGATTACAGGTGCCCATCACTCTGCCCATCTAATTTTGTTGTATTTTTAGTAGAGATGGGGTTTCTCCATGTTGGTTGTTGGTCAGCCTGGTCTCGAACTCCTGACCTCAGGTGATCCGCCTGATTTGGCCTTCCAAACTGCTGGGATTACAGGCGTGAGCCACCACGCCTGGCCTGTCTTCATGGATTTATCTACCTTTGATCTTTGATGCTGATGACCTTCGGATGGGGTTTTGTGTGGGTATCCTTTTTGTTGATGTTGATGTTATTGCTTTCTGTTTGTTAGTTTTTCTTTTAACAGTCAGGCCTGTCTTCTGCAGGTCTGCTGGAGGTCCACTCCAGACCCTGTTTGCCTGGGTATCACCAGCAGAGGCTGCTGAACAGCAAAGATTGCTGCCTGCTCCTTCCACTGGAAGCTTTGTCCCAGAGGGGCACCTGACAGATGCCAGCCTGAGCTCTCCTGTATGAGGCATCTGTCGACCTCTGCTGGGAGATGTCTCCCAGTCAGGAGGCGCGGGGGTCAGGGACCCACTTGAGGATGCAGTCTGTCCCTTAGCAGAGCTCAAGCGCCGTGCTAGGAGATCCACTGCTCTCTTCAGAGCCAGCAGACAGGAACATTTAAGTTTGCTGAAGCTGTGCCCACAGCCACCCCTTCCCCAGGTGCTCTGTTCCAGGGATATGGGAATTTTATCTATAGGCCCCTGACAGGGGGTTCCGCCTTTCTTTCGAGATGTCTGGTCTAGAGAGGAGGAATCTAGAGAGGCAGTCTGGCTACAGTGGCTTTGGTGCACTGTGGTGGGTTCCGCCCAGTTGAACTTCCCAGCAGCTTTGTTTACATAGTGAGGGGAAAACTGCCTACTTAAGCCTCAGTAATGGCAGACGCCCCTCCCCCCACCAAGCTCCAGCTTCCCAGGTGGACTCCAGACTGCTGTGCTGGCATTGAGAATTTCAAGCCAGTGGATCTTAGCTCGCTGGGCTCCATGGGGGTGGGATCCACTGATCAAGACCACTTGGTTTCCTGGCTTCAGCCCCCTTTCCAGGGGAGTGAACAGTTCTGTCTCGCTTGGGTTTCGGGTGCCACTGGGGTACAAAAAAAACCTCCTGCAGCTAGCTCAGTGTCTGCCCAAATGGCCCCACAGTTTTGTGCTTAAAACCCAGGGCCCTGGTGGTGTAGGCACCCGAGGGAATCTCCTGGTCTGCAGGTTGTGAAAACCATGGGAAAAGTGTAGTATCTGGGCCAGATAGCACCATCCCTCATGGCACAATCCCTCAAGGCTTCCCTTGGCTAGGGGAGGGAGTTCCCCAACCCCTTGCACTTCCCCGATGAGGCAACGCCCCACCCTGCTTCTGCTTGCCCTCCATGGGCTGCACCCACTGTCTAACCAGTCCCAATGGGATGAGCCAGGTACCTCAGTTGGAAATGCAGAAATCACTGCCTTCTGCGTTGGTCTCACTGGGAGTGGCAGACTTGAGCTGTTCTTATTTGGTCATCTTGCCAGCACACCCCCCCGTTTTTTTTTTCTTTTGAGACAGAGTCTCGCTCTGTCACCCAGGCTGGAGTGCAGTGGTACAATCTCGGCTGCAACCTCCACCTCCTGAGTTCAAGTGATTCTCCTGCCTTGGCCTCTTGAGTTGCTGGGACTAAAGGTGCCCCCCACCACACCCAGCTAATTTTTTTTTTTTTTTTTTGAAACAGAGTCTCGCTCTGTCACCCAGGCTAGAGTGCAGTGGCATGATCTTGGCTCACTGCAACCTCTGCCTCCCGGGTTCAAGCAATTCTCCTGCCTCAGCCTCCTGAGTATATGAGACTAAAGGCACATGCCACCACACCCAGCTAATTTTTTGTATTTTTTGTAGAGACGGGGTTTCACTGTGTTAGCCAGGATGGTCCCGATCTCCTGACCTTGTCATCGCCCTCCTCGGCCTCCCAAAGTGCTGGGATTACAGGCGTGAGCCACCATGCCCGGCTAATTTTTGTATTTTTACAAAATAACTCTTTTACACAGGGTTTCACCATGTTGGCCAGCCTGGTCTCAAACTCCTGACCTCAAATGATCCACTCACCTCAGCCTCCCAAAATGTTGGGATTACAGGCATGATCCACTGCACCCGTCGTAACTGCAGCATTTTTAAGATATGAGATATACATGCACATCTGGTTTATTTGCTATGTGATCTGTATCTCTCTTTTGACTGCTACTTTAAAACTCTTTTGGAATTAAGCCCTTAGGGTACAGCTTTATATTCCTTATTACTATATTCTTGGAAAACTGCTTTGCATACAAATGCTTAATTTTAAATGGGTGATAATAAGTACGATGTATTCTGCTACCGTAATATGTAGATTATGAAGAGGTTGGCACATGATTGGGCTGGGGTGGTAAAGAAAGTACTTGAAATAGTCAAAGGGAAAGATTTCATTTTTCTCAATTTAACCTGCTCACAGAAGGGCAATAAGAGCCTCATTATCTCATTTAGACAAGACTGATGGAGTCACAGCCTGCATGGTCCAGTCTCAGGATGGCTCATATTGGAAGAAGCACTGCTCAAACAGGCGTTTCAGTTTTACTCAGAGCTCTAAAAATTTGAAAGGCTCTAAGTCATAATTCACGGTTAATATTTAAATCCTCTGCCTTGGCTGGGTGTGGTGGCTCACACTTGTAATCCCAGCACTTTGGGAGGCTGAGGTAGGCGGATCACCTGAGGTTGGGAGTTCGAGACCAGCCTCACCAACATGGTGAAACCCTGTCTGTACTAAAAATATAAAAATTAGCCAGGCATGGTGGCGCATGCCTGTAATCCCAGCTACTTGGGAGGCTGAGGCAGGAGAATCGCTTGAACCCAGGAGGTGGAGGTTGCAGTAAGCCGAGATAGTGCCATTGCACTCCAGCCCGGGTGACAGAGTGAGACTCATCTCAAAAAAAAAAAAAAAAAATCCTCTGCTAGAAACACTTCTGCAGCGCCTTGTAAATGCCAGTGTCTTGCCCTCTCCCACCCTCTCACCTCTGCTTCTCCTTTGGCTGTGTCCTCTCTAGTGCATCTGATCTGACATGAACACCCCTTCCCTCCCTTCTCTTCCACGTTTCTGCAGTTAGCAGCGTAGGTAATGGAGGAAGAGCGCAACACCCAAGTGATTTTTGTCCAGATGTATTTCAGTCACATTAAATTTCTGAGGTTTCAGATTTTATCTTACTGTTTGTGTGTGGTGTGCGTGTTTAAAAATTAGAGTTTGTAAAAGAATTCTTGTAAAAGTGTGCTATGTTCCTAGCAAGTTATCTTCTTTCTACGGACAGTGGCTGTACTTTCCTCGCCAACGCCCCCTCATGCTGTTCCTCCTCCGCATGTGAGTTTGATCATTGCTGCATTATGGTTTTCTCTAGCACGTTTTTTGGTAATGCATCCCTTTTTGAGAAAGAGGCCAGCCCTTCACCTCCCATGTCCAGCTCCCCAACCTGGTCTACTGGCAGCAACACAAAGACCCTCATGGAGGCACGGGGACAGCTGCTTCCTGACTTTGTTGTGGCTGCTCCAGGGCTTGTTCTGAGGTCACTGACTTTGTGGTTTTTTGTTTGTTTGTTTTGAGACGGAATCTCGGAATCTCGCTCTGTCGCCCAGGCTGGAGTGCAGTGGTGTGATCTCCGCTCACTGCAATCTCCGCCTCCCAGGTTCAAGCAATTCTCCTGTCTCAGCTTCCCGAGTAGCTGGGATTACAGGCGTGCGCGACCACGCCTGGCTAATTTTTGTATTCTTTTTCTTTTTTTGAGATGGAGTCTTGCTCTGTCACCCAGGCTGAAGTGTAGTGGTGTTGTCTCGGCTCACTGCAACCTCCACTTCCCGGGTTCCAGTGATTCTCCTGCCTCAGGCTCCCAGGTAGCTGGGATTTCAGGCTTGCATGACCATGCCCAGATAATTTTTGTATTTTTAGTAGAGAGGGGGTTTCACCATGTTGGCTAGGCTGGTCTCAAACTCCTAACCTCAGGTGATCCACCCGCCTCAGCCTCCCAAAGTGCTGGGATTTCAGGTGTGAGCCACCATGTCCAGCTGAGGTCACTGACTTTGAACATGGGGTGTCCTTTCTTTATATGTTGGTTTCTGTCTGGCACAGAGTAGGAACACAGTAAAGATGATCTGGCTCTGCATTTGTAGCCCGGAGGCAAAATTGCCATCCTTTTCTTTGTTGTATCAACAGCTCTCTTACAATGGCCGGGAAAGTAAGGAAGATGAAAGCTGCTTACTGTCACACAAGTTGGGTACAAAATTCCTATTTGGTCACTTTGGGAGGGAGTTCAAACCAAGTTCTCTGAGTCTGCTAACTTTGTTCTAAACCCAGTCTATTCTCCATTCAGGGTCACATTTGCCTCTGTCCCGAAGAGTAAGTCTGCCACCCTCTTGGCTCAACTAAATTTCTTTAGGTACTGGAGAAGTTTACCTTCTTCAGAAAGAAATGGTTTCCTTCCTTGCATGGCAAACTGGGCTCACTCTCCCTTTAAATACTAAGACATTGAGCCCCATGTTCATGAGAAGAGGTGGCCAATGCTAGAAGGTCTCTGCCAGATTCTGCCTCCTGCCTTTTAAAAATTTGGCTGTTGTTAAAACCCAGAAGGACACGAAGAGCGCTTCCCACTGTCTATCCATAAAAGACACTGCACTGCTTCATTAGCCCGTGGCCATCAAACATAAACATAGCCAACCACTCCGATGATATCACAAAGTCCCATGGCGGACTGGACTGGTGGAGAGCAATTCAGCACGGCATGCCATTTTTAAATACTGTGCTCTCAAAAATAAATATAGCCACTAAAGGGAAAACAGTATTAGGTTTAAGTCGTGAGATAAAAATGTCTGTTATGTAAGGTTGTAGTGTTCATGCTCAGCCCTTTTCTCTCAGGACTCCTTTCCCAGTTCTTTTTCACTTCAAAGGAAAGTACCGTTTAAGAAAGAGGAGGGTATGACCTCAGAAGAGAGAAGAAACAGCAACAACAGGGACCTCGGATCCTAGAGGTCTTCACAGGTGGGGTACAGGTGAATTTGTTGCCATTTAAAGGACTCTTTCTTCTTGGCAAATTTTCTCCTTTTTTTTCATTTTTATTACTCAAAAAAGTTTCGTATTTATTTAGCTTTCCGACTCTGTGCTTATGCCTTCAATACTTTCACAACGATTTTCTGCTCCTTGATAAGGAAAGCACGCTTGACCCTGTCACGAACACGTTTAGCACACATGGAACCACCATAGGCCCTGCTGACATGTTTCTTTGTTTTGGACAATCTCATAAGAACTTTAGGTCTTACAGCACGAACCCCTCGAAGTCGGCCTGGGTACACACCACATGCAGATTTTGGTGCTTTCCCAACCTTCTTGGTATAAAGGTGAACAATTCTATTACCAGGGGTTCAGGACAGCCTAGTTTTGTTAGAAGCTGTATTGTAGGAAAGCCTACGTCGCTATGCCAAATGCTGGACTATTCTGAGTGCCTGCAGACAATGTCCCCTGACAAATTTTCTTCTAAACAATGACTTCTGCAGAACTTGGACAGCTATAAAAGCCTCAATTGCTTGCGTTTGGCTAATCATTCACCATTTATTAAGTGTCCACATTGTACAAGGAACAGAGTTTAATTCTAAAATAAGCTTGAAACACATGACTAAAACTTCAATTCCTAGACAAATATAACCAAATTGCACAACTTGCTACATGTTATCTGATTTACCGATTGGACCATATTTACTTTGAGTGGATGAGGCTTAATAGAAAACAGCTTGATCTTCTCCCTTCCCTATCCCCCAGGTTCCCTGGCAGGGACTGGAAACAGGGGGAAAGGAAGAGGATGCCAATTTAGAGCTGAGTCGTGTACAATGCTTAGGCGTGTACTTTTGCTTGTCACCTTACAAGTTTCTGGTCAGTTCCCAAACCCATTCCCTATTCAGTGATTCCAAAGCTGCATCACATTCCCAAGCATCTTGAAAGTCTTCCTCTCCCATTGCCCACCTGTTCTCAACAGATGGCTTGTCGCATACTGAGAATGTTGAGGCTATCAGCTGAGAACTTGTTTACTTTCCTCCTTCCCAGCCAACAGATTGACCTGCTTTCAACCTCCCTCCTTCTCTGTGGTTTTAAGGCTCATCTCTCTACCAGTCTTATTGATCAGATCACCTTTCAGCTTCTCTGGACTTAAATCACATCTTAAGATGGAGATTAGATTCTTTAGTCAGCCCATAGGCAAGAGTCACATATAATCAGAATTACTCAGAAGTTTTCTTAAGTCACCCATAACAGTAGATCAAACATAGCTTTAGGAATACAATACTGTAAAGTAATATGCAGGTGTGAGTATGTCAAGTAGATAGTATTTATAGGTGTAAGGTATATATACTATATAATGTATACTATAATATATAGCATACAATTCCAAGGAGGATTATATTGAGAAAATAAAACAAGCTAGCTTTTTGTAACACTTGAGCAAATTTATAAATATTCCTTTTTTTGTTTTTTGTTTTTTTTTTTGAGATGGAGTCTCACTCTGTTGCCCAGGCTGGAGTGCAGTGGCCCCATCTCAGCTCATTACAACCTCTGCCTCCTGGTCGGTTCAAGCGATTCTCATGCCTCAGGCTCCTGAGTAGCTGGGACTACAGGCACACACCACCACGCCCGCTACTTTTTGGATTTTTTGACAGAGATGGGGTTTCAACATGTTGTCCAGGCTGAGAATATTCTTATTTCCCATTTGGTGTCATCGCCTAAGTTTTTGTGGATAACTTTGTCAGTTTCTCCGTTGTCTTTAGTTAGTTCTTCAGTTTCTTTCACAAGATTGTAGTAAAACCTTCACTACCCACTAGTATGAACAATGCATTTCTCTTATTTGTCTATGGTTGGGAAACCCCTAAATCATCCATACCTTCTTCGGTAGGTTTCACTAAAAGTCCTCTCTGTCTGCCTGTAGGCAACCTCATTGAGGGCAATTGCCCATTGAATTTCCAGCATTATTTACACAGTTCTTTCTCTCTTTCTCTCTATCTCCCTCCTGCTTCATTAGATGATAAGACTTGGCTACATCTAAGAGAAATCCAAAATAGCAGTGGCTTATATAAGAGATAACTTTATTTTTTTTATCTTATAAAACAAATCCAGAATTAGGTGGTGCAGAGCTGTTTCGGTGGCTCCACGGTCACCAGGGACATGGTCTCCTTCTCCTTTTCTGTTCTGCCATCCTGGTTTGTGGCTTCCATCCTCGTGGCTACTGAAGCTCCAGCCACTGTGTCTACATTCCAGTCAGCAGGAGGAAGGAAGGTGGTGTTCAGGAAAATTACCCGAAACTTGGAAATAATGCAAAAGGATGACTTCATATCCTGCCAATGTCATACTAAAGCATTGTCCAGTTCCCCTAATGGTCATCTCACTCTTGGGAAATGAACTACTCTTTAGGTACTGTTGATTAGAGTTCAGACTGGAGAGTTAGATGTTAACTTAGAAGAATTGATTAGATGCAGATGAAAACCTGCAGAGATGGTTTTCTAACCTTGCAGAACATTTGTCACTTTTGCATCTAACTTAGCATTGTTATTTCAGAGTTTTTGGTGTTTTTTGTTTGTTTGTTTCTACTGAACCTGCTTTGTCATCTTACTGGCTTCCCTCATCAATGATTAATTATACTTTGGGATGTGCTCAGATAATGTGTGGAAATTATATTTTTAATATTTGTATGTTTTGACAGTAGGAAAGACAAAGGGGCTTTCTTCAAGTCAGTAATTTCCCTAAATGTCTACCTAAAATGTCTGCTTGTAACTTATTGGCCAGAACTTAGTCACAAGGCTACACATAGCTACAAAAGAGGCTGGGGAAGTAGTCTTCTAGCTAGGTGCATTGAAATAAGGGCTCTCTTCCTAAGGAAGGGAGGCAGAGATCAGACCGTAGGGAATAACTAATAGTCTTTGCACAAGGACATATATCAGTTGATACTGCCTATTTTACCTGTATTTCTGCCTTTCCCTCTATGTTTACTTCTTTCTAGCAGCCTAAAAGCATAACAGAGAATACCAACAGTTTTAACACCTTGGACCTGAATCTTCCTCCAGCTATCAGGAGAACATTCTTTTTCCCCAATGGAGGTCCTATAAAGAACTTGGCTCTGCTCTCTCACCTCCTCCTCCTTCTTCACCCACTTTAAGCAGGCTTCTGTTACTCTCATCCACTAAACCTGCTCTGCTAGGCCACAGCTGATCTCCTAAACATCACGCTCAAATCAACTGCATCTTGCACAAAGCAAATATTTAATAAATGATTACTGAATTATTCAATATGTTTGCTCTGTTTTCTTCTTTCTTAAGACATTACTTTCTTTTCTTCTCAATTGCAAAATTAATATTTTAGTTTCATTATGGGCTAACTAGGTTCTTTTGACACATTCATGAAAATCTAATTCTTAGATAACACTTTGGTTCTGTGCAAAAATGCATTCCAACTTTCAAACGATTGGCCTAACAGTACACTTTTGGAAATTTTTGACCTTTTTGTAGGCCCAGGTCTGTTTATTCATTTTCCCCCTCCATTGAATAGGAAAAAGAAATTGGCTTTTTGTTGCTAATAAAAGCAAATTCTACTTGGGTTGTTTCCAAAGCCCAACAGCAAGTGGCAAGGAATCCCCAAGGGAAAAACACCAGTAAGATTCTTTCATAATGTGTTTTCCTCTAATCCCCTTCCTGATCCTTTCTCACCAAATGGATCCAGCTATTTTCAAGTTCAATTTTTGCTCTAAACTAGAGAACATAGTGTCCTAAATTGATACTTCACCCTCTATAAGCCTCCACCTCTTGGCCTGCTTTATTTATCAGGCAGGCTCCTCCAGGGATTTGGGGTTGGGCCTGAGAAGCCCAGGTGGTTGGCAATTGCCAGCAGGATGTAGTTATACTGCCCCAATGTGGCAGTTTTCATTCTATTTCAAATGCTGCTTTTTTTCTCTCATGCTTCTTCGAGTACATCGTAGGACATTAAGGGATGGTGGTGGCTTTGGGGGGACCCACGATGCTTCTGTCAGTTCTTCCTCTCAGGTTTTGGGGGCTACAAGTGAAGATAAGAATGAAAGCTTGGAATTTTAATAGACAGCTCCCATCTGCCATATGTAAAGAATGCTTCTAGCAGGGAGAAGGCAAACCTCAAGGGAAGAGGTTGGTCAGTTTTTAATCAGCTGGGTCTCGTCTAATCTTGCCAAGCTCTAAGCAGAGATTGCAAATTTTGGATCCATAAGCTAAATCCAGCCTCAGACATGCTATGTTTCGCTGACACGGATGGTACTTTTTGTTTTAATTTTTAAAAGGCAGCATTTAAAAGGAAGATTTTATATACCAGTCCAGACTTCTGCCATCTTGACATTGCATTCCTGAGTTGCAGCAATTGGCTGAAACTGAGTAGCTGTTGTTTCCTCCAGGTGGGGTTTGCCCTCTGCAATTTTGTCACAGACTTCACTTCCCCCTGTGACACATCCAGCTGCTTTCCCCATTTAATATCTGCTGCACCTCTGCTGGCGTGTGAGTTTTGGATCCCTATTGCAAACAGCTGGGGATGGGGAGAGGTATCAGGGCAGACTTCACAGAGGAGGGGAATTAAGCTGATCCTTGAAAACTGATAGGAATTTTCTTGGTAAAATAAAAAGGCATGGAACCTCTAGGAAAGCAGACAGGTAGAGAAAAGACACAGTTATGAAGATTTTTGGGAAGGATCAAATCGAACCTTAAGAAAGGCCAGAGTAATCTTTCAGCACGACCTTGGATTTCAACAGACTTTAGTTCCAATTCAGGCTCTACCACATACTTTCAGTATGACCTTGAGTAAATTATTTAATTTCTTTGAGCCTCAACGTATTCATCTGTATAGTAGACATAATAGCTCTATCATATGATTGTGACCACAAAATGAGGTAACATTTTAAAAAATTTATTGCAGTATAATATACCCAAAAGTGCACATATCAAAGATGTGCAGCTCAGTGAATTTTAACAAAGTGAACACGTTCATGTCACCAGCACCCAGGTCAAGAAACAGACAATATCAGCATTTCTTTATTTTTTTTTGAGACAGAGTCTCACTTTGTCACCCAGGCTGGAGTACAGTGGTGCTATCTCAGCTCCCCACAACCTCCGCCTCCTGGGTTCAAGCAATTTTCCTGCCTCAGCCTCCCAAGTAGCTGGGATTACAGGTGCCTGCCACTGTGCCGGGCTAATTTTTGTATTTTTAGTACAGATGGGGTTTCACCATCTTGGTCAGGCTGGTCTTGAAATCCTGACCTCTTGAGCCACCCACCTTGGCCTCCCAAAGTGTTGGGATTACAGGCATGAGCCACCGCGCCCGGCCTATTATGATTTTAATTTGTAAGAAAAGCGGCTTAACTGGATCATAGCTCTGCAGGCTATACAGGAAACGTGGTGGCATCTGCTTGTGGCGAGGCCTCAGGGAGCTTTTACTAATGGTGGAAGGCAAAGCAGGAGCAACTTTAATTTTTTTTATTTCAGCTTTTAGGTTCAGGGGTACATGTGCAAGTTTGTTACATGGGTAAACTGTGTGATACTGAGGTTTGGGGTGTGAATGATCCTGTCACCCTGGTAGTGAGCATTGTACCTAATAGGTATTAATAGTTTTTCAACCCTTGCTTCCCTTCCTCTTTCCCCTCTCTGGTAGTCCCCAGTGTCTATTTTTCCCATCCTTATATCCATGTATACTCAGTGTTCAGCTACCACTTATAAGTGAGAACATGTGATACTGGGTTTTCTGTTCCTGCATTAATTCACTTATGATGATGGCCTCCAGCTGCATCCATGTTGCTGCAAGGGACATGATTTTGTTCTTTTCTGTGGCTGTGTAATATTCCATGGTGTATATGTACCACATTTTCTTTATCTAGTCCACCATTGATGGGCATCTAGGTTGATTCCATGTCATTGCCATTGTGAATAGTGCTGTGATGAACATACAAGTGCATGTGTCTTTGGTAGAGTGATTTATTTGCCATTAGGTATGTACCCAGTAATGGGATTGCTGGGTTGAATGGTTGTTCTGTCTTAAGTTACTTGAGAAATCTCAAAACTGCTTTTCACAGTGGCTGAGTGGATTTACATTCCTACCAAGAATGTATAAGCATTCTCTTTTCTCTGCAACCTTGCCCACATCTGTTATTTTTTGACTTTTTAATAACAGCCATTCTGACTGGTATGAGATGTCACACTATGTTTTTGATTAACATTTCTCTAGTGATGCTGAGCATTTTTTCGTATGTTTGTTAGCCACATGTATGTCTTCTGAGAAGTGTGTGTGTCCTTCGCCCACTCTTAAAGCAGGTTGTTTGTGTTTTGCTTGTTGAATTATTTAAATTCCTTTTAGATTCTGCATATTAGTTTGTGAATATTTTCTCCCATTCTGTAGGTTGTCTGTTCATTCTGTTGATAGTTTCTTTTGCTATGCAGAAGCTCTTTAGCTTAATTAGGTCCCACCTGTTAATTTTTTTGTTGCAATTGCTTTTGAGGACTTAATCATAAATTCTTTGCCAAGGTTGATGTCTAGAATGATATTTCCTAGGTTTTATTCTAGAATTTTTATAGTTTTATGTCTTTTTTTTCTTTTTTTTAAATTATACTTTAAGTTCTAGGATACGTGTGCACAACGTGCAGTTTTGATACATAGGTATACATATGCCAGGTTGGTTTGCTGCACCCATCAACTCGTCATTTACATTGGGTATTTCTCCTAATGCTATCCCTCCCCCAGCACCCCCACCCCCTGACAGGCCCCAGTGTGTGATGTTCCCCACCCTGTGTCCAAGTGATCTCGTTGTTCAATTCCCACCTATGAGTGGGAACATGTCGTGTTTGGTTTTCTGTCCTTGTGATGGTTTGCTGAGAATGATGGTTTCCAGCTTCATCCATGTCCCTGCAAAGGACATGAACTCATCCTTTTTTATGGCTGCATAGTATTCCATGGTGTATATGTGCCACATTTTCTTAATGCAGTCTATCATTGATGGATATTTGGGTTGGTTCCAAGTCTTTGATATTGTGAATAGTGCTGCAATAAACATGAGTGTGCATGTATCTTTATAGTAGCATGATTTATAATCCTTTGGGTATATACCCAGTAATGGGATGGCTGGGTCAAATGGTATTTCTAGTTCTAGATCCTTGAAGAATCACCACACTGTCTTCCACAATGGTTGAACTAGTTTACACTCCCACCAACAGTGTAAAAGTGTTCCTATTTCTCCACATCCTCTCCAGCATCTGTTGTTTACATTTTAAAGATTGCCATTCTAACTGGCACGAGATGATATCTCATTGTGATTTTGATTTGCATTTCTCTGATGGCCAGTGATGATGAGCTTTTTTTCATGTGTCTGTTGGCTGCATAAATGTCTTCTGTTGAGAAGTGTCTGTTCATATCCTTTGCCCACTTTTTGATGGGATTGTTTTTTTTTTCTTGTAAATTTGTTTGAGTTCTTTGTAGATTCTGGATATTAGCCCTTTGTCAGATGGGTAGATTGTAAAAATTTTCTCCCATTCTGTGGGTTGCCTGTTCACACTGATGGTAGTTTCTTTTGCTGTGCAGAAGCTCTTTAGTTTAATTAGATCCCATTTGTCTATTTTGGCTTTTGTTGCCATTGCTTTTGGTGTTTTGGACATGAAGTCCTTGCCCATGCCTATGTCCTGAATGGTATTGCCTAGGTTTTCTTCTAGGGTGTTTATAGTTTTAGGTCTAACATTTAAGTCTTTAATCCATCTTGAATTAATTTTTGTATAAGGTGTAAGGAAGGGATCCAGTTTCAGCTTTCTACATATGGCTAGCCAGTTTTCCTAGCACCATTTATTAAATAGGGAATCCTTTCCCCATTTTTGTTTTTGTCAGGTTTGTCAAAGATCAGATGGTTATAGATGTGTCGTGTTATTTCTGAGGCCTCTCTTGTGTTCTATTGGTCTCTCTCTCTCTGTTTTGGTACCAGTACCATGCTGTTTTGATTACTGTAGCCTTGTAGAATAGTTTTAAGTCAGGCAGCGTGATGCCTCCAACTTTGCTCTTTTTGCTTAGGATTGTCTTGGCAATGTGGGCTCTTTTTTAGTTCCATATGAACATTAACGTAGTTTTTTCCAGTTCTGTGAAGAAAGTCTTTGGTAGCTTGATGGGAATGGCATTGAATCTATAAATTACCTTGGGCAGTATGGCCATTTTCATGACATTGATTCTTCTTATCCATGAGCATGAAATGTTCTTCCATTTGTTTGTGTCATTGAGCAGTGGTTTGTAGTTCTCCTTGAAGAGGTCCTTCACATCCCTTGTAAGTTGGATTCCTATGTATTTTATTCTCTTTGTAGCAATTGTGAATGGTAGTTCACTCATGATTTGGCTCTTTGTTTGTCTGTTATTGGTGTATAGGAGTGCTTTTGATTTTTGCACATTGATTTCGTATCCTGAGACTTTGCTGAAGTTGCTTATCAGCTTAAGGAGATTTGGGGCTGAGACAATGGGATTTTCTAAATATACAATCATGTCATCTGCAAACAGGGACGATTTGACTTCCTCTTTTCCTAATTGAATACCCTTTATTTCTTTCTCCTGCCTGATTGTCCTGGCCAAAACTTCCAACACTATGTTGAATAGGAATGGTGAGAGAGGGTATCCCTGTCTTGTGCCAGTTTTCAAAGGGAATGCTTCCAGTTTTTGCTCATTCAGTATGATATTGGCTGTGGGTTTGTCATAAATAGCTCTTATTATTTTGAGATATGTTCCATCAATACCTAGTTTATTGAGAGTTTTTAGCATGAAGGGCTGCTAAATTTTGTCAAAGGTCTTTTCTGCATCTATTGAGATAATCATGGGTTTTTTGTTGTTGGTTCTGTTTATGTGATGGATTACGTTTATTGATTTGCGTATGTTGAAGCAGCCTTGTATCCCAGGGATGAAGCTGACCTGATTGTGGTGGATAAGCTTTTTGATGTGCTGCTGGATTCAGTTTGCCAGTATTTTATTGAGGATTTTCGCATAGATGTTCATCAGGGATATTGAACAACAAAAAAAATTCTCTTTTTTGTTGTTGTTGTGTCTCTGCCAGGCTTTGGTATCAGGATGATGTTGGCCTCATAAAATGAGTTAGGGAGGATTCCCTCTTTTTCTGTTGATTGGAATAGTTTCAGAAGGAATGGTACCAGCTCCTCTTTGTACCTGTGGTAGAATTCAACTGTGAATCCATCTGGTCCTGGACTATTTTTGGTTGGTAGGCTATTAATTATTGCCTCAATTTCAGAGCCTGTTATTGGTCTATTCAGATATTCAACTTCTTCCTGGTTCAGTCTTGGGAGGGTGTATGTGTCCAGGAATTTATCCATTTCTTCTTGATTTTCTAGTTTATTTGCATAGAGGTGTTTATAGTATTCTGTGATGGTAATTTGTATTTCTGTGGAATCAGTGGTCATATCCCCTTTATCATTTTTTATTGCATCTATTTGATTCTTCTCTCTTTTCTTCTTTATTAGTCTTGCTAGTGGCCTATCAATTTTGTTGATCTTTTCAAAAAACCAGCTCCTGGATTCATTGATTTTTTTTGAAGGGTTTTTTGTGTCTCTATCTCTTTCAGTTCTGCTCTGATCTTAGTTATTTCTTGCCTTCTGTTAGCTTTTGAATGTGTTTGCTCTTTCTTCTCTAGTTCTTTTAATTGTAATGTTAGGGTGTCAATTTTACATCTTTCCTGCTTTCTCTTGTGGGCATTTAGTGCTATAAATTTCCCTCCACACATGGCTTTAAATGTGTCCCAGAGATTCTGGTAGGTTGTGTCTTTGTTCTCACTGGTTTCCAAGAACATCTTTATTTCTGCCTTCATTTCGTTATTTACCCAGTAGTCATTCAGGAGCAGGTTGTTCAGTTTCCATGTTGTTGTGTGGTTTTGAGTGAGTTTCTTAATCCTGAGTTCTAATTTGATTGCACTGTGGTCTGAGAGACAGTTTGTTGTCATTTCTGTTCTTTTACATTTGCCTAGGAGTGCTTTACTTCCAATTATGTGGTCAATTTTAGAATAAGTGTGATGTGCTGCTGAGAAGAATGTATATTCTGTTGATTTGGGGTGGAGAGTTCTGTAGATTTCTATTAGGTCCGCTTGGTGCAGAGCTGAGTTCAAGTCCTGGATATCCTTGTTAACCTTCTATCTCATTGATCTGTCTAATGTTGACAGCGGATGTTAAAGTCTCCCATTATTATTGTGTGGGAGTCTAAGTCTCTTTGTAGGTCTCTAAGGACTTGCTTTATGAATTTGGATGCTCCTGTGTTGGGTCCATATATATTTAGGATAGTTAGCTGTTTTTGTTGAATTGATCCGTTTACCGTTATGTAATGCCCTTCTTTGTCTCCTTGATCTTTGTTGGTTTAAAGTCTGTTTTATGAGAGACTAGCATTGCAACCCCTGCTTTTTTTTGCTTTCCATTTGCTTGGTAGATCTTCCTCCATCCTTTTATTTTGAGCCTATGTGTTTCTCTGCACGTGAGATGGGTCTCCCAACAGCACACTGATGGGTCTTGACTCTTTATCCAATTTGCCAGTCTGTGTCTTTTAATTGGGGCATTTAGCCCATTTACATTTAAGGTTAATATTGTTATGTGTGAATTTGATCCTGTCATTATGATGTTAGCTGGTTATTTTGCCTGTTAATTGATATAGTTTCTTCCTAGCATCGATGGTCTTTACAATTTGGCATGTTTTTGCAGTGGCTGGTACTGATTGTTCCTTTCCATGTTTAGTGCTTCCTTCAAGAGCTCTTGTAAGGCAGGCCTGGTGGTGACAAAATCTCTCAGCATTTGCTTGTCTGTAAAGGATTTTATTTCTCCTTCACTTATGAAGCTCAGTTTGGCTAGATATGAAATTCTGGGTTGAAAATTCTTTTCTTTAAGAATGTTGAATATTGGCCCCCACTGTCTTCTGGCTTGTAGGGTTTCTGTAGAGAGATCCACTGTTAGTCTGATGGGCTTCCCTTTGTAGGTAACTCGACCTTTCTCTCTGGCTGCCCTTAACATTTTTTCCTTCATTTCAACCTTGGTGAATCTGACAATTTCTTGAGGAATATCTTAGTGGTGTTCTCTGTATTTCCTGAATTTGAATGTTGGCCTGCCTTTCTAGGTTGGGGAAGTTATCCTGGATAATATCCTAAAGAGTGTTTCCCAACTTGGTTCCATTTTCCCCATCACTTTCAGGTACACCAATCAAATGTAGATTTGGTCTTTTCACATAGTCCCATATTTCTTGGAGGCTTTGTTCATTTCTTTTTACTCTTTTTTCTCTAACCTTGTCTTTTTGCTTTATTTCATTAATTTGATCTTCAGTCACTGATACCCTTTCTTCCACTTGACCGAATCAGCTATTGAAGCTTGTGCATGCATCACGAAGTTCTCGTGCCATGGTTTTCAGCTCCATCAGGTCATTTAAGGTCTTCTCTACACTGTTTATTCTAGTTAGCCATTCATCTAACCTTTTTTCAAGGTTTTTAGCTTCCTTGCTATGGGTTCAAACATGCTCCTTTAGCTCGGAGAAGTTTATTACTACTGACCTTCTGAAGCCTACTTCTGTCAACTCATCAAAGTCATTCTCCATCCAGCTTTGTTTTGTTGCTGGCAAGGAGCTGCAATCCTTTGGAGGAGAGGAGGTGCTCTGATTTTTACAATTTTCGGCTTTTCTGCTCTGGTTTCTTCCCATCTTTTTGTTTTTGTCTACCTTTGGTCTTTGATGTTGGTGACCTACAGGTGGGGTTTTGGTGTAGATGTCCTTTTTGTTGATGTTGATGCTATTCCTCTCTGTTTGTTAGTTTTCCTTTGAATAGTCGTGTCCCTCAGCTGCAGGTCTGTTGGAGTTTGCTGGAGGTCCACTCCAGAACCTGTTTGCCTGAGTATCACCAGCAGAGGCTGCAGAACAGCAAATATTGCAGAACAGCAAATACTGCTGCCTGATCCTTCCTCTGGAAGCTTCGTCCCAGAGGGGCACCTGCCTATATGAGGTGTCTGTCGGCCCCTACTGGGAGGTGTCTCCCAGTTAGGCTACATGGGGGTCAGAGACCCACTTAAGGAGGCAGTCTCTCCATTCTCAGAACTCAAATGCCATGTTGGGAGAACCACTGCTCTCTTCAGAGCTGTCAGACAGGGACGTTTAAGTCTGTAGAAGTTGTCTGCTGCCTTTTGTACAGCTAAGCCCTGCCCACTGAGATGGAGTCTAGATGCAGTAGGCCTTGCTGATCTGCGGTGGGCTCCGCCCTGTTCAAGCTTCCTGGCTGCTTTGTTTACATACTCAAGCCTCAGCAATGGTGGACGCCCCTCCTCCCACCAGCTCGTGCCTTGCAGGTCAATCTCAGACTGCTGTGCTAGCAGTGAGCAAGGCTCTGTGGGTGTGGGACCCACTCAGGCAGACATGGGAGAGAATCTCCTTGTCTGCCAGTTGTTAAGACCTTGGGAAAAGTGCAGTATTTAGGTGGGAGTGTCCCATTTTTCCAGGTACAGTCTGTCACAGCTTCCCTTGGATAGGAAAGGAAAGTCCCCTAACCCCTTGTGCTTCCCAGATGAGGTGAAGCCCTGCCCTGCTTCAGCTCACCCTCCGTGGGTTGCACCTACTGTCCAACTTGTCCCAGTGAGATGAACCAGGTACCTCAGTTGGAAATGCAGATATCACCCGTCTTCTGTGTTGATCACACTGGGAGCTGCAGACTGGAGCTGTTCCTATTCGGCCATCTTGGAACAGATCTCTAGTTTTATGTCTTACATTTAAGTCTTTAATCTATCTCGGGTTAATTTTTGTATATGGTGAAAGGTAGGGGTCCAGTTTCATTCCTCTATGTTTGGCTAGCCAGTTATGCCAGCACAATTTATTGAATAGAAAGGCCTTTCCCCATTGCTTGTCAACTTTGTTAAAGCAGATCATTTATTTTCATTGCCATATAGTATTCCATTGGGTGAATATCCTACCATTTATTTATCCAGTCTTGATTAATGGGCATTTGGATAATTTTCCATTTTTGCTTTTTTTTTTTGCCTTCAAGCATCTGTTTAACAAAGCACATCTTGCACCGCCCTTAATCCATTTAACCCTGAGTGGACACAGCACATGTTTCAGAGAGCAGGGGGTTGGGGGTAAGGTTATAGATTAACAGCATCCCAAGGCAGAAGAATTTTTCTTAGTACAGAACAAAATGGAGTCTCCCATGTCTACTTCTTTCTACACAGACACAGTAACAATCTGATCTCTCTTTCTTTTCCCCACATTTCCCCCTTTTCTATTCGACAAAACTGCCATCGTCATCATGGCCCGTTCTCAATGAGCTGTTGGGTACACCTCCCAGACGGGGTGGCGGCCAGGCAGAGGGGCTCCTCACTTCCCAGATGGGGTGGCTGGGCAGAGGTGCCCCCCACCTCCGAGATGGGGCAGTGGCCGGGCGGGGGCTGCCCCCCACCTCCCTCCTGGACAGGGCGGCTGGCCGGGCGGGGGCTGTGCCCCACCTCCTGGACGGGGCGGCTGCTGGGTGGAGGGGCTCCTCACTTCCCAGACGGGGCGGCTGCTGGGTGGAGGGGCTCCTCACTTCTCAGACGGGGCGGCTGGGCAGAGACACTCCTCACCTCCCTGATGGAGTGGCGGTCGGGCAGAGACACTCCTCAGTTCCCAGACGGGGTCGCGGCCGGGCAGAGGCGCTCCTCACATCCCAGATGGGGCGGTGGGGCAGAGGCGCTCCCCACATCTCAGACGATGGGCGGCTGGGCAGAAACACTCCTCACTTCCCAGACGGGGTGGCGGCCGGGCAGAGGCTGCAGTCTCGGCACTTTGGGAGGCCAAGGCAGGCAGCTGGGAGGTGGAGGTTGTAGCGAGCCGAGATCACGCCACTGCACTCCAGCCTGGGCAACATTCAGCACTGAGTGAGAGAGACTCCGTCTGCAATCCCGGCACCTTGGGAGGCCGAGACAGGCAGATCACTCGCGGTCAGGAGCTGGAGACCAGCCCAGCCAACACTGCGAAACCCCATCTCCACCAAAAAAATGCAAAAACTAGTCAGTTGTGGCTGCGCACGCCTGCAATCCCAGGCACCCTGCAGGCTGAGGCAGGAGAATCAGGCAGGGAGGTTGCAGTGAGCCGAGATGGCGGCAGTACAGTCCAGCCTCGGCTTTCACAACTTTGGTGGCATCAGAGGGAGACCGGGGAGAGGGAGAGGGAGAGGGGGAGGGGGAGGGGGCCCATTTTTGCTTTTAAGAATAGTACATGACTGGATTGTAGTGGCTCATGCCTGTAATCTCAGCACTTTGGGAGGCCGAGGCAGGCAGGTCGCTTGAGTCCAGGAGTTCACGACCAGTGTGGGCAACTTAAGCGAGACCTTATCTCTATTATAACAAAGTTTTTAATTAAAAAAAGAGAATAGTACAATTATGAAAATTTTAGTACACGTCTTTTGGTGAATATACTTTTGCATTTCTGTTAAGTATACACCTAGAAGTGGAATTAGTGGGTCATATGTTCATGTATGGTAGAAACTGCCAGTTTTCCAAAGCGGTTAGTAACTAATTTTTTGTTTTGTTTTTGTTTTTTTTTGAGACAGAGCTTTGCTCTGTCTCCCAGGCTGGAGTGCAGTGGTGCGATCTTGGCTTACTGCAGCCTCCGACTCCTGAGCTCAAATGATTCTCTTGCCTCAGCCTCTCAAGTAGCTGGGATTGCAGGCGCCTACCACCACGCCTGGCTAATTTTTGTATTTTTAGTAGAGACGGGGTTTCATCATGTTGGCCAGGCTGTTTTTGAACTCCTGACCTCAAATGATCTGCTCACCTTGGCCTCCCAAAGTGCTGGGATTACAGGCATGAGCCACTGCACCCAGTTGTAACTAATTTATACTTTCAACAATAGTCTCAGAGAGTTATGACTGCCCTCTCTCTAATAGTTTCCTCTCTAATAGTTGGTACTTTCATTTTCATTTTTGCCATTCTGATGGATGTGGTTTTAAAATCAATTTCTTTAATGGCTAAGGAAAGCAAGCACTTTCTCATATGTTCATTGAGCATCTGAATATTTTTTTGTGACATGTTACTTAAAATCTTTTGCTCGCTTTTAAAAATTTGGTCACCTGTGTTTTTGTGTGCATTTCTAAAGTTTGACATTTCATGATAGACAATCAAGGAGCATTATAAAAGAAAGGAATGTTATGACAGTTTAATTCAAGAGAAGGATGTGGGAGTATGTGATGGTGGATGAAAAATAAAGCTCCCGGCCAGGTGTGGTGGCTCATGCCTGTAATCCCAGCACTTTCGGAGGCTGAGGCAGGCGGATTACCTGAGATCAGGAGTTCCAGAGCAGCCTGACGAACATGACGAAAACCTGTTTCTACTAAAAATACAAAAATTAGCTGGGCATGGTGGTGGGCGCCTGTAATCCCAGCTACTTAGGAGGCTGAGGCAGGAGAATCGCTTGAACCTGGGAGGCAGAGGTTGCAGTGAGCTGAGATTGTGCCACTGCACTCCAGCCTGGGCGACACGAATGGACAAAACAAACAAACAAAAAAACAAAAAAAAACCTCCCCAGCCTTTGATGTTGTCCCCAGGTCCTAGAAGAGAGACAGATTTTAGGAAGAGAGGAGGATGGCACCCCCTTTTGCAAAACATCTCTAGAGTGGTAGGACCTTGGAGAAAAGTAGCTGTGGGTGACAGACTGGTCCACATACCAAGAGCTGCGATCCTGGGGCCCATGCAAGGAGAAGGAAGTTTCACCTCAAAGAAATGGGTTTGCTGACAACCCTGTGGCCCTTTGAAGGACTGTGACTGATAGGGCAACTCTGGGACAACAGGGACCAGAAGTGCGGGATAGATAGAAGAAACCTGGGCTGGAAAATGTGCCTTGTGTATCAAGGAACAACTATGGCAAATGCAGCAGCAACTGAATAAATCCAGATTGTTCTCTGCTTGAGGATAAAAGCCTGTTGATTTTCCTTTTTGGTAAACTCCTTGATGACTGCAAGAGACCCACAGTGGAAAAGGGGAAGCCCCAAGAATGAAGTCCATGACTCCTGCCAGTCTGCAATGTGGGGTCTCAAACCAGTTCTAGTTAATTGAAAATGTGATATTATTTGCATCCCTCCTGGCTGGAGCAGTTTATACATACAGTACCATATTACTTTTTAATTTTGTTACATAGTGTCCAAAGCATATGCCTTGCATAATTTTTATTTTTGATACTTATTCCTTGTGTTATTTTGTGAAGTTTTGTAAATGTTTTCATAAACTCTAAACATTTTCCGTTGATTTTTTTCCCCTAATTCCAGAAGTAATCCCTGTAAATTATAGAAAAGTTTAAGAGATAAAAGCACAAAGGAGAAAATGAATCTTTTATGATATAATTTTTAATAACCATAAATATTATTTGTGCACATATATTTGATTGTTTCCCAATGTTGGACATTTTAGGGTGTTTTCAATATTTTCTTCTTTTTTTTTGAGATGGAGTTTTGCTCTTCTTGCCCAGGTTGGAGTGCAATGGCACAATCTTGGCTCACTGCAACCTCTGCCTCCCGGGTTCAAGCAATTCTGCTGCCTCAGCCTCCCAAGTAGCTGAGATTACAGGCATGTGCCACCACGCCCGGCTGATTTTTGTATTTTTAGTAGAGGTGGGGTTTCACCATGTTGGTCAGGCTGGTCTCAAACTCCTGACCTCAGGTGATCCACGCACCTCGGCCTCCCAAAGTACTTGGATTACAGGCATGAGCCACTGCACCCGGCCAATATTTTCTTCTTATAACTAATATTGAAATGGACTGCACATTCTTAATTATTTATTTAAGATAAATCCAAGTAATGGAATAACTGAGTCAAAAGGTATATCCATCTTTAAACATTTGTTACGTATTCCTAAATTGCTTTCCAAAAAGTTGCATCAATTAACTATCTCACTATCTCAGCAGCAGTGATTGGGAGTGGCTGTTTTTGGCACCTTGCCAACATCAGGTACTGTCTTTTTTTTTTTTTTTTTTTTTCCTGGGTTGAGATGATGAGTTTATTGGCACAGTCAATATTCACATATTCATACTTTGGCTTCTTCAGACACCTTGAACTTTGGGACTAGACTTTATACAGAGTCAAACACCACGTAGAAGCACGTGGGCCCCACGAGCAACACTCCTGCTTCTTAGTGAGGGAGACAAGCTACCCATGTCTCATGATCAAAGTACTTTTTAATTCTTACATAGAAACCTTAATTTGCTCTGGCCTCCAAAAGACTTTAATCCTGGCCTCCAAATTCGTCTCAAGGGATGTTCTCTTCACCTGGGGCTGGTTTAAACAGAGGCCGCCTCACCAGAGCAGCCTTTCAGTCCTTCAGGAGTCTCTATCCCATGATACGTACATGTAGGTTTGTGCAGGCAGGGAACACACATGACAGAGAACTGCTTTGGTGGTACTGGATGGGTGGTGTTTCTTCACTGGATTTTGGTGACTGTTTCACAGATGGAGGTGGCCACATAATCTAGATTTTATGTGGTTAAGCCACACATGTTGATTCGACCACTCGGCAGCAAATAGATGGTTTTTTTGTCTGATTTTAGGTATTGTCATTTATTAAATGCCATTATGTAAAGCAGGTCACTGTCAGCTCTGATCTGGATGACATCTAATGGCCTCTTAATGGTGCCCCAGTCAACACACTCCTCACTTCAATGAACTCTTCATGCTCTACCCAAAGTGTTTCTTCTAACTTGTGAATCTGATCCCTTCCCTGTTTGAAATCTTTTAATAGCTTCTATAACCCATAGAATGAGGCCTCAGTGTCTTTACGGTTCATGAGGTTCTTCATGTCCCAGTTCTACCTGTTCCTTTGGGGTCTTCTCTATCATCTCATCACCTGCCTCTATGCCCCAGGCATACTGAACTTATTTCTGTTTTTAGGAGTTACTCATTTTCTCTGTTGGTCTCTGTCTCTTCCTCTCTCTCTGCCTCCTGATATCTGCGCCATACAAGTTCTTGAGGTTGGACCATTCACTTTCTTCCTCTAACTCTAGCTAACCGCCTTCTCTTCCATCAGTGAAGAGCATTTGGACTTTGTCAGAGCTGAGATGCTGAGACTGGCGTCTGGCGCTAGGCAACACCGCCCCCTTGAGGAGCTCTGCATGCTCTGAGCCAACCAGCTGGCTATCTCCTGGAATGCTTGCAGAACATAACTGATGGCTATTTAGGGATCCTGATGCCAGCCATATCCCAATGATCTCTTCAAATGTTGCCTCTGCCTCATCCACTCTCCTCTTGATTCTTCTGGGATTTCAAAAAGCCTGTTAGACCTCCTCCGTGGATCCTCAGGGTCTCTGACTCTGTCTTTTGTATTTTCTATCTCTTTGTTTCTCTGTGTTGCATTCTAATAGTTTCTTCTCTCCCATCTTCCAGTTTGCCAATTCTCTCTCCAGCCATGTATAATGTACTATTAAGTCATCTTGTAGCAAGCTATTGATTTTGGTTATTGCATTTTAAAATTTTAGAATTTCTATTTGGTTCTTTTTCAGCTCCATCATGCTACTTTTAAATATATATTCCAGGTCTCTACTAAAACTTTTAAGCCTCTGTATTATTTCTATAAACATAGCATAGTTGTTGTATAGTTTGCATATGATAATCTTAGTGGTAGGTCTTTGTGTATCTATTTCTGTTGTTTGGTCTTTCTGCTCTTTTTTGCATATAGCATTTGGTTTCTGAGTGCACCTGGTTATCTTTCACTATGCATTCATTGTAGTGTTTGAAAAGTTGTTTGTGGTAGTGATATGAAGCCTAAGGTGAGGACATGTTCATCCTGAGAGCATTTTCATTTGTTTCTGCTAGGTGCTTAGAGGTGCTATTAGCCTAGGCCTTCCTTAATCTAAGTTCAATTCTTGAGCTTCCCTTGGCCACCGAGGCACGGTAAAACCAGGCTGCAGGTCACTGTGGGATTTTTCTTCCAATTCACTTTGTTCTGAGGCTGTGTCCTTCTGGGTACCTGGAGAGGGGATGTCCTACCACCGTACCTATTTTTGGTGGGCTCTGCATTTTGTCTTTGTCTTCTTGGGTTTGGGAATTTGCCAGATTAAGTTTTCAACTGTATCTTTGGATCAACAAATGAAATACACTCAGAATAAAGGCAGTGGGCTTACCTCTGAGCACTGGGCTTACCTCTCTAGGTTCTTAACCTCTCTTAGATTAGAGCTCAGTAATTTCTCACTAGTGTGTTTTGATGTTTGATGCTTTAAAAGGTAATCCAGATTTTTTAGTTATCCTAGGAAGCTGGATTGATCCTAATCACTTTACTTTCCATGCCAGAGGTGGAAATAGCTATTTCCTATTTTCCTTGGCTCTAGGAATGCCAAGGGAGAAAATTTTAGCTCTGGGTTGCAGTTCAGATATGAAAAGATCTCTCTGGACTGTATATATGCACTCTGAGGCTGAAAGAGGCCAAGCCAGAAGGAGAAACCAAAGCCCCTTTTCAGCTCCTTAGATGGATGGCAGGGTATGTGCACAGTACCCTGTCTGGCGGTCATTTGTCTGGAGCACTTCTCTTGTGCTAAGGCAGGTTGTGTCCCTGTCTCCACTACTTGGCTTTCAGATACTGTAACAGAGCTAGGGCATGACAATCTGCAACTCCCAGAATGCACTTCTACCAGGGTTCTTCTGGTCACTGGCCCTATCCACAGCCCTTGATTTTAGAAAGCACATTTCCTG
Organism: Homo sapiens; assembly: GCF_000001405.40. Lineage (NCBI taxonomy): Eukaryota > Metazoa > Chordata > Mammalia > Primates > Hominidae > Homo > Homo sapiens. Next base: position 93,976,928 of record NC_000008.11, read on the forward strand.
GCATGCAATGCACCTCTGTCAGTCCCCAGCCCCAATCTTGCTTCTTTTTTAATTGTGTTCTGACAATCTCTGACTGAATGTAGAAAATGGGATGAAAGGAGAGGAAAGGAGGAAAAAAGTGCTGGCTGCCCATTTTTCTTGTTGGTCCAGACCTTGAGTCAGGGTCAGGCTGAATAATGGCCCCCCAAAGATGTCCACTGTCCACATCTTAATCCTGGGAGTTGTGACTGTGTTACCATATGTGACACTTGCTGCTCTGATTAAGTTAATGATGTTGGTGGGAGGCTGGCTTGAGCCCAGGAGTTCAAGACCAGCTGGCACAACATGGCAAAAACCCATCCCTACAAAAAAAACAAAAAAACAAAAAACCGGAGAAATTAGCCAGGTGTGGCAGTGCATCCCTGTGGTCCCAGCTACTCAGGAGGCTAAAGTGGAAGGATCATTTGAGCCTGGGAAGTTGAGGCTGCAGTGAGCTGTGATCATGCCCCTGCATTCCAGCCTGGGTGACAGAATGAGAAAAAAATAAATAAATGAAAAAGAATCAAAAAAAGTTAATCATGTTGAAATGAGGAGCATATTCTACATTATTCAGGTGGTCCCAATGTAAACATGAAGGTTCTTAGGAGAGGGAGGCAACAGGAGGGTCCTTAGGAGAGGGAGGCAAGGTGTCAGAGTCAGAGAGGAAGGTGTGATGACAAGCAGAGGCTGGGGTGATGGGAGGGACTCCGAGGCAAGGATTGCAGGTGGCCTCTAGAAGCTGGAAAAGGTGAAGACACGGATTCTCCCTTGGAACTCCAGAAGGAATGCAACCCTGCTGACACCTTGATTTTAGGATATCTGACATCTAGGACTGTAAGATAAATTTGTCTTGTTTTAAACCACAAAGTTTGTAGTACTTTGTAACAGCAGCAATAGAAAATGAATGCAGGCAGACCATTGATATATCATCCAGTTTTATAACTCCTGTAATTAGGGGAAATGATTCTCAGATTGTAGAAACAGGTCAATGGTCTCAACAAAACCCATCATGACTTTTGGGTGAGGTTGAGTTTTGTCTTTTTCTGTGCCTTTTATACTGCTGCTTCTTCCTTTTGTGTGTTCCTTATTTGATTTCACATAGGCATCTTATCACAATGTGGTAACTGCCCTGGATTTCTGATATATTCTTTCTGAGCAGAAAAGAGTCACTTCCTTTTCACAGTGATGAGGCAGGTTATTTATCCCCATCCAGTTCATGTCAGTTGTGCATTTCCTGTGTTAAGTCCAGTGTTAATCACCGGCCCAAATTTTGAAAGTCCCCATGGGGAAATAAAATGAAATAGAAAGGCCGGGTGTAATGGCTCATGCCTGTAATCCCAGCACATTGGGAGGCTGAGGCAGGAGGATGGTTTGAGCCCAGAAGTTCAAGCCCAGCCTGGGCAACATGGGGAAACACTGTCCCTACAAATAAATAAGTAAATAAATTGGCCAAGCGTGGTGGGACATACCTGTAGTCCCAGCTACTTGGGAAGATGAGGTGGGAGGATCACCTGAGCCTGGGAGGTCAAGGCTGCAGTGAGCCATGATTACACCATTGCATTCTAGCCTGGGCAGCAGAGTGAGACCCTCTGTCTCTCTCAAAAAGAGTAAAATGCAGTAAATATTCCACCTACTTCAAATACTCCATTGAAGATGCCTTCAGTGTTTTAGATTATGGCCTAGGCATTTAAAACAGGCTTTTGACAGTGCTAGGAAAAGGCAGCGTGACATGGCAGGCAGAAGACGAGCAGCCCCTTCATCTCCCTGTGCTCCTGCTGCTCTTTCAGGAAGTGGGGATTGATGATTTTGAAATTTATTTTACATTTTATCTATTTACATAAACTTGGAGCCATGAGAACAGAAAGCACAGTCCTTGCTTTTGCTCTTGCATTCATCAGGGGAGACAAGCGGCTCAAGAAATAATTATCATGCAGCATGTTCAAATTGCTATGGGACAATGATGACATGAGCATGTAACTGAACCAGGAGGAGCTGGTAATGGCATGCATTAATTCATACTACTCCATGCAAGCACTGTGTCAGTTGCTGGATGATTCTTCACCTTGTGAATGATATGAAGCTGTGGAAGGAAATTTGTTTGAAACCCTAGGCCACACGTGCTCAGGACTCCCTCACCTCCACCCCAGAGGTGTCCCTGCTTGTTTTGAAGTGATGACACATCTGTAGGGCAGCCACCCCTCTGGGCTTAGGAAAGACCCTATGCCTTAGTCTCTGAGGCTTTGCAATCCTCCCCCTCAAAAACCGTGCTGTTTTCAAACTCTGTTGAGCCTCAATGATGGGTTTGGGGTGACAGTGTAACCTGAAGCCCAGAACAGACTTGAGTATGTATCTCTGAGGTTCAGACATTGTCCATCTAAGGAGTCAGCCCACCTTTTCATAGTCTTCCTTTGATTGCCCCCTTCTTTTCCTACATACTTGTGTTCAAATTCACAGACAGAAAGTTTGGAGCTCCTAGATATAACTTTATTTTTTTGTGCTTGAACCCAGCGTAGCTCTCAGAGACTCCCTTTCTAGCCTGTGGTAGAAAAGCTAATCTTGCTAGTTCAAGGTCATTCTATCAATTCTGGTTTAGACTGTATGTGTCTTTGGGTCCAATACTCAGGCAATCTCTGCATTCTTCTTTTCCTCTCCTGCCCAGCAGTCATCTAAGCTCCAAGGGGTTTGGGCATCACCAAACATCATTATCTGTGGTGTCAGGGAAAAGGCATTGGTTCTTCATGGGCTCTTGTCCCCAGGCACCCACAATGGATGCCACATATCCTTTCTCTTCGTGAGGACAGTCTTGGCCATTGCTGTGGGAGCTGGGCTTCTCTACTGACCATGCATCCACTTGGCTCCAGCCACAGTGATTTCCCACTGTGCTGTCCACCACCTGGCTCAGCTATGGGGTCTGCGTACCTTGTCCTTCACCATCCTCTTGGCCAACCCTGCGCTCTCCAGAGCCACCTTCCATACCTCTACTTGGGTGTGTGGAAAGTCCAGGTTTCCTCTGCCCTATGGGAGCCAAGGAAGGCCTGGAGCTGTGGCAGGGCTGGCTCAGATCCTCCTTTGCTAAACTCACCACACTGCCTTTTCTGACCTCCCCTGGCCATCCTGTGTGGATGTGAGGTGTGTTTTGCATCTGTCTCCTCCTACAGTTGCAGGCAGCATGCACTGGGCACAAAGACCCTCTATTCCAAGCATAAATCTCGAAGCATATCCAGGATTTTATTACCATCTTTATCTTCCACTCAGTTTCAACACTGAGGTGAAGGCAAAGGGTAATTGCCACACTAGCATTTAAACTTTCTTGCTTTCATTTTCCAGTTTCATCCAAGATTTTTTTTTCTCAGCCCACAAAAGGATTGTATTCTTCCTTGCTCTCTGGTTTCTCGAAATCACTCTAGGCAGGGTTGGAAAACTATGATTTGTGTGCCAAATCTGGCTACAGCCTGTTTTTGTAAATGAAGTTCTATTGGAACAGTCACACCCATTTGTTTACTTACTGTCTGTGAGCTGCCTGCTACAGAATTGAGTAATTGAGATAAGGACTACAGGGTCTGCAAAGCCTAAAATATTTACTATTTGGCCCTTTACAGAAAAAGTTTGCCCACCTCTGCTCCAGGCTCTGAATCCTCTAGGTTTGACACTAGATATTTACGGCTAAGATTTTTGAATCCAAAGAAATCTACTTCTCCCCAGCTTCCACCCTGGTCCTTGGTTTTGCGACGGAAAGCCATGGTGACTTCAAGACACTTTAGGAACTCAAAGCCAGCTGTCCTCATGGGATTCATTTGTGTCTTCCCTTTCCTAGCACAGCAAGTCTGGTTTGGTTTTAATAAGAAGGGTCCCATGATGCTTTCCTTCTGGTTTTCTGCTGGTGGCCTCTGTGGCTGTATCCCCAGGCAGATGCCTGGCCAGGTCTGGGGCACTGAACTCTCCAAACCCCTGCAAGTGGAGCGTTTTTCCCCAAGGTAAGCAAAGAGACCTTGGCTCCTATGGAGCTGGTTTTGGCCAGATTCACCAAAATGCAAGAATCACTGAATGTTTGAGCTGGAAAAGATGATCATACCCAGCATCTTTTTCACTGACCCCCTTGTCCCTGACTTGGTTTAACAATGGAGACAAGACCTGGGGAGGGTAATGAGGAAAAATGAGGAGTGGCCTGGTCAACAGCACACAGCCTAATTTGCGGGCCATTTGCTCCCCCTCCAATTGCCTGTGCCTGGGCTGAAACATACCCAGCGAGAGCAGCACAGCTCCGGGCACCCCATGGTGTGAGCCTGACGGAGCCTAGCTTCCCTAGCTAGATGCTCCCACTCATGCGACGGCCAGGGGCTCAGCTGAGTAGCATGAGTTCACACAATAGGCAACAGGACAGGCCCACCGATGACCTGCAGCTCCCGGGTCCCTGGATTCTGTGTTCCTGAAATTTCCCTGTCTTTTTTATTTTACTCGTTTCTCAGATCTCTGGTTTAGGGAAGAAAAAAGATGAAAGTTACAGTAGGACTACAAAGATACAACTGGGATGGAGGGTTTGGGGTGAAAGAATGTTGATTGCAAAGGACCATTGGCCACGGTCACACCACCCACCCCAGCCAGCCTCTTCTTTCTTCTTTTTCCCTTGGAAATTGCTTCTTAGATAGTGACCGCTATTAATGACAACACTGGTTGTATTGCCTAAAGGAATGTAATGTATTAATCATAGCTAATATCATTAGCACTTACCATTTACGGGGCAAATCTGAACATGCACGAACCTGGTTAAAGTTAATGGCTCTCTGCTATCTGCTGGCTCCAGCCCCTACTCCTTACGTGGTTATGATGGTCCATGCCAAGCTCTCCCACCTCCTCTCTAGTTATGCCCCCTTCAAATTCTCTGCTTCAATCATATTTTAGCTCTTTGACTTAAAAAAAAAATGCCTGAAGTATACTTATTCTCTTTTGCCAGTGAACCTTTGAACATAACATTTTCTCTACCCACCTCCTGCACTCACACATTGACCTACACCCCAATTCCTCTTTGCCTAATTCCTTCCTATTCCTCAGATTGCAGCTTAGCCATAACGTCCTCCTGGAAGCCTTTCCCAAAGGAGGACTTCCACGTCCTGGGACTTCCATGACATGCCCCTTATCGTACATGCCCACAATGATCTCTTCACTTCTTTGCAAGCCTCCTTAGGCCAGGGCTTTGCCCAGGTGCTTAGTCCTTTGGAGGAATTTAATAAATATTTGTAGAATAAATGAATGAACCAATGTCTGAACAAATGGAGGTTTTGCTAACCCCTTTTGTAGAGCTCTTACATGGCTTGCCTAAAGTCAGCCACATAACAGGGAGCAGAGTTAGGACTCAAAAGCAGGCTTACCAATTCCACGTCTGGTGCTCTTTCTAGTATCTTATAAGGCCTGACATAAGCCTGGCTATTCAAAGGGATTAAGGGAAATCTAAATAAATAATTAGAGTAATGTCTGGGAGAAAACACACGAGGAAGAAATCATGATTATTTCTGGGAGAGGGAGGAGTGCTCTTAGGGAGAAGTTTTTGTGAGCTTATGCAATGGCCATGTCTCCAACCATGCTCTCTTCAACTTCTGAGTTAGGGGGACTGGGAGTGGGGGACTGGAACATATCTGTAATTTCTTTTTTTTTAAATGAGGAGAATATATTCATGTATTCTTTGAATAATTAAAAACTAATTTAAAAAATGAGCACTGCCAAGGGATTTTTCTGTACTGCACTCTTCAGCTGATGAATTTTTACATTAAACGATTTGAAATGCTGTTTTTTTTTTTTGCTGCTTATTCCAAAAAGAAAGGAAAAAAGAAACAAAAGAAAAAACAAAAAAGGAAAGCATGAAAACAACCAAAATACTTTTGCTCCAATTTTCAGAGATGCTTACCGCTGCACTCATTGAATGCAAAACTAATTGAATAGAGAAGATGGACTGCAGTGACTGAAGTGTGACAATGACTAGACTACTTAATTTGTTGTTTTCTTCCAATTTATGACTCTTCGTCACAGACTATTTGTCTTTGATGCTATTTCTAGTCATAAAGCATCTGGTCTGTATAATTAAGGGGAGCTGAGAAAATGTAATTAGCCAAACATGCAGGAAGGAGATGGCAAATCTTCTTCATGACAGAAATGTAGCCCAGACCATATTCCTTCTCGGATAAAGACATTATTCACTGACTCAGGTGGGATGGTTCCCACAGTGAATTGCTGCATTCCCTGAAGACCGTCCTCTATCGCTCCCTCTAGTGGCTGATCTGTTTTAAAAACCCGCTTGTACACGCTGTTCCTTCACCCCAGCTCCATTCCCCATTCTGGGTAAATGTATAAAAATCCATATCTGTTGGCTTAGAAATGCCCCTGGCAGACGTATATGAGCATGGCCTAAGGTCCGGCTCAAAAGTCAATGCCATCTGGACTGACAGGAAGAATGTCAGAGGAAGAACGCAGAGCAACAAAAGCAGCAACTTCCAAATAACCAAGAACCCCCAGCAGGTGTACACCATGCCATCCTCTAGAAAGGACGAGGTGGTAATGTGAACACACATGTCCAGACTCCAGTGCCCCTCAGACAAGCCCCATGCCGAGTGTCGCAGCTGAGCATCTGTACATGGAACGGATTATTTGATTGCATGTTATGGGATTATCAGGTATGGGTATTATCAGGATGGGGTTGTAATAGGGAAAGAATGTTACAGCTACAAGAGAGTGGACAGGTTCTTATGTAAGGACATACGTGGAGCCTGAAGAGTTAAGGCTTTCTAAGTCATTCTGTTGAAACTAATCCTTGGACGTGTTTTGTCAAGTGGTGAATAAGGCTGATCTGAAACAACAGCAACAAAATACAAACCAAATGTTCCCATCAGGCCTGACTATAACCTGTGGCTGCAAATGGGGCCACCATAAGAACAATAACCCACATTTCATTACCCCACCTGCTGAGTAAAATACTGGTAAGCACAGGACATCTGGGTCATAGACTGTGGGTTCAAAGCTGAGACCCAGCTCTCCCCTGTGTGGAACCTTGGGTAAGTTGCTCAATCTCCCTGCGCTTGATTATTCATCTGGGCAATGTAATGATGTCTATTGTATAAGCTGATGGTGAGGATTAAATAGTGAGTGCAGGTAAAGAGCCTCAGATAGGACCGTGCCCATGCAGACTGAGTAACTGATCTTTGTTACTACTGTACTCATGTTTACCATGTCCTCCTGGGTCCCCAGGCTGTGTCTCCTATTTGCTCACAAACAAGTGGCATCTGCCATGATCACTCGGTTCCCTGATCTCCTGTGGTCCTGCCTACAGAGTAGGTAATGGACCTCTTCACTGCTTTTAGGGCCCACCATCATGCTTGACATCTCCTGGGGTGACTGGTAGACTCACCTCCACCCTCCCTCTTCTGGCTCGCTCCCGTGGTCCTAACTGATCTATATGACCCCAGTCCTCACCATGAGAAGTTAATTTTGGAGTTGGCCCTTGATTTGTGCTGTGCCAAGCAATATGGGTCTGCTGTGAATCTGCAGCCTGGAAGAAACAGACTCAGAAGTTGACGGTAGCTGGAGAAGTTTTTGTGAGCTTATGCAATGGCCACATCTCCAACCATGCTCTCCCCAACTTCTGAGTCAGCTCCTGTTTCTTAGAGAGCTGGAGGGTGGATGCTTGCCCCATTCAGTGCACCTTTCCCCTTCTCTACCCTTGGTCCTTAATGAGGATTTGTGCATCAAAGCACAGCGTTCTCTACCACTCCCTTTAAGTGGTAGGTGGCAAATACCTGTCTTGTATTTCTTCCCAAGCTGGAAGTAGGTTTTTGCTTGTAAAGCTGGAGCAGGGAGAAGAGTTACTATCTGGAGAGAATGGAAAACATCTGCAAAATGAACAAATCTCCTGTTTTCCGTGGCACTGGGCATTAAACAGTGTCACAGATGGCTTCACTAGGGGATTATGGACAACATGAAGAGATCCAAACATGTCTGTTTATTTACCCCTTCTCTTGAGAACAGCAATTGTGGGATCAATTGGGAGGCAAAATGGTATAAGAAAAGAACTCTGGCTTTGGAGTCCAGACAAATCCAGCTTCAAAACCTTGTGCCTTAATATACGTTTCTATGATGATTTAGTTGACCTCTGAGCCTCAGTTCCCTTGTCTGTATAATCAAGATGGCAGTGCAATATTATGCAGGGTTTCTTAAGTTACAAGTGACTAAAACCCAACTTGAACTTGTTTAATCCATAAAAAGGGAATCTATTAGCTCATGTGACCCAGCCAAGAAAAAGCCTAGCCTCAGAGTTGGCTGGACTCAGGGACTGGATCCCTACCAGGTAAAGTTCTTGTCTTTGCTTACCTCTGGAAAGGTAATTTTCATAATAAATAGCAATAAAAGTGGTAATAATAAAAGGGTTTTATTCTCTCCTTTTGAAGATGGGCTGCATTCACTGGTGAGGAACATGTTCTAGGCTCAAATCTTTCCAGATGGAGACCTCTGTAGACATTTCCAAGAAATGACTCTGATTCCTTAGCCACAGACTCTTGCCCAGTTTAGGCCAATCACAGGCCAGTGGGAGGAGGTACTACACGTGGCTCAGCCTGCATCATGGGACAGCCCTGTGGGCCGGTAGTGGCATAGTGAGGCTTTGGGGAAATCACTACAAGTTGTCCCAACCTGTCCACTCCCTCACAGCACTTTTGTGATTTGAAGGAAGCCACACAGTCACATAGCTCCTCGAATAGTCTCTGTGGTGATTTTCCTCCTAGAGGAAGCTTTGGGGAGAATGTGGGCACCTCAGCCTCTCTGTTCCTTTGACCCTTCAGACTCATTAAGTGCAGTGTGGTTCTTACAGTTCTCTCCGTGTAGCTTCCTGACTCACTGCATCTGCAGATGGCCCCACCCCAGACCTGAAGCATGGCAGCGCCTTTGGTATCTCCAGGGCTCCCACAGCCAACGTGTCTTCTACCACAGGCATGCAGCTCTTTTTCTGCATCCTGTTTCATCCCTGTGGCTGTCACTGTGGTCTGTTACCTCACAGCCTCCTAAACAGGGGCCAGCTCTGATCACATTGGTCTGCTGCTTCCAAGTGACAGTGGCTCTCCATTATCTCTCAAATTAGTGGGAGACTCCAGGGCTTGGCATTCAAGGACTGCCACGATCTTATCCCAAACAACTTCCAAGCCACTCTTGCGGGCATTGGGTGTTTAGATCCTGCTACTGTAGGACAAACAAGTAGGAAAGCCTTTGGGGACCAGTGTAAGGAAATGAGCAGGAAGGAGTGAGACTGGCTGGTGGCAGGTTGCTAGGCAGCCATACAGCAAGAAAAGCAACCTGCATGAGGCAGATGATCCTAGAAGCCAGTGAGCACTCCCGCATTCTTTGATGTTTGTTTTAGCTAAGATCAGCCAACTTAGGGTACTAACCAATGGAATTTTGTGAACCCATTTAACTCTGATATTTAATATGTTGAGGCTCAAGACATTTTTCCCTCTTTGGTGGTGAAAAAACCCATAAACTACTATTGTTTTTACTGGGGAATGTGTATGGGCGATTGGTGGGAGTGGTGTAGAGTGGGAGAGATTTCCCAAGTAGCAAAAAAGAAGACTAAAATGAAAGCCATTATTCTGCTTTTCAGAACTAGTTGCTTTTATTTCATGATGGTTGCCTGGAGACTTTGTTTATATGTATTTATAAAGAAATAAATGCTGAACTTAGGCCTAGAAATCCAAATGAAAAACATGTCATTCTCAGCTTTGAGATGTGGAGTGTTTGCTCTACGAGGATAAGAGGCCATGCTTGCCTGAATTCTTCTAATTTAAGACTCTCTTTTTAATCTGCTGATGAAGTTTTACATATGTATACACACACATATATATACTCCTCCCAAACACACACACACATATTTTAAACATTTTAAGTTGTCTTTTAAATGAACAATTACTTATTGCCAACAGGAACTCATTTCATCTTAGGAATGCTAGCAAATACTCCTGGCACCTAAGCATGATTAATATAGAGAGGAACATATGAGACACAATGCAAGGGTGGCTGATAATCCAGTTCCTGCTTGTCACAGGCCTTGGCTCAGCTCAGCTGGTCATGCAGATGAAGGCCGAGGAGATGGGCAGCAACCAGAAGGGCTCCAGGGTTGGCATCTGTGCATCAGACGACTCATAGGTCAAAACCAGGTTTTTCAAACCCTGCTCTGGCTAAAAAAAGTCCCAATTTCCCTGTGCCTCACATCCTGTTCTGTTTTCATGGAAAAAAAAATTCAAAAGAAAAGCACATTGGTTGATTTCCCAGACTTGCTCTTTTTTTATTTCCTGGTTCTGAAAATTTTCTTTTTCACTCTTACTTTTATAAGCCTGCAATTAATTCAGCATTTGAAATGTGAGCTTCTGAAACAAACTCCCATGAATGCTGCATAACCATGTTTGGTTTTGCTTTTCTCTTAAACTCCCCTTCTGGTTTTTGTTAACATTAAAAACACACACACACACAAAAGATAGACGGGGACTGGGGCAGGGATTTTCCAATGTGTTTTCAGAACAACCACTTATAGTCAAACATCAGCAAGGCCAGTTATTCTAATATTGCAGTAATGACTTCCAGGCACCAAAAAAGAAGGCATGTTGCAATAACTTTAAGACAAATTGCTGATAACATAATCATTGTCTTTTCCTCCTAGAGAAGTAAGAATTTTCCAAGCACTCTTAAGGACTGTAAGCTTTTCTGTGCCCTTACAAATCATCAAACTTTAATCCTCATTAGATACTGGTCAATATTTCCAGAGGAGAGGAAGTGCCACATGACTTTAAGTATCAAGCTTATGATTACCAACAAAGGAAAACTACATACATTACATGAGTGGTAGCTGCACCGTATGCCTGGACTATAGCATGCATGTTCACCTACTCATTCATTCATTCATCCCACAGTTCTAATCAGCAATTAACATAAACAGGATTCCTGTTCTAATCGATTTTTCAGGCTGATGTGGGAGGCGATAGGAGAATGTAGATAGACATTGAATAAGTATTTACAAGTGCACTTAGTTTTACAGAGAAGGGAACAGTTCTCTATGTGATAGAACTAGCCTAGTCTAGGAGCATGTGAAAGATTGCTGCAGAGAAGGCCACCAGCCTTTTCTCCCAACCCTCTAAGCACCTGCCACTCCAAGAGATGGGTCTATTTCCCCTCCCCTTGAACCTGAACTGGCCCTGTGATTTGCTTTGATCAATAGAATGTGACAGAAAATATACCCTGTGACTTCCAAGCATAGTCATTAAGATGCCTTGTAGCTTCTGTTTTCTCCCCTTGGAAGCCAAACCCATATAAAGAGGTCCAGCTGGAGAAATCTCATAGAAAGAGAATGGGACCCAGTCTGCCATCCCAGCCGAGGTACCAAACATGTGTGTGAAGCCACTTTGGACCCTCCACTTTCAGTTAAGCTGGTCCAGTGCCACATGGAGCAGAAATTAGCTGTCCCCAATCAAACCCAACTACACTGCAGATTCATGAGCAAATGAGTGGTGGTTATTTGAAGCCATTACATTTTGAAGAGGTGTGTTACCCAGCAATTGATAACTGGAACAGAGTCAGGGAGGTTTTCTGGAGGAAGTTCTATTTAAGTTAAGTATTGAAGACTGGGCAGAATTTGACTCTTCAGGAAAGGGTTAATATTCCAGGCAGATGGAGCAGCCTGGGAAGACCCCCAAGGCTGGAGGAACATGGTGCCTTCAAGACCTAGAAGCAGCCTAGTGTGACCAGAATGTAGAGAAGTAGTGAGCATGGAGGCTGGGGTGGTAGACAAGGCTTGTAAATAAGAAAAGAATATAGCTGATACTTTTTGAATGTCAAGTGGATGTCCAGACCTTCATCTGACATAGTTAGCTTAGCAAAAACAAAAGTAAGATCTTTGTTCAGAGGGAGGAAATTCCATGCCATGGATGTTTCTGGCTACTAACACAAAGACATGACTGATTACAAGTAAGGTCTGATGAGAAGGAGAAGATTCATTTATCCAACAAATATCTCTTGAGTACCAGTACCATCCTCATGGGAGAAAGAACTCACAGTGCATTTCTGATAAATATAAGCCAGTGTCATGCACATAAAAAGGCCATGTTTCAGTGGTCTACACATACACACACCCTCTAAAATCAGGAGGGGACTTAGAGTCAGGCAAACATGTGCAGCCTTAGGAAAATCACTGAATTTCACTGAGCTTCATCTGTAACATTGGAATAATAACACTCCCTCCATAGGATTATTGGGAGTCTTAAATGAGAAAAGTCTATGTAAAGCACCTAATGAAATATATGATAGGTGCTCAAAAAGTGACAGCAAATTAAAAGAGAAAATATTGTATGGATATAGTACAGACCAACACCGGGCATATCTTGTTACATAGCAGAAATGGAATTCAATCAATTAAGACAACAGAAAAAGTGCTATTATTTCGCCTTCTTTATTATATTTATTAGGAAACCTATTTTTACCAGTAGATATGGACTATCCTAAAAAAATTATAGTGTAAGTGTGGTTAGCAAAGCCTTCTCCTGAATCCTTTCCTATTCTCAATGGCATGATATGTCAAGAACGTCTTTTGAGCCTGTTTGATCCAGTGATGTTCAAATGTGCAACAAGGAACTTAGTCTGGTGCTTACTATGTGCCTGACCTAAAGTTGTCTAACTTTCCCAGCAATCTCCAGCGATAGGTATTAATTTTCTCATTTTTCATAATTTTCCCATTTTTCTCATTAATTTTGCCCATTTGCAGATGAGCAAAGCAAGGGTCAGAGAAGTTACTGACTTCCCTGGCACTGGGCCCCACAGTCAGAAAGTGCCTCAGAATTCAAATCCAGGTGCACCTGACATCAAAGCCTGTGCTCTTTTTCCTAGGCCAAACCATCTCCTTCCAGGCAGACCTGTGTTTAGATGTGCTGTCACTTCTGAAGGAAGTCATCCGAGCTTAAACTTATGGGATCTCACAAGGGGCCTGCAGTATCTCCTTAAGGACCACCATAAGTCAGCGGCTATTTTTTTTTTAATTGAGATGGGGTCTCACTCTGTCACTCAGGCTGGAGTGCAGTGGTGCAATCTTGGCTCACTGCAGCCTGCACCTCCCAGGCTCAAGCAATCCTCCCACCTCAGCCTCCCAAGTAGCTGAGATCACAGACACGCACCACTGTGTCTGGCTCATTTTTTGTACTTTTGGTGGAGATGTGGTTTTGCTGTGTTGTTCAGGCTGGTCTTAAACTCCTGAGCTCAAGCAGTCTGCCCACCTTGGCCTCCCAAAGTGCTGGGATTACAGGCATAAGCCACTGTGCCCAGCCAGCTATGTTTTCAAAGCAACAAATGTATCAAAGCAGATGAGCCCAGGGAAGGTGAACTGTTCCTTGGGAGGAGTAGCACAATGACTGTAGTCCGCTTATAGTCCGCTTACTGGAGACTGTGCTCAAGAAAAAGCCAAGAGGTAATCTTCGGCAGCTGCTGTGATATCTGCATATTTTAATTTTTTCCATCTATTTAAAGCCTGCCAAGTTGCCTAAGAGTCAATAGAGATGATTTCCAAGGGCTGTTTAGTTCCAGGTTTCTATTAGCTCACAAATTCTGCCATATTGGATTTTAGAGCTGTTCTTTGGAAAGATGGAAATGTTTATGAGCGGAGCTCTGATTCCTCTAATCTTGGGTACAGGCTTATTCATATCTAAGAATGGACTCCTTCTAAGATAATTCAGGCTGAATGACTTCTTCCAAGGAAGGAAGGAAATGGATGTTTATTAAATTTCATTATGTGTCAGGCAGTGGGCTAAGAATTTCCCCTTATGTTGTTAAACTTAAATCTGGCAACCTAGACTATCAAGGCTAACTTTGACCTGAAAGCAATTCAAGACAAATCCCATCTTTATCATTGGTAGCTGTTGTGGAGTAGCAGTGGGTGAGGTGTATAGAGATCCATTCATCCATGCAGCAAAACACTTGACTGGCTTGAGATGTGACATGCGGAGCAAAAGGCAGGACATTGCTCTGGGAGAATTACAGAAAAGGGCCAAGTAAACAGCGAAGTGATCACTTTAGTGCTGTGGTGAGACATGCCCAGGCAAACCCCAGAAAACAAGGGGATAGCCAGCCCTCACTGAGGATGGGAGATGAATGGGCTTTTTTGGGACACCAGGAAGGTGGGTAAAGCCAGGAGGAAGGACAGCAACAGACCCTACAAGAAGGAGCCAGAGAGGTGACGAAAGTAATAGGCATGATACAGACTATAGCTTTCCTAACAGGAACGTGAGACACACAAACATCAGCCCACCTCTTTGATAGAACAGGAAATAATGGCGTCAACAGTTTCCTTTCTGAATACTAAGGACAAAAACGAAATTACATTGCCTGTAATGCAAGGGTTAGTCAGACATAATTTAGTCCCCAAATTAATCCTGAAGTCAAAAAGCTAAAGGAAAGTGGAACAAAAAAGAATCTGAGGCTCAGGGCAGCAGAAGAGGGCTCTTGGAGAAGAGATGACAGTTGGCTGAAGTCGTCAACAGAGGGAGCTGGGAGGCTGCTAACCCCTTTGATTTCAGCAGGGACTGGGCGTCTGCACAGAGCTCCCGGCTCCCCGCGGCGGGGGCAGGAGTCAACGCCGTCAGTTACATGCTCGTCAGATGTGCACGGGCGCCACACACGATCCTGCTAACGTGGTCGGAGAAATATGACCTCAGCGCAGGTGAAGCGTGGGCAGCTGACGCCACGGTGATGTGTGCAGATCCGGTGGGGACTCTGACGCAGCCCCAGGGCAAAACCAACCTGCTTTCTACCTTCAATCCAGCAGGATGCCCGTCATGGAGAAAAAGGCGGGGCCTGCTTGGGAAGACACAGGAAATCCGTCCCTTTTATTTTCTTTATTTTATTCAGTTATATTCATCCCGTCTATAAGTGATCTCTTCTCTCCAGAATCGGCGTTTTCTCTAACAAAGCAAATGTTCTTGTCTTTAAATGGAAAGAAAAATAAGCTAGAAATGTCCCACTGTGGTAACAGTAGGAATGAACTAGGGCCTTAGAGAATCAGCCTAAAATTGGCAGTAGGGCTATAGCTCCCCGGCAGAGGAAGGATAGCTGCGCCTCCCTGGCGAGGGGTCCACGTGGCAGCACAGAGGGGTTAAGTTCCATGAGGGCAGGAACCAACTGTACCCGATTCATCTTATTAACCTCAGCCCTTGGCAAAGTGCCCAGCACATAGTAGGTGCTCAATACTTTAATGATGGCTGAATAAATGACAAATAAATGAATAAAGGCCAAGTCTTCAAGCCAAACAGACCTATATTTAAATTCTGGCCCTTAATTCCTATCAGTGACAGTGTATTGGGCAAATTATTTGACCTCCTCTTGGCCAGAAGTTCTTCAACAACAATGACTGTGCCACACCCATCACTCAGTTCTCAATGTCTGAAAAATAACAGGTGCTCAATAAAATATTTTATATAAATGAGATTCTATGCCTCCATTTGTTCATCTGTAAAAGAGGTACTATAATATTTACTTAGTAGGGTTAACTGTTATGAAGGGTAATGAGATAAAGCATGTAAGTTCCTGGCACATGAGAATCACCGAATAAATAGATGGTTTATTCTATTTATTTGTGTTGGAAAACATTGCCCCTGCCCTCTGTTCCCTTTCTCCAGGAAATCCTCAGATGCGAATCTGGGACTTAACACCGTGGGCTTTTCCAAGGACTTTGTAGTGGCTGTTTGTGCCCTGCCTGTCCTTGCCTGCGGACCCTCTAAACATCTAAGTTTGCACTCAGAACCATTCCAGGGGTGTCCTGATTGAGAGGCCCTGATAAGAGCTAATTATCCACTTCAGCCCAAGGTTGGAGATTGGCTCCTAGCAATAGGAGAGATGGCAGCCTCAGTGCTGGAACCAGGAAGAAGGCAACCAACTCTCTGGGAGGCAGGCCTGTTTCTCACCATCTTCTTAGCCCAGGGTGGAACCAAGAAGGAGAACACTGCCATTGAAATCCATCCTGAAAAGAGCCACAGACCAAATGCCAAGAATCAGGGGTCTTCCTGGTCTGAAAGTTATGCCTGAAGCTAATTTTGGCCATGTTTACCTTGAATTTTACTTTGGGAAAGATACAACTGGGGCAATCAACGCCCAAATCTACAGAAGATAAATGATTCCAAACGCTTCATGGGGAGTTTTACAACCTCAGGACCATCTAGAAGCTCTCAGAAGGCAGACATTTGCAACTCTAGGGCTTTGTAAGATAACCAAAGACAATTTTCTTTCCAGGGTGCTTAAGGGCAGTGTTGCCTGTGGAATTCTTGAGGAGCCACTCAATTCTGTGTTTCAGTAAGATAATGAGACAAAGAAAGCTCAACAGCAACTATTACTGCTTGAAGATACTTTTTCTTTCTGCATGGGAATGGATGAGATGTATCTTTTAGGGAACAGGCAATGATGATATTTTGCATTTGTAAGGTGCTTTTACATTTCTTACCAAACAAGTTTATATTTATATTGCCTGCTTTCATCTTTAAAACAATTCTGTAAATTAGATAATCACACACTTTTAGTTCCTTTTTACAGATGATATTTGGAAGGTCTAGTTTATTATTCAGCCTTATGTTTAATTAGAGGCGGATCTGAAATTTGCTTCCATTTGCAGTGCTTTTTAGTGGACCATCGAGCCTCCCAGCTCACAGCTTAATTTGGAGTAATTAGAAGAAGCTGAAAATCAATATGATGCCAGATTCCCATAACAGAAATAAATAGATTTGTGTGGCTTAAGTCTGCTTTATTAAGAAAATGCCTCTTCCAAATGTTTTCATTAAAAAGACTAAAAATGTCTCTCCTATAGAAGTTAAATTTGAGTCTTTTTCCTTTCAAATTCCAATAATCCGCTTCAAGTGTGTGACCACTATTTCCTACGAGTTTGTCTTCTGAAATATATATGAAGGAATGTCACCTTAGGGAAATAATTTTCTCTAGAAAAATATATGAAGTTGTCTCCTATACTTTGAAAAAATTTAGCTCATGATTGACTCTTGGGATGAGTGATTCCTAAATATGTTTCTTAAATTTTATGCATACTTAGCTGCTTGTGAGTTTTGACATAAACATGATCTAGAAAGTAAAACTGCCTTAAAGATGAATTTAGCCTTGACTGACTTGATTGTTTGATTGATTTATCAACAGGGTAATTGGCAAAGCTAAGATATAATCACATATTTTATTGATTGATTCCTAAAATATGTTTCTTAAATTTTATGCATACTTAGCTGCTTGTGAGTTTTGACATAAACATGATCTAGAAAGCAAAACTGCCTTAAAGATGAATTTAGCCTTGACTGACTTGATTGTTTGATTGATTTATCAACAGGGTAATTGGCAAAGCTAAGATATAATCACATATTTTAATTTAGAAACAACACTTCTCACAAAGTCAACATCTTAAATCTTGTTTCTGAAGAAATTGGCACCAGGACAATGTCTTCTATTGGAATAAGTGTGGATGAGAAGCAGCATCATATGCCTGGAAAGCTTATGGGCTTTGAAGTCACAGACCTGATTATGACACTGGACTCCATTCATTTCTTCATTTATTTAAAAAAATCCATTCTGTGTGCCAGGCATTGTGAGTGAGGCATGGATGATGGTGAACAAAACTTGTGCTTCCTGCCCTTGTGGAGCTTCCAGTCTCATGACTTTACTCACTGTATGTCCTCAGGCAAGTTATAGTACTTCCCTGAGCTCCATTTTAACTGTAAATTATATAGGAATCAATACTAAAATGAGGTATTTTCTTCATAAGACTGATGAAAAATAAATAGCATGAAGCATCTGGTTCATGGCAAGGACTCAGTAAATACTGTGATTTACCTTGTTTAATTACATCAAGTCCAGCAGCAGAGGGCAGTAGCATCTCTGATGACCTCGAGTCTTAATAAAATCCCTGCAATTTGGCTTTTACCCTCCGAACCGTCCTCCCTAAATCTGCTGCCACAGTTTTCCCATAGCTGGTGACCTTGGTCGGCTTTGCTCAGGCTTCATCCTCTTCCAGCTCTTGGCTGAGCTCTTCACAGGACAATCATGGATTTCTGCTTGAAACCCTGCCTCCCTGGCTTCCCCAATTCTATTCTCTCTGTGTGCTCTTCTTTTTTTTTATTTTATTTTATTATTATTTTTTATTATTATTATACTTTAAGTTTTAGGGTACATGTGCACAACGTGCAGGTTTGTTACATATGTATACATGTGCCATGTTGGTGTGCTGCACCCATTAACTCGTCATTTAGCATTAGGTATATCTCCTAATGCTATCCCTCCCCCCTCCCCCGACTCCACAACAGTCCCCGGTGTGTGATGTTCCCCTTCCTGTATCTATGTGTTCTCATTGTTCAATTCCCACCTATGAGTGAGAACATGCGGTGTTTGGTTTTTTGTCCTTGCGATAGTTTGCTGAGAATGATGGCTTCCAGCTTCATCCATGTCCCTACAAACGACATGAACTCATCATTTTTTATGGCTGCATAGTATTCCATGGTGTATATGTGCCACATTTTCTTAATCCAGTCTATCATTGTTGGACATTTGGGTTGCTTCCAAGTCTTTGCTATTGTGAATAGTGCCGCAATAAATACCATTTGACCCAGCCATCCCATTACTGGCTATATACCCAAAGGATTATAAATCTGTATGCCCTTCTTACTTTCCAGCTTCTTTTCCTCCTTTTTGTCTTGCCCTCTCTTCCTTCCCCTCATCCCCTTAATGAGTATCATATCAATGCACATGGTACCCACATCTTCTTTACCAGCCAGGACCCTTCTTCTGCCCTCCCTTCCCATATATCCAGCATTCAGCAGGCCTCTCCACTGTGTCCCTTCATACCTCCAGCTGAATGCTTACAGAACTGATTCCATCCTCTCTTCAAAGGGCCTCCTTCCTCTTACTTTGAATCAGTAAGTCACTTAAGCTCTCAGACACCCTGATTAGAAAACTTGGAATCTTTTTGGACCCTGCTTATCCCACAGTTTCCACATTTAAGCAAGTTGTTGACTTGGCCTAATCTTCAGAATCTCTCTTCCCCTTCTCTTTCCCATCACCCTTGTGCAACCTCTCATGCCTCTTATTCAGACTACAGCAATGGCCCCCTAAAGGGGCCCTGCTCTTTCTCCATGCTGCCTCACTTACTGCTGTTAGGCTCAACTCTGTTCCTAAAGCACGGTTCTGATTACCTTACTTCCTTGCTAAAAACCATTCATTCCTGAGTCCTCCAAGCTTCAGTCTGGCACATCAGCAATTCTTTCCAATCTGACTTCAGCTGACATTTCTGTCTTATCTCTAACCCTCTCCCAACACTCTTGCAATTGACGGTCCAGTGGGGGGATCAACACTAATCCATCACCACACAAGCATGCATCTGTGAATTACAATAAGGACTCTGAATGAAAAGAAGATTATGCTGTCAGAACATAAAACTGAGAGCCTGATCTGGCCCATGCAAGCAGCTGATGAAAGGTTGGAGAGATGCAAACAGTGGGGGCATGCATGCAACTCAGAGGAGAGGTGGCAGGGCCTTAGAGAAGGTGCCTGATAGATTTTGATCTGTATCCCAAGAGCAATGGAAAGCCACTGGAGGGTTCTAAACCTGATGGGCAAGATTAGATTTACATCCTTAAAAGGTGGTTGCACAGCAGGTAAGCTCCCTGAGAAGGGGGGTCTCTGCTTTTCACACTTGGTAGCTCTCTGAGTGCCTGAAACAGGGTCTTCTAAGACAAGCACTCCATGAGGAGCAATTAAAGTGCCTGGACAAAAGGAATAAAAGCAGGCAAGAAGGAAGAAGAGGAGATGAAGGGAGAGAGATCAGGAAAGCCAGGGAAATGGACAGGAGAGAGGGAGAAACCATTTAATATTCAAGGTGCATGTATAAAATAATGAGATACTTTTACACAAATCATCTAAATATGGGGCTGACATTTCACAGCTATCACGACAAGTGGCAGAAACCCTATTGGAACTTAGCTTTGGAATTGTCTTCAGCAACTGTTTATCAGTTACACACCTCAGATCTTATGGCTTTACTGTCAAATTTGATATAAACTGCCTATTTTTCCCATGTTTCCCTCATCATGCCTATACGTTCTTTTTATTTTATCACTTTTTCTTAGAGACAGCGTCTCACTCTGCCACCCAGGCTGAAGTGCAGTTGCACAATCACAGCTCACTATAACCTCAAACTGGGCTCAAGCAATCCTCCTAACTCAGCCTCCCGAGTAGCTGGGACTACAGGTTCTTGCCACCATACCCAACTAAATTTTAAACTTTTTTGTAGAGATGGGGTCTCACTATGTTGCCTAGGCTGCATATGTTCTTTTTATACCTCTTTATATTGTTTTCTGTCTTGGATTATAAACTCCTAGAAGACAGAGACCAGATCTTTCCTATCACCTATAGTAGGAGAAGCAGCTATTATGGCGCTGCGTGCTCTGTGGGAACTTCTCCCCGTTTGTGTAGGGGATAGTAAAGAATGGGGGGTGGGGGTCGGTGAATGAAAGGGGACCTAGGAACAGGGCAGGAATAGAGGCTTCTGTCTTCCTTTTTCTTTCCTTTGTCTAGTACCTAGGATGTTGAACTTCTAAAAATATACCAAGATGGAGAAATCGCTTTCATAAGAGCATGAGCTCTGGAGATGCAATGCCTAGGTTTGAATTTGGGCTGATTACCCATTAGCTGAGGGGCCTTAGGCAAATGACTTAACTTCTCTGTGCCTCGATTTTCTCATCTTAAAAACGGATTGATGCTACTACCTATGCCATATGGCTGTTTGGAGATTAAATGTGGATGCACTCAGAGCAGGCCTGGGTCATGGTGAGCACTCAACATTTGTCAGCTGGTTTTATTATTACTGCTGCTAAGCAGGGGGGTGCTCATATTTGTACCTCCTCCAATTTCAAGATCCTTTGTTCTAAACAATTGGAAATTGCAATGATGAAGTTTGATGCACATTTTTCATTTATTCTTCCACAGACTTCAATTTGATGGTCCACAGAAATGTAATTAGCATCGTGCAAATATTTTGGTCAGGACTAAAACTGCCTTCAATATTTAGCAAAAAGAACCAAACATAAGCGTCATCACGTTTTGAAAGCTGAATGTGAGAGCTCTGTGGGCAAATCCCCTCATAAGTGAGAGATTTTGAATAAACAGTAATTATGTAGCAAAAACCTAAGTAACAGCTGCAGGGAGTATTGAGACAAACAGCCTGGAAGTTTGTGTACATGAAGGATGTAACCTGGTGGAGTAATTTATTATCTGGGACAACGGAAATATCAACTGTATGAGCATCATCTGTATAGGAAATTTAGGAAATGAAAATATTTCCATGTCATCGTGGAACACTTATTACTATAAGGTTTACATTTTGAAAGTAGGTGTGACGTTAGCCAGCTGTGGTTTACTGGTATGATATACAATGATGATAAAACCTACGTATATTTATCTGATATTGTCAGAATTGCTAGTCACTCCCTAGATAGAGTATGGTAGTGATTTTCCATTTTCTCATTATTTTTATTTAACAGTAATTTTTGAAAGGATTTTAGCACTTCAAGTAAATGGTGAGGAAACAAAGAACTAGGGAGAGAGGGAGAGAGCATGTGACATACATGAGTGGGTAGAGATGAGAAAACAGTACAGCCGAGTGCCCCTAAGTGTAAAGATGAAATGAAAATCTTCTGTTTGCCTCTACTGTGAATTTCAGGTCAAATCTTTCCTTATTGAAGATTCACCCAAGAGACATCAAGATGACCTCTGGCCAGAGACTGAGTCATCTTTGCATGACATCAACACGACCTGCTTCTGCAGGCCCTTGGGGAACAGAGCAGAAGCTCTATTCCAGATCTAAGATGGCAGCCTGGGAACCCTTTCCAACCATGTGCATATAAGGATCTTGACACGGAAATAGATGGTACAGTTTTCCTCCTTGTATAATTCATTCTGGTTATCCACACACCTAGAACCGTGAAGTTTATAATCTGCTCCTTTCTAACTGCTGCTTATAGAAATATATTTGCCGAAGTCAATGAGAGCCATCGGCAATATGAGGAATTGAGAAGTGAAGCCAGCTGGACTTCCTGGGTAGAGTGGGGACTTGGAGAACTTTTCCGTCTTACAAGAGGTTTGTAAAATGCACCAATCAGTGCTCTGTAAAAGTGCACCAATCAGCGCTCTGTAGCTACTAGAGGTTTGTAAAATGCGCCAATCAGTGCTCTGTAAAAACACACCAATCGGCGCTCAGTAGCTAGCTAGAGGTTTGTAAAATGGACCAATCAGCACTCTGTAAAATGGACCAGTCAGCACTCTGTAAAATGGACCAATCAGCAGGACATGGGCGGGGACAAATAAGGGAATAATAGCTGGCCACCCCAGCCAACAGTGGCAACCCGGTTGGGTCCCCTTCTGCGCTGTGGAAGCTTTGTTCTTTTGCTCTTCACAATAAATCTTGCTGCTGCTCACTCTTTGGGTCCCTGCCATCTTCTTTAAGAGCTGTAACACTCACTGCAAAGGTCTGCGGCTCCATTCTTGAAGTCAGCGAGACCACGAATGCACTGGAAGGAACCAACTCTGGACACAGAATGAGAGGGTATCCAATGGGAGAGGGTCGTAGAAATCCCAAGTGTGAGGAAATGTGCGTGGAAGTAGATTTGTTGCACACTCCTTTTCTTTAGGAACCTGCTGCATATATGTGTTACACTTTTGTACAACTCTGGAGGAAATGCTACTTGACCTGATGTCCTCATTCACCAAGAATTCAAGCAGGAAGAGTTGGATAATCCTTCCACATCATCCCAATTAGTCCTCAAGGATTGTCTTTTAATTTTTTGACAAAGCATTTACAGAAAAATACATAAATGAATGAAAAAATGCCTTCTCCTTCCAGCTTAAGTTGGGGTGTGGTCATGATAAGACACATACATTTGTGAAGTGTAGGGCTATAATACTATATTTCTTCTGAGATAAGCAATGTGATAGGTTTTTATTTCTGCATCATTTTAGAGATATGTACAAACAAGACTCAGAGATTTAAGATTTCCAGAAGCATCCAAAACAGAACTTTTCATTCTCATCCCATTACTCTATGTTGTAAATCACTACAGGGTTATTTTAACTGAAATTGCCTGATACACTGAAAAGTCATGTCCACTACGTGTAGGAGATAAAGAAAGGAAAATAAAGGAAAAGGAAGGAAGGGAGGTGGGGTGCAAAGGGAAGAAGAAGGGTGAATTATCCTTCACTGTCTCAGTTTGGTTTTTCCAGTTCAATCGCTGGTAGCCCAGGTGGAAGAGATGCATGGGGCTAACCCTCTACCCTCTGGCACTCAACAAATTAACTGAAGGGTGTTTGCACTGAGCTATTATGCCAAGGAAGAACTACTAACACAGACTAGGTTGGGAGAAATGGTAGTTTTGATTTACTCACAGCTTATAGCAGGAAGAACAAATTGAGTGAAACTAAGGCAGACTTACAGTTTGTTTGCTAAACTCTTGGCCAGCCAGAATCATGCACCCGTCATATTTACTCAGCTCTTATTACGGAGATTGCTCCAAAATTTAGACAATGCAGGGTGTTTTAAGTTTTTTCTCTAAAGCAATAAACTCTAGACATTCTTAGGTAGCAGTGCATTTGGATGGCAGTTTTCAAATGTAAGTATTAGAGAAACACCAGGCAATTGGCTTTTCAGTGAAAAGAAAATTGTGAATTGTGGTTAGCAACAGATAAAACTAGCCATACCAGTTACTTTTAAGACCTCTCTCTCTCTCTGTCTTTTTAAGAGACAGGGTCTTGCTCTATCACCCAGGCTGGAGTGCAGTGGTGCAATCATAGCTCACTATAACCTTGAACCCCCCAGGCTCAAACAATTCTCCTGTGTCTCCATGCCTGGCTAATTTAAAAAAAAAATTGTAGAGATGGGGCCTCATTCTGTTGCTCAGTCTGGTCTCAAGCTCCTGGCCTCAAATGCTTCTCCCACCTTGGCCTCCCAAAGCACTGGGATTAAACATGTGAGCCACTGCATCCAGCCAGATCACTCTTTTCTTAATATTCTGCAGTTTCATTATAATATGTCTATGAGTGGATATATATTTTTTAACCTGTTTGCAAATGGTTGTGCTTCTTGAATCTGCAGATTCATGTCTTTTATTAATTTTGTAATTTTTTCTTTTCTCTTTTTTTGTTTGAGAAGGAGTTTCGCTTTTGTTGCCCAGGCTGGAGTGCAATGGCAAAATCTCTGCTCACTGCAACCTCCACCTCCCCGGTTCAAGCGATTCTTCTGCCTCAGCCTCCCAAGTAGCTGGGATTACAGGCATTGCCACCACACCCAGCTAATTTTTGTATTTTTAGTAGAGATAGGGTTTCACCATGTTGGCCAGGCTGGTCTCAAACTCATGACCTCATGTAATTTTTTCAACCGTTGTCTATTAAAATATTTTCTTTCTTCCATTTTCTCTATTTTTTTCTTTTTGAAAATCCCATTAAATTTAGTGGGACCCCTCATTTTGTCCTACATGTCCCTTAATGTTTATATTTTTTATCTCTTCGTCTTTCTGGGCTTTGGATAATTTCCTCAGATCAATCTTCCAGTTCAGTAATTGTCTTTTTTCTTCTGCCATATCTGCTGTTATATATTAAGAAGCCTCTGATACACTCAAACAATGGAACACTGCTCAGCAATACAAAGAAATAAACCATTGATACACGCAGCAATTTGAATGGATCTTAAGGGCATTATGCTGAGTGAAAAAAGCCGGTCTCAAAGGGCTACATGCACTGCACAGTTTTATTTACATAAAACTCTCGAAGTTATAAAATTTTAGACAGGGAGAATAGATTAGTGGTTTTTCAGGGATAAGGGAAGGGGAAGGAGGCTGTGACTATAAAAGGCAGCATGAAAGACTTCTTTTGTGATGATGGAGCAATTCTGTATGTTAATTTTGGTGATGGTGGTTACATGAATCTGTCGTTGTGATAACATGAGATATATATATATATCTCAATGGACAGGTTAACAGCATATGTATATATATATACACACACACACACACATATATATACATATATAGGCTATATATGTATATATATCTCTGTGTGTGTATATGCATGTGTATGTATTATATATGTTTTTAAATTTTGAAAGCACTGTTATAGAATCACAATAAATTGCAAAAGTAGTTCATAGACTTCCCATATCATATCTAGCTTCCCCCATTGGTGACCTATCAATTATAGTGCATTATTGAATTATTGAAGCCAGGAAATTGGTTGGCGCAATACCACTAACTACATTACAGATTTCACTCAGATTTCACAGTATTTTCACATATTCACATTTTTAATGTCTTTGTATATACTTGTGATTACATTTTATCACAAAGACAGATTCGTGTAACCACCATCACCAAAATTAACATACAGAATTGCTCCATCATCACAAAAGAAGTCTTTCATGTGCCTTTTATAGTCACATCCTCCTTCCCCTTCCCTTATCCCTGAAAAACCACTAATCTATTCTCCCTGTCTAAAATTTTATAACTTCAAGAGCTTTATGTAAATGAAACTGTACAGTGCATGTAGCCCTTTGAGACTGGCTTTTTTCACTCAGCATAATGCGTTTAAGACCCAAATTGCTGTGTGTATCAATGGTTTATTTCTTTGTAATGCTGAGCAGTGTTCCATTGTTTGAGTGTATCAGAGACTTCTTAATCTTTCACCTATTGAAGGACATGTATGTTGTTTCTAGTTTTTGGCTATTACAAATAAAGCTGCTATAAACATTCATGTTCAGGGTTTTGTGTGAACAAAAGTTGTTACTTCTAATTCCCAGAAGTGTGATTGCTGGACCATATAGTAATTGTACATTTAATTTTTAAAGAAACTTCCAGGAAGGCTAATTTCCAGAGTGATTTTACAATTTTACATTCTTACCAACAATGTATGAGAGATCTAGTATCTCTGGATCCTTGTCAACAGTTAGCATTACAAGCTGAGTATCCCTTATCTGAAAGGTTCGAGATCAGAACGTTTCAGATTGTGGGGTTTTTTTTCAGATTTTAGAACATTTGCATTATACTTACTGGTTCGACATCCCTAATCTGAAAATCCAAAGTATGAAATACTCCAGTGAGCATTTTATTTGAGCATCATGTTGGCACTCAAAAAGTTTTGAATTTTGGAGCATTTCAGACTTTGGAATTTTGGATCAGGAATGCTCAACCAGTGTCAGGGTTTTGTTGTTGTTGTTCTGTTTTGTTTTTGTTGTTGTTGCTGTTTTTTTTTTTTTAATTTTAGCTGTCGTAATAGCTGTGTAGTGTATCTTATAGTGGTTTTAATTTGAATTTTTCCCTTATGGCTAGTGATGTTGAACACTATTTCACATTTCACCTAAACATCCCTTTTCATATACTCACAGATCCCTTTTTCTTCTTTGGAGAAGTGTCTGATTACATCTTTTCTCTATTTTCTAATCAGGTTGCTTTCATACTGTTGAGTTAGAGAGTTCTTTATATATTCTGGATACAAGTCTGTAAATCAGATATGATTTACAAATACATTCCCATCCATTGAGTTTTAGCTTTTATCACTGTATTTTTTATTTCTTAAAGTTCTATTTTCAAAGTATGTCTGATCTTTTTTTTAATATATATATACTTTAAGTTTTAGGGTACATGTGCACAACGTGCAGGTTTGTTACATAGCATATGTATACATGTGCTATGTTGGTGTGCTGCACCCATTAACTCGTCATTTAGCATTAGGTATATCTCCTAATGCTATCCCTCCCCCCTCCCCCCACCCCACAACAGTCCCCAGTGTGTGATGTTCCCCTTCCTGTGTCCATGTGTTCTCATTGTTCAATTCCCACCTATGAGTGAGAACATGTGGTGTTTGGTTTTTTGTCCTTGCGATAGTTTGCTGAGAATGATGGTTTCCAGCTTCATCCATGTCCCTACGAAGGACAAGAACTCATCATTTTTTATGGCTGCATAGTATTCCATGGTGTATATGTGCCACATTTTCTTAATCCAGTCTATCATTGTTGGACATTTGGGTTGCTTCCAAGTCTTTGCTATCGTGAATAATGCCACAAAAAACATACATGTACATGTGTTTTTATAGTAGCATGATTTATTATCCTTTGGGCATATACCCAGTAATGGGATGGCTGGGTCAAATGGTATTTCTACTTCTAGATCCCTGAGGAATTGCCACACGACTTCCACAATGGTTGAACTAGTTTACAGTCCCACCAACAGTGTAAAAGTGTTCCTATTTCTCCACATCCTCTCCAGCATCTGTTGTTTACTTTTTAATGATTGCCATTCTAACTGGCACAAGATGGTATCTCATTGTGATTTTGATTTGCATTTCTCTGATGACCAGTGATGGTGAGCTTTTTTTCACGTGTCTGTTGGCTGCATAAATGTCTTCTTTTGAGAAGTGTCTGTTCATGTCCTTCGCCCACTTTCTGATGGGATTGTTTGTTTTTTTTCTTGTAAATTTGTTTGAGCTCTTTGTAGATTCTGGATATTAGCCCTTTGTCAGATGGGTAGATTGTAAAAATTTCCTCCCATTCTGTAGGTTGCCTGTTCACTCTGATGGTGGTTTCTTTTGCTGTGCAGAAGCTCTTTAGTTTAATTAGATCCCATTTGTCAATTTTGGCTTTGGTTGCCATTGCTTTTGGTGTTTTAGACATGAAGTCCTTGCCCATGCCTATGTCCTGAATGGTAATGCCTAGGTTTTCTTCTAGGGTTTTTATGGTTTTAGGTCTAATATGTAAGTCTTTAATCCATCTTGAATTAACTTTTGTATAAGGTGTAAGGAAGGGATCCAGTTTCAGCTTTCTACATATGGCTAACCAGTTTTCCCAGCACCATTTATTAAATAGAGAATCCTTTCCCCATTGCTTGTTTTTCTCAGGTTTGTCAAAGAACAGATAGTTGTAGATATGTGGCATTATTTCTGAGGGCTCTGTTCTGTTCCATTGGTCTAGATCTCTGTTTTGGTACCAGTACCATGCTGTTTTGGTTACTGTAGCCTTGTAGTATAGTTTGAAGTCAGGTAGTGTGATGCCTCCAGCTTTGTTCTTTTGGCTTAGGATTGACTTGGTGATGCGGGCTCTTTTTTGGTTCCATATGAACTTTAAAGTAGTTTTTTCCAATTCTGTGAAGTAAGTCATTGGTAGCTTGATGGGGATGGCATTGAATCTATAAATTACCTTGGGCAGTATGGCCATTTTCATGATATTGATTCTTCCTGCCCATGAGCATGGAATGTTCTTCCATTTGTTTGTATCCTCTTTTATTTCCTTGAGCAGTGGTTTGTAGTTCTCCTTGAAGAGGTCCTTCACGTCCCTTGTAAGTTGGATTCCTAAGTATTTTATTCTCTTTGAAGCAATTGTGAATGGGAGTTCACTCATGATTTGGCTCTCTGTTTGTCTGTTATTGGTGTATAAGAATGCTTGTGATTTTTGCACCTTGATTTTGTATCCTGAGACTTTGCTGAAGTTGCTTATCAGCTTAAGGAGATTTTGGGCTGAGACAATGGGGTTTTCTAGATACACAATCATGTCATCTGCAAACAGGGACAATTTGACTTCCTCTTTTCCTAATTGAATCCCCTTTATTTCCTTCTCCTGCCTAATTGCCCTGGCCAGAAGTTCCAACACTATATTGAATAGGAGTGGTGGGAGAGGGCATCCTTGTCTTGTGCCAGTTTTCAAAGGGAATGCTTCCAGTTTTTTCCCATTCAGTATGATATTGGCTGTGGGTTTGTCATAGATAGCTCTTATTATTTTGAGATATGTCCCATCAATACCTAATTTATTGAGAGTTTTTAGCATGAAGCGTTGTTGAATTTTGTCAAAGGCCTTTTCTGCATCTATTGAGATAATCATGTGGTTTTTGTCTTTGGTTCTCTTTATATGGTGGATTACATTTATTGATTTGCATATATTGAACCAGCCTTGCATCCCAGGGATGAACCCACTTGATCATGGTGGATAAGCTTTTTGATGTGCTGCTGCATTCCGTTTGCCAGTATTTTATTGAGGATTTTTGCATCAATGTTCATCAAGGATATTGGTCTAAAATTCTCTTTTTTGGTTGTGTCTCTGCCCGGCTTTGGTATCAGGATGATGCTGGCCTCATAAAATGAGTTAGGGAGGATTCCCTCTTTTTCTATTGATTGGAATATTTTCAGAAGGAATGGTACCAGTTCCCCCTTGTACCTCTGGTAGAATTCGGCTGTGAATCCATCTGGTCCTGGACTCGTTTTGGTTGGTAAGCTATTGATTATTGTCACAATTTCAGAGCCTGTTATTGGTCTATTCAGAGATACAACTTCTTCCTGGTTTAGTCTTGGGAGGGTGTATGTGTCCAGGAATTTATCCATTTCTTCTAGATTTTCTAGTTTATTTGCGTAGAGGTGTTTGTAGTATTCTCTGATGGTAGTTTGTATTTCTGTGGGATTGGTGGTGATATCCCCTTTATCATTTTCTATTGCATGTATTTGATTCTTCTCGCTTTTCTTCTTTATTAGTCTTGCTAGCGGTCTATCAATTTTGTTGATCCTTTCAAAAAACCAGCTCCTGGATTCATTAATTCTTTGAAGGGTTTTTTGTCTATTTCCTTCAGTTCTGCTCTGATTTTAGTTATTTCTTGCCTTCTGCTAGCTTTTGAATGTGTTTGCTCTTGCTTTTCTAGTTCTTTTAATTGTGATGTTAGGGTGTCAATTTTGGATCTTTCCTGCTTTCTCTTGTGGGCATTTAGTGCTATAAATTTCCCTCTACACACTGCTTTGAATGTGTCCCAGAGATTCTGTTAGGTTGTGTCTTTGTTCTCGTTGGTTTCAAAGAACGTCTTTATTTCTGCCTTCATTTCGTTATTTATCCAGTAGTCATTCAGGAGCAGGTTGTTCAGTTTCCATGTAGTTGTGTGGTTTTGAGTGAGTTTTTGTCCTGAGTTCTAATTTGATTGCACTGTGGTCTGAGAGACAGTTTGTTGTGATTTCTGTTCTTTTACATTTGCTGAGGAGTGCTTAACTTCCAATTATGTGGTCAATTTTGGCATAAGTGCTATGTGGCACTGAGAAGAATGTATATTCTGTTGATTTGGGGTGGAGAGTTCTGTAGATGTCTATTAGGTCTGATTGGTGCAGAGCTGAGTTCAATTCCTGGATATCCGTGTTAACTTTCTGTCTCATTGATGTGTCTAATGTTGACAGTGGGGTGTTAAAGTCTCCCATGATTATTGTGTGGGAGTCTAAGTCTCTTTATAGGTCAGTAAGGACTTGCTTTATGAATCTGGGTGCTCCTGTATTGGGTGCATACATATTTAGGATAGTTAGCCCTTCTTGTTGAATTGATCCCTTTACCATTATGTAATGGCCTTCTTTGTCTCTTTTGATCTTTGTTGGTTTAAAGTCTGTTTTATCAGAGACTACCATTGCAACCCCTGCCTTTTTTTTGTTTTCCATTTGGTTGGTAGATCTTCCTCCATCCCTTTATTTTGAGCCTATGTGTGTCTCTGCACGTGAGATGGGTTTCCTGAATGCAGCACACTGATGGGTCTTGACTCTTTATCCAATTTGCCAGTTTGTGTCTTTTAATTGAAGCACTTAGCCCATTTACATTTAAGATTAATATTGTTATGTGTGAATTTGATCCTGTCATTATGATGTTAGCTGGTTATTTTGCTCATTAGTTGATGCAGTTTCTTCCTAGCCTTGATGGTCTTTACAATTTGGCATGTTTTTGCAGTGGCTGGTACCGGTTGTTCCTTTCCATGTTTAGTGCTTCCTTCAGGAGCTCTTTTAGGACAGGCCTGGTGGTGACAAAATCTCTCAGCATTTGCTTCTCTGTAAAGTATTTTATTTCTCCTTCACTTATGAAGCTTAGTTTGGCTGGATATGAAATTCTGGGTTGAAAATTCTTTTCTTAAAAGTTGAATATTGGCCCCCACTCTCTTCTGGCTTGTAGAGTTTCTGCCGAGAGATCAGCTGTTATTCTGATGAGCTTCCCTTTGTGGGTAACCCAACCTTTCTCTCTGGCTGTCCTTAACATTTTTTCCTTCATTTCAACTTTGGTGAATCTGACAATTATGTGTCTTGGGGTTGCTCTTCTCGAGGAGTATCTTTGTGGCATTCTCTGTATTTCCTGAATTTGAATGTTGGCCTGCCTTGCTAGATTGGGAAAGTTCTCCTGGATAATATCCTGCAGAGGGTTTTCCAACTTGGTTCCATTCTCCCTGTCACTTTCAGGTACACCAATCAGACGTAGATTTGGTCTTTTCACATAGTCCCATATTTCTTGAAGGCTTTGTTTGTTTCTTTTTATTCTTTTTTCTCTAAACTTCTCTTCTCGCTTCATTTCATTCATTTAGTCTTCCATCACTGATAGCCTTTCTTCCAGTTGATTGCATTGGCTACTGAGGCTTGTGCATTCATCACATAGTTCTCGTGCCGTGGTTTTCACCTCCATTAGGTCCTTTAAGGACTTCTCTGCATTGGTTATTCTAGTTAGCCATTCATCTAATTTTTTTTCAAGGTTTTTAACTTCTTTGCCATTGGTTCAAACTTCCTCCTTTAGCTAGGAGTAATTTGATCTTCTGAAGCCTTCCTCTCTCAACTCGTCAAAGTCATTCTCCATTCAGCTTTGTTCCATTGCTGGTGAGGAGGTGCGTTCCTTTGGAGGAGGAGAGGTGCTCTGATTTTTAGAGTTTCCAGTTTTTCTGCTCTGTTTTTTCCCATTTTTGTGGTTTTATCCACCTTTGGTCTTTGATGATGGTGACGTACAGATGGGGTTTTGGTGTGGATGTCCTTTCTGCTTATTAGTTTTCCTTCTAACAATCAGGACCCCCAGCTGCGGGTCTGTTGGAGTTTTCTGGAGGTCCACTCCAGACCCTGTTTGCCTGGGTATCAGCAGCGGTGACTGCAGAACAGCGAATATTGGTGAACCGCAAATGCTGCTGCCTGATCGTTCCTCTGGAAGTTTTGTCTCAGAGGAGTACTCGGCCATGTGAGGTGTCAGTCTGCCCCTACTGGGGGGTGCCTCCCAGTTAGGCTACTTGGGGGTCAGGGACCCACTTGAGGAGGCAGTCTGCCTGTTCTCAGATCTCAAGCTGTGTGCTGGGAGAACCACTACTCTCTTCAGAGCTGTCAGACAGGGACATTTAAGTCTGCAGGGGTTACTGCTGCCTTTTGTTTGTCTGTGCCCTGCCCCCAGAGGTGGAGCCTACAGAGGCAGGCAGGCCTCCTTGAGCTGTGGTGTGCTCCACCCAGTTCCAGCTTCCTGGCCGCTTTGTTTACCTACTCAAGCCTGAGCAATGGCAGGCGCCCCTCCCCCAGCCTCGCTGCCACCTTGCAGTTTGATTTCAGACTGCTGTGCTAGCAATGAGCGAGGCTCCGTGGACGTAGGACCCTCCGAGCCAAGTGTGGATATAATCTCCTGGTGTGCCGTTTGTTAAGCCCGTTGGAAAAGCACAGTATTAGGGTGGGAGTGACCCGATTTTCCAGGTGCCATCTGTCACCCCTTTCTTTGACTAGGAAAGGGAATTCCCTGACCCCCTGTGCTTCCCGGGTGAGGCAATGCCTCACCCTGCTTCAGCTCATGCACGGTGCGCTGCACCCACTGTCCTGCACCCACTGTCCGGCACTCCCCAGTGAGATGAACTTGGTACCTCAGTTGGAAATGCAGAAATCACCCGTCTTATGCATCACTCATGCTGGGAGCTGTTGACTGGAGCTGTTCCTATTTGGCCATCTTGGCTCCACCTGCTATGTCTGATCTTTTTTCAGACTCTTGTGATTTTTTTTCTTAAGTCCTTCTTTTATATATTTAATCCTTTAGATACTTTTAAAATCATTTTTATTCAAAAATTTTAGTGTTTAACATTCAAATTCTGCCTTCTGTCCAGGAACTGTTTGCTGACCCTTTTTCATCATATTATTTCCTTGTATGTTTTATAATTTTAGATTGCGAACTTGCCTTCATTAGAACTTAATCTTTGGAAATCCCTACAGAGACCATGTTAAGGGGATGTTCTTCAAGAGAGGCTTTATATTTGCTACTCCAGGAACATTAGCAGCTAAGCACCACGTTTATACCATCCTCTCAACCTGAAGTTTCCTAGACTATGCCCATGCCATGAATTTGAATATCAGATAGTTTCATGGCTGTAAATCTTCACAGATATACATATATATATATATATATACATATATATTTAAACTCCTACTTAAAGATGGTGGGCATGTTTGCTTGTTTGTTTGTTTTAAATTCCACTGTGCCTCATCCTGCCTTCATGTTGTGGTTTTAGTTCTAACTTCCTGTCTCTAGGGCCTAAGGCTTTATTTCCTATTCCCACGCAGGGATTAGTATCTAAGCCTCTTTCCTGCAGCAGCTAGTTTCAGCTCTCATGTTGATCTCACTGGTTTTCATTTCCCTCATTATTTTTTGCTACCTGGGGATTTCTCTGACTTTATTGTGAGCTCCTTTTTTTTATTAAAAATATATCTTTTTCAAAAATGGTAAGTTTATAAATATTTCTCATTTTGTCCAATATTTTTTGTGTTTAGTAATGGAAAAGTTTTCAAATTATCTAGGTGAGTATTTTTTTCCCAATAATTGTTCATAACAAAACTTACAAAACCATATACTGAATTCTTTAGTTAAGCAACATTAGTATTTATAATGGAGATACAGGCACTGTATGACCTTGGAAATAAATTTGCTTTGAGAACACAATTACAAGATTCTAGCTCTTGGCTCAAATGTCACATCTTCAGAGAAGGCTTCCTTGAACAACTCCCACCTCAAGTCACCCTTGTTCTAATTTAATTTCTTCAAAGCACTCACACTTTCTTATTTCTTTGATACTTAAGATATTTTTATTGTACGTATCCATCAGGTTGAGCATCAAATCAGAGTAGAGGGATAGAGAATAAGTTTTACCATCGAAGGAGTCACCTAAGATATTGGTGAGGATACGGACAAATTAAGTGTCATATAGGTGACCAGGGATGTACGAATGGAATGTGATTTCAACTCCAAAAGTGAAATTCAGTAAAATGTATTGTATTCTATTTGAAAGGAGAATAAACTCAACAAAAAGAGTGGTTGTCTTTATAGACTCTAGAAAAAAAGTCTGAGGGGAAGAATTTGGCAATGTTTCTCCAGGTCTGGCCAAGGTTAAGGCTATCTGGTCTAGGGCATACTGTACAAAGATTACTCACTGCACTTCTCTGCAGTCTGAATGAAAATGCCTTTGGGAGCATCGCTTTGATCTGATTTCACAGATCAACAGCAGGCAGCCATCTAATTAAAAATTTGGTTGTCCAGGTTTTCTGCATGGCAGACACGAGCATTTGGATCTCTGGGAAGGACTACCCCATTCTGTAATGAGTAAACTGGCATTCTGATTTATATATACATTTCTTGTGAACTTTGTAAGTGAATCAGCCCTGATCAGCCCTGATTAGTTCTGGTGCAACATCAAGTTCAGTATTCATCAAGCTGAGGGTCAGACTGTGATGCTCAGTCAGGTCAACAAACCAGCCTCTGAGGTGCCCCCTCAAAGCTCACCCCTGGGCTGGCAGCATTGTATGATGCAGGACACTTAAAATTACTCGTTCCTGGCCCTTACTCCAGCCTTTTCTGAATCAGAATGGAGAGAAGGGATAGGGAGTGGGGAGGTGGGGAAGAGGGATAGGGAATCTGTGCTTTTCACAAGCTTTGCTGATGGTCCTTATGCAGCAGATTTGGGAAACACTGTCCAAGATTATTTTCTTTTTCATCCCTCTTTAACTGGAAGGTGTGTCTTTTTTCCCCCTTGCCCAAAAATAATGCCTCTGATAGCAGGAGACTTAATTGAGTTTAATGTGTATGTCTAGTCCTGTAAGTTTAATTATCCCATGGGTAATTACATTTTGAAATAAGAGCTTGTTAGTGTAAACAAATCTCTGCAGCATTGGGGCTTTCTCATCCTTTGGAACAAGGAGGAAGGTCGGGTTCAGTTGTAATGCCCTTTCACCCACTCTCCTGCACCTGTCTCCCACATCTGGTAACTCTCTCCTGTCCTCTCAAGCTACAAAAATGTACTTCTCAAAGTGTTGAATGGAGCTGCCTGACACCAGCTGCCTCTATGCCTAATTTCAGCTGGCCCTGGAAGATTCCCTAGGAGATACAGGGATTCAGTCAGGATCCCACGCCTCTTCCAGCCGCTCTCCCTGCAAGGAGCATCTACTTCCTTCTTTGGAAGGTAGACAAGGAACCAAGTTTATTATGTGGCCCTTGGAGTGCAATTATTTTGGATTCCTGTTATTTTGGTGGGGAGGAGAGAGAATTTTGATATCTAACCTTCTACTTACTATTATTCAACCGGGAAAGAGAACAGGAATTAACAGAGGATGGAAGGACTGAATAAGCAATTGAATATGACTTTCACCCAAGAATCTGAGTTGGTGCTCTTTTCAGAATGGTTGTTTTGGAGAATATGTTTCTCCAAATTAAACTGCTTCCTGGAATTCATATACCCATGGACTTTTATTCCATTTTGAAATATGCAAAATGAAAAGGCTTAAAGAGAAGCACAGGTTACTGACAATCCACAGGACCCAAGCACACACCATAGGTCTCTCCCAAGAACCAGTGCTAAGATTAGATCAATCTAATTGTCATTTAAACTTGATGTACATAAATGAGAATGGTAGCAACTCCTGGGCTGCAAAGAGTTTAATTAATTCATTGATTTCTTCAATTTTATTCAACAAATATTTGTTGATTGTGCAAAGCATTGTTTTTTTGTCTGTTTATTTTTTGAGACAGAGTCTCGTTCTCATTCTGTTGCCCAGGCTGGAATGCAGTGGCACAATCTCAGCTCACTGCAACCTCCGCCTCCCAGGTTCATGCAATTCTCCCACCTCAGCCTCCTGAGTAGCTGGGATTACAGGTGCACACCACCACACCCAGCTAATTTTTTGTCTTTTTAGTAGAGATGAGGTTTCACTATGTTGGCTGGACTGGTCTCGACCTCCTGACCTTGAGATCTGCCCACCTCAACCTCCCAAAGTGCTGGGATTACAGGCGTGAGCCACTGTGCCCGGACGCACTTTTTTTTTTTTTTTTCTTTTTTTGAGACAGAGTCTCATTCTGTTGCCCAGGCTAGAGTGCAATGGCGTGATCTTGGCTCACTGCAACATCTGCCTCCTGGGTTCAAGTGATTCTCATGCCTCAGCCATCCAAGTAGCTGGGATTACAGGTGTGCACCACCATGCCCTGCTAATTTTTTCTATTTTTAGTAGAGATGGGGTTTCACTGTCTTGGCCAGGCTGGTTTCAAACTCCTGGCCTCCAGTGATCCCCCCATCTTGGCTTCCCAAAGTGCTGGGATTCCAGGCATGAGCCACCACGTCTGGCCTGTGCAAAGCATTTTTGAAGATGACAGCTGCAGATTTCACATGAGTTAGGGCTATTTTGAGAGTGTACCTGTTCAATATGCGTTAAGGTGAAGTCGAGGAACTTACGTGGGAGCTCACAACACCTCGAGTCACATGC
Organism: Homo sapiens; assembly: GCF_000001405.40. NCBI lineage: Eukaryota > Metazoa > Chordata > Mammalia > Primates > Hominidae > Homo > Homo sapiens. The sequence continues at coordinate 94,013,546 of NC_000008.11, forward strand.
ACTTGACTACCTAGTCAGTGTGACTTGGCATTCTGCAGGACTTTCAATGGTACTCCTATGCCTTGTGATGGATCAGGAGCAAGTGTTTTCTCTCATTGCCCCTGATAAAGTTGTGGAGGCCACAATGCGGTGAGTTATAAAAGTATTTTACTGTTTCCTCACAGAGAGGCTTGTACCATTACTGAAAGAAGGTCCAGTGCATCTTAGAGCAGCTCTCACCTTCCAGGTGTTTTTCACCAAGCACTTACATGCATAGAAAGGCCACACGGCATGAAGATGGCAACAGATTTTTCAAATGTTTTCTGTTGAACTGGCACTTTTCAAGGTGGACACAATAGCTTCTCATTCACATATTCATATATGGTGCCAATTATTTTCTATTTTCAGAAAGAATAGAAGAGTTTAAACATTCCATTAAACAGAGTATATAATAGAATAAAGTGAAGAGTAAAGGCTAATTTTTCTCTTTTTCTCTTAACTCCAAAACTTATAAACAAATACACTGTACAAAATGATCCATCATTGGCATTGCACCAGACACATAACAGATATCTATATCTATTTGTAAGTAGCCTCTGACTTGTAACATGTCTTAGTCTGGCAGACATGTGAAACAAGAATACCTACAAATATTTTACAAATGCAAATAACTGCATACCAATATATGTAAGGGTGATATTCAAAATTATAACAACCATGTGACCAGGACACCCATAGGTCTGATCATATACTGGTGATCAGTATGTGGCAGGCTAGGTATAATCCTTGAATATATGAATTTCAGATGCTGAGACTCACTGAAATTGAGCTGGGAAGATGAAATGTTCTAGATGCATCAGTGCAGTCTCATTGAAGAGAAAAGGCTTTGACTTGGGTGGTGCATAATGAGAATATGTTTTGGCAAAGGACTGAACAAAGGTTGTTTCAAACAAGAAGCCAGCGCAGCGGAAGATTAAGGTGTAGGCAACCAGGAAGCTAAACTTATTCTTTTCTCTCTCTTTTTTTTTTTTCTTTTTTTGAGACGGAGTCTTGCTCTGTCACCCAGAGGCGTGCAGTGGTGCAATCATGTCTCACTGTAGCCTCGAACTCCTGGGCTCAAGTGATCCTCCCACCTCAGCCTCCCCAGTAGCTGAAACTACAGGTATGCCCATCGTGCCTGGCTAATATTTTAAAAATTTTTTGTAGAGACAGGGTCTTGCTTTATTACCCAGGTTGGTCTTGAACTCCTGGCCTCAAGCAAGCCTCCCACTTCAGTCTCCCAGAGTGCTGGGATTACAGGCGTGAGCCACCACGCCCATCCAGGATGCTAATTTTAGGTATTACTAGAATATAAGATGTTAGAGAAAATGTTACTTATCAGATCTTCTCTCCAGAGGAGAGCATCATATGTTTGGAATGAGTATTTTGATAAGCTGCTTGGCATGTTGGGGTTAAGGGCCTGTAGCATATTCATATTCAAATAATAACACCTCATCTTTGAACTTCCCAGTTTGCTACAGGGCTTTTGTTTTGCTGGCTGGGATACTGCCTCTAGTGACCTTCTTCCCCTTTTTCCATCCACACCCTCTGTGCTATTCCAGGGCTTAGCCACCCTAAATGCATGTTGAACAAATGTGGAGTTCAATCTGTCCAAGGCTGGGGATCAGGAGGGCTGTCTGTGGTGGACAGTAATGCTCACAGTGAAGGGAGAGCTCTCCTGAGCAGCTCAGGCTTGGTAGAGAAGCACAATATTTGCAATCAAAATACCTGGGCTCCAGTCCCAGCTCTGCCACTAACTATGCATGTAATCTTGAGTAAGTCAAGAATATGGACAGCTTTTTATTCATCTTGACATCAGTGGAGTTAGCACAGTGCTGCAGGGCCTGAAGACATTGCATAAATGTTTGTTGAATATATGGCCAAATAAATGAATGACTGCTCTGAATTTTAGTTTCTTCATCTACAAGATAAGAATCGATATAACACCTTCTCCCTGAAGAAGGGGTTTTGTTCTAGTTTCTGATTTTTAGATTGAATGAGAGAATACATATGTAAGCGCTATGAAAACCACAAGGAACCCTCGAAATTCCAATAGTTTCATGGTCAACCTAGTTATAACGGTAGGTCATGGGGTGTAGAGTCTGCCCATGTTAAGGCTGAATGTGTATCTAAACGAGTGTGGATTTTAGAGTTCTGCAGCCCCTGCTTCCAAATTAGAGTTAAGAGGACACATGCCCTACATCCCCAAGCTGGAGAGCACTAAATCTGAAACCATCACCAGTACTTTACTGGTTAATGGCAAAATGGGGAAAACCGGGGTGCTGTAATGTATTTTTTCATAAAGATACTTATACAGAAAATTGAGGACAATCCTTTTTTTCTGAGATTATGTTCTTTATTAGTATTTTGATTTCAATATGTTCTTTTAAAAATGAGATTATGTTAACGGTAGATATCTATTTTCAATCTCCTTATCTAGCAAATAAGAAGATGGCAACTATCTATAACTCTTTCAATATATTTTTAGTTTTATTTATCCCTAAACCCTCAAGTTCAGGAACTACTATCCTAAAAGAGTTCCAGATGGACATACAGAAATTTGGGTTTCCTGCTTCAGCATCATTGTCTGATCCTTCAATCTGCTAGAGTTTGGCAGTCATTTCTAGAAAGAGTTCAACATTCTATAGGCAAAAATAAACTATATAAACCCCTTTTGGGGTGTTGTTCTAATGAAACAGTGAGAGACCAAGAAATTTTTTTTTTTTTAGTTTTTGTTGGAGTTTTGACATATCTTGCTAACAAAGTAAATGGATATGAAGTCTACTCCTAAACAAAATGAAAGCACCAGTTGAAATATGAATAAATGAAATTGTTTGTAAAATTTCAGAGCTGGTTTAATGAACAGAGTAAAATGGGATGTCTGTTTTAACTCAACTACTTTGGCATTTTCCACCTCTTTGCCTTTTCCAAGATAACTTTTAAAGGACTAGTTTTGACTAGGTTGGGTAGATTTTAACGAGATTGGTATCAAATTATAGTTCTTTTTTTGAGACGGGCTCTCGTTCTCTCGCTCAGGCTGGAGTGCAGTGCCGTGCCATGTTCTTGGCTCACTGCAACCTCCATCTCCCAGGCTCAAGCAATCCTCCCACCTCAGCCTCCCATGTAGTTGGGGCCATAGGCGCGTGCCACCACACCTGGCTTACTTTTTGTATTTTTGGTAGAGATGGGGTTTTGCCATGCTGCCCAGACTGGTCTCAAACTCCTGAGCTCAGATGATCCACCTGCCTTGGCCTCCCAAAGTGCTGGGATTGCAGGCATGAGCCACTGCACCAAGCCTCAAATTATATTTCAATTTGACAGGTGAGTCAGTTCAAAAACCAAGATTTAAGCATTAAAGAAGCCATTAAGAATTTGGAGGTGGAGCCACCTTATTTTTCGTTAAGTTTTCAATTAAATGTTTTATGGGGGTAGAAGTTATAGGAGTATTCGTCTGCACTGTCTTTGAATCCTTTGTTATTTTCAGGCCATTCTGTTATTTCCAGGTCTTATGCCTCCTAATTCTCTTTTATGATAGTTTGTCTCTTCATATGGTTTGCAATTTTTTATTATGAGCTCATCGTTAGAAAGTTCTTTCCTCCTGAGGAGGTTCTAGGGATCTGGCAGAGGTAAATTGTCTCCACAAGGCAGTTTTATATCAATATCTACTAATGCCCCAGGGTTTTCGATGTCCCTGTGCTAATTTTTATTCAGCTGAGGGGTCTGCCCCCCAACAGATAGTATAAATTTGGCCTCTAATGTGCATGTTCAGACCTGTATTTTCAGTGGTTCTTAACTGACTTTTGGTTACTCAAAACAAGCTCAAACCAACTGCCTCTCTGGGCTACTCTTTGAGTTTCCACTTGTTATTTTTTATGACCCTTTGTCACTATTGAGCTACCATTTATTGAGTACTTACTATGTGCCAGATCTTTGGCAGACACCGTTCTATAAAGACCCCTCTGCTCTACCCACTGGGCAAATATCAGTAGGCTCCACTCATTTCTTGTACCTGTCCTTACCACTATTTTAAAGGCATTGTTTACTTCAGGCCATTATAGCCATAAGAAAAGGATTTGCTGAGAACAACTGAACCTGCACTTTGGAATTAATATATGCAGCATAACCGTTTAGCTATTTACACATGGTAGGTCATGGGGTGTAGGATGGTATATAGTGTGATTCTAATATTGACACCCAGTCATTTCCCACTAAGATTTAAGAGAAACCCTTAGTCCAGAGTTACTAGAGTCGTGTGTCATGCTATAGTCTGTCTCCATTTCCATGATTCGTGCTGCTCTACCTGGATAAAGTTTGGACTGATAGCTTTAGCATTAGAATATATGTATATGATTTGCAAAGGGTTTTTTGTTGTTCTCACTGCAGTGGTTCAACACTCAGGTACTGAAGTGCGTTAAATGATTTGCCATTTTCCAAACTCTCCATTCTTCTCAGTCTTTGCACGTGGAATTTCTCTACCTGGATTCCCACCCTAACCTTTCTGTCTGACAACCTCCTATATTCCCTTTAAGACCCAGTTCAAATGGAGCCTCATTTGTGATACCCACCCTCAGTCTCCAGCGAATCCATTCTTCCTCTCCACTCCCAAAGTGCTTTCTGCATAATCACAACAGGATTCCAAGTATTTGCAGTTATGTCTATTTCTCCCATTAAATATGAGCTCCCTTGAAGGAAGGGAATGTGTTTATCATTTCTGTATGTGTATCATTTCTGTATCTTCAGCAAGTAGAAGTACTTGGCACGTAGCAAGTGATCAAGAAATGATTGGGGGAGTAAATAAATAAAGGCTAATTGTTTCTCTTTCATCAACTGTGTTTCTATGTTTCTGGTTATTTCCACTTGTTTTTGTTATTATATAAACATGCGTAATGCAGGAAGTACTGGGGATATGTCTCTTCTACCATGTCACTGCTGATGACTTTTGCAAAATGCCCATGAATGCCTTCCACAAAACAACCTTCTGCAACTATGGTGGAGACAGTTTTATAGAATTTATCAATTTGGATGAAGGTCTCTGGCCGTTTAACTGTCTCATGCTCATGACTCATGGTTAAACTCATAAGAGCCCCTGTGATCCCAGTCAAAGGCTGGAGCAGATGAAATCTATGACACACCCCATTAAGAGCTGCTGAGTTATACACATCATTCCAGGAGGCCCTGAAGCCTAGCAGCACTTTCAGCTTCTAAATACCTCACTACACTGAACACCACTGCACACCACTCTAGCTTTCCTATGCATGGGGCACAGCTGAAAAGCTGTCAAAACGGAATGATGCCCTGGAACTCTGGAACTCTGCTGACACACTCAGAGAAACAGATGACAAGATGTGGAAGAAAGACTTGATTTTGATTTTTGCTTTATAAACTCAGCAAATTGGGCAAAACAGCAAATGTCAGGTTCTATCTCTGGTTCACTCCTGGCAAACCCATGTTTTGTGATTCTGTAATGCCTCACATGGTTATACGACTTCTTTTCCAAAATGATGTCATTTTGGAGATGGGCTTTCATCCTGATCATATAAGGGGAACAGATGTTGACTTGGTTGCACAATCCTTGCCTTTGCAAATAGGAATCAGGGTTCCATGTTTTCTTCACATTTATCTTTGTTTGGGTTATTTAATGCTGAGTCCATGCCTTGTCTACTCATCCCTCTACTGTTCTTTCTTTTCTTGATAAGACAATAATGAAAAGTGGACAAACTTAGAAACAAATATAGGCCAGACGTTAAAAAATATTTTTTTTAAGTAGACAAGCTATGAGTTATGTTGTTAGTAATATGGTTCTTTCTACATTGTTTTCTCTCTTTTCTATAGTTTGGTCTTATATTCTTAGTTACTAGGCAGAATTATAAACTCAGAGTTTGGAGGGCCTCGTACAACTTTTCTATCAGATTGTTCTCCCACTTCTGTTGGAATGCCTCCTCGACAGGCAACTTAACTATCCAGAAAAGCAATATAGTATATGAGATGTTGCTGGTCTCAGAGACAGGGGATCTAGATTTGAGTCTTGATGCTGTGATTTGCTGTTATATATTCTTACCCTCTCTGAACCCTGGTTATTTAGTTTGTGAAATGGGGCTAATAAAACATTCAGTTCAGGCTGAAGGTAGGCTAGGATAGCAGTGCCATGGAGTCAACACAGAGTAAGATGAACCAGGGTTGCTGCCAACGCCCAGCACCTGCTAAGTGACTCAGCAGAGAAGCCAGTCCCAGGAGGGCAGCCTAAAGTGTGCCTGAGGAGTGCAGAGTGACTGGGACTGAGAGGTCCCATCAGGCCAGTTGAGCAGGGATGCAGGGCGAGCCCTTCCTCAGTGGCTACTTAGGAAACAGGAGGCAATAGTAGGTGTTAAGATGATGACTCAAATTTAGACCTGCCATTTATTGTCTATGCAACTCTAGACAAGTTATTTAATATTTTTGACGGTCATTTTTCTCATCTGTGAATTGAAACAATAACATCTATTTGTGAAGTTGCTGGGAGGCTTAAAGTAATTGAGATAACAGACATCAAGCATTTAGCAAGAGGCCTAATATGTAACAAATGCTTAAAATGCTAACAAGCAGCTGAAAGGCGGCATAGTTGAGGGACATCTGTCCCTATCTGGTAGGATTTCTTCAATAAGAGGACAGATGGGGAGGGGGCAGGCTCTCCATCTGGGAAGAGCCATCTAAATACAACTACAGCACAAAGCGTAAGGTGGGCTCTGCTCTTAAGAGGGGCTATGCTGTTGAATTAGGAGTGGGTGTCAGGCTTCATTTGGGACTCCTGGGAGACTCATGGCTCTCATCCTACATTACAGGGTGCCCAAGGCTTTGCAATGGAGTGTATCATCCCAGGTTCATCTGTCGACTGGGTGAGCTTCATATATGAGCCTACAGGTGAGTCTATTGTTGACTGCAGCTGACTTAGATCCTAGAGAAAAGGTGAGGGAGCCGACACTGCCCCTAATTGCTCACAGGTGGATTGAATGAAAATACTGCTCAAGCACCTTAGCATGGCTTATAAAGCTCTCTATGACCTGGCGCCACCTCATCTCTTTGGCCATTCACCTCTTTACACTTTAAGATCTAGCAATATTCCCATCTGTACTGTGCTGATTGATGCTGCTGTAGCTATGTTCTTTCCAGTACTCCGGCCTGAAATGCTCTTCCTTCATTTCTTCATCTAGCCAACTTTCAACATTCTTCAAGGCTCAGCTGAAGAGCCACCTCCTTCAGGGTGTCCTCCCTGAGTCCCATGGGATAAAAATAGCAACCATTTATTGAGCACTTAACTGAGTTCCAGGCAAATGTAATAATTACATACTTTGTGTCATGCAAGACTTTAACAACCCTGAGGAAATAGAGCCTCTGAAAGCATGAGTAGCTTGCTCAAGGTCTGCCTTAGCAGCTAGGTTATGTTGAAGTCTGGATTTTAAACTAGGTCTGCCTAAGCCCAAAGCCAATGGTCTCTAGTCACTATGACACGCTGCCTCCTTGTCACATGCCTTCTCCTGTAGTTCCACAAACCCCTTTAAAGTCCTGTCCCATCATGTGAAATCATTACATATATAGAAATCATTAGCTTATATGTTGGCTTCCACTAACAGATGGAAACTCTTCCAGGACGAGAGTTCTAGGTACCCACTAATCCTCTTAGTCAATGCTCAGCACAGAGCATTCAGTCAGTAAAGGCTAAAGGGCATATAAACTGAATGTGTATGAAACTTTTTTTTTTTTGAGACAGAATCTCACTCTGTTGCCCTGTCTGGAGTGCAGTGGGGTAATCTCAGCTCACTGCAACCTCCACTTCCCAGGTTCAAGTGATACTCCTGCCTCAGCCTCCTGAGTGGCTGGGATTACAGGTGCCCACCACCACATCCAGCTAATTTTTGTATTTTTAGTAGAGACGGGGTTTCACTAGGCTGGCCTCAAACTCCTGACCTCAGATAATCTGCTCTCCTCGGCCTCCCAAAGTGCTGGGATTATAGGCATGAGCCACCGTGCCCAGGCTGTGAAACATTTTTAAATGGTGATGGTGAGGGACATGTGTCTGGAGAAGCTCCCCATGTAGTAGGAAATAGAAAAATATTAACAAGCAAGGTAAGTTAATGGGGAAAAGAAAGGCTTTTAAACAAAGGGTGCTAAAATAACTAATGGGGAAAAAACTTCAACAAATCTCAACCTTTATTTTACGCCACACACAAAAACTAAGATCTGTCATAGCCTTGAATACAAAAGTTACAAACATAAGCTTCTAGAAGAAAACTTAGGACTAGAAAAACTTTTGTGACTATATTTTAGGCAAAGATTGCTTAGACAAATCTTAGGGCCAAAAAAAAGCACTAAGCATAAAAGAAAAACATTGGACTTAATCAAGATCAACCATTTGTGCTCATCAAAAGACATTATTAAGAAAATAAAAGGCAAACCACACCTGAATGAGATCTTCACAATATATATATCTGATTAAAAAACACTTTTATCTAGGTAATACAGAGAACTCCTATAATTCAATAATAAAAAGACAAGCAGGCCGGGCGCAGTGGCTCACACCTGTAATCCCAGCACTTTGGGAGGCTGAGGTGGGTGGATCATGAGGTCAGGAGTTCGAGACCAGCCTGGCCAACGTGGTGAAACCCCGTCTCTACTAAAAATACAAGGTTAGCCAGGTGAGGTGGTGCGTGCCTGTAATCCCAGCTACTCAGGAGGCTGAGGCAGGAGAATCGCTGGAACCTGGGAGGTGGAGGTTGCAGTGAGCCAAGATCATGCCACTGCAGTCCAGCTTGGGTGACAGAGCAAGACTCTGTCTCAAAAAATAAAAAATAAAAATAAAATAAAAAGGGCAAGCAACCCAATGAAATAAATGGCAAAAGACTTAACAGGCATTTTACGATAGAAGATATATAAAAGGCCAATAAGCAAATGAGAGACACTCAGCTTCACTGAACAAAGACAAGACAAATTAAAACTACAATGAAACACCACTTCGTGCCCATGAAAATGGCTAAGATTAAGAAAATAGCTAGGATTCGATAATACTAAAGTTTGGCAAAGATGCAGGGCAACTGGAACTCTCCTACGTTACTGGCACAGCCATTTTGGAAAATTATTTTTCAATTTCTTGTAATGTTAGATAAACATTTTTTTCTGTTATGATACAGAAATTCCACTTCAAAATATTTACTCAAGATTAACAATAGAAAGTAGAAGGATGGTTACCAGAGGCTGGGAGGGGTGGTGGGTGTAGTTGGAGCTGGGGAAGGTGGGATGGTTAATTGGTACAAAAAAAAATAGTTAGAATGAATGAATAAGGCATAGTATTTGATAGCACAACAGGGAGCCTATAGTCAATAGTAATTCAATTGTACATTTTAAAATATCTAAAGGAGTATAATTGGATTGTTTCTAACACAAAAGATACATGCTTGAGGGGATGGATATCCCATTTTCCATGCTGTGACTATCATGCATTGCATGCCTGCATAAATAAAACATCTCATGTACCCCATAAATATATATATATATATATATATATATATATATATATATATATATATATACACACATCTACTATTAATAGGTACCCATAAGAATTAAAAATCAAAAATTATTTTAAAAAGATTAATGATAACAAAAGTTTATAAAACAATTTATCTATAGTAGCTTTATTCACAATAGCCCCAAACTTAAAACAAATTGTGGTATACATACAATGGAATCTCATTCAGCCATAGAAACAGCCTACTGATACATGCAACAACATAGATGAATCTTAGAAACATATTGAGTGAAAGAAGCCAGTCACAAAAGACTGTATGCTTTATGACTCTACCTAGATGAAATTCTGGAATAAGCAAGACTAAACTATGGAAAGAGAAATCAGAAGAATGATTGCTGCTGGTGTGGGTTCAGACTGGAAAGGGCATGAGGAAACTTTCTGGGGTGATGGAAATATTCACAGGTGTATTTATTTTAAAAACTCATAGAATTGCACTCTTAATTTTTTTTTTTCGAGACAGAATCTCGCTCTGTTGCCCAGGCTGGAGTGCACTGGTATGATCTTGGCTCACCACAACCTCTGCCTCCTGGGTTCAAGTGATTCTCCTGCCTCAGCCTCCTGAGTAGCTGGGACTACAGGCGCATGCCACCATGCCCTGCTAATTTTTGTGTTTTTAGTAGAGACAAGATTTCACTATGTTGGTAGGCTGGTCTTGAACTCCTGACCTCGTGAGCCACCTGCCTCAACCTCCCAAAGTACTGGGATTACAGGCATGAGCTGCCGTGCCTGTCCTTAAAATGTATTTTTAAAAAGTTAATTCAAAGAAAGAAATAGCATCACTGTGCTTTGTTCAGATCACACTTGATATACTGTGTTTAGGGTTTTTGTTTTGTTTTATTTGTTCGTTTTTTCTGAGACAGAGTCTTGCTCTGTCGCCCAGGCTGGAGTGCAGTGACACGATCTCAGCTCACTGAAACCTCCGCCTCCTGGGCTTCAGTAATCCTCTCACCTCAGCCTCCTTAATAGCTGGGACTACAGGTGCATGCCACCATGCCTAGCTACATTTTTTTCTTTTTTGTATTTTTTGTAGAGATGGGGTTTTACCACATTGCCCAGGCTGGTCTTGAACTCTTGAGCTCAAGCCACCCACCCGTCTGGGCCTCTCAAAGTGCTGGGATTTCAGGCATAAGCCACTGTGCCAGGCCCTGTGTTTAGTTTTTAAAACAATAAATCTAACTATGTTCAGATCAAGGTTACCAGGATGAAGAAGGGTCTGGAGACCATGATACATGAAAAAGGCAAGGAACTGGGAAAGTGCAGGATGGAGGGGAGACCAAGAAGAGTCTGTTCAATCACTGGGAGGGTAGCTGTGTGGTAGCAGGTCTAGATTTATTAGTTGAATCTCTAGAGGGCAGAATTAGGATGAGTGGGTGAAAATTATGAAGAAGAAGATTTTTCTAAACACCGGAAGATGAGGCTTTGGAGCAAAGCAGAACTTGGACAGTTCATCAGGAAGCTGCTGACAGTCTGAACAAGAGGCCTGGACCACACATGCTGTGGGGATGGAGCGGACCTTCTTGAGGGGAGAGTGGATTTGAGAAATAGCAGGAAGTAGAATTAACCTTAATTGCATATATGAGTGTGTGTGTAAGAAAGAGAGCAAAAGACAGAGATACAAGGGGGAGCAATGAATTGAGAATGACTCAATAACTAAATCCTATTTTGCCTAAGAAACTCCATTAATCACTAGTATGTGTCATATGATTATATGAATCATGATATGGTTTTTAAAATGTGAGACCTTAAAATTGTACAATTATGTCTGACTAAGCAATTGAAATGGATTTTAAAGAAAATGTGACTGAGTCACAGAACTACTGGAGACAGGAACCAGAAGCCAAACACCCACCTGTCTAACCTTTCAAGGTAACAGGATAAGCTGTTCCCATTCAGTCCCCATCCCATCACCCTATTTTAGTTTCCTGCACTTCCCCCATCTGATATTTTCCTGTTTCCTATTTTATATTGTCTGTTTCTATCTACTGGAATATGAGCTCTTAGGAGCAAGGACATTGTGATCTTATTCACTGCTATGTGCTCCGGCTCCTAGAATACTGCCCAGCACAATCAATAATTGAGGACTGAATGGAGGTTTAAGGCACCTCTCATTTGGTGATGGTTTACTGGTCAGTGGGTAAAGAGGAATGGCAGAAACAGTTGCCGGCATATGTAAGCCATTCACAGAAGTTGTGGTGAGCATTTTACATGTTCATTTCCTTAAGCTCAACAATCTCATTTCCTTTCCTTTTACATGTTCATTTCCTTAAGCTCACCTTGTATGCAGTGACACAGGGCCCCCTGACCTCACTTCTTGCTCCCACTGCTGCTGCTGAAACAGATTCCAGACAGGGTTTGATGTAGATTGCAGCTGCAAGAGCACCTCTCTTTTCCTGTCTGGGGCTCCTCTGACATCAGGGCATGAGATGCCCACAGGAGCCTGCTGGGCACTTTTGCATGTGCAGCCCAGAAATGGGGACTATGGGGACACTCTTGATCAAAAGGGCACAGGACTCAATGGACAAATGCTTCTCTCTTTAGTAATGGGGTCTGGAAGATCTGAGACTCATTGTATGAGGCTCCTCAGAAAGTTCTGATAAGATCAGGCACCGCTCCCCCTGTAGCAGGGGCCAGCTTGAGAATGCATCCTGGCATTGACTTTCCCTCTTGCCCAGCTCCTAGTTCCTCTTCGCTCTTCCTCACCCCTCCCTGGGTCCATTTCCCAAATAAACCACTACATGTAGGCATTTGTCTCAGGCTCTGCTTCCCGAAGAACTCAGGCTAAGACAGCAACCTAATTTCATTACTTGAATCTAAAAATGCTTTCTTGTTGTAGAAAACCCACCTATATACAGGTCAAAATCCTCTGGCTCCAAGAAGAATGCATTAAATCCTACCATGCCCTTTAAATCACTGGTCCCTTGGAAGTTGTTGAATGAGGCAAACTGGATGAGTGGATCTGGACATGTGGCTCTCAGGTAAAAGCAGTTATCTTAGGGGTCTCCAGCTACCATCTAATGGGTAATGATCCTACCTGAGATGGGCAGGAGCTGAGGAGCCCGGGAGCCGACTCAATGATCAGGTGTGAAGGGTGAGTGCAAGGCTGGGGTGTAGGTTGAGGTAAGAGGCCATGAGGCAAAGCTCTGAGGTCACTGTCACAGCGGGGACTGGGGTGCAAGGTAGCCTGACGTGGAATGGTTCAAGGCAAAGATTGTGAAGAAATCCAGGACACAGAGAACAAGCTGTCGTTGGATGCTGGCCCTAGGTGGCATGTAGACCAGGGGCTAGAAGGTAACTGCTAGGCTGAATGAGTGGGTCGCATGGAGATTTCTCAACTTCCAGGCAGCGCTCCATACCCACAGCAACCCAAATAAGCAGAATCTTTGGTGAGAGGAAGCAAAGAAGGCCCTGGGGCTAGAGACAGAGGACAGAGAGTAATCAGCCAAGTTTCCTCCTCTCTGTTAGGGTCTGGACCTCCTTCCCTGGCTATTTGCTTCTTCCCTTTTTATTGAGGTAAAATTAATATAACATAAAATTAATTAAAGTGTGTAATTCAGTGGCATTTAGTCCATTTGCTTTATTGTGTAACTACCACCTCTATCTAATTCCAAAACATGTTCCTTACCCTGCAAGGAAATCTTGTATCCACTCAGCAGTCATTCCCCATTCCCCTACCCCTTCCCCAGTCTCTGGTAACCTCTAATCTGCTTTCTGTCTCTATGGATTTACCAATTCTGGGTGTTTCATATAAATAGAATCATACAACATGTGTCTGGCTTTGTTCACAAAGCATAATGTTTTCAAGATTCATCCATGTTGTGGCACATATCAGAATGTCATTCCTTTTTTTTTTTGAGATGGAGTTTTGCTCCGTTGCCCAGGCTAGAGTGCAATGGCGCAATCTCGGCTCACTGCAACCTCCGCCTCCTGGGTTCAAGTGATTCTCCTGCCACAGCGTCCTGAGTAGCTGGGATTACAGGCACCCACGACCACACCTGGCTAATTTTTTGTATTTTTAGTGGAGACAGGATTTCACCATGTTGGCCAGGCTGGTCTTGAATTCCTGACCTCAGGTGATCCACCCACCTCAGCCTCCCAAAGTGCTGGGATTACAGGCATGAGCCACCACGCCCAACCCAATGTCATTCCTTTTTAAGGCTGAGTAATATTCCATTGTATAGACATACCACATTTTGTTTACCTATTCATTAGTTGACAGAAACTTGAGTTGTTTCTACCTTTTGGCTATTGTGAACAGTGCTGCTATGAACATTTGTGTGTAAGTTTGTGTTTGAGTCCCGGCTTTCAGTTCTTTTGGGTATATATCTAGGAGTGTAACTGCTCACCATCCATTTTTTATGTGTGCTCCTTTTACCAATGTGCTTGTTTGCACCCCCAAGACTCTCTGCCAACTGACTCACTAAGAAGGTCAATAACCTTTTTGAACTACAGCTCCATGAAAGGAATTAGGGCTGCCACTTAGTAGGTTGGTGCAATTAAATTGCGGTTTTTGCCATTAAAATTAATGGAAAAATTGCAAATACTTTTGCACCCACTAATAAATACATACGACTTGGCCAAAGCTAAAGAGGTTGACTTCTGGAAGAAGACTGTGAGGAGTTGACCTAAGTGTTTCATTTGTCTCCCTTCTCCACACAATAAAGATCTCAGCCTTGGATGGATTCAGCTGTGAGTGAGCGCTGGTGTGTATGTCCTCGTGATCACAGATGCATAGATTTCAGTACGTTGATGTCACAAATACATAGATTTCAGTACATCGATAAATCATTTCAAAAGGGCGGTGTCCCTGTGCCCTCATTTTCATATCCCCTTGTGGAAAGTCTTTCAGCGTACAGTTGGTTATTCATATTTGTTGCCATGTAAGCACTATCTAGGACAAATTTTTAAAAAATAGAAAAACAGAGGGGAAAAAATAGAAAGGACTTGACACTAGCCAAGCTTAAGGCCAGTTATCTGCATTAAAACATACTACTTGTGCTGTGACAGTCTAGGTTGGATGGAAGCCTTTCTGTTTTCTATTGTTGGAATGCCCTCTAGACTAGATTTGGAAATGTTTCACTGTGGTGGTTATAAGACATCAAGTCATGGCTGGCTTTGATTAGAACTTGTCCTAAGAAATAAATGCCGTTTTAAGCAACAAACATCCCAGAGTTCTCTTTCAGCAAGCTGTTCTGTTTTGGAAAGTTGACCATGTGTGTCTGAGTACGTAATATGTTTGTGGGGAACAACCTGTGGTCAAGATGGAGACAAGAAATACTAATTCAAAGCAATGTGCATAGGGATATACAATGTATTAAGAATATTTATGGGCAGTTGGATCTGCTTCCCTCCCACCTTGACCTCTTACTTCAGCTCCTGAGCTATTACTGTGAGTGCAGCAGCGCCGCTGCAGCGGGAGGGTTTCCCACTTCCTCTGCTGCATCTCCCGGCTGCTGCGAGCGCTCACATCCCTCCCCGGCTGCCCGCGACTCAGATTTTCCATTGTGGAGGTCACTGACAGTGGAGCAATTAAACAGAAGCGGAATAGCTGAGATATTTAAGTTTCTGTCCATAAATCTTGGTGGGAACCTTACAAGGGCCTTGCTTTAATTATTTTCTTTCAGAATCCCGAGATCAACAGGAACAACCCTTTGGGAGCCAGCTTGCTATTTGGATTTTTAACTCCCCTCATCAGTCTTACCAAGTGTTTTAACTGGTGATGGTTTTCATTAGAAAGCTCAATTTGCATCTTGAGGTTTCATGCATATTTTAGTAATGTATGCAGAAGGAAAATGGCAAAGAGGCATCTAGAATTTTAGCTTCCAGAATTAAAAAAAATTAGTAAACATTACTAGGAAAACTCTTAAGTTTTAAATTCGGTGGTTTCAAACAAAGCTTCTCTTCTCATCTTCACAAAAATAGTGTCCTTCGGTACCTAATAGTCTATAAAGTGCCTTCATCTACCTGGCATCGTGAGGTATCATCGTCTTCCAAACATTATTTGTGTTATAACCCACGTCTTACAGATGACAAAATGGAGGATCAGGAGAAAGCTGAGCATGGTGGTTTACAGCATGGACTCCGAAGTAAAGGAAACTAGGATTGAATCCTGGCTCCACCTCCGTCAGATTACTTGATCTGTCTTTGCTCAGCTTCCATATCTATAAAATGGAACTAATGAAACCTTAGTAATTAGGTCTTATGGTTGCCGAAAGAATTAAGTGAGTTTATATATATGTTAACTTAGTAAGAAACATTCACAAGGAGTCCTTCAGATCTCTCTCCCATGGGTTTTAAGGTTTTAAGTCCCCTGGCCTTCTACTCTTAGGGTGGGCTCCATCTGTTAATGCCCAAAGTAAGGCAGCAGAATTGGCTCATGCAATCAACCACATATGGAGGCCATCTAATTGGAAATTTTTCATCAAACTCTGTTTTCTCTTTGCTAAAATGGTGCTAAGAATAGTCTCAATATCATAGAGATGTCATAAGGATCACGTGAGGCTCACATGCATAGTGCCTGGCATATGATATTTAATGCATGTTATTAACTGCTATTATTATTACTAATATAATATTTAATATCAATTATTATTTTACTATCACCTAACCTTTCAAAACTATACCAATTTCCTTTCCATTCTATTCTTATCAAAGAAAGAAAAGAAAAAAATTATCTGTCCCTACTTTTCATAAGAAGAATTTATAAGAACTCTTTAACCACATCTACTTATTTTCTGTCTGCAGACTCAACTACTGTCTTCACTATGCCATTACATTGCCGCCCATGTACTAGCACGCAAAGCACCTGGAATCACATCAGGAGGCCTATTTCCTGATCCCTAATCCAGCAGTAATTTACTGTGTGACCTTAAGCAAATCACTTGGCATTTCAATTCCCCAGTTTCTTCATCTGTTAAAAGCAACATGATCGAACTAAAGTCTCTTTTACTGCTAAAATCACGTGTGTAAAATCTCTCCATATGTATAGCCATATATTTATCTCTCCATCATAAATATTTTTATTATTTAAAGCCACTTTGTAATTAGCTCAGTAAAATCTTTATTTCTATTTTCCTATGAGGTAGCACACAGCGTCCTGCAGGGAGTTACCAGCAGAGACAGAATTAGAAAGTGCAGACCTTGGCCTTCAGTCTCTGATTTAGCTCAGATCCCATCCCTGCTTAATCATCCAAACCTAACATTCTACTAAAGAACTCGCTGGACCTGTGGGAGTGCTCAGAGGTGTGAGGGGAGTGGTGCTCCACCTTTCTCAGTTCTCAGGGATGCTCTTGTCATTCTTTTATCCAAATGTCCCTGCATTACTTTGCGTCAGACATTTTTCAAAAATAGCTCAAAACTTCTCAAAAGTATTTTCAATAGCTCTCAAAAATATGTATCTTAATTTACACATATGTACATGTAGGAAGGTGAAAAAAGTGGTAGGAAGGTGAAAAAAGTGGTAGGAAGGTGAAAAAATGTTAAATTCTGTCTGACTTGTAGCAATATGACATTTGATACCTTTAGTGCCTTTAAAATGCATACATTTGGAAGCTACAATGTATTGTTCCCCTGTGGCCAAGAGTCCAGATTTCCCTTTATTCTTCATGCTTAGGTTTTTATTAATAGAAGCCTGATAAGTCTCGTCTTTATAATATTGGCAAGGCTTTAAAAGCTTGACCAAGGGCTTTTAAGATTTGATGGGACTTTGGGTAAAAACACAGACTTGTGTTTAGGGAAATACAATGATTTCTCAGAATCCATCTTATCCAAAGGGGAATTCTTGGCCTAAACTTCTGGCAGGGTCATTGTGAATTCATTCACAAAGGGCCTGATAGCCTGGGAGAGACAGAGGTCTGCATACACCTTGGAAAACCCCTGGGGCTTTTGGACACAGCACAGGTTTCTCCTCTGTTCCCCACCTTGTGTCAGGCCACTCAACCTCAACATGCTGGCGGGTCACGTAATTATAATGCTGCCTTCCTCTGTGGATTGAGTGGGTATGTGTGTGATGCGGGGGTCAGGGGGCAGCAGGGCTTGTGCTGAGCACACTTACTTCCTTCTCTTTATTTTATGTAGTATCAGTGTATCTCAAACATAGCATGAAGACAACTGGTATTTTACAAGATCATTTTAGGTGACGTTTGGATAAACACTTTATATATTAATAATATACATTTTAAAATGAATATTAGAAAATATTTGGCCTTTGAGGGAGGCACTATTATAATTCCCACTTAAAAAAAAATTTATTTAGAGATGGGGTCTCAGTCTCTTGCCAAGGCTGGAGTGCAGTGGTGTCATCATAGCTCACTGCAGCCTCGAACTCCTGAGCTCAAGTGATCCTTCTGCTTCAGCCTCCTGAGTAGCTCAGACTAAAAATTAGCCACTACACCTGGCTAATTTTTTTATTTTTTGTAGAGATGGGGTCTTGCATTGTTGCCCAGGCTGGCCTTAAACTCCTGGCCTCAAGTCATCCTTCCCTACCTCAACCTCTCAAAGTGCTGGGATTACCGACATGAGCCACCTGCCGAGCCAATCCCTATTTAAATATGTGCTGGGTGTGGTGTGCCAGCACTTTGGGAGGTTGAGGCAGGAGGATCACTTGAGCTCAGGAGTTCGAGACCAGCCTGGGCAACATGGTGACACCCCATCTCTACTAAAAATATAAAGAAATAGCCAGACATGGTGGCACACACCTGGGGTCCCAGCTACTGAAGAGTTTGAGTGGGAGGATCACTTGAGCCAGGGAGGTGGAGGTTGCAGTAAGCCATGATTGTACCACTGCACTCCAGTCTGGGCAACAGAGTGAGACCCCGTCTTAAAAAATAGATAAATAAATAAGAAAGCTCGGGCACAGAGAGGTTATACAGAAGTTAGCTAACATACCCAAGCTTCCTCAGCTACACAATACTCTCATAGAAGGCAGAAGGCAAGCTGCCTAAATGCTGCAAGAAGCCTCTTTTAAAAGGGTCTTAATCCCATTAAGGAGGGAGTAGGCCTCATGCCCTAATCACCTCTTAAAGGCATCACCTCTTAATACTATCACATTGGCAACACCTGAATTTTGGAGGGGACACATTCAAACCATAGTGATAAGGAATGCAGATATGGCCCAAATCAGGAAGGTGGCATCTTTTAATGATGTTATCCATGTTTAGGAGCATGTTTTGATCACTGAAATAGCCAAGTCCCCTCTGATGAGATCTTCTCCCTGTGTTGTCTTCACTGATAAAGCAGCCACTCAATGGTAGCCTTGATGACCCTGTGGTTGAAGAGGGCAATGATGGTAGCTGCCAGGCCACAGTCCACCCAGGACTGCTCTTCTCACCTCCCACCTCAGGGTCACCAGAAGAATTCAAGAAGCACTTGACTTTCCTCCTGCAAGTTAAAGTAGAAGTTGTCCCGTCAGCATTTTCCCTTTCTGCTGTGGCTGGGCTCCCCCAGGGCAGCAACTGACCTGTTTTTCCCACAGAACGCCTGCCACAGGTGAGGAGTTCTCCAGCCAGCAATTTAGTAAGTAGCAACATTGAGGGGCGGTGGGGGCAAATGGAAGAGGCTGCGTGGGAGACTAGGCTTTCACCTGCTGCTTCTCAGGCTCTCCTGGCACCAGAGAGCGCTGGGGAAAGCAAGGAGGAAGCTGAAGGGCCAGAGCAGGGGGACAAGGTAAGACGGACCCAACAGTTTCACTTGCAGAGGAATGTGGAGTGGTGATGCTCATGGTCAGGGATCTTCCTCTCCCCTCTTCTCTCCTTTCCTTTCCTTTTTGCTTTTTGAGACAGGGTCTCACTCTGTCACCCAAGCTGGAGTGCAGTAGTGCCATCGTGGCTCACTGCAGCCTCGAACTCTTGGGTTCAAGTGATCCTCCCACCTCAGACTCACGAGTAGCTAGGACCACAGGCATGCACCACCATGCCCAGCTAATTTTGTTTATGTTTTGTAGAGACAGGCTCTCCTTATATTGCCCAGGTTTGTCTCGAACTCCTGGACTCAAGCAGTCCTCCCGCCTTGGCCTCCCAAATTATTGGGATTACAGTCGTGAGGCACTGCTCCCAGCCTGGGATGTTTTTTTAAATAATTGGGAAGAAGTTTGTAGTAGCTTGTTGCAGCTAATTTGTTTTTATCAGAACTAATATGTTTTCTCTCAAGGCCAGTAAGTGGAAAGGGCCACTTCTTCCTGCTGCCCACCTTCAACAATTCTATTCCTTTACTAAGTGGGAAATAACAATGACACTAATGATGATGAGGCACCATTTATTGAGCGTGGTACTAAACATGTTACCAATATCACCTTCATCATCATATTAATGCCACACTTTATAGAAAAGGACACCGAGGCTTAGAGAAGTTTAGTGACCTGTCCAAGGTCACACAGCACAGCCAGTAAGTGGTGGGGCTAGGATAGGAATCCAAGTGGTCTGACCACAGCCTAGTGCTCTTTCATCACACCACGACTGCCTCTGGTTGGATACTGTCGTTTTCCACCCTGTGTGAAATGTTGTTTTGTTGTAGTTTTAAGCAATGAAAATCAGAAGGTTGGCGGGGCATGGTGGCTCACACCTGTAATCCTAGCACTATAGGAGGCCAAGGCGGGAAGATCAATTGAGGTCAGGAGTTCGAGACCAGCCTGGCCAATATGGTGAAACCCTGTCTCTAGTAAAAATACAAAATTAGCTGGGCGTGGTGGTACACACCTGTAATCCCAGCTACTCGGAAGGCTGAGGCAGGAGAAGCACTTGAACCTGGGAGGTGGGGGTTGCAGATTGCACCACTGCACTCCGGCCTGGGCGATAGAGCAAGACTCTGTCTCAAAAATTTAAAAAAGAAAATCAGGAAGTAAATACATGAGTATGCGTGAGAATGTCAGGCCGGAGCATCACAGAGTGCCATGAATGGAATGCAAGTGAGCTTGTGAGTGCGGCTGCCATGCAAGGGAGAGGCTGGGCAGGGAGATGGATGACGTTGGGATAGATCCCACATGGAGCTTTCAAGGTCAGTGCAGATGGCCTGTTAGCCCTCTGAGGTAGAACCCCGGGCACAAAGACCCAGGCATTTTCCATCACACTTGGACACCATCTCACATGTGACCACCATGAACCTTTCCTGGCTTTGGGATCCCCCATTCACCTAGGAAAAACATGTCTGCCAGCAATCAAAAGATGGGCTTTCCTGCCGTCAATGCCAGTGAGTATGTGAATAAATGCAGAGCAGAGAACTGGGGGTCACACAGAACCCCACCTCCTACAACGCCCACTGCCATGTACTAGTTGATAGACCTAGAGAGAGGTACCTCTCCTTTCTGTGCCTGTTTTTGCGTCAATTAAATGGGGGTAATAACACCCGTCACAGTGGGATAGTTTGAGCATTAGCATTTAGATGAGAAAACCTGTAATAACAGTGTGGCAAACCTATAGCAGACCATGAATAAGCTGTAGCCATTGTTGTTGACAATGGATGGGACAAGGTCCTCATGATGTGGAAAGGAATGTCTAGAGCCCGTTAGAGGCTCTTCCTAGGAAAGGTGGGGAACGAGTTTTCCGCTGAGTAGGGCAGGAGCAAGGGAAGGACTGATGTGATGCAAGGGAGGCTGGCGACCTTGAGCAGACTCTCCTTCCAGTCTCATCCCCAAATCTAACTTGCTGCCACATAATCAGTCATTGATCTCATGGTGCTGGGAAAAGAGTGGCAAAGTGGAAGAATAAAAACCTTCCAGGAATTAGTCTCTTTTTACTCTCTTTTTTCATATTGCTTCTGTTCTTTAGAAAAATTCAAAATAAAAAGTCGAAATTCACATCTGGGGCTTCACACAGTAGATGCAAATCCACTCTGCTGAGGACAGCATATGCCTATATGTTTTGCTGAAATTTCAGTCGTTCCCGTGGCTGTTTCAGCACTTGAGCTGGTTCTCAGAAGATCCTGCTGTGGAGCAGTGTGCTGTTAACCACCAGCAGCACGGTCTTTGCCTCAGACTCCTTGGTCAGCAAAGTAGAGCAAAGGTAATGTGATCTGGTGAATAAGAAACAGCTCGAGATGAAAGGAATGAACATTTTCAGAATGCCTTGGCTATAGGGAGTCACGTGCCCTCTTTCGAAGAGTCTGTGCTCTTTGTTGGTCTCTGGCCTCTCCCTGGGTGGGACAATACACTGGCCACACAGGCTGCTAGGAGTGGAGGAATGATCTTTGCCACAATCTCTTATTTCCTAGGGCAGACACACAGATATCTGAAAATGCCCGACTTGGTGAGCATGCTTCCAGCTGCTGGTGACAGCCTGGAGTGCAACCTTGTACTCTAGGGTCCAAGGAGAGGGAGCCTTGAAAGCCACTGGCAGATGGCAAACATGTCTAAGGCATCTTCACCCATCACCTCTGGGAGGAAGCAGTGTGGATGGAGGCCCTTTGGACAGAACAAGTGGGCCTGTCATACCAGGGAGAAGTGGGTCCTTCCTGCCATTTCCTCTTTGTCTCATTTTAGAGAAGAGAATGGCATTCAGCCTTCGTAAACTTCATATTTTCTTTTTCTTACAATATCTGTGTTAAAGGTGTTGCCTGTTGTCAATCTAAAAGTTTAGGAGCCTGTCAGGCACGGTGGCTCACGCCTGTAATCCCAGCACTTTGGGAGACCGAGGCGGGCAGATCACGAGTTCAGGAGATTGAGACAATCCTGGCTAACACGGTGAAATCCCGTCTCTACTAAAAATACAAAAAAATTAGCCAGGCATGGTGGCGGGTGCCTGTAGTCCCAGCTACTTGGGAGGCTGAGGCAGGAGAATCGCTTGAACCCAGGAGGTGGAGGTTGCAGCGAGCCGAGATTGCACCACTGCACTCCAGCCCAGTGACAGTGCGAGACTCTGTCTCAAAAAAAAAAAAAAAGTTTAGGAGCCTGCACTGAGACTTTTTTAAAAAAATAAATCTTAGCAAGAAGTGATGTGGCATAACATGGTAACGCACATCAATTGATTCAATCACCCACGGAAACCTCCCACTGGCATCAGGAAGCAATTTGTACTCAGGGAGGGCTATGAGTCACTGGGAGTCATGGACCATGTCACTTAATAGAATTCCTCTTTTTTGGAGCCCATCACCTTATTAACAGGAAAGGCATTTGACTGGGTGTCTGTGTTTCTCCCTCGACAGAGATTACATCCAGCTCCCCATCATCCCAGCTAAAGAAATGCAGCCGTGGTGTGGACAATCGAAAGTGGCAAATAATTTAAAACTGTGTGTGCCTTTTGCTTTCTAACTTTGAGTGTTTTGGGGGAGGGCATGGGAGTAGGGTTAAGAGTTTCTGAATTACACATTTTCCTTTCCAATATTAAAAATAGGTTAGTATGCACCTTCAGTGCAATCCTAGTGACCCCAGGGAAGGAGAACTTGAGAATGCCCTTGAGGCTGGTGCGGTGTGGAGTCACTTCTGCTGGAAACCTCCAAAGCAGATGCAGCTCAATCTTTCAATAATGGGGGTGGATGTCTTTTGTTTTAGCCTGCCCACCATCCTTTCCTTCTTCTTAAGTTAGCAGAGCCCCTCTTTCCTGCAGAAGACCCATTTCGTGGAGCTCTGGGCCTACTACTATCCCTGTCCCACTTGTCACGTGATCAGCTCAGGGTTGGGGACTGGGCCCCAGCCACGCCAAACAGGGTTATCCCAGGGAGTTTTCTGCTGGTGTGTAGCTAATCCGGTGAAGTGTGGCTCCTGGTCTCCTGGAAGCCACCTACCTGAGAGGAGAGCTGGAACCCCAACCACCTCACTTGGGTCTTGATCCAGGGGTGGCTGAAGTTGTAAATCCTTTTGGATTTTTACAGTTATGTAGACCAATAAGTTCTCCCCTTTTTCTTTAACTAGCTTGCTTTGGGTTTCTGTCACTTGACCAAGGGTCCTGGCAACATATCACCCTTCTGAGCTTCGTGTCTGTGGTGGGGAGATTTGTAAGTACTTTCTGGCTGGGTGTGGTGGCTCACACCTGTAATCCCAGCAGTTTGGGAGGCCGAGGCGGGTGGATCACCTGAGGCCAGGAGTTCGAGACCAGCCTGGCCAACATGGTGAAACCCCATCTCTACTAAAAATACAAAATTAGCTGGGCGTGGTGATGCATACTTGCAGTCCCAGCTACTCAGGTGGCTGAGGCAGGAGAATTGCTTGAACCCAGGAGGCAGAGGTTTCAGCAAGCTGAGATTATACCACAGCACTCCAGCCTGGGTGACAGAGAGAGACTCCATCTAAAAAAAAAGTACTTTCTAAGTGTCCCTTCCTCCAAAGCCTCCATCACCTTCCCTGTACCCTCCTCTATTTCCGTCACTCTTGGCTTATCCATTAATGGAGGGCATTTAGGGAGAGATAATTTTGTGCTTCTACTCTTCAGTTTTTTCTAGGTCAGCAACAACTGCCCACTGCTGTGGGCTAGGCTGGCCTGCTCTACACTGTGACCATCACAGGTGCCAATGACATAATATAAATATCAAAGTCATCATTATTATGAAATAGCATTTACATAGCTTACAAAGCACAGTCAACTCTTATTTTCTTGCTCCTTCAACCTGTTCCAGAAAGTTAGTATAGAAAGCAGATTGCAAACAGATAACTAGGATGTTTTTGATAAGTGAATAATTTGTTCCTCTTGAATAAGAGGTAACTTCAGCTAAATATGTCTTATAAGAAAACTGCCTTAGAGATTGCAGGGACTGGGGAAAATTAAACATTGCTTGTCTCCACTATCACCATTTCTCTGTAGTTGCAATATTGGAATAAACATGAGATGTGCTGAACACCCATTATGATATGTTGGAAGGAGCACTTGCCTGAGAGTCAGACGTCTGGGGCCTGAGCCTGGTTCTGCTATAAGGAAACAGTACAGCTTCGGGAAGCTCACTGTTGATTCTCTGAGTTAAATTTTCCTTATCTGTAAAGAAAATAAGGTGCACTAAAATTTCCTCTTGCTCCAAATCCTAGTGACTTTAGTCTTGTAGCAGAAAATATACCACCAAAGTGCAGGATGCTGCTATGGTAGAGGGGGTGAGTAGGCACGACAGAGGCATACAAAGTTCACACCCATGCTTTGGTGAGGGTGGGACCTGGCGTTTTGAGGAAGATTATGCTATTTCCAACCTCTATTTCCTTTCACATATCCATCCACCAGGAATATCCTTCCCCTATCTCATCTCTGACTACCTGGTAAGCTCCTATGCATGCTTCAAGACCTCTTGTTCAGGTACCACCCTCCCTGTTAGGTCACCTGGAGTTGCTGATTCCCTCCCCAGAGTTAAGACCATCCACTTATCATCCACTTACCTATTAATCTATTACTATGGGCTGATTTGTGTACCCACATATTCATATGTGAAGCCTTAACTCCCAATGTGATGGTCTTTGGAGACAGGGCCTTTGGGAGTTCATTAGGTTTAGATGAAGTTGAGAGTGGAGCCTTGGTCCTGTGGGATTAGCCCTTATAAGAAGGGACACTAGTGAACTCACTCTGTCTCTCTGTCTTATGAAGACACAGCAAGAAGGCAGCTGTCTGCAAGCAAGGAAGAGGACCCTCACCAGAACCTTACAATACAGGCACTCTGACCTTGGATTTCCATCCTCCAGAACCCAAAGAAAATTAATTTCTGTTGTTTAAACCACCCAGTCTATGGTATTTTTGCTACAGCGCCCCAAGCTGATTAAGACATCTGTTCATGGGCTGCCTCTCCTACCACGCTGTGAGGACCTTTGGGATGCAGCTCCAGCTCAGTTAACTCTGCATCCTCAGAGGCGCACTCAGTACCTGGCGTCTAGTAGATGCTCAATAAATATGTCTACAGTAAATGAATAAATACATGGCTATCAGCCCCCATTGTTTCCTTGGCACCTATTCTGAAGAAGTTCATGTTCTAGCGGTGATAAACAGGCAACTTAAAAAGATGAGAAAACCATCTCATTTTGATAAATGCTATGTAGTAGATTAGAACTGGCAAACATGATGAAATAGCAAACAACTCAGTGGTGACTTTGGATGGTTTGAGACAGCCTCTCTGAGAAATTGACACAAGCTGAGACCTTGATAAGAAGCAGCCAACCTGTCAGAGCAAAGAGGGTAGCAGACCTGTCAAGCAAAAGCTGTAAAGCAAGAATGAATTTAGCAAGTGTGAGGAATAGTAAGAGGGTCAGTATGGCTGCAGTGGAATGGATGAGGGAGAGAATGGATGGGGGCCTGGTCGGGGCTGGCCAGGACATGATCCTGCCAGGGTAAGGAGCATGATTGCAGCAGGGCAGGAAGGCAAGCAGGGAGGTTAGTGACCAGCCCAGGAACAAGATAAAGGGGCGTGGATTGGGGTGGTACCAGTGGAGATGGAGAGAGATGGGTGGATCCAAGGCAAGTGTTTAAGATGTGGTTGACAGGACAGGCTCATGGATTAGATGGAAGTGGCAGGAGGTGAGCGGAAGGAGGCTGCAAAGGAAAGAACAACTGAAGATAACTCCTAGAAGCAAGACCAAGAAGCAGGCTCTTTTGAGTGAGGGGTGGGGAGTAAGAATTCAGGGTATTTTTCTGGCCACAGGAAGTATGGAATGACCATTAGGCACTTAAGTGGCAATGTCCAATAGGAAGTTGGATACCTCAGTGTGACATTCTTGGAGAAGGTCAAGGCTGGTGATACAGATTTGGGCATCGTTGGCTTCCAGATGGCACCTGAAGCCCTGGGACTGGATAGAATCACCCTGGGGGAGGATGAAAGGGAGGGAAGGAAGCACACAGCCCTGAGAAAGAGCATGAAGAGACATCAAAGGCCAAGGAGGGGCCAGTGAGAAACGGGGAGGAGGGCAAGGTGCTGTCGCAGAGGCCAGGAGAGGAGAGGGCCCGCGGCTGTGTTGAGCATTTCAGACAGGTCACGTAGAATCATTGTCACGGAGGAGCAGCCACTGGGTTTGCCACGTGCAGATCATTAGTGACCAGGTGATGAGGGCCAAGGAGACACAACAAGACAAGGAAGCAAAACACACTACAGACAACTTCTTCCAAAAGTGTCACATTATCTGATTGAATTGTCATAATCATGATATGAGGGAGATGCTGTTCTCACCCCATATAAAGATGAGAAAATGGAGATCTGGGAGCAGAAGATCAGCTGGGATTGCAGGTGGTTTTTGACTCAGAATTTGAGCTCTTAGCCACTATCATTTCTTGCTTCTCACTCTGCTCCACTCCAATCTCACAGCAGCCTTGGGGTAAGAATTAGTCATATAGGGACATTCCCAAAGGAGGAAAGAAAACAAGTGAAGGGTGATTTCTCTTGTTTGTTTGTTTATTTATTTATTTATTTATTTATTTATTTAGGACAGGGTCTCCCTCTGTCACCCAGGCTGGAGTACAGTGCCATTATCATAGCTCACTGCAGCCTCAAACTCCTGGGTTCGAGTGATCCTCCACTTCAGCCTCCTCAGTACTGGGGACAACAGGTGCATACTACCATGCCCGTCTAATTTTTTTAATGTTTTTGTAGAGATGGGGTCTTGCTACATTGCCCTGGCTGGTCTCAAACTCCTGGTCTCAAGCAAACCTCCTGCCTTGGCCTCCCAAAGTGATGTGAGCCACTGCGCCTGGCTGAATTTCTCTTTATAATGGCAGTAACCAGGCGCTGTCTGGAGGCAGTCTCCTCCCTACGCCTGAAGTCCCCTCCCCAGGGATGATGTCATCTGTGCCAGTACAGGTATAGACTGTGCAATTGCCTTTCCAATCTTTCCTTTAATAACTCCAAATTCTGCCTATTTGCCATCTCCTTATCTTAAGCAAACTGCCCAGAATCTAGGAAGAAAAACAGCTACATTCCCAGGGATCAGATTTAGCCTTGAGGAATGCAGACACCCGAGGCGCAGGCCTTGAAACAGCCCAGCAAGGAGAAGGATTGAGCACAGACATGTTCTACCCTTGAAATAATAACATTCAATTGTACCTTGCCACACTTTCCGTCCAAGTTATTGCAAAAGAAATGGCCAGTCAGAGAGATGCTCAAGGGGAACAAAGCACGGGCTGGGACCCCACACGTTACTCTACACGTTATTCTAGAAGGAGCTGCAGCCCCATTCTTTGTAAAAACTGCTTCATGGGAAACATAAGGCTTATTCTTCTTTTGTGAAAGGAGAGCTCAGTAACCCTGTCAGAGACATCTCTTTGGGCTGAGTTTCCTCAAATATAAAATGAAATACAAAGACTCAATATCTGTTTTCAGAATTCTGCCCACCCCCACTCCCCTGCCCTGCCACCAAGCATGGGCTTCTTTTTTAAACCCAAAATTTACCTGGAATGCCTATAAATGTATGTCTATATGAAAAGCCTGTGTCACCCCCACCTAAATCAAGAATATCAGAGTATTTTTTAAAAGTTTAAGTACAGAATCTAGTGCCATTCCTCCTGGATAGAAATGAAGGTCCATTTATAGTGAGTGAAATTTCACCTACAAGGCAGACAGCCTCAGGGCAGGCAGAGAAGCACCATAATTGTGGGGCCCAGTGGGTTCCAAGGGGCAAGGCCCACAGCCAGACTTAGAGAATAAAGGTTATTCCAAATGGTGCAAGGTCTGCTAAGAGGAGAAATGGCATCCTTAGATACGAAGCTGCATGGTTTCCAATAGAAACTAGCAAAGTGCTTTTGCCAAGGTTACTGCCCAGCCTCCTCCTCAAAATGTCTCTTTCTACTAGGAGGCTGAACTGCAAGAGGGGCGCCCAGTGCAGCTGAGTGGGCTCAGTGCCCCCACAGCTCTCCCTGCAAACTCCAAGAAAAACCTCAGAGCATCCAAAGCAACCTGAGGGCCAGTGAGTAGAACCAAGGGTCAGAACCTCATCCTCCCCATTTACAGAAGATGGAGAGTCGGGGAAGTGGGGCAGTAAGGCCCAGAGTAAGATTTGAAGAGGGTAAAGAAGGGGCAGTTCTCTTCTGGAGAGAAAATGAGGTGGGGAAGGGAGGTGGACACCATGGGGCCGGGGCCTTCTCTTTGCAGACAGAAGGAGTTGGAAGGGCCTTCTATGGCAAAGTCCAGGAGAACACCTGAGCTAGAGAGAGGGCCAGGTTTTGTCCTGCCTTTTTTCCATTCTGCCACTTACCTGGCCCTTTGGCCTTTTGGTAAAGAGTCCCTAGACTGTGGTTCTGCCTGATTGGCCTAGGGGAAACCTGTGAGTCTGGCTACCTGGGAAAGGCACATGCTGCCAGTACCAGTTACCGTTCGGAAGAGCTCCAGAGGAGAAGGAATTGCATCGCTCTGCCTGCCCCACCATATGGAATCAGGAGACACACTACTGATCTGTCATGGCATGGATGGTGGCAGACACTTGGAGATAAAAAAGAAGGGGCCGTGCCACGCTGGGGTAAACTTGGAGGAACTCTGGTTGAACTGTAGGTGGGGAAGCCTTGAGCCTTTCTTGTGTGGCCAAGAGGATGCTAGAAGGCTTACAGGCTGCTACTGGGATGGTATGGTAGGCACAGCAGTACGGATCGGGCACAGCATGGTGGTGGAGCATGGCATCTAGAACCAGGCTGCCAGAGTGTGAGTCCCAGCTCAGCCACTTACAGCTCTGTGGTCTGAGACTAGTTTTTGGCCTCTCTTGGTGTCTTTCCTTATTATTAATAGTAATAAGCTATAGAATTATCTCAAAGAGTTGCTAAGTATTAAATGGACTCAAACATGCAGAGTGCTTAAAAGAGTACCTGGCTGGAGTGAGCAGGCAGCCTGTGCTGTCTATTGTCTCGGTGCTGCAAAGCTAGTACACTGCTCACCAGACTTTCTGCCATGGGGGGTTAAAGTCCCCCCAAGCCACTCCTGGGGTCCACCGCAGTTCTTGCCTCCCACTTTGTCTCCTACTGGATCCCCTAAAGAAACTTTGGGAGCCCCAGAGCTCTGTGAAACATAGGTTGAAAAGGACACCAGATGATCTTTCAGGTCTCTTTCAGGTTTAAAGGCCATGTGGTCAAGAATTCTTCCCGAAAGTGGCTTAGTCTAAACTACCACTTTAGAAGAGAAAGTGTGTCTTTTTTTTTGGACAGAGTTTTGCTCCTGTTGCCCAGGCTGTAGTGCAATGTTGCGACCTCGGCTCACTGCAACCTCCGCATCCCAGGTTCAAACGATTCTCCTGCCTCGGACCCCAAAGTAGCTGGGATTACAGGTGCCCGCGACCACACCTGGCTAATTTTTGTATTTTTTAGTAGAGACAGGATTTCATCACGTTGGCCAGGCTGGTCTTGAACTCCTGACCTCAGGTGATCCACCCACCTCGGCCTCCCACAGTGCTGGTATTACAGGCATGAGCCACTGCACCCAGCCAAAAGTGTGTCCTTTGGGTCCTTCATCAAAAAAGCCATATTTAGCAACCAGACCTCAGCCAAATAGTGTTTTCCAAGCTTCCCTGGGTCCCTAGTGGGTCCCCTCCTGACTTGTCCTGGAGCACCCCAGGCCCCCGAATGCCCCCGCTGTCCTGAGCATCCCAGCAGGCCTTCCCAGACCTTTCTCCCCAGGTACTTCTTGGGATGTTTGTGGGTCTGCTCCTCCTCTCCCAGCTTGCAGTCACACCAGGTGGGGCCAGATTAACCTTGTATTAATCATCACCAACATGCTCCTTCACATCTTGTCCCATGTCCCTCAAATGTCACCCTCCCAGTGAGGCTCTACAGTTGAGCCTATTTAAAATGTCACCCTCTGCTCCCACCTCTCGAGGAAGGGAGGAGCAAGAGGCAGGCTACGTAGTGGTTGCTTCTTTGACGTTGAAGGAGTTGGTAATGATCCTCCGTGCTTGCACGAATGTTAAAATGCCACCCAAACCCTCTAGCTTCAACATAAATGGGTTTAGAGCCTCTGTTTCAAAACCCAGTTAACAGAAAAGAAACTGTTCCTGAGGTTGCTTGGGGTGACTCTGAAGCCCACACACTGAGCTGTGGCAGCTGCTCAGGGATAAAGGTCCAGAATTCCAGTTCTCCATGCTGCCAGCTACATATTTGCATCACCTGGGGAGCTTTGAAAACTACTAATGTCTGAGGATAGGGTTGAGGTGTGGGGAAGCCTGGCCATCAGGATTTTAAAATCTCCCCCAGGTAATCAAATGTGCAGCCAAGATTGACAAGCACAGACCTAGAGAGATTCAAAAGTGCTCACGTGACTTTGAAATGACCTATCCTTCTGAGATGGGCCCAGACATTAAGTTTTCAAAAACACCACCAGTGCTTCTCATGTGCAGCTAGGGTTGAGAGAATCATGGCTTTGACCAGTGGTTCTCTAAGTGGAGTTTCCAGGCCAGCAGCATCACCTGGGAACTTGTTGGAAATGCACATTCCTGGACTCACCCCAGACTTCCTGAGTCAGACTTTGCTCTGTGGTTAACACAGGTTCAGCAGGGGAGACGTACAAATAAATACGTATTTACAAATGGCCATGTTTTCTTATCTAGGCTTTTCTATATGTAGAAAAGCAGAGGGACTAGATCTTGATTCCCCCTTCCTTCTTTATTAAAGCAGGGCCCAGAGTTATTTATTTTTTGGTTTTATAGAACTGTAGAACTGCCACAAGTAAAGACACAATTAATCATTAGTGACAGACGAAGGGATGTTTGGCAGAACACAGATGTGTTGCCAATCTATAGGCCATTAAGTGACGACGGGAAAAAAGGAGGGTTAGGGGAAAAAGCATAAATGCAGAGGCCTGTGGATTTTGAGTGGGTTTTGTTCTTGTACCATTTCCCAACTCTGGAATGTTTCATCTGCCAGGCCTGTCTAAACACTGGATTGTATCTGGCATTTTTAAGTTTTTAGTGTCAAATGAATTTTCTTGGTGTCCAAGCCAGAATCTTTTGGTAACTAGGTAACAATTCCAAACTATGGGTAACATGAGCTTCAAGCCAATGTATAAAATCCTCTTTTTGGTCTCTCTTGTGTTATTACCATTTTACTCTATAGTAAAACCTGAGGAAGGAAAATGAGGGAAGGAAGAGATACACAGAGTGACCGTGGAAAAAGTTCAGGTAACACCATAAATCTTGAAAGCCAAGTTGACCTTGAGCCCAAGTCTAGCAGAGCTGCATCTAAGGAGTGGGCCAGGGAGTGGGGGAGCCTGCAGCTCTGCACCCTGCCTCCCCTGCCTCTTCCTTCCTTCCTATGATACATTTTTGAGATGACAAATCACAAGAGTATCTGGGATGTAATGGACTAAGCTGTGTTAAGATGTACCCAAAATTTCATGTTTCACAAAATTGCAATTAAAGCAAAAATGAGGATGACAACTCCTTAGGGATACAAACGTCTTCCTTGACGACCTGCTCAAAAGACATCTACAAAGCAAAGCTTCTTAAAAGGGATTTTGACACCAGGAGCTTGTGTTTTGACACTGGAATGTGCCTGGAAAACAATTCTTGGGCCCCTTTGATGCCTGGTGCTATCTAACCCACAGTGAGAAGGCTGTGAAGAGGAGGGCGCAAAATAAAGCCCAAGTGGTCCTCACAGCGCAGCCCCTGCAGCCCCTGATGGTGGGGAAACATCAGTCACCTGAGGAATTAACGAACATGCCGGTTAAAATGCTCCCACCTCAGAGATTCTGATTCAGTAGCTCTGGGGAAGGATCTGCACATCCACATTTAAAGAAATTTCTGACGCTGATGGTTTGGAGACCTCCCTTTGAGAAGCACTGCCGTATGTTCTGAAGGAAGAGAACCAACAGCATGGTGATGGACTAGGCTCAGAGGGAGGCCTCCGCTGGGAACCTGACTTGGGTAGATTTGCCCCAGGACTTCAGGAAGGGGAGACCTGGTGCCCAGCTGCATTCCTCGTTGAGTTGTGTCATTCCATTCTTACTAAAGCCTTTGGCAAAGTTTTGTGAACCTGCCCTGGGAAGCAGCTGGCATGGTGTGGAGGTAGTTGGCTGGCAGGAAGTGTAGAGAGGACAAGCCAGGGCAGGGTTTGGTGTAAGTGGTGAGAGGCACCCGCCATGCTGTGTGAGTAGATCCATCCCTTGGACTCTGGCACTATCTGGGAGCATACACGACATCCTGCTGTCAGGGCACAGTGACTCAAGGCCAGGGTGACAAAGGCCAAGAAGTAGGACAAGAGGACAAAGAGACACACAGCTACACCTGGGAGATGTGGGCATCAGAAACTTGTTCACTTTCTGAATCACCCTCCTCATGACCACTGGACCAAACCTGCCTTCCCTTCTCCCCGCTTAGGCATGGATCCTTTCCCAGATGGGGCCTCACCTTTCCTTCACTTTCCAAGAAGGCCTGGTCTCCTCTGAGTCCCAGTAATGAACCAGGGTGGTTGGTCAGAAGCTAGGATGATCACTATGTGTGTGTTTTTTTAAGTATATGCCCATTTTCTAAAAAAATGGAGGCAGAATTCACGTGAAATTAACCATTTTAAAATATGTAATTTGTTATGTTAGCATTTAGTACATTTGCAATGTTATGCAACCATTAACACTATCTAGTTCTAAAACTTTTTTCCTTTTAAATTGACTGCTTTTAGAGTAGTTTCAGGTTGTCAGTAAAATGGAGCAGAAAGTACAAAGAATTCCCACGTACACCCTGCCTCCATCACACAACCCCATCACCATGACACATTTGTTACAGTCAGTGAACTGACATTGACATGTCATTATCACCCAGACTCCAGCGTTCACATTAGGGTTCACTGTTGGTGTTATACACTCCATGGGTTTGCACAAGAGATGACGTGTATCTATTACAGTAGCATACAGAATAGTTTCACTGCCCTAAAAATCCTCCAGACCTCTGCCTATTCATCCCTTCTTCCTCTCTAACCTCTGGCAGCCACTGATCTTTTTACTGTCTCCATAGTTTTCACTTTCCGGAATGTCATATAGTTGGCAGCATGCATTACGTAGCCTTTTCAGATTAGCATCTTTCACTGAGTAATATGCATTTAAGTTGCCTTCATTTTTTTATGGCTTGATAACACATTTCTTTCTAGCACTGAATTATATACTATTGTTTGGATGTCACATCGTTTATTTGTTGAGAGACTGAATATGCAAATGGACAATGGCCAGACCATATATAAAACTAGAACTTTAACTCACAATCTGCAGCAATCTGCCTGGGAGACCAACCCTTTTATTTATAATAAACAACCCAGGAAGCCAGCCTGATATAAGTCCAACTTGCAGGAAGTGAGATTGTTATCTCTAGTGACAATTCAGGAGCTAAATAATAACCTCCGTAACAATCAGCCCCAAATGGCCAGAACTTGATTAATAACTGACGGCTTCCCTAATTTTTGTCCCCTCTTCCAATTTCAACTAGAGAAAGCCAAATATTCACCCCTAACCAATCATATACAATGCTCTGCTTCTAGTTAGCCTACCTGTAGCTTCCTAACTCCAACAGCCTCCCAACAGGGCACATCCGAAGCCTTCCCTTTTCTCCACTATCAAGCTTCCCCACTCTTTCCTGCCTTTGAGTCTCTGCCAAAATGCAAGCGGCAGTGGTGGATTCCCTTGCTATAGCAAGTTCAGAATAAATAGCTATGATGGTTGATTGTATATGTCAACTTGACTGGGCTAAGAGACAGCCAGATTGCTGGAAAAACATTATTTCTGGGTAACCTGAGAGGGTGCTTCTGGAAGAAAGGAGCATTTGAATTGGCCACTGAGTGAAGAAGATCATCCTCCCCAGTGCAGGTAGTCATCATCCAAACTGTTGAGGGCCTAAATAGAACAAAAGGTGGAGGAAGGGCGAATTTGTTCTCTCTGATCTGGAACATCCATATTCTCCTCCCCTGGGACATCAATGCTCCTGGTTCTCAGGCCTTCATCCTTGGACCAAGACTTCTACCGTGACCTCTGGGGTTCCCAGGCCTTAGGACTCAGATTGGGGCTTACGCCATTGGCTCCCCTGGTTCTCAGGCTTTCGAGTTTGGACCGAAACTACACCACTGACTTTCCTAAGCCTGCAGCTTGCACGTGGCAGATTATGGGACTTCTCAGCCTCCACAACTGCATGAGCCAATCCCTCATAATAATTCTCTTTTTATATATCTCTCTATATATATATCCTATTGGTTCTGTTTCTCTGGAGAATTCTGACTAATACAGTAGCCTGTGCTTTTCTCATTTGGTTGGTTTCCTATTTCCACATCATTCACATACTAAAGGACATCTTGTTTGCTGCTTCCAAGTTTTAATGGTAATGAATAAACCTGCTATAAACATCCTTGTACAGGTTTTTGTGTGGACATAAGTTTTTAGCTCACTTGGGTAAATAGGAAGGAGCACAATTGCTAGATTACCTGGTAAGAGGATGTCTCCTTTTGTAAGAAACTGTCAAACTAACTTCCAACATAGCCGTACCATTTTGCATTCTCGCCAGCAATGAATGAGAGTTCCTGTTGTTCCATGTCCTTTTGGTGCTGTCAGTATTCTGGAATTTTGGACATCCTAATAGTATAGTGGTATCTGATTGTTGCTTTAATTTGCACTTTCCTAATGACATATCATGTTGAGTATATTTTAATATATCTTCTTTGATGAGGTATCTGTTCAGGTCTTTTGCCCATTTTTTAATGGGGTTGTTTGTTAATATTTTTAAGTTTTAAGAGTTCTTTGTGTATTTTATACACAGTCCCTTATCAGATATGTCTTTTGCAGATATTTTCTCTCAATCTGTAGCTTGCCTCCTCATTCTCTTTATGGTGTCTTTCACAGAGAAGATAGTTTTCAACTTTAATAAATTCCATCTTGTCCATTTTTTTTCATGGATCATGCATTTGGTATTGTATCTAAAAAGTCATCTCCATACCCAAGGTCATCTAGATTTTCTTCTATCTAAAACATTTTCACCATCCCCAAAGGGCTATATGTTCTATGGGTTTTTTGCATACAATTTTCATATGTCCCCATTTGAGGAATAACATTCAGATTTCCCCCCACCTCGCCCCCAATGGGTTAAATTTTAGTTTCAGGGAGTAATGCACTTCTATGCTTTGTTTTATATGCTTTTTACAAACATGTGAAAGAGCATGCAAATTGCTTCTCAATTTCTGCCTGGGAAAATCTCAGCATGGATTGGGGAGTTCTACCAAATTTGAGTTGAGCAACTGTGTTCCAGGCCATAACCCAAATACATATATATATATATATATATATATATATATATATATATATATACATATATACATACATATATATACATATATACATATATGTATACATATATACATATATACATATATACATATATACATATATACGTATATACACACATATATACATATATACATATACGTATATGTATACATATATATACATATACGTATATACGTATATATATACGTATATATACGTATATATATGTGTGTATATATGTATATAGCCATTTGGACCCCTTTCCTACAGGATCCATGATAGTGAGAGTAGAGCATTATGAAAATGCTCTTTAAGGTTGAAATGTTTAAAATCCAAAGAAAAAGTAAAGTAGGCAAGAGAATCCCATCTAGTGTCATATCACGCTGGTAGTGTTTATTCTTTCATCAGTGGTAGAGAATGTGCCTGAAGCATTTTGTTTCTTTATGCTTCTGTTTTTGTTTTACCTATTTCTATTTGAGTCTGGATCTTGCTATTTCTGTGATATGTAGCATCCCTTAGAGGAAAGCAAATTAAAATTGAGTAAGAACCTCTGCTTTATGGCAGAGGTTCCTGTAGGAGGTCAAGGTGACATGGAGGTTGAGGCAGAACCTGTCTTCTCACATCTTTATAGAGAGGAGGGAACATCTATTCTACTCCCTGGAGGAAACAGTTCTAGTCCCTCTCCCAACCTCTCAATCCCTTCTCCTATGGGGGCAGTGATTTATCTAATTGCTAAGATGACAGTAGTTTGACATTTACTGGTCCCTGGATGCTCACGTTCTCTGTTGGGCAAGGATAATGAGTAAAATGCCCTTGCGTGCATGTGAGTTGCTCTCTTTCTTTCTTTTTTTTTATTATTATTATACTTTAAGTTTTGGGGTACATGTGCACAACGTGCAGGTTTGTTACATATGTATACATGTGCCATGTTGGTGTGCTGCACCCATTAACTTGTCATTTAGCATTAGGTATATCTCCTAATGCTATCCCTCCCCCCTCCCCAACAGTCCCTGGTGTGTGATGTTCCCCTTCCTGTGTCCATGTGTTCTCATTGTTCAATTCCCACCTATGAGTGAGAACATGTGGTGTTTGGTTTTCTGTCCTTGCGATAGTTTGCTGAGAATGATAGTTTCCAGCTTCATCCATGTCCCTACAGAGGACATGAACTCATCATTTTTTATGGCTGCATAGTATTCCATGGTGTATATGTCCCACATTTTCTTAATCCAGTCTATCGTTGTTGGACATTTGGGTTGGTTCCAAGTCTTTGCTATTGTGAATAGTGCCGCAATAAACATACGTGTGCATGTGTCTTTAGAGCAGCATGATTTATAATCCTTTGGGTATATACCCAGTAATGGGATGGCTGGGTCAAATGGTATTTCTAGTTCTAGATCCCTGAGGAATTGCCACACCGACTTCCACAATGGTTGAACTAGTTTACATTCCCACCAACAGTGTAAAAGTGTTCCTATTTCTCCACATCTTCTCCAGCACCTGTTGTTTCCTGACTTTTTAATGATCGCCATTCTAACTGGTGTGAGATGGTATCTCATTGTGGCTTTGATTTGCATTTCTCTGATGGCCAGTGATGATGAGCATTTTTTCATGTGTTTTTTGGCTGCATAAATGTCTTCTTTTGAGAAGTGTCTGTTCATATCCTTTGCCCACTTTTTGATGGGGGCGAGTTGCTCTCTTTCTGCCCCTACCTGTGTCTCAATCTCTTTTACTCACAAGTTGTGGGGCCAGGCCTGATTCCCCATCTTGCTTCCCATGCCCAGCCCCCTAATTTTAAGTTGGGGGAATTGGGGAGGACCACTATTTTGTCTGAGGTTCCAAATTATGCTCTCCAATTCAGCTTTGCTCTCAAAAAAGTGGAAATTATTTCTCAATGGATAGAGAATATGGAGGCCAGAAGGGAGAGAACTGTGATTAATTCGTATCTCAGAAATCCCATAAGTGGCTGGGCATGGTGGCTCTTGCCTGTAATCCCAGCACTTTGGGAGGCCAAGGTAGGTGGATCACCTGAGGTCAGGAATTCGAGGCCAGCCTGGCCAACATGATGAAACCCCGTCTCTACCAAAAATACAAAAATTAGCCAGGTGTGGTGGCGAGTGCCTGTAATCCCAGCTACTGGGGAGGCTGAGGCAGGAGAACTGCATGAACCTGGGAGGCGGGGGTTGCAATGAGCTGAGGTCACGCCTCTGCACTCCAGCCTGGGCAACAGAGCAAGACTCTGTTTCAAAAAAAAAAAGAAGAAGAAGGAAAGAAATCCCACAAGCATCATTCAACAGGCCTGGAGGACCCTCTAGTCAGCTATCACCACCCTGAAGCCCTCTTCATGGTTAGGGTGATGGGAGCATCACCAACAGCGTATTTATGGGTAACTTAAATTTTCAGCAGGTCTTTCCTACCCCATCTCCCTTTACTTCTGACTTCTCTTTCCCTCTGCCCATCTCTACTGTGGGCAATTATAAGACTTCAGTGTGCATTCCATCAGGAAACGTTTGGAGATTCCTGATTTGATATACATATTTATCATTGAAGTTGAAAGAACATCTCTTTGTACCTCATTTTCCTCGTATGTAAGCCCCACGTAATGATGTTGTTATGAGGATTTAAATCAGATAATTCATGAAAACTGATTAGCACAATGCCTAGCACATTGCTAATATCAGGTGCTCAGTAAATAACCTCTGCTATTAATGGTGTCCTTATTATTCTGCCTCTTATCCGTCACTTCTCTCCATATGTGATAGCACTGAAAGATAAGGACCTGATAATTCCCTTTGGAAATTTCAGCTGCTGTATTTAGATACCATTTGGGATTAATTTCAGATTCTTTCTGACACCATATATGTGGTGTCTTTTCTACATCAATTCTCCATTTCTCAAACACCAACTGGATGCCCAACAATTCAATTCAATTCTGACACTATCTCCTGAAGTTAGTGTCCGGCCCCACAGGTTAAGAGTTCAGTCCCACAAGACTGCCCTTTCTTGAGACATAGCCACAAAGGCAGTGCCCAAGCTACCCACCTTGCTGCCTGACTGACTACAAATTCAGGGTTTCCCATGACCCACCTCAGGACAAATAATTTGCTAGAATGACTCATGGAACTCAAGAAAGCACTTTCCTTACTATTTATTATTAAGGATACAACTCAGGAACAGCCAAATGGAGGTGATGCACAGGACAAGGCATGGGCCTGGGGGAGGAAGCTTTCTTGCCCTCTCCAGGAACCCTCCTTCCAGCACCCTTATGTGTTCACCAACCAGGAATCTCTCCAAACCCAGTGGTTTAGGAGTTTTAGTGAAGACTTCATTATGTAGACATGATTGATTCAATTATTGGCCATTGGTGACTGAACTCAATATCCAGCCCTTCTGCCCTCCAAGGGGTCACGAGATAGGACTGAACATTCCAACCCTCTAATTACAGGGCTGGTTCCTCTGGTGACTAGCCCCCATATCTACAGGCTCACTGAGAGTCACTTTGTTGGCATAAATTCAGGTTGAAAGGGGTTCAGTAGAAACAACAAAAGATACTCCTATCACTCAAGAAATCCCAAGGGTTACAGGAGCTCTGTAACAGGAACCAGGGATAAAGGCCAAATATATATTAATTATGCCACAGTTAGTAAAAGTAAAGGCATTCTTAATGACCTATTTATCTGATTCATTAAACTCGACTGGCAGAATCTGCAGCATTTGTGTTTACCAATTATTAAGAAAGAGGTCTTCCTTTAACTTTTAAAAACTGGTTAACAGAAATTGGCAAACTCCAGCAGAATGTGTCCCCCAGAATTCTATAAACCTCTAAAGAAATTGGGGGCATTTAACCTCAAAATATTGAGAATATATTCCTCATATTTCTCCCCAAAATGATATCAGGACATTTGAGCAACATGGAAAGATTTCTCATTTCCACCCTTTTCCAAGAGTTAAAATTCTTTATTCTGGGCAAGTGCATTTGGGAACTAAAACCTATTTGGGAGTAAAAATTTCCAGTTGTTACTCATGGATTGTGGACAGTCCATCTGTTGATTTAGATATTTGAAGCTCTAAAGGAAATTAATCAGGTTGACATCTTTCATGGAAAAGGAAATAGAGAAATTGAAGTAGAGAAGAAATGGTTGAATATAATGTAATCCCACACATGAGGTGGCATTTCTGTTTGTCAGACCGGGGATGCTTCAGGATGTTTAATAGTAGAACCACATGTAATTCTATGTGAAATTCCTCAATCTGGAACTCAGAACGCTGTTGAACTCTCTGAAATTATCTGTAAAGTTTTCCTGGGTACCTTCGTGTATTTTTAAATTTTTGTTTCTTGAAGAGAAAGACCTTCTTAGGTCAAATACCCTTGAAGCAGAGCCTAAAATGAGAATTTATGTGCAGTAGAGAGTGATCTCAGGAAAGGGGGATTCAGGAGAGCAGGAGTGAGCAGGGGAATGGACCAAAAGAGAATGTGGTCTCAGCGGATGTCCGGTCTCAGTGGAGACCCAGCTCCAGCCTGAACCCATGGTGTTCTGCAGTAGGGACTGACTTGAGCACTGGCCCGGCTTTTATACTCCTGTGTCAGTGGAGGCTGTTGACCAACTTCTTGTAAAGTGGCTGTAAGAGAGACACTTTTTCTTCTCTTACACAGTCCACACACTTCACGTCTGGTCACCAAAATATGGGAGGGGATCTTCCTCCCCCAACGACACCCTCCCATTCATGCAGACAGACCAACCAATTCTCCAGCAGACATCAACTGGGTATCCTTTTAATTCATTTCAATTCTGCCAGTGTCTACCTAGAGATAGGATCAGGTCCCACAGGATGAGGGCTCAGACCTACAAGTCCTAGAAGATGTCCCCAGTTTCAGATGCCTATCACAAGTCCCAGGCTGTGATCTGTGCTTCTGACTGACCGGCTGTGAATCAGGGTTCCCAGGACCCCCTCCTTGGGTTCAATTATTTTGCTAGAGAAGCTCATAAAAC
Source organism: Homo sapiens (assembly GCF_000001405.40). Classification (NCBI taxonomy): domain Eukaryota; kingdom Metazoa; phylum Chordata; class Mammalia; order Primates; family Hominidae; genus Homo; species Homo sapiens. The sequence goes on from NC_000008.11 coordinate 94,054,190, forward strand.
GGGGAAACACTGAACTTATGTTTGCCCACTTATTATAAAGGGTATTACAAAGGGCACAGATGACCAGCAGGATGAAGAGGTGCACAGGGCAGGGTATGGGGGAGGGGCGCTGAACTTCCATGCCATCTCCCAGTGCACCACCCTCCAGGAACCTCCACGTGTTCAGCTACCCGGAAGCTCCCCCCAGTCCATTTGTGTTTTTATGGAGGCTTCTTTACATAAGCATGATTGATGAAATCACTGTCCATTGATGAACAGGTCAATCTTCACCCCCTTTCTCTTTCCCAGAAGTTCCAACCCTGTAATTGCACAGTTGGTTCTCCAGCAACCGGCCCCATGCTGGCACTATCCAGGAGTCCATCAACAGTCATCTAGTTAGAACAAAAGATGTACCATCACCCAGAAAATTCCAAGGGATTTAGGAGTTCTTGGTTAGATTCCTCTATCACTCAGGAAATTACAAAGGTCTTAGAAGCTCTATGTCAGAAACTGGGGTCAAAGACCAAATATTAGAACAAAAGATTCTTGTAGTGCCCCTATCATATACGAGGGTTTCAGGAGCTGTGTGCCAAGAATCAGGGACAGAAACCAAATACATATTTCTTATGATATCACACTATCACAGTGGTGCTCTGGAAGGGGGCAGCTGTGACTCATGGGCAGCCCACACTCACAGCAGCTGGGGGTTGTGTGCATTTGCCTGGTAAAGGGGATCTGGGAGGGCACCAACAGCATCCGCTATAGGGTCATCACTTCCACAGATTCTCAGAGTGTCTGTGACCCCCATCCCCAAAATACTAATGCTGATACACATTTAACATGCTATCTCTACAGGTGGGAGAAGTTATGGGTATAAAGTTACTTATTATAGCACGCTATGATAACAAAAGTCTAGTAACAACCTAAATGTCCATCAATAGGAGATTCATTAAATCATGGTATACGCATATGGCAGAACACTGTGCAACTGTACAACGAATAAGGAAGCTCTCATGTATTCATTTTATAATGATTATCAGGATACACTGTTAAATAATAAAACTCAAAACAATGTACTTGGTATACTACTGTTTGTATAAAAAAGGGGGTCAAAGTTTTTTTGTTGGATTATGTACAGGATGTCTCTAAAAAGATTCATAGGAAATTGGTAACACTGCTTGCTTCTAGGAAGAGGACCTGGGTGGCTGGGGGACAGGAGTCCAAAGGAGGATAATAGCTTTCTCTTTTGCTGTCCTTTAGGGTGTTATTTCAATGTAATGCCTCAGTCACAGATTCTACAGCAATGCTGTATCACTTCAGTCTCAGTAATATCTGTTTTGCTGAGGGTAATAAAGACAAGATTATCTGTCTAAGAATTTGAGCCTCTTTCTTCCTTGTCTCTGGGACTTGACTTACCACCAACATCACAGAAAAGCAGCACCACAACAATAGAACTCTGCCTGTTCTTGTGGCACATTTTTTTCCCTCAAGAGTTCTGTATTTAATCTCCTCTCAGCTATTTCAGTTAATTAATTAATTCCCTAAGCCCATGTGAAGTATTTGGTGTTTAGTTCTGACCTAATGCTTATGTTTCTTGTTTCCCGTAGGCAGTGATTTGGGGAGACAGTTCTAAGGACTTGTCAGGGATATGTGATGTGCTCAGTGTGCTAACAGCAGGAAAACATCAGCCTACAGAGAAGAACTTGCTTCATAGACACATTGCTGGTATATGGTAGAATGCTATTAAAGACATGGCTGGAATATACACAACAATAATAGCTAACACCTTCAGCATACTCAGTATGTGACAATGTGTTAAACAGTTTCTGTGTGCATCTTGTTTAATCCTCACAACAGCTTCGAGGGTGGACTATTGTTACCCTCATTTTGACCCAAAGAAATAGAAATAAAAAAGGTAAATTAATATCCAAGGTTACATAGTAAGTGGCAGAGCCAAAATTCAAACCTGGTCTGCCTGACTCGTAAACCCGAACGCTTTACCAATCTGCGCTTACTAGTCGTCTGGGGGACTTTTGGGTGGATGACTGCCATGATTCTTCCTCCTGGCTGGTCTCCCCACCTGCAGAATTCCCTCCAACTGCCCCTGCTCCCTGCTCTGTTTGTGTCGTCTAAACTCTAGATCCAACCATGTTACCTCTGCTTAAAACCCCTTGGGTGCCCCCACCAATAGCCATACATTTGCAAAATGGCAACAAAGTCAAATTCCTTGGCTTGGCTTGACCTCCCCTGGTAGGTGGTTTGCTCCCAAGCCATCTTTCAAGCTTCTTCATCCAGTGCCGTCTTTTCCAAATGCTCTCCTTCTGCCAAACTGGATTTCTTACTGTTCTGCACACAACCCCTGCCTTTTCCCGCCATCACTACTCTGAGCTGGTTTCTCTGTCTGGGATATACTTCTCCGTCTCCAATCCTTGCCTGCTGAAACTTTCTTCATCCCTCCTGGCCCAACGCAAATGCCAAATCCTGCCTCAAAACTTCCCCAATCCCAACACAACTGGTTTCTGCCCCCTTTGTTTTCTCAGCTCTTGTGCCCCTCTTATTGGATGCATTTCATTCTATCTTCATTCAGTAACTGTTAAGTACGCACTGGGCACCGTGTTACAATGATTTGTATTTCTGTCTGTACAAGTTGGGGTCCTGGCAGGAAGCAGATGGCACACATTAGTCGGATCATTTGAGGAATTTAATAAAGGGACTCTTTACCCAGGAGTGGGTGAGGTGTAAGGGCAAACACAGGAAGTAGTAGTGAAGGAAGCTGCCTGGATGGGGCGTCCAGGGAATAGATATCTCGACCTCGCCGCGCCCCTGTCTTAAGGTTACCAGGAATTGTTTAAATCATGGTATGGCAGGCAGACATGAAACAACTGTCATGAAGGAAGGAGTTTTGACATCCACAATTCCCTAGCAACAGGAAGCATGGCATGCCACAGGGGGGCCACCTATGGGTCCACCTGGGGAAGCACCTTGTTGGTCAGCAGGCAAAATTAGCAAGGAGAAAATGTGGGCAAAGAGCCTTTATTTTGGTTTCCTTGGGAAGAAACAGGTGAGGCAGGGTAAGCAGACTTAGGACTGGCTCATTTATAATTTCAGAGGGCTCTGGAGCGCAGGGCTATCCCTAGGTACCTGGCTTTGGGGTGATTAGGGCAGAGAGAAGTGACCCAGAGCATAAAACATAAGACACGGGCCCTGCCTCCCAGGATGGAAAGAAGACAGCATGGGGGTGGCCTCCTCCTGCCTCTCTGGATCCACTCCCCCATCTCTCCTGATGTGCTGCTGGAAGGTGGGCTTGTAGGAGCTGCACCCAGCGGCTCCCTTGTAGGTGGGCTTGTAGGAGCAGAGTCCAGCGGCTCTGGCTTCTGGGAGGGTCCGGCCAATGAGTAGCACTGAAGGCAGTTGGGAGGATGGACTCTGGATTGGTTGGTTTGCTTAAGAAAGGAACCCCAGCGTCCCAGATGGCAAAATATCAGAATACAGAACACAAAAAGACCTCTCCCATCTCCTGCCAGTGCTGCCCATTGGCCAGACCCTCCCAGAAGCCAGAGCACAAGGGAGCTGCTGGGCACAGCTCCTACAAGCCCACCTTCCTGGGGCACATCGTGGGAGATGGGGGAGTGGATCCAGATAGGCAGGTGGAAGCTACCAGCATGCTGTCTTCTTCCCATCCTGGGAGGCAGGGCACGTGTCTTATGTCACATGCTCATCAAATCTTCAATCAATATCCACTTATTGATTTAACACTGAGTGCCTGCACATGCCAGCCACTGCTCTAGGCGCAGGGATGGTGTAGCAGACAAGATCCAGGTGGTCCTTCCTTTCTAAGAGATTATATAGTACTTGAGGAAGACAATAAACAAAGAATCTACAAACAGAATGTTTTAGACAGTAGCAAGTGTTAAAGGAAGAAAACATGGTGACGATGGTGAGGAGTGAGCACAAACCCCCCTCCTCTGTTCAGACCCTGTGGTGGCTCCTTGCAGCCTCGGCATGGAGCTGGGTCCTTAGCTGGACTTGCAGGACCCTGTCGTGTGGAATAGGCTTGTCCACAGCCTCCTCCACCCTCCATCACACCTGTACCTGCCCCTCTGGGGAGCCATTTCCCCTGACCTCTACTCCTTGGCCTTTCCTGCTCTGTCCCAGCAGTTCCTGCTCCCCTTGCACTTCCCCCTACTTCCCCTGCCGATCCTCCTCGACTTTCCGGGCTCAGGATGTCAGAGGAAACGTCCTCGGTGCCCTGTGATGTGCTTCCTGAACAGCCACGCCCTCTTCTTCAGATCATGGCTTGCTTCACCAAGCACTGCATTCCCGTCCTTACTTTCCTGTCTTGCTCAAAAAACTGGAGCTCACTCAACTCTGAACACCCTGGGCCTGGTACCAACTTGGCCTGAGTCAGCTCTCACAGCTCTGTTTGTGTCTTCCTTCACCTGTTATTTGGCTGCTGTGCAGGGTAATGAGATAATGCCCACCAAGTGCCTAACAGGTGTGCGACAGTAATTATGAGTCCCAAACCCTCCTTACAGTATGCCTTTTAATTCAAAAGGGAACATTATTTTAAAGATTTTTTTAAAAAATTCAGGCATTATTGGAATATATACAATAAAGGTTAAGTCTTCTTCTCACTTAGATTCTCTAGTTTCTTACCCAGAGCTTCAACAGTAAGCCAATAAGCATTTAATACCACTTTTGTGCTGGGCACAGTGGCTCACACCTGTAATCCCAGCACTTTGGGAGGCCAAGGCATGCAGATCACAAGGTCAAGAGATGGAGACCATCCTGACCAACATGGTGAAACCCCGTCTCTACTAAAAATACAAAAATTAGCCGGGCGTGGTGGCTCGCGCCTGTAGTCCCAGCTACTCGGGAGGCTGAGGCAGGAGAACTGCTTGAACACGGGAGGTGAAGATTGCAGTGAGCCGAGATTGTGCCATTACACTCCAGCCTGGCAACAGAGCGAGATTATGTCTCAAAAAAACAACAACAACCACAACAGACCACCTTTGTTTGTGTGTGTATGTGGATGGATAGATAGTGTAAAATAAAAATAAAATAAAATTCTACAGCCCCTGCAACTGACTGAACGGACCCCCTCTTGGCCAAGGGAACCCCAGGGAGAAACGTTAAAGGCTGAGTTCCTGGCCATGATGGGAAGAGAGGTCGGATGAACCTCATCATGCCCCGTCCACTTTGGGGTTTAGACACAACTGACCAGCATTCATGTTAAAAGAGAGATCATAAGATTGACAAAACAGACTCTTGGGACAATGAGACACCAAATTATAAACAAGACCTAGTACTATTCAAGGCAAGGGTTGAGTCAGGCCTGCAGGCCATCAATCTTGCTAAACATGTCATTTTATTGTGGCTGCCTCTGACACTGCATCCTTATCTTAACTCAAGCATTCCTTTCTGTTGACTCCAAGTTTCAGACAGAGCCTTACTCCTCTAACCAATTGCAAATTAAAAATCTCTGAATCCGCCTATAAGCTACAAGCCCATGCTTTAAGACATCCCACCTTTTCAGGTCAAATCAGTGTATACCTTCCACATATTGCTTTCTGTCTTTGCCTGTAACTCCTGCCTCTCTGAAATATAACACTAAACTGTAATCCAACCTCCTGGGGACCACTTACTCAGGGCTTCTTGAGTTTATTTTCCTGGGCCATGAGCATTGATTGGCTCAGAATAAACCTCTTAAAATATTTTTGCAGAGTTTGGTTTTTCTGTCAACAATAGATAGATAGATAGATCCCCTCTTCTTTTTTTCTTTTTTTTTTTTTTTTTCTGGAGGCTCCGTTGTCCAGGCTGGAGTGCAGTGGCATGATCTTGGCTCACTGCAACCTCTGCCTCCCAAGTTCGAGCTATTCTTCTGCCTTAGCCTCCCAAGTAGCTGGGATTACAAGTGTATGCCACCATGCCCGGCTAATTTTTGCATTTTCAGTAGAGACAAGGTTTCACCATGTCGGCCAGGCTGGTCTCAAACTCCTGGCCTCAACTCCTGAGTGATCTGCCCGCCTCAGCCTCCCAAAGTGTTGGGATTACAGGCGTGAGTCAGCGCACCCAGCAATCCCCCTTTTTTATACTAATAGAAGCTATAAACACTGTTCTATATCTTCTTTTTCTCACAACGTATCAACATAACTTAGAGATCATTTCATATTAGCACATGCCTTTTTTTTTTTTTTGAGACGGGTCTCGCTCTGTCACCCAGGCTGGAGTGCAGTGGGGGCGATCTAGGCTCACTGCAACCTCTGCCTCCCGGGTTGAAGCGGTTCTCCTGCCTCAGCCTCCCGAGTAGTTGGGATTACAGGCACATGCAACGTGCCTGTCTAATTTTTTGTATTTTTAGTAGAGACAGGGCTTCACTATGTTGGCCAGGCTAGTCTCGAACTCCTAACCTCAAGTGATCCACCCACCTCCACCTCCCAAAGTGTTGGGATTACAGGCATGAGCCACTGTGTCCAGCCGAATACATTCTTTTAAACAGCTGCCTGATATGCCATGTTATGGGGGTTCCATAATTTATTTAAGTGGCCTGTTAGCAATGGACATTTAAATTTAAATTTTCTACAGACTTTTGTTACAAAACACCATGCTGCGACATACATCATTGCACACTGTCTGGTGAAAGCGCATCAGAATGGATCCTTGTCCTTGAGTGCCCAACACGGAACCTGGCTGTAAGGCAGGGCTCAGTGCCCGCCATGCATTTGAAAGAGCAGCTGCCTCAGACCTCAGACTTAGTCTCCTTCATAGGAGGTGTTTCTCTCCCGCGAGCTCTGCCCCCATCCCAGGAAAGGCAGCCAGAAGCTGAACGCCCAGACCCTGCGCTATACAAATATCAGTAAACAAATAGGGTGACTTTTTTCTTTAAATTCAGACGTGTTGGGACACCAATTTGGATCTCTTGCCAGATTTGAGAAGCCTGTTCTTTCTGAGCCTGAGAAATACTAAGATCTCCTCTATTGTGGTCAGACTTGAAGCTAAAGGGCCTCGGGGCATTTTCTTTAGTTGCAGATGGCTGGAGAGAGGTTTTCCTTGTTCGCCTTTAATGGCCATTGTTAAGGGACAGAAAGAAAGGCCCTGGGATGTCTTGAAGGTACTGAGCCAGAGGCAGAACTCACAGCTCACCTCAGAGGTGAGGGTGAGAGTGTGAAATGCTGTGGCGGTGAAAGTGAGGAGTCCTCGGTGTTCTCTGAGGCCAAGTTTCACAGCCCACTTTCTTCCCTCCCCATGCCCTGGTGGAATGCGGGCATTAGGATGGCACAAGCTCCACTTCCTGGCCCCGGGAGGAGGAATTCCCTGCAGGAGGGAATAGGCCCTTCAGAGCTGATCTGTCCTGTGAGAATTCCCAGCTGTGTGTGTGGCTTGTCCTCCCCACTAGAACAGGAGCTCCCTGTTGGAAAGGATCATTCTGTACCTCGCTCGTGCCCACTCACGAAGCAGATGCTCAACACATGCTCATGAAATGAAGCCAGCCTTGTCCTGACTGCACTTCACTCAGCCCTGGTTGAAGAGGTACGTGACATGGAAGTGTTGAGAACAGTTTGATTCTTGCCATTTTAAGTCAACTCAACAAATACTTATTTATTAAGCTACACATCAGGCATCTTCCTTGAGATTCTCAGGCCTCTTCCTCTCCAGGTATTATGTTCTGAGAATAGAGACAAAGTCAGCCTCAAGAAGATATGAAAAATGATGAGTGCTATAATGAGAAGGGTGCAGGCAGATACAGAAACACAGAAGAGGGGCCTGGAGGTTTCCAATTAGAGTAGATCCAAGAAAATTTTCTGGAGAAGGTGACATCTAAGTTGCATCCTGAAGAATAATACGTGATAGTTGGTTGAGGAATGGGTTTGGGTCAGGTAGCTGTGATATTCTGGGCAGTAACAGGCTCCAAGCCACATGTGGGGCATTGAGAGCAGCAAGGAATGGTTTCAGGGGGCGAAATAGAAGGCTGTAGAGAGAAGGAAGAGAAAGCTGGACAGGAGGCGGGCCACAGGACCTGTGAACCGCCCAAGGAGCACTAACTTTATTCTGAGAACCATAAGGACTTGACAGGGTTTAAGCAGGGACTGACCCACCCACCACCTGACTGGGTGCTAGGAACATAACATGGGCCATCTCTACCTCCATGGAACTTGTTTTCTATTAGAGTGTGGGCAAGAAGAACAGGAAGGTGACGCTCAGGTTCTCTGCTCAGGTGTAGCTAGTGGTGCCATTTGTTGTGATGAAGAATAAAGAAGAAACAGGTGTTGACATGCATGCTGTGAGTATAGTATTTTTGTAAATGCTATACGCTCTGTTTCCATTCTCTCCACCCTCTTTGGGGTCATTCTCCTCAGGTCCCCCAGCTCCTCACTGGCTGGCAAGTGCCTTCATGCTCCCAATGCTCCTTGCCCCACCTCCCTCCCCCACAACCTGTCAAAACATATCAATCATGTGTCTTTCATTCAATTACAAGGATCTTTCTTCCTCTCAACCTCCTGGGACAAGAATGACTCTTATTTATTTATTTATTTATTTATTTTTGAGATGCAGTTTCATTCTGTCACCTAAGCTGGAGTGCAGTGGCATGATCGTGGCTCACTGCAACCTCCGCATCTCGGGTTCAAGTGATTCTCCAGCCTCAGCCTCCCAAGTAGCTGGGATTACAGGTATGTGCCACCATGCACAGCTAATTTTTGTATTTTTAATAGAGATGCGGTTTCACCATTTTGGCCAGGCTGGTCTCGAACTCTTGACCTCAAGTGATCTCCCTGCCTTGGCCTCCCAAAGTACTGGGATTATAGGCATGAGCCACCACACTGGGCCACGAATGACTCTTTAATCTGAAAGTACATAATGCCAATACCTAATTATAGCTTCATGCATTACTTGAAATTGGGATGGGGAATCATACAGATATGGATTTGGATTTAAGTTCTGCTACTTCCCAGGTACATGAGCAAGAGGCCCTTGTGGTCTTAGTCTCATTTGTAAAATGAGGATATTAGCAGCAACTTCATACAGTTGTTATGAGAATAAAGTAAAATAATATATAGCATTTAGCATAGTTCCTGGAAGAGAGTGAGGGTCAAATCAATCGTGATTGTTCCAGTTATGTGTTTTTTAACCCAGATTCAAGCCGACAAAGTGAAATGGTCATTGATCCTGTATTTAAAGGCCTCTGGGGACAGGATTTCCACAGCCTTCCTTGGAGGGCTTATTTCATTGCCATTGCAGCTCAAAAATACTTCCTGGTGTCTGCCGAGCCCTCTCTCCCTGCCTCTGAAGCCTCATGGAGGACATGTGGTCAGTCCTCCTTGAGATTCTCAGGCCTCTTCCTCTCCAAACCCTTTTGAGTTTCTTCTTATTACCTCATAAAACCCATGATCTATTTCTGGGATAATTTAATAATTTTATTACTCTTCTTAGGCCTCAGAGTGAAGTTTTGAAGGCATTCATCTACAGTCCCAGGAACACTCAGTTTTTTTTTGTTTGTTTGTTTTGTTTTTTTCCTGAGACGGAGTTTCGCTCTTGTCGCCCAGACTGGAGTGCAATGACGTGATATCAGCTCACTGCCTCCCGGGTTCAATCAATTCTCCTGCCTCAGTCTCCGGAGTACCTGGAATTGCAAGCACCCACCACCACGTCCGGCTACTTTTTGTATTTTTAGTAGAGATGGGTTTCATCAAGTTGGCCAGGATGGTCTCGAACTCCTGACCTCAGGTGATCCACCTGCCTCGGCCTCCAAAAGTGTCGGTATTACAGGCATGAGCCACCGCACCCAGCCAGGGACACCCAATTTGTATAAGAAAGCAATGTACTGCTTTATCATAAACTGGGACGAGGTCTGAAACGCTAGGCCAGTGGTTCTCAAAATGCAGCCCCTGGACCAGGAGCAACAGCATCACCTGGGAACTTGTTAGAAATGCAGATTCTTAGGTCCCACCCTGACCTGTGGAATCAGACACTCTAGGTAGGGTGCCGTGGTCTGTGCCTTAACAAGCCCGTCTTGTGGTTTGCATGCTCCTTAAATGTGGAGGACTGCTGCTGTGTGCAAAATGACAGTGAAGAGGACTGGGGCGAGTGGCTGAGGCCTCAGGCAAACAGGGGAGTCTTCAGGAGAGAAAGGAAGCTGGCACACCTGCCCCAAATCCATTCACTGCCACATGCAGAAGATGAGAGAGCCACCAACTCCTAGTACCCTTGCCCCCTGGTGAACAGGACCCCAAATTAATGTCCTAGAATCTGAGCAGCCAGGTCAGCAGCTCCTGTGGAGTAAGGAAGGACTAGAGTGAGAGGAAAGGCTTCCTTCTGGGTAAGAAGAGGAGAAAAATGCCTATCCTGCCCCCGCAGGGACTACAGCTCTCCCTTTCAACTTACTGTGGGAAATAAACTGCCTTTGTTGTTTTTTTATTATTTTTATTTTTTCAGTGCGGTGAACTAAAGTGCCCAGATCGTGGGGGTTTTATGATGTGTGTTGGGAATTATTAAGCAATAGATGCAAAATTTCCCCAAATCCAAAGTTTGGGCCTATCTCCAGAAGCAGAACTTTCCATAGCAAAACATCATCTGTTTTTAAATTACTCTAGAGGTCAAAGACAATCAGAGTGGAAGACAGTTTGAAGGCACCAACTAGGGACCTACGTCTATTCCACAGTGCAGGGCTGACCACTTCTGGGGTACTCAAGGTTTCTAGGGGCTGGGGGCCAGTTCGTATCTGGGAGCAGCCAGGCAGGCAGGCTATAATAAAAGGCACTAGTAAGAACACTCTATTAATGGTTTTTGTTTTGCTTTTCATGACTATATGAAGGTCGAAGTTCTACTTTTGCTCTTTTCTCTGTTTTGTCACAAAGCGGTAATATTCAAAGTTGGAGGTATTTAATTAATTCTGAATCGTTGGGATCTTGTCTCTGTGCCCTGGATTTCAGCAAAAAAAAAAAAAAAAAAAAAAAAATTATATTACGCACTTGGGGAGAAAAGTCATATGAAAACATTAATAACTTTTATTTTATTATTGTCCTGCCTTTAAACAAGATTTGTGTGTCCGTGCAAAATTATGCCTTTTTAAAATAAATTCACAGTAGTCACGGGCTACCAGAGCAGGTCACTGGTTTGGTTTCCATGGTGCTATTGACTGGGGAGCTGCAGGGTAATTATTTCTCCAATTTTGTCAGAAGAAGTACTTATTCCAACCTGACGTAAATGTTTCAAAATAGGTTAATTATGAGAGACCTTTACATAAATCTGCTCTCTTCTAAATAGTGTCTGATCTTCCGGCCCGATTTTATGTCTGCTCATTCATGAAGATACTGGGAAGGAGGCTGAAACATAGAGGATGTGTGGGGGTTTCAATCCCATGTCCATTTTCTGCTTTTGAAAGTGATCTCAGGTCACGCACGGTGGCTCACACCTATAGTTTCATCTACTGGGAGGCTGAGACAGGAGGTTCTCTTGCCAGGAGTTGGAGGCTGCAGTGAGCTATGATCATGCCATTGCACTCCAGCAGCCTTGGTGACACAGTGAGACCCGGTCTCTAAAAAGAAAAAAAGTTACCCCAAAGCACCAAACTGGCCTGCCACTGAGGTAGAACAAGCCTTATGTTATATTAGGTACTGAGCAGCCTCACAAGTTAGAGTAGCCTGGGACAAAGGCCAGAGAGCAAGAACTTGCAGCTAACAGAACACCAGGTGCCTGAACCTTATTCTTAAGCAGTTGTGTGTGCAGAATATTGCATCAGGCTCTGCAGGAAATACCCAAACAATGCTGTTCCACAGTGTTAATGATGTTCATGTCATTGTGCAACAGATCTCTAGAACTTTTTCAGCTTGCGAAACTGAAACTCTACACTCTTAGAAATGGTATTAGTAATGGGGGTAAAGAATGGCAGTACATCTCATGGGAAAGAACCCACTAGGTAATATTTGTTGAATGAACAAATCACGTCTCAGGAAAACTTAAAAAAAATGTTAATTGGGAATTTAAAATGTTAATTGGGAATTTTTGGTATTTGTTTTTGCTAAAAACTAAAAAATTATAATATTAAAAGTTAAAATTTGCACTCCGTACTCTGTACTGGAAAAAAAGTAAAATAACTTATAATCCCAATACCTAAACATAACCACTCTTAACTATTGGTGTTGCTGAGGTTGTACAATTTGACTTTTGCATTATTTATTTAGCAATATACTATGAGCATTTCCAAGGTAATTAAAATGCATCATGGACATTATTTTAATGTCTGCATAATTATCCTGTGAGCTATATAACACACCTTTGCTGTTATACGTTAGCTTCTTTCCAAAAATTTGCTATGATAAATAGTGCCAGCATGGAAGATATTGGGGATGAAGTGTCGTGATGCTGACAACTTACCTTCAAATATAGCAGAATGTTATCAATAGTTGAATCTAGGTGGATGGTATATGAGAGTTCATTGTACTTTTCTTTCAACTTTTTTGTATGTTTGAAATTTTTCATAATAAAACATTGGAAATGATAGTGCAGTGATGGATGCTTTTGTATGTAATTTTAAAAATGTAATCTTTTTCCTGACATAGAACCATTGGATGAAAAAGGTATGAATATCTTGAAGGTTCCTAATACACATACCCAAATTGCTCTCTTGAAGGTTTACATCAACGTGTGAGACTGTTCATCTCATTCCATCCATACCATCATTGAATGATACCGATTTCTATCCACATTTGCTAGTTTGACAGGAAAAATAGCATGTCATTGGATTGCTTTAGTTACTAATATATTTGACCACTTTTTTCTCATTTTCACTAGCTCTTTGTATTTCTTTCTTGCGATCATAATCTTGACCCATTTTTCTATGGAAACTTTAGTGTTTTCTCATGTCCTTGAATGAATTGTTTTCATTCGATGTTTATTTTTTCTGAGTAACACATGAATATGATTTAATACTCAAAGATTTGTAATGTGAAAAAGTAGCTCTTGTTTCACCCCCCACAACACCAGAGATGACCTCTTTAAGGAAGTGTTTTTTCTAGTGTTTTCTCTAAACAATATGCTTTCTTTTTGCCCTTTTCAAATTTATTAAAGATATCACTTACATACAATAAATGTCTCATATTTTAACTGTACAGTTTAAGACATTTTTTAATGTGGTAAAAACACATGTAAAAATTACCCTCTTAACCATTTATAAGTGTACAGTTCAGCAGAGTTAACTGTATTTACATTGTTGTGCAATAGATCTCTAGAACTTTTTCTTTTTTTTTTTTGTTTTTTGTTTTTTGTTTTCCGAACCTGACAATTCTATATACATCTTTTTTTTAAAGTTTTTTTTTCTTTTATTATTATACTTTAAGTTTTAGGGTACATGTGCACATTGTGCAGGTTAGTTACGTATGTATACATGTGCCATGCTGGTGCACTGCACCCACTAACTTGTCATCTAGCATTAGGTATATCTCCCAATGCTATCCCTCCCTGTTCCCCCCACCCCACAACAGTCCCCAGAGTGTGATGTTCCCCTTCCTGTGTCCATGTGATCTCATTGTTCAATTCCCACCTATGAGTGAGAATATGCGGTGTTTGGTTTTTTGTTCTTGCGATAGTTTACTGAGAATGATGATTTCCAATTTCATCCATGTCCCTACAAAGGACATGAACTCATCATTTTTTATGGCTGCATAGTATTCCATGGTGTATATGTGCCACATTTTCTTAATCCAGTCTATCATTTTTCAACTTGCAGAACTGAGACTCTATACCCATTAAACAACAACTCTCCATTTCCCCTCCCTCAACCCCTGGCAACCACAAATCAAGTAGTATTTCTCTTTTTGTGACTGGCTTATTTCACTTAGCATATGTGAACTTGTCCTCCAGTTTCATTCACGGCAGGATTTCCTTCTTCTTTTTTTTTTTTTTTTTTTTTTTTTAGACGAGTCTTGCTCTGTAGCCCAGGCTGTAGTGCAGTGGCGCGATCTCGGCTCACTACAAGCTCCGCCTCCCGGGTTCACGCCATTCTCCTGCCTCAGCCTCCCGAGTAGCTGGGACTACAGGTGCCCGCCACCACGCCTGGCTAGTTTGTTTTGTTTTGTTTTGTTTTGTTTGTATTTTTAGTAGAGACAGGGTTTCACCGTGTTAGCCAGGATGGTCTCGATCTCCTGATCTCGTGATCCGCCTGCCTCGGCCTCCAACGTGCTGGGATTACAGGCGTGAGTCACAGGGCCCGGCCGATTTCCTTCTTTTTTAAGACTGCATTATGTACACACACACACCGCCACCACACACACACTCTCTCTATATATGCATATGTATATTTTTACACACACACACCACACCACACCACACCACATACACACTGTCTCTCTACATATGTATATGTGTATTTACACACACACACACACACACACACACACACACCACATTTTCTTTATCCATTCACTCACTGATGGACATTTTGGTTGCTTTTTTTTTTTTTTGAGACAGGATCTTGCTCTGTTACCCACGCTGGAGTGCAGTGGCGCGATCTCAGCTCACTGCAACGTCTGCCTCCCAGGTTCAAGCTCACCTTAGATCCTCCACCTCAGCCTCCTGAGTAACTGGGATTACAGGCATACACCCCCATGCCCAGCGTATTTGTATTTTTTGGTAGAGACGGGGTTTTGCCATGTTGGCCAGGCTGGCCTTGAACTCCTGACCTCAAGTGATTCGCCTGCCTTGGGCCTCCCAAAGTGCTGGGATTACAGGCGTGAGCCACCACACCTGGCCACTTCTACCTTTTTGTTATTGTAGATAATGCTGCAATGAACATGTGTGTGAAAATATCTCTTCAAAATCCTACTTCTAATTTTTTTTGGATATGTACCCAGAAGTAGAATTGCTTAATCATATGCTCATTCAATTTTTAATTTTTTGAGAAACTTTGGTACAGTCTAAGTAATTTTTTTTACAGATATTTCTTGTTCACTTTTTTCTCAGTTGTATAGACATTATCTATTAGCTTCATACTCTGGAAGATAACTTTTATTATACTTCTCTGTCATCTCAATTTCCCCTATCTATTGTCTTTCAATCATATTTATGTGCCAAGTTTTGGTTAAATACTATTTTGTGCTTATATTTTTATGACTATACACTCATTATTTGTTTTATCTCCTTTCCTGTATAACTTTTTGTTTTTTACTGGAGTTAATGATTGCACTATTTTTTATTCCCTTAGTTTTTTATGTACTTACCATTAATTTATAAGAGCTTCATTTACAAAACTATAAAGTTCCCCTCAATGTAGTCAAATACTTCAGGTAACCTGTTAGTTGCACTTTTTCCTGGAAGACATCCTCTGTCCTCTTGCTCCATATCCTCTGGTTTCTTTCTTGGTCTGCTGCAGAGCTATTGTCTTAGAAGTTATTTCCATTATCCTGGTTATTTGGTTCATCTCTTTCCAGTGTTGGGTTCCCTGTTTTCTGGGTTCTATGCCTTTGCTTTCGTCAAGTCTGGTGATCCTTGGCTGCCTGTTTATATTTAAGAATGGAAACTGTATGTTTACGAGGGGATTGAGAGTTGTCTTAGTCCATTTTCTGCTACTCCAGCAGAATACCACAGATGGAGTAATTTATAAGGAATAGAAATGGTTTGTTTGTTTGTTTGTTTTGAGACAGATTCTCACTCTGTTGCCCAGGCTGGAGTGCAGTGGCACCATCTCAGCTCATTGCAAACTCCGCCTCCCAGGTTCAAGCGATTCTCCTGCCTCGTCCTTCTGAGTAGCTGGGATTACAGATGCCTGCCACCACACCTGGCTAATTTTTGTATTTTTAGTAGAGATGGGGTTTCACCATGTTGGCTAGGCTGGTCTTGAACTCCTGACCTTAAGTGATCTGCCCGCCTCGGCCTCCCAAAGTGCTGGGATTACAGGCATGAGCCACCGTGCCTGCCTGGAATAGAAGTTTATTTGGCTCCCTGTTCTAGAGGGTGGAAAGCCCAAGAACATGGCACCAGCATCTGGTGAGGACTTTGTTCTGTGTTATCCTATGACAGAAGAGCAAACCATCTCATGGACAGAGAGAGGAAACTCATCCTTTTATCAGAAACCCACTCCCAAGATATGGCATTAGTCCATTTATGAGGGTAGAGCCCTCATGACCAAATCACTTTTAAAAGGCCCTACCTCTTAATACTGTTACAGTGGAGATTAAGTTTCAACATGAGTTTTGGAGGGGACATTAAAACCATAGTAAGAGCGAAAAGACTGATTGCCTGTTATATTCCCAGGTACTAGAGAGTCTGTAGGGGTTGAACGGAGAAATAACACTCAAAAGGAAATAAATACAAACACGCAACTATAAATACAGAACTATAGATGTGACTATAGTATGTATGCAAAAAACAGTGGTGGCACAGAAGGAGTAATCAGCTCTTTCTGGGAAGCCTTCCCTTCTAAAATACTCTAGTAATGATAATGGCAGTAACAGTGGCTAACATTTGGTGTCTACTACGTACATGTGCTATTCAATCCCTGCGTAAGACCAAAGATTTCTTTTGGTTTAAAAATGACGACCTTTTCTGAAATAACAGAATTGTATTATCTTGGGAAAAATGAGTCATCTATCAATAATGTTAGAAGAATCAGCACAGGTTGACAAGTGGTATTTTGAATGTCTTTGTTTCTCCTTCCATCTTGATTCATCTTTTAAAATGAGACAAAGATACAGCTTTATTAAGAGTCATGTCGTTGTGCAGAGCAATGTGTATATCATTTGTGTACAAAGGGATGTATGATGCTCATTTTTACGTAAGTTGCATATTTAGCAAAAGCTTTTCTTGAAGGACACACAATATAGTGTGAGGAGATTCCAGAGGGGGATGGGCTATGCAATTATGTGTAAGCTAAAAAGCTCACCTGCAGCCTGTGGCTGGCGGTGTCGCCAGATCAGAGCTGGATGGGTCCAACTCTGCCTCATCACTGTCACCTTTCTCTCCCTTCTGGAGCAGTGGTCATACGCTAGACTAGACCCAGGGCTAGTAATCTCCAAGTTAGCTTTGGGGCTGTCAACAGGGTCCAGGATTGAAGAGAAAAATCAGACAGACATGAATCAATCTGACAGCAAAACCGGTTCATCAAAACCAGGAAGTCAGGAGCAATTAAAATCAAGGTCTCAACTACATCTGTGAAGGCAGAAATCCAAGCACGTGTCAAAACCAAGGAGAAGCAGCAACGTGAGTACCTCAGAAGATGTTTACGGAGTATCTTCCATAATAATGATAACTAGCATATATGGAACATCAGTTAAGGGCCAGGCACTGTGCTAAGGTATTTAGAATACATGTTCATTCATTTAATCCTCCCAACAATTTTACGAAGCTGACACTATTCTAAGCCGCATTTTATAGAGGCTTAGAGAGATCTAGTGATTTGCCCAAAGCCATACTGCTGGTAGGTATTGGTGATAGGATGTAAATCCTAGTATTCTGGCTCTGGAGATAGGGACTGTGCCAAGGACTGGGATGAAATGCTCATTACATGAACTGGTTACTACTAATAAACATGTAATTATGAGCTAAGAAGTCTGAAGAGAAGGAATACAGCTTGTAACTAAGATAATTGAGTTTTCTAGAGAAAAGACTGGGGGAGGAGGAGTCAGGGAAAGAAGAGTTCCAGGTAGAGAAACTAGCATGTGTCAATTTCCTGTGGCAAAAGAGAAAATGCTGAGTTTAATAAAAGCCACTCTAGTAAGCGCTGGCTGCTTTAGAGGACAGCGTGAACCAGTAACAGAACCTCTTGGAGGTCTGTGGAAGTTGATTAATGCTTGGTAATTGCCATCCTTGCCATCCATCTAGGATTTGGGGTAAAGCGCCCTAGTGGGAAAGCCTCAGGCTTCTTGTGGGGATTGAGTGTGCTCAAGGGTATCAGCATGCAGCACTATGCTGTCCCATGGACTGATACATGTAAGTTTTGTTCTTCCTCTTTCAGACCTTCATTCTTTCCTTCTGCTGCATTTCTGATTCTGTGGCACAGCTAGAAGTAAACAAATATGCCCAGGTTGCACAAAGAACTAAGATGTGAGGGCCCCAGTTCCCCAGTTCCTCTGCACTCTTTGTAAGGAGGCCTCTCTCCCTTCTCCCTCCTCCCTCCGTCTAGGATGACTCACCATAGCAAAGAGGCAGACAGCCGAAGTGCATTTGGCCAAGGCCAATAGCACATTATGTTGCAGGCTTTATTGGCTTTCCCTACCCTGGGCATTCAAAAGCAATTCAAATAAGAGATGAACCAGGTGCCAGGATCCATTGATCGGTGCCTGTTTAGAACTGAGGTGGTTGTCAGCTGTGTCCCCCTTTGGCATTCCCAATCCACACTTCGCCAGAAAGGCATTGAAGGGTGCCTACTGTGAGTGTGACCGTGTGGGGCTGGCTGGCTGGCTGGCCAAAGCTTTGTTTGTCTGGGTCTCTGCACAGTGGTGTGGACTCCATCCACCATAGAATTGCCAAGCACAGATTGTCCAACTCTGGAGTTATAACTTTTTTATTTCTGTGAGTAAAAGATTATTCATTTAATAATCAGAAGACAATTGGTTATTCAAGAACATCTTGTACACATTACAGGGATTAGTCCTTAACCCCCAGAAAGAAAAGTAACAGACATTCAGAGAATATTGAAGACTCAAATCAGGAACTGTAGTGAAAAGGAGGAGGATGATGTTAGCAACATTTCTGGAAGTCCTTCCAAAACTTCCTCTAAACTAGACTGGCTTTGTAGATCTTAGGGTTGCTACAGCATTGCTGTTTCTTTATCTATATCAAATCCTAAACACTTACAGATCACCTGACATAGCCCAGCTCTGTGGGTCCTGGGATCCCAGAAGAAAAGAATGCCATCAGGATTCCCAATGGAGTAGGGACAGATGTTGACCATTAGTCACCTTGGTGGGACCTCCAAACATCCTAACTGAGGCTTGTGCAAGGCATGATGGGAACAGAGCAAAAGCTAGCCATATTTGTCTGGGGGATGGGAGAAAGCCTCAAAAGGCTATCTGGTCTTTATAGCCCTCTTCAACATGGCCTTGCTTAAGTCCCCCTCTTGAAAGATAATTTGTTTACAATGCTTTATTGTTTAATTTATTGTTTACCTTTCTCTGCCTCTACAGCTGTCATCACTACTATGTGTCCTCACCAGAGAGAGGCTTCTGATTGCGCTCCTGGCTTAGGAGAAATGGTTAACATTATTGAGTTCTTCCCAGGAGCCAGCCACTGCCCTAAGTAAGCCCTTTCTCATTCAATCTTAGAACAACCCCACAAGGAAACCAGTATTCCTTCCCCACTTCATAGATGTGAAATCTGAGGCTTGAAGGGATTCAGTGGATTTCCCAAAGTCCCACAGTGAGAGACAGAACCAGGGTGGTAAAATGGGCAGTCTGATGGTAGAGAGGTTACTGTAAACAGGAGGCAGCCAACTATGGCCCATGGGCAAATCTGGCCCACTGCTTGTTTTTGTAAATAAAGTTTTATTGAAACATAACCATGCCCATTTTTTTGCTATCATCTATGGCTGCTCTTAGGCTAAAAAAGCAGACTTAGGTAGTTGTGACAGAGACCACATGGCCCACACACCCAAAAGTGTTTGCTATCTGATTCTGCAAAAAAAAGTTTACCAAACCCTGCTCTCAATCACTACTCTAAAAAAAAGAAAAACAAAAAAAACCTCTTTCAATTAAATCAGAGCCCCCCAGAGGACACAGACTGCCTAATTTATTCCTGCCATCCTCTTAGCCTCTAACCTAGGAGATTCCATTATTGATGGTTACACTTCAACAAACTTTAAAATGCTTACTCAATTAAATAGATTTAAACTGTATTTAAACAATCCTGAACCTTCTTCTAAAAATGTAAAAATCCAGGCAAAAATAATATTTGCTGCAACCATCATTAAGCTAGATAAATCCCAGAGGTCAAGACCAATGGCTCCAACAGTGTGACAAGGACAACTCTAAATTAAAGTGCATGCTACATCTGTAGCAACCTCTTCTTTAAAAATGTGTTGTTTCTGTGAGTAGCTCTGCAGTGAGCTGCCCGGAATTTAAAAAGACAATATATCTTTCAGCACTTTGGAAACTAAAAAGTACACATAAGCAAAACCTCAAGGAGACAAGAATAAATAAGAAAAGCCTACACTAAATCCCTGGCATCGTGCAGTCAGCCCGGGAAAAAGAAGCAAAGGGTGAGGGATGCAGTGGACACCTCTCTTCAGCAGTGGGGAGGGGATGCGGCTGTTGGGCTCTCAGTCAGACTGGCAAATGGATGCCATTTTTGAGTGGGGCCTCAGAGCCAGGTGAGACCACATCCCAACCCCACCCAGTGTTTTCCATGGAGTTTGCCCAGTTTGGGGTCATGAGGGCTGCAGTGGTATAGGAAGGACACTGGACTAATATAGGAGATCTGGGGTCACTTCCCAGCTGTTTGATCCCCTGGTGACTTCCTGGCTGTGTCACCTGGCTATCTGGCCTGGAACCTCACACAGCAAGTGAGTGAATGAGTGTCAGTGAGTATGGGATGGACCGCTAGTACTAAAGCCAGATAGACCTGTATTTAAATCCCAGCTCAGCCTTTACTAGCGCCAGTGTCTTGTACAAGTAATTTATAAATTAGGTTAAACATTCTTTAAAGGCAGGGACTGCAGCTTATTCATCATTGCATTCCCCTACCTAGGAAACAATAGGTGCTCAATGTTGAATGAATGAACCTCTTTCAACCTTGGGTGTTACTGTGAACATTAAATGAGAAAATGAATATCAAGCCCAAGCATTTAGTAAGTGCTCAGTAAGTATAAATGATGATGACAGTGGGACTCTAATGTTAGTGATGTAAAATCTGCTTTTTTGTGCCTCAATTTCCTTCACTATAAAATGGAATAATAATTGCTTTATAGGATCACGTTTGTAAGAAATTAGGATAAAATGAATACAAAGCACTTTTTCCTCCCATCGAAGTTTTTACCTATCTCTATTTTAGCTCTTGTTATACTGCATGACAATTACCTTTCAATTGTTCTCCCACTCAGCACAGTTGCTGGAAAATAGCAGGTGCTCAATAAATGTATGCCACCTTAATTGCCTTTGTAATACATACAGAGTAGCATAATCATGAAAAATGACACTATACAAAGATAACTGTCAATTTTGAAGGCAGTGAACATTCTAGTAATGCCATAAAGAATCTTTCTGAACAGAAAGCAAGTTTACAAACTGTGCATTTAATGCCAATGCATAAATGTATTAATATTCTCCTGTCCTTGCCAATTTCTGGGGGATTTCCCATCTATAGAGTCAGCATTTCAGATCAGTGTGCCTTATAGATTGCGGTTCACATCTTTCCTGAAGTGGAAAATCATTCTTGGCTTTTGTCCAAGATTCTTACTTCTTTAGTTTTATTTAAGTGGTTTCTAATTTGGTTTATTTCATAAATTACGACAGTATACTGATCTTCCAGGTCATAAGTAAAGGTATTTCCCTCACAAAAGCCTACTAAGAACTTCAAAGCAGTTCAGACATTTCCATCCATCACCCGTCACCTTCTCTCACTTCCAACTGGTCATCCAGTCCCATGACATCTTTTTAGCTGAGCCAGATATGAGCAAACATTTCAAGAATCTTTATGAAACTTAAAATGGAGCTAATTTACTGCATTTGTAAATTTTGCTAAAAAAATGAAATAATTAAGGCCCTCTCAGCTACAGTAAAATGTGGACATTGTGAAGGAATAAGACTTATACTCAGCCTAGTAGAAAATGACAAACATGCTCAGGTATTGATTAGCACAAAGCTAGGGAGTAGCAAGGCAATGCGTTTTGACTCATTGTTGGCAGACATGGTAATCAATCAAACCGTACCAAAGTTCTGAATCTTTTTCTATGTGATGTGAAACAAATGACTCCTATGCAGCAGCATGCAAGTCCTGTTGCCTTCTCTGCAGCTCTGTTCTTCTTACCCACTCCTGAAAGCACTTCCAAATGCAAGGGAGCTAGATAGCCATTCAACTGGGAGAACCTGGAGACCACGCTAATTTTTAAGTTAGTTATTGGCAGTACTAGTACACACTAGTAACAAGCTGATAGTAATTAGTTATAATTACTATAGACCATCTTTCCATCTTGCGACTGATTGCAACACATTAGTGTGTTCTAACTGCGTAAGAATCGTCCAGAAATATTAAGATAATTGAATAGAATAGATAGGCACTACTATCGTCTGAATATTTGTGTCCCTCCCAAATTTATACGTTGGAATCCTAACGCCCAAGGTGATAGTAACTAGGAGGTGGGGCCTTTTGAGAGGTAATTAGGCCACCAGAGCAGAGCCCCGGTGAATGGGATTGGTGCCCTTATAACAGGCCCCAGAGCGCTCTTTCACTCTCCCACCATGTGAGGACGGTGAGAAGGTGCCAACTATGAACCAGGATGCGAGCTCCCACCAGATGCTGAGTCTACTGGAGGCTTCATCTTGGACCTCCCAGGCTTCGGAACTGTGAGAAAAAAATTTCTGTTGTTTATAAGCTACCTGTTTATGGCATTTTGTTATAGCAGCCTAAATGTACTAAGCCACCCGGAGTGCTCAGCCTGCTACCAGGCTGTTTTGTCTGGAGGGTAGATATTTATTTTCCCTGGTAAACTTGACTGTTTTAGCCCAGAGTGCAGCTTAATGATTTAAAAAATCCATCTGCCCTGCATTTTGCTAGGCAATCCAACTCCCCTAGTCGATTTAATTTGCACGCTTTTAGTTGGGTTATTAGAATCATAACAAGTGGAATGGAGTCACAAATTTAGCTTGCTCTATAACCTGACTTTACAGGAAAAAAACATAATTTTAAAATCCTATCCGGTAGCTCCTGCTGTGTAATAGCCTACCCCAAAATTTAGTGGATTCAAGCAGTTTTATTATTTCTCAAATATTTATTACTGGTTTAGTGGTTCTTTGAGCTGGGCTGGCTGGCTGGTTTGGAACTGGAAGGTCTAAGATCACTTCCCTTAGGTCTCTGGGCACTCAGCTAGGAATTGATTTCTGGGACAGCTGGGGCCTGCCAAAAACAAACAGAGCTGGACATTAGTTAAAGGCAGTAACAAGATATTTTATTTAAAAACTACTGCAGTGGGGCAAGAGCTGAGCTCCATTCAGATTTGCAAAGGGGTGACTGGGTGTTTTAAAGGGAGAATCAGGGAGTAAGGAGAAGGAGCAAGTGGGGGCTCAGCACAGTGAGGAGGTGAAAAATTTACCAAAAAAAACAAAATCAAAAAAACCAAAAACAGGTAGAGAGTTGGTCAACATAAACGCAATCAGGCCAGCTGTGTCTGCTAATGGGCTTATCAAAGTCAGACTCCTACCCTCCCACCGAGACTGGGAGGCAGGGGCCCTGGACTTTCTGATGATTTCATTTCAAAGGAAGGGCCTGCAAGTCCCTGAGAAAGACACTCTTGGGTTGTAGAGATACATATCCATCTCACAGGGACAGAGGAGGCATTCACAATTGTAAGCTTTTTTTTTTTTTTTTTTTTTTTAAATAAATGCTCTAAGAAGTAAGGTCTAGGGCTTGTCTCCAGGTGTTGGCTGGGACAAACTAAGTTATTTGGCAGCCTTGCCCCTTTTCAGACAGGAACTCAAGAGGGCGGTGGGGGCTACTAAAAGCAATGCTAGAGTTTAGTCGACTCCCTTAGTGCAGGGGTTTGGGCCGAATTGCTTCTGCACTTCTCAGGTGGGCTTCTCTGCACGTGGTCATCATCCCAGATGAGAGAGAAAGCAAGGCCCAGCCACAAGTACATTGTAAGCCTCTGCTTGCTTCATGTTTACTAATATTTCCTGGGCCAGAGAAAGCCAGATGGCCAAGCCCAGATTCAAGGGGTGGAGAAACAGATTCCCTCTCTGGCTGGGAGGAGCAGCATGGCTCTCTTGCAGAGGGGCGTGCAGAGGGGCGGGAGGAATCATTGCAGCCATCTTCACCAACAATCTACCAGAAATTCTAGTCCAGCGCCAACCTGGCCTTTCTCCTGAGCCCCTATTTTCCAAGCAGAAAAAAATACAAAATTTTAGTCATATGTCTATCTCTGCTCAAAGCTTAGTGCATTCTGGTAATTTAAATAGCCTGTTTAGGTAGATGGAATCTCTGGAATAAAAATGCTCTTAGCCTCTGCTCTTCCTAATTTTCTCATGGTGTCTAGGGGGAGG
Source organism: Homo sapiens (assembly GCF_000001405.40). Lineage (NCBI taxonomy): Eukaryota > Metazoa > Chordata > Mammalia > Primates > Hominidae > Homo > Homo sapiens. Next base: position 94,078,348 of record NC_000008.11, read on the forward strand.
GATGTGGCAGAGAAGCATTTGGTCTAGCTGCTGTTGGTCTGTTTGGGTCTTGAACATGCCACAGTGTGATTGAGATGCCAAGCCATGACCTAGCCAGAGCTGCATCAACCTGGAGAAAGGGGCACCTCTTTCTAATTGGCCACCCCAGGGGGGTGCCTTTTGCCTTCCCTCCGCCCAAAAAAGTACCTTCTTCTAATGTGCACAAAGACATCATCTATGCTAGCAGCAGTGGCCCAGGGCAACATTCTCTACTTCTCTAGTCTTCTGGAGGCTGTTCCTTAGTTGGCTGGGTACATCCTGCCCTCCTGGCCCTTGCAGTAGAAGCCTGTGCCTGGAGAGCTCCCCTAGTCACGATCTGACCTCCCCCAGCTTGCTGGGATCCAGTGGCACTTGCTGGCTGGATTGGCCTCCCCCAGCTCTTTATTTTTTTTATTAATTTTTATGGGTACATAGTAGGTGTATCTATGGGGTACATGGGATATTTTGATATAGGCATGCAATGCATAGTGATCACATCATGGTAAATAAGGTATCCATCACCTCAAGCATTTACCCTTTCTTTGTGTTACAAATATTCCAATTATACTTTTAGCACTCTGCTAAGTGTTTCAAGTCTGATTTTTCTTTTTATGCGCTAAAAGAAGGGGTCGATTTCCAGATATGGAAAATTGTTTCTCAAAAAAAAATCCTGGCTTATAAGACTATCTTATTGCATAATTGTACCTTGTACATCAGAAGCTATTAAGTTCCTGTTTGTGGGTTTTTTTTTTTTTTTTTTTTTTTTTTTTTACATAAATGCTAATCTCCACGACATTTTCCTGGGAGATGCTGGCAGACAGGAGGAGTGCTACTCTGAGTGAGGTCCAGGGACCTCAGCACCAGCACCACACAGGAGCTTGTGAGAAATGCAGATCCTCGGGGACTAGCCCAGACCTGATAAAGCAGAATCTTTAAAAACAGGGCCTAGGAATCTGGATTTAAAAAATTCTTCTGGGAGATGTTGGTGCCCACTAAAGTTTGAAAAGCATTGGACTAGGGTATGGGGTTTGTACTACACTAAAAAATGCAGATGAGGAGTCTTCATTTTTATTTGGCCCTTCAAAGCTTCCCATGCTCTTTTCATGGAAGACTCTGGATCATTTGAGATGAAATCACTACAGTAGTTAGTGAACTGTCCACTCAGTAAATGTGCCATTTCTCAATAATTGGTCCCAAATGGCAAACGCAATAAACAAGGGCTCTTTCTCTCCCTTCTGTGTTATGTATGGTCTCTGTCGGGACCAAAGCCGAGATAGGAAAAGGAGGGTTATTCATTTGCCCTCCAGCTTTTTTATTTCACACACTCAGAAGCAGATACGGAAAAGAGGCAAGCGGTTGTGGAGTGAGCCTTAGGAGCCACCTATGCAGGAAGGCTCCCAAGACCCCACGATGCTGCCGTACCAGGCTGCTGTGGTGATTTTAAACAAGCCTAGTGGGAAGCAGCTGAGCCAGTATAGGAACTGGCTCCTTGTCAGCCTTTAAAAGGCTGTTAACTCTACAGCCAGTTAACTCTGCATCCAGGTGCTGCGGTATGGTTTGTGACACTAGAGGGCAGCAGAGGGTCAGGTGTCTCTGCAGGTGGCTGGGGAGGTGTAGGACACCACCCAGGGAGGGGCTTGCAGCCTAGGGTGGCAGTGACAAAGAAGAGCCAAGGACACAGTCAAAACACAAGCCTCAGGGGCCAGTTGTGGAAATATCACTCCCCTCAAGGGAAATGATAGAATCCGAAACAAGAGCACCTGAGCCCAGAGAAGCCAGAATGGTGTTGGAACGCAGAGAGGATGAGAGCCGGAGTGAGGACCAGGCTGGAGGTACTGGGGTAACTCCCACCCTTGGGGACACACACGGTGACCTGGGGGCTGGTTTCTGCGGGAAACGTGGCTCTAAAGGCGTGCCAGCATGCCCAGCCCCTTGCACCGCAACAGTCTAAATTTACCCATGTCTTGGTTTTCTCTCCGACAGTAGGTGCTGCTCCCACTGCTGACTCATCTATTTCATGACAAGAAGTCTAAGGACTTAGTGACACAGCTCTTTAGCAGATCTGAAGTGGAGAGCAGCCTCAGAATGGCTGTGCTGCCCAAGGCCTCACCTCTGTGACAGACCCTGTGGAGCCCATCAGCCTCGAGTGCAGCAATCCATCAATCCATCAGCACGGGGGAGATGTTGTGTGTACTCCTCCTGCCACTCACCGGCCGGCGGGCCCTCTGGCGCTCATCTCCCTGCTTTCCCAAGGCTGCACATTTCTGAAGAGCACCTTGGAAATGGAGCCGCGGTTTCCCCTAATCTTGACCCCAAAGAAAAGATGATCTTGACCTACATTGGAACCCGCCCCTCTGCCTGCCACTGGCCGGGGGCAGCCCATGCCGGTGCAGCCTCGGAAGGGCAGGGAGATGAGAGCCAGAAGGCCTGCCAGTGAGTGACAGGTGGAGGGCACATGACACCTCTCCGGTGCTGATGTATTGCTGCACTGTAGTGTGATGGGTTCCACAGTTACAGAGATGTGGCCTTGGGCAGCACAGCCATTCTGAGTCTCGTGAAAGGGAAGATGATAATTATTGTGCTGTCCCTAAGGTGCCCAGAGCTCTAGCAAACACTCTTTCCTGTTTTCTCTTCCACTCCCCTCCACAGCTGCATAATACTGTGATAAGCAAAGGGCCATCACCAGCATACTGAAAAATAAGAAAGAAATCCAAGAAAGACACCACCTCTAAACATTACTGCCAGGAAGCCGCCTTACAAATGACAACCATTTCAGTGACAAGATAAAGTCTGTTGGAGGAGACAGTGCCTCCATAACAGCAGGCTGGATGTGCCCCTCCACCCCCTACATCTAATGGCATCACATGGTGGATGGGATGGTAAACAAGGCCAAGGGAGAGTGAAGCAGACAGCTCTGACTCTCATCTCTTGGCAGAAAAACCTGCATCAGATGTTTAGCTAATGTTTCTGTTTAGCTTTTCAGGGACATCTAGTATCTATACACAGAACCTCAGAGGTACTGGCCAGTTAAGTTAATGCAATAAGAAAATAAAAGTCATCACTCTCAGGAGAAAAGTAACCAAAGCAATTCTGTGATATACCATTAAGGAAACAACCATTTTTACGTTTTTAAGAATTCTTCCAACCAGTTGTTTAGATATCAGCTTTAGCAAGGAGTTATCAGAATATATAGCATCTACCAAATTCATTTTGTTTTACTTAAATATAAAAGTAGCTGTGTCCATACTATATTATTTTTGAGTTACAGCAATATATTTATGGACTTGGAAAAACTTTCACTTGAATATTATTAAATTAAAAAGTCAAACCACTAAATAGTTTGCATTGTATGAATCCTCTTTGGGGAGAGACAAAAGGACGTGAACTAGTGTATTAGACAGACAAGATTATCAGTGCTTCTAGTTTTCTTTTACTTGTTGAGGTCTTAGTTTTGCAAAATAAGCAATATCTTTTTGTAAAGTTAAAAAAAAAATCAGCGTTCAGTAGCCATAGACAGAGTCAGGGAAAGGGCCTCTGTGGTAGAATTTTCCAGAGTCATGACATGGTCCAGGATTGCTTTGCGAACCCAAGTCCCAACAATTAGTGGGCATTTAGATATGCAAAACTTATTTCTCAAATAGCAGGAATACTTCTTATAACCATCCGAAGCTCCAGGATCCCTGTGCTTCTTTTGAGTAGCATTTGAGAGAGAGAGATGCTATGTTTTGAGAGAAGCATTTGAGAGAGAGAGATGCTGTGTTTTGAGAGAACTTGGATGTGCAGTATTCACTCTGAGAAAAATGTCAACAAGATGGCACAGGAGGACACCTGGCAGCCACCAGCCGGCCTGTTTCCTGTCACTCTCTGGAGCCAACAGCTACTGGGCTCCTGGGACTTGCCCTGGGAGAGAGTGTTCATCTTTTGGTCTGTTTTTGCTTCACAGTGGCAGCTCACTGTCATTGTTCTAATGAACTTTTTACAAGGCTGGCACACAGATATAGAGATAGGAGTGGCCGCAGAATGGGCGAGGAGACAACAAAAGGGCACTAAGTGGATGGAGCCCCCTCTGGGCCCTGGGTTAGGCCTGGGCGATGCTTCTCTCCTTGTGTGGGCTATTGGGTTTCATCCTTCTTGGATCCGTGTGGAGCAAGTGGCTTCTGTTTCCCATTCTAGGCTCAAAGACCATGGAGACAGAGGTTTAAAATTTTTTTATTAACTTAAAAAAGAAACTTGTAAACTGTTGAGTGGAGAAGCCTAGTACTGTCTTAAATACAGCATGAGTACCCACCTTAGCGTGATGTTGAGAGGATTAAACATTTCATATAAAGCATTTAGCATAGTGCCTGATATATCATGTCATGTTATAATAAATGGTAGCTGCTAATAATTTGGTTCTCATTTTTAAACATAAACCTGTTTATATTCCAAAGCTTGTTTGTTTGGAATAGTTTATAAGTTAGTTTGATGAATTCCTGTCCTATGGAGACCTGAGAGAAAGTTCTTAACTATCAAATAATGCTTAATTTGATACCCTGGGCATAGATTCCTTTGTATTTTTAAACTAACCACTCTATTTCGTTTCATTCAGTTTCAGAAGTTTGGGTATTCCTTGCAATGCCATCTCATCCTGCCCATCTTAATATGGGTCTTTTTTTGTAGTTAGAGACCAATGAGGTTCCATCTTAATGCTTTCGTTCCTTGAAATTTCTATTAGTGTCTTTATTCCTTTTTAGATTGTGTAGCTGTATCCTGATGGGTTTTAGATGGAGTCAGCCCAGGGAAGTTTGCTATAGAAAAGGACTGGTGCTGATGACAGACTGTTCTCTTCTTACTGTTTAATGCCATAAAAATGAAACTCCTAGAGACAGCCAGGGAGGCTATTAAAAAAAAAAAAAGTGCTGAGCAATGACCAGCGGTGGCAATTCGTTCTGAAGATGACTCCAAGTGACAGCTTAGGTGAGTGATGGATATGTTTTTGTGTCTGCCAAGGTCTGGGGAAAAACAATCCTTCCTTCCCATTCTCAATCCTCGTGGTTTAGCCATGTGATCTGGGCTTGTCCAGAGCTCTCTACCACCCAGGTCACAGCCAGTGGTGCTGAAACAGGGTAAATCAGTAACTTACACTGGACTTTTTCTATTAAGAAGCACTTATTTTCTTCTTTTTCTTCTTTTCTCCTTCTTTTCTTCTTTTCTCCTCCTTCTCTCTTCCTCCTCATCTTTCTCTTTTCTTTCCTTCCCTTCTTTCCTTTTTTCTTTTCTTTCCTTTCTTTTCTTGCTCTTTCTTTCTTTCTTTCTTTCTTTCTTTCCTCTCTCTTTCCTTTCTTTCTTTAAATTAGTATTGTTAACTGTAAGGATTACATAAATCTAGAGCTGCTGGTCATTGCCTTTGCCTTTACAAGGAGTGGTGGGAAAAATCCTCCCAAGAATGGCGCTGAGAAATGGCAAGACAATTCCCTGATAGTATCTTGTGAGCCTCTGGGTCTGACCCTGCCAGAAACAAGCTGTGTCCTGGTCTTCACAGTTCTGAGCTGACAAAAGCAGGTCCCAGTTGGTTTCTGTCACTTGACAACTGAGAGACCTGTGTATTGCAAAGTTTACTGAGCAATATTTGCTACCTCCTTCTTTGTGTGGGGCACTGTGCTGTGCTCTACCTTGAGATATTTTCATTCTACTTTGAGGCAAATGAAACAGTCTTCAACAGTAGTGAATTGGTTCCTGAGAGCCCACGGAACCTAATCCTTCGATATGCAGCAAGTCTTAAAAAAATCAAAGTTGGTCTTTTCATCAGCACCATCAGATTATTTAGTTTAACTACAAAAGCATATCTCATCTGAAGCATTGCTGTTTCCACTGTGAAGCTTCTACATCAGTGCACCAGGTGCTACTTTTTTTTCAATTTATTGTTTTTTAAAAACATTTTACATTAAATTGTGTGATACACATGCAGAACATGCAGTTTTGTTCCATAGGTATACATGTGCCATGGTGGTTTGCTGCACCCATCAACCCATCATCTAGGTTTTAAGCCCCACTTGCGTTAGGTATTTGTCCTTATGCTGTCCCTCCCCTCATCCCCCACCTCCCAACAGGCCCTGGTGAGTGATGTTCCCCCGACTTGTCCATGTGTTCTCACTGTTCAACTCCCACTTATGAGTGAGAACATGTGGTGTTTGGTTTTCTGTTCCTGTGTTAGTTTGCTGAGAATGATGTCTTCCAGCTTCATCCATGTCTCTGCAAAGGGCATGAATTCATTATTTTTTATGGTTGCATAGTATTCCATGGCGTATATGTGCCACATTTTCTTTATCCAATGTATCGTTGATGGGCATTTGGGTTGGTTCCTAGTCTTTGCTATTGTAAATAGTGCTGCAGTTAACATACATGTGCATGTGTCTTTATAGCAGAAAGATTTATAATCCTTTGGGTTTACAACCAGTAATGGGATTGCTGGGTTAAATGGTATTTCTGGCTCTAGATCCTTGAGGAACTGCCACACTGTCTTCCACAATGGTTGAATTAATTTACATTCCCACCAACAGTGTAAAAGCATTCCTATTTCTCCGCAGCCTCTCCAGCATCTGTTATTTCTTGACTTTTTAATGATCACCATTCTAACTGGCATGAGATGGTATCTCATTGTGGTTTTGATTTGCATTTCTCTAATGAGCAGTGATGTTGAGCTTTTTTTCATGTTTGTTGGCTGCATAAATGTCTTCTTTTGAGAAGTGTCTGTTCATATCCTTTGCCCACTTTTTGATGGAATTGTTTGTTTTTTCTTGTAAATTTGTTTAAGTCCCTTGTAGATTCTGGATAGTAGACCTTTGTCAGATGGATAGATTGCAGAAATTTTCTCCCATTCTGTTGGTTGCCTGTTCAGTCTGATGATGGTTTCTTTTGCTGTGCCAAAGCGCTTTCGTTTGATTAGATCCCATTTGTCAAGTTTGGCTTTTGTTGCCATTGCTTTTGGTGTTTTAGTCATGAAGTCTTTGCCGATGCCTAGGTCCTGAATGGTATTGCCCAGGTTTTCTTCTAGGGTTATTGTGGTTTTTGGGTTTTACATTTAAGTCTCTAATCCATATTGAGTTACTTTTTGTATAAGGTATAGGAAGAGGTCCAGTCTCTGTCTTCTGCATATGGCTAGCCAGTTTTTCCAGCACCATTTATTAAATAGAGAATCCTTTCCCCATTGCTTATTTTTGTCAGGTTTGTTGAAGATCAGGTGGTTGTAGATATGTGGTGTTATTTCTGAGGTCTCTGTTCTGTTCCATTGGTCTACAGCTCTGTTTTGGTAGCAGTACCATGCTGTTTTGGTTACTGTAGCCTTGTATAGTTTGTAGTGTGATGCCTCCAGCTTTGTTCTTTTCGATTAGGATTGTCTTGGCTATATGGGCTCATTTTTTATTGTCTATTTTATTCTTCTGTCTTTTCTTCTTTATTAGTCTGGCTAGTGGTCTATGTATTTTGTTAATCTTTTCAGAAAACCAGCTCCTGGATTCATTGATTTTTTTTTTTTTGAAGGGTTTTTCATGTCTCTATCTTCTTCAGTTCTGCTCTGTTCTTGGTTATTTCTTGTATTCTGCTAGCTTTTGAATTTGTTTGCTCTTGCTTCTCTAGTTCTTTTAATTGTGATGTTAGGGTGTCAATTTTAGGTCTTTCTAACTTTCTCATGTGGGCATTTAGTGCTATAAATTTCCCTCCCAACACTGCTTTAGCTGTGTCCCAGAGATTCTGGTATGTTGTCTCTTTATTCTCATTGGTTTCAAAGAACATCTTTATTTCTGCCTTAATTTTGTTATTTACTCAGTAGTCATTCAGGAGCAGGTTGTTCAATTTCCACGTAGTTGTGTGGTTTTGAATGAGTTTCTTAATCCTGAGTTCTAATTTGATTGCACTGTGGTTTGAGACACTGTTTATTATGATTTCCGTTCTTTTGCATTTGCTGAGGAGTGTTTTACTTCCAATTATGTGGCCGATTTTAGAATAAGTGTGATGTGGCGCTGAGAAGAATGTATATTCTGTTGATTTGGGGTGGAGAGTCCTGTAGATGTCTGTTAGGTCTGCTTGGTCCAGCGCTGAGTTCAAGTCCTGAATATCCTTGTTAACTTTCTGTCTCATTGATCTAATATTGACAGTGGGGTGTTAAAGTCTCCCACTATTATTGTGTGGGAATCTAAGTCTCTTCACAGGTCTCTAAGAACTTGTTTTATGAATCTGGGGCTCCTGTACTGGGTGCATATATATTTAGGATAGTTAGCTCTTCTCATTGCATTGATCCCTTTACCATTATGTAATGCCTTTTTCTTTTTCGATCTTTGTTGCTTAAAGTCTGTTTTATCAGAGACTAGGATTGCAACCCCTGCTTTTTGTTGCTTTCCATTTGCTTGGTAAGTATTCCTCCATCCCTTTATTTTGAGCCGGTTTGTGTCTTTGCATGTGAGATGGGTCTCCTGAATACAGCAAACTGATAGATCTAGACTCTATGCAATTTGCCAGTCTGTGTCTTTTAATTGGGGCATTTAGCCCCATTAAAGCTAACATTGTTATGTGTTAATTTGATCCTGTCACCATGATGCTAGCTGGTTATTTTACACATTAGTTGATTCAGTTTCTTCACAGTGTCATTGGTCTTTATATTTTAGTGTGTTTTTGCAGTGGCTGGTACTAGATTTTTCTTTCCGTATTTAGTGCTTCCTTCAGGAGCTCTTGTAAGGCAGGCCTGGTAATGACAAAATTTCTCAGCATTTGCTTGTCTGGAAAGGATTTTATTTCTCCTTCACTTATGAAGCTTAGTTTGGCTGGATATGAATTTCTGGGTTGAAAATTCTTTTCTTTAAGAATGTTGAATATTGGCCCCACTGTCTCCTGGGCTTGCAGGGTTTCTGCAGAGAGATCCACTGTTAGTCTGATGGGCTTCCCTTTGTAGGTAACCTGACTTTTCTCTCTGGCTGCCCTTAACATTTTTCCTTTGTTTCAACCTTGGAGAATCTGACGATTATGTGTCTTGGGGTTGCTCTTCTTGAGGAGTATCTTTGTGGTGTTCTCTGTGTTTCCTGAATTTGAATGTTGGCCTGTCTTGCTAGGTTGGGGGAGTTCTCCTGGGTAATATCCTGAAGTGTGTTTTCCAACTTGGTTCCATTGTCCCCATCACTTTCAGGTACACCAATCAATCATAGGTTTGGTCTTTTCACATCGTCCCATATTTCTTGAAGGCTTTGTTTATTCCTTTTCTTTCTTTTTTCTGTAATCTTGTCTTCTCGCCTTATTTCAGTAAGTCGATCTTCAGTCTCTGATATCCTTTCTTCCACTTGATCGATTCGGCTATTGATACTTGTGTGTGCTTCACAAAGTTCTCGTGCTGTGTTTTTCAGCTCCATCAGGTCATTTATGTTCCTTTCTAAACTGGTTATTCTAGTTAGCAGTTCCTGTAACCTTTTATCAAGGTTCTTAGCTTCCTTGCATTTGCTTAGAATATGCTCCTTTAGGTCAGAGAAGTTTGTTATTACCCACCTTCTGAAGCCTACTTCTGTCAATTCGTCAATCTCATTCTCTGTCCAGTTTTGTGTCTTGCTGGAGAGGAGTTGCAATCGTTTGGAGGAGACACGGCATTCTGGTTTTTGGAATTTTCAGCGTTTTTGCACTGCTTTTTTCTTTATCTTCATGGATTTATCTACCTTTCATCTTTGAGGCTAATTACCTTTGGATGGGGTTTTTGGGTGGGGGTCCTTTATGTTGATGTTATTGCTTTCTGTTTCAGTTTTTCTTCTAACGATCAGGCCTCTCTTTTGAGGGTCTGCTGCAGTCTGCTGGAGGTCCACTCCAGACCCTGTTTGCCTGGGTATCACCAGTGGAGGCTTCATACCAGAGGGGCACCGGCCTGATGCCAGCTGGAGCTCTCCTGTATGATGTGTCTGTCAACCCCTGTTGGGAGTTCTCTCCCAGTCAGTAGGCACTGGGGTCAGGGACCCACTTGAGGAGGTAGAGTATCCGTTAGCAGAGCCGGTGCCCTGTGCTGGGAGAATCCCTCTTGTCAGGATCAGCTGCTGTCTTCAGAGCCAGAAAGCAGGAATGATTAAATCAGCTGAAGCTGCACCCACACTACCCCTTCCCCCAGGTGCTCTGTCTTAGGGAGATGGGGGTTTTGTCTGTAAGCCCCTGACCGGGGCTGTTACATTGCCTTCAGAGTCGTCTTGCCCAGTGAGGAGGAATCTAGAGAAGCAGTCTGGCCACAGCAGCTTTGCTACGCCCAGTCCAGACCTCCCAGCCTCCTTAACCGCGTGCTAATTCAAGAATACTTAGCTAACCCTGTGCTGTTTCCTTGAATGTGGCATTCTCCATAAAGCCATCTCTTAGTTTCCTAGTGACCTAAGACAACAGAAATGTAATCTCTCTCAGTTCTGGAGGCCAGAAGTCTGAAATCAAGGTGTTGGCAGGGCCATATTCTGAAGTTTCTAGGACAAACCCTTTCCTTGCCTCTTCCTAGCTTCTGGTGGCTCCCAAAAATCCCTGGAGTTCCTTGGCTCGTAGCTGCCCTGCTCCAGTCTCTGCCTCCATCTTCACATGGCCTCCTCTCCCCTGGGTCTTTGTTTCTTCACATGGGCACCTTATAAGGACACCCATCATTGGATTTAGGGCCCATCCTAAACCAGTGTGACCTCATCTTAACTTAGCTAATTATATCTGCAAATACTCTATTTCCAAATAAGTCACATTCTGAAGCTCCAGGTAGACATTAATTTTGGGGCAGATAGTACTCAACACAGTGTATCATCTAACAGAAGGTCTCTGTGAAACCAAACTGTCAAATACAATGGCCCAAGGAAATTGTTTCTCTACATGTCAGGGAAATTAAAGGTAAAACTTTAAATAGAAATGCTTTGCTTTTATTTTACTTATTTTTTCTGAGACAGGGTCTCACTCTATTGCCCAGGCTGGACTGCAGTGGCAAGATCATAGCTCACTGCAGCCTCAAACTCCTGGGCTCCAGTGATCCTCTTGCCTCAGCCTCCCAAGTACTTGGAACTACAGGTGCACATCGCTATGCCCAGCTAATGTTCTAATTTTTTTGTAGAGATAGGGTCTCCCTCTGCTAACCAGATTGGTTTCAATCTCCTTGGCTCAAGCAATCCTTCCCCCTTAGACTCCCAAAGTGCTGGGATTACAGGCATGAGTCACTGTGCACAGCATGCTTTTCTTTTAGAGTAAACAAACAGCTCTTAAAAACTAAACCAGTAGAACATAGGAAACAGACTTTATCATACCTGCCTTTATATTTAACCATGCTAACTTCTCTGTCAACAAATAGTTATGCTTACAGATTGTGGGAGAAAAAGGATTGTCCTGAGAGATTTTCATTTAACATAAATTACTCTTAAGGGAAATACAAATAGAAACTCCAGTGAGATACCACAGTGGAATGGCTAAAACCACAAAGATGGACAACACCAAGTGCTGACGAGAATGTGGAGCAGTTAGAACTCTCAATCATAGCTGAAGGAAGTGTATAGGGGTACAACTATCTTGGAAAAATCTATTTAGCACTATACACTAAAGTTAAATATATGTTAAATAAAGTTAAATATATGTCTACCCTATGACTCAGCAATTCACCCTAGGTATATACCCAAAGAAATGAAGGTGTGTATCATAGACTTCTGTAAGGCTGTTCATAGCAGGTTTCTTGATGATGGTTAAAAGTATTAGTGACTCAAATGTTTATCAGCAAGAGAAGGGTAAACACATTGTGGTGTATTCATGTAATAGGATACTAGCAACCAGTAGGAAAAAATGTTAGAGACATAGAAAAAACGAACCTCAAAAACATTTATGTTGAATAAAAAAGTCAAGTACAAAAGAATATACATACTGTTTCTATTTACATGAAGTTCAAGAACAGGAAAAATTATAGTGATACAAGTCAGAATAGCGGTTACCTCTGGAATGGGGAATATTGACTGGAAAGTGACATGAAAGAACTTTCTGGAGTAGTAGAAATGGTCTCCATCTTAACCTAGGTGATGAATACATGGGTGTCTACATAGAAATTCATTGCCCTGTATACTTAAGATTACTTTTATGTGGGTAAACAATATCTCAAAAAATAATAATGTGATTCCTGTTCTCTTGGAGCTTCCTGGCGGGTAAAGAGATGAATATAACAAATAAGGACTCAACCACATCATTAGAATTCTTCTAAATGCACTTATAGAATAGCATGCTTTGACAAAGAATAACAGGGATATAATTTGGATGGGGGGAATTATTTTCTATATATACTTTCCAGAAGTAAAGTCTTTCTGACCTTCTCCTATCCTTCTGTCTCCTGCCCCTCTTCCTCACCCCAATGCCACCGCTTTCAAAGCAAAGTAAGTCATAGAAACCAGAATTCCTCTTTCCCAAGATGGGCTATAGTTAACAATAATTTATTACATATTTCAAAATAACAAAAAGAATGGAATCAGAATGTTCCTAACAAAGAAATGATAAATGGTTGAGGTGATAGATAACCCAATTACTCCGATTTGATTATTACACATTGTATGCTTTTATCAAAATATCACATGTACCCCATATTATGTGTCCATAATCATTAAAAATAAATTTAAAAAATAAAAAGGGTGCCCCCTTATAAAAGATGTACGAAAAAAGAAACTAAACATGCTAAAACTTGAGAAGGACTATTCCTACAAAGAGTTGGGCCAAAGGAAAAAGAGATTTAAAATACCTCAGAAAGTCCCAGCATATGAGCAAAGATTTGGAAAATCCTGTAGGCGTGATAGATGAAGTCTCTCTAACAGAAGGGACCCAATCCAAAAATGCTAGTCTGGTTACTAACGTCTGGAGTAGAAGCACTATCAAACCTCAGTCACAAGTCAATTATCTGAGAACTTCGGTATCTCATAATTACAGCGGAAAAAATGCAATGTTTTTCCTCGCTTATCACAAGGGTCACAGCTGACATTCCTGTAACAGACAGATTAACAGGAGAAAAGCATAACAAATGTATTCAAAGTTTTAGGTGACACAGAAGCCTTCAGAAATAAAGACCCAAAGACCCAGGGAAACCTGTCTATTTTTGTGGTTAGTGATATGGTTTGGCTGTGTCCCCACCCAAATCTCATCTTGAATTGCATCTCCCATAATTCCCATGCATAATGGGAGGGACCCGATGGGAGGTAATTGAATCATGGGGGAGGGTCTTTCCTGTGCTGTTCTCGTGATAGTGACTAAGTCTCACAAGATCTGATGGTTTTATAAATGGGAGTTCCCCTACACAAACCCTCTTTGCCTGTAGCCATGTAGGATGTCCCTTTGCTCTTCCTTCATCTTCCAACATGATTGTGGGGCCTCCTCAGCCATGTGGAACTGCGAGTGCATTAAACCTTTTTCCTTTGTAAATTACCTAGTCTCATGTATGTCTTTATCATCAGCGTGAAAACAGACTAATAGAGTTAGGTTCCGTGAAGAATGGACAGCCCTGTAGAAATGTGATTGGACAAAAGGGTAGGTTTAATGATGGTAGACTGAGAGGAGGGCAGGTGAAACCCAGCAAATTTGTTTAGATTCTTCTTGGCATCTCTCTGTAGCATTCCTGCCTCCTGTAGGGGCAGGGTCCCTCTGGAATGAGGGTCTTGAAGGGAGAGAGTGACTTTTCTAGGTTTGGGGGCTTGCTTTGCGAGAGGGGAGTTCCAGTTTCTATAGCCCACCTTGGGAAAGAGGAATTCTGGTTTCTATGACTTACTTTGCTTTGAGAAGGGTGGCATTGGGGTGGGGAAGAGGGGCAGGAGACAGAAGGATAGGAGAAAGTCAGAAAGACTTTACTTCTGGAGTTTTTCTATTTTTCTTCAGTTCATAGAACTTAGCACACCAAAACACCATACTTTAGGGTATTGTGTTCTGAGCCCCAATGTGATCAAGACCAGCTGTTCTAGGATGGCCTTCTGCCCCTTTGAATTTGGTGACTAAATTCTATGAATTTCTCAAAATAATGTAATAATGTCTTTAGTGTTAGCTTTTGAAATGGGTAATGTCTTAATTTTTGTGGAATCTTTGCATAGTTTTGAAAATATTGAAAAGATGAAGAGAACTGGATGCTTGGGAGACATATAGTATAGAAGATTTATTGAGTGACAAATGTTCATTAACTTTGCCTAAATAGGTACCCCAAGGGGAAACTAATATGTGAGAAGAACTAAAATGTATTCTCAGTGCTGCCTTGCCTACAATATGCTGCTTTTTCCCCTACAGGCATGAGGTTTTGCTCTTAGGCTAAGAGAGAGGATTCTTTTCTTTATGCCCAGTGCTACTTGGTCAGGGTTATATCAGTTCAGAATACTGATGAGAGATGTGCTATCACCATGTTGATCAACTTTAAGGGTCAGAGTGACCTGCCCACAGAACCATTAGAAGCAATGTATCTTGATGGAATTTTTGTTTGTTGGCTGATTGTGTTAAAAGATAAACTTAGGCACATTAAAATTTTAATGAGTTATTTGAATTCAGTGATTCATGAATTGGGCAGCGCCAGATCACAAGTGGCTCAGTGCTCCACCAAAGGGGGCACAAGAGGACATTTTATTAGGTGTTTGTAAAAGCCAGATAATGAAACTATTTGATTGGCTAAAGTGGAGAGTCCCTAGTTAGAGGTTACTCGGTAGCTTCTAATTAGTAAAGCCTCTGGTTAGAGGGTAGTTGGTGGTTTCTGATTGATTAACCTTAAGTTTTGTTTTACTGTTTACATTAAGTTGGGGTTTGGTTTGCTTATATAAGAACCCAAGGTGCTGGAGACATCTCAGCCTAATGGTCTCCCTGTTAATTATTCTAACAACTGGTATGTTTTGCTATATTTCAAAAGGAAGCAATTAATTTTTGGCCACCTCTCTCTCAGTCACTTTATTTATCTACCTAATAGGGTAACATCCATTTAATTAGAATGAAATGTCCAATTAATAAGGTTGGATTGTACCCATATTATTTTCTATTTTATCACATGTACAATTACTCTTGTCCTAGGTGTAGATGCATATAGCAGAACTAGACAACTATAAAATGAACATCTTTCAAACTTCTTCCTGAATCTGAAGCAGTATATAAAATGACTCTGTACAATCAAAAGCTATAAAATAGGCTGGGGGCGGTGCCTCATGCCTGTAATCCCAGCACTTTGGGAGGCAGAGGCAGGCAAATCATGAGGTCTGGAGTTCGAGACCAGCCTGGCCAAAATGGTGAAACCCCATCTCTACTAAAAATACAAAAAATTACCTGGGCGTGGTGGCAGGCACCTGTAATCCCAGCTACTCAGGAGGCTGAGGCAGGAGAATTGCTTAAACCCAGGAGGCAGAGGTTGCAGTGAGCCGAGATTGCAGCACTGCACTCCAGCCCTGGCAACAGTGCAAGACTCTGTCTCAGAAAAAAAACAAACAAACAAACAAAAAAAACCATTCAAAAGGCTTCTTGAAGATGAATTTTGAGCTGGGTCTTGAAAGAAGGATAAAACAAAAGACAGGCAAAGAGAAAGTAAAGATAGGTAGAAGAATAGTACAGCAAAAGCAATGAGACCAGAGAAGAGAGTGAAGGAATCTAGTATGGGTGGAGAAGAGAACCCTCAGCAGGGCACTTATTCTGTGATGCTGTTTTCTTTTACTAGGAAACTAGGAAACATGAAGGATGTGTCTTCTTAAGCATCGGCATTTGAGCCAGATGGCCTTGCTTTAAAAATAAATAAATAACACATTCTATACTTTGGAATGTTCTAATGTGGAAACCAATATTCAAGAATGGGCTATGGAAAAACAGTATTTTTGCTATTTTTAGAAGCAACCACCCTCTCTTTCTGAGTAATAAGCTTAAGGCTCCAAATTCTAATTCACAGACTAAAGACAAACAAATTATATCAGATTCATATTTTCAAAATATTCCAGTTGCACTCACAATTTTTCATGCGATAACTCTGCCAAAGAGGATATTGAGGTCAATAAGCACATGGCTTCCTGTGCTGGAGAGAGTTAACTGATAAAAAGGAGCAAGGGCCCTAGGGGTGGTGATGAAGACAGAGTGAGCTGTCTGATGGGCCACATTCTCCCAGCTACAGTATAACGTCTGAGAACGTGTGTCAGGCCCACTCCTTTGCAGACACAGCAACAGTAGCAGGAGGCCGATGGGGCTGCTGTGAGGACATTCAGGACAAATGATGGTCCTAAAGGGAATTCTGTAGGGCTATGATTTGAAGGTATTTTGTTTTTGTTTTCAGTCCCCTCTGCTCTTTGTCTTGTCCCCGCAGTTCTGTCTGATACTAAGAACTGCCACGTTTGGAATATCCTCATGATCACACATCTGGGTCTTGAGGCAGCAGGAGGCAGGATAGAATTTGATGGGAAAATGAAAAAAGAGAATACTAATAGGTGCCATTTAGCAAGCACTCACTACCCCATTTCCTTGAACCCTGACACCACCCTGATGGGTCACTGGCAGAGGAAACTCTTGGTTGCCCACTTAGCATCCATTTTGCCCTTTCTTCTGTTAAAAGAAAATCTTCAGACAAATTTAACAGCTTGAGGAAAGAATGATTCATGAATAAGGCAGCACTCAAAACCAAAGGCAATTCAGAGAGCTCTACCTAGCCATGTGAACAGGGAGCTTTTATGGACCGAATGCGGAAGCAAAGTAGAGAAGTTACTTGATAGGCTACAGCTAAGTATTTGC
The DNA here is from genome assembly GCF_000001405.40 of Homo sapiens. NCBI lineage: Eukaryota > Metazoa > Chordata > Mammalia > Primates > Hominidae > Homo > Homo sapiens. Next base: position 94,095,064 of record NC_000008.11, read on the forward strand.
CTTATTTGAGCATGGTCTGATCAGGTGGCTGTCTGTTAATGGCCGAAGTTCAGCTCTTTGTTGTAAAATATGCTCCTAAATGAGGTTTCTGTTTCTTTAAATTAGGTTGCAGTTTGTTACCCAGGAACCCAGAGTATGGAGACAGCATCATGGTCATAGCATCCTGCTTATGTAATTTAACACTTCTAATAAAATCCATTTCATTCTTCCCCAGTGTGGCCTTGGGAAAACCAAATGCACCCCTGCTCCAGCAACTGGCTTGATTCATCTCAGGTTAAACCTGTCTCCTTCCCAGTGATTGGTTCAGGGATGGGCATAGGTACCTCTTATCTGGAAAGTTAGATGAGAGAACAACATTCCTGGGGAAGATCTTAGAAGTTTCCTTAATCTTTGATGCCTGGGATGGCTGCAGCCATACAGCTAACAGATTAGGCAGAGCCAGCATGAGAATGGCAGAGCCAGGAGAGGGAGACCAGCTTACTCAATGGCACAGTTGAGCCACTGAATCAAACAGTCCTGAAAACTGAATTATTCTAGAAACCTTGTTATGTAAGATAATTGATATCCCTACTGATTAAGCCAGTTTGAGTTTGTTTTGCTACTTGCAACCTAAAGTATTCTAATTAATACATTGCTATTATTTTCCCCACTTGGAAATCAAGAGTCAGACAGCTAAATAACTCAAAGTCTCCAGCAAGTGACTGAGAAAGCCAGGTCTCTCCAACTCTAATGCCAAGTTCTAACCTGCTAACTAATCTGGAAATGGTCTGTTCATGTCAGGGAGGAGAGCCATGGAACCAATGGCCCAGATACTCATGGGGCTGGGACATCAGAAGGGAGCAATCTAATTGCTCTCTGAGTGTTCCTCATCAGGTGGGGGTGAACAAAAATCTGAGGCAGGGCCCCCTAAGCAGCCAGGATGGGTGGTACTGCATGGGAGAGGCCCCTGTATTTCCCTTTAGAAGCACTAAAGTCTCTAAAGGGAGCTTGACCAAGTTTACAATATTGAAAACATTTTCAGAGCTTTTCCATGTACGAGATGCTTTTTTGATACATGACTTCAGTTCTGTTTTTTTTAATCCTATTGAGGCATGAAGTAGCCTCCACTTTACAGAGGAGAAAACTGAGACTCTGCAAGGCTACAGGACTTGCCCCAAATCTCCCTTGTAAGTGGTGAAACTGACACTTGATCCAAGGGCTGCCTCAGTCCCATGCTTTTCCCATGTCACACTGTCAGTGTGACTCTTGTCCCTGCAGGTGACATGTTCAAGGCCACATACTTATTTTTATCAATACCTTGGGAAAGGTGGCTTGCATGGCCAATACTATGACTCTAAGTGATTTAGAGAGAGGTCTAGATTCTCGCCCTTCTGGAGGGAAAGAAAGGAGGTGACTGCCTTGAGTTAGTTCCCACACTATGTGTCTGCTGCACTTGAGCCAAGAATTCTTATTGTCTGGAACAGGGAGAAGTCCTTTAGGGTGGGCTGGAGAACCTCATGCAATGAGCCTCTTGGCCAAACCTCCTGCAGGATTGGAATTCCACAGCACAGAGAAACCTTTAATTGAAATGCTCTTTGCTTCCCCCCAGTTCCCTTAGGCCATGAGGGAAAAGGATTCCCAGTACCTATCTCTCTTGGTACCTGGCAAAAATGCCATGTTGAGAAAAAGTCTTATCACAAATAGGTGGAGAAATTCAGACTATTGGTTTCCTAAGGTTACTAGCTGAGTTCTCTCCTTGGTCATTTATACAGATAATTGCCTCAAGCAAGTACACACCCACCTGGAACTATTCTGTTGTCCTCAACAACAGCTGTATGCACTGCCCAGAGAGACTGAAATTCTGCATGTGGCCTCTCCCTGACATTGCCATGGGATGGTCTAATTTTTTTAAACCACTTATTGAATGCCAACTGAGTACCAGGCACTAAACATACCCTTAATCTTCACAACCCTATAACGGCAGGTATTATTATTCCCCCTGAACTGATGAAGAAACTTATGTCCGGACTGACTTGCTCAGACACACAGAGCAAGTAAATGGCAGAGAAGGCATCAATTCTGTGAGGCTCGGCTTTCATTGCGGGTACGTGTGCTACCCACTGTGACTAGCCCATAGTGACAGAGTAGCAAGAACAGGACGTCATGGCAGTTCTGGTTTATGGTCTGTCAACTACGTGTACATATTATGCTAGAGCTTGGTGGAATCATGGTTGACTAAAGCCCTGGTTTTCAGTGAGCTTCTAGTCTAGTGGAGACAGATGCTCTGGAAGAAACTTATATTTGAAATCTAATATATTCATTCTCCTGTTCTTCTAAAGTAATAGAATTTTTAACTGGGTATATGATTACCAAGCCAAACACTGTCTTCCAGCCTCTCTCGCAGCTAGTGGTGGTCCTATAACAACGTTCTGGATTATGGGATGTAAGTGATCTGTGTAACATATAGTTGTGCCTTAAAAAGAAATGATGTCCCCATGCTTTCCCCTTCTTTTCCTTCCTGTTACTTGGAAGCAGATATGACGGCAGGAGCTGGAGATGCCCTGAAGAACCATGAGGTAGAAGCCACATTGTGAGGATGGCAGAGCAGCAGAACCTGGGCTCTGATGATTATAAAACAACCATAGCAAGCATGGACCATGTCCCTGGACTTCTACCTGAGAGAGAAGGCAACTTTTAATGTAAATGACTTTAACTTAGGTCTCTTTGTTAAAGAAGCCAACTTTATATTCCAATGAATACAGATGTGAACACAAATACCTGTAAATCAATGTCTAATGACATGGTAGCTTCCATCTGTCTAGTGGTGGGACCTAAGCAGAGAGCCCCAGTTTACCCCTGGGAGCCCCCAGCGGTGCTTCACAAGTGCTTCCAACCAGCTTGCTACCGTGCACATTTGCTCTGTTCTTCCTCTTCTTCTCCCTGCCATCCACACTGCCTTCAGCACAGCAAGTCTCTTCACAGTGACAGCTCATCACAAGAAGCCCACCACCCAGGCCAAGCGTGCCATCTCCCCTCATCCAAACCCTCCAGGCCTCTGAGTGGAGGGAGGTGCAGACATTCTTTGCAAAGGCCAGAAAGGACTCTCTTGGGCCTCTGGCTGCTCTGTGTCTTCTGGGCCATCAGAGCAGCACTAGTCAAAGCCCCTTTGGACAGTGGTGTCAGCTTTGGGTCTTCTCTCTTCAACACAGGCCACACTCAATGCATAGGGCCATCCCTAAGATAATAGATATGAAATCATTGCTGCTGTCTTTCTAAATCACGGCTGCTTTTTCCTCTTCTTCCTCTCCATGCCCCTATCTAGGTTCTTCCTCCTCCACTGCTCACCACCCAAACACTCACAGACCTATGAATAAAGGCAAACAACCCTAATGTGCATTGAGTGTTATGTAGGGGTAACACTGGCAGCAGGCAGCCAAAGTCAAGCCATATATACAGCAGGAGCTGATGTGTGCATGCACACATGCATGTGCATGCATGTTGAGCAGGGGGGATCCTGTATTACCTGTACACCCTGCTGTAGGGGCATAAAAGAAGGAGAGGTTTTCCAAGAGGAGCAGCCATGGAAAGCTTCCTTGAGGAAGCATTCTCTCCAGGTCCAGGCCAGTGACAGGGAGCTCAGAGATGACGGTCAATGTCCCATTCCTTCTGAACTCTTGACAGGTAGCTAGAGGACAGAGCTGGCAGGAACACTGATAACTGAGCCAATGAGTGTGTCCTGCCTTTACCCTTTGCACGGGTTCATTTTTCAAGGGTTCACAAGACTAAAGTGCCTAGAGGGGCCATGAAGGAAATGTCCATGAATGAAACAGAAAACAGGACAGGAGTCTCACCCAAGGGGACAGCAGATGCTCAGATCCTGCCTTCTGTGGCCATGCAGGAATAGGGACCCAGATGAGATTAAATCAGATTTGTCAAAGAGAACAACCAAGAAATCTGAATTTTTCATGTAAAATACCACAGTTTTTAAATGCTGATAACTAACTCAGATATTTAAAAATCACTAGGCTGTCCAAATGAAAGTCATCTTTGGGCCATGTTCAGCTCCATCCTGACATTCTGAGACCAAGTTTATTTCTGTACTGGTACCATGTTTGCTGAAACCTTGCTATGAACTTGGCACTGTGTTAGCTCCAGGCTGTATATGCGTGGTGGGGGAGAGGCATAAAACTAGGCTCCTGCCCTCAAGGAGGTTATAATCTATGAGGAGAGGGACAACATAGACATGCATTTGCAGGGAGGAGGGGGTCACATCTCGTTTTGGGAAATCAGGGATCACTGCCTGGAGGAAGCACCTCTTCCAGGAGGAGGAGAAGAATTTCAGGAAGCATGAGGTAGCTCAATGGCACCAAATGCTACTCAGATCAAGGAGGATGAAACCAGGGAAAGGTTATGACTTTGATAAATAGGAGGTCCTAGGTCACCCTAGAGAGGGGATTCTCAGAGGGTAATAGGGCTAAGGTTGTGACAAAGCTAAAACTCCAAATGAGGGCACTATTGGAGAGAATTGACCACTGTAGGAAATAAAATGGTAGAAAGCTGGAGGGACTAGCAAGAGAAGAGACAGAGTCTGCAGAGTTGTAGGAAAAGATGACCTAGGAGAGGGGGAGATGAATGATGCAGGAAAAGAATAGGAAGAGCAGAATCAAGGGGGAAGGAGACAATGGAGCTAAGATACAGGTAAACTTGGTGCCGGGGTTGGGGGCAGGGGGGGCTCTGGGAAAGAAAGGAGTCATTCTCCAAGGATGCTACAAATCACAAGACAGTCCCAAATGATCTCATTTCTAAAAACATCACAAAGCTATGCTGGAGAGTTGTTGAAGAGAAAGTCTTTAAAACTATTTCCATGGACATTCATTTAAAGAATAAATCTTCTTCATTGCAGGAAACATCTTTAAGAAAAGGAGAACAGTGAAAGGTTTTAAACAGGGTTGGAGGCAATACAAATAAAGAAGCATAAAATTCAGCTTGGCTAAAGATGAAATCAAGAACAGGATTAGCATTAAGTATATCTTGGGGAATGGAAAAAATGTTCTAAGAGTCCATATTAATAGAGTGGGGTTATCTGTGGGGCAGAAAGATAGCCAATGACTCTCAAGCTATGGCAAAGAAAAACAAAAGGATTAGACCACTGTAGATTATTTTAGGGAGGGTTGGGAAAGTGTCTGTTACAGGGCTATCCCTTTACATTAATTTATAACTCCCCCTACCCGGGTGAGAACTCAGCATTTGTTCCTCCCCTGAGCTTAACTTTAGTTCTCCATTTACACTGGGTCTGTATCTGCCTTGTGCTGGCTGTTTTTCCTCAATGGGTTCTTAAGAAACACCTATAACTGCTTTACGCAGCATGTCACTACCCCACTAACAATTTTCAATAGAAAGCTTCAGTACTTTAATCTGTGCCATTTTCCCCACTCATAACCCTCAATAGATTTTCTGTAGCTGTTTCTAAGGTGACATCACAAGCAGAAGGTAACCGAGAGACAATAACTAGCATGTATCATGACACATACCTACTATGTGCCAGGCAGAGTTTTACCTGCATTTTCTTTTTCAATCCTGACAGCAACCCTCTATCCAATCTTTGTCACATACCAGTTGTGTAGCCTCAGGAACAGTTCTTACTCTTCTTCCAATTTCTTCAATTTAAAATGCAATAAAAATAGTGATAGAGAATATGTCAGAATTGTGAAGACTAAATGAGTTTAACACATTTAAAATACTTAAAACAGTGTTCTGTATTCAGTAAGCTCTCAATAAATGTTTATTTCCAATAGGAAGAGGTCATAGTCATCATTATCTGTATTTTACATATGAGGAGGTTGCATGTTTAAACTACCTCCCTAAAGTCATCATAGCCAGCTAGTAAGTGGTGGAGCTGGGTGATGCTAGGTCCTTTCTTCTTACACAAGACATCAGTTAGAATGGTGAGCTAACAGGGCTCCATGCTTCAAGAAAGAAAGGTAAGATGCCATGGTTGTGTGGATCAATCTCATTGCCACTCCTCTTCAGCTGGAAGTGGTAAGTGACTGTGTCTTGCTCCATTTATTTGCATGCCCAGCTTGTTTGCATGGTTTTGCTGGGGCTTCAGCTGTCCTGTGAAATTCTGTGAGCTCCCATTTCTTTCTAACTGGATAGAGTGTGAGCCATTTATGGGCAAAAATCTTCTCGGAACTTTGACCACAAATATCTGCTGAACAGGGAGTTCTTCTGCAGAACCCTGGTGTTTTATCGTGTGAAAAGAAACATGGGTCATAGGATTTGCAAAATGAATCACAGAGGCAAAGATTCCTCCATATGAAATATCATCATGGGCTTCTGTTGGAAAAAACATTGAACGTGCTTAATTTACTTTTCGTGATCCTCTTGGGAGTTGGCTCTCAGTGTATGTGCCTCTAAAAAATTTCAAGACTCTTCATACTCATGCTAAAACTGCTGCTTACTGATGTTTTATTATGCTACAAGGAGAATCACAGCCTAGATTTCAACATTCTGATGTGTAAGGACTTCCTGTATTGCCATACTGTCTGTCTTTCCAGTGGCTGAAAGAGATTCTGAAGCCTCTGGTTTGTTCTGTCCCTCAGCATCATCTTCACTATATAGTTATTATGATTATGATTATTATCTATTGATGACAAAACTCACGTGCATTGATGCTAAGAGGTGGTTCTAAGATTTGTATAGTCAAGGGAAGAACTAAACTGATGTTTTCCTTTTTGCCTTAGCTGTGGGAATATAAATATGTCATAGTCTTCTATTAAGACTGTGTATGATTGCGAGTAAATAAAAACCCAACTTAAAAGCATTTAAAGAAATGAGAATTTTTCTCATATAACAATAAAAAAAACAAGAGGGAGGCCATTATTGTCACTACTGATTCAGCGCTCAGTGATGTCAGGATTGTCCCAGTTTCTCATTTGCAGGATGGTTGCTGAACATTTGTCCCCTTTTATCAAGATATGTTCCCCCACCCTTAGCAAACATCTGCTTATATTCATTTGCCAGAATGGTAGCATATGGCCACTCTTATCTAGCTGCAAAGGAGGCTCAGAAAGTAAGCAAGGAAGAAGGGAATTGGGAATGGGTGTTGGGAAGGCCCACCCACAGTGCCTTCACATCTGAATCTTGAAGGTTATGTTTATACAACTCCTAAATAACTGACTCAAAATTTTCAGTCAAGTCAGTGAACAAATATTCAGAGATTTATTTGGTGATGTAGCCATCAACTGTAATTGTATATTTTATTGTTCAGTAGGTTGTTAGGCTCTATTTGGACAGTCTAATCCCACTCAAATCTTCTATGCCTTTGGTTCACTGATATGCTTAGATAAAATCTGAACCAAACCAATGGTTTTCAGTGGCATTCGGTGAATCAGTGCTAGATTAGCTTCATAAGAGTTACCTATGTATTCTTGAGTCAGTTTCGGTAATTTGAGTCTTTCAAAGAATTCGTCCATTTTGTCTAAGTTTTCAAATTTGTTGTCATAAATTTGTCCATAATATTCCCTTATTTAATGTTTGTAGGATCTAGTGATATCTCTTCTTTTGTTCCTGATATTGGTCATTTGTGTTCTCTCTCCCCTCTCCCACCTCCGTTAGTCTCACTTAAGGTTTATTGAGCCCTTCAAAGAGCCAGCTTTTCCATAATTTTTCAAAATTGCTTTTTCATTTTCTAGTTTATTACTTTCTGCTCTTATTTCCCTTCTCCAACTTACTTTAGGTGTAATTTACTCCTTTTTCTGGTTTCTTAAGATGAAAGCTTAGATCATTGATTTTAGGCCCTCCTCTTTTTAAAATACAAGCATGTGGGGTTATAAAATTCCCTTTAACAACTTCTTTAGCTGCATCACACACATTTTAATGTTGTGTTTAATGTGTGTTTTAATGTTGTGTTTTTCATTTAGTTCAAAACGCTTTCTAATTTTCCCATTTCCTTTTTTTGAAAACATTGTGTAGTTAAGTATGTGGTTTGACTTAGCGATTTCCCATATATCTTTCTGTTACTGATTTCTAGCTTAATTTCACTACAGTCAAAGAACATACTCTGCAATATTTTGATTCTTTTAAAAATGTTGATTCTGGTTTTACAGCTCAGCATGTGTTCTAGCTTGGTGAATGTTTCACGCACCCTTGAAAATAATGTGTATCCTACTGTTGAGTACAGCATTCTATAAGTGTCAACTAGGTCAAGTTGGTTGCTAAAGAAGATCAAATCTTTTATTTCTTTACTGGTTTTTGGTCTACTTCTATAAATTACTGAGAGAGGAATGTTTATCTCCAAATATAATTAACATTTTTCTATTTTTCTGTTCTTATTTTACATATTTTGAAGCTTTTAGGTGTATACACACTTAAGATTGTTATTTCTATATGATAAATTGACTCATTATAATTAAATGTCCCTCTTTCTCTAGTAATGTTTCTTGTTCTGAATTCTACTTTGTTTGATATTAATATATCTGCTTCAGGTTTCTTACATTTAGTGTTTGCACGATATATGGTTTTTAATTCTTTTACTTTTTACCATTTAAAAAAATTTTTTGTAGACAGCATATATTTGGGTCTTACCTTTTTAATCCAGCCTGATAATATTTTAATTGTGCTTTAATAAGATATCTTATTTTATCAATGTAGTTGAATTTAAATATACCATTTTACTAAATGTTTTCTATTTGTTTCATCTATACTTTATTACCATTTTCCTCTTTTTTTGGTTTTCTGGGATTATTTTTTGCATTCTATTCTATCTCTACTATGTATTCTATAGATCTCTTTGTTGCATTTAAAAGTTTAAGGTTTACAATATGTATTTTCAACTGATAGCCTGTCTTCAAATAATATGCCATTTTGTGCAGAATATAAAATCCTCTAACAGTATATTTCCATTTCCTGTATATCTTCCTTTGTATTATTTTGTCACACATTTTATTGCTACATGTTATAAACTTCAAAATACATTATTTTCACTTTAAACAGTCAACTATGTTTCAAATAAAAATGTAAAAGTCTCTAATATTTACTCATATATTTACCATTTCCAGTATCTTTATTCTTTTGTTACGTTAGGGTTCTCCAGAGAGTCAGAACCAATAAGATATACACAGACATACACACACACACACACACACACACACACACACACACACGTATATATATTTACATATATATAGATCTGTAGAAAGAGATTTACTTTAAGACTTTGGCTTACACAGTTATGGAGGCTGAGAAGTCCTGTGATGTGCCATCTGCAAGCTGGAGGCCCCGGAAAGCTGGTGGTGTAGTTCTAGTTCAAAAAAGTCCAGGGAACCAAGGGAGCCAATGGTGTTAGTCCCAGTCCAAGTCCAAAGGCCCAAGAACCAGGAACACTGATATCTGGGGGCAAGAGAAGATGGATTGTTTCAGGTCAAGCAGAATGTGCAAATTTGCCTTTTTTCTGCCTGTTTTATTCAGGCCCTCAGTGGGTTGGATGATGTCCCCACACATTGGTGAGGGCAATTTACTCAGTCTGATTGAAATGCTAATTTCTTCCAGAATACTGTCAGAGACATACCCAGAAACTGTTTTACTGAATTTCTGAACATCCCTTAGCCCAGTCAACTTAACACATAAAATTAACCATTCATTTACATACATTCAAATTTCCATCTTGTATCATTTTTTTCTTGCCCAAAGAATTTTCTTTTAACATTTCTTGTAGATCGTATTTGCTGATGACAAATTTCCTTGGCTTTTGTTTGTGTGCAGAAGTTTTATTTTATCTGTATTTTTGAAAAGATTTTCAAAACATTTTGTGTATTTTATCTATACTTTTACTGGATATAGAATTCTAGATTCATAGGTTTTATTTCAGCATTCTTAAAAAGTCATGTCATTGTTTTCCAGCCAGTATGGTTTCTACTGTCAAGTCTGCAGTGGTTTTTATCTTTGTTTCTCTGTACTTGGTGTGCCTTTTTTCTCTGTCTGCTCATAAGATTTAGGTTCATTACTGGTTTTCAGGAATCTGATTATAATGTACCTTGGTGTATTTTGGGCAGAGGGAAGGGTTGGGGGAGTTTATAGTATTTATTAATTTCAGAAAATTCACAGCCATTATTCAAATATTTTTTCTCCCTCACCCCTTTTTCTAGGACTCCAATTACACAAATATTAGAGTGCTTGGTATTGTACCATGGGTCATTGAGGCTCTGTTATTTTTAAAAAGGACTTTTCAGAGCAGTTTTAAGCAGTTTTAAGTTCACAGCAAAACTGAGCAGAAAAGTACTGCTACCATGTACGTCCTGCCTGACACAAGCATAGCCTCCCCAGCTATCAACATAATGCTCCATAATGATACAGTTGTTACAACTGGTGAACCTACTTTGAGTCATCTCCCTTTCTCCACTGCCAAATCCATAGTTTACATTAGAGTTCACTCTGGGTATTGTACATTCTAAGAATTTTGACAAATGTATAATGACATGTATCTACCATTATAGTATCATCCAGAATAGTTTCACTGCCTTAAAAATCCTTGGTGCTCTGCCTATTCATCCCTCCCTCCCCCTCAACCCCGGCAACCACTGATGCTTTTACTATCTCCATAGTTTTGCCTTTTCTAAGATGCCATATGGTTGGGATCACACAGTATGTAACCTTTTCAGATTGGCATCTTTCACTTATTAATATGCATTTAAGATTCCTCCATGTCTTCTCATGGCTTTAGAGCTCATTTCTTTTTAGCACTGAACACTATTTCATTCTCTCAATGTACTGCGGTTTGTATATTCATTCACCTATTGAGGGACATCTTGGTTGCTTTGAAGTTTCGGCAATTATGAATAAAGATGTTATAAACATCTGTTTGCAGGGTTTTGTATGGACATAAGTTTTCAACCCATTTGTGTAAATACCAAAGAGTGTGATTGCTCAATTTTATGGTACAAGCATGTTTATTCTATAAGAAATTGCCAAACCATCTTCCAAAATGGCCGTACCAGTTTTCATTCTCACCAGCAATGAATGAGAGTTCCTGTTGCTCCACATCCTCATCAGCATTTGGTGTTGTCAGTGGTTGGATTTTGGCCATTCTGATAGGTGTGTGTGTAGTGATATCTCATTTTAATTTGCAATAACCTAATGGCATACCATGCTAAGCATCTTTTCATATGCTTATTTGCCATCTTCTTTGGTAAGGTATCTGTTCAGGTCTTTTGTACATTTTTAAAATCAACTTGTTTTCTTATTAACAATTCTTCATATATTTTGGATTACAGTGCTTTGTCAGAAGTGTCTTTTGCAAATATTTTCTCCCAGACTGTGGCTTGTCATCTCATTCACTTGAACTGTTTAATTTTAAAATTCTTTTTTCTCGGTGCTTCAGTTTAGATATATCTATTGCTGTCTTTAAGTTCATTAATCTTCTGTGGTGGCTAATTATCTATTAATACTTCTAGTGAGTTTTTTATTTCAGATATTGTTTTTTACATTTTTAATTCCTGTTTGAGTTCTTATTTACATCTTCTTTTGCTCTCCTTACTATATTTTTTCTTTACTTAAATATAATAATATCTGTTTTAATATCTTTTTCCACAAGTTTCTTTATATCTGTCATTTCCAGGATGGTTTCTATCAACTTCTACTTATGTGTCACATTTTTCTCTACCTTGCCATGCATAGTGATTTTTGATTGGATGTTGGAAATTGTGAATGTTACCTTGTTGAGTGGCTGGATTTTATTGTATTCCTTTAAGGAGTGTTGCATTTTATTTTGCAACCAATTATTTGCTTATCTGTTTTATCCCTTTGAAGCCAGTGAGTCTAGAGTATTCTTTACCCCAAGAATGGTGCAGCCATTCATCAGATAATCTTCTCTGATCATCACAGAAGGTCATTCACATCTTCTATGATGTGATACCTCTAGGTTCTCCACTGAATGTTGTGGGTGATCAAAATGGACTCATCAGTATGACTGATCAGAGCTGAAACTTCTCTCCTCCCTGTGTGAGCTCTGGGAATTGTTCAATTTACAACTCTCCAGTCATTCTGTACCCAGATTTTTGGAATTTCCCATTTTATGCACATGCAGCACTGTACTCAGCAAAGATTCAAGGGAAAACCTATCCAAATTTTTGTAGTTCTTTTTCCTGTGTTTCTCCCTCTTTCTGGAGCTCTGTCTCACAGTTTCTGCCACTTCAGTCTCCTCAATATTTCTGTCCATCTCTTCAACTCAACAAGTGATATGGTTTGGCCATGTCCCCACCCAAATCTCATCTTGAATTCCCATGTGTTGTGGGAGGGACCAGGTGGGAGATAATTGAATCATGGGGGCAGGTCTTTCCCATGCTGTTCTCATGATAGTGAGTAAGTCTCCCAAGATCTGATGGTTTTGAAAAACGGGAATCTCCCTGAACAAGCTCTCTCTTAGCCTGCTGCCCATCCATGTAAGACATGACTTCCTCCTCCTTGCCTTCTGCCATGATTGTGAGGCTTCCCCACCCACATGGAAATGTAAGTCCAATTAAATCTCTTTCTTTTGAAAATTGCCCAGTTTCAGGTATGTCTTTTATCAGCTGCTTGAGAACAGACTAATACAAGTCTGCCATACTCTGTTTGGGTTCCTTCTCCCTGTGTCAGTGCTCCATAAATTTCCTCTGGGCAGCAAGCTGGAGCATTCACAAGGCTCACCTTGTCTGTTTATCTTCCTTCAAGAATCAGTCATGTGGTGTGTATAGCCCAATGTCTGAAAACAATTGCTCATATTTTGTATAGTTTTCTAGTGGTTTATGGTAGAAAATTAAGTCTAAACCTCCTTGCTCCATGGGAGAAAGGTGAAGTTTTTCCACGTAATTTTCGATATGCAATCATGTTTGAGGACCACTGATATTAACAACATTGACACTAGTTTGATCTATATGTTATCAACAGCATGATGTTATTAATGAAATCACCCTCCCAGGTCCAATTTAAATAAACATTTCCAATTTAAATAAACATTTCCTTTTTTTTTTTTCAGACTGAATCTCACTCTGTCACCCAGGCTAGAGTGCAGCGGCGTGATCTCAGCTCACTGCAGCCTCTGCCTCCTGGGTTCAAGTGATTCTCCTGCCTCAGCCTCCCAAGTAGCTGGGATTACAGGCAAGTACCACCACGCCCAGCTAATTTGTGTATTTTTAGTAGAGAAGGGCTTTCACCATGTTGGTCAGGCTGGTCCCAAACTCCTGACCTGAAGTGATCTGCCCGCCTCAGCCTCCCAAAGTGCTGGGATTACAGGTGTGAGCCACCGTGCCTGGCTAAATAAACATTTCTGTACTAAACAGTACTAATAGTTTATAATATATGGTACAGGCAGTCTACTAAGGACTTCATTTATAGCATTTCATTTAATCTACACAAATACTATTATTAGATCCATTTTATAAAAGGAAAACCCAAGGTTCAAAGACATTAAATAGTTTTTCCCTGTGTCATTCTGCTAGTAGATGGCATGCTAACACCAGATCTTGTGCTTTTAACTTCAATAACACATTCTAGGGAGCCTATTGAATGGCACATAGATTACACAACTGCAGTCCACCAACATTCAAAGCTGGAAAACCACATTTGTATGGAGTTAAGTTAGTAGAGACGGCTCATGTTGAGTAAAAATCCCAAAAGCCAAAAGATATTAGCCCATGTGCCTCTAAGTACTTGACATTTTGAAATGTCAAGTTGATAATCAGATTATCTTAATGTGCAAAAAAATTTACCCCACTGGAATTTTACATTTTAAAAATCACTCTGTAATCCTACAAAGTTAACATCTTTACCCCATTTCTAAATTTCACCCCATGACAACTTCTACCTGGAAGTTAAGGTCAGGGTGTTCTAGGCTGGGGGAGGATCAGGAATAGAGAGATCCAGAAATCTGTTGGCTATGTCACTTGGCAATTTTAAAAAAGCAGTAATTTTTCATTTTGTTGAAGCATCAAAACACTGAGGTTAAAGCAGTTAGATCAAAATATTCCCTAAATCAAAATAGCTACATCCAGACATTTGTGTTAAGTCAATCCTCTTAAAATGTTTTTCTTCAGATCTCTCCTTTTTTAAAAAAGAAAGTAACAAATCCCATTTTAAAAGATGGCAATTTGGGGAATATTTTGTTTTGGTGACCATTAGTCGCCTACTTTGTCTCTTCAGTCAAATTGGGTTGGAATTTTCTAAGCAGACGTTAAGGCCCTGAATGAGCAGACCAAAGAGTAAACTGAGTCTAAGAAGACTTCTGTCTTCTCAGCTTAGTCATTTAGGCAAAGATGTCTTCTGTGTTCCTTCTTAAGTCCACAGAGCCACAGCTCATTGCTATTAGGTGAGATAATGGCTACAATGTGCTTTTTAGCAATAACATAGCAATACTTGTTGAGATAAAGGAATCCATGTCTATTAATACAGATTCCTAACATAGTAAATGATTGCAGGAATGTGCTTGGATACACGTGGCTGTTGGCAGGTCTCCGGTCCTCACTGGGTATTAACCAAAAACATCAGTGGTTTTTTTTTTTTTTAAATATGAGCTTCTCTTAGGGTAGCTCACAACATAGCAGCTGGCCTCCCCGAGAACAAGCAAGTGAGAGACAACTTTTGTTTCCTAATATCAAAAGCGACATCCCATTACTTCTGCCAGATTCTATTCACTAGGATTATGTCACTAAATGCAGTCCATACTCAGGGTACGAGATTGCAGAACTGCATGAATGCCAGGAGTTGGGGGCAATCTTAGAGGCTGCCTACTGAATTAATCATGTATGTAAATCGCCGCCCAGATTACCACTTTGTTGTGAAATCCACTTGATGCCCATTGGTCCTGATTTTGAGGTCTCTTACTGCATTGCACCTTGTCAACCACTTGTTCCTTCTTATAATTTTCTTCTCTGACTTTTTGTCAGCACTTCAGTCTGCAAGTTTTCATCTTAGTTTTTTTGACCACTGTTTTTATTCTGTTTCACAGGGCCATCATACTCTGACAAACTTTGAGTAGAACTTTCAAAGTACTTTATTCTTCACCTTTATTCTGCTTATTAGATGTTGTTTATTCATGTATTTAGTATGAATTAAATGAACATTTACTGAGCATCTAATATGAATTAGTTGCCCTGACATTAAGCACTCTTATTGGCAGAACTATTTAAAGATTAAATTCCTTTGAATCAGTGGTCCAAGGTTTATATACATTCACATTATTCGTTCTTAGGAGAGACATACTGAAAACTTCTTTCGACTCTACTTTGCATCTACTAAATTTGAAATCACCTGCAAAGGCAAGTGGAGAAAGAACACACCATTCAGCTTTGTTTCCCATTTTGCTTTTGGAACATATGATGTAGTTTAAAAAGTCGGTAATGTTTGTCCGAATTTGCTCATCTGAAAGTGATTTAAGTTGAGCAATTTAATGATTGGAACATTTTGGAGCTTTTTCCAGGACACCAAAACTCTTAGCATGGTTTAGGAATTCTGCAGCACTCTGACTGTTCCCAGCTGCTTGGGAGTCTTTGCTGAGTACTTCTGTAACTCCACAGATCTGGCCTCACAGAGAGATTTTCATGCATTTTGTTTCCTTTAAATATTTTCCCATCGATATTAGGATCAGGCTCTGATTGTGGGAAAATACCAGAGACAAAAATGGTTGAAGGTAGCAAACATTACTGCAAGCGTTTCTTTACTAATCATTTGGTGGAAGAGTCCTTGAGCCTGGAGTCTAGGAACATCGAAAATTCCTTCTGAAGACCTGATAGGGTTATAGGGTTCTGGTTTTTTTTTTGTTTGTCTTTTGAGACAGAGTCTCACTTTGTCACCCATGCTAGAGGGCAGTGGTGCAATCTCAGCTGCAACCTCCACCTCCCGGGTTTAAGCGATTCTTCTGCCTCAGCCTCCCCAGTAGTTGGAACTACAGGCACCTGCCACCACATCCAGCTAATTTTTGTATTTTTAGTAGAGATGGGAGTTTCATCATGTTGGCCAGGCTGATCTCAAACTCCTGACCTCAAGTGATCCACCCACCTCAGCCTCCCAAAATGCTAGGAATACAGGCGTGAGCCACCACACCTAGCCAAGACTTGATAGGGTTCTGTTGAGCGAGAACATTAATGGGTAGGAAACTACAAGAACAAAGGCTGTAGGGACTGCTGCTATTACTTTCTGTCTGCCTTTTAGGAATTAAAAAAGTAATAAGTAGAAAGTTATAATAAGTGAATAGTGCCTGAATCTGAAGATGATGATACTTAGCTAAATTCAGAGAACCCTAATTCAGGGAGCAAGTATCATGCCAACCATTGAGATGACTCTTTGGACAAGGCTCTGATTGACAGAGCAAGCTTCACATTCGCTACCGTGGTGAATGCTCACTTGCCCTCAATGAATGCTTTCTTCCTTTCTTTTCTCTCTCCTTTCCTTCACCCTGAGCATTTTTCCATGCTTCCTTTATATTTTAAATGTGGTTTTATAAATAAAGTTATAAGCATTACTAATGTTAAGCTGTATGAAAGAGCTGGACATATGTCAAGGAGAAAGCCATTTAGGGCAGGGTTCCAGAAAACACGTACCCAGATGACTTCATTTCTTCCTCCATCACATGGTGTTGTCCTTGGCTGAAATGTGGCAATCAATATTCTCTTCAAACTCTGAAATAGCTAGAAGTTTCCTTTGGGTTTGCAGCAAAGGATTTTGTTTAAATTTTTAAATTGTTGTTTCACTATATAGCAAAAAGTTATTTTTAGTTTGTTCTTACTCTTATTCAATCATGTATAATTTGGGGTAAGGAGAGACTTTCCAAATTAAGTCACAGATCAGTTAAAGCTAAAATGAGATTCCTGCTCTTTAATAGTTTCTGACAAGTAGGATACAGAGTGTGATCTATATGGTTAACAGGCAACAACTTTGGGCTCAGATGAATAGAGACAACTTGCTCTACTAGCATGAGCAGAGAACTGAACTTCTAGAAGGTCTTGGAACACTTCAGTTTAATTCAATATTTACCAAGCAGCTGTTTTATTGAAGATTCTTTGCAGATATTGGAGTTCAATATTAAGCATGATCTCCTGCCTCAATGAGCTCAGAGTGTGTTCTTGCAGGAGGTGGGGTAGGGGGAGGAAAATTCATGAATACAGAACAAAAATAAGACTTGATACTCTGTAAACAGATATGTCTCTAGACAATATTTTTTAAAATGCCTATTGAACATCAATCAGGACATGTATAAAATGGTAACAAGTCTTGACCTTTGGTTACTTTCAAAAGTATGGAAATCCATGAGTTGAGAGCAATACAAGTACATAATTCAGTGATTTAGATGTTGTGTTCTATTATCTCCCTATGTGAGAAACAAAACAAAACAGGAATAGCTGATAGAACACACTGTAATTGGTGAGGTCTGGCTGTACTTCTTACAATTTGCATAAATTTATAAGGTACAAGTGTAATCTGGTTACATGGATATATCGTGTAGTGGTGAAGTTGGGGCTTTTAGGTTATCCATCACCTAAATAACACACATTGTACCCAACTCGTTCCACTTCTAAAAACCTTGAAGGGATTCTAAAATACAGTCATCTGAGAGCCTTTCTGGTTACTGGGGGTCATTCTGTCCATGATCCAAAAATGAAGACAGCATTCATCGTGATTTTTCCCCAAATAGCCTCATTCCTAGACTGAGGAGCCTTATGAGAGTTCAGTCTCAAAGTCATGTTGTGTCTCCCGAGGGAGCCCACAAAAACACACTGAGGAGAAACTGGACAAATGTTCCTGGTGGTCTCAGCCCCATGTTTCGGTAAGTAGGAGGAGGGACCCAGGAGGGAAGAAAGCTGAGGTCATTCCAGACACTGAACATGAAGGTGCTTCAAACCTGCAGCCAATAGAAAACTTTTTGTCCCCACACAGACTACTTTTTCTCCCCCAGCTGTTTTTTTTACTCTCTAGCCACCCCTAACTGTGATTTCCACCTGCCCTGTTCAACTCTTACATCTGTTTGACAGTTTCAGCGCACATCAACCTCTCCATTCTTTGAGCAGTTCAGTAGCTGATTATTTTCTGTGTCTTATGTGCATCTTGACTCATTAATTCTAAGCAAAGCTGTTTGTTCATTCAAATATGAAGCACCTACGACATGGCAGGCAGCATGCTCACTGCTGGATGTAGCAATCCCACTGTCAGGGTACATCTTCAAAGTCCCTGCCCTGAAGATGCAAACCAATAAAACACATAACTACACATTATGAAAAGTTCTAGGGAGGAAATGAACGTGGTGCTATGATGGAAAATTCTCAGAACTTCTCAGAGGAGGCAGAACTTCTCAGAGGAGGCAACAGTTACACTGAGACCCAAAGCAAGAGAAGAAGCCAGCCATGAAAAAGGAGCTGAGGGTAGGAGAACATTCCAAGCAGAGGCACAGGTAAAGGAACAGAAGTGGAAGGAGGCTGACCTTCACAAGGAAGCAGCAGATGGCCAGGCCAAGAGCTTATCAGGGGAGGAGGCAGGAGATGAGGCCCAGCAGGAAGAGAGGGGGCCAGATCCATCAGGCCTGCCAGTGTTATACTTCATTCAGCACTTGGTGCCTAGTGTACAACTTCCATCAATAACCCCCTTGGTGCCCAGCACAGACCTTCGCTCAGAGTGAATTTTCAGCAATACTTGGCAGGTGAAATGACTCAGAGGCCCCAGTCTTGCACCAGCATTTCCAGAACCTCCCTGACCGTCAGTCCTCCCCAACCTGACTTCAGCATGAGTTGGGACTCCCAAAGGTCTCTCTCAATCCTTGTGTTTGGCCATATATACCCTCTCTCAGCCTTCTCCCAGAAAACGAAGTGCTCAGTGGACAAGAATGACTTTGGAGAGCATGACTTGTCCCGAACCTCCCTTCTGAGAGGTGGCCCAGCCACATGGTTGACAGCTGAGACTGGAGAGCCATGCTACTGGAGATTCTCGTCCTGGCTCCATTATCCGCCAGCTGTGTGCTGGGGTAAATCAGCTAATCTCCTGAGCCTCAAGCCTCTCTCCTGTAAAATGGATCTCATGGGGGGTCTTCTCAAGGTTTCTATGAGGATTAAATGGGGCGATGCACAAAAAGCCCCTTAACACAGTGCTCAGCATGTGGTTAACACTCAGTAAGTTGTTAGCTACTGTTATATTATTAACATTAGCATAATCAACCAAGGCCCCTAAGATACTCAAAATGTCCCAATTCCACTCCTCCCTTCTGTCTTCGGAGGAACTGTAAGGCTCAGCTGGATGCCACTTCCTCCGTGAGGGTTCCCAGGTAACCTCAGGCAGCAGTGATTTGCTCCTCTCTCTGCCCCTGCAGTAATTTGTACACTTCTCTCGGGAGACAGTTGATGCTTACCACATAACATGGCAATGCCATAAGCCTGTCTCTCCTACTCAACTGCCAAGTCTTTGAGAACAGGCATGGTACCTTTTTGTAAAAACTGTCAATCCACGTTTTTTGTTTTTTGTTTTTTTTTACATTTTAGTCTCTCTGAAATTGAAGATGTTCTTGCCAATAATGGCATGTTGAAATTAATTGACAGTGTTCTTTTTTGTCCCGGTATCACATAAAGTAAAGATACATCTTACAATAGATGACACCTTAGGTTAGGTGAAATGCCATTAACTTTGGGCATGGGCTTTGGAGTCAGATTTCTGGGGTCACTTATTTGGCATGCGGCCTTGAGCAAGTTACATAACCTTTCTCTGTGGCAGCTTCTCATGTGAACAATAGACATAACAATTGTCTCATAGTTGTTGCAAGGATTCGGCGACAAAATACATTGTAAAGCATTAGAATAGTGCCTGGCACATTGTTAATGCTGCATATTATCTATTATTATTGATAATAGATAATATTATCAATAAATCCTTGCCCCCCTCCTCGTAGGCCCCAGGAAGGCTGCCTGAGATACCACTGAGAGAGGCCTCAGTGGGAAACCCTCAGCTGGGGCCTTTCCCCCCATGCCCCACAGCTGACCTGTCCGTGTCAAGACCCTTTCCCTAGTTTTGTGTTCTCCATGACCCAAGCCATGACTGACTTTGGTTGTGACTGAACAGAGCCCTGGGAAATTCTGCCTTTGGGATTTTTCCTTGGCCGGGAGCCAGAGAGAGGTCCAATTTGTCTTCTGCTACCAAAAATATATTCCATTTCCTTTCAGTCCTGTGTTTAATTAAAAAGAGGAACTAGAATTGCTGGATAAACACGTGCTATTTTTATTCCCACCTCCCACTTGCAAACCCTCCTCCTCTTCCTAATGTAGCCTTCAAATCCCAGACTTGCACATCTGCCCAAATGTCGCAATGGAAAAAATGGATGTGCTTTCCCTCAGTCAGATGAACTTTTGCTTCTGTAGCCCACTCCTCCTTTCTTCAACCTTCCTGCCTCCCTGCCCAGGAAGAGGAACATGTGAAAAAACATGCTTTGATTTCTGTCCAAAGAAACCAAGGATGATTTGGAGGCCACACATGGAAGCCGCAAGCATGACTTTGCTTTTGCCGTCAACATAATTATCCCCGGATTCCAGGGCAGCCCCTTGCCCTTTAGAATTGCCTACTATCTCAGTAGTCAGTAGCCCACCATCTCAGTAGCCCACCATCTCAGTAGCCCATCCTCCTTGTTTTATGGGCCCAGATGGCTTGTAAATGACTCATACATAGCAGATACAGGAAATCGTTTTGAGATGTTGAATGGAGCTTGCATCATGCTGGTAAGTAAACATAAAAACATGGAAAGTCAGTAAAATGGTTGACATTCAAGGCAGACCAAAAAAAAACAAGAAAAAAGTCAATAAAATTAGAGTTAATTGTATTATAAAAATATTGTTTTTTCATTGTCGATGTTATCTAAGTCATCTTTCCAAGCACATACTTAAAAGAATCACTTGACACTAATGTGTATTTTTGAGAGCTGTATCTATGGTGAAAGTGAAGCACTGCTGCTCATTGCTCAGCTCTGGTCTGCAAAGGAAGGCTGCTCTCCTGCAGGCAAGAACCAGCTTCTTCATGCTTCAGGGTTGGGGTTCGCAAGGTTCTGCCATGGTGACAGAGTGACCCAGGCCGCTCTTAGTTGAAGGATCTCTGTGGGCTGAGGAATCTTCCCTGAGTTCCAGGTCACAGTCCGAGTGGGCATCAGAAAGGCCTGGGCAGGACCGGTTAGGGTTAAAAGTGCCCAAGAGGTTAAGGGCATTGGGAAGCTGATGTTGTTCTGAAGGAGGACCCTGATTCAGATTCTGTATCAGTCAGCTCAGGCCACCATAACAAAATACCATAGACTGGGCAGCTTAAACAAGATGTTTAATTATCTTAATTCTAAGGCTAGAAGTCCTAGATCAAGGTCCGTCAGGCCTTGATCTGAAAAGGCCTTTCTGGAAGGCCTCTCTTCCTGGCTTGCAGATGGTTTCTTCACTGTGTACCTGTGTGGCTGCTCCTCTGCATGTGTGGAAAGAGAGTGAGTAAGCTCTCATGTCGATCTACTTTTTTTTTTGAGGCAGGGTCTAACTCTGTTGCCCAGGCTGGAGTGCAGTGGCGAGATCACAGCTCACTGCAGCCTCAACTTCCCAGGCTCAGGTGATCCTCCCACCTCAGCCTCCCAAGTAGCTGAGACCACAGGCATGCACCACCATCCCAGCTAACTTTTGTAATTTTTTTTGTAGAGATGGGGTTTTGCCATGTCACCCAGCCTGGTCTCGAACTAACCAATCTGCCTACCTTAGCCACCCAAAATGCTAGGATTAGAGGTGTGAACCACTGTACCTGGCCTGTCTTTACTTCTAAGGACACAAGTCCTCTCAGATTAGGGCCCCACCCTGAAGACCTCATTTAACCTTACCTCCTAAAGCCCTATTTCCAAATATAGTCACGTTGGGGGTTAGGGCTTCAACATATGAATTTTGCAGGGGACATAATTCAGTCCTTAGACACTAAAAAGAATCATATTCCACACCAGCCTGGTACTAACTTGGTCTTCCAAGAATTGTCTGGAACAAGGGTTCTCAGCCATGGTTGCATAGTGCAACTACCAGGGGAGTTTTAAAAAAATACTAAGGCTAAGGCCCCATGCCTGGAGATGTTGATTTGAGGGTGGAGCCCTGGAATGCATATTTTTTAAAAGCTCCTCCAGGTGATGCTAACATACATTCATCAAGAACCCCTGTACTAGACAACTGGTCATCCAACAGCTGACTGCTCCTTGGGGCTCAGCCAGAACAAGACAGACTTCTGTAAGGAGAAACCTGGGAGCACTGAGTGTGTGTGTGGTGTTTGGGGAGGACAAGTGTATTGTGTCTATATTATGTGGATATATCTTCACAGGTACAAAATGTGCATTTATGTGTATACAATATGTCTGACACATATGAATGCATAAAAAAATAAAAAATAGCATTAATCTTGAGACAGTCTCATGAGGCAACTTTTTCTAGGTTTGAATGCTACTTTCTCTTTCTCTCTTGATTACTATTTTAAAACTTGTTTTCAAATGTTGCCATTGTGGACAAATATGATTCCATTTATATGAGATACTTAGAATAGTCAAATTTATAGAGACAAAGTTACAATAGTGTTACTGGGCGGAGTTATTGTTTAATGGGTACAGAGTTTCATTTGGAAGGATGAAGTTCTGGAGCCGATAGTGGTGATGGTTGCATAGCACTGTGAATGTACTTAATGCCACTCAACTGTACACTTGAAATGGTTACAATGGTTTTTAAAGTTGATACTGAAAGCTATTGTATTTTTTCCATGTTTACCAAGCTCTCATGATGAATATGGCATTGTAGAGAATCCTGGAAGTGAATCAATCCCTGTGTGCATGAGATACTTGAGGTAATCTCTGCTTTCTGCTTGTGAATTAGCTATACCATGGATCAATACCTTGATATCTCCACTCTTAGATTTAGTGCTCCATAGAAGCCCCCAAGACTTTCTACATAACTGCTCACAAGACCCTCCAACTCTATCCCCACCTACCCCTGAGACCTCTCGGTCTCACAATCATTGCTTAATCATCTAGAAATTATCAAGAGCTTTGCCATTCACAGGCCTCATTCACAGCTACGACCTGCTCTGAGGATATTTGAATGGAGCATCAGGGTTTGCAGGTAGAGAAAAGGAGTGTGGTGAGGTGGGGGATGAAGGGGTCTTTGAGTATACTGTAGGTGAACACAAAGGATGACAGTTGTTTTCTTTAGTTCAGACTTTGTCAAATGGGTGGCACTTTAGCTGTTGTCATTTAAGTGGCCAAAGTGAATCAGCTATTTCATTTATTCCTTCTTCAAAAAATCATGGAGGAAGCACTATGAGCCAGGACTTGGGCTCACACAGTGGCATTGAGAGAGATTCTAAGAAGTCTCAGCCTATGTGGGGAAATCAAACAGGCACTAATGGTAGACTAGGAGAAGGGCCATATGCAAAGTGTCAATCTCCACCTTTTTGGTTGCAAGGGGCAAAAAATCATGTTTTAAATTAAAAAAAAAAAAAAAAAAGAATGTTTTGCTCATAGGATGGAAAAGTCTAGGGCAAGGCCGTGCATCAGAACAGCTGGATCCAAGTATTCAACAGCTTCAAGATTTTCTCCTTTCTTGATTTTCTGTAGTCATCATTCTGGGGAAGACTCACCTCTTATGGTAACTGGAATACTTTAATCTTCTAAGAGTTCCAACTAAAATTCTCCAAGTGAATCTTGCTGAGATAAAGTGCCCAACTCTAGAGCTGAGGGGATGGAGAAAAATGGGGAGTTGGCTCTATTCAAATGATATAGACTGGATGGGAACTGGGGAGCCATTTCCCATTGTGAGATCCAACTATTCTTACTACAAGAGGGAATAGAGCCTGGCCAGGGAAACCATTGGCCTCACTACAATGTGGAAGTTTAGATGTGGCCTGGTGTCCTGTAAGAAGTCAGAAGGTTTCCCAGAGGGACCAGTATTTAAACTGGTCTTTAAGAATGGGTTGGAGCTGGTCATGGAAAGATGAGAGGGTTGAGGGAAAGGACCCACCCAGGAAAGAAATAGCACAAGCAATATAAATACGAATCAATGATTTGATGAAAAAGTTCTGTGTGATCAGTCTATTATTGCATGACACAAGTTGGTCCAGAGAATAATATGGTGTTGAAGCGGGTGAGTAATGGTATCTTCTAGTAATGATATGATTTCCTGAAAATAAGCAGGGCAAGCAATAATGCAATTTTAAGTGACCTGAACATCACATCACTCATCGCCTAAAAACTTACAAGTAAAAAACCTACAGAGCTGCTTAAAAAGTTCTACTATTCCTCAGTGCTTGGAGTATAATTTGTGAATTGAATTTGCTTTTGGTGCTCTTGTGCTTTTGTTTGGTTTGGTTTGGTTTGGTTTTGTCTTTTGAGGTCAGACAGGAGAGAACCTTACCCATTTCCAGGTGGAAAGAGGTCAAATCGTTTGAAACACAGTATAATATTGACGGTGTTGGCGGCCCTGCTGGAGCGGCCGCTGCAGGGAGGCCAGTTGCAGTTGGGGAGGCACAGCCGGGGCTGCACAGGCGGGAGTCCCGCCCCCCACCGAGCTGGCTGGGTGGGAACCCTTAGCTCCTGGGCACAGCTGCTGTGGTCCCTGCACGTTCCTGGAGGCCCAAAAAGCCCTCTGCCTCCACAGGCTTGAAAGTGCCTGCTCCTGCTCCCTGACCTCTCCCCACTCCCAATGCCTGCCCCAGGGTGGAGCAAAGTTGTGGCCAAGCCCGGGCACTGTTGCAACCCAGCCGGGTGTGCATGAGCTCAGGGGAGTGCTGACATACCAGCCCCCTGCTGCCTCGGCCCCCTCCGGACTTGGGGCACCAACAAGCGCCAGAGGGAGGCTGCCGAATGGGGAGGGTGCTGAGGGCGGCTTGGCACAGGCCAGCAGGCACCTCTCAGTGCAGACAGCCTAGGCGAGTGGACATGTTAAAGGCAGAGGAGTTCCTAGGCAAGGTAGGGCAGGTCCTCTGTGAAACCCCCACCTTCAGGTAGGGGACAGCCTGAAGCCTGGGGCGCGGGCTGTCAGTTCCAGGTGAAGTCCGCCGCCTGGAGTGAGAGCTTCATTGATGACGGTTCAGCCAATCGGATGGTGGTTTTTCCAGGCCCGCCCATGGCTACCCATGGACCAATCAGCATGCACTTCCTCCATTCTGCGTACACGAAAACCCTCACACTCAGTCAGACTCACACCCTCACCGGGAAGACCTGCTGGAGAAGGTAGCTATGCACTTCAGGTCTCCTGAGAGCTGTTCTGTCACTCAGTGAAGCTCCTCTCTTGCCTTGCTCAGCCTCTAGTTGTCTGCATACCTCATTCCTCCTGGATGCAGGACAAGAACTCGGGACCCACCAAATGGCAGGACTGAAAAAGCTGTAACACAAACAGGGCTGAAACACTCCCCCTGTTGGCCACTTTGTGGGTGACGACGAGAAGAGCTGTGGCCCTTCTGGGAGGCCAGACTTCGGGGCTGAGCCAGGGCTGTGGCACGCTGTAATACCCTCTTTGGGGCTCTGCAGTCCCTGGCATCTCCAAGCTTTCAGGCACCATCGCATTCCTTGTCCAGACGCTGATGTCCACAGCAGAATTGTGGTACATCTGGTCCAGCTGCAGCCTTGCATAGAGCTGGTGTCTGTGCCGGTGTGCCCGGCGGTGCACAGTGGCCAGACCCCACGATCGCTCACTCATACACCCCTTGGCTCTCTCTGCCTGGCTCGTTCTTGGCAGGTGTGGGATCTGGGCCCATAGCACAAGCCAAGCGCAGCCTGCTGGGCCGAGTGGGTGGAACAAGCCCAAAGGTGCAAGCAAAACCCAAGCAGAGGTGCCGCCAGCCACAGAGGTTTCCAGCTGGGGAAGTGACACCCTAAGGATCCTGTGATCTTGTACAAGAAAGCAATACGGAGGTCTTAAAAACAGTTTGGGTATTTTGTCTTTTTGCTTTTAAAAAATATAATAGATGACCACAAAGATTATGTATGAAAAACCCAACCCCATGGCCTGCTTCAACAGCCATTCTATGAGCAACCTTCCACAGTTGAGTTATTCCTGGTTAAAATTTGAGAGGTCACGTAATGTTGAATGCTCCCAAGGCTCAAATCAGGAGCCAGACAACAGTTCCATGCCTAGAAATGCTTTCAAATCACCAAGCTTCTTATTTAAAATTTAAAAATTCCTGATATACCTACCTGAAACAGTTCAATCCATGATCATGTGAGGGGTGAATTTATTTTTTTACAGACTCCTTCTCTTGGGCTAATTCTCCGTGGGAGGCAATTTTTAAATTAATTTTTTTATTTTACTTTAAGATCTGGGATACACATGCAGAAAGTGCAGGTTTGTTACATAGGCATACATGGGCCATCGTGGTTGGCTGCACCCATCAACCCGTTATCTAGGTTTTAAACCCCACATGCATTAGGTATTGGTCCTAATGCTTTCCTCCCCTTGCCTCCCACCCCAACAGGCCCCGGGTGTGTGATGTTCCCCCTGCTTGTCCATGTGTTCTCATTGTTCAACTCCCACTTATGAGTGAGAACATGCAGTGTTTGGTTTCCTGTTCCTGTGCTAGTTTGCTGAGAATGATATCTTCCAGCTTCATCCATGTCCCTGCAAAGGACATGAACTCATCCTTTTTTATGGCTGCATAGTATTCCATGGTGTATATGTGCCACATTTTCTTTATCCAGTCTATCATTGATGGGCATTTGGGTTGCTTCCAAGTCTTCACTATTGTAAATAGTGCTGCAATAAATATACGTGTGCATGTGTCTTTGTAGTAGAATGATTTATAATCCTTTGGGTATATACCCAGTAATGGGATTGCTGGGTGAAATGGTATTTCTGGTTCTAGATCCTTGAGGAATCACCACACTGTCTTACATAATGGTTGAACTAATTTACACTCCCACTAACAGTGTAAAAGTGTTCCTATTTCTCCACATCCTCTCCAGCATCTGTTGTTTCCTGAGTTTTTAATGATTGCCATTCTAACTGCCATTAGATGTTATCTCATTGTGGTTTTGATTTGCATTTCTCTAATGACCAGTAATATAAGCTTTTTTTCATATGTTTGTTGGCTGCATAAATGTCTTCTTCTGAGAAGTGTCTCTTCATATCCTTTGCCCACTTTTTGATGGAGTTGGTTTTTTCTTGTAAATATAAGTTCCTTGTAGATTCTGGATATTAGACCTTTGTCAGATGGGTAGCTTGCAAAAATTTTCTCCCATTCTGTAGATTGCCTGCTTACTCTGACAGTTTTTGTTGTTGTTTTTGTTGGTTTTTTTGGTTTTTGTTTTTTCTATGCAGAAGCTCTTTAGTTTAATTAGATCCCATTTGTCAATTTTGGCTTTTGTTGCAATTGCTTTTGGTGTTTTAGTCATGAAGTCTTTGCCCATGCCTATGTCCTAAATGGTATTGCGTAAGTTTTCTTCTAGAGATTTTATGGTTTAAGGTTATACATTTAAGTCTTTAATCCACCTTGAGTTAATTTTTATATAAGGTGTAAGGAAGGGATCCAGTTTCTGTTTTCTGCATATGGCTAGTTTTCCCAGCACCATTTATTAAATAGGGAATCCTTTCCCCATGGCTTGTTTTTGTCAGGTTTGTCAAAGATCAGATGGTTGTAGGTGTGTGGTGGTATTTCTGAGGCCTCTGTTCTGTTCCATTGGTCTATATATCTGTTTTAGTACCAGTACCATGCTGTTTTGGTTACTGTAGCCTTGTAGCATAGTTTGAAGTCAGATAGCATGAGGCCTCCAGCTTTGTTCTTTTTGGTTAGGATTGTCTTGGCTATACGGGCTCTTTTTTGGTTCCATATGAAATTTAAAGTAGTTTTTTCTAATTCTGTGAAGAAAGTCAATGGTAGTTTGATGGGAATAGCGTTGAATCTGTAAATTACTTTGGGCAGTATGGCCATTTTCACAACATTGATTCTTCTTATCCATGTGCATGGAATATTTTTCCATTTGTTTGTGTCCTCTTATTTCCTTGAGCAGTGGTTTGTAGTTCTCCTTGAAGAGGTCCTTCATGTCCCTTGTAAGTTGTATTCCTAGGTATTTTATTCTTTGTAGCAATTGTGAATGGGACTTCACTCATGTTTTGGCTCTCTGCTTGTCTATAATTGGTGTATAGGAATGCTTGTGATTTTTGCCAACTGATTTTGTATCCTGAGACTTTGCTGAAGTTGCTTATCAGCTTAAGGAGTTTTTGGGCTTAGTCGATGGGTTTTCTAAACACACAATCATGTCATATGTAAACAGAGACAATTTGACTTCCTCTCTTCCTATTTGAATACCCTTTCTTTCTTTCTCTTGCCTGATTGCCCTGGCCAGAGAACTTCCAATACTATGTTGAATTGGAGTGGTGAGAGAGGGCAGCCTTGTCTTGTGCCAGTTTTCAAGGGAATGCTTTCAGTTTTTGCCCATTCAGTATAATATTGGCTATGGGTTTATCAATAAATAGCCCTTATTATTTTGAGATGTTTCACCAATCCCTAGTTTATTGGGAGTTTTTAGCATGAAGGGATGTTGAATTTTATCAAAGGCCTTTTCTGCATCTATTGAGATAATCATGTGGTTTTTGTCATTGGTTTTGCTTATATGATGGATTATGTTTATTGATTTATATATGTTGAGCCAGACTTGCACTCCACGGATGAAGCCGACTTGATTGTGATGGATAAGCTTTTTGATGTGCTGCTGGATTTGGTTTGCCGGTATTTTATTGAGGATTTTCACATCAAAGTTCATCAGGGATATTGGCCTGAAACTTTTGTTGTGTCTCTGCCAGGTTTTGGTAGCAGGATGATGCTTGCCTCATAAAATGAGTTAGGGAGGATTCCATCTTTTTCTGTTGTTTGGAATAGTTTCAGAAGGAATGGTACCAGCTCCTCTTTGTACCTCTGGTAGAATTTGGCTGTGAAACAGTCTGATCCTGGGCTTTTTTTGGTTGGTAGGCTATTAATTACCGCCTCAATTTCAGAACTTGTTATTGGTCTATTCAGGGATTCAACTTCTTCCTGGTTTAGTCATGGGAGGGTGTTATGTGTCCAGGAATTTATCCATTTCTTCTAGATTTTCTCATTTATCTGTGTAGAGGTGTTTATAGTATTCTCTGATGGTAGTCTGTATTTCTGTAGGATCAGCGGTGATATCCCCTTTATCATTTTTTATTGTGTCTATTTGATTCTTCTCTCTTTTCTTCTTTATTAGTCTGCTAGCGGTCTATTTTGTTAATCTTTTCAAAAAACCAGCTCCTGGATTCATTGATTTTTTTTTTTGAAGGGTTTTTCATGTCTCTGTCTCCTTCAGTTCTGCTCTGATCTTAGTTATTTCTTGTCTTCTCTTAGCTTTTGAATTTGTTTGCTCTTACTTCTGTAGTTCTTTTAATCGTGATATTAGGGTATCAATTTTAGATCTTTCCTGCTTTCTCATGCGGGCATTTAGTGCTATAAATTTCCCTCTACACACTGCTTTAAATGTGTCCCAGAGATTCTGGTACGTCGTGTCTTTGTTCTCATTGGTTTCAAAGAACATCTTTATTTCTGCCTTCATTTCATTATTTACCCAGCAGTCAGTCATTCAGGAGCAAGTTGTTCAGTTTCCATGTAGTTGTGAGGTTTTGAGTGAGTTTCTTAATCCTGAGTTCTAATTTGATTGCACTGTGGTCTCGGAGACAGTTTGTTGTGATTTCCATTCTTTTGCATTTGCTGAGGAGTGTTTTACTTCCAATTTTGTGGTCAATTTTAGAATAAGTGCTATGTGTTGCTGAGAAGGATGTGTATTCTGTTGATTTGGGGTGGAGAGTTCTGTAGTTGTCTCTTATGTCTGCTTGTTCCAGAGCTGAGTTCAAGTCTTGAATATCCTTGTTAATTTTCTGTCTCGTTGATCTGTCTAATATTGATGTGGGGTTAAGTTAAAATTGATTTGAGGTGGAGAGTTCTATAGATGTCTATTAGGTCCTCTTGGTCAAGAGCTGAGTTCAAGTCTTGAATATCCTTGTTAATTTTCTGTCTCATTGATCTAATATTGACAGTGAGGTGTTAAAGTCTCCCACTGTCTCTTTATAGGTCTCTAAGAACTTGTTTTATGAATCCGGTGCTCCTGTTTTGGGTGTATATATATTTAGGATAGTTAGCTCTTCTCATTGCATTAATCCCTTTACCATTAGGTAATGCCCTTCTTTGTCTTTTTTGATCTTTGTTAAAGTCTGTTTTATCAGAGACTAGGATTGCAACCCCTGCTTTTTTTTTCTTTCCATTTGCTTGGTAAATATTCCTCTATCCCTTTTTTTTTTTGAGCCTATTCGTGTCTTTGCATGCGAGATGGGTCTCCTGAATACAGTACACTGATGGGTCTTGACTCTTTATCCACTTTGCCAGGCTGTGTCTTTTAATGGAGCATTTAGCCCATTTACATTTAAGCTTAATATTGTTATGTGTGAATTTGATCCTGTCACCATGATGCTAGCTGGTTATTTTGCACATTAGTTGATGCAGGTTCTTCATAGTGTCATTGGTCTTTATATTTTGGTGTGTTTTTGCAGTGGCTGGTGTCAGTTTTTCCTTCCCATATTTAGTGCTTCTTTCAGGAGCTCTTGTAAGGCAAGCCTGGTGGTAACAAAATCCCTAAGCAT
Organism: Homo sapiens; assembly: GCF_000001405.40. Taxonomy (NCBI): domain Eukaryota; kingdom Metazoa; phylum Chordata; class Mammalia; order Primates; family Hominidae; genus Homo; species Homo sapiens. The sequence goes on from NC_000008.11 coordinate 94,125,666, forward strand.
TTGCTTGTCTGTAAAGGATTTTATTTGTCCTTTGCTTATGAAGCTTAGTTTGGCTGGATATGAAATTCTGGATTGAAAATTCTTTAAGAACGTTGAATATCGGCCCCACTTTCTTCTAGCTTGTAGGGTTTCTGCAGAGAGATCCACTTTTAGTCTGATGGGCTTCCCTTTGTAGGTAACCTGACCTTTCTCTCTGGCTGCCCTTAACATTTTTTCCTTCATTTCAGCCTTGGAAAATCTGATGATTATGTGTCTTGAGATTGCTTTTCTTGAGTAATATCTTAGTAGTGTTCTCTGTGTTTCCTGAATTGGAATGTTATCTTTCGGATAGGTCTTGCTAGGTTGGGGAAGTTCTCTGTGCTAATATCCTGAAGTGTGTTTTCTAACTTGGTTCCATTCTCCCTGTCACTTTCAGGTACACCAATCAATCATAGGTTTAGTCTTTTCACATCTTCCCATATATCTTGGAGGCTTTGTTCCTTTTCATTCATTTTTCTGTAATCTTATCTTCTCACTTGATCTTCAGTCTCTGATACCCTTTCTTCCACTTGATTGATTCGGCTATTGATACTTGCGTATGCTTCACGAAGTTTTCATGCTGTGTTTTTCAGCTGCATCAGGTCGTTTATGTTCTTCTCTAAACTGGTTATTCTAGTTGGCAGTTTCTGTAACCTTTTATTAAGGTTCTTAGCTTCCCTGCATTGGGCTAGAACATGTTCCTTTAGGTCACAGGAGTTTGTTATTACCCACCTTCTGTCAATTTGTCAAACTCATTCTCCATCCAGTTTTGTTCCTTTGCCGAAGACGAGTTGTGATCATTTGGAGAAGAGGCATTCTTGTTTTTGGAATTTTCAGCATTTTTGCACTGGTTTTTCCTCATCTTCATAGATTTATCTACCTTTGGTCTTTGAGGCTGATGACCTTTGGATGGGGTTTTTATGTGGGGGTCCCTTTTGTTGATGTTATTGCTTTCTATTTTTTAGTTTTTCTTCTAACAGTGAGGCCTGTCTTTTGCAGGTCTGCTGGACTTTGCTGGAGGTCCACTCCAGACCCTGTTTGCCTGGGTACCACCAGCAGAGACTGCAGAACAGCAGAGATTGCTGCAGCTCCTTTCTCTGGAAGCTTTGTCCCAGAGGGGCACTGGCCTGATGCCAGCCGGAGCTCTCCTGCATGAGGCATCTCCCAGGCTGGAGGCACTGGGGTCAGGGACCTACTTGAGTAGGCAGTCTGTCCCTTAGCAGAGTTCGAGTGCTGTGCTGGGAGAATCCTCCTTGTCAGGATTAGCTGTTGTCTTCGGAGCCAGCAAGCAGGAACATTTAAATCTGCTGAAGCTGTGCCCACAGCCACCCCTTCCCCCAAGTGCTCTGTCTAGGGAGATGGGAGTTTTATCTATAAGCCCCTGACTAGGGCTGCTGGGGAGGCAATTTTTATACACAAAAAATAACAATTGTTATTCTGTCCTTCCCCTCCACAAATAAAAACAGAGGCAGAGCGGATCAACAAACAAAACTGACTACAACCAGTGTTTATTCTTGATTTGTCACCACTCTTTTCATGTCTTGTTTTCTTCCACATGTTAAATATATAATAACCAAAACTTTACTAACATACGAATGAAGAAAACATGCGCAGCATGTATGCATGGCAGGTAGTGAGGAAATCTGGCCAGCTGACTGGTTCCTTTACCAAGGTTTGCAGAGTAGGTTGTGTTTGAACACCTTCTGTGGGTCTGTGTCATTTCCAAGTTGAAGAATTTCAGCCAAAGAGCAACATGTCACATTGATTAAAGATGGTTAATGACACAGAAACATTTCTGTTAATACTAAGGGAAAAGGCTGTTCTTTTATTTATTTATTTTTCCTGAGTCCTCACGTTTTTCTTCTCTGACAAATGTTTGAAATTCAGTGAAATACCAAAGGAGTCAAGGATGAAGGGGACACAGGATGGAATCAGAAAAAACATAAATGGAATCCAGGCAGTTCTATGAGACAACACTGATATATCTCCTTGATAAAGAAAAAATGTACAGAATATTTAATGAGTCTGTCTTGCCCCAAAAGGGAAAAACACAAGTAGCTAAGCCATTTGCAGAGAGGAAAAATGTCATGGAAAAATGAAAAATCTCTCTAATGTCTATAGCACATGAAATATCTAAGTAGGTGGGTGCAGTGGTTCATGCCTGTATTGGGAGACCAAGGCAGGCAGATCACTTGACGTCAGGAGTTCAAGACCAGCCTGGCCAAATGGCGAAACCCCGTCTCTATTAAAAATACAAAAATTAGCTGGGCATGGTGGTGGGTGCCTGTAAACCCAGCTACTTAGGAAGCTGAGGCAGGAGAATCATGTGAACCCAGGAGGCGGAGGTTGCAGTGAGCTGGGATCACACCACTGTACTCCAGCCTGGGCGACAGAGCAAGACTCCACCTCAAAAAAGAAATATTTAGCAAATATTAAAGGACAAGAGGGAATATCTGTTTAAAAAATTATAATGCACGTTAGATGAAAAGTAATAGGATGAGATGGTTGTTGCTGAAATAGCACTTGCTATATAAATTCAAACATTCCTTTTCAAATTCAGCTTCTCAGAGGTTTGACTTCAGATGCTTGAGCACTTTCAACATTATCTTTGCCTTTATCCTTCTTTATGCGGATAAACACAACTGCTAAAATTATACCTAAAAGAAAAAACCCAGGGTCAAATAAATGGGACCTTTTAAAATGTACTGTCACATTCAGTTATAAAGTAGTATTGTGGTAGGAAAAAAATGACTCAACTTCATTTTTGTATGTGATTCAACAAAATTTCACTGTCCTAGTGAATAAGGGACTCTAGTCGTTGGCCTTCTTGGAGAAATGAGCTTATCATTTATCCTGTTGTATGTATGTATCAAGTCCCAAATCATAGCTGACTTGGTGGCTCTCACTGGATCTCGCTGTAAGAATATAGGACCTAATGTTCCACACTATGGAGTGTATATGTCCCACACTATAGAGTGTATAAGCACCTGACAAAGTTCCTGAACTTTATATATACTTAATATTGATTCTATTCTTCCCCTTTCCTAGAGAAAACAATCCAATTAGCACAACTAGAAAGCTGTTCTCTGACCTGTTCACCTCCCTGAAGCTGATTTTCATCGTGTCCATACCAACTATCGCATTTCCTTGGGCGCCTTCCTCCTGGATCCTGCCTATGTTGTTGTGGGACCCTGGGTAGACTACTTAACCTTCTTGGTTTCTCCCACCTGATACATCAAAATTACACTGTGCAGCTCAGCACTGATTGTGTACTGTCAGAGTCCACTATGAAGAAGGAGTTGTTTTAAGGAAATTAACCTGCTAGTAAGTTTATAGGAGGAATCATGGCAGAAAAGTCTGGATGCTCAGAAACTTATAATTCCAACCCTATCTTGAAAATAAGGTCATGAAACTGTAAAATCCTATTACTTCTATTTCTGGATGTCCCCAAACTCAAGCAGTCTTTAACTTGTGGTAAGATTATGGAATTAAATTGATACGTTAAGAAAATTGCTATCTGATTTGTAAATTCAAAAATCCTTTCAAGGTGGGAGGGCAAATAGAATAAGAAAAGGCACAGAGGCAGAAGGGACCTATGTAAGTGAGTGGGACCTCAAAAAGACAGCTCAATTACCATGAAAAGTGTGCAGTAGATAGTGGTTCTCAGGGAGGAAAGATGATCACCATGCACACATTAGGATGGGAAGTGGCCATGACATGAAGGCCCTCCCATGCCATAGGGAGTCCAGACTGAAGGGTATAAAGAAGTGAGACCCCCTTTAGATGCATGAATCAGAGTCCAGTGTGACACACTGGATCATGGGAGAAAAGATCAGATGCTGAGAGAACAATCAATAATACTTAGAATAATCCTAGTCCTTCTTTTAAAAGAAAAAGGATATGAAACCATAAACCCCTTCACTCAGGTACACATGAAATAATGAAGTATCTATTCCTAATGTTTAACTTGTGGTGGGGACAACAGTTGAAAGAGGGCAATTACTATATAGGTTGAGTATCCTTAATCTGAAAATCTCAAATCTGAAACTTTTGGGGTACCAACTTGATGTCACAAGCATAAAATTCTACACCTGACCTCATGTGACAGGTTGCAGGCAAAACTTTGTTTCATACACAATATTATTTAAAATATTGTATGAAATACCTTCAGACTACGTGTATAAAATGTTTATGAATCACGTGAATTTTGTGTTGAGACTTGGGTCTCATCCCCAAGATATCTCATCGTGTATTTGCAAATGTTCAAAAATCTGGAAAAAACCCAAAATCTGAAACACTTCTGCTCTCAAGCATTTTGGGTAAGGAAACACTTGGAATAGGCACTGAGTTGTTTGCAAAAAAGAAAAAGACAGCTAGATCAGGGGACTGTACTGTCTAGCCAAGCAAGGGGCTATGGCAGAGGCTGTGGTCATGATGCAATGGGTTATTCTGGGTAGTAAAGAATCAGGGTTCTATGCATAGGGAAGTTCTGCACTACACATTTCAGATATCTCAGCATCGCCACTGGAAGGCTAACTTCTGCCTGTAACAACAATGGCAGGTGAGACCATAAACTCTGGTGTAGGATCTGTGTATGTCACTCTTTCCCCATCAAGCACAGTGCCTGACACATGGCACAGCTACTGCATTTCTTCCCTCTTTATCACAAAAGCTTTGTAACTAGGCATAATATATGACAATTGATGACCATAAAGCCCCTTATATTTCTAAACTAATAAGGCAATAGAGACAGAGGGTAGTACTAAAGCTGTAACTCCAATCAAGAAAGTCTGATGTAATTTGCTGGTGATCTACCTTCTGGGCTATTGCCTGAGTTGCCATTTGAGCAGCCACCAGACCAGTCCAGGAAGACAGGCCCTGAGATGAGCTCACATTTCTGAGGCCCAGGATAAGACTCTTTGAATTAAGAAATTACACTCACCAATCACCAGAAGGGTGGTCAGCAGTATACCAACTGCCATGCCCACAGTGGGTATCCCAGTCTGGTGACCTGCTGGCCGGAAACAACTTCCTTCCACACAACTGCAGAATGTAACTGAAAAGCAGGACAGTATTTGGTAGGATAAATTCTCAAGTGAATAGTTGCAGAATCCCATATCAAAGACAAGAATCTCCTCAAACGGCCCATGGTGACAGATACTAGCCTGAGTTGCCTATAGCAGAATATCTACCTGGTAAAGAAACAATGCCTTCCAAGGGTGGCCGACCCCCATCATTGATGCGGATCAAGACGACATACTCCCTCTCCTCAAACTCTGTGTGCCTGGTAGACAGTCGGGCATGAGTACCTGCCAGGACAGGAAAAAAAAATGAAAATACAACTTCAGACCCTGGATTAGCAGGAATAAAGCTCATTTTGTATCACATACTAAGGTTGACTGGAACATGGCTAGATATGAGTTAAACTGCCCAAAGTATCATCCACATCATTCCACATGTATCTTCCCATAAGGTAAGAAAGGGCTAAAGCATCCTTTAAGTTCTTAATTCATGATTTCTCTGTAGAAATTTATACTAAATATAGTCAATTATCATTTGTAGCACTTATGCTCTATAAAGTTGCCCCAAACACTGAATTAATGAATGCTGAACCATTGCTCCTAGAGGAAAGACAGGGTTAGGTTTCTGTGAGCTTCTAGTCATATTTTCCCCAACTGATCAATACATAACCTTGCTTTTTGTGTGTTGCTGTTCAAAGATATCTTATTTAACATATATTGTTCATTCTAACATTTAACTCACATCTAACAGCACTAGAACTTCCTGAACAAAGCTTATCAAACACACATATTTAGGTTGGTGGAAAATAATTGCAGTTTTGGACATTACTTTTAATTTGTGTCCCAAACCACAATTTTTCCCTGTAAGGCACACATCACAGCCTTCCTGTGCTTAGGAATTCTAGATAGCACTTCAGCACTATAGTTCAAAGCCATTTTTTTTTTTATCATGGGTCATCTTTTAGGTTTGACCCTGTGTGGTTTTTTTTAATACTTTGTGCACATGTACCCTAGAACTTAATGTGCAGGTTTGATACGTAGGTATACATGTGTCATGTTGATTTGCTGTACTCATCAACTCGTCATTTACATTAGGTATTTCTCCTAATGCTATCCTCCCCCAGACCCCCACCCCCTGACAGGCTCTGGTGTGTGATGTTCCCCGCCCTGTGACCAAGTGTTCTCATTGTTCAATTCCCACCTATGAGTGAGAACATGCAGTGTTTGGTGTTATGTCCTTGTGATAGTTTGCTGAGAATGATGGTTTCCAGCTTCATCCATGTCCCTGCAAAGGACATGGACTCATCCTTTTTTATGGCTGCATAATATTCCATGGTGTATATGTGCCACATTTTCTTAATCCAGTCTATCATTGATGGACATTTTGGTTGGTTCCAAGTCTTTGCTCTTGTGAATAGTGCCACAATAAACATACGTGTGCACGTGTCTTTATAGTAGCATGGTTTATAATCCTTTGGGTATATACCCAGTAATGGAATTGCTGGGTCAAATGGTCTTTCAGGTTCTGTATCCTTGAGGAATCACCACACTGTCTTCCACAATGGTTGAACTAATTTACACTCCCACCAACAGTGTAAAAGTGTTCCTATTTCTCCACATCCTCTCCTGCAACTGTTGTTTCCTGACTTTTTAATGATCACCCTTCTAACTGGTGTGAGATGGTATCTCATTGTGGTTTTGATTTGCATTTCTCTGATGACCAGTGATGATCATGTTGATGTGTCTGTTAGCTGCATAAATGTCTTTTGAGAAGTGTCTGTTCATATCTGTTGCCCACTTTTTGATGGGGTCGTTTTTTTCTTGTAAATTTGTTTGAGTTCTTTGTAGATTCTGGATATTAGCCCTTTGTCAGATGGGTAGATTGCAGAAATGTTCTTCCATTCTGTATGTTGCCTGTTCACTCTGATGGTAGTTTCTTTTGCTGTGCAGAAGCTCTTTAGTTTAATTAGATCCCATTTGTCAAGTTTGTCTTTTGTTGCCATTGCTTTTGGTGTTTTAGTCATGAAGTCCTTGCCCACGCCTGTCTTCTGAATGGTATTGCCTCGGTTTTCTTCTAGGGATTTTATGGTTTTAGGTCTAACATTTAAGTCTTTAATCCATCTTGAATTAATTTTTGTGTAAGGTGTAAGGAATGGATCCAGTTTCAGCTTTCTACATATGCCTAGCCAGTTTTCCCAGCACCATTTATTAAATAGGGAATCCTTTCCCCATTGCTTGTTTTTCTCCGGTTTGTCAAAGATCACATGATTGTACATGTGTGGTGTTATTTCTGAGGTCTCTGTTCTGTTCCATTGGTCTATATATCTGTTTTGGTACCAGTACCATGCTGTTTTGGTTACTGTAGCCTTGTAGTATAGTTTGAAGTCAGGTAGTGTGACACCTCCAGCATTGTTCTTTTTGCTTAGGATTGTCTTGGCAATGCGGGCTCTTTTTTGGTTCCATATGAACTTTACAGTTTTTTCTAATTCTGTGAAGAAGGTCATTGGTAGCTTGAAGGGGATGGCATTGAATCTATGAATTACCTTGGGCAGTATGGCCATTTTCACGACATTGATTCTTCCTGTCCACGAGCATGGAATGTTCTTCCATTTGTTTGTGTCCTCCGTTACTTCGTTGAGCAGTGGTTTATAGTTCTCCTTGAAGAGGTCCTTCACATCCCTTGTAAGTTGGATTCCTAGGTATTTTATTCTCTTTGCAGCAATTGTGAATGGGACTTCACTCATGTTTTGGCTCTCTTTGTTTTGGTGTATAGGAACGCTTGTAATTTTTGCACATTGATTTTGTACCCTGAGATTTTGCTGAAGTTGCTTATCAGCTTAAGGAGATTTTGGGCTGAGACAATAGGGTTTTCTAAATATACAATCATGTCATGTGCAAACAGGGACAATTTGACTTCCTCTTTTCCTAATTGAATACCCTTTATTTCTTTCTCTTGCCTGATTGCCCTGGCCAGAACTTCCAACACTGTGTTGAATAGGAGTGGTGAGAGAGGGCATCCTTGTCTTCTGCCGGTTTTCAAAGAGAAGACTTCCAGTTTTTACCCATTCAATATGATATTGGCTGTGGGTTTATCATAAATAGCTCTTATTATTTTGAGATATGTTCCATCAATACCTACTTTATTGAGAGTTTTTAGCATGAAGGGCTGAATTTTGTCAAAGGCCTTTTCTGCATCTATTGAGATAATCATGTGATTTTTGTCATTGGTTTTTCTTATGTGATGGATTATGTTTATTGATTTGTGTATGTTGAACCAGCCTTGCATCCCAGGGATGAAGCCAACTTGATTGTGTTGGATAAGCTTTTTGATGTGCTGCTGGATTCAGTTTGCCAGTATTTTACTGAGGATTTTCACATCGATGTTCATCAAGGATACTGGTCTAAAATTCTCTGTTTTTGTTGTGTCTCTGCCAGACTTTGGCATCAGGATGAAGCTGGCCTCATAAAATGAGTTAGGGAGGATTCCCTCTTTTTCTATTGATTGAAATAGTTTCAGAAGGAATGATACCAGCTCTTCTTGTACCTCTGGTAGAATTCAGCTGTGAATCCATCTGATCCTGGACTTTTTTTTGTTGGTAGGCTATTAATTATTGCCTCAATTTCAGAGCCTGTTATTGGTCTATTCAGAGATTCAACTTCTTCCTGGTTCAGTCTTGGGAAGGGTGTATGTGTCCAGGAATTTATCCATTTCTTCTAGATTTTCTAGTTTATTTGTGTAGAGGTGTTTATAGTATTCTCTGATTGTAGTTTGTATTTCTGTGGGACCAGTGGTGATATTCCCTTTATCATTTTTTTATTGCGTCTATTTGATTCTTCTCTCTTTTCTTCTTTATTAGTCTTGCTAGCAGTCTATCAATTTTGTTGATCTTTTCAAAAAACCAGCTCCTGGATTCATTGTTTTTTTGAGGGGTTTTTTGTGTCTCTATCATCTCCTTCAGTTCTGTTCTGATCTTAGTTATTTCCTGCCTTCTGCTAGCTTTTGAATGTGTTTGCTCTTTCTTCTCTAGTTCTTTTCATTGTGATGTTAGGGTGTCAATTTTAGATCTTTCCTGCTTTCTCATGTGGGCATTTAATGCTATAAATTTCCCTCTACACACTGCTTTAAATGTGTCCCAGAGATTCTGGTACGTTGTGTGTTTGTTCTCATTGGTTTCAAAAAACATCTTTATTTTCTGCCTTCATTTCGTTATTTATCCAGTAGTCATTCAGGAGCAGCTTGTTCAGTTTCCATGTAGTTGTGTGGTTTTGAGTGAGTTTTTGTCCTGAGTTCTAATTTGATTGCACTGTGGTCTGAGAGACAGTTTGTTGTGATTTCTGTTCTTTTACATTTGCTGAGGAGTGCTTAACTTCCAATTATATGGTCAATTTTGGCATAAGTGCTATGTGGCACTGAGAAGAATGTATATTCTGTTGATTTGGGGTGGAGAGTTCTGTAGATGTCTATTAGGTCTGATTGGTGCAGAGCTGAGTTCAAGTCCTGGATATCCTTGTTAACCTTCTGTCTCATTGATATGTCTAATATTGACAGTGGGGTGTTAAAGTCTCCCATGATTATTGTGTGGGAGTCTAAGTCTTTGTAGGTCTCTAAGGACTTGCTTTATGAATCTGGGTGCTCCTGTATTAGGTGCATATATATTTAGGATAGTTAGCTCTTCTTGTTGAATTGATCCCTTTACCATTATGTAATGGCCTCCTTTGTCTCTTTTCATCTTTGTTGGTTTAAAGTCTGTTTTATCAGAGACTAGGATTGCGATCCCTGCTTTTTTTGCTTTCCATTTGCTTGGTAGATCTTCCTCCATCCTTTTATTTTGAGTCTATGTGTTTCTCTGCACGTGAGATGGGTCTCCCAACAGCACACTGATGGGTCTTGACTCTTTATCCAATTTGCCAGTCTGTGTCTTTTAATTGGGGCATTTAGCCCATTTACATTTAAGGTTAATATTGTTATGTGTGAATTTGATCCTGTCATTATGATGTTAGCTGGTTATTTTGCCTGTTAATTGATATAGTTTCTTCCTAGCATCGATGGTCTTTACAATTTGGCATGTTTTTGCAGTGGCTGGTACTGGTTGTTCCTTTCCATGTTTAGTGCTTCCTTCAAGAGCTCTTGTAAGGCAGGCCTGGTGGTGACAAAATCTCTCAGCATTTGCTTGTCTGTAAAGGATTTTATTTCTCCTTCACTTATGAAGCTTAGTTTGGCTGGATATGAAATTCTGGGTTGTAAATTCTTTTCTTTAAGAACGTTGAATATTGGCCCCCACTCTCTTCTGGCTTGTAGGGTTTCTGTAGAGAGATCCACTGTTAGTCTGATGGGCTTCCCTTTGTGGGTAACCCGACCTTTCTCTCTGGCTGCCCTTAACATTTTTCCCTTCATTTCAACCTTGGTGAATCTGACAATTATGTGTCTTGGGGTTGCTCTTCTCGAGGAGTATCTTTGTGGTGGTCTCTGTATTTCCTGAATTTGAATGTTGGCCTGCCTTGCTAGATTGGGGAAGTTCTCCTGGATAATATCCTGAAGAGTGTTTTCCAACTTGGTTTCATTCTCCCCGTCACTTTCAGGTACACCAATTAGACATAGATTTGGTCTTTTCACATAGTCCCATATTTCTTGGAGGCTTTGTTTCTTTTTACTCTTTTTTTCTCCTTGCTTTATTTCATTAATTTGATCTTCAATCACTGATACACTTTCTTCCACTTGATTGAATCAGCTACTGAAGCTTGTGCATGCATCACGAAGTTCTCCTGCCATGGTTTTCAGCTCTATCAGGTCATTTAAGGTCTTCTCTACACTGTTTATTCTAGTTAGCCATTCATCTAACCCTTTTTCAAGGTTTTTAGCTTCCTTGCGTTGGGTTCAAATGTGCTCCTTTAGCTCAGAGAAGTTTGTTATTACCAACCTTCTGAAGCCTGCTTCTGTCAACTCGTCAAAGTCATTCTCCATCCAGCTTTGTTCCGTTGCTGGCAAGGAGCTGCAATCCTTTGGAGGAGAAGAGGCATTCTGGTTTTTAGAATTTTCAGCTTTTCTGCTCTGGTTTCTCTCCACCTTTGGTCTTTGATGTTGGTGACCTACAGTTGGGGTTTTGGTGTAGATGTCCTTTTTGCTGATGTTGATGCTATTCCTTTCTGTTTGTTAGTTTTCCTTCTAACAGGTCCCTCAGCTGCAGGTCTGTTGGAGTTTGCTGGAGGTCCACTCCAGACCCTGTTTGCCTGGGTATCACCAGTGGAGGCTGCAGAACAGCAAATATTGCAGAACAGCAAATATTGCTGCCTGATCCTTCCTCTGGGAGCTTTGTCCCAGAGTGCTACCCACCTATATGAAGTATCAGTCAGCCCCTACTGGGAGGTGTCTCCCAATTAGGCTACATGGGGGTTTGGGACCCACTTGAGGAGGCAGTGTGTCTGTTCTCAGAGGTGAAATGTCATGCTGGGAGAACCGCTGCTCTCTCCAGAGCTGTCAGACAGGGATGTTTAAGTCTGCAGAAGTTATCTGCTACCTTTTGTTCAGCTATGCCCTGTCCATAGAAATGGAGTCTATAGAGGCAGTAGGCCTTGTTGAGCTGCTGTAGCCTCCACCCCATTTGAGCTTCCCAGCCGCTTTACCTACTGAAGCCTCAGCAATGGTGGATGCCCCTCTCCTAGCCAGGCTGCCACCTTGCAATTTGATCTCAGACTGCTGTGCTAACAGTGAACAAGGCTCTGTGGGCACGGGACCTGCCAAGCCAGGCACGGGAGAGAATCTCCTTCTCTGCCAGTTGCTAAGATCTTGGAAAAAGTGCAGTATTTGGGTGGGAGTGTCCTGTTTTTCCAGGTACAGTCTGTCATGGCTTCCCTTGACTAGGAAAGGGAAATCACCTCACCCTTGTGCTTCCTAGGTGAGGCGACACCCCACCCAGTTCAGAGCCATTTTAAACAATGAAATCACCAATGAAAAGCACAGAAACGTGAAAAACAGCGCACTACATAAACTGCAAAAAGTAAAAAAAAACCTAACTAACTTAACAATGTGAGAGCTGGGAATATGTGTGTCCAGTATTTTTCACCACCCTGCCAGTGTCCATGAAAGCAAAAGCGAAAGCTCCTGTAAGTACTGACTTTTGGGTTACAAATTTTATCATGTAGATTATTTTATAAACACAATCTGCAAATAATGGGGATCGACTGTATGTGTCAGAAGATTGGAGAGTACCTGGGACTGAGCTTCTGTAGACCTGATTCTGGGTTTCAAATCTGCTGCTTGTTAGCTATGTAATTGGGTAAGTCATAACATTTATAGGCCTCAAAATCCCTCTGAGTCCAGAAATAAGGGTATGCATGATATTATACCTGGTTTTCAGGGCATTTACCACCTTTTTTAAAATAGAAAATTGAGAGTACAAAAACACTAAACTTCAAATTTCTAAACAAAAATTTGATTTTGCTACAATTCACACTTATGCCCTCCCTATTCATATCTGCCAAGAAATTTTCCCAAATTTGGGAAGATTTAAATATGCATATTTAAAAATTATTATGGCCCACCTAGATAAGATATAGTAACAGGGACCAGAGTTACCATTCCACCAAAAACAACTAAAAGAACAAAAAATATGTGAAACCATGGGTTTAAAGATTTATATATTAGGCAATGGACAGTGATTTCTGAAAGAAGGAAAGCAAATGAGGTAAATTTTATAATTGCCTCAGCTTACCACCCAAAGCAAATATCCAGGTATCAGTTGCAGGGAGCAGGAGCTCAGACAGAGCCCAGTGATGTCCCTGAGTTGAGGTGATGGAGCACAGGAGTAAGGCAAAGTTAAGAAACTAGAGTTTACAGAGCAGAGTCCCAGAGAGAGCTGCAAAGAGAATGCACACTAAAGAGATTTATAGAGGGGTCTCTTAAGGCTTTAGCTGAGTACTGATCAGTGTATTTATATGAAGGAACTACTCAAGGCTGGGGAAAGAACCACCTAAAAAGATTAGAGAACACAGCGCTCACAAAGAGCCAGGAATCATTCCTGGTCCCTAGAGCTAAAAATCTCATAATTCATGTGCTACCAGGTAGAATACATAGAAGGCTTCACCTCACAAGTTTGAAAACATTAGCCCTAGAATAAATGCTGCCCTGGCCCTATCTAAGAAAATTTAAAAGCAACACATGAAAGCATCAAACTTTTTCCAAATGATCTAACTGTATTTCACAATAAAGTTCAAGAATATTTATGGGAATACAAAATATTCAGCATCTAAATGTCTGGCATTTAATAAAAAATTGCCAGACATTCAGTAAAAGAGAAAAATATGACCTATGAGAGAAAAGATCAATTGACGCCTACCCAGAAATTATACATATTACATAAATAGTGGGAAAAGACATGAAAACAGTTATAATTATATTCTATATGTTCAAGAAGCTACAAGACTGAGAAGTGTAGATAGATACAGAACATTTTAAAAACCCAAGTTAATTTATAGAAGAAAACTACAAAGTTTGATATAAAAATAGACTAGGTTGGATGAATGGCTATAATATAGCCATTGAATATAGCAGGAAAAAACAGTAAACTTGAAGATATAGAAATAAAGCTATCCAAAAAGAAATAGAAAAAAAATAAGCTTTGAGACAACTTCAAGTGGCCTAATACATGTGTAATCGAATTCCTGAAAGCCAAGAAAGATAGTGGAGAGAAAAACATTTTTGATAAGACAATGGCTAATATTTTTTCCATGTTAGATGAAAACTCCAAATCCTCAGATCCAAGATGATCATCAAACTTCAGGAATAAGAAAAATGAATAAAATGCCATCAAGGCAATATGAACATCAAATTACTTAAAAGTAATAAGAGAATATCTTAAAAGCACCCAGAGAAAAAAGAATACAAACATTCAATGGAACAAGGAAGAACCATAGTGGGCAGGGCACCCCCGGTGGCTCATGCCTATAATCCCAGCACTTTGGGAGGCTGGGGCAGGCAGATTACTTGAAGCCAGGAGTTTGAGACCAGTCTGGCCAACATGGAAAAACCCTGTCTCTACTAAAAATACAAAAAGTAGCTGGGCATCATGGTGTGCACCTGTAATCCCAGCTACTAGGGAGACTGAGGCACAAGAATCATTTGAACCTGGGAGGCTGAGATTGTGCCACTGCACTCCAGCCTGGGCAACAGAGTAAGACTGTCTCCAAAAAATAAAAAATAAATAAAAAAAAAGGGGGGGTGGTGAAATACCTTCAAAGTACTGAAAGAAAAAATGTCTAAATAAATTTAAAAGTATTCTAGTCATGTTTTCTGGTTATGATGTAATTAAATTAGAAGTTAGAAAGGTATAAGGTATAGGAAATATTCCCAGAATATTTGGAAACTAAATAACACACTTCTAAATAACACATAATCACAAAAGAAATCTAAAGGGAAAACACAATGTATCAAATTTTGTGGGCCTGGCATGGTGGTTCACACCTGTAATCCCAGCATTTTGGGAGGCTGAGGTGGGAGGCTCACTTGAACCCAGGAGTTTGAGACAAGCCAGAGCAACATAGTGTGACCCCCATCTCTACAAAAAATTTAAAAATAAAAAATTAGCCAAGTGTGGTAGCTCATACGTGTAGTCCCAGCTACTTGGGAGGCTGAAGCAGGAGGATCGTCTGAGCCCAGGAATTCAAGGCTGCAGTAAGCCATGATCACACCACTGCACTGCAGCCTGGGTGACTGAGGCCCTGTCTATTAAAAAAAAAATGCAGCTAATGTGACACCTAAGATAAATTTATAGCTCTAAATGCCTGTTTAACAAAAAGATCTCAAATTAATGGCATCAGCTTCCACCTTAATGAAAACAGAACACGAACAAAAACACAGTGTAGGAAGAATAAAGGAAACAATAAAGATCTAGCCAGTGAAATATAAAACAAAAACAGAAAAAAAATCAATGAAACCAAAAGCTGGTTCTTTGAAAATATCAATAAAACTTCTAGCCAGATTATCAGGAAAAAAGATAATTTGCCAATATCAGAATGAGGTGATATCACTACATATTCTACAGATATTAATAAAATATGAACTATATCAATACATTAGATTAATGAAATAGATGAATTATTTGAAAGGTACAAGCTCAACCAAAAAGAAATATATAAATTGAATTTTTCTATATCTATAAAATTGAATTTGTAGTTAAAACTTCTTAAAAAGAAAATACACCAGGCCCAGATAGCTTTACTGGCAAATTCTTTCAAACTTTAAGAAGAAGTAATACCAATTTTATGCAAACTTGTCCAGATAATTGAAGATAAAGAGGTGGAATGCTTCCTCATTATACAAGGCAAAATATAGAGAGAGACCAACATCCCTCATGAATATAGATGCAAAAATTAAGTTTTAGCAAATCCAACAATACATAAACATGGTAATATTTCATCACTAAGTAGGCTTTATCCCAGGAATAAGGTGATTTTTAGATTCAAAAGTTGATAATAATGCATCAATTAATAGGCCCAAAAAATCAAATCAGCCACATAGTCAATACATGGAGAAAAAGCACTTGAAAAATTTAATATCCATTTCCAATTTAGGAAAAAAAAAACCCTCACAAATAGGAATAAAAGGCAAAGTCCTAAATCTAATAAAGACGACCTACAATAAAAAACCTACAGCTAACATCATATTTAATGGTGAAAGGCTAAATGCTTTCTTCCTAAGATCATGAACAAGTCAAGTATTTCTGCTCTTACTACCTCTATTTGACATTTCACTGAAGGTTTCAGCCAGTAATAAACAAAAGGCATACAGACTGAAAAGGAAGAAGTCATTATTCACAGACAACATGATTGTCTATGTAGAAAATCTATGAAATCTAAATAAGGTCAGCAAGCCTCTAGAATACAGATCAGTATACAGAAATCATTATATTCCTATATCTAGAAATATTTAGAAATTGAAATATTTAAAATATCAAAAATATGAAATGCTTAGGGAAAATTTTGTAAGAACTATACACTGAAAACTAAAACACATTGCTGAACGAAATTAAAGAGCTAAATAAATGGAGACATATACCATGTTCATGAATTGGAAGACTTAATATATCAATTCTCCTCCAGATTCCCCAGTAGATTCAATACAATCTCAACAGGATTTTTTTGGTAGAAAGGAACAGGCTACATTCTAAAATTTATACAGAAATGAAAAAGACATAGAATGAAGGAATTTTGAAAAAGAACAAAGTCGGAAAAATTAATCTACCTGATTTCAAGCCTTATACAGCTACAGCAATCAAGACAATGTGTTATTGGTATAAAAATAGAAACAGATTGATGAAACAGAAAAATTCAGAAATAGATTTATGTATAGGTGGTCACTTGATTTTTGCCAAAGTTGTTAAGATAATTCAATGTAAAAAAAGGATGTTTTAAACAAATGGTGTTAGAACAGTTAGATAGCTATGTTAAAAACAATAAACTTTGGTCTTTACCACACCCCCTATGCAAGCATATCTCAGCGATATGGGTTTGGTTCCAGACCACTGCAATAAAGCAAATAGCTCAGTGAAGCAAGTCACACAGATTTTTTGTTTTTCTACTGAAATAACAGCTTATACTATACTCTAGACTGTTAATAGCATTATACCTAAAAATAAAAAACCCCTAAATGTCCATACCTTAATTTAAAAGTACTTTGTTGCCAAAAAATGCTAATGATTATCTGACCCTTCAATGAGTCATAATCTTTTTGCTGCAAATCATTTCCTGTCTCAATGTTGGTGGTTGCTGAAGGCTGGGATGGCTGTGGCAATTTCTGAAAATAAGACAACAATGAAGTTTGTTGCACTTATTGACTCTTCCTTTCATGAGAGAGCCCTCTGTATAGCATGTGATGCTGGTTGATGGCATTTTACCCACAAGACAACATCTCTCAAAAATTGGAGTAAGTCTTCTCAAACACTGCCACTGTTTTATCAACTATGTTTATGGAATATTCTAAATCCTTGCTTGTTATTTCAACAATGTTCATGGCATCTTCACCAGAAGCAGATTCCATTGTTCAAAAACAAACAAACAAACAAAACACATTGTTCAGTTGTAAGAAGCAACTCTCATTCATTCCAGTTTGATCATGAGAGTGCAGCAATTCAGTTACATCATCAAGGCTCCACTTCTAATTCGAGCTCTATTGTTATTTTCACCACGTTTTCAGTGATTCCTCCACTGAAGTCTTGAACCCCTCAAAGTCATCCATGAGGGTTGGAATCAATTTCTTCCAAACTCCTACTAATGTGTATATTTCAACCTCCTCCCATGAATCACAAATGTTCTTGATGATATCTAAACTGGTGAATCATTTCCAGAAGGTTTTCAATTTACTTTGCCCAGATCCATCAGAGGAATTACTATCTAATAGCAGCTATAACCTGATGAAATGTATATCTTAAATAATTTGAAAGTCAGAATTACTCCTTGATCTGGGGCCTGCAGAATGGATGCTGTGTTAGCAGGCATGAAAACAACATTCATTTCCTTGTACATCTCCACCAGAGCTCTTGAGTAACCAGGTGCATTGTCAATGAGCAGTAATATGTTGAGAGGAATCTTTTTTGGGGGACAGTAGGTCTCAACAGTGGCCTTAAAGTATTCAGTAAACTATGCTGTAAACAGATGTGCTGTCATCTGGGCTTTGTTGTTCCATTGACAGAGCACAGACAAAGTAGATTTAGCATAATTCTTAAGGACCCTAGTATTTTAGGAATGCTAAATTAGGGTTGGCTTTAACTTAAAGTCACCAGCTGCATTAGCCCTAACAAGAGCCAGCCTGTCCTTTGAGGCTTTGAAGCCAGGCATTTACTTCTCTAGCTATGGATGTCTAAGATGGCATTGTCTCCCAAAAGAAGGCTGTTTCATCTACATTGAAAAGTTTGTTTAGTGTAGCCACTTTCATTAAGGATCTCAGATCTTCTGGATTACTTGCTTCTGCATCAATTTGCTGCATCACTTTGCACTTTGTTATGGAAATAGCTTCTTTCCTTAAACATCATAAATCAACCTCTGCTAGCTTCAAACTTATTCTGCAGTTTCCTCACCTCTGTCAGCCTTTACAGAATTGAAGAGTTAAGGCCTTGTTCTAGGTTAGATTTTGGTTTAAAGGACTATTGTTGCTGTTTTAATCTTCTATCCAGACCACTCAAACTTTCTCCCTTAATGGCAATAAGGCTATTTTGCTTTTTTATTATTTGTGTTCACTGTAGGTTCACTTTTAATTTCCCTCAATAACTTTTGCCTTCACAACTTGGCTAAGCATTTCATGCAAGAGGCCTAGTTTTTGGCCAATCTTGGCTATCAACATAACATCCTCACTAAGCTAAATCACGTCTAACTTTTGATTTAAAGTGAGAGATGTGTGACTCTTCCTTTCACCTGAACACTTACATGCCATTTTAAGGTTATTAATTGGCCTAATTTCAATATTGTGTCTCAGGCAATAGGGAGGCCCAAGGAGAGAGAGAGACATGGGGAAACAGCCAGTCTGTGGAGCGTCAGAACGTACGTCGACGTCGCACTGACAGATTAAGTTTGTCGTCTTATGTGAGTATGGCTCCGGGTGTCCCAAAATAATTATAATAATAACATCAAAGATCACTGATCAGCATAACAGATATAATAATGAAAAAGTTTAAGAATTACCTAAATGTGACAGACATACAAAGTGAGCACATGCTGTTGGAAAAATGGCACCAAGAGACTTTGTTGCCACAAACCTTCATTTTATAAAAAAATGGAAGATCCATTGGGCACGATAAAGCAAAGTGCAATAAGATGAGGTATGCCTATACAAAAATTACCTTAAAAAGGCATAGAGCTAAATGCAAAAGCTAAAACTATAAAATTTGGGAAATGAAAAAAACAGAAAACTTTAGGGACCCTAAGTTTGGCAAAAATTTAAGCATCACAACATACAAATCATGAATAAAACATGAAAAAAATAGATACCAAAATTTTTAAATTTGCTCTTTAAAAGACTTGCAAAATGAAAAGACAAGCCATGGCCTGGGAGAAAATATTTACAAAAGATATATATCTAACAAAGCACATCATCTATGTATATTAAAAATGCTTGCAACTCAGCAATAGAATCCAAACAGCCTAATTTTTAAAAAATGAATATCTAACAAGACACTTCACCAGTGAAGATGGATGGCAAATTGCATATGAAAAGATGCTCAACACCGCTAGTCATTAGAGAAATACAAATAAAACCATTATGAGATACTACTCCACTCCCACTGGAATGGCTAAAATTAAAGAGGCTGAGCACAGCAAGTGCTGGGAGAATGCTGAGCAACTGGACCTCTCACACACTGGTGGGAATGTAAAATGTTAAGAACAATTTGGAAAGTAGTTCAACCTTTCCTTAACAACTGAATCATATAACTCCCATATGACCCAGCCATTCCACTCCTCAGTATTTAACCAAGAAAACTGCAAATCTTTGTCCCTACAAAATATTTGTTCACAAATCCTCACAGCAGCTTTGTAATAGCAAAAGTTGGAGTTACAATCAACAGGTGAACAGGTATAGTCATTCAATGGAATACTACCCCTCAATAATCAGGAATGAAGTACTGATGCATGTAACAACACCGATACATCTCAAAATACTGAGATGAAAGAAGCCAGACCAAAAAAAATATACATACTATACTATTCTATTTAGATGAAATTATTGAAAATGAAAACTATAGTAATGGAAAGCACTTCAATGGTTGCCTGGGGAGAGGGGATGGGTGGGAAGCAGAGATTATAATAGGGCATGAAATATCTTCTGGAGGTGGTGGAAATGTTCATTGTCTTGATTGTGCTGATGGCTTCAGTGGTATTTACATGTAATCAATTCTCATAAAATTGTATACTTTGAATATATATATCTATCTCAAAGTTTTAAAAAATTTCTATAAAATCTGCTTTCCATCTGTCATTGAAAATTTTGCAAATGATGCTTAGGTCATCCAACTGTTCATCTACACCAAGAGAATGCTGTGTGGTCATAATCTTTCCTCCCTTGAAATCCTGGGGCTTTTTCCCCTCTGGAGTCCTTCCCTGTACAAGCTTCCAAAGCATGAACTTCCTTCCTGAAGCATGAAAGAAAGCTCTTTGCTGAGTACAGCAAACCCACCAAGTTAAATAAAACCTACTTTCATCATCCATCTATGTTTTTTTCCATGTATTTCTGACAACTCACCATTGATTTTGGAAACTTCCCAGTCGTTTTGTAAGCTTCCACTGCCGAGGGAAAATGTAAAATGGGGACCCCGAAATAAGTGCTGATCATCATCAGTAGCCTCGAAAATGAGACTTCCAGGTGCACTGAGGGGATGGCAGAAGAACAAGCCCGTGTAGTCCTTGGCTAGCCTGGGAGGGTTGTCATTCACATCCATAAGGATCAGGTGGAACTCTGACACAGAGCTCAAGGAAGACCCCCCTAAGGAATTGAATGATTGAAACATGGGATCAGTTCACTCATTTTCCTCTTAATAAGAAAGATTTCCCTTTCTTTAAAATTCAAGGAGTTAGGTACACTGAGATGCTAGAAAGACGACAAGCTTTTAGAATCAAAGACCTAGTTTCATTACTGGTGAAAAAGTCTTACTGACCATCATAATAATAACTAAGAGATATGTGCTAATATTTTACATATATTACTTCAAAATAATTGTGAAAACTGAGCTCAGAAGTTGTGTAACTTGCCCAAGGCAGAGAGGTTTTCAATCCAAGAGGTCTAACTCTAGCACTCACACCTTCACTTGCTCTTTAGCAGGCCTTAGGCATGTTAGTAGAGTTTTCTAAGCTTATTTTCTTCAGCTGTGTGGCTTTGCAAGAATCCCACATATGAGTGAATGTTCTGGAAAATAGTAAAAGGCTCCACAGACATTATTTACTATATGATAGGAGTAAAAAACTTGGATCTGCAGCATAACTGGTTGGTAGCTATGTAATCTTGGGCAAGTTACTTAATTTCTCAGTGCTTTGGTTTCCTTGTTCACAGTATGTGGTCAATAATAGCACCTACGTTATAGTGTTGTATGAGGAGTAAGTTATTACACTAAGTGCTCAGTATGGGGCTGTCAGTGCAACATAAACACTGACTGTTATCATGTCCTCCTCAACACCAATCACAGACATTGTTTCTACAACTTCTGACTCTGACCTTGTTTGATTCCAGTAATGTTTTCTTGCTCATTTCTAGTAAACCCTGTTTTCTTGATTTTCTTCTCAACATCGTCTATGTCCATGGCTATACTTAACCAAAGAAGAAAAGGCCACTGTGTTCTCGAAGTTATTGTATCTATTTATATCATGTCAGTGCCAGAAACTAAAAACAGAACAGGGTTTTGGACCCTGGTTTTGATTTCTGAAACTTCTAGAATGTGAGAAACTCTTGGGACACATCCAGAGTGAAGTTCTGATCCCCATGGTATGAGAAAGGGGTGTGCACAGCATAAAGGCTCAGCCAGAACCTGCCTGCTGCTTCACTGGGAGGTTTTAAATCAAGAGTTAAATGTATACAATGTGATAGTGGAATGTGCTGCACTCAAGCAAGAGACAGAAGCAGAGGGCCTGTCCATTCACACACACCCCTCCCAAGCTGGCACACCGTTCTGCATTCTACCCTTTTTGGTTTGACTTGACTGAAGTAATTTTGTTTTTCTTAATCTTTCCACATGCAGGGGCCGTTTTTATGATTCCTGTCTCTCTTCTCCAATTCAGCTCTCAACCCTGGCCCTCACATTTTGAAAGTTTTTTTCCGGGGCTGTGGTGGGGGAGTCTAAAAACATATTTATTGAGTAATTTGTTTAATTCTCTTTTTTGGTAAACCTGCCAGATACATTTACTAGCTAATTAGAGACTGGTCAACATTGGATCAACAGATTTCCTACTTGTATGTCTGAAAATTCCATGAAAATGCAAAGAAACTCTTTTTTAGTTGCCAGGCTTATTATTGGGTAAACATACTATTCCTATGTGTTTATTTTTATTTTAAAAAAGTTCTCTGGAACTCCACAGTTGGAGCCAGCAGGCAATATATATCAGCACAACTAAAATAAATAAGATACAAAGATTACACAGGAATGGCTCAAACATCCTGGGCTTTTCTGTCTTTCCTTTCAAAAGTTCACCTGATTTCGTCAAAACACAGATACCCCTTGTTCACCCAAACCTATGGAATCAGAAACTCCAGGGGTGGACTCCTAGTGTTATTCAACAAGCTCCCCGGGGATTCTCACACACATCAAAGTAGAGAACATTTCATAAAACATTTTCTGCTTCAAAAAGGATGAGAGTTACAATTTAAGGCTGAAGGAGCAAGTGGTGGTCTACGTGAACAGGTCAGTGGTTTGATTCCACTCAGAGCTCCTGGGGGAAACCCACAACCACATTGGAAGAAGGGAGGTAGTTCAGCCAGGGACACAGAACTCTCTAGAAGAGGCCATAGCCCCTACAGGAAACCACAGAGTGAGCAGCAGCCCTGCTGGGGGCACAGGTGTTTTTCACCTTTAACAAAACCACAAAGGGGCTGGGCGTGGTGGCTCACACCTGTAATCCCAGCACTTTGGGAGGTGGAGGCAGGCAGATCACCTGAGGTCGGAAGTTTGAGACCAGGCTGGCCAACATGGTGAAACCCTGTCTCTACTAAAAATACAAAAATTAGCCAGGCATGGTGGTGGGTGCCTGTAATCCCAGCTACTCGGAAGGCTGAGGTAGGAGAATTGCTTGAACCCAGGAGGTGGAGGTTGCAGTGAGTGGAGATCGCACCACTGCACTCCAGCCTGGGCAACAGAGCAAGACTCCATCTCAAAAAAAAAAAAAAAAAAAAAAAAAAAAGGAAGATATGAGCACTCCCTTATATTTTGTACCCTTCTCATCCTTCCACTTTAAGGTTGTGATATTCTGGTGTTTTGGCCCTGTCAGTTTTCTTATCCTCCCTCCCATTTCAACCCATGTATCTTCTGATAATCTGTGTTCCTTTTTTTTTGTTTTTTTTTTTTTTTTGCTTACCTACTTCTGTGGCCACCACTTGTACCCGATATGGACTTCCGGCTTCTCTGTCCAATGGAGCCACACTAAAGATCTCACCAGTCACGTGGTCAATTTTAAGCCAACCTCTTGTGTCTCCCCTCAGTGAATAGCTTCATCAAATGAAAAGAGCAAAAGAAAGCCTGCATTACTTTGCATGAAAATGTGAAGCTAGTTTGTGCGTCAACTAAATATGTTTGTGCATCCTTGAAATATGTTGTAAATAATATACAAATGATAATGCTGAGATTATCATTATCAGCATTACTTGTATATTATTTAAAACATATTTAAAGGATCTATTATCTCATATTATTAATGCTTTATTTGCATTTCATCTGTCTTCAAAAGGATTTGTTCATCCTTACAATGTGGTGTTTGTGCTTGTATTAGGAAGGGTATAGTTCACAACTTCTGGGGAAAGTAGTTAAACTTTTCTGGCAATCAAAAACTCAAATTAAAGTAACCTGGAAGTATCTTTTAAAACCTCTTAGCAAACCACCCACCTAGAAAATTTGAACACCCAGTGGTGGAAACGTTGGGCGAGATGGGTGGATACTCATAGACCCTGGTAACACAGTGAATTCCTCATCCAACAAACATCTATTGAGTGCTGAGGAAGATCAGGCAGTGGGCCAAGGGAAGAGATCACAAAAAGGTGTTCTTAGGCAAGTGAGATAGACAGATAAACAGTTGATTCCAATAAAATGTGGTAAACACAACAGAGGGGGCCCTATGGAATCCAAGAGAAGTTTACAGGAATCAGCAAAGTCTTTCTGAAGTAGTAGATGTTTAAGGCAAGAAGAAGACGCTTCAAGTAGAAGGAAGAGTGTGAGATAAAGCACCAAGGGCCAAGGAACAGCATGGTGAGTGTGGGGTCAGGCATTTCAGCAGTGCTGGGGTATACTTGGGAAGCAGAAGGTGGCAAAAGGTGAAGCCACAGAGATTTGAAGAGCCAGATCACAAGAAGCAATGGGCAGCCAGCCAATGATTTAAGCAAGAAGGTGACCTGGCCATATTTGTGCTTTCAACGGAGCTCATTGGTAGGTGTTTGGAAGATGAAGTTGAGACAGACAAGACTAGAACCACAGGAAAACCAATGGTAGTCCTTTAAAAAGCAACACATCATAGTCATGAGGATGTCCATATCTTTAGACCAAATAATTTCACTCCTGGAAATGCTACCTAAAAAAACCCAATTTAATCAAAGTTTAAAAAGAATTACATGCATACATCTATTTAAAACATTTTCTATAATAAAAAATACTGGAAGCAACCTACATATCAAAGGACAAGAGAATCATTAAAAAAGTATGATGTGTTAATTTCCCACAATGTATTTTTTTAGTATATTCCATATGCCAAACACTGTGTTAGGTTATATACATGGGTAATGAGTATGAAACCCTTTATACTTGGGATTTCATCCTGAAAGAGATGGAATGCTTTGGAGGGTTTTGAAAGAGGAGTCAGATGATCTGATTGACTTTTTTAAAAGGTCACTGACTGCAATTCAGTGAGTAGATTCAGAGTGGGGTGGGGGACGGCAGGGGCAAGGACGAATCCAGAACAGACATGGTGGTGCCTTGGAGCAGGCTGGAAGCAGGGAGAAGCAGGTGGATTCTGAATATATTTCAATAAAAGAATCTATAATATTTGCTGAAGGATTGGATTCAAATCCATTGGGTGCTAACAGATTTTAAGTTTGTGGAGCTGGAGAATTAAATTACTCAGACCAACACTGGAGTCATCCTTAATTCTTAACAGACTTATTACTCATGTCTGAACTATTGATTATTCCTTACTCCTGAAACACTTTCTTCATTTGTCTTCTGGAATTGTACCTTACAGAACACCTCTTCTCAGTCTCCCTTGCTAACCTCCTCTTCCTGACCTCAACTTAATGGTATATGTATCCTTTCCTTGTTTCATCACAGTAATTTTCTTACATGCCTTTATTTTTCCCACTGATAAACTTTTTATTCACGTCTTTGACCAATGGTTTTTATAGCATTTTCATGAAGAAGATAGGAACTTTTGTTAAATAAATGGTATAAAGATTAAAAACATTTTGTGTCTTCTCATAATTTTTGACCCAGTAGTATCTACACTAAACCATACAGTATATCCCCTACTGTTCTTTCTTCTCTGTAAAACTACAGAAGTAGTTAGAGTAAAACTGCAGGTGGTAACTTTGCTTCTCAATGATCAGATAAAGGTCTTAGAAGTGAATCCAAGTGCCTGAAGGACAGCTCAATGGGAGGCAAGACTCCCTCCAGATGTTTAGAGAAACTTAAGGAATTGTCTGCCATTCATAGCCACACGCGTGATTTAAGTCATGCTGAAATATTTCCTATGCCATAGACAGGAGGTGTAATGTACAACAGCAGCGAAAGATCTGAGTTCAAGTCTTAACTACATGATCTTAAAGATTTTATAGATATTATACAGATATATACAAACATATATTTCTTAAGTTAATCATCATTGTACTTTTTAAGGCAAATCTGTGTGGGTCTTACTGAACTGAAAAAAAGGAATTGCTAAGATGGAAATATTTACACATTTTGTTTAGCCACCTCAGCCAGAGCACCAGCTTCTCCAGGGGTGCCCTAGATCAGCTCTTTGGAGCCAAGGAACCTATGTATCCTACATCCAGAAGATTCCCTCAGCCCTGTAAGTTGGCATGGTCTGTCCAATTGGGCTTTGGTCTCTGTCTAGAACTCCAATACACCTTTAGGGCTGGAACCCTTTCCTAAACCCTAGCCTAGATAACAGGCTTAGACACAGGGCCTGGTTATTCTAGTCTCTCAGAGGTGAACCTCACTTCCTGAACCATCCAGCTCTCAGCTGGGACCTGAAGCTCATGGGCTGGAATGGAACCTCATGCTGCTTCCCACTTGTCTGAGCCTAGATGGTTATTGATGAACCACCATCCCTTGGAATGCCCCCAGGGTGTTGACAGCTTCCTAAACCAAAGCCAATTTCATCATTGCTGGGTATGCTGTGAGGGTCAGCCCTGGAGTCAGTGCAGGCCAGCTCCTCCTCCTCCCCATTGGCTTTGGTGACCACGCAGCCAGGCCTGCCCAGCACTGTTGCCCTTTACCTTATGTCCAGACCTTCTGGATCCTTGGCAGTCACATTGCCCACTTTAGTGCCTATAGCTACATCCTCACTGACTTTCGCTTGGAATACGTGTTGGGAAAATTGAGGTGCTTCATTCACATCTGTCACAATAAGCGTGAACTTGGCAAAAGAACTTGCATTGTACTTCACACCAAACACTAGAGGCTCAGGATTTTCTGCTTTGAACACAATGTTGGAAACAGCTGCTGTTTCAAAATCAAGAGGCTGTGTAGGAGAAAGAGAGAAAATTAATTTTGGGGTGATTAGCTCCCTTAAAAGATTCATTCCCTATCCTTCTTAAACTCTCATATATTCGATATATAATATTGGAAAAACTGGATATCCACATGTGGGAGAATGAAATTAGACTATTTCATACCATATATGAAAATCCGTTAAAAATAGATTACAGACAAAATATAAGACCTGAAACTATAACACCACTAGAATAAAACATAGAAGAAAACTCTGACATTGGTCTTGGCAATGATCTTTTTTTATTATTTTTTATTTTTGAGATGGAGCCTCATGCTCTGTCACCCAGCCTTGAGCCTTGAGTGCAGTGGCGCAATCTTGGCTCACTGCAAGCTCCGCCTCCCAGGTTTGTTCAAGTGATTCTCCTGCCTCAGTCTCCCAAGTGGCTGGGATTATAGGCACCCACCACCACACCCAGCTAATTTTTGTATTTTTAATAGAGACAGGGTTTCACCATGTTGGCCAGGCTGGTCACAAATTCCTTACCTCAAGTGATCTGCCCACCTTGGCCTCCCAAAGGGCTGGGATTACAGGTATGAGCCACCATGCCTGGCTGGAATAGAAGTTTATCTGACTCTCAGTTCTAGAGGCTGGAAAGCCTAAGAACATGGCACCAGCATCTGTTGAGGACTTTGTGCTGTGTTATCCTATGACAGAAGGGCAAACCATCTCACGAGATAGAGGAAACTCACCCTTTTATTTTTAGTAGAGAAGGGGGTTTTGCCATGTTGGCCAGGCTGGTCTCAAATTCCTGACCTCAAGTGACCCACCCACCTCAGCCTCCCAAAATGCTGGGATTATAGGCGTGAGCCACTATGCCCAGCCTAGCAATGATCTTTTAGGTGTGACCCCAAAAACACAGACTACAAAAGCAAAAATAGACAAATGGGATTGCATCAAACTAAGAAGCTTCTACATAGCAAAGGAAACAGTGAAGCAGCAACTTACAGATCAGGAGAAAATATTTGCAAATACACATTAGAAAAAGGATTAATATAAAAAATTTATAAGGAACTCAAACAACTCAGTAGCAAGAAAACAACCTGTTTAAAACCTAGGCAAAGGACCTGAATAGTCATTTCTCAAAAGAAGACATACAAATAGCCAACAAGTATATGGAAAAAAATGCTCATTACTAATCATCAGAGAAATGCAAATTAAAACCCCAATGAGATATTACCTCACACCTGTTAGAATGACTTATCAAAAAGACAAAAAACAAACATTGGTGAGGATGTGGAGAAAAGGGAACCCTGTACACTGTTGGTAAGAATGTAAATTACAATAGCCATTGTGGAAAACAGTATGGAGGAAACTCAAACAATTAAAAATAGAACTACCATACGATCCAGAAATCCCACTACTGGGTATATAAAGTCAGTATGTCAAAGAGATATCTGCACTCCTATGTTCCCTGCAGCATCATTCACAATAGCCAAGACATGGAATCAGCCTAAGTGTCGAACAACAAACAACTGGATAAACAAAATGCAGTATATATATGCATACATACACATACATACACACGCACACACATATATATATACACACACACAATGAAATACTGTTCAGCTTTAAAAAGGAAGGAAGTTCCATCATTTGTGATAACACGGATGAACCTAGAAGATATTACGGTAAGTGAAATAAGCCAGGCATGAAAAGACAAATACCACATGTTCTCACTTGTATGTGGAATCTAAAGGTGTTGAACTTGGAGAGTAGAATGTTGGTTACCAGGAGCTGGGGCATGAGGAGATTGGGGAGGTGCTGGTAAAAGCATGCAAAATTTCAGTTAGAAGGAATGAGTTTAAAATATCTATTTTACAACGTGGTACTATAGTTAACAACAATATAGTGTATACTTTAAAATCACAGAAGAGTAGATCTTAAGTGTTTTCATCACAAAAAATGATAAGTGAGGTAATTCAGATGCTAGTTAGCTCTAATTAGTCATTCTACAATGTATGTATATTTCAAAACATGTTGTCCTCCTATACAATTTTTGTCAATTATAAACAAGACAAACTTTCATAGCAGTGGTTCTCAATCGAGTGTCAGCAAAAACCTTCTCAGAATGATTACAGAGCCATGAAAGAGTCTTTTCTGCAGGTCTTACCAGAGCTTGCACTACGCTAATATGTCTTAGAAGAGGAACTGGAACACGGAAGTCCTCAAATTTATTTAACTGTGGGACACTTCATTTATTCAACAGAAATGTATTGATTCTCCCAAGACATTCTCAGGTGACAGCTTGAGAAATGCTTACATAGAGATTTCCATTTTTTATGGGAAATGATTTTCCAAGGGCCTCAAAACTCAAGCCCCCAAATCAAAGATTTTAAACTCATGGAGGATGGGAAAGGGAAACAGAGATGACAGATGATCTGCTGAGGACATGCCAGATGGAACCAGGAATGAACATCAAGAAACCAATTTTGGTTTAATATGAGGCAGAATTTAACAGGGCTACCCAAGAGTACTCCCCCTCTTCAGGAGTGGGCTTACTGCTGTCTTCTCCGTGTCGGCTTCCTGATCCCTACATTCCATCCTCAAACTGACAAGCTGCACATCCTGTGCAGTCTCATAGCACCTAATAGATCTAAGTGTTGATGTATTTTAGATCTTCACTGACCCTAAGCTCCATGAGAAGAAGAACTGCATCATATTCATCTTTGCTTCTCATCTCTTCCCTGACACATAGTGCCCACAGTGGGCTGGTCAGGAACTACAAAGACCAGGAAGGCCTGGTCCTTGAGGGCCTCCATGGAGAGGAGATTCTGGAGAACATCCCCACCTTCCAGAATCCCCTTTCCCGCATGCATGCACCAACACACACCATCATGACTCACTCTCTAGTTCATAAGTGCTGTGGGACAATTTTTCACGTAGAAGGGTGGGAACTGTGTGTGAAGACTCGGGGTTGAGAAAGAAGAATCAATTGAAATTTGTTCAAATATATAAGAGATAAAATCATGTAAGCCAGCTAAGTGTGAAAAAAGAGGTTGTTCATAGTGATAAGCACCCACTGTCTGCAGGGCCTGGCCCTCGTCGACCTCGTGACGTGGTCCAATACACGTCACGTGGTCCACGGTTCAATTAGGGCTTCTCCCCCTGAAGTAGAGGTGGGGAGAACAAGCTGGAGTTTCTCACTCACAGGACCCACTCCCAGTCTCAGGGGATGACAGAACTGTCCAGTTGAGATAAAAGCCTAGTAGACCAAGCAGGAAGGCAGCAGCCCCCAGAATGAGCCTGTGATGGGGACAAAGGACACAGCTCTCTGTTCCTATCCAGTCCAGCAAAGTCCGGGCCCAGGCAGGCAGCACAGTTGTCCATATGCTCAGACAGAGCACATGCATCCATCCTCACCACCAAGCAGGTCCTAAGCACCCTCCCTGGCTTTTCCTCATCCCATCACTGTGGCCCCAGAGGCAATGGTTTAAAGAAATGAGACACTGTGTGTGCAAATGAGAAGCAGCCTGTATTACCAGAAGAGAACGTGCAAGGCTGACAGTGGAAAGACAAGACTGTACGGCGAGCTGAGGAGTTGGAACTTCATCCTTGACTAACAAGGTCAGATGTGTGTCTTAGAAAGATAACTCCAGGAGCAGCTACATGGGGGATGGATTCGAGGTGATCCACACTGGGGCGGGAAGACTAGCTAGAAGGCAGTGTCAGTGTTCCCTAAACACTGGATGGAAGAACAAATGAAAAGCAGCAGCCTGCCATTGAGGATTCTATCCGCATAACTTCCACACCTGGAAAAACATCAAACCAAATCTTCTGGAGAAATCATTATAAACGGAAGATGCTAAATTAGCACATGGTAATAAGCAGAGCTGAGCCAAGAACAAGCCTTGTCCGGCCACGTGCATTGTGTTTCATGACCTGGGGATATGACTGTGAGGCCAAGTCAAGAGACCCGTCACTGCCTCTTGGAATGGCCTCAGTCCCATCTGGCAAGACATATTCAAGTTAACTGAAAAAACCTGCTCATACCACGATTCCTTTTGTGCACAAAACCGCCTGAAAGGTCAAACCTAGAGATTTAGATTCAACCTGGAGGCAAAGAAAATGCTGAAGGAGAGGGGTTGAGACTGGGATATTTACAATTTTCACTAGCGATCACTGATGATATCAAAGTGTGCACATTAGTTTTCCAGATGACATTTGGTCTGGTTAAAAATAGCTAGTGAACTGAGAATTCAAAAGGATCAGCCATAGTAGAGAAGTGACAAAATTTGCAAGTTAAAATAAGGCAGAACCCTGAATTTCAAGAAACAGGATCTCAGGAGAGTTATTGTTGAGCCAGGCAGGGCTCAAAGAAATAGCTTTCCTGCTCATGACACACGTTTGGCCCCAAGAGCATGATAACCAAGCACACGAGAGGCTGGAGCTTGGGCAGAAGTAAATACAGAGCAGGGAGCATTTCTGACAGTTGTTTAATCTGAAGGATTGCTTTGGGCACTTGCCAAAATTACTCATTTCCAGGCTTTCCCCTTGAGAGGCTGAGGCCGCAGTCCTCAGTATGCACCATCTGACTCTTGAATTAGGCAAGTTTGGCCCCCTTAGGCAACAGGGGAAAGCATACCTGTCCGCAGGTAGAATCCTAGCTCTAATTAATTAGAATCAAGTGATGCCACGTGTTTAAGTCTGCAAGCTGCTGGATGCTGTGTTAGGAACTATACACATACTTTTGCATTTAATTCTTCAACATCCTTACTAGAAAGGTGCTACCATTTTACCCATTTTTACAGATTGGAAAACTGGGGCCTGAGAGGTTACATCATTTGGTCAAGGCCACAAGCTAGTAAGTGGCAACACCAGGACTCACAGAAATTATTTCCTGAGAGGAGGTGGAGGCCTGGAGTCAAGTTCCCGGCTCTGCCATCACCAGAAGGCCTGACTGTACCTTGCTGTGGGCCTGAATTTCTGCCTCCCTCAGAATCAGTGGGAGAAGCAAGAGAGTTTATGCAAACAAACTATAGTTGCCACGTATGAGTCCCTCAGTGAATTTTACCTGTGATTAGCACATTTGTAATTCAGATGAACTGTTAATGATATAATTGTGATTAACAAACTTAAACTTTTAAAAATTATTAACACAGTGGTTCAGAACAGTGGTAGTCCCTTGATGGCTTAATAGGCAAGGACTTAGAAGACAAAGCCATACATAAAAAACCAAATTATATAGTCTATAAAACACTTCAATAACAAATAGTATGGCTACATACATTTGTTATATTTTTATTCTATATCCTAGTGGGGAATTGGCTAACATTTGGTGTGTCCTAATCAAGAATCCACAGCCCAGGGTTGGTTGTTGCTTAGCATCTGAAAGAACCTAATCCGAGATCTATATCCCAGAGGTAGCTATGATAGTCCTTCAGCCAACACTATCTCAATTAGAACTAGAAAGTTTGTTAATTAGCAAAGTGATCTTACAAATAAATTTTCTTGGTGATATGAGTGGTGTCCAAGATATGCACTTTGGGCCATGCACAGTGGCTCAAACACCTGTGATCCCAGCAATTTGGGAGGCTGAGGCAGGTGGATCACTTGAGCCCAGGAGTTCAAGACCAGCCTGGGCAACATAAGGAGACCCCCATCTCTACAAAAATAAAAAATTAGCTGGGTGTGGTGGCACACACCTGTGGTCCCAGCTACTTAGGAGGCTGAGGTGGGAGGATTGCTCTAGCCCAAGAGGTTGAGGCTGCAATGAGCTATGACTGCGGCACTGCATCTGTCTCAAAAAAAGATGTGCTGTTTGGTTACGAGTATAGTGTATCCCTTAGTCATTGTGAACAGGAGTATAGATATCTGGCCTGGCCAGCAGATTGTACCCTGCAGAGTTCCAGGGCTCAGTTCTGTTCTGCCAGTTATCACCTGCCTCTGGATGGTTGAACAAATCCACTTGCTCAAGGACAGTTATCACAGTGCCCAAGGGACAGAGAGCTGGGATGTCACAGGCCTAAAGCACAGGTTCGATGATCACTTATGTGTCTGCTTGTTCATAATTGTATATGGGACAGAATTCATTTATTCATTAAGTCAAGCAATATTTATTGAACCTCTAATATATGCCAGGAGACATAATAGACACTTGAAATAGAACCACATATAAAGTAAGGATGTGACAAAGAGTTTGGTCAGAGGCCTACTCTACTGTAGCATACCTCTCGTGTCAAGTTGTGAGGGAGGATACTTACAGCTCTCACCCACAGCTAATCATTGAGATAGGTGCCAACATCTCCCTAAAAGGGCCCATTAACCACAAATGGCCAAGTTAAACTGCTGTTCAAAAAAATATGACATACGGGCCTTGTTCATACTGGGATGGATGGGCCTCTATCTTCCCTTAGATTCCTAGAGAGCTCTGGTCCTGCAAAAGGATAAAAGGAAGCTGCCCCCGTCACCTGCAAAGGAACACACCAACCCACTGCAAGCTCTGAAAACTGCCCTTTCCTTTATCCTTTCTTTCTGTGGTATTCTCTCTCCATGCAGACTGCTGTGAGCACAAGGGGAGGTTGTCATGGTACCTTTTCCAAATGTCAGACTCACACACAAGGCTAAGGCTTTGAGCTGGTCCACAGCAACCTCTCTGCTGAAATGCAGCAGGGCCCTTGGTTCAAGCTGGAATGTTTGGTAACAGTAGGATCACAATTCCAAGGCTCTGTCCTAGGGCTTGCTTCAGCACTAGTGCTTTTTTCTCTGTGCTTCTGTCCATTTTCTGTGAAATTATTCTATTTTGTCTTCATTTTTAGCCTCTTTCAGTTTTCTTTTATTCTGGCTCAAAACTGTACTCCAGAGCTTTCCTTTGCAGCTTCCAGCACACTGCACTGCAAACCTTAAACAATTAGCCACCCTTGCAGATTCTCTCTGGCCCTTTTTAACAGCGAGGTTTCACTCTCTTTCCTAGGAAAGTATCTTAACTGTAAGTACATTGGACGGCATTGAGTGCTGCTTCCAATTGAGTCATCTGGTAAACCCATGACATGCTCTAAACACAGATGAGGCAGCCACAGAGAAAAGAGTCAAGATTCAGGTATACATGGCAGGGGACAGGAGTAGATTGAGGGAGGGTTGGGAGAATCCTGTACAAAGAGACAGGAACCAAGGTAATTAAGACTTTGACTCCAGATTATCCAGTCCTTACAGAGGGAGAGACAGAATGAGAGCCCGTGGGCTTAGCAATACAGTAAAAGGTGAAAGTAAAGCAGCGGAGAGGGGGATTAAAAAGACACTTGTCTATTAAACCTTGGAAGGAGACCCAGCAGTTGCATTATTCAAAAGGTATCTCTGCCTGGCACATTAGAATAAAGGGTTTACAGCCTAAAAGGCCCATGGGGTCATCCAACCCAACTCCTCACATTTGCAAAGGGGGAAGTGAAAGCGAGACCCTGAGTGCCACTCCCAGACCGTAAGAGTGTTGCGAGATTTAGCAAATAGCAAATAAAAACATAGAACACCAAGTTCGATTTGAAGTTCAGATAAATGACAAACAAGTTTTTAGTATAAGTGCATCCCAAATATTGCATAGAACACACTTATACTAAAAAATTGTTCATCCTGCATTTTATATATTTTATATGACGTTACCTCCCTGCAAAAGTTACTTGGCTAGCTAGCAACAGAGCCAGGTCTAGAATCCTGACTTCCCGTCTGTCAGGAAGACAGGAACGACTAAGAGGAATCCAGGAATCCAGGAACCCATCACCATGCCTGAGAGATGGCTGCTAATACATCACCTCTGCTTATAGGTCTTCACACTGTCATTAGTAAATTAACCCACAAACAAAGACAAATTCTATTAAATAAATGGGCTATTTACCTTTTTAATTATGACATATCCGGTGTTGGTATGGGGATCTGTGTCAACCCCCAGGCGTCCCTCACTGTCTCCCTTTATGATATGATACAGAATTTTAGAACTCCCAGTAAATGGCTCATCAGCATCAGTGGCCTGGATGGTTAAGATGGTGGACCCAATGTTTGTGTCTTCAGCAAGAGTCAGGTTTCCATACTAAGGAGAAAATGGAGAAGGAAACAATGAGAAGGTCTGCTGTCATCAAAGCCAAAGGACAAACTTATCTCTCTGGTTTCAGAATAGACACAAGTCATAGTTTGCATCAATCTTCATGGGGCATGTTTTTTCCTATTGATGAATATATTGCAGTTGATTTTAACATCAGTCATACTCATGAGCTGATATCCATTGTACCAAAGAACGCAATACCTCAGAGAGCTACTGGTAGGATTCTAAAACAAATTCCCCCTCCCATATCCAATTTGTTTAATAACTTAATTATTGTAGTAGTAATGATATAAATAGCCACCATGTATTGAGTATCTATCAGGTGGTAGGCACTTTATATACATTATTTAATTAATTCTTAAATCAACCAATGAATAGAGGTTGATTAAAAGCTTGAACTTTGGAGTTAAACAGCCTGAATATGAATTGTAGGCTTGCTTCTTATTAGTTGAGTGGCTTGAAGCAAGTTACTTCACTTCTTTAAGTGTCAGTTTCATCATCTGTCCAATGGAGACAATAGTAATAGAACCTACTTCATGTTTGCTGTGGGTGTTAAGGGAGACAATGCATGTAAAGCTCCTAAATTCTTGGCACATAGTAAGTGCTCAATAAAGAAAATCAACAAAACACCTTACGGAGTAGTTATGTTACCATCTCCACTTACGAGGAGCAAAGGCTTGGAGAAGTAAAACCCACCAAGGGTCACACAGCTAGTGGGTCAAAGGGATTGGGATTCAAAGCCATGTTTGTGCAACTCCAAAGCCTATGCTCTTGAACACTGGCCTAGACCATCTCCCACTCCACTGAAAATCCCCCAGATTATCTCTCTTGGCATCATGATCCTAAAGAAGGTTATAAGTAGGTCTCAGAAGAGAGGACCACAGCATTGAAACAAGCAGGTTCACTCTCTGTAGCCAGATTAGTATTTAAGCTCTGAGACCTCAAGTGCAGGATTCTTACCCTCAATCTAAAAAACACTGTCTCGATAAAAGGCGAGGAGGTCACAAAGTTAGGAAAGGATCAAAAGCCCAAGAGAATGGAGGCTGAGAAGAAATGGGTTATTTGATGCCTGCTGAACCTCAGTGCCTGTTATACAAGACATATCCACTCACACCTCTTCCCACCCCTAGCCCCCTCATAAATCAATTCCCTTCTTTGTTGCAGGCTTGTCCCTATTTTGATTTATGAACATCATCACAGGGCTCTGGGCTGCCTCATAACTGACTTCAAAAATAACATAACAGTCTAGTCAAATAGGCTTCTTGCTCCTTCAAAATAGAGACTTCCCTCCTTAGGGAAACAATGATAAAGTCATCACCAAGTCTGAACGCCCTATCGATGACAAGAAAACAGTAATTTGCATTTTTCTTGAGGTTCTAAATTGACTTTTTTCTTTCTGTCCAGTTCTAATTCTCTCAAATGTCTTGGGCACATTTTTCTTTGGCTTAAGTCAGAGATTAATTTTTTTCTTCTCCCTTTCTCTTACCCAATTATTACAAATTAAATCGCCAATATTCCAAATATTAAATTTTTGGCTAAAAATGCTTGAGACCTAGCAGTAAATCTATTTATTGTCCTAACACAAAAAAATATATAATGACAAACTGTAAGCCGCCATTCACCTTTTTTCAATTTGACAAAGATTGTGGTTGTTGTTTTTAAGCAGCCCTTGGAATAAATGAGCTATTGGCAGGAGTTTATAAATGAATGTTCCCAGACACCTGTAATAGTAAATGTTATTGTTCCCCAAAAAGTTCCACTGAAGATGGCATCTGGGTTATTTGTGCACTGACCAAGGTTACCTGTTAAGTCTGGCACTTTTCCTAGCTACTGTCTGTGTCTCTATCCCAGAAGAAAGGGTGAAGTAAAATGAATAAAGTAAAGAAAAAACAAATAATGACAACTACTCACATCTGATTTTTCAAAGATGGGGATCTGATCATTGATATCAATAACGTTGATTTGCACAAAACAAAGGGTCTTGAAATCTGAAAACCAAAGTCATATGTCATAGAAATTTTCACTGAAAACCATGCATTAATATCAGAAATCTGCAAGAAAATACTTGGCAAGTGAAGTGACAGCCATAGCCACAATTTTGCAATTGACATGCAATTTGTGCAGAGAGTGGGCTCTCTGTTTCCCACCTGTACCCAAGTGGTCACCAAGTGTGGGGCAGGGTGGCTAAAGACAGATCTAAGAGAGATTTTTCTAGGTTTTTCATTGCCGTCCACCTGCTGTCCTCCTAAGTAAAGTTAGGTAAGGTTTGTTCCTGAGCAGGATGGCTTCCTTTTGTGAAGCAGTCTTTTTCTGACTAGTGAAACTTATGTAATCTTCAAAGTCCAGAGCAAAACTGTCCTTCCAGAAAGCCTTCTGTGAGCATCCCAGTGGCTGTCTCTCCTTCTCTGAACACATCCAACCTACATCTGCTCTGACTACTATGATGGTGAGGTCCAAGGGCCTGCTCTCTTCTATCTAAATAAGGGAGGAACTACCACCATTGGCCTGTTCACAAGAGTCTGGCTACCCAGCCTGCAGGAAGCAAGGTGGGGACAGAGGTAGCTCCTGGAACCCTGGAGAAATCACCCAGGCTTTCAGGGATGGGTTTCACAATTCCAAGACCTAGGCACACAGCCACTTCAGCTAGATTCCAGATGTGTGTGGAGTGCAGGTGGGGACAGGATGCCTGGGGGAGAGAGAACAAGAGATAAAATGACAGGTTCTTTGTTGGGTTGCTGTTGTTCTAACCATGGTGCACTGCACTGTATAATGGTTAAGACTCTGGGCTTGGAATTCACTGTTTGGACTCTGGCTCTGCCACTTAGCATGTATGTGAGAGCTTGGGTGCCTCACTCAATTTATCTGTAAACTGTGAATAACAGAACAGATGTTTTCATCATAATACAGTTGTTAGCGGCCTCTATATAGCAGCAACTGTATTGTTTACCCGAGTTACTCATTCATCTTCATGATAACTTCATGTTGTAGGTGCTACTGTCATTCCCATTTAATTAACAGATGAGGAAGCCAGGGAATAGAGAAGTTCAGGTAACCTAACCAGGGTCACACAACTAACTAGTGATGGAGCCAGGATTCAAACCCAGAGGTTCCCTTTGCCCTCTGCAGCCACCATCCATTCCTCTGTCTGTGCTCTGTAGCCCAAGGGGCTGACCTTATGAACTGCATCAATGTACATCCTCACCCTGAGGGTAACAGTTGGGTTCTGCCACTGAGAGGCGTGGCAAGAGACTGGAGGGAGGACAGGAAGAGTGTAGCTGGGGGTGTCACGCCCCCGTTGCCAACAGCCCTCTTCTAGTGACAGGCACAGGCCTTGCTCCTTTGGGGGATGCTCCCCTCCCTGGCTCCTTCAGGTTTTAGGGCAGAAAATGCTGCTTACTGTGCTTCACACCTCCTGTTGGTTTCCCTTAACCCTGCCCACAACCTTTGCAAACAATCCCTTCTTTCAACTCTTTGAGGGGAGTCTCCACTTCCTGCTGGGATCCTGACTAATATTCCCAGGTAGTTTAACTCTAGAGCTGGTGCTCAATGCACTGGACATGATCCCAGGGACAGAATCTATTAACAATCCAATTACAACCAAGTGGATATTGATTGAAGTTAAGGCTGGTCCTCAGAACGTTTGTAGACAACAAGAATGGCTGAAGACTGGAGTGGTCCCAGACCCAGAACCCACTGGCTCACTGCTCTGCACACACCTCGTTTGACCAGCAGTGGGCCTTTCTGGGTAAAAGGCCTTCCCTGGTTTTATGTAAAACTGTGTTAATTATAGCCTAGTCTCTAGTTTTCTGTAGTGCACAGTTGAATGTTTAGTTATATCAACACACACATGTATTTTAATATATTTTATAATCTGGTCCATATTTTCTATAGACGTACTCATGCAAATAAACAATTTGTAATCTGATTCCCACTTTAAACTCTATCTTCAAATTGCTCCAGGTCCTCATGTATTTCCACATGGATTCCCACTCTCCCATAAGTCCTACATGATTTTGTAACTTGTCATATTCATCCTTCAAAGCCCAGCTCAGAAATACCTCTTCCAGAAAGCAGTACCTGTTCTCTCCCTCCACTGAGTCACTTATTTCCTTCATGGGCTACCTTGGGCAGTTCCTTGCAATTTACTGACTCACATGTCCGTCTCTTCTACCAGAATGAGTGCTCCTTGAGGACAGAATCATCTATGTCTCCCCAGTACCTTGCATGGTGCCTCAAATAGGTAAATGCAGAATAACTGCTGAAAGAATGGACTGTTGATAGTGTGAAATTGTTAGCTCGTCATGAATAGGGAAGGTTTATTATACTTACATCTGTTCTATCTCTTACAATAATGCTAGACAAATATTAGGGCCTTAATATTTGTCAAATTACTGGGTTTCAAACATTCCGCATTAGGGCCCTACTAAACCTGGCTTCTGCCTAGTATCTCAATATCCCTGTAAAGGACAGAAACATGAAGCACAGTGTGAAACGTTTCTTGTTTGTTCTCCATACCTGTGTCATCCGTGCCTGCCAGCAGAACAATTACTGAATTATATGGTAATCGAAGATTAGTACGCATTAACTCAAAGGACCTTCTAGGAGTCTGAGTGCCCTTGAAATGAGTCTGTCTTTGAATCCAGGTATTTTGTGTGTCTGTGCACATTTGTTTAACAATGTGTGCAGTTGATTAAGAATGCATAGTTTTTATCAGATTCTCAAAGGTTCCTGTGACCCAATAGAGATTAAGAACCACTTGCTCTGCAATTGTATAAGGAGTATGGGGAAGAATGTCTCCTGATACTGTCAAACGGCCAACTAGAAGCTGTTAGGGTAAGATAGAACTTTCCGAAAGATGCTCTTCTCCTCCACTTTCCTACAGTAGAGTCCTTTCAGTCTGAAAGCAAGAATTGGGAAATACAATTCATTTTCCTGTTTGTGATTATGTTCTGCAGAATGTGCCTGGCAGACCTCCAACAACAGGGTTGTTAATTGACAACAGCTCCACTGCTGTGCTCTGGAATCTATTACCACATTCACACTGAGACCTCAACTCCCCTGGACTGTACACAGCCAGTGACTGAGAAAAGCAGCAATTGTAAAGCTCATTTTCAAAGACAATGAATTCCTCTGACAGCCCCCTTTAGACTCCCCGACAGCTGTGCCAAGCTTTCCTCAGACTGTCCTAGTCTAGGACATTCCCACCAGCCTTCCTTCTCCATCTCCCCTTCACCCAGCGTCAGGCATCAGGCTTGTATTTAGGTCTGATGACTCTCCCAGCCTTCTTTGTGCCCTTCCGCAATTTTTTCTCACGGGCTCCCCCCAATAAAATCCTCGTACATTTAATCTCCTTTTGGCATCTGCTTCCCATAGGACCCAGACCAACACAACAATGGTGCCTGAGCTGCAGCTCCGGCCTTTACAGTGTTCAACCAGCTATCTCTGTGTTATGTGTGTTTCACAAAGGAAGCAAAGAATGTTTAAATGGCATCATTCTATAACATACCAGACATTAGCGCAGGAAAATAACTCATAGCTAGAAGGAAAACAATGATTTGCACTCAAGACGGTGGATATGATACTAACCTTTGTCAGACACCTCTATCGTTAAGTTGTACTGAGGAGTATCTTGCTTCTTCAAGGACTGTTTAGCTAACTGTAACATTCCAGCATAGGTTTGGATTAGGAAGAGTCCATCCATGGGAAGTTTGGGAGTTTGCTCCACAATCCTGTAGTTTAGAAAACTGTTGGCAGTATTTTCTTCATCCCTGTCATGTGCAGTAAGGGTCCCGATACTGTTACCTATGAGGAAGGAAAGAAGGAAAACCCACCATTACAGGCTCCACATAATCTATTAAAATAGTTTCACTAAAATAAGCACATTCCTAGAAAACACCATGAATAACTTTGAATAGCAGACAAATGCTCTTAGAGTTATTTTGGTTCTTCTCATCCTATCATGTAATGGGTTGAATAGTGTATTTGTCAGCCAGGGCTGTCATTAAGTATCATGGATTAAACAACAGAGACTTATTTTTTCACAGTTCTGGAGGCCAGAAGTCTGCAATCAAGGTGTTGCTGGGGTTGGTTTCTTCCGAGGCTTCTCCTGGGCTTGTGAGTGGCTGTCTTTTCCTTCCGGTGCCTTCACAGCACCTTCCTTCTGAACCTCCCTATGTCCACATTTCCTCTTATAAGGATACCAGTCATACTGGATTAGGGCCCACTGTAAGGACATTTTACTTTCATTACCTCTTTTAAAACCTTATCTCCAAATATAGTCACATTCCGAGGTACTAGGGGTTAGAACTTCACCCTATGAATCTGGGGGAGGGGGAAGATGTAGCCTAGAACAGAGGGTTACAACCTCAACATATAATTTGGGGGGCACGGGGACACATTCAGCCCATAACACCTAGTACTCCCTCCCAAAACTTCATGTCTACCAGAACCTGAGCATGGGACTCATTTGCAAATAAGACCTTCACAGATGTCACTAGTTAAGGCTCTGGAGATGAAATCATCCTGGATTTAGAGGCAGCCCTAAATTCAGTGACAGGTGCCCCTATAAGAAGGGAAACACAGAGATGCACACAGAGGAGGAAATGATCTGGAGGAGGAAGCCAGAAGTTGGAGATAGGCTGCCACAAGTAGCCAGGGAACACCAGATGCCAACAGAAGCCGGAAGAGGCAAGGAAAGATTCTCCCCTTGAGACTCTGGAGGGAACGCTGCCCTGCAAGCACCTTGATTTCAGACTTCCAGCCTCCAGGTCTAGGAGAGAAAAGATTTCTGTTGTTTTAAGTCACCAAATTGGTGGTGATTTGTTGCTGTAGCCCTAGGACGCTAATACACATGGCAAATGGTATCACTAAACAAAGAGAAGCCAACCCTAGATTGCATCTAAGCAACTTCATGGAACAATTGCAGAAACTGACTCTACTCCAAAGATAACACAGGGCAGGGACCAGGCAGGATCCTCTCCACCTTGCTGTAGTTTGTGGTCCTAAGTATTTTATTCCTGTGAGGGTTTCAGTCCAGGGAGTTCTACAAACCAGTGGCTATGACTCGGTTCTGCACCCAGCTCTGGGCAAGTTCTGACAGGTTCCAGACCATCCTACTCTGGGAGGTGGGAATTGTAGGTCTCTTTATATGTAGCAAGAATCCCACGTAGGAGCTCAAACTTGAATTCATCCCATTTGTGGAGTTACACCCCCTCCCCCATCAGCTGACACAGTTTGCATCCACTGACGCATATGGAAATTTAG
Organism: Homo sapiens; assembly: GCF_000001405.40. Lineage (NCBI taxonomy): Eukaryota > Metazoa > Chordata > Mammalia > Primates > Hominidae > Homo > Homo sapiens. The sequence goes on from NC_000008.11 coordinate 94,167,438, forward strand.
AGGTTTTTTGGTTTTGGGTTGGGGGAGGAAAAAGAAAGTACCTATGTATGTCTACAGTAGAGCTGGACACATGCAGATGTGCCTCATGGGCTGCATGCAGGGACCATCGGAATGAATAGGACAGAAGAGAATATGTTTCTAGTGCATATGGCATGCATATGCCCTTGCAAGAAAAGTATCTGTGTGCTGGGATGAAAGAGTGTCTTACTAAATTCTGTGGTCCTTTGGTGTCTCAGCAGCCCTGCTATAGCCCTATCCCCTCAGCAAGTGAGCAAGAAACTGAGGACACTGTCCTCCTCTCACTCACAGGAAACCTCCATGCTGCCAGAGGCACCATGAGGACTGCTGGCATCAGAGGACACCCCTCGCTGGGAGCAGAGGACCTTGTGGATCAGTCGGAAGTGAAAGGAAAACCATGTCTCTGAGTGACTGAGGCCTGGAACAAGTGGAGCTCAAACTGATACAGGAGTATACGTAGCATCTCTTAGAAATATGCAGAAATATTTAGGGAGGTGGGGTTTTTATGAGAGTCTAAATTTTCTGTATGAATACATAAGACTTGGTGGCAAGTGGGATTCAAGAATAAATGTTAGTGTTGCTAAGACTTGGGGACACGAGTTCCACAAGATACCAAACAGGAGAATGTAAATACACTGGGGAATATATATATATATATATATATATATATATATATATATATATATATATATATATATATATTTGTGTGTGTGTGTGAGATGGAGTCTCACTCTGTTGTCTGGGCTGGAGCACAGTGTCATGATCTCAGCTCACTGCAATCTCTACAAGCCTCTCAAGTAGGTGAGATTACAGGCATGCACCACCACACCTGGGTAATTTTTGCAGTTTTTTTTTTTTTTTTTAGTAGAGACAGGGTTTCGCCATGTTGGCCAGGCTGGTCTCGAACTCCTGGCCTCAAGTGATCTGCTCATCTTGGCCTCCCAAAGTGCTGGGTGGGATTACAGGCATGAGCCACTGCACCTGGCCTAATTCAGTATTTTATCAAGGTTTTATTTGTGAATATTTCCACCTACTCATGTCCTATCAGCTAAGCTAGACAGTAAGTCCCCACAAGGCAGGAGCATTGTCTTGTACCCTTTTAAGCTTACATATATAGAATATGCTCAGTTGATTTATAAGAATTCTTGGTCCACTAAAGACTCTGAAATATTTTTACAAAATAAATTCTCACCTTTAGAGAGGCAAATAGCAAGCTGAGCCCCTTCAAAATTTATTCTACCAACAATGACTTCTTCAGTCTCAGAAAACCAGCACTATCCTCTTCCCAGATGAGGTAGGCGCCTCGAAAAGAGCTTCCAGCAACCCCCATCTCCTGATATTTGTGCTTTTTCAGAACCCCATCCTGTTGAGTGCAGGCTGGACCTAGCAACTTGTTTCTAATGGCAAAAGTGATGGGATCGCTTCCAAGATTAGGTCATAGAAAGACTGATGCCTGTCCTTTCCTGCTCTGCCGTACTCTTTCCCTCTCTCTCAGAACTCTCTGAATTAGAGGTATCCAGCTGAACTTCACCCAGATTCCAGACTCACAGAAACTGTGACATGATACATGCTTGTTGTTTCAAGCTGCCAAGATTTAGAGCAATCTGTTTTGCAGAAATAGGTAACAAATAGACTATATGATTGGCCCAATGTAAAAGAGGCTTGAAGTGTCATGTCCGGGTCAAGAAAGTTGTCAAAGATTTTCCACCTTTATTCAGTGTCACAGACCATCCCAGATTTCCCAAGAAGGTGATGGCACACGTGTTTGTTGGCTACTGTTACACTACTGTGACTGTGAGAAGATTCTTCCTTATAACGAACTGAAGTCCTTCAAGCTGGCATTAACTCTTCCTGTTGTGGCAAGAGTTGAGAAAAATGAAACAGAGAGGACCTGCACAGAACACAGTGACACAGAACACACTGACAAAAGGCAGCCCACACGACACCTGATAGCAAGAAGAAAAATAATGAGCAGTGTGAGCAAGCCGCTCCAGCAGCGCCCACCAAGCCTCCGGGAAGGCACCCACTCTGTCAGAGGTGTGTCTGGTGAGGAATGGAGGGACGAAAAGAAAATGTGAGCCCATCCACAAAGCACAGGAGGATCTCTCCACAAGGGCAGTGAAGCTCTAGAAATGATAGTCGTGAGGCTGCTACACTTGGAAGCCTCTGAAAGGTACACAGCACAACAGAACAAAACAGTTCAAGAAATGCCAGTCTGCTCAGTCAAGGGGCTCACTGCCAAGGGGGAAACAGACAAGCATTGTCCCAAACCCAGAGAAGCCATAAAACTCCCAGAAATTATAATGTTCTTATAGTAGTTGTTCCTATACAAAAACTAAAAAGCTATCACAGGACACAGTAAAAGAAAACATAGCAAGACAAAGCAAAAATGATAAAAATAGATGGGATTTGACTTCATCTAGCAGCCTCTTGAATTATATTATCAGCTTCTTGGAAAGGGGGGCCCAAGGGTCAAAAGTCAACTTCCATTGGTGTTGCTTACTTATTGCAGGGTGTCTGTCTGACTTTGGGTGTAAATGTTTAAATTCTTTGGCAAATGTGATGAGATTATCTCTTTAATGAGATTATTAGAAGTCAAATAACGTATGGGGAAATCCTGCAAATGAGATATCCCTATATACATGTATATAAGATACTAGTGTAGGTGGCTGTGATACTAATGATAGTAGTAAGGTTGATAATGATAGTGATAATGGTAGTAGCGGTAATGGTAGCTATAAAAGCCCCAATTTAAGAATACTATCCAGATACTGTTTGATCCCAAATACGGTCCTTACGTGACTCCCAAGGTACAGTCAACCTCTATGCTGTGGAAGACATGGATTACTGACTCCCAGTAAGGTCTCCTGCTCACCTTTTACCCAGCAGAGGAGAGAAATGGAGGGCAGTTACACAGCATTAGGCAGCTCTCATTTCTTACCCAGTCGTTCATTCTCCTGGACCTCAAATACGGTTACTGGTGACGGACATGTAGGTGGATTATCATTAATATCTTTAACTTTTACATGAATTTCCAGCGGATATGAAAGTGGTTTTCCGTACTCATCCTTTGCAACTGCATAAAAAACATACTACAACAGGAAAGTCAGAGTTAAGGCAAGACTCACCCACCACCCTCTGTCAAAAGCAGAGAAAATCGTTGTTTCATTTCTATGTCATTTACTCCCTTATTTTTAATTCACTTAGAATTGGAAAATTTTAAAAACTGAGATGGGTCAGAATTATGTGAAAATTATCATGTCTTTGAAAACCAATAATATGCTGGAGTCTGAAATGTGTGTTTTTTTTTTCTTTAAAGTAAAATCCATTTTGCTCTCAACTGTAGATGGGCATAGGACTTTGTCTTGTCGCCTGTGAAACTCTTCTCTTTTACTCACTGCATCCTTTTCTTCTCGGTCCAAGGGCTGAGTCACGTAAATATCTCCTTCCTGGTCAATTGAAAATGGGAATCTTGGCAGCTTCTCTTTGTCAACTAAGGAATATTGTGCACCGGGATCATTCCACCGCACCTACAGGGCCCAAAGTCAGTTGTGAGGAAAGCTGTATTTGGACTGAGAGAACTGGAAAGGAAATAATTTTCTAGTTCTCAATTTGAAATCTCTGACAACCTTGTATGTTTGTGGTTTCTTGTAACAACTGAATTACGTTTTTCACTTTTAACCTAAAATAAGCCTGTTTCCCCCCACCAAGTTATATTGCTCGAAAAAAGCACACCAGGAAATGTTTCTTCTCTAAAGCAATTCTTCACAAACCCTCTACAGGGTTTCTGGGCTGCTTTCTTTTGGAAGTCTGACTGTGAAAGCTTTCTATCCACGAACCATCCATTTAAGAAACAAAATGTACTTTGTGGCTGGCAGTGTCTGAGGACTAAGCCACAATGTATGGTGAGCATCTAATACTCACCAATGAAGATGAACAGGGGCAATAGGGGCCACTCTGAAGTCTTCTCCATGCCATTAAGTAAGACAAATGATACAAAAATAAGGACATTCCTTTCCTAAATATTTAGCCTCAGAGACTTCAGGGATGAGAATAACTGCCAACTCCTAGGGTTGTTTGTAAACAACCTGGCAAAAATAAAAAATAAACACAAGTAAGACCAGTCTACTTGCTATATAGACAGAGCCTGGTCTGATATATTAATAATGTTTACTGAGTTTGCCACATGCCAGACACAATTCTAAACATATTTATGTGTTATATCTCATTTAATCTCCAAACAGTCCTCTGACGTACAGACTACTGTTATCTCTATTTTATAATGAAGAAACTAGGGCACAAAAAATTTAAGCGACTTGCCCAAGGTCCTACTGCTAGTTGAAATTTCCACAGTAAACTATTCTCAGAGCAGCCTGGGAAGATATCACAGCAGCAACTTTGTCCCTTGCTAATTATTTAAGCATCACCCATTGTCCCTGCAGACTACCTTCTTGGTTCTAAAGTGGGCTCCTCTTGTGTTCTAAAAATTCAGTCTGAGTTCCTCTTCCCATCTCCCCCTCCCCCCTCCCCCCTCCCCCTCCTCCCCCTCCTCCCTCCCCTTCTCCCGCTCCTCCTTCCCCCTCTCCCCCTCTCTCTTTCTCCCTCTCTCCTTTTGGGTTTCAGAACACCCAGAGCATTTTTTCCAGACCTGAAAATTGGGTAGGCACTCTAGAATTTTCCCTTGGCAGCCCCAAGGCAACTAAGCATGAGTTCTTTGCAGCATTTACCAATCCCTTTGGGAGTAACCTGAATAATAGCTATGAAGACTTTAGTCTAGGCCCCCAATCAGAAATTCTCATGGTAATGAGTGCTGACATGCTTTCTTTCTAACTGGGAAATCAGAATTCTTCCTGCTGTTCTTCCTTTTTTTTCCCTCCTGAAGTTGAAGTTCATTAATTCAACATTCAATAAATAAATGTCCCTGGGCCCATCCCAATAAATATGATGGAATAGGCCATTCCAGGGCCCCTTAACAATAGTAGCATTAAAAAAAAATTAGGGGAACTACAGACTAGTACTTCTTCATAATAATACCTTTTATATCTAATATTTTTATCTACTTTTACAGATACTGTCTCAGTTAATCTTCACAAAACACTGAAGTATTATCCCTATTTTATTGATGAGACATTGGGGCTCAGAATAGTTAAATGACTTGTTTATGATCAGTCATTCAAGTGATGGAACAGGAATATGATTTTGTTCATCTGCTTCCAAATCCAGGGATCTCCCACTAACCCACAGCTTTCATGTGGAGGAATTTCCTGGGCTTCCAGAAAATATCAAATCTGGGTGGAGTCCAGAGTGAATTTCTAGGAGCTAAGGTAGGAGGGGGCCCAGGGTAAGAGCACATGCCACAGAGGTGGGGAAGTAGGAGCATCTGAACGGAGGGGAGAGGCACACACAGGAGATAGAGTGCCAGGGGTGAGGGAGTTTCCAAGGGGAAAGGTTCCCTACTATGATCCTTTTACCCCTAGCCAGTCCTATCTCCGTCCCTCAGCCTAAGATGGGCAAGTCTATTGGGTCAAGATTTTTTCCACAATAAGAAGCAGCAGCCTTTCAAATCTATTTGCAACCCCCAAATCAAACCATGTCCATACATAGTGCACCATAAATGACCCACTGCAGGGCTGCCATATCCCACACTGCTAACAGGGAACAACAAACATCACTGCTGTCTACTTTTAAGGTGAGGGTGAGTGAAGTTCTCTCTGAAAGCAAAAGTATATATCTGATGTCGTTTGGATGTTTGTCCCCTCCAAATCTCATGTTGAAACGTAATCCTCAGTATTGGAGGTGAGGCCCAGTGGGAGGTGGGATCATGGGGGCAGATCCCTCGTGAATGGCTGAGCACCACGCCCTTGGTGGTAAGTGAGTTCTCACTCTGAGTTCACATGAGACCTGGTGCTTAAATGTGTGTGGCACCTCCCACCTAACTCTCTTGCTCCCATTGTCGTCATATGATGCTCCTGCTCCCCCTTTGCCTTCTGCCATGATCGTAATTTTCCCAAGGCCCTCAACAGAAGCAGATGCTGGAGCCACGCTTGAACAGCCTGCAAAACGATGCACCAATTAAACTTTTCTTTACAAATTCCCCACCTCAGGTATTTCTTTATAGCAATACAAAAACGGCCTAACATAATATCTGCATCCAAGTTGCCTGCCCATGATGCATGGTCAAGTCCAGTGACTCGGGGCCAGAGGCTATATAATTTGCTTTATAATCATGCTATGAAAAAGGTATCTAATAAGTGTATCAGTGAAGACTGTGAGGGTGGGTCTCTACAAAGTGAAGCCATTTATCTAGTTGGCTCTCAGTGTTACTTGGGCTTGGGTACTACCTGAGTGATTTTGATGGGGTGAGGATCAGTTGAGTTTTCCACCATCTCCACAGGTTTTGGTGCTTTCCAAATATTCTCTGTCACTATGATATCCACAGATGTGGTATCACTGAAGGAATTCTCACTCTGGCCTCCCATGTCCTTCACTGAGATCACCAGATTATAGGAAGGATTCTTAGCAGGATTCAATTCCTGAGATCCTGTGAGAAGTAGGGGAGAAGGGAATAGGAAGTGTCTCTGGAAGAGACAGACCAAACTCCCTTTTTCTGATCGAGACAGTCCTACCAGGGCACCCCTGAACTTACCCTCTCGGGTAAGAGAGATGGCTCCCGTTTTGTTGTTGATCTGAAAGTACATGACATTGTTGATCATGGGAAGCTGGATGACAATCTGGTAATAAAGCTGGCCATTGGGAGTGGCCGGATCATCCAGGTCTGTGGCATTGACATACAAGAAGGGCTTTCCTGTTTAACAAGACGTACCCAGAAAAAAAAAAAAAAAGATATTAATTGAAACCCAAACCAACCATAGCTACTTTTTCCATCTAAAAAGTGGAGATATAATAGGGAAAGGTATGACAATTCACACCAGTGGGGAAATAAATATTTATCCCACTCCCCCCTTCCCTAAAATAAGGTTTCTCAAGGTCTGGTCCAAGAACCTCTAAGGGTCCCTGAAACTGTTCAAGTGCTCTGTAAAGCTAAAGGTCATGTTTCTGTAAAAGATCCATTTAAAGTACAAGATAATTTAATGAATTGTAGTGTAAAAGAATGGAAAATATGGTATTAATTTTGATTTCACTTTGCAACTAATCTTTAAGAAACCACAATTTATTGAGTTTGGGTATAGTACTAAAGAATGTCCAGTTATCTGAAAATACTATTAAAATATTCCTCTCTTGTCCAACTGCATATCTGTGTGAGGCTAATTTTCCTTCATATATTTCAACCAAACTAGCACATGGCAAGAGAATGAATGTAGAAACAGACATGAGAATCCAAGCGTTTTCTATTAATCCAGACATTAAAGAGATTTGCAAAGATTAACACAATGCCATTTTTCTTACTATTTTTGTCTTTAAAATCAATTATTTTTCATTAAAACATGTTGATTAGTGTTATTTTTAATGAATTAATAATTTTTTAAAATTTCTAATATAGTAAATGTTGATAGATATAACCAGTGATGTACTAGAGACAGCTCATGAGACTCAGTTGTTGAATTTTCAGAAATTTTGTGTGTCAATTATTAATACCAATGGTCACTTGAAATAGGCCATGGTAGGAGTATTTGCAACATGGAAACTAGAAAATTCTACAAATCAGAGCTTTGTCCCCCTAGAAAAATAGCTGTTAAGCCTTTACCAGGACACCACTGGATATAACCCACCTGTCTAAAAGTTCTCTGGAGTCCTCAGTAAATTTTAAGAGAATATACAAGTCCTGAAACCAAAAAGTTTGAGAGCCATTTCTCTAGCAGATTCTATTAGTGAAGAGAGAAAAGGTACGGCCTGGAGCCTACACATTTAGCAGAGTCTGTGTGAGTCTTTGGTATGCAGCTTCAGGGACAGGGACATCACTCCACATAATAAACTGAAGTGAATTTTTTCCTGGAATTCTCGGAGGCAGGCATTGAAGAAAGAGAAGGAAGAAGCTTGATGGTGGGATGATGCAAATGGCCCCAAGTCTTGATTAGTATTATTTTAAATGAATATCTTTAAAATTTCTAATACAGTAAATGTTAATAGATAAACCATATTTCTAAGAACTCTGAAGTCTAATATTCATTTATGTTGTGTGCAACTGTTAGGAGGTGATGCTCCTTCCTAGGTGCCTGCTGGACACACTCACGCCTTAATGAAGGCCTTAATGAAGGGCTTAATGAAGGGCTTTTGTGGAAGTGAAAGGTAGAAGGTCAATGCAGCATAGAGAAGGGCTGAGCCACAGATGGGATGTAAGAGAAGAAAAGAGCTGGAAACCACCAGTGACAATATCAATGGAGGTTCCTAAGAAGATACAGGGGAGTAAGCTTACCTTTCTAGAGTGTTCTAGAGCTCTGAGGTATCTTAGAGATCACCCTAGAAAAGCGTTTTTCAACTGGGGGTAATTTTTGAGACAGAATCTCACTCTGTTGCCCAGACCGAGTGCAATAGTGTGATCACAACTTACTGCAGCCTCAATCTCCTGGGACCAAGTGATTGTGCCACCTCAGCCTCCCAAGTAGCTAGGACTACAGGCATGCACCACCACACCTGGCAAACTATTATTTTTTGTAGAGACAGGATCTCACTTTGTTGCCCAGGCTGGTCTCAAACTCCCAGGCTGTTCTCAAACTCCTGGCTGAAGTGATCCTCCCACCTCAGCCTCCCAAAGTACTGGGATTTTGTGCCCTCCACCCACCAGAGGATATTTGGCAATGCCTGGAGACATTTTTATTGCCACAACTTGGCAGGGGGGCACATAGTGGATAGAGGTCAGGGGGATGCTGCCAATCATCCTACAAGGCACAGAATAGCCTCTGACCAAAAAAAGAATTATCAGACCCAAGATGTCAATACATAGTGCTGCATTGAGAGACCATGCTCTGGAGCAATAGAGATAGTGAAACAACTCCCAAATCAGTGTGAAATGTAGGTAAGATAGTGCTTATTGAGTGACAGCTGCAGCTATTAGCCACACAAGTCTGCCCCTTCCACCTGACACCCTTCCATCTTTCCATAAATATCTCTGGCCCCTGCCTGTTACCTGGGCGAGAGTTCTGCCTTACTGAGCCTTCGTACTTTGACTGGAGAAACGTGGGTCGATTGTCGTTGATGTCCTTCACTTTTATGGTGATAGGGACTGGACCCTCCACTATAATTCCATTAGCGTCCAGGGCTGCAACCTGATGTTGAGGAAAAGGAAACCATGTTGGTGAGACTGAACTTCATGTCACATGCCCAAAAATCACTTGAAGGAAATTAGAACTCAAAGAACCAATGGCCTGGTGACTGTAGGAGAGAAAGAACTCACAAAAGGCCAAATTGGGAAATGCTAAAACAGGGATTGTATCAGTTAAGCCTGGCTAATCATGATGGTGACTTTCTATCAGCAGGGTGTTCTGGACACTGAACATGCATCTGTTCTGGATGGCTGAAGTCCATGAAACAAGAGCACTGTGACCCCTGAGAATATGAAAGTGTTGTGTTCTCTTCCAGAGCCATTATGGCGGTCAGCCTGCAAGGCCTGCAGCAGAAGTACCAGACAGAAAGCTTTTATCTCACTCTTTTTTCCATAGTAGGCTCTCTGACTTTCCTAGGTATTCAGATACCAACGGTGAAAACTAAAGGAGAAAGAGAGGGAGACGGGTCTTTTTAGTCAGCTCCTGGCTACTGGTTCCCTCTGCTTCTTCCAACGCCCAAAGGAGCTCCATCCCAGCACCGATACAGCCTTCTTCATGGGTCCCAAGCCAATGCAACAGCCACAGGCAGATACCATTGAAGTATCAGAGATGTGCTGACTTTTGATCCAAGTACCTAAGCATGGTCTTACTTGGATAAGTAATGCCATCAGAGGGTCCTGGCAATGTAAGTGGGGTTACGTTGGTTAAAAAGCCTAAGGAAAAGGATATGTTTGCCACACCCCTCTGTAGTTGGTAAGAAATGGACATGTGAGGATTGCAAAGCGTCCCATTAATGTAAGGAAAGCTGTAACTGGATTCTGTGCAAGGAAGGAAGGTGCCAGCCATACTTCCAGAACAAAGGGTGCTCAGAGAGGTTGGAGTTAGATCCCTTCAGCTGGTATCAATTTACCTGGAGATTGTGAGTAGATCTTGTTTCCCTGTCCAAGGCTCTGTTGTAATACAGAAGTCCCTCCCGTTCTATCACAAATATGTTGTCTGTCTCCCCAGTTAGTTCAAAAGTCACAGCAGGAGGATTGGCCTTAAACTGGGGAAAAAGCAAAAAACAGATTAAGTTGTAAGGGAAAAAACAATGTTGTGGAATTTGTAGAAAGTCACCAATTTCAGGTAAAATTTTCATTGGTTCAATTACTAAATAAGAAATCCTCAACTTTTAAAGTGGTACCTTCTAAAAGTTTGTTTGCACAATAACTGTGTAACATTTAACATACATTTTCCTCAAGAGACTGTATACTATTATTCAATACATTGACAAAAGTCATTGATGCTTTAAATTATAGCTGGGGTTAAAAGAGACTTTTTGGTAATATCTGAAATCTATGACATTACTAGCTTCTAAGAAGCATTAAAAGGGTAGCTTTCTCTCTAGGATAAAATATGTCATTTAGCACTTCTAAAAATTGTGACAAAGATTAATAGACACGTTAATGTTAAGGAAAAGAATTTATAAGTGGCTTTAACTTAATGCAAATGCTATATGATAATCTATTACTTTTTCAGAAGTGGAGAAAATACCGACCACCATATTCATAGATATGGCTATATCACTTTTAAGACCACAGCAACAGAAAATTCACATAAAACTAAGAAAACATAAAAGCTGTTCAACCTTAAGTTTTAGTATACTTTTATATATTTTTATTAAATTAAAAGCAATATCAAAGTTAGTATGGATATAAAGAAACATTGTTGATGGAAATATAAATTCCTATAATCCTTTTGGAAATAACTTGAGGCATAAAATGTTTGTACCCTTTGATAGCAAACATTACTATACATAATTTACCCTAAGGAAATATTTCTTCAAACAAGTACATGCTTATAGTGAAAGTAACTTTATTTATAATACCAGTAAGATTGAAAACTCCTAAATGGTCAAAAAAAAAGGACAGTGAAATTATTATGGCACATGAACTTGACAGAATATTAATCATTAAAATGTTCATTCTACAAATTATGAAGAAACATAAGAAACAATGATGTAAAGTAACAGAAGTAAATTTGAGAGTAAATCTAGACTGTTATGGTACCAAAAGAATTCATGTCAGTAGGTAAGAAATGGAATTTAAAATATAAGAAGAGTTGATGTGTTAAATGGGTAAGATTGTAAGTTAAAAAGTTTTTGTGCATGTTTGCTTGTTGATATTATATTGTTTATATAATAAATGAACATGTTGCTATTTTGTGTTTTCAGAAAAAGACCTGGACATCAGTGAGAAAGGTGGAGTAAGGGCCTACAGAAAACTGCTCCTCCATAAAAGCAATGAGAACACTGGCAAAAATTGTAAATATCATCTTTTTAAGAATATGGGAAATTAACCAGATGCTTGCAAAATCCAAGGAATGTTTATTAAAAAAAAAAAAAAAAACTAAGGTTTGTGGTGTTTTAATGCACCCTAATCCCATGGTCCTTTCCTAAGATCTGAAGTAGCCTTGAAAGCAACAGCCTCACACCACAGTACCATGGAGAGGGTGAGAAGCGTTTGTAGCTTCCCAAAAGCTCCATCACCAGAGAACTATCATTATCTATCCTGTTGGCATTTCCCTGGGAACATCTACTTACAACACTTATCTTCATTTGACCGGACTCAGAATTCATACACCACACACAATTTTTCCCCTGGGGCATTTGTTGAAAACAACCATTAGCAATTGTTCAACATTGCAGCTGCCTGAGGCTGTGATAACAGTTGAAGCAAAGAAGCAGCTGACCAAAACACTTAAAAGGGAAAGCTGGGAAATGAGATGTCCATAAGGGGCTTTGAAAATCTCTAATATATTCCTGGCAATCTACAAGGCCACTATCATGAGCAGGGCTGTGTGCATGCCTGGGAAAGACCTGAGAAGGCCCTAATCCCTCACCTCTGGCTGACTTGGAGGCTCTGCATAAGCAGAAAGTGAAGGCGAAGGCAGAGTTGTAAACTGCCTGCCACATAGTTGAAGGTTGTGTCCCAACATGCACACAGTGCCCCTTGGTAAACACCAGGAGACTTACTGGCTTAAGGCATTTAAGGAACTCTCTATCTAGTCATTAGCTGAACACTAAGCTGACTGAGCAGACTTCAGTGGCCAGACATGACAAAGAATACAGACTTTACAGAATTCATTATGGAAAGTCACTAAGCAAACAAACAGCATCAACAACCAACTCCAGGAAAAGAAAGATATATGATTTCTAGAGTTGCCACATCACATTATTTAAAATGTTTGGTTTTCAACAAATTATGAAATGTACAAAAATATTAAAAAGTCAATAGAAACTGTCCCTGAGGAAGCCCAGATGTTGGATTTACTAAAGATTTTTAAAAATCTATTTTAGATAGATTCAAAAACTAAAGGAAATCATCTCTAAAGAATTAAAGTTTGAAAACAATGCCTCATCAGATATAGAATATTGATTAAAAATAGAAATTTTTAAAATAGAAATTCTACAGTTGACAAGGATGATAACTGAAAGGAAAAATTCATAAGAGGGTGTTCAAAAGCAGATTTGAGCTAGCAAAAGAAAGAATTTGTGAACTTGAAAATAGATTAATAGAGATTACTGAAAGAAAAAAAATGAACAAAAATGAATAGATTCCCAGAGACCAGTGAAACACCATCAAGCAGAAAAACACATACATAATAAAAGTTCCAGAAGGAAAGGAAAAAGGGGGAAAAAAGATTATTTGAAGACAGAATGACCCAAAACTTCACAAATTTAAGAAAAACATGAATCTATATATCCAACAATCACTATGAACTCCAAATAGAATAAACTCAAAGAAATCCAAATTTAGTCACATCATAAACATTTGAAAGATAGAGAATCTTAAAAGTGCATAGACTCATCACATGTAAAGGATCCTCAATAAAATTAACAGCTAATTTTCCATGGAGATCAGAAGGCAGTGGAATGACACATTCAAAGTGCTAAAAGAGGCCGGGTGCAGTGGCTCATGCCTGTAATCCCAGCACTTTGGGAGGCTGAGGTGGGCAGTCACGAGATTAGGAGATCGAGACCTTCCTGGCTAACACGGTGAAACCCCATCTCTACTAAAAACACAAAAAATTAGCCGGGCATGGTGGTGGGCATCTGTAGTCCCAGCTACTTGGGAGGCTGAGGCAGGAGAATAGCGTGAACCCAGAAGGCGGAGCTTGCAGTGAGCTGAGATTGTGCCACTGCATTCCAGCCTGGAGGACAGAGTGAGATTCCCAGAGTGAGACTCCGTCTCGAACAAAAACAAGCAAACAAACAAACAAACAAACCAAAAAAAAAAAAAAAAACAAAGTGCTGAAAGAAAAAGAGTGGCCAAGTAAGAACTGTAAATCCTACAAAACTATCCTTCAAAATGAGGATAAAATTAACCTATACTACTATCAGACAAAACAGACTTTAAAACAAAATTTTCAGAGACAAAATGGGATATTCTATAATGATATAAGGGTCAATCCATCAAGAAACCATAGCAATTATAAACATATATGCACCTAACAATGGACCTCAAAACACATGAAAGAAAAGCTGACAGAATGGAAAGGAAATTAAATAATTCAACAGTAATAATTGACGATTTCAAGACTTTACTTTAAATAATAGAATAGAAAATCAATAAGGAAACAGAAGACTTGAACAATACTATAAACCAATTAGAAGCTAACAAACACCCAACACTCCATCCAACAAAAGCCAGTCACATGGAACATTCTCCAGGAGAGGTTATATGTTAGACCATAAGCGAGTCTCAATAAATTTAAAGGGATTGAAGTTATACAAAGTATTTGACAATTGAATACAATTAAAAACAATATAAGGAAATTTGGGAAAATCACTAATATGTAAAATAACAATATACTCTAAAAACCAAAGGTCAAAGAAGAAATCAAGGGAAATTAGAAAATACTTTGATGTAAATGAAAATGAAACACAGCATGCCAAATCTTATGGGATGCAGATAAAGCAGTACTTAGAGGAAAATCTATCACTGTAAATGTTCATACTTTACAAAGATGAAATATCCCAAAGAACCTAATCTTCTACTTAGAAAAAAAAAAGAAAAGAAAAACAAGAAAAAGAAGAATAGCAAAGCAAGCAGAAGAAAATAACAAAGATCAGAGTGGAAATTAATGAAATGGAGAATATAAGAGCACAGGAGAAAAGTCAACAAAACCAGAGTTGATTATTTGAAAAGATCCACAAAAGTGACAAACTTTTGGCTGGACTGATCAAGAAAAATGAGGTAAGATTCAAATAACTAGAATCAGGAATATAAGAGGACTACTACCAACCTTATAGAAACAAAAAGTATTAAAGAGAATATTGTGAACAATTGTTTTCCCACAAATTAGACAACCTAGATCAAATGGACAAATTTCTAGACAGACAAAAACTACTAAAACTGATTCAAGAACACATAGAAAATCTGAATAGAACTATAACAAGGGATTGTATTAGTAATCAAAAAATTTCCACACACAAAAAAGCCCAGAACCAGATGGCTTCACTAGTGAATTGTACCTAACATGTAAAGAAGAATTAACATCAAACCTTCAGAAATTCTTCCAAAACTAGAAGAGTAAGGAACACTTATTCAATTCATTCTATGAGGCCAATATCCTGATACCCAAACCAGAAAAAAGTCAATGCAAGAAAACTTCAGACTAATGTCTCTTTTGAATATAGGCACAAAATTTTCCAATGAAATACTAGCAAACTGAATCCAGCAACATATGAAAAGTATTATATACCATTACCAAGTGGAAATTATACCAGAATACAAAGCTGGTTCAATCTATGAAGGTCAATTAAGGTAGTATCCCATATTGATAGAATCAAGGATAAAAACCACATATTTCAATAGAGGCAGCAAATCATTTGACAAAATCCGTCATCCTTTCATGATAAAAACACTCAACACACCAGGAATAGAAGGTGACTTCTCAGCCTAATAAGGACACCGAAGTAAGCCCCACAGCTAACATTGTACTTAATGGTGAAAGACTGAAAGCTTTCTCCATAAGATCAGAAACAAGACAAGGATACTCAATCTTGCCACTTCTATTTAACATTGTACTAGAGATTCTAGCAAGGGGAATTAGGCAAGAACAAGAAATAAAAGGCATAAAGATTGGAAATAAAAAAATAAAACTATCACTATTCACAGTTGCCATGATTTTATATAGGGAAAATTCTAAGGAACCTAAAAAAACTATTACAGCTAATAAACAAGTATTATAAGGTTTCAGGATAAAAGATCAATAAACAAAAATCAATCTTTCTAACCATTAGCAAATAGCAACCCAAAAATGATATTTTTAAAATTCCATTTACAACCACAACAAAAAGAATAACATATCTCAGAATAAACTTAAGCAAAGAAATATGAAGCTTATAAAATGGAAACTACAAAACACTGTTGAAAGAAATTAAACAAGTTCTAAATAAATGGAAAGACACCTAGTGTTTACAGATTTAAAAATCTAATGCTATTAAGATGGCAATACTTCCCAAGTTTATCTACTGATTCAATACAATCCCTATCAAAATTACAGCTGCCTTGTTTGTAGAATTTCCAGGCTGATCCTAAAATTCATATGGAACTACAGGGGACTCAGAATAGCCAACAACAAAGTAGGAAGACTTAACGTTCTCTAATTTCAAAATTTACTACAAAGGTGTAGTTCCAGATAATGCAGTACTGGCATAAACATATATAGATCAATGGAATCATAGTGGGAGGCCAGAAACAATTCAATTGATTTCTGATGAGGATGCTAAATTCAGTGGGGGAAAGAATGGTGTTTTCAATAAATGGTGCTAGAACAACTGGATATCCACATGCAAAAGAATGAAGTTGGACCCTTACCCCATACCATACACAAAACTAACTCAAAATGGATCAAAGACCTAAATAGAAAAACTAAAACTATAAAACTCTGAGAAGAAAGCATAGACATAAATCTTTATGACCCCGAATGAGGAAATGGTTTCTTAGATATGACATCAAAAGTACAAATAACAATAACAATATAAATTGGACTTCATCGAAATTCAAAGCATTTGTGCTCCAAAGGACACCACCAAGAAAGTGAAAAGATAACTTATAGAATGTGAGAAAATACTTGCTGCAAATCATATCTGATAAGGGAGAGAACTTGTATACGGAATATGTAAATAATTCTTACAACAATAAAAAGACAAATAACCTGATTAAAAGTAGGCAAAGGATTTGAATAGACATCTCTCCCAAGAAGATATATAAATAGTCAATTGCCCCATGAAAAAATACTCAACATCAGTCATTAGGGAAATATAAACCAAAACCACAAAGAAATACCACTTCACAACCACTAGGATAGCTATAATTAAAAAAAAAAAAAAGACAGATAATAACAAGTGCTAAGGATATGGAGAAATTGGAACTCATACATTACTGGTGAAAATGTAAAATGGTTCAGCTGCTTTGGAGAACAGTTTGTGGTTTCTCAAAAGTTTAAACAGAATTAACTTTGACCCAGCAGTCCTGCTACTGAGTGTGTGTGTGTGTTTGTGTGTGTGTGTGTCCAAGAGAATCAAAAACATGTCCTCATAAAAAGTTGTACATGAATAGCCATAGCAGCATTATTCATTATAGCCATAAATGAAAAAAAATGTCCATCAATTGACACATGGATATCCAAAATGTGATATATCCAGATGATGGAATATCACTCAGTCATAAAAAGGAATGGAGTTCTGGTACATGTTACCAACATGGATGAATGTTTAAAATACTATGGTACATAAAAGAAGTCATACATAAAAGGCCATATGTTGTATGATTCCATTTACATGAAATGTCTAGAACAGGCAAATCTATAGAGATCAAGAGTAGATTAGTGGTTGCCCAAGGCTGAGGGGAGTGGAGGCTGGAGAGTGACTATTAATAGGCATAGGATTTCTCTGGAGGCTGATGGAAATGTTCTGTAATTAGATAGCAGTGATATTTGCACGTCTTTTTAGATACTAAAAACTACTGAATTTTAGAGGCATGAATTTTTAGGGTTACATCTTATTTAAAATGAGAAAAAAAAAGACCTCTCTCAGATTTATATCACACTGTCTGATGATATGGAAGCCCCTGGTGAGTACAGAGCTGGCACTAGTTGAAAATCCACAATGAAAGAAGTGTATGGTGGTTCAGTTCATTTTATTTTTGAGGACATATTAAAAACCCAAGAACCAACCTCATGGGGCAATGAGTGTTCTTCATGCCTCTGTAGGTCCAGGTGCTGGATGAGAGGATCTGTACACCTACCTCCTCCCCACCACTGAAGCAAAGAGCTCCGAGCACATCTTACCAAGGCTGGGTTTGCTGCATTCTTTCCACGTACAAAGATGGAGAGAGCAAAATGTGCTTGACTAGAAGTCAGGAGACCTGTGTTCTATTGTTGGCTCTGCCATTAACTAACTTAAGCCTCAGTTTCCCCATTTTTAAAACAAGCGGTTGTACCAAAACTCCCCAGTGTGTTTTCTAGCATGAAGCTTCTGTGATTCTAAAAAGAAAATCCCCTTCATCTTCCTCTCACTACTCTGTCATCCCAACCCCACACCCTACCCCAATACACACACACACACACACACACACACACACACACACACCCCTGTAAAGAAGAAACATTCAACCATGATAACCAGGCTATCATTTCCTGCTAAGAAGGGATAACTTTGCAGCATGACTAACAGAAAAACTAAAACAAAACAAAAAAAGAAAAGTGGAGCAGCCCAAGGCATGACTTTTACTGGCTAGGATCCCCAGAGACTCTGGAATGATCCTACTGAACAGTTTCTAGGTCTGGATGTTTGTCCGTTGTAAAGCTTGTAAGTTGAAGATTGCATCTATGTACAATCCTGATTGTCTTCAATGGAGTGTGGACCTGTACTCACAGAACACCTACTCTATTTTGACCTTGGGTCTTTTCATACAGAAATCTCAGAAGTAGCCACAAACTTTGTTTCACAAATATGTTTTATTTAGCTTGTAATTAAAAAAAAACTATGCCAATTTTTTTACATCAGTGAATTTTATATAAATATAACATTTTATGCCTTTTCTAGGAAAATTATAAAATCTAGTAGAGTAGTACCCAAATTCTAACTCGTGAAAATCGTCTGGAGCTAAATTAAGCCTATCCCCTTTTGACTTACTTTCAGTTTGCCACAGTCCCCACTACTCCCTCTTGTCCCAAATACTAAAGACAAGTATGAGAAAGCGTTTGATTTCATATTTGTGCAGTTGGGTTTTTTTCTCATATCTGTTTTTTGTTGTTGTTGTTTGGCTGTTGTTTTTCTTTTTTCCATATGGCTTCATTTATCACTCAGCTAGCCCCTAAGAGCAGTTGAGATAACTCACCACAGACAGGTATCTATGTCATATCCAAGCACTCTATTGGCACCTATATAAGGAAGTCTCCCCAATCTGTATCTCCTGACCCATATTAACACTGTCTGAGACCTCTCCACCTGGCTGCCCCACAGATAACCTTAAAATCAATAAGCCTAAAACTCATTCACTTTTCTCTAAATCTTTTGCTGTACTCTCTCTCTCTCTCTCACTCAGTGACACCACTAACTACCCAGTCAAGCAAGCCAGAGACCTAAGAGTTGTCCTTCTTTCTGTTCCCTCATCCCCTGTGCTCATTCAGAAACATAAACAACAGAAGTTTATCGCTCATAGTTCTGAAGGCTGAGAAATCCAACCAGCAGATTCAGTGTCTGGTGAGGGCCCACTCCTCACAGACTGCACCTTTCATGTGTCCTTACATGGCAGAAGAGGCAAACAGGCACCCCCAAGCGTCTTTTATAAGGGCACTAATCCTATTCATAGAGGTAGAGCCCTCATGATCTAATCACCCACCAAAGACCCTAACTCTTGATATTATTACATTGGAGATTAGGCTTCAACATATGAACTTTGTGGGGACACCAACATTCAGACCTCTATAGTTACTCAAACCAGGCCTCCCTCACTTCCCGTTGAACTATTGAAAACAGTTTTCTAAAATCCTTTTAACGTCTAGGCTCGCTCCCTTGCAGCTCATGCTCTGAGTGATCACACAGTAAGCTTCTACAGCACAAATCTAGTTACGGTTTTCCTTGTTGAAACCCTCCAGCAGCACCCTGCAGCCTGCTATAGGACGAAGGGCTAGTCCAGCCCGTGCTGACCTCCGCAGGCATGCAGACCTTTGACTGCATCCTGTCTCCCACTCTATACTCTGGCCCACATGCCAGCTGTCATTTTCTTGACAAGTGCACACCCCCATGCTTTTTCCCATCCTGTACTCAGCACCTGCTTCCTGACTGTGAGCACCTGCTCGTTTTTGAGTACTCAGTTTAGGAGTCAATGAAACCTCTTCTGTTCGCTCACTACCATCTTTATTTGAAATTGATCATTCTTAGATTTTAAGTGTTCTCACCACAAAAAAGAGATAAGTGAGATAATGCATATGTTAATTAGCTTCATTTAGTCATTTCTCTCTATACTTCAAAACACATTGTACACAATATGTGCAATTTTGTCAATTAAAAATAAACATAAACAAATAAAAATCAGTCACTCTTTCTTAGTTTACCCTCTGCCCCCTCCACATCCCACCAGCCTCCCATGAGAAGCTTCAGTGCATGTGTCTGTTTCCTTGTTAGTTTTCTCTTACTAGCTGGTAAGCTCACCGGAGCAGGGATGGAGTCGGGGTCATCCCATATCCCCAGTACCCAGCAGAGCAGCTGGTATATATAGTAGTCACTCCGTACATGGTTAATAAAAGAAAGTCTGTGAGAAAAAGTAAGTAATTCAACTCTGTGTGAGCCCCTGCCAGAGTCCCCTAGCCAGTTCCCTGAATCCTCTCTTTCCTCCTTTAGTTTGTAGCCAGAGTGACCTTTTCTCAATGGAGTCTTGATTCAGATCCATTGCTTTTGAGAAAAACTCAAGATCCTTAGGAGTCAGGGTCCTCCCTGTCTCTGTGGCCTCCTCTCCCACCTGCTCCTCCTGGCTCCATCCTCCCTACCTGCATGGCCTTCTGCTAGTCCTTGGTATGTCTCCTGCCCTCTCCTGGCAGAGGGCAGCCATCCCTGCCGGGCCTCTTCTAAGCTTTCTTCCCTCCCTTCCTCACCAAGTTAATTCCCATCAACCTCCAGCTCTCAACACATTCACTGCTTCTTCAGGCCCTGACTTCCCTGACTGGAGAGGTGGAGGCCCCTAATAACACCCTACCTCACCGGGCTGCATAGACATGCAAGCATGCCCCTGCCAGCTCTTACTCTGGGGCCCTTTGCCTTAAGCTGGTACCAATGAAAGAAAGGGGAAGAGAGATAGCTTTCAGCCTCTCCTCTGTGGAGGGGAACTGTCCAGCACAATACAGTTGTCCCTTGGCATTGGTGGGGGCTCATTCCTGGACCCACGCAGATACCAAAATCCACAGATACTGAAGGCCCTTATATAAAGTGGTGTATTATGGTCATGGAACCTACTCGCATTCTCCCATATACATTAAACCATCTCTAGATTATTTATAATACCTAATACCATGTAAATGCTATGTAAATGATTATTATACTGTATTTTTAAATTTGTATCATTTTTATTGTTTTTCCCAAATATATTTGATTCTTTGTTGGTTGAATTTGCTGATGCATGAACCCACAGATACAGAGGGCCGTCTGTAAATTTTTGGCAGTTAATGGAAGGCACTTGCCTTAGAAGGTAGGTAGCTCAGCAACCTCTGCCACTTCCCTGGTTCAGGGGACGGGGAGGGGTCACGGGCACCCCCAAGAAGGCTCATCAGCATCCTCCAATCACTTCAGGGCCAAGTGACTTTCTCAGGGGATGTCTGGTAAATACAGTAGTGTTTTCCCCTTCTCCACTACATTTCCAGGATTATTTCTGTGTCTTTAATAGCACTTAAGATGGGACTTAGGTCCCTTCCCTTATTCCCACCTGCAGACTGCCCCTCCATCTGATACTGTTCATGGTTATCTAACTAAATAAAACGTCCACCTCCCAGTGCACCTTGACAATGGCCCACATGGGGGCTCAGAGAAGGTGGTAAGGAAAAGGCAGTCCTCTGGCCAGAAAGCTCATTCTAGCACTGACTCCAGAGAAGCCGTATCTTCCAGTACTTGAAGCAGCAAGCTCATTGATCAGACAGCCTCGAGGGTGGATGGTCATTCCCCTCTCCAGAGACAGGTTCCCTTTCTACTCTAGGGGAGAGGCAGAGCCTGCAGCCACCAAGCTCCCTGCAGAGGGCTGGGAGCACTCGCCCCAGAGATGATTGAGGAAGTCCAAATAGAATGTCAGGTACAATTCTTATGATACTGAGGCCACTCATCTCTCTGTTTAACTTAGCTTCTGAAATCATTCTTGATAATGAGAATGCCATGCCTTTATTTTATTTCCTGCTATACAATAGATAAGGAAGTAAAAGTCCACCAAGAGAGCATACAAAATCAAGAGGACAGTGATCAAGGGTAGCTTTTACCTGGAATATAATTTGACTCGGTTCTTGGCCTTCATAAATAGAAAATGTCATGGGTTTCAGGGGTCCACTAAACTTCCCCTCTTGGCCATATCCAGTTGCCTGTTAAAAAAGAAAGAGAAAATTAGCATCTTGTATGAAGTGTCTGTGTCACTCATTGATTTTATTAGGGCTTCCAGCACCAATATACAAAACATAGGATTCTATCATGGCTGAAATCTGATCAAAACAGGAAAGAGTGTAATAGCTGTTGAAGCTCTACCACGTCAAAGTAGCTTGTTACAAACCTTTCCATTGCTTTTCTTAAACATCTGAGCAGAATGTGAGATGAGAAGAATCACTCTATGAGAAGAATGTTAACATCCCCATATTACAAATGAAGCTTAAAAAGGTTAACACAGCACACATGCTCAGGCCTAACTGAACTAAAGCCCATGGTCTTCCACAATCCCACACTGTCTTCTAAATTATATATGTTTTTACTCCAGCTTCATAAAACACCTCCCTCCACTCTTTTTATTTTATAAAGACATTTACAGCAGATTGCCAGCACTCTAGTGTTTTGAATTTATAAGGGGGAGAAAGAAAATATAGACGTATTTAGTACAAAGTTTGCTTGGCACAGTTACACGGTAAGTTTTAGCCAAATTTGAATCTGAATTTGAACTATAACTTTAAGCAAAGCTTACTATTTTAACATTTGATTAGCTCTTTACATTCATTTAGAAAAAAATAAAAGTACAAAATGTTTACTTTAAGCAGTAGCCCCACAATGGTTCCAAAATCCAAAGACCCTAAACTTGAAAGCTAAGCAGGCTCTGCAGACACCCAAGTCAAGACTGGAGTAGTAGTGAATGTGGCTGGGATGGTAAGAAGAGTGGCTCACACTTGCTAAGTTAGTACATGTGGAGCTCTGTCCTAAGCACATTTAATCCTGACAAAAACTCTGGCAGAAAGTTACTATTGTTACCCTTGTTTAACAGGTGATGACACTAAGACCCAAAGAGGTTAAATTATTTGCCCAGGTAGTGGCTGGAAGCAAGATTTGAACCTGCAACTCTGGAACCAGCCCTCTCAGCCTCTATGCACCAGCACCCACCAGAGCGGGTGAAACAGCCAAGGCAACCTGGAGGGAAAACTGGCAGGCTGCACTGAAGATGTGCATGAGAGTGTGACTCCCACCATTCCCAGTCTCAGAACATGGGGAGCATCACTGTAGCCCTCACCACAACAGCACCTCTGAAGGCAGATGGAGTGGGCACCCACGGGAAGGGACAGCCAGTCATGCAGCCACGTTGGGGCACCCTCTAGGACCAGGGATTTAGTGCCTCATCCCCACGCTGGCCTTCTCTCCTTCCTGGGCACGACTTTGGGTCTCCCATTTGTGGAAATCAGGGGTGAAAGAGATTGAAATCAGAAGCATGATGTGGCAAGCCAATGGTTTTTGGAGCTAGACAATAAAAATAAAAGAGTAAAAAGTCTTCTCACTCCCTGAACTGGGTATGCAGGACAGATGTCCAGGTGCCACTAGGTTGGGGGAAAACCATTTATTTTCCAGTTATTTAGGGAGAGCAAGCACACTCTTGCCATGGAAACTGCTCCCTGCTGGGAATACCCAAAAGCCATCAATATGCCAGTGATCAGAGAAAGGTCTTATGCTAGATCCCTCAGTCTGGGGAACCTTGACTAAGTTGGATGCTGGATGTCTGGCAAAAAAGCAATAATGAATGAGAACACAGGGGCTTTGAAGTTTGGTCTTCTGTTCTCAGATTTGTGGTAGGGCCTTAGATTTGCTGCCCCTGGGCCACTGCCAAGCCCTCTCCTTTTCTTCCTCCCACCACAGAGACCGGTAAACCAAGTTCCCTTTCCCAGGCTCACTTGCAGCTAGGAAGGTGGCCAAGTGGCCCAGTTCTGGTTCATGAAATGAGAGGGGAAGTCCACTGGCAGTGGTCAAGCTTCCATATTCCTGATTTTAAAAAAAAGGGTAGTTGTGGCTGCCATTGCCCTTTCCTGTGACTCTTGCTGAGACAATGTACCTTGTGTCTGCAGTTGGGGCAGCTGTGATGAACCCTGAGAGGACAAACCAGCTCAAAAAATGGTGTAGCAAAGAAAAGTAGCCCAAGTCTCTGCAACATCATGGAATTGCTAAACCTGCCCTGGATTGCCTACTTCAGACTTCTTGTTATCTGAGGAAAATAAACCCCTATTTATTTAAAATGCTCTAAAGTCAAATAAGTCAAATTTCCTGTTACTTGCAAGAAAATGCTTTTTTTTTTTTTTTTTTTGAGACAGAGTTTCACTTTTGTTGCCTAGGCTGGAGTGCAGTGGCACGATCTTGGCTCCCTGCAACATCTGCCTCCCAGGTTCAAGCGATTCGCCTGCCTCAGCCTCCTGAATAGCTGGCATTACAGGCACCCCCCCACCATGCCCGACTAATTTTTTATATTTTTAGTAGAAATGGGGTTTCACCATGTTGGACAGGCTGGTCTCGAACTCCTGACCTCAGGTGATCCACCCGCCTCAGCCTCCCAAAGTGCTGGGATTACAGGCATGAGCAACCATGCCCGGCCAAGAAAATGCATCCTTAACTCACAAAGTAATGTTGCCAGACTTCTAGCCCATCTCCTCCTTTCTAAGTTTATCTTCCTTTGGGAGGTCTTCATCCCTTTCACTCCTTTTCCACATCTTTTCCTGTTCCATCAGCTCCTCTAGAAGGCAGGGCATAAGAACTGGGTGTGCAGGACAGATGTCCAGGTACCACCATGGTTGCTTAAGTGAGGTCAGTGCTTTCTGTGGAGCTGCTGCTTATCAGCTTTGCACTCATGTCAGCAAGCAGTCTTTCAGTTAGTCACACCAGTGAAAACTACATTAGCCACACACAAACAAGGCTGCACTATTCCAACAAGGACAAGCTGGCTCACCCATCAGAAAATGAGAATCAAGTCTTGGTTCCAGGGTTCAAAGTTGCGTGCTTGTATTGGGGCAACAAATCTCTCTTCCTGCCAATAAACATGACTATTGGGGCTATAAAGATTTCAAAGTGCATGTGGACACTGTGAATCATCAAGCCGCTTTCCCCAGAAGTGGGAAAGATGGTATGGTGGAAATCTGTGAAAGGACAAGATGGCGGCTTTATGCAGGAGTTGGAGGGAATAGCGTTTTCCATCTTGCACAAAGAGGTGAAAGGAAGAGAATGGAACTGCCATCTTAAAGTCATTTTTAGCATCTTTTATGTGGCAGTAATGGGACTTGATCACCACAAGACATCATTTCTTCTGACCAATGCTATGAAGAAAGTATCTCCAGAGAAGTCCCACAGTAGAAGCAAAGCATTCAGAGACAGAGCTACCTCCAGACCAGACCCAGCGCCATTGGACCACCAAGCCCCAACTCTTAACCACATTGTTACTGCCTTCCAGGTCAAAGGACATGTGCAATTGCCAGGTTCACCTACTTGGTAGCTCCATCAAGAGCTCAGTGCAGTGATTATGTAGTATTTGTACCAAACTCATCTTCCTTCTGGAAGGCCCAGGCATAACTCCAAAACAGATGGCTCTGCCTTGGTTTCCTCCGATTCCCTGTTCAGTACCATTTCCCAAACCCTGGATCACTTATTTACTCTCTCTTTGGTGCCCCTGAAGTACATCAATGCCGTATTTGTGTTTCTAACCCTCTGATAAATCTATCTCTTGGAAAAGAACAGAAGATCTACTCGCAGTCTGGAGTAAATTAGTGCTTCTGTTGAATAAAGCCCTATGCAGAAGGCAAGATTCTTCAAGCAAACTTCCAGTCTTCATAGAAGAGGCCTTGGGAGGAGGTAGGAGAGAGAAGTGGCTCCCTCCCAACACCCCTGAAATCCCACTCCCTGACTTCACCCAGAGACAGCTGTGCTTGTGGCTTTCACCTGGGTAAGGCACTGCTGCCAGCAGTGGTTGGGCAGTATTTTCACTCTAGATAGAAATCCCACTGGGGTGAGAGTAGAGAGAAGGAAACCTTATTTTCACCTTTCATCCAGGAATAAAAATGCATGTTCCCTTCTCAGACAAGAAGCAAATAAGGCCTAATAATTAGATATTATTATTAAATAATTTAGCAGTGTGCTCAGTGCTGAATCTGCAAAGATGATAAAAGCACAGTCCATTTTTCATGGAGGTCAGAGTCCATGTGGACGTACACACTGAACACTTAAAATGCTGTAGTAATTATAGTAGCTAATGTTTATTGTGTGTTTAACCACCAGTCGCTGATCCAAGAGCTTTGTAAATGCAGTATCTCATTGAATTGCCACAAAATCCCATAAGACAAGTACTATTATTAGATCCACTTCACAGGGCAGAAAACTGAGGTTCAAAGCTTAGGTAACTCACCAAATTCTTATCACTGGTAGTGGAGGCACCGAGTTTGAATCCATGTCTGAATTTGTCACTACCCTGGGATAACATAGGTGACAAAGGGCATTTGAGGGGGTAGCATGAGGAGAGAGGTCAAGTGGGGATGTTTGATCCAGCCCTTCCACAATCCTGGAGACAGGCTTTGAGCCTGCAGGCTGTGAGGACTCAGGCTTCTCATAAAGTTTGAACTGCAGATTTCCCCCGGGAGGAAGGCTCTGATAGTTTTCAAGTTTCATTCAATTTCACACTGTCACTATGTGAGCTCTAGGGTATTTTTTGGGACTTGAAATTTGATGTATTATTTATGGATCCCAGAAGAAAGGAAGTAAGATTTGAGGTATGAGGATCTAGAAGCTTCCTTCTTTAAAAAAAAAAAAAAGAGAGCAAATGCTTCCTCTAAATCTTATAATCTCGTTTCATAATGCAGCAATTTTGGGGGCAACCTTTATGAACCTCAGCAGTCACGTAGATTTTAAAAAAAGGCACCTACTGTTTACCCCAAGGTCAAGGGTGAGGACTCCCCAGTTTCTATCCAGCTCCGAGCTCTAGAAGCCTGTCAGTCAATAGGGTTAACCCAACAAATGGTTAAAGACAACCAGAAAATTCCAAACCCTTGATGAGAAGAAAAGTATAGAGCAGAGCAAGGCTGAAAATAGAGAAAATGCTTTTCTTGATGTTTTGGTGGTAAGTTTTCATGCGCAAAGTTTAAAAAAGAAAGTCAAGATTAAGGGACACAGACTAATTCATGTATCAGTGCAATGTCATTTCAGATTCCCTGAGCTATAGATAGATTTGTTTTCAACATTACCCATAACTGGTGTTGGCTTTTAAGAGCTGGAAAGAAAATACATTCCCTAGTCGAGGGCAGACATGTGATTTGTAGCCATTTCATCGAAAATATCACAGTGGAACAAGCTATGTTTCCATTCTATACAACAACTTAATTTTGATAGGTCATCTTTTTTTAAGTAATAATAGCCATTCTTTCCCTGGTGTGGGGTAGAAAGATAGCAGAAAATATTCTAGTAAACAAATAGAGAAGAACACCCTCTTCTCTTACCAAATAAAGCATAAGAAGACACAGGGAGTGAAGATGGGCCTGAAGTATCATAGTTTTCTTTATTCAAATTCCTGTGAAGGAACCAGATAAAAAAATGGTTAGTTACCAGTCTGTTAAAATCATGTCTTTCCAATCAGTAAGAATCAATGGATGATATCCAGTTATAAATCTAGTAAAATGGTATCCCAAAAGGCCAGCCTCTCCTCTATATGGAGCAGCCCAGTCTTCCAGAAGCTTCATGCACATCATCCATAGCAATATGCAAGCCAACATCTCAAAACATGCTCACAATAATTCCATTTATCTAACTGCTTTGCTTTGTTATGATCTTCTTCATTTCAGCGTCTTAAATGATGGGCAATGAGTGTTTGTTTTGGGGTTTTTGGAAACGCAGTCTCACTTTGTCATCCAGGCTGTAGTGCAGTGGTGCAATCTCATCTCACTGCAACCTCCACCTCCTGGGTTCAAGCAGTTCTCCCACCTTAGCTTCCCAAGTAGCTGGGATTACAAATGCCCATCACCACGCCTGGCTAATTTTTTGTATTTTTAGTAGAGACAGGATTTCACCATGGTGACCAAGCTAGTTTCGAATTCCTGACTTCAGGTGATCTGCCTGCGTCGGCCTCCCAAAGTGCTGGGATTACAGATGCCCAGCCAGCAATGAGTATTCCTTTCACTCCTATTATACAGATGGAGAAGATGTATTTTGGCAGATTCCAGGATAACTAAACATTTTGATTCAAAGCCACAAACATATGAGATTCCGCAAGTGAAAAGAACTAAAGAATGCTCACAATTCTTCATTCAAAGATGTCACCAGCTGCCTCTTTGATCTTCTAGATATTGTCATTACCTACACAATAAACCTAAGAAAAAATTAATTTCTTACTATTCCAAAAGAGATCAAACAAAAATCTGAACTCTGTCCTTATTGTCTCCTGTCCGATATTATTTTTCCCTTCCTCCTTAAGGCTTCCCATTTCACAGAGATTGTGACTTTCACTATGAGACATGTCATGACTAATTGATTTTAAGATGTGAGAGAAATTTTCCACATGGCCTGGAAAACAGTGTTGTTACCTGTCATAAGTTTGGACTGCCCCTCCCCAAAAGACAGTCAAGGAAATTTTTTTTTTTTTTTTTGGAGACAGAGTCCTGCTCTGTCGCCCAGGCTGGAGTGCAGTGGCACGATCTCAGCTTATTGCAAGCTCCGCCTCCCAGGTTTACACCATTCTCCTGCCTCAGCCTCCCAAGTAGCTGGGACTACAGGCGCCTGCCACCACGCCTGGCTAATTTTTTGTATTTTTAGTAGAGATGGGGTTTTGCCGTGTTAGCCACGATGGTCTCAATCTCCCGACCTCGTGATCTGCCTGCGTCGGCCTCCCAAAGTGCTGGGATTACAGGCGTGAGCCACCACACCTGGCTGAGTCAAGAAAATTTTTTCAATGTATTTATTTCACGAAAATTCCAATCACTTTATTATCTCTAGAGATTAGGAATAATCTTGGTTTACTTCATCATCTTATTCTTTAAAGTTTTTCTACATTGAACACATATCACTAATATCACCAGCATGGAAAAAATTTCACTAACATTTTAACCACTCTAAAAATTTAGATCCTGAAAATTTTACATGCCCTACATTTGCATAACTTATATTTGAACTTTAAAGGGTAAAAATGCTATTTCATTTTAGCCTCACCAATGTTCTGGGAGATAAAGAAACAATCCTTTATTAAGCATCACCCAGGATGTAGATTTGCAGAGAGGTCTTTAAAAACAGTAACAGGCGGGAAACAATGGTTCACATCCAGAAGCCCAGCACTTTGGGAGACCGAGGCAGGTGGGTTGCTTGAGCTCAGGAGTTTGAGACCACCCTGGCCAACATGGCGAGACCCCCATCTCTACTAAAAACACAAAAATTAGCCAGGTGGGTGACTCATTGCCTGTAATCCCAGCTACTTGTGATACAGGAGCTGGAAATAAATTATTTAGGCAGATAGTAAGGGTAAGAGAGTCCTCAGTAAGGTTTCCTTTTAACAAAAAGCAGCCCCAAAATCATTTCTAACAAAGAGCAGCCTGTAGAATCCAGCTGCAGACATAGATAAGCAAGCTGGAAGTTTCCACAGGTGAATGCCAGCAGCTCGGCCAATAGGAAAAGGCTATCTGGGGGCCGGGCATGTTCAACACGGCGGCTCCATCTTCCCTTTTCTTTGTAACCACGTGTACAGTAAGCAACAGACTATATGGTGCTAGCCAGGTAGAGAATCCATCTGCATAATAAAAGATTAGGCCAGCTTCTTCAAGCACTATGCAAACATCACACCTGGTCCAACCAATCTCTCCGGCCCTGTGTAAATCAGATACCGCCTCCTCAAGTTCATATATAAAACCCTGTGCCATTTCACCACAAAACCGGAAGACCCACTCGGGCACCCCCCTCTATCTGCAGGAGATAGAGCTAATCCGCTTTCTCTTTCTTTTGCCTATTAAACCTCTGCTCTTAAACTCACTTCTTGTTTGCCCAGGTTTTCTATTTCTCTACCCTGAGTTGATGACCTCGGGTATTTATCCCAGACAATGATGCCACTTCACCTGGGAGGCTGAGGTGGGAGGATCACTTGAGCCCAGGAGGCAGAGGTTGCAGCCAGCCATGATTGCGCCACTGCACTGCAGCCTGGGTGACAGAGCGAGACCCTGTCTCAAAAAATAAAAATAAATAATAAATTAAAATTAAAAATAAAAACAGTAACAGAGTGGTATGGCAGGTAGGCTTGGAGTCAGAAAGCTGGCCTAGCAACGCAGCACTGCTCTCTATAGCTATGTGGCTATGGATATACTACTTCATCTTTCGGTGCCTTAGTCTCCTCACATGGAAAACACATAGCCATTGCTCAATAATAAGTTTGTCCTCTTGGCCAGGCACGGTGGCTCAGGCCTGTAATCCCAGCACTTTGGGAGGCTGAGGCAGGCAGATCACAAGGTCAGCAGTTCGAGACAAGCCTGGTCAACATAGTGAAACCCCGTCTCTACTAAAAATACAAAAATTAGCCAGAAGTGGCAGTAGGTGCCTGTAGTCCCAGCTACTTGGGAGGCTGAGGCAGGAGAATTGCTTGAACCTGGAAGGCAGAGGTTGCAGTGAGTTGAGACTGGGCCATTGTACTCCAGCCTGGGTGATGGAACGAGACTCTGTCTAAAAAAAAAAAAAAAAAAAGAAAAAAAGAAAAAGTTTGTGCTCCTATGATTTTCTCAGATATAATGAGCTGGGAATTGTTCTTCTCATTTTGTAGGTGAGAAAATTGAGGTTAAAAGTCAAGCAATTTGCCTAAAGACATACAGCTAGGAAGTGACATTACCTTGCCTCCAACCAGATTATCAATTCCAGAGTTTAAACTCTGGAATTTCAACTCTTGCTACTGTGCTTTATATAGTTTGATAGCTACCTAGATGTAGATGTATGACATAGAGCATGGACAGAGATAGAGCTGTAGAGATATACAAATATCATGTATGTATGTATATATATTTATACATGCTATATAAATTAAGCAACTTGCCCTGAAATTCCACAACTATTTTAAGGAAAAGCTAGGATTAAAACCCTTCAGGACTCCAAGATTCATAAATTCCTTGCATGTTTAAAAATTAGCTTTTGCAACATAATTAATTTGGTTGACATATCTAAACATCATTTTAGAATTAACTCATAGTTAAACAAGACATTACTGCTTTAGAGTACTTATTTGGTTTGGAAACACATAGAAACAAGTAACAACCTCAGATTCTAGCATATTGCAAGATGATATTATCAATTATAAATGAATAAATTAAGTCTAACAAACTAGTTTTCTGTAATATTAGCAAAATGTACACGGTCAGCTATCAACCTGTATTTGCTTAATACAAGTAAAAATATAGGCAATAATGACACATTGGGAGATCTTTCTCCTTAAACTCCTCAGCATTCAAGATCTTTCAAATGCTGCTCCCAACTCTTCCAGCCTTATCTGCCACTCCCTTCCCACACCCAGTCACACCTCCACCCAGATGGACTTTGCACCCTGAGCTCTCTGGCAGCCAAGCTCTCACCCCTGCTGCTCTCCCTGCCTGGCACAAGGCCTGGCCCAGAGAAAATGGACAATGGATATTTGCTTAATGAGGTTGGATGGAGATGTTTCCTCATTTCTGCTTCTCACATCTTACCATCTAAGTTCAACTTAATTATTTAAATAGCAATGAACTACACCACTTCTAGTATGTCCCAGATACCGTGCCAAGAACTGGGGTACCAAAATAAGGGGTACAGGTTCTATCTTCATGGAGCTAGGACCTAAACCCTACTTCCTTCATGAAATCTTCCTTGATTTCCAGCCAGTCTCTTCCTCTCAGAGCCAGTTCTGATTGATATATATATATATATATATATATATATATATATATATATATATATTTTTTTTTTTTTATCATTTGTCTGTTAGCATTACTGCCACTATTAAATAAAATCCTTAAGGGCAGAGGCCTTATTTTTAACTTATCAGGTCTCTTCATACTATCCCTTGCATATATCAAGCCATCATCAGATGTTGGGTAAATTCTAAAACATTTATGATTACCTAACATGGATATCTTATTAATTTGTTCTCACCTGTAAGAGCTTTCAATAAACATGATATATTAAAGGAAACTCATTCAACATTCAAAGCTTTATTGTGTAATACATTTTTATTGTTGATGAAAAGAGTTGTTTCTCCTTTGAATACACTAACAGATTTCTGCTCAGTAAATAACCCAGAACTGGTCGAACTAGATCATCTCTTCTTGAACTAATTTTTTTTTTTTTAACACCTTCAGTCTTCCAGAAAAACACAAGTTAAATGATAGAAAAGCAAATAAAAATAAAAGGAATGCCTTATTTTGGTCAGATGCTCAGAGAGATCACTGTCTGGGATGTTTCAATGGAACCTAGGAAGTAGAAGGAGAAATGTACTTATCCTTTATTTTGTCATTTACATTTAGGCCTGCCCCTCACCGAGGGTTTCCAGTGGGAAGTAGAAGTCACTGCTTTCCATTGCCACACGTAGGGTGCCATGATTTATTTGAAGACAAATCTACCACACCATGCGGTTGTTAGGAGCATAGACCCAGGAGTTAGACTGGCTGGCTTGGGTCTTAACTCCTCCACCGGCTGACTCGTGGCCCTATCTACTCATCTATAAAGCAGGGATAATAATAATAATACCTACCTTCGAGAGTTAAGAGATTCAGCGAGTTAATATTTGGAATACTGTTGGCCAAAAATTCATTTTGCCACTCACGTTTGCTTAGTCAAAACTGTAAACATTGTCCAACAGGACATTTCTCTTCACAATTCCCAACTTTTGGTGGCCCACTAATGAAAATATTCTAAAAACAGCCTACACAGGAACATCCTCACAGCCAAATGAGGCAGCAAGGCAAAGCCTTTACCCGAATGATTCAAGGCAAACTACACTAGTGCTAGGATTATGTCAAAAGAGGACTTTGGTCTCTCAAACAGGTCCCACCTACACTTCCTCCTTCCATGGACACAATACCATTCAAGTGTGGGGTACCCTGGGTCGCAATGGTGCTGATGGGAAGCCATCCTTCATCACTGAAATTGCCCGAAACCACCAAGCCAGACACCTAGGTTTCCTCAAAAACACTACTTGGAAAAGAATTGAAATAGATTTCCAGAGGATTCTGTGGCATTTTATCTGAACTACCTGTAATAATTGGCCAACCGTCTGCGTGGAATTTTTGCCGTTTGTCAGGATTTCCCTCAGATACAAGGACTAAATTCAGACAGTTACTACAGCAATTATTTGAGAGACCAAGCACACCCTTTGCAACATAGATCAGAGGGTTATTATTATTATCTTTTGTTTTTTTTTTTTTTTTTTTTTTTTTTTTTTTACAAAAAAAGGAGTTTTGAAAAGAAGGCCTCGGTTCCCAAACTGTGGCTGCCCCTCACCCAATGGGCACCACCATGACCACCACTTGCTCAACAGTAGACCAGGGCACCTGCTTGCAGACGGGAACCAGGGCTGCTGGGCTTGCTCTGCAGGAACAGTGCCTCATTTTAATCTACCACACAACAGAAGACATGGGAATCCCGCCGCGGCCTGGATCTGCATCCAGCCCGGATAACGACAAAGGCAGCAAACATTGACTGAAAACAATTTGCTGCATGCACCGATAAGACTTGGTGGTGAAAAACTATCTTGCTGATTTCTCAGAACAACTCTATGGAGCAGATGCTATTATAATATACCTCTTAAAGATGAAATGAAAAATCAAACGATGAAGACCACAGAAATTAAGAGACTTGCCCAAGGTCACAATGCCAGGCTAATTTTCACTCCCTCTGAAACACAAATATCCTGATGATGAGACACCAAGTATCATTTAATCCACTACAGATCTTTCCAAAATGTTGAAAAGGTTTTTTCCCCCTACTTTGCAGCTGCTCTTTTTTTCAGATGCTGACATGACCTGCCCCGACCTGCCTGGAGGAAAAGGCTGCCTTGGTCTGGGAAGTTTTGTTTCTACTGCAAATGTATCTCTGTGTCTCACTATTTCTCCTCATTTCTGTGCTTCACCTTAGGAATCTTCCCTTTTTTAAATCAATCCAAATGCTATGGGTAGAATTGTGTCTCCCTCCCCCTCAAAAAGCATATGTTGGAGTCCTAACTTCCAAGCACCTCAGAATGTGACTTTATTTGGAGTCTTTACAGAGGTAACGAAGTTAAAATGAGGTTGTTAGAGTGGGCTCTAATCCACAATGACTGATGTCCTTCTAAGAAGAGATTTGGAGACAGGCTCATCCACAAAGAAAGAACACTGTGTGAATGTACAGACAGCCATCTACAAGCCAAGGAGAGAGGTGCACAGAAGATCCTTCCTTCACAGCTCTCAGGAGGAACCAACCCTACTGCCCTCTTGATTTTGGACTTCTGGTCACCAGAACTGAGATGGTAAATATCTGCTGTTTAAGCCTCCCGTTCTGTGGTATTTTGTTAAGGCAGCCCTAGCAAATGAAGACCCCATGGAACTTTTGTTTAGCCTGTGCTGCTGTCCCAGGACAGAGGTGGCCTCACAGGGGGCTCTGCTCAGTCATTAGACACCTAGGGACCCCCCGCATCCCAGCAGCCCACCCAAGGCTTCCTTGATTCTCCCACCAGGCTCCAAGCTCCCAAGGGGATTAACGGCATTCATTTATTTTTTTTTAGTTACATAATTAGGTTCTTCTTAAGAAATTTAGAACACCAATTTGTGAGGATAAATTCCATTCACCAGGGCACACACAGATTGCAGGTAGCCCTGGAGCTGAGGAATAGCTTTGAGTTTTGGTAAAATTTGCCAGTCCATGGTTTTCTGATCAGCCTTGCACTGCTTTGTAGTCTTACATTTCTCTTTTTCTGTCAAAGATCTCACCCTCCTACTGACTAGGCTTCCACAACTGCTTCTTAAAGTAGGCATTGGTAAGATGTTTTGGGTTTCTCACACTGCTGGTATCGATTTTTTTTTTTTTTTTGAGACAGTCTTGCTCTGATGCCCAGGCTGGAGTGCAATGACGCCATCTCAGCTCACTGCAACCTCCAGCTCCCAGGTTCAAGTGATTCTCATGCCTCAGCCTCTCAAGTAGCTGGGATTACAGGTGTGTGCCACCATACCCGGCTAATTTTTGTATTTTTAATGGAGACGGAGGTTTCGCCATGTTGGCCAGGTTGGTCTCGAACTCCTGGCCTCAAGTGATCCACCCACCTTGACCTCCCAGAGTGCTGGGATTATAGGTGTGAGCCACTGCACCCAGTCCTGATATCAATTTTTATGGAGGTGGTGATGACAAATTTCTGGTGTGTCCTTCACAGAGGAACTCCATGGAAGACCAGAGGTCCAGCCACAAGTAACAAGCTACTGCCCAGCTGCTCCAGGAAAACCACCCTCCTGCCTTGGTGGCACCAAGGGAGGATGAGCAGAATGGTCTCGAGGGCCGTGCTGGCTCCAAGTTTTCTCACATGCTGACTGCAGAGTTTCTTGCGATGGCTGGACAGCTTTTGAGGCACATCTCTGTT
This sequence comes from Homo sapiens, assembly GCF_000001405.40. Classification (NCBI taxonomy): domain Eukaryota; kingdom Metazoa; phylum Chordata; class Mammalia; order Primates; family Hominidae; genus Homo; species Homo sapiens. The sequence continues at coordinate 94,202,731 of NC_000008.11, forward strand.
GGATAATATCAAGGCATTTTGTGAAGTTTAAATAGCCAGGCATCACCATTCTTGTCACCTCAACTGGGTTTGTAACGGTTGCGAGATTCTTTTCAATCTTGGGTTTAGCAGCTAAGTACCTCCTCTCGTACATGGCCTTTCTGGAATACATAGCAGATCAGGAATATCTGCCAATTCCTCCAATGAGGACAGGATTTTGGGCTTCCCCTTCTTGGGCTTTTTAGCTCTGAGGTTCCCCTTTTCACCTTGCCACTGGCAAAGCCTTGTTAGCTTCAGGTTTCTTCTCCTTAGTATCCGGCTTCTCAACTTTTTCACCCACCATCTTGCAAGATGGGAAGGTGATGTTTAGACGCTCTTGTCATTTACCCATTTATTTGAGTAAGGACAAGGAGTTTCTACGTCCCAGATCTCCAGATTTACAAGTCAACACATAAGCATTGATTTTTGTCCCCCGTGAAAAAAGCTAAGTGATAGACAAATCTTAGAGTCAGTCATCTCTTATTTATTTATTTTTTAAAAAGCATGAAGGGCTTTGAATTAAAATAATTCACCTAGCACTAAGGCTGAGCCATGAAGCTTCAAAGAACAAAGAAGTTGCAGAAGGAGAGAGCTACAGAATTTGTTTTCAAATATCCTAAGGTAGTGTGGGCAGGAAGGGATGTGACTGGAATTCATAACACCACCAGGACCAAACAGTGCCAAATATCCTGTGAGCCATTTATTTTTCCTCCTCACTGTATATTGCTAAGAGCGGCATAAATTATAAGGCAAGGCCAGATAGATATAAAGATCAGATGAAAATCTCGCCCAAACCATTTTTCATCGATTAATGTTCAGATCTGCCACGCCCATCTTTTTGGTCTGGCTCACAGATCTCTGGCACCAATTGCATCACTCAAGGTTTAGAGAACCGCAGAAGCATCTGACCAATTTGCACTTTTGACAAATTAAGGACCCAATTAAAGTGGCCATTAATAAGCTAGAAACAAGCAGACAGGTATAAATCTGGGCTTCTGCCTCACACTTCAAACAGATTACTCCACATGGGGAGGGAATGGGCAGCTGGATGATTTGTTTTTAGAGCAGAGAGGAAGACAGGGAAGAAGGAAGGAAAGGAGGGAGGGAGGGATGAACATACATACATAAACATAAGCCCAGCTTTCTGTCACTAAACTCTGTAATATAGATATGCCAATCTTTCAGTATATGAAAATCTGGATTTACACACATGCAAAATTAGAGGTGATGATTTGTTCTACCAATAGGTTCATGATAGGGAAGATGGGCTCACGGGAGGCTAAATGGTCCCCTGGAGAACTTAAAATGGTTTAGATTGATATAATCAATTATAATACACATTACTAGCATAATTATTCTTTTTTTAAAAAATGTTTGTCTCACTTTTTCTTTTTTTAAAAATTTTACTTTAAGTTCTGGGATACATGTGCAGAACATGCAGGTTTGTTATATAGGTATAGACGTGCCATGGTGGTTTGCTGCACCCATCAACCCGTCATTTAGGTTTTAGCCCCACATGCATTAGGGATTTGTCCTAATACTCTCCCTCCGCTTGCCTCCCACCCCAGGACAGGCCCCGATGTGTGATGTTCCCCTGTGTCATGTGTTCTCATTGTTAACTCCCCCTTATGAGTGAGAACATGCAGAGTTTGGTTTTCTGTTCCTGTGTTAGTTTGCTGAGAATGATGGTTCCCAGCTTCATCCATGTCCCTGAAAAGGACATGAAATCATTCTTTTTTATGGCTGCATAGTATTCCATGGTGTATATGTGCCACATTTTCTTAATCCAGTCTATCATTGATGGGCATTTTGGTTGGCTCCAAGTCTTTGCTATTGTAAATAGTGCTGCAATAAACACACGTGTACATGTGTCTTTATAGTAGAATGATTTATAATCCTTTGGGTATATACCCAGTAATGGGATTACTAGCATAATTATTCTTATTAAAGAAAAGAATAACAAGTTCCAAGAAATATTTGAGAGAGGTGTCATGTTGTTCCTGGTTGGCGTTTGTTCCCCCAGTGCTCCCCAAGACAGAGCAAGGGAAGGATCAGCTGGGGAGAAGAGGCCTCTCCTCCAAGTCTCCCAAAACATCCCAGCATTGAATGGAAGGGGGGCCAGAGCAGTCACAGGAAAGGGAGCCACTGACCTAGGGACAACAGTGACTGTCCCACCAGGGCACTTGCCTGATGTTGTAACCCATTTATACCTGAGGTTGCAATTTTTTGAATTTTTGCAATCAGACCTTGACGATGACCTTGTGCAGAAGGATATAAATAACTCCCACATGCTTAGTGTTCCAATAATGGAACACTAGGCATAAATGGGTTTTAAGCAGGTAGCCAGGAAGAATTTCAGCATTGACTTCCCTCACGTGTGCAGCTATATACCCGCAAAAACCCTAGAAGGTGGCAGGGGGAGACCCTTTCTCCCCCAGATCTAGCAGAACAATATCACAAGCATCTTCCCTGGACTAAAGAGGAGGACTGGAATCACTATTTCTCATAAAGGGTGGCTTGACTTTTTTTTGACAAAGTGTTTCTTTATGTATTACACAACATTTCTTTATGTAATATAAAGTTTACGGATGAGCATTTTGTCAAGATAATAAAGCAACACATCCTGGCCTTAGAAATTCAGTAGGAAGTAAATCTAAATTAGGTTCCATCCCATAGGATTTAGACACTGAAGGATCGAAAGAAAGAAAGAAAAGAGAAGAGAAGAGAAAGAAAAATACTCTAATACCAGTTCATTTGCAAAGTGACCCAAGGCAGGAATTTTAATGCCAAGAATGTGCAGTCATGCTTAAGTATGGCAGGTTCACTTTCCAATTTCTGTAATTAAATCGTAACTGACAACTGGGATGGGTAGGAGAGGAAGGGAAAATAAATTTAATTCTGCTTAATAAAAGGTGCCAGACCACGATGAAATCTCATTCATGAATTGTTTTTTTTTTTAATCATTGGAATTGTTTTAAAAAATAGCAAATGCTCAACAAATGCAAGCTAAGTTAAACACTTTGGACAACTTACTTGAACAACACAATCATATAATGTGGGTCCTGTTGTTATCCCACAGAGCAGGAAACTGATGCTTAGAGCGCTTGAGGAAGTGGTGTGAATGCAGGGGCCAAGCACCAAGCCACTCTGCTAGATGGCCTCTTGGTGAGGAAGAGAACTCATCTTTAGCTTAGATGTTAAGGGAACAAATCTACCATTTCCATTCTCCTCATCCGTCACTTAAGAACAAGTCCTAATATTTTTAAGTAATAAGTATATGGTCAAAAATGAATAACTCAGAAATATCATGAATGAGAGAATTCCATGTCAGTCTTACAGAATATTTGAAGAGAAATTTTCTTTGTACCACATACACAAAAATCAAGCATAGCTTAGCTTGTTACGTATTGCTTAAGTGAAAAAAAAAAATCAACTTTAGTGTAGTTAATACCTCAGCCACTAGGGGAATATCTGCTTTTATTAAGTTAATATTTCTTGTACCTAAGTAAACATTCCTTCTTCTTCCTGTCTGTTCTTACAAGTAACAAATAAGTAGATAGGTATTCCCTTAAAATTCCGTGTGTCTTTCTTTGGATAATCAACGAGCAGTTACAGAACAACTAGCCCCATTCTAAATCTGATACCAGAGATTTCTGAATCAATGCAATTTTATGTCAAATCTATACATCTCTACCCATGTGAACCAGCTTCTGTTCAAGCACTGTTTGTCGGCCTCCAGAGCAAGGAGCATGACAATGCCCAGCTTTCCTCCTCAGAGCTGTTGCTGTTAATGTGGAAGAAAAATGAGGGACACATCCTTCTAGACATTTTTTTTGACAATGGAACGAGAAGTAGAGTTTCTGCCAGGATATATTTTGCACATCATCCAGATTTTTTTTTTTTTTTTTTTTGAGACAGGTTCTCACTCTGTCACCCAGGCTGGAATGCAGTGGCACAATCATGACTCACTGCAGCCTCAACCTCCTGGGCTTAAGGAATCCTCTCACCTCAGCCTCCCAAGTCGCTAGGACTATAGGTAAGTGCCATCATGCCTGGCTAATTTTTAATTTTCTTGTACAGTCTGGATCTCCCTATGTTCAGACCTTCCAGGCTGGTCTTGAACTCCAGCACAAGCGGTTCTCCCTCCTCAGCTTCTCAAAGTACTGGAATTACAGGAATGACCCACCACACCCAGCCATATTTTGCCTTTTGTATGAGAAAGGAGGAGGTACCGGAAATGTAACCTTCACCTTGAACAGTGATGACTTTTTTCAGGGGTCATCTGGGTGAGTTTCAAAGGATGCCCCACCTGCACCTCACCCAAAGACTTATATGGGAACCATGAGAGGGGCTTTAAAATGCTATATATATAGCAAAACCAATAGTTTTATTATTCTCATATTTTTGAATCCTACTTCCTGAACATAGAATTAGTTCCTCTCTTGCATAATGGTAGATGCTATTTTTATGGCATCACTGATTTTTTTCTTATTTTTCTAAAGAATGAAACAAAAATTTCTCAATTCATCCTGAGTCACCTACTTGAACTTTCTCATGGAACAGAGCGCTAACATTCACTGGATGTGTACCATGCACCAAGCAACATAGTAAGCTCTTTACCTACTTATCTAATTTACTTCTCACAACTACCTAGTTAGGCAAGTCTCTAGTGGCAGCTCTCTGTTCTGTGCCCACAGGTTGGAAAATGATGAAACTGGCCTAACCCATTTGGCCAACCCTGAAGACTCATATGGCCCCGTAACTCACTAGAAACCCTCTCTCAGTAAAGGACTCGCTTTGTTTCCTGGTGAGAGCTGAATAGCATTCATCTTCCTTTCATCTAAACATGTGTTTTTTCTTCTTCTTTCAAATAATGCCTCATTTGCTATTTAAGCTTTTGAAGAAAAATAAAGACAAGAAAATATTAGAGAAGGCACTGTCCTTCCAATCTGCTGCTTGGCATCCCCTACCACAGAGGGCATCTGTCCCTATAAAGTCACCTGTCATAAAAGACCAAGACAGAGGCAAATATCGGACCATTGAAGATACCAATAAGCTGTGTGTGGCTTAACATAAAAATAACCACACATTAGCAGGTGGTAACTCCACCACCAAGGCCAAAAGCAGCCCAGGAAGCTGATTAACACGCACATCAGCCTCTTCTCTCACTTGTGAAGGCAGGTCTGTCTGTCTTCAATTCTTATTCTAGTACTTTTACAAAAAGACTTTTCTTCTTCTCTGCATGTTCCCTCCCTTGCTGTGTCCTAGACAATTCTAAGAATCCCAAATTGAATCTCATTCTCTGAGAAGTAGATAGAATGACATGCTTTTTGAGAATGTGATTCCAACCCCAATTTCTAGAATACAAGAGCCCTAGAGCATCTTAAGACCAGGGACTTTTATATACTCATCACAAAGAATGGATGTGATACTTGTTTAAACATCAGAGAACTCAATTTCCCCTTTAATTCCACTGCCAAGCTTGATTTCACTGCAGCCACTTCATCAAATGAATTTATAAAATATGGACCAATGAAAAGAAACTACAAAAAAAAATTGTGCTCCATAAGCAAAACTTGTCATGCCAGCAACAAATTTCCCTTCTCCGCATCTGCATAGCCCACCTCAAGGAACAAATTTGTCAAGCAACTTTTTAAGTGCCCTCCCCCTCCATCTACTTTGTCCTTCTGGAATAAATACGTTACTGACACAGTTAAGACATGTCAGCCCTTACCTTTCTGTAAGTCACAAAATGGTGGTTAAAAGTCCTTTTCTTCCATTCAGTGGTCGAGACTCTTGCTACGACTGGAGTATCTCCCCCGGGAACACTCCCTCTTCCCTGCTTTGCCTCCCAGCCTCTCCCTTCAGCTTCAGTCAAACATTAACCATTAACATTTTTTATTGCTCTTCGAGAGCCACTGGGTATCATAAAAAGTGTCATTACTTTTACTCCAGGAAAGAAATGACTTTGTATCAAAAGAAGTTTAACTTACATCTAATCCATCTCAAAACAGGTTGCTACATTTTTCAATGTAGATGAGTCAATGAAAAGACAAGAAGTTAGAGTGGAAAAGTTTTTGTGTATCCAACTATCTCTAGAGTGTGAGGTTCATGACATCAAAGACTTTCCATATTTTGTACCCCCAACACTTAGCACAGGAGACTTGATCAGCAAATATTTATGTAGATTCCATCTCAAACACAAAAGACGGAGCAGGGGCGCCATGTCTGAGCAATGACACAGTTCATTGATAACCAGCCACATGAGATATCATAAATGACTCAGAAGACATGAGGAAAGACACAATATGGCTGTGCCTGCTTTTGAAATCCAAGGGTCCCTTCCAAAGTCTGCAAGAAACAACCGATAGCAAATTTCCCCCAAACACAAACCAAGTCCTTTTTTCCCCCCCACAATTCAGGGAATGGATTTACCTAGGAACAACTTATTTTTCCCCAATCAAAATGAGGTTTTTGATTAACCAATAAAAGCCAATGCCCCCAGATTTCTCAAGTCAAGGCTTCTTTTAGACCAATTCCTGATTTCCACACTTTGGTCACTCTGGGAATCCACACTGAAGGTGAGCATCAATGTCATGTCTGTGTCTGGTGTGTTACACTTGGCCCTGTTTCTGTGGACCTTCTCATGTTCATTTCTTGGCTTCTCCTGAGCTGAGGTTGTGTTTTCCATTCCTCTCCAGGTGTGCATCTGACAGAGGGAAAGCAAGAGAGCCCAGCCCACTCTCTAGAAGGGCTCCCTCCTTTCCAGATTTCATGAGAAGGTTTCATGAGTGCTCTAAGCCACTGTGGGAATAGACCTCATTTATCCTGAGGACCCTGCAAGTGAAACCATCTAGTTGCATGCCAGCTGTTAACATCCTTGGTGGACTGGTGGGTTCAGCAAAGGCCCTTCTTGCTTTGTCCCACAGCCAGCATCACTCATTTAGAAGAATGAGGTTATTGAGGCTAAGCACTTCTCACATTCTTCACACCTCTGCCCTCCCATTAGCTGAATAAAGTGTGCTTGTTCTACAAAATCAAATCGCTTCCACTTGCCACATGTTTCAGTTCCTGGAATCAAGGGCAAGCATCTCATCACACAGCATTGTTCATAAAGAAGTTTGGGTCTTCTTTGAAAATTTTAAAATAATAAAGTGCTTTTAAATTTATGAGTTTTTTTTTTTCAAAAATAAAGTGCATATGTATCATTTATAGTCATTGTTTTTCAGCAACAATAACAATGATCGTGACATGTTGGTATATCAATTAAAATTCTGTTTTCTCATTTAGCATGTCTGCAAAGTAGATTCCAGTTTATAGACAGAAAATGGGGACACAGAGAGGTTTTATTTCTTGTCTAAGTCACACAGCCTTTGACTACAGAATCGGGACTGCAACCCTGTTCTGATTCAAATCCCATCCTATTCACTACAGCTATAGACTCTGCCAGATTTTTTTCCTTCCAGCTTTATGCGAGTAAAAAAAAAAAAAAAAAAAAAAAAAAAAGTCCAAGGGCAGAAATCCCTGCATGAGCCCATTCCTGTTGGAAGATGGCCAAGTTCCGAAATGGGGTTCCTCTGTACATCACTTGCTATCTCTAGCCCCCAGCTTCCAGCTCAAAGAATTAGGTTAATTAAACACTGAAAATGCCTAAACCACCCATCAGAGAAATTAACAGGTGATTATTGCATTTCTGAATTACAGAAGCTATTTCTGTACTGTGGGATACCAGGTTAACAAGATTCTGAGAGCTGTTCATATATTCCTTACATGGTTTAGACATCCTTCCAGATTAAATCCAAATGTTAAGAATGTGCACGTTTCAGGTAGCCACCACTGCATTTTAGGAACTCATTTTCATGAAAAGTGAGACATTGCTGGTTCAATAGACTTGCTAATAATAGGAATAAGGAAAATGTAATTGATAAATATTACTGATTTAATTTTCCAAAGCAAAGGAGGTATGATTTATAGGATGAAAACAACTGAAGGCCAGGCGCAGTGGCTCACACCTGTAATCCCAGCACTTTGGGAGGCTGAGGCAGGCAGATTACCTGAGGTCAGGAGTTTGAGACCAGCCTGTCCAACATGGTGAAACCTCATCTCTACTAAAAATGCAAAAATTAGCCAGGTGTGGTGGCAGGTGCCTGTAATCCCAGCTACTCAGGAGGCTGACTCAGGAGAATCATTTGAACCTGGGAGGTGGAGGTTGCATTGAGCCGAGATTGCACCACTGCACTCCAGCCTAGCCGACAGAGCAAGACTGCATCTCAAAAAAAAAAAAAAAAAAGAAAACAAAACTGAACAAGTGAAAGGACTTGGGCTAATGCTTTCAACTCACAGCTTCATGGTGGTGAAAACATTTCAACGCTTTTGTCTATAATGTTTTAAGCATTCCTCCAATATTATCCCTAGAAAATACAAATGTCCATAAATAAGTAATTAATTTATGGACATTTGTAAGAAAGTCTAGATAGCCTCCCAGACAAAAAAGTTATGAAAACTTGGAATTATTCCTAAAAGTCAAAGCATGTTACATTTCTAATATTTATATTCTTTTTTATTTTATTTTATTTATTTTTTGAGATGGAGTCTTGATGTCCCCAAGGCTGGAGTGCAATGGCACAATCTCAGCTCACTGCAACCTCCGCCTCCCAGTTTCAAGTGATTCTCCTGCCTCAGCCTCCCATGTAGCTGGGATTACAGGTGCCCACCACCACACCCGGCTAATTTTTTATATTTTTAGTAGAGACGGGGTTTAACCATGTTGGCCAGTCTGGTCTTGAGCTCCTGACCTCAGGTGATCTGCCTGCCTTGGCCTCCCAAAGTGCTGGGATTACAGGCATGAGCCACTGCTCCTGGCCTATTTTTATTCTTTAAAACTCAAAATGAAATCTATGAGTGGTAAATTTCTCAATTTTTCAAGTACTTGCATTTTATGTTCTTTATGTGTTACATACTACACATTCAGAATATTTTATCATGAGTCCATCAACACACAACCCTCACCTAACAGAAGTGTAAAATAATATTTTAATTACTTAATATCTGTCTTGCTCTGTTAACTTGATGATGGCAGAAACTTTGTCTTCAATTAGTACTCAATAAGTACTTCTTAGGACTCAACTCCATTCAGTTATTTAATTCAATAATTCTAAATAGTCATGATTACCTGCAGGCTCAACCAAGGCCAATAGGAACCCAGAAAAGCAAATAATTTTGAACCCCCTGAAACCTAGAGTTCACAGTTTTTGTTCCACATTTATTTAGTGGAATGAAGTGAAACTAATTTTCTGCTAGTCATTGTTTTAGGCTGAAGCAGAATCTTTCTTAACTACTTTTGCTGGCCAGGACAGAGTCCATTTTCTGATAAATTTAAGCAAAACAGGTCTTACTTCCATGTAGCTCTTACTTTTTTGGAGACAGGGTCTCGCTCTGTCACAGGCTGACAGGCTGGAGTGCAGTGGTGCGATCTCGGCTCACCGCAGCCTTGGCCCTTCAGGCTCAAGCCATCCTCCCACCTAAGCCTCCCAAGTAGCTGGGACTACAGGCACACACCACCATATCCCATTTTTTTTGTAGAGATGGGGTTTCATCCATCCAGGCTGGACTCCAACTCCTGGGGTCTAAGATCTGCCCACCTCAGCCTCTTAAAATGCTGGGAATACAAGTGTAAGGCACTGCGCCTGGCCTATACTTACTTCTGAGTTTGGGTTTGGGGTTTTTGTTTGGAGGCTTCTCTGTTGTTGAGTTTTTTTTTTTTGGCAGTTTTCCAAACCAGAACACTTGAGAGAATTATCACAAGATTTAAAACTTAGATAACAAAATGAATCACTAGTTCTAAGTAAGAAACACTGAATCATACATAATGCTGTTTAAAAATCTTAGCTGACAGCCACCTTGCGATATTCTGAAAAATATTTAAGGAAGATAGTTTGAGGTTAGTAAAGATTTTCTTCCCCACTATCTACTCTGACAGAAGTGGACCCACTTTGTACTTTGTTTATTCCAGGAAGATTTTTAACTTCATCTATAGATGCTGGCTCCAAGCAACTGCCCAGCAGGCGGGGCCCTCAATCTGGCTCCAGCTACGCATGCCATGAAGTGGCTGGAGAATCTCATGAATGGGATGGCTAGTAAGTATTCACATCATCAGTTGTACATTGGACAAATGCCTTCCAGGTCTTTCCAAACTGAAGTTCACTAAAACTGGGGCTTACACTATGAAATCCTGGTTCAGGGTATGTCCCTGGGTCCCTTGCTCTGTTGCCCAAGCTAGACTGCAGCATGTAATCATGGCTCACTGCAGCCTCGACTTCCTGGGCGTAAGTAATCCTCCTGCCTCAGCCTCCAAAGTAGCTAGGACTACAGGCAAGTGCCACCACACCAGCTAATTTTAAAATTTTTTGTAGAGATAGGTTCTATGTTGCTCAGGCTGCTCTTGAACTCCTGAGCTCAAGTGATTCTCCTGCCTCGGTCTCCCAAAGTGCTGGTATTACAGATGTGAGCCACCATGCCTGGCTGGCACTCTGGATTTCTGATGCAGGTGATTACATAGGCCCTTCTGAGAAACACTAGCTTAAGGAATCATTGCTTTATCCTCCAGTAAATATTCTTCAGCAAAGCCTATTCTGAATTGAGATTAATTACCCCACCATGTAGAACCCATTTCTGCAGGAATGTCTGAGATAATGATGCAGTCGGTCTGATGTTGAACATGCAAGCTGGATCTGGTAGACATGAGCATGCTCATCTTCCCTCAGACATTTTTTTCTCAGACAGCTAAGCTTTTTATTTGATCTTGGATTTTCTTTAAATTCCAAGAAATGACCATCATTCTTATTGGTTTTCTGAGACCTATCTCTGTCTCTTATCAGATTTCACCTAACAAGCTTTTGCTCCCATCCAGCTCATGCTCAGATCACAGTGTCTGGCTTCCATCTTCACTGCTCCACTGAAACCACCCTCACCGAGGTTGCCAACAACCTCCTCATGATAATCAGATGGACGCTTTTCAGTCTGCACCTCACCTGACCTCTCACAACTTTCAACACCATGGCGAGCTCTCCTCAAATTTCCCTTTACCCCGGCTTCCTTGCCAATACTCTGATTTTCCTTCCACCTCTTGAGCTAGTCCCTTGCAGTCCTACTTGTGACTCATCCAACTCCTTGGGCCCAATCCCAGGTTATCCTGTCCTGTCACTCACTCTGTGGAGGTCAACTCTGCTCCCATCTACTTGCCAACATCTCGAGTCTCTCTCTAGACCAGATCTCTCCTCTGGTCAAAGCTCTGGTTTTCTATATCCAACTGACTATTCCACAACTTCGCCAAGGTGTCCCATGTGCACAACAAACTCCACACAGCCATAGTGAACTGTACTGTTTTAATTCTCCAAAACATACGCCTCCTAGAACACTACCCCTTCATGTTAGCCCTGGTGGTCATCACCACTTAGCCAGACAGTGTGCAGTGACTGCCTAGGAAGTACTGTCATGGGGTCAAGTAGGAGACCAGCATGCATGTGAGCTTTGCTTGGAAGGACTCAGACTTGGACACTAAGGCTTATTAAATGGTCCCCCTTCTGTGCCTGTGGGTCTCTCATTAGACACCAAAACAGGATTGCCTCTGGAAATTCTGCCCTTAAGAGAAGTATTTCCTGGGAAAGAATACTCTTTTTAGTAAATTGTGAAATTGATCTTCACATGCAAAACAATGAAACTGGACCCTGACCTCACACCATTCAGAAAAATTAAAATATATCAAAGACATAAATTATAAGGGCTGAAACTATAAAATTCTAAGAAGAAAGCAGGGGTAAATCTTTATGGCCTTGGATTAGGAAATGATGTCTTAGCTATGACACCAAAAGCACAAATAACAATAGAAAAAAAAACAAATTGGACTGGACTTAATCAAAATTAAGAACTTTTGTGATTCAAAAAACACCGTTAAGAAAGTGAAAGACAATTCATAGAAGGAAAGAAAATATTTGTAAGTCGCGTATCTGACAAATGAACTGTATCTAGAAGATATAAACAACTCTTACAGCAACCCAATCAAAAAATAAAGGATCTGAATAGAAATTTTTTAAAAGATATACAAATAGCTAAAAAGCACATGAAAAGATGCTCATCCTTAGGCATAAGCAAAATGCAAATCAAAACCACAATAAGATGGCATTTCATACCCACCAGGGTGTTTCATACCCACCAGGACAGCTATAATAAAAAAGAGATAATACCCAGTGTTGAAGATGATGTGGAGAAATTAGAATCCTCATATGCTTCTGGTGGGAATGTAAAATAACACAACCACTTTGGTAAACAGTCTGGGAGTTTTAACAAAAACTTAAATATAGAGTTACCATTTGACTTAGCAATTTCACTCCTAGGTATATAGCCAAGAGAAATAAAAACATCACACAAAAACTTGTACACAAATATTCATAGCAGCATTATTCATAATAGCCAAGAGATAGAAACAACCCAAATATTCATCAACTGATGGATAAAATGTGGTATCCATATGATAGAATATTTGTCTATCCATATAATAGAATATTCATATAAAAAGATATGAAATACTGATACTACAAGACTAAACCTTGAAAACATTATGCTTAGTGAAAAAAGTCAGACAAAAAAAGCCTAATATTATATAATCCACTCACATGAAATGTCTGGAATAGGCAAGTCCATAGACAGAGAAAGAAGATTTCGGAGTTGCCTGCAGTTGGGGGGCAGAGGGGGAATTTAGAGCTGAGAGCTAAAAGACATGGGGCTGCTTTTGAAAGTGATGAACATTTTCTAAGTTTTATTGTGGTGGTGGTTGCACAACTCTGAGAATACACTAAAAACTACTGAATTGTGCACTTTAAGTTGGTAAGCTGTATGATATGTCAATTATATCTCAATAAAGCTGTTCTTAAAAAAAGTATTCCCTGCAACTAATGCATATTCACTGCAAAATAATGAAATTGAACTGACATAAATATACAAAACATAGGCTAAACATTTTCAGTTACCTCGGTCTAGGCCCTTCAGATCATTTTGTTCTATTATCGGAAATGTCTTACGGTTTCCAAAATCATTTATTTTCCTTTAAGTATACGAGGTTTTTTTTTTTTTTTTAACTAATTTTACCTATTATTTGACCTCTTTTGTTTTTTGTGTTTTTAAAATGTGAATAAGAACATTTCAGTACACAAAGATTATCTTTGCCCTGGATAAAGTAGAAAATGACAATGTGGGCATAATGGCCCCTCAGCCCCTCTGATAGTGTCTCAGCCCAGGCAGTTCAGCCCTAGATAAACTTGACTCAACTGCCTGCCTGAACGAAGACTATTTTCTTTCTACATGACTAAACCTAGTAACTCAGGAGACAAGGAGGCCAAATTCTCCTCCCTTTAGTTTTCCCACTCAGGATTACATTGGGCCTGGTCTCAGGAACAATCCAGGAGTTTCTGGAAAAGCCATGTTATCTTCAAACTAGAATTTTCCAATAGCTACAGGAGGAAACACAGGAAATGAAAGCTCACATCTGCAATCTGTGTAATTCCCTTGCCTTGGGTGGTCCACAGGAGCAGCCCACAGTGCAGTGGAGGAGGAGGGGAGAACAGAAGCCCTGCTTGGGAGAGACCATCTGGCTCTATCAATGAGCCTCAGCCAGCGTCAGATCCCTTCTAAGGAGGCCTGGGAGGAGGCCGGCGGAGGACCCTCACTTCCTTGCTGGAGTCTCACTTAGCCCACATGCTCCTGCTTTAAACCTGATTAGATAGACCAGCTTCTCAAAAAGGGAGGGCTCCAGAGGGTTTGTTTTTTTTTTTTTTTTAATTCTCAGATCTTCCCAAGTCTGCTCTCCTAAGTATGAGAAACAAAGGGAATTGCCTAGAACCAGGACTATATCTAAAGGGATTTACAGGACAGAGGTAGCTGTACTTCTTCTAAGTTACCACTTTATACTAAAGAAAATCAATGGTAGTTAACTACACAATACTTGACTAGAAGTTATCCAAACTCCACTCCTCTTCTTTATCTCTAAAGAGAGGTTTTTCTCAGTACAAATAAGTTTTTAGTACAGGGGTTCTCAACGCTGGCCGCATAGAGCCACTGGGATTGTGATTTGACTGGTCTTTGGTGAAGCCTGGCAGCAGTCATTCTTAAAGTTTCCCTTGGTTCCAACGTGCAGCCGAGGTTGAGAACTGCTGGCTTGGTGTCTACCCTCTACCAAGCAATTTTGCTCTGCATCTCAATCTTCACAGCAACACGGGAAGGTATTTTTACTACTTTACAAATAAATAAATACAGGAGCAAAGAAGATACAAATCGATTCTCTCAGATTTGAATCCGGATCTGATTCAAAAAATAATAAGAATAAAGCCTGAGCTGCTACCCTCGGCAAAGCTCCCGTAGCAGCCGCTGAGTGAGCCTCCTGCCCAGCTCTACTTACCTCCCAGGAGCCCCAATCAGACAAGCGGGGGTGGGGGGACTCAAGTCCACTAAGCAGATTGATCAACTCAGATCCACAGCCAAAATATCATACTTCCACCGTGATTACATGCTCACCAGTCGCCCCTCCCACTCGATCTTTCTGAGCTTTATATGGTTGGGAATCCTGCCTTCGCTGAAAAGCCTGCTTAGGTAGCATTTTCATGAACCAGTAATACCCACCACTTTATCCCCTATAGCGTTTCCCGCCACAGCTCCGCTCCAGCTGATATCCCTTTATATTTCCTCCCCATTTCCCTTGTTACAGAGCAATAGCACCACCTGACCCCCGTTACAGAGCAATAGCACCACCTGACCCCCTCAAATGCAGCTGCTCTCTTTCAGCTGTCCAGGAGGCAGGCATCCTCTCCCACAGCTACTGAGGAAGTGGTTAACTTCAGTGTAGCTCGGCTCAACTCAGACAAGCCAGGGGTAGCCAACCGGTACTATTCAGAGTTGTGCATAATGCCAGGAGTACCTTGCCCCCAGCAATAACTGAATTATCTCGATTCAGTGGACTTTCTAAAATGTACCCTCCCTCAATATTGAAAATCCTCTTCAGGACCAGGGTAGAAAGTGGCTCCCAATACAGCAATGCTGACCTGCTGATCTTTGTTCTGGAATTTAACATGGTCTGTAAGGACCTTGGACTTTTTGAAATCATTTTTTTTATATCGCTGGAATACAGGTTCCTTTTCTTTTCTGGTCACAAAGCAAAGAAGTATAGAAAGAATTACCAAAAGTAAAAGTAAAAAAATAAAAAATAAAAAAAAGAATTACCAGGGACCCAGTCCCATGGGACTCAGTGTCAATGGCATATTTCCTGAGCTTGACATGGGCAATGAGAACTTATTTCTCCCAATCTTGATTCAGCTCCCTAATAATTAGGCTGGTATTCTTTAAGGCATATTGGTTTTAAGGTAGACACACCTGACAGCAATAACTTAAGCATAATCTGAGCATGCTCCTGCAGGGCAGATGCACCTCAATGTGTGTTCTGAGCTCGGGAATCCGGGAGTGGTCAACGCGGAGATTGGTTCCTTGTCTATGAGGAACATCTGAGCATCTCCCACCGCACCTTCCACCCTCCGCCCCCATCCCATGGAACATGGGCCATACTGGGGATGGAGGTCCTTTGTTTTGGGTTTAATGAAGGTTGCCAGATGGAGGTTGTTAGGGGAGGGTGTTAAGTGAAAATGTTGTATAAACTGATGCTTTTTGCAAGTAGTTGCACTTCTCCTGTATAGCCCACTGCTGCTGGACCCTGTCCCCCTGCATGTGAACCCGCAGTAAAATCCCATGTCTCATTTGCTGGCTCTGGGGCTCTTCAGCCTCTTGAATCTTGTGCCAGAGGTTTTCGAACCCTGAATCCCTATAAGATTAATAGGGGTTGGGCATAACACTATTTAAGACCAAAAATTTAGAGACTGGCAAATTGGGACTGAATCCCAATTCCAAGGCTATTCTTTGGCCTTGATATTCTTCACCAATATGGGTTTGGGAATTCTAATGTGGACCCTCGATATCACACCCCTCCTCTGTCTGTTTGGGCTCATAAATATAATGGCCCAACCAAGGAAGTAAAAACTAAGGTGGATTACAGGTCTTTGTTAGGGAGATCTGAACCCTGTTTGTCTAAAAACGGTACCAAGTTATTTCAGTACATGTTGAAGGTATAAAGAGGAGATTCCAACATTTTCTATAAATTACTTTTCTAAAGAGCCTTTCAGCTCTACTTGCCCTGACTTAAAAGTATTTTTCATTCATCTTCCACCCACACTCAGACCAGAAACTGATAGCAGTTAGCCTTATCTGTCACAAGCCTAAGCAACTGGTGGCCGATCACCCTATCTCGTGCTATTACCTAGGCCGTTAGGAAGCTAAAATTAAAACCTGGTGTCATTAACATACCAGACCAAATACAGAGAAAGCCACAGAAAGTCAAGTTCAGATCCTCTTACAAGTTTCTATTTTAAAAAATAAAATACAGCAAGCTTCAGTGAGAGACCTTAAGATGGGTCACTAGACATCACAGTGAACATGATTTTGTCGTACTATTAATATTTCTCAGCAAATGGCTTTGGGAAGCACGGTGGGAACTCTGATTCCTGTAGGTAGCCACTAAATCATTGCCCTGACTTTATAATTCTGCAGCAATGTCTTCATATTTTGTGAAGTCTAGAACCCTTCGCAGCGGGAAACTTGCACACTTATAGCCGAATTGCATAGAGTCTATCTAAAGTTAGTTTAAAGACTCACAGGTTACTTTGCCACCAGAAATGTTCATGTATTGGATTTAGGGGTGGGCTCAATTTTCACTTAACTATTTAATTAAACAGTTACTTTGTGACCTCTAGTTAGCTGACGTCTGTTCTGTGCCAGGCACTGGGCAAAGTGTTTGGCTTATGTTATCTCTAATGTGCACAAATCTGAAAGGCAAGTCAAATCGCCAATCCCCATTTACAGTTGAGGAATCTGAGGCTCAGGGAAGTCAAATATCTTGCTCAAGTTCACATAGCTGGCAGGTGACAAAGCCAGGATTTGAATCAGGCATGCTGACTCACAACCGTTGCCACTGTGAAGGCTGTTCCTAATCTATGCGATGTCCTAGTCACCACCTCTACCCCGACACCGTGGCCATGCCCTTCTCTCATCACTTGCCCTTGTGGTGGCTTTACTGCTACCAACCAGAAGAGGCCTTCGTAGGTAACTGACTCTGTTTTACAACAGTCTAAAAAAGAATTGGAAGAATTTATGCCAAAACTAAAATCGTTGCTTGGGGCAAACTCTAATATTCAAGTAGGCAATGTTAAACCAGCCCTATTAACTCTTATGCTCTTATCCCTCTGCGGCATATTTACATAAATTCCCCCAGACGGCACTGTCTAAATACATTGGTCTCCATTTCAGACGCTGCCTGGAGTCACTAAGTTTCTCCTAAGATTGGGGAAGGCAACTGGTGATCACTTTCCTTAGCTTTTCCAGGCTTCAATCATGTTTGCCATGGGCTGTGGATCATGAGGAAAAGTTTCTCTTCTAGAAATCCTCCAGCTAATAAACGAAGAGAGGGCAATAAAATTAAAATATTATCATTTCACAAACCTCTATGGAAGTAAGTCTAGGCAAGGGTCATCCATGGCTGCTACCTCACAGAAAGAGAGACAGCTGGTCATTGTGTGCCTCCTCCTAGATATGAAATGCTACTTAGGAAGGATTCTTGCCGAAAGCATTGTATCTGGATCAAATCAAACCAATTCTAGATTCACCTAACAATTGTGAAATTGCCAGAATCAAAATGGAGTTGGCACTGTTAAAAATCAAAACAAACCCTGACAAATAGGCCTGTGGAAGACCATGAAGACAGGTTCTCATGCTTGTATGCCTAATAACAAAACTATCACAAAAGCCTCAAAAACCACAATCTTGCACAATGGCCACTGCAACCTTACACAAAAAATACTTCTACAAGGATATCTGCCCAGCAACTGCCTGTTCAACTGCATTGGGATCACCCTTGTTATTAATCTTTATGGTCAAGTATAATCATTTCCAAATAATTATGTAATCCTCCTCATTTTTTCCTTTAAAAACCTTTGTCTTTCTTTACCTCCCTGAATCCATGCATAGTTTACTATGGCAGGCATATTCCCATTGCAATGATCTATACCCAAATAAATATTTTATTTTAGAAAGCATTTCTCTGTCATTCAGGTTGACAATATAAGAGGAAATCTCTTTGCAGTGATTGTGTAGAAGATATGGAGACATTCTCTGTATTGGCATTTTTCTATGTCCGCCCTTGATGAAAGCAAAGGACGGAACATTAAAGGGCAACTGAGTAAAGACTTTCCATAGCAGTGTTAGTTAATGAGATCCATCCAGGATATAGCTTTCCGGTAATCAATTTGATTCCAGAATAGCATAAGAGACCTAGAAGAGTACACAGTCAGATACCAAAATTTACCTAGAAAAATCTTAGACTGTTGTCCAAGCGTGGTGGCTCATGCCTGTAATGCCAGCAATTTGGGAGGCTGAGGCAGGCAGATGATGAAGTCAAGAGATTGAGACCATCCTGGCCAACATGGTGAAACCTCGTCTCTACTAATAATATAAAAAATTAGCTGGCCGTGGTGGTGCACGCCTATAGTCCCAGCTACTTGGGAGGCTGAGGCAGGAGGATCGCTTGAACCCGGGAGGCAGAGGTTGCAGTGAGCTGAGATTGTGCCACTGCACTCCAGCCTGACCACAGAGCGAGACTTTGTCTCAAAAAACAAAAACAAAAACAAAAAGAAATCTTACACTGTTTTCAGAAATCACACTTTTAGCAATGATATCAATATTAATTATTCTAAAATATATATAGTAAGGCAAGTAAGTAATTATGTTAATATTGTCTGCAACCAAGATTTTAGGTAGAAGAGAGAAGATAGATAAATATAAAATCAAAGGAGCTAAATTTTAAAAAACGCTGTGATACTAAATTCAAGTTCAAAATATTAGTATGAACTCACGATGCATTTTCTTTAAAGTAGTGTTTTCAATTCTGTCCACTGAAAAAAGCTGGGAACAATGACCAATTCTTAAGCAATGGGCAGCCCTAAAGCCAGCTTATAATTTTTTTTTTTTTTTTTTTTGAGACAGAGTTTCACTCTTGTTGCCCAGGCTGGGGGGTGCAGTGGCACAATCTCAGCTCACCACAACCTCCGCCTCCCAGGTTCAAGTGATTCTCCTGCCTCAGCCTCCCAAGTAGCTGGGATTACAGACATGTGCCACCACACCCAGCTAATTTTTGTATTTTTAGTAAAGACGGGGTTTCACCATGTTGGTCAGGCTAGTCTCAAACTCCTGACCTAGTGATCCGCCTGCCTTAGCCTCCCAAAATGCTGGGCCTGGCCCTATAATTTTGAAAAATCATTGGAAAATGATATTTAAAGGAATCAAGCCTCCTTGGAGAAATTGCTGACCATAGTTCTGGGGCAGGAAAAGTACATGTGCCTAGCACATTTGACATACCAGACACCAAGGAATTTACTAAAAACTGTGATTGTTTCGAAGCATTTAGAAGCCAAAATTAAGTGGCTATCACTTGGAAAGTATGGAAAAATTTGAGAACAAGTAAGAACAATGACTTTGATGAATTTAAACAAATCAAATGTGTTAAAATCCATGAGATCATAATTACACTTGACAGCAAATACTCACTGACCACCTTTAGTGGATGCCAGGGAACCACATTATAAACATGAAAATACGGGGCAGGAATCAAGGGTTTTGCCTGTCCTTGCTGTATAAACAGTGTATCAGGGTAATTTTTCAAGGTAAAGTTTCTCTTTATGTAAGTCTCTCAAATAATAAATTAAGGAATGATAGAATTAAAATATTGCCATTTTGCAACCCCTACTGAAATAATGGATGTAAACAAAGACCATCAGCAGCTGCTGCATCACAGAGACAACTGGTCCGTATGCGTCTCCTAAGAGAAGTATGCGATACTTCTAATGGAGGATTCTTGGCAAATAAGTTGGACTTGAATCAGCTCAAACTTCCAATTCTAGAGTCTAGCATTTATAAGAAACGCTGGTCAGAAAAAAACGGTTGCAGATGAAATGCACTTCAGGGTTGCAATCAGCAAAATACCAAATGTGAGAAACTGCAGGACAATGCCTCTGCTTCTTCCATATATAAACTGAAAAACAAAGGAGAGAAGAAACCTGTACATTAAAAAAAAAATTCAAAAGAATGTTGAAACAAACCAACTCTCAAAAAATAAAAAAGGAAAAAAATAATACAATTAGAGAAATTTGAATGTCATCTATTTTTAAGTATGATAATGGTTATGTGGTTTTAGTTTTTAAGAAGAGTTCTTATCATTTACCAATACATATGGACATCGTTATGGACAAAATGGTTTGCTGCCTTGGATCTGCCTCAAAAGAATCCATTTGGGTTGAACGGGGTGGCTAGTGTGGTGTGGGGAAGCAGAGATAAAATAAGACTGGGCATGAGCTGATTCTTCCCTACGCTGGGTGATGGCATACGGGGGTTCATTAACTCATTACATTATTCTCTCTACTTTTGCTTATGTTTTAAATTTTCTATTAAAAATATCAAAGTGTGAAAAATCACACACACACACACACAAACACACATCCTGCTCTTGTTTTTGAACCGAGGGTCTGGGTCAATAATTGGGTGAATGGTGATTTTTATAAAATAACAAAGTAATTTACCTCCTTAAGGATAAAAATGAACATGTTCTCACTGGAAAGCTGCCCAAGAAGAGACTACTCAACCATAGTACCATGTGCTGAATTTTCTTTATTTCACATTCTTGATCTGGCCTTACAGAAAATTTGAGTGAACATTTCTGAATTAGAAGGAAAAATTTGGAAGTCGAAGTACTAAAATGAGTATTGAAGCATGAGAACTGTTCTACCTTGTCAGCATCTGAATAGTGTAAAATCGCTCCTCTGAGCTGGGATTCACGTCCAGGTGGGTGCAAAGTGAAACAGAAATAGCACATGCAGGCACAAAGCCAGTGGCCTGGGAGTGAGGGGGGATGGAGGGAAAATGGGAAGATTGTCCACTTGAGACTAAGCCTCCAGAATCTGCAGGAATTTTGGGGATCATTGCAGCATAATTTAAAGTTCTAGAGAGTTTTGTCTGAATCTCCATTGGTCAGGGAAATCTGAGCTGATGACAAGGTTACAAACAATTATACCACATGCCATTTGTAAATTATCATTCCAGACGATGTACTAAGCAGTTTACATTAATTGCCTCGTTGAACCTTTATAACTCTCTTGCCCCAACAACCATGACACAGATATTATCATCACATTTTGACAGAAAAGAAGAAGGTCCAGGGAAATTGAGTAACTTATTCAAGGTCACACAGCTGGTGAGTGATGTAGCTTGTCCTCTAACGTAGGGCAGCCTGCCTGCAAAACTCTTTCCCCACTGTCTGCGTTTCACTTGCCATGGAGCAGCACTTTATGGACACCAGTGGTTGGTGTCGCTGCAGGGGTCATACACAGAGCATTTCCTGGGTCAAAATTCTAATCCTTGCAAGAAAGACAATAGCATATTCAGGAAATCCAGTGAGTTCTGAAGACAGATCATGCCACAGTCATTTATCTAGGCAGCAAATGTAAAAGTGTTCAGAGAGCCTGGCAGGTGCTGGTGAAAAACAAAAAAAAAAGAATGTGTATTTCCCAGCTCCTTTTTCCCATTATCTTATATCACTTTTAAATAGCTCATGAAGGATATTTTAGACAAATTCAGCCCCTTTTCCCCTGTGGCAAGTAATGCAATAAAAGCTAATTGATTTAGCATCCTATTGATTAGAAAGCAGGGATACAATACAATGAGAACTGATGACCACAAACATGACTCAAACGCGGCCAGATATCCTAAAGAAGTTTATGACTCATCATCAAAACACAATTATATTCCAAAGAGGCCAAGCATTAAATGTATTTTATTGAGTTAAGTTTATCTGACACTGTTCAGCCACAAATGGTCATGTGAAATCCATAGAACCAGAATACCTGATTAGCCAGAATAACACATTCTCAGACCACGCTGGCTTTTCTACCATTGGATCTAGACAAACATGACCCTCTGCAGCATACATATTTACTGCATCACTTGAAGATTGTGGAGAAGATAGACTTAGAGCTGAACTGGAAAGTATATGACAGAAAAATGTCTGGAGACAGTTATTTCATAATATATCATTTCTAAGAAGAAATTAAGCACTATAATTTGCGAGCCTGCAGTGATGCCTCAATGCATTGAGTAAGGTCTCTGGCATCAATTATGTTTAAGTAATAACATATGTAAAGGGCCTGTGTCTGCCCAAACTGTCAAGGGCTCCTAAGTGGCATCTATTGTTATTATTATCATATTATAATTATTAAATCATGATGCTTATCTTATAGGTACTTATAATAGAACTAGGTTGGTAGAAACTGGCTTGTGTTGTCTTTTATCTTCAAAAGTGGAATAGGTGTGTGTCTTTGGTCTTACTTTGAGTTAAGATTCACTTAAACGTAGTGCAATCTAATAATCACCAAACGATTCCTTCATTTTCTGCTTTTAATTTATCTCAAACAAGCAAATAAATGAAAAGCAGGCATGAGACAAAAAGGCTATTCCACAAAATCTCTGCGGAAAAAGGGCTGTGAGCCCAGTTGTTGAGTGAAGTTCCTCAGTCCAGAGAAGGCAGCAGAGAATGCCAATGTTGGCGGGGTGCAGTGGCTCACGCCTGTCATTCCAGCTTGGGAGGCCAAGGCGGGCAAATTGCTTTGAGCTCAGGAGTTCGAGACCAGTTTGGGCAACATGGCAAAACTGCATCTCTACAAAAAAATACAAAAATTAGCAGGGTGTGGCCACCATGTGCCTGTAGTCCTAGCTACTCAGGAGGCTGAGATTGGAGAATCGTTTGAGCCTGGGAAGCAGAGTCAAGATCGTGCCACTGCATGCCGGCGTGGGTGACAGAGTGAGACCCTGTCTCAGGGAAAAAAAGAGAGAAAGAGAGAATGCCAATGTTCTCATTGTCTCTCGTATCTCTCTGAGTCAGTGCTCTCCAGAGAAACAGAGCCAATAGGATATGTATCTCTACACAGAAAGATTTCTTTTAAGAAATTGGCCCATGCAATTACAGGCTAGCAAATCTAAAATCCGCAGGGTGGGCTGGTTGGCTGAAGACCCAGGAAAAGCCAGCGTTTTGGCTGGAGTCCGAAGGCCAGCTGTCTGCTGCAGAATTCCATCTTGTTGGAGGAAGTCAGTCTTTTGTTCTTTTCAGGCCTTTGACAGATCAGATGAGGCCCACCGGTACTAGGGAGGGCAACCTGCTTTACTCACGGTGCACAGATTAAAATGGTAATTTCATCCAAAACACCCTCACAGAAATATCCAGAATTGTGTTTGACTGCATACCTGGACACCATGGCCCAGCCAAGTTGATACAGAAAATTAACCATCATAATCTCTAATCTCTCCCTCCTTCCCTCTGTCTCTGTCTCCATCTCTCTCTCTCTCTCTCTCTCTCTCTCACACACACACACACACACACACACACACACGAGCAAAGTTTATCACAAAGTAAGGAAGAAATGCAGGGTGCAGTGGCTCACGCCTGTAACCCCAGCACTGTAGGAGGCCAAGGTGGGCGGATCACCTAAGGTCAGGAGTTCGAGACCAACCTGGCCAACATGGCAAAACCCCATCTCTACTAAAAATACAAAAATTAGCCAGGCATGGTGGCACACGCCTGTAGTCTCAGCTACTCAGGAGCTGAGGCAGGAGAATCTCTTGAACCCGGG
Source organism: Homo sapiens (assembly GCF_000001405.40). Taxonomy (NCBI): domain Eukaryota; kingdom Metazoa; phylum Chordata; class Mammalia; order Primates; family Hominidae; genus Homo; species Homo sapiens. Next base: position 94,226,565 of record NC_000008.11, read on the forward strand.
AGGCGGAGGTTGCAGTGAGCCGAGATCGCGCCATTGCACTCCAGCCTGGGCAACAGTGTGAGACTCCATCTCAAAAAACAAACAAAGTGAGGAAGGAAGCATCAAGGTGTGATGCCAACCACCAGGGCTATCTTGAGACCCTCGGAGAAGTCCATACCTGAGGAGAGGAGCACTGAGCATTATTGCATCAATTCCAAGTAGGACTTCATCTCTTCTTTCATGAGAAAAATAATTCATCGATTCTGAAAAACAGCATTCATTATCTACCTACGATGCCATTTTTAAAACGTCTCAGGTAAATATTGTTCTATCCCCATCTCACAGATAAAGAAACTCTTTTCAATTAAGTGACTTGCCCCAGCATCCATTGCTAAAAGATGGAAGAATCTAAATTTCAACACAAGTCCTCAAATGTCTCTTGTGATTTCTCTCCATGCTGCCCCACAGGTAAGGAAAACAAGAATGTCAGCAAATGTCTGTAACAGAAGAAACCTGCGATGTTGAGCGTGGAGTAGTACACTTTGTTCCAGGATTCCATCTCTGGTTAGGGGATGTGTGGGAAGGAGCACTCACAGACAGATATGCATCCAAGCCCATGGCCTGCAAACCAGAACCTCTCCTGCTAAAGAGATTTGTAGATGCTTATGGGAGCAAGAATTGCCCAACCTACCACACTCTCTAGGCAAATGTCATCTGTTGGAGATTCCGACTGAGGTCCTGGAAGGGCTCCCACATGGGCCATCTGCCAGGCCTCTGATGTCGGCCAACTGCCAAGCTTAGGCTAACGGTTGCTTGTAGTTGGTGGCAGAGCTATTCCAAAGAACTACTGAGATGCAGGCAACTGATGACAGGGCTGCTCTTTTGTCTCTCTAGCTGGCCCCGCACAGTACCCTAAGCGACCCACTCCAGGGCTCCCCTTGGGAAACCATGTCCGTGGATCATGCTTAGCACTGCCCTTGTTCTAGCCGTGCGTGGTGGCGCGTGACCGTAATTCCAGCTACTCAGGAGGCTGAGGCAGGAGAATTGCTTGAACCCGGGAGGCGGAGGTTGCAGTGAGCTGAGATTGCACCACTGCACTCCAGCCTGGGTGACAGAGCAAGACTACATCTCAAAAAAAAAAAGGATAAAAAAGAACTGCCCTTGTTCATGGCTGGATGTTCAGAGGGTGGAAAAATGGAAAAGGTGGTTGTTATAGAAGCACTTGAGCTGTGTGCTTTTAAAGTTTGGGTTGGGATTAGTTCTGGGAACGTGGTCTACCTTCTTTCTTCCTCCTGTGCCCTCTTTCGACCCACCCCACAACTTTGTATATCAAATGGCAAAAAGAATCCTATTCCTGCCTTAGTTCATTATCTGACCTTCAGTAGGACCAGAGGCCTGGGAAATGGGGGCGAGGCCGAGTGTGTGGTAGAACCACAGGCATTCTAGATGCAGACATGAGTGAGAATCACACCCCAGTCCATGGCATGTCACCCACCTGGTACTTCAGAGGAAGCTAGTTCTGCCACGGCCACCTCCTAGTGAAAGCGACACAGGAGGGCCTGCCTTCCCCTCTGCAGTGCCTCTCGCTGCAAACACTTGACCAGTGCACATTTGCCAAAGTTCTGAATGTCAGAGCCAAGCTGAAAACCAGTGCAAGATCAGTCCATCTAAGTCAAGGCAGCTATGTGCATGTCCTAAATTATAGTTGCAGAGGGGTAATCCCAGGCTGTTTAGTACAAAGATAATGATCAGAAACTAGGAAAATGGTTGCTTTAATTCAAAAACCACATTGCTAGCAATAAGGTGATAACCATGACAAGATTCCTGTACAGAGGGTCCTGCACCAGGAAAAAGATAACATTAACTCATTCCGATCTGAAAGCATTAGCCATGATGTACTTACTATTATTACTATTTTCTAGTGAGGAAACTCTGACCTAAGGAGCATAAGTAAACTTCCACAAAGTAACTCAGCTAGTGAATTGGTACCACCAGGATTTGAAGCCAGGAAGTCTGATTCCCAAGTCTAAAAACGTAACCACTCTATTATATGGCATTCTGATTGTATAATGTTTTTGTGCTTATGAGGCATTGTCAGGCCTGCTGTCTGTTGAGATTTATCATTTTTTTAATTCCTCCATCTTATTTTGCGTAATAGTATCACATCCATTGGTTTATAATAAAGACTATAATAAAATTGTATGTCTTCTGGCCAGGCATAGTGGCTCACGCCTGTAATCGCAGCGCTTTGGGAGGCTGAGGTAGGAGAATTGCTTGAAGCAAGGAGTTCAAGTCCAGCCTGGGCAACAAGGCGAGACCCGTCTCTACTAAAAATTTAAAAAAAAAAAAATAGCTGGGCACAGTGGTGTGCACCTGTAGTCCAGCCTGGGCAACAAAGCAAGACCCCATCTCTACTAAAAATTTTTTTTAAAAGCTGGGCACGGTGGTGCACGCCTGTAGTCCCAGCTACTTGGGAGGCTGAGGTGGGAAGATTGCTGGAGCCCAGGAGTTTGAGGCTGCAGTAAGCTAGGATTGTGCCACTGTACTCCAGCCTGGGCAACAGAGAAAGACCCCATTTATTTAAAAAAAAATGAATGTTTTCCAAATATTTTTATAATTTAAATATTTTCCCACTAAATAAGATCTTATCTGTGCCATTTCTCTATAATTTTCCACATACATGGCTTTTACTGGGCCGAGGAGGCTACTGAAAATATGAGATCACATACTCACAAGGGATGTGGGTACTCCTTCCCTGACACCGTGTTGCTTCTTTTAGGTCACATTAAGGTTTAGTTTCTTTCAAGACTGTTACTATTTTATCAGAAATTAAGACCTTAAATTAAGTACTAATTCATTTTCACATCTCAGTGAATGAGATGAAAGGAAACTGAAGTGAGATTTGGGTTTTCTGGTTTTCACTTTTGGGGAGAGATTTTTTTTTAACATGGGGTCTTCCTGAAGTCATACCATGGAGGTAATCTCATTCAGGGTCTGTAGGTAGGTGAGCAATCTGTTTCAAGATGAAAAGAAATTGTATAGGGTTTTAAAAGATGTCATTCCAATGCCTTAAACAGTCCTCACAGTGTTATAGGCAATACTGTGACCTGACTCTTCACATGGTTGCTGTGACATCATAACTTTTTTTTTTTTTGAGATGAAGTCTCACTCTTGTCCCCCAGGCTGGAGTGCAACGGCACAATCTCAGCTCACTGAAACCTCCGCCTCCTGGGTTCAGGAGATTCTCCTGCCTCAGCCTCCCGAGTAGCTGGGATTACAGGCACCTGCCACCACGCCAGAACAATTTTTGTATTTTTAGTAGAGACAGGATTTCACCATGTTGGCCAGGCTGGTCTCGAACTCCTGACCTCAGGTGAACCACCTGCCTCAGCCTCCCAAAGTGCTCGGATTACAGGCATGAGCCACTGCGCCCGGCCTGTCATAACATCTTTAAGCCTCAGTTTTCTCAACTACAAAATGGAGCCAGTAATATCTACTTCTTGAGTTTAGTAAGATGTTACTAAAATACTAAAGACGGCCAGGCAAGGTGGCTCATGCCTGTAATACCAGCACACTGGGAGGCCAAGTCAGGTAGATCACTTGAGTCCAGGAGTTCAAGACCAGCCTGGGCAACATGGTCAAACTCCATCTCTATAAAAAATACAAAAAAATGTAAGACAGGCGTGGTGGCATGCACCTGCAGTCCTGGCTACTTGGGAGGCTGAGGTGGGAGGATCACCTGAGCCCAGGAGGCTGAGGCTGCAGTGAGCCATGATCACACCATTGCACTCCAGCGTGGGTGCCAGAGTGAGACCTTATCACAAACAAAAAAGACCTAACACAACTCCTGACACAGGATGCAAAGAATAACAGCTGCAATTTCCACGATTTCCCTAGTCAGAGCTCTACCAATCACCAGCTGCCTGACTTCGAATGTGCTTAACTCTTCTAGATTCGGTTTCCTTGTATGTGTATTTAAATGTCAAAGGGTCCTGCTGACTCAGACTCCCTGTAATTCCAAGATGTCCTCTGTCCCCCTGCCCCTACCCAGTGTGCTGCTGGCTTCCCCCACGGGCTGGCACTCAGACCTGGCCTAGGCTCCTGTTAGCAGATTTTCACATCTTTGCCCACATCTACTATTTCCAAGACATCTGCACTGAGCTAAGTATGCCCGTCACACACTACTCAAGCACTTGCACAAGTGTGAGGCACACAAAACGAATGTTGGGCTGAAGAAAACTCAACTTGGAAAAGAAAGGGGAGACACAAGTTTGCCACAGAATTTTCTTAATGTTCTTAATAATCTACAGTTGGCAGAGCTAAGGGTTCCCCCAAGCAGTGGAAGTGTCTCTTTTGCATTCTTCCAACACTAGCATGCCCCAGCCCAGAATAAAGGCAGCACCACCTCTCTACCCATTGTCATCACATTTGCTTGGAAACTGGACCAAAGAGTAAAGCAAACTGAGGATAAGCTTAGTAAACCATGGGATGCTGAATGAATAAAACAGGAATGACACGCTATCCACTGCTTACGGAACACTTACTGTGCATCTCAGTATAACCATGTAGACATTTCACCCTCACAACAATCCTATGATGTAGGTAGCTATTTATGAAGAAGGAATTTTAATTATCCTCATTTTCAGATGAGGGAACTGAGGCAGAGAGAGGGGAGGTGACCCATCTTCAGAATCCTTCTTCACCACAACATTATACTGCCTATGATAGCAGGAGTAACAATGATGATAGCTTATATGTAGTGAGCACCTGAAATGCACTGGATGCTTTATCAATGGAATAGGAAAAAGGAAACTGTTCGTGTAAAGAAAAACAAAAAATAAAAACAGCTTGTAGATGTCCATATTTTAGGTGAGAAATTCATCTCAGAGGTACATGGTGTTTTAATGTATTCCAGTAGTTTTCAACCCTAGCTACACTTTAGAACAACCTGGGGACCTTCTAAGCAATAGCAATATCTAAAACCTACCCCAGACCTGGGTGTGGAACCCAGATATCAGTAAATTTTTTAAACTTTGCAGATCACTCTTGTGCCCAGCGTGTTGAGAACCACTGGTTTACTTCGTTCAAACACACTTAGGATATTTTTCAGTTGTGAACATGATTGGAAAGAAAAAAAATTGTCAACAAAGGAAAATAAATATTATACAATAATTTGGAGACTTCTTCAAAAAGAAAGAAGAGTCGGGGCCCATAGAATAGGCAGAAGATAATATTGGGAAAGAGCTCTAGTCCAGGTGGAGACACTGAAGATCCAGCAACAGGACAATAGGTGAGACCCTGACGGGGAAGACGGCATGGAAGGTTGCAAAAAGTGGATACAATACTTCACTACTTCTGTGGCCATGTCCTTTGCAATACGGCTTTGGAGCTTCTCCCATTCAAACATGGTGTCTATTTCCCCTTTCCTTGAATATGGGCTGACCCTGTGACTTGCTTTGACCAGCAGAATGCAGTGGAGTCCCAGTTCAAGCCCAGGTCTCAGAAATCTTGCATCACACTCACTCACCATGTCCACAAACAAGCCTAAGGCTCATCCGCTTCAAGTTGACAGACCACATGAACCAGAGCCCAAGTGTCCCAGCCAAGCCTCCAGACATGTGAGAGGGTCCCAGCAAGATTAGCAAATGGACCCACAGTTCATTGAAGACCCATATGAAAATCCAGCAGAAGCTGGAAGAGCCACCCAGCTGATCCTAAATTGCTAATACACAGGATTGTGATAACTGAGTTTGGGGATGATTTGAGGATGGTTATGTCGAATTAGCTAAATGGCCAGTGAGAAGGTGGAGAGACATAAGAGGGTAATGTCTAGCACTCAGTTTTAAGTTGTTATCTGATCTGGGCTGTAAACCCCCTTAAACCACCCCAAATAGGCCCAAATCTTCCATAAACACACAACCCTGGTGAATGATGCCTTTCCTAGTACATAGTGGAAGGGGAAGAAGAGGGAATACAGAAGGGAAGTCGTGGCAGGAAAGATGCAGAGGGGGCTTCACAGCTCCAAAGAGGCAGGAAACCAGGGTGGGAGGTTATCAGGAAGGAAAGCAAATCCCCCACAGAATTCCCAGAGCAGTGAGGGAGGGGAGATTGGACAAGCCAGAGCATGTGGAATGGGCCTTGGGTGAGTCTGTTGGGATATTAAAGAAAAGGGTGACACTGTCAGGCTGGAGGGCTAGAAACACACCTGCAGCAGACCCTTGCATCCAATCCTCATACCCACCATGACAGGGAGAGATTTATCACCCTCATTTTATAAGTGAGAAATCCAAGGATTGGAGAGGTTAAGTAACCTCCCCAGGATAACTCACCCGGGAAGTGGTGGAACCAGGTGTGCCTGACTCAAGCTCTCTGAGTAGATCTAATTAGCTGGTCAGAGTTCTGAATGTTTTTTCCCGGAACTCCAAACTCCCAGGCCCTCACTGCACTAGTGAATAGCGCGGAGGGGCGGGGGAGGGAATAACAGGAAAAATAAAGGAAGAAATTGTCAACAAAGAAAAATAAATGTTGTACATGAATGTGGAGACTTCCAAATTCTTATTTGAAGCGTGAATAAAGTGATCCCAAATCCTCAGATCCAGATTCTCCCATCCCAATCAGCCGCCTGAGACTTTTCACTCCAATGAGCACTCCTATTGGCTTCCTTAATTTCCCCTCCACTGTTTTCAGCAGAAGCCAGTGTGTCAGCTCCTGTGCTCACAACGTCCTCCCCCACCTGGCGGCACTGGTCCTCCATCAGGAGCTGAGAAGCAGCCTGGGGTCCCATGACTTACTGCAGTTACCCAATTCCTCCTCCCCAGAGTTTGTGCTCTGCTCCAAAGCGCAGAGAAGCCACACACACACACACGCTCACACACACGTACACACACACACCCTAACATACACACACCACACACATACACTCACCACACACTTCCACACACACCACACACTCGCACACACACATACATACAAACACTCATACACACACACTCATACAAACATACACACACACTCATACACACATACACACACACACAAGTGTTTGCTGCCCCTCACGTGGTACAGTAGGGAAAACCACGACACACTCGGGGTCACAGGGAGCATCTGAACCGAGAAGAGCCCGCCCCACAGCTCCTGCTTCCACCCCTCTCTGCGGACACAGAGTCAAAGTCATGTGGGTATCCTGGGAATTTCCCCCCTAAAAAAACTGTGGCCGGGCGAGGTGGCTCACGCCTGTAATCCCAACACTTTGGGAGGCTGAGGCGGGTGGATCACCTGAGGTCAGGAGTTCGAGACCAGCCTGACCAACATGGTGAAACCCCGTCTCTACTAAAATAAATAAATAAATAAAAATAAAAAAATTTTTAAAAATTGGACAGGCGTGATGGCACATGTCTGTCATCCCTATTTGGGATGGCTATTTGGGATGCTGAGGCAGGAGAACTGCTTGAACCCGGGAGGCGAAGGATATAGTGAGCCGAGATCGCGCCATTGCACTCCAGCCTGGGCGACAGAGCAAGACTCTGCGTCCAAAAAAATAAAAATAAAATAAAATAAAAAATTATGTTTCTTGAGGAGAAAAGACAAAAACAACTGCCGCTTGATTTCTCTTTCAAATTCCAAGAGAATAGGCTTCATTATACCGCCCCAGGTCGCCCGCAGGTGGGAAAGCGGACAGTTAAGCCCATTTCTTCCCCATCTGCTCGGGTTTTGTCTTGAGTATTTCGCACAGCTCCCCCATCCGCCCTCTGGCGCTTCAGAGTCTGGAGGAATCCCGAGCTGCGCCTCCCTCTCCCTGCATCCCTGGCAGAGAATTTCCCCTCCCAGCGCGGGGGAGCCCATCCCTGAGGACTCGGGCAGGTCAGATGAGAATTGGTAGAAAGTGAAGCGCCTTTTCCTCGCGCTGAGGGCAAAGCCAGTGTGCAGCCGCCTGTGGGTGAGGAGCTTTTATGACAATGAATCCCGTGTTTTATGGGAGGGCAGTGTGGAGACAGCGCGGGCCGAGTCCCTGGGTTCCGGGGCAAGACTGTGGGCGTCTCCCGCGGTGACTCAGAGATGCTGCCCTGCCTCACACCATCTCGCACCATCTCTGTGGAGGCCGTGACCTTCATTCACTGCCGTCTGTCACTGGGGGGTGACCTCGCAGTTGTCAGAGCCCCCTCTCCTGGGGCTCAGGACTGGGATCACCCCCGCAACCCGGCGCTTCCAGCTTCATCTCGGGGCGCTCTGTTTACTCCTCCCAGGCCTGTGCCTGAGCTGCCGGCTACCTTAAAAGGTCCCCTCGGAGCTTCTGCGCTTCCCACACACTTCCTATTGCTAATAGCTGAGGCTGAGCTTAGCACGGCTGCTTGCAGGTTAAAGACCAGGGCCTGCGGGGCCAGCTTTCAGCAGGCAATGAGGACCCCACTTACAGCCACACACCTACCTTAAGGGACCGCCTGGGTTCCCTCATATCCAGTGAACTGCCAGCCCTACTTCCAGCCCTCCAAGTCTGGAAAATCACAGGAGGGGAGGGAGAGGGGCCCAGAGGGTGTAGTTGGGAATCCCTGGCTTGGAATCCAGAAGGGCTGGAGTTAGAATCCTGTCCTTTCACTGAGTGTCCTGGGCTAAGTTATTGAACCTCTCCTAGCCTCTTGGTAGAAGGGAGACTCTACTGCTTGCCTCGCGGGGTTGTGATGAGATAAAGGGGCCACAGAGAGTAGGTGTGAGCTCCATCCACCCATGTGGCAGGTCAACTCCACCTATGTCTCTAGAAACTGAGGTCAGGGCTTCAGCCCAACCCCTTTCTGTTGGTGGAGAGTGAGGTGAGCTATTTCTATCCCCTTTAAGCCTCCACTCCCCATCTGTGGGTTGGGGGTGCACCTCGTGATTTTTCAGCCTTCCCACAATGGCAGGAGGTCACGCAGCAGCCCTGAGGTGAGGACACTGCGTGGCTCAGGTGAATATGGTACTCGCTGTACCCGCCAAGCGCTAGATAGAGGGGACCAAGGCAGGCTTCAGGAAGAAGAAAGGCCTTTTGGGCCTGAAGTTTGCAGGATCCCAGATGGCAGGCACTGGGATACGGGAGGGCCTCAACCCTTAGCAGTGCCTTTCCCACCAGTTCCCAGATCCCTTTTGGAAAGTGGCCCAGTGCTCCCGCCTCTCCGCTGGCACTTATTAGGGGCTTCTGAGTCCGTGGGACCTGGGATGGCTTTGGGGCCTTGAATGTCTGTGATGTTTCCCCATCAAGGCCCCAGCCTCGGGCCTTCAAGCCGAGAATCCACCAAGGTCTCTTTGCAGCAGCTCCCTGGGCTCCTCTGGGTTGCCCCCTTCCTCCAGGAGGGAATCTGCCAAAGGGACAGGCTCCTGCTCTCTGGGCAGGAACAGAGCCCATTGTCCTCTCCATCCCCTCTGGTGATTCCAGAGGCAGGCAGACCCAGGATCAAAGGCTGCTGACAAGCTGTGGGATTCTGGGCAAAGTACTCAACCTCTCTGAGCCTGTTTCCTCCCCTATAAAATGACAATCATAGGCGCCGTGAGATTTCCATGAGATGATACCTGTGTCAGGACCCAAAGTAAGTGATTGGCAAATGATAGCTGTTATTTCATTGCGTGGGGACATCTGGGAGGAGCGAGAAGAGTCACAGCCAGTTACAGAGCAGAGAACACTGGACTGAGAAGCAGATCTGAATTCAAGCCCAGTTCTGCTACTTAATAGCCGTGTGTCGTTAGACAAGTCCCTTGACCTCCAACCAATGGGAAGAACAACGCGTCTCTCAGCACAGTTGTGACAATGCCTGTGAAAGCACACGGTGTCCAAGGGCTGCCAAAGTCAGGCATTGTTTCACAGACTCAGAATGTGACAGCGGCAGGAGGCCTTGCACACATCTTCACAAGAGCATGTAGCATGCCTGATGTAATGTCACGTCCCTGAATCCCTTGAACCCCGGAGGCAGAGGTTGTCGTGAGCCGAGATCACGTCACTGCACTCCAGCCTGGGCCAACAGAGCAAGACCCTGTCTCAAAAAATAACAATAATGATAATAATAATAATGTCATGGCCCTCTAGCACAGAGCCCCGTGCATAATCAAAGCTTGGTAAATGTTCGTTTTTGAATTAGTTGATTTAGCCCAACTCTTTTCACTTTATAGAGGAAAACTAAATTCTGAAGGACAGAGGAGACCAAAATATTTATGGAAGAGCTGAGGCTGCACCCCAGATCCCCAGTTTCCGGCTTCCTGGTTCACATTCTAGAAAATACTTCCCTCGGTACCAGGAGACCTCCCACTTCCCATCTCATCAGTCCCAGCTTTTTTTGCACTCAGTTTTCAGATTATTAATCCCCAAACCTGGTCTTCTGCGAAGCAAGGCTAGCCTTTGAGATCAGAGGATTAGGAAGCCACTTCAAAGCTTGAAAGGCCCAGCCCCCATATCTTTCCATCCCCAGTCTCCCCAGGCCAGCAGCTGTCAGATACTCAAGAGTTAGCAAAGCAGGCACCTGGCCAAAGTCATGCCGATACCTGCCTGGCCACATAGCCAGACCCTCTCCTGGGTGTCTACAGGGACTTCCAAAGCACAGCTCTAAGGGGGTAGTCATGGCAAATTTAGTGTATCAGGATGAGGAAACTGAACCGTGTTGGTTGTATGTATGCTCCTTCAGAAGAAGTTCATTATTCATTTTTGGAAGACCAGCTATTGCATTTTGGGTTTTTTTTTTTTTTTTGTCGTTGTTGTTGTTGTTTTTGTTTTTTTAATGCTTTTTATTTTCAGTAGAGATAGGTCTCACTATGTTGCCCAGACTGGTCTTGAATTCCTGGGCTCAAGCGATCCTCCTGCATCAGCCTCCCCAAATGTTGGGATTACAGGCATGAGCCACGGTATGTGGCTTGCATTTTGAAAAACAGAGTTCTTTCTACCTCCAGGAGCCTTATCAGCCTTTGTCCCAAGGTTTAGGACAGTGCTCATTAAAGACCTGCTCTGTCAAAATCTCCCATGAAGTCTGTACAAGAACATTGTTCTTTTTATTAGCATAGAGGAGCATTTCCCAAAACATGGTCTATGGAACATGAATCCTGTGAGATGCAGCTGAGGGTTTTATGGACAAACAGGTATGAGAAATGCTGCACACTATACCTCCCGGCCCGAAATTCACAAAGCAATATCAATAGCTCTAAGAACGTTCAGTGAAGAAAAGTAGTAGGTGTCTATTGCTTGGCCTGCCCAGCAGTCCTTTCTCCCTCCTTTGGTAACAGCATTCAGGTTTTCCTTTGGGGAACAACTCCCTCCCTCCCACCCACCATGACCCTGCATTTCATGTGGTCTGATTTGTTGAGACCATTCAGCGACAATGCTGCCTCATCCTCAACACATACACATACACACACACACACACACACACACACACACACACACACTCCCACCTGCAGGCCCCTAGCCAAATGTGGTAACCAGTGCAGAATTACATGCTCAAAAAAGATTACTGGAACTGAATCTCTCAGATCATAGCACTCTTAGAAGCTGTCCGTAAGTTCCTGTTACTAAGACTCCTAAATCTTTCCCAGATCCTGTACATCCAGTGATTTGATCGTTCACCTTTTCCTTTAATTCCTATGAACTATCTAAAATTATTCCAATCATTTTCTTTTTTTCCTTAAGTTTGTCTCTCTCAGTTGCTGTTGCTTGCAACAATGAACTCTAGTTGATGAAAGAAACCAATTTTTCACAAGCAAAAGATAATGAAATTGGACCCTTTCTTATTCTATATGCAAGAATTAACTCAAAATGGATCAAAGACCTAAACATAAGAACTAACACCATAAAATCTTAGAAGAAAACACAGAGAAAGTCTTTGGCAGTGGTTTCTTGAATATGACACCAAAGGCACGAGCAACAAAAGAAAAAATAGATCAATTGGACTTCATTGAAATTAAACTTTTGTGGCTCAAAGGACATTATCAACAAATTGAAAAGGAAATCCACAGAATGGGAGAAAATGTTTGCAAATCATGTCTAATAAATAATTAATATTCAGAACATATAATGAACTCCTACAACTCAACAATAGCAACAAAAAACAAATGACCCAGTTTAAAAATAGGCAAACGATTTGAATAGACATTTCTCCAAAGGAGAGATGCAAATGGCCAGTATGCACATGAAGAGGTGTTTGACATCGCTAATCATTAGGGAAATGCAAATCAAAACTATAATGAGATACAACTTCACACCCAATGGGAGTGATTATTATGTATTTTTAAACAAAAACACAGAAAATAATTGGAACGTGCGTACATCGCTGGTAGGAACAGAAAATGCTGCAGCCTCTGCGGAAAACAGTATGACAGTTCCTAAAAAAAAAATAAAATTGGAATTACCATAGGATCTGGTAATTCCACTTCTGGGCCCAAAAGAATTGAAAGCAGGAACTCAAACAGATATTTGTACAATGTTCATAGCAACATTACTCACAATAGCCAAAAGACGGAAGTAATCCAATTATCTGTCACCAATGGGATAAGCAAAATGTGGCAAATACAATGGAATAAGTTTTTTTAAGATTGAGAAGGAGTCTCGCTATGTTGTCCAGGCTGGTCTCTAACTCCAGAGCTCAAGCAATCCTCCCACCTCAGCCTCCCCAGTAGCTGAAAGTACAGGCTTGTGCCACTGCTCCCAGCTGGAATAATATTTAGCTTTTAAAATAAAGGACATTCTGACACACGCTCCAACTTGTGTTGGATGCATTATGCTAAATGAAAGAAGCCAGTCACAAAAAGACAAATATTGTTTAGGTACGTGGAGTAGTCAGATTCATACAAACAGAAAGCAGAATGATGGTTGCCAGGGGCTGGGGAGAGGGCAAAATGGGGTGTTATTTTATAATGGGTATAGAGTTTCAGTTTGAGATGATGAAAAATTTCTGAGTATGGAAGGTGGTGATGATTACACAACAATGTGAACATACTTTAATGCACAAAACTGTACACTTAAAAATTGTTAAGCTGGGCACAGTGGCTTATGCTGGTAATCCCCATGCTTTGGGAGGCCAAGGCAGAGGATCATTTAAAGTCAGGAGTTGAAGACCGGCCTGTGCAACACAGTGAGACCCCGTCTCTACAAAAAAATTTAAAATTAGCCAGGCACAGCAGTGTGTACCTGAAGTCCCAGCTACAGAGGAGGCTGAGGTGGGACCCCACAAGTTCAAAGCTGCAGTGAGCTATGATTGTACCACTGCAATCCAGCCTGGGTGACAGAGTGAAAACCTGTCTCTCAAAAAAATTTTTTAAGTGATTACAATGGTAAATTTTATGTTCTGTGTATTTTACCACAATAAAAATAAGAAAACCATTTTGCTTTCTTTAACCTAACTTTCCCTGAATTATTTGACCATGGAAATCCCCCTTTTCACCAGAATTCACATGAATATAATACAACAGAGAGCAAGGGTCCCAGAGAACACACTTGGGAAAGGCTGGCCTGTGGCATTGTGACGGGACCTTCAAGGATAGAAACCCCATGGTGGCACAGGGTGAGGCACTCACTGCAGGTGGAGGAGAAACACATTGGACCGGTCATTAGGGAAGGAAGATACCTGTATCTCACTCAGTAAATTAGCATTCGAGGGAGAGCCTAGAATTGCAGAGGGCAGGGAAGACATCTTCTTCTCTGCGTTTTGACATTATGATATCTATGAGGTAGCTTCTGAGTGGGAGTTCTTAAGAGGAATCCCCTATTGGAGGCAGAATTGGAAGCTTGCAAACAAATCCAGGCAGGAGGCCTGAGATAACATGCCTCTCAACATATGGCCCAAGAGGTAGGGGGCTAAGTACCTCTGATACTGTAGACTGTATTGTTTACATGCCGAATACAGGTTGCTTAGCAACCTCAGAACTGAATAAAGGCTTTTTGAAAATTTTAGCCTGTTCTCAGCTGCTAAGGGGAACTCCTTTGGCCAGGGAGTTTGGTTCATCCTTTGGCCAGGTCATTATGGCTGGATTACCCATGAGAACATTACTAAGGCTGCCCAATGGGAGGACAAAAATTTAGGATAATAGAGTAGAAGAGTCTCTGATTAGATAGCGGGTCCCTACTTCCAGAATTCCTCCCAGGACAAATCTCTGAAGGCTCTTGGTTTTCATCTGAATAAAGAAAATAATAAAATATAGCTAAAAGTTTTTGAGTTTTCATTATGTGCCGGGGAAAGCGCCAAGCACTTAGTACGCATTTTCCATTTATTCCCCTGAAAAAAACCTAAGAAGTGGATTACTTTTTAATTCATTTATTCAAATTCTCCATTCAGATGAAAAAGCTGAGCTTTAGAAAGATAAAATTACTTGCCCAAGTTACCCAGATGGGAGCCAGTGGAGCCAGGATTCAAATCCTGGCAACTGGATTCCAGAACCCACCCTGTTCATTGCCACTTTATCCCATCTTTTCAGCCACCCTCCCACACACCTCTACAGTCTGCTTCTTCCTTCTTAGTAGCAAAGCAGGTGGATTCTTCCTGTCCACTTCTGTCTTTTTTCCTATACTGAGAATTTTAACTTGGAGCACCTGTGAAACCCTAGAGGCCCATTTATCTGTTGGCAATGTTCTCCTTTTAAGCTGGGGAATGGACCGTGTCATCTTCAACCAGAGTTTTTTATGATTCAAACATCTTCCTCTTCAGCGTGTAAAATGGCATTTCTTATTGCCCAGTCTGCAGAGAGTCTCAAAGACGTAGTAAAGGAAATCAAATGAAGAGTTTCCTTCTCTTGCTGCCAGAAGAGATAGAGTTGGCATTTTCCCAACTGCTAATGTTTCTAAACTGGCTTTATATGTTCCCAGGGACAACAATCAAGCCCAGTCCAATAGGTCAGCAAACTAGGTGAGTGTCTACCTGCATGCTGGAAACAGGGCCTAACATGGGGGTGGGCACTGAGGTACCCACTGCTCCCGAAGATCTCTTTCCTGTGCCAGCCAAATACATGCCTGTCATTCTCCCTCAAACACTGGTGAATGAATTGAAGTGCAAACAAATCCTTATGCCACCTCATATGTGCATAGCACTTTAATAACCCTGCAGAGATTCGAATGCCCTTTAGAGATTACGAATCATTTTTACTTATCTCAGTCTTAAAAACCCTCCAAGGCAGGTATCAGTATTCTTACTTTATATAGGAGGATGTTAAAGCTCACTCATAGTTAGCAAAGACAGGACTAGCATCTAAGGCTTTCACCCAAGCCCAATGTTTTCTGGATGTAGAATTTAGCACTCATCTCTTACACAATTCTTTCACCTGGCAGAAGTCTGAAGCTGGGACAAGTAAATTTTGGTTGGTGCCCTAAGAAGAGCCACATCTGGATTGTGGAATAAGGACAAGAAGGAAGGGCCAAGCAAGAAGACCAAAGAGCCTGTCTCTGCAGAGCTGGGAAGCGGGGCAGCTGCCTGATCCTGATGTGGAGCCAAGAGACCGCACTACACGCTTGTGGGAAAGACCTTGAGCTGGGATCTGGAGCCCCAGGTTTCAGGCCAACTGGGCTACTGAGTCGCCTAGAGCACATCACGCTTGTCAGGGCATCATTTTCTCTCTGTATGAAAAGGATTTGGGGGATCTGACATCTAAGATACTCTCAGGCTCTAACAAGCTTGAGTCATCTTTGGGGGTCAGTAGGTCTGCGTGTGCTTCCATGTGACAATGAGAGCTAAATAAACGTCAGCTCCTTCCAGCCTCATCAACATCATCATCTCGGCTGTGACTCAGATCATCCACACATGATGAGTAAACAGTGCCCTTTGCACTGTGCTGCATGAAGCCGAGCGTGGGGGCGGTGGTCACAGTCGAGGCTGCCTGCCTGCCTCCCTGGGTTGCAGATTTATGGCATGGCAGTCCTTGTCGAAAAGACATCTGGAGGGCCTGGCTCTACCTATTTTTCTCCTACCCAGCTCAGAGGTACTTTTGCCCAGTCACTCCTCAAATAATCCAAGCTCCTCACACTGCTGTTTCCAAGTTTTGAAACACATTATGGCAGGCCACCAGTTCCATTTTATTAGCAAATAGATGAGTCACAGGGCCATTTCCTTTGGATTTTTAAGTAAGATTTCCACTTCTACCTCACTGTCTTGTCTGGCCTGATGTTTACAAAGAGAGAGGTTGCTACTTTCAAATACATGTGATTTTTAGTCAAATAAATCCTAACTGCTTGAGCTGCACCACCTCCAACACTGTTCCTTGCCCATTTCCTGATGTCATGCATTTGCCCTTCCTCTGTGTCTGTGGGTATGCCAGAGAAGTAGGAGTTCCCCCATTAGATACTTATTTTAGAATATCTGCCATCTGGATGGGATGAAGACAATGTGGCGTATTGCCACAATGGAATACTATTCAGTCATCAAAGAGAACAAAATCACGTATTTAGAAGCAAGATGGGTAGAACTAGTAGCCATTGTTTGAAGTGAAGCAACTCAGAAACAGAGACAAATACTGCACAGTCTCACTTATAAATGGGAGCTAAATAATGTGTACACATGGACGTAGAGAGTGGAATTATAGACCATGGAGACCTGGAAGGATGGGGAAGTGGGAGGGGGGTGAGGGATGAGAAATTACTTAGTGGATACAATGTACTTGATTTGGGTGAGGGATACCCTAAAAACCCTGACTTCATAGCACTCTGCAATATATTCATGTCACAAAATTACACTTGTACTTCATAAACTTATACAAATAAAAATTAATCAATAAAATAGCTGCCATCTGCACTGCAATTATTCCCTACCTTTAATCAAGACTGGCTTAAATGTGTATGTCGGCTGAGTGCAGTGGCTCATGCCTGTAATCCCAGCACTTTGGGAGGCCGAGGCAGGCGGATCACAAGGTCAGGACATCGAGACCATCCTGGCTAACACGGTGAAACCCCGTCTCTACTAAAAATACAAAAAAAAAGAAAATTAGCAGGGCGTGGTGGTGGGCGCCTGTAGTCCCAGCTACTCGGGAGGCTGAGGCAGGAGAATGGCATGAACCCGGGAGGAGCAGCTTGCAGTGAGCCAAGATGGCGTCACTGCCCTCCAGCCTAGGCGACAGAGACTCTGTCTCAAAAAAAAAAAATTGTGTATGTAATGTGTGTGTATATATATCTGAGTGCATACACACATGTATATGCATAATAGGTATGTATGTATATGCAAATAAAATTGCAAATACCTTTCAAGAAAGTGTTCTCCAAAGCTATCTCAAATTATCCACACGGTAATTTCTCCAAGTCAAGCAACTGCCTTGGGGCCTCTGAGTGATACTAGCAAGAGTACTTCTCAGTCCTCCTGCATTTTTACTTTTCCAGAAGCCTGACAGTAAGGGGGTAGTTTCTCTACTTCCAATGGAGTGGTTTAAAACGTTAATACAACAGAAGATACAAGAACATTTTTGTTTTATTTGAGCATGATCCCAGTAAAACTGAAATAACAATTACTTGTCCTGAGTTCCAGAAAGGGCATGCTCTAGGATACTCACCTTCCTTGGTAGATGCTGGAATAAATAAATAAGACTGACAGCATACCCATTTTTGGAATATATGTATTGAAGAGCGGAGCAAGACAAGAGTCTCATTGATATTTGTTTTACTAATTGTAGTACTCTACTTTTCCTTTAGCTGTGAGCCCCCTCTCTCCCACCTCTACCCTATTCCCCAACACGTGCACGCGCATGCACACACACACACACACACGCATATGTGCATGCACACACACACACGCATACGTGCATGCACACACACGCGCATACGTGCATGCACACACACACACACGCATACGTGCATGCATACACACGATCACCTGTATGTTCCTTCGCTAAAAACCTCATGTCCTTGGTTTGCATATGTTATTTTTTCCCTAGCTGCATGACAAGAAAAACAGGTGGATAATATTTACTTCCTCATTTCCCCAGGGTTGGACTGGATGATTTACTGATGGTTGGGTAGAGTCTCTTGTCGTTTTGTGGCTGTCTCCTATCCAGTCACACGACTGGACTCCATATCTTACTCCAGCGCAATCTTGTCACCAGGGCCTTGGCCAGGGCTTGTGTCTGGCCAGAACGGCTCCCTTTCTCTCCTGCTGTCATTTTGTGTTGCTCTCTGGCTATTGTGGGCATCAGGCCTCACCACTTTATGTGCACTTCTCACAGAAAACCTTGAATGCTGCTGGACACGTGTGCTAAGTCCAATAAGCACAGCAAATGCACATGCTGGGCTGAGGCTGCCCCTGACGAAGGACTTCCTTCCTTCTGCCTGAAATGCCTTACTCACTACTCCTTTGCTTGGCTGTTGCAGTAATGAATGTCTTCTTTTTTCTTTTTCTTTCTTTCTTTTTTTGAGACAGAATCTTGCTCTGTTGCCCAGGCTGGAGTGCAGTGGCACAATCTCAGCTCACTGCAACCTCCACCTCCTGGGTTCAAGCAATTCTCCTGATTCGGACGAGAGTCCCAGCGTTGCGGTGGCTTCCTCATTGGTCTCCCTGGGTGGGTCTCATGACTCGGTTCCTGCCAGGCTCAGCCCTTCTGGGCGATGTCCTGAAGCAGCACCACTCTAATCTGTCACACCCGTGTTTAGAAATATTCAAGCAGCTGCATTACCTTCCAAGCCAAGTCCAAATTTCTCAGTTTGGAACTCAATGTCTTCTACAATTGCTTCCCAACTTACCCTTACAGTTCACTCGCTCTCCACCTCTTGGGCAAACAATAAATTGATAAGTTAAGTGCTTTACATTTCATCCTAATGATATTCCTATAAGATGTGTGTTATTATCCTTGTTTTTCAGATGAAGAAATTGAGGCACATTAAGATTGACTTGCCCTAAGTAACCCAATGTATTTAGTTTCTTGGGGCTGCTGATATTACCATAAACTCGATGACTTAAAATAACAGAAATGTATCCTCTTCCAGTTCTAGAGTATAGAAATCCAAAAATCTTGATGTTGGCGGGGCCATGCATCCTCTGAAGGAGTTAGAGGAAGATCCTTCCTTGTCTCTTCAGCTCTGGTGCTTGTAAACATTCCTTGGCATTGCAACCCCAATCTCTGCATGGCCTTCTTCCCTCTGTGTCCCCTCTGTGTCAAAATCTCTCTTCTTTCTCTTATAAAGGCACCACATATTGGAATTAAGGTTCACCCTTAATCCAGGATGATTTCGTTCTGAGATCCTTAACTAGTACATCTGCACAGACCCTATTTCCCAATAAAGTCACATTCTGAGGTTCAAGTGGACACAAATTCTGGGGGAAGACTGTTTAACCCACTACACCCAACAAGTAAGAATTTGAAACTAAATCTCTCAGGCTATCAAGCATCATACATTAACACCTTCACTTAACGCCTCCCAGAAAGCTCCCGGCCAAATTGGACTTCTCTCATTTTTCTATATAGATTTCTCCCTTTCCTGCCTCTCTGTCATTGCTCATGCTATTTTCTTTACATAGGCCAGTTTTTCCCTTTTTCTTCCTTTCAACCAATCCTACCTGTGGAAATCTTGTGTAGTCTTCAAGATGAAGCTCAACATCACTTCCTCTAAGAAGACATCCATGGGCCAGTGCAGTGGCTCACGCCTGTAATTTCTGCACTTTGGGAGGCCAAGGCAGGCAGATCACTTGAGGCCAAGAGTTCGAGATCAGCCTGGCCAACACAGTGAAACCCCGTCTCTACCAAAAAATACAAAAATTAGCCGGGCGTGTTGGCACCTACCTGTAATCCCAACCACTCAGAGGCTGAGGCAGGAGAATTGCTTGAACCCAGGAGGTGGAGGTTGCAGTGAGCTGAGATCATGCCACTGCACTCCAGCCTGGGCAACAGAGCATGATTCTGTCTCAAAAAAAAAAAAAAAGAAAAAGAAAAAGAAAAAAAAAGACATTCATTACTGCAACGCCAAGCAAAGGATTTTTCTTCCACCAAAGCTAAACTGCCTTACAGCACATGTCTCCGATGGCCCATATTATCTTCAACCTCACGTTCTAGGTTTCTGTGCAGTTGTCTCCATTCCCTACTACATCTGCTTCCTGCCACTGTTAACTATATTACAAGCACCTTAAAGGCAAAACTGCCTCCTCCCACCATGTGTTCTCCACAGTACTTTTCTTAAGCCGGAGCTCCACAAATTTGCCCAAGTGAATTTAGAATCATCTGCATCTTTCTCTGCATTGAATAGTTCATGTATTTGTAAGCAAAAATGTAGGATGCTTAAAAACTCACCTTTCCCCAATGCTCCCACTTTTCCCAACTGGAATTTTTTAAATGGCCCAATTTTCTTTTCCACATCTAACTCAATCATCTTAACAAACGTTTTCATCATTTGAATTTTATCTAATGAATAAAAATTGAGTCCCTTCCTGGTATAATCCTCTCACAATTTCTTTATTTTCTTCCTATCACCAGTGCTACCTCCTTTGGCTTTTCAGGACAAATTTATTACTCTTGAGATCTCTGAGGATGAGGATAATATCTTAGCCATCATTATATTCCCAGCAGCTGTTAGCACCTGGGTGTCCAATAATATTTGAAGAATGCATGAATGTGTGAAGGTGTGGATGCTGCACTAGAGCAGGCAGAGTCAGTGCTGTCCCTGAGATGATGACATAACTTTTGCAGGTCTCACATAATCCTTACCACAACCCTATGAGGTGGGCATTCTTCCCATGTTACAGATGGGAAAACTGAGGCTATGAGATAGTAAAGAACTTGACTCTTGGCCACACATCCAGTAAGTGATGAAACCAGATTGAAACCCAGGTTTGTCTAACCCTGGAGCTAAAGCTCTTAACCAAAAATCCTCTTGGATTGGATTGCAGCCGGCATTATCCTGCCCTGCTTCAAGCCAAGGGAATGTGATCATGACAACCTTGAACATACCCTTAAACCTGGAGCCTTGGCATCTGTTGGCCATTTGGTTGGGAAGGTCTAAAAGAAGTGATGAGGAAGCTTGAGATTGTGAGAAAAATAGTGTAAAGAATATATATGCATTTTGTGTGTGTGTGTGTGTGTCTGTGTATTCTGTGTATAGGATGATACCTGGGGATGAAACAGGCTGTGTTTATAGGAAAGTTTTGGAGATAAGAATATACAAGTGACCAGGAGTCACAGGTGGACCTCAGTCCTAGCTCAGACACTTAGCATCTGAACAAACTTGGACAAGTCATTTATCCACCTGAACTGGTTTGCTGTGAGATGGCCTATTGACCTCACATAGGTGTTGGGAGGATCTATGAAGCTCAAGAAGAAAGTTCGTAAAATCCCAGTATATGCAGTGCGCTGCACTGATGAGTAGAAGGGTAAGGAGGAACAGAGTGGTGGTCCCTGATTCAAAGGAGTTTCCATTCAAATTAGGGGAAACAGACATGTAAAACTAACTCTAAATGATACGGAATGGAAAATGTGCAACCATGAAAAGGAAGATCTCTTGAGCTCTTTACTGTATGGCAGGTTAAAAGATGTTAATCTCACAAAGATGTTAACCTTACCAAGTGGGTATTATTAGCAATCCCATTTGGTAGATGAGAAAACTGATAGCTAGAAACCTTTAACCTTTACTCCAAAGCCATGTTGCTAAATTCCACAGCCAAAATTCACCCCAGATCTATGTAACCTGAATCTTTACTTGTATCATCTCCCCATGCTATTGCCTTGAGCAATTCTAAGATGCAAAGTGCAGAGAGATGGGAACCTTTGTGCTCAACTTGGAAAAAGGGGAGAAAGGGCAATGAAAACAGAGCAGACACCCTTTAAAACTGCGTGGCTTTAAGGCCAGGCGTGATAGCTTGTGGCTGTAATCCCAGCACTTTGGGAGGCCGAGGCAGGCGGATCACCTGAGGTCAAGAGTTTAAGACCAGTCTGGCCAATATGGTAAAACCCTGTCTCTACTAAAAATACAAAAATTAGCCTGACGTGGTGGTGCATGCTGTAGTCCCAGCTACTTGGGAGGCTGTGGCAGGAGAATCGCTTGAACCCAGAAGGCGGAGGTTGCAGTGAGCCGAGATCACGCCACTGCACTCCAGCCTGGGTGACACAGTGACTCCGTCTCAAGAAAACAACAACTGTGTAGCTTTAGGGAATGTCTGAAGTCCCATGATTGTCACCATCAGTGTGTGTCTCACTACAAACTCAAAAAGCTAGGGAGAAGAGAATGAAATAGGGTGCATATAGGGCCAGAGAAGATGTGAAGGGAGAACACCAGAAGTTCCATTCCAGCAAAAGGGCTGCATACGGCCGCTGGATAGATGCCAAGTGATTAATGTCAAGCCATATTAATGTCAGAGAGGAGAATTTGGTGAAAGCTTTGCCTGGCTAGATCTCAGGCTGGAAATCACTAGATTCCTTTATTTTATTTCCCCCTAATCCTTTATAACTTCCTCTAATGCCTTAGTCAAGCTTAAGACCATCAGCCTCCAGGGAGCAAAGTGAAGCCCATCTGTTCAGTCAGGCATTTGCCAGACCAAAGTAAAAGGTCAATCTGGCTTTTCCTATAACAGCATTGAGATGACCCCAAATACTTCCCAACGGTATCAGCCAAAAACAACTTTGCATTACCGTGAATCGTGATTTCAAAGCAGAGATGTCAGGGATATCCTTTAAAACGGATAATGACTGGGCTATTGCTAGTGAGAAAAAGAAAGAAAACAATAGGCATATGTCTCTTTGGAATGTGCTTGCTCTAAAGGCTGTATAAAAATAATCCTAATCATCTTGTTTGGGGAGGAAAATCAATCAAGAATGCCTTTTTTCAAATATTTTATTTCTTTTATTATAAGACATATAGGTAAAAACTTGCATATTTTGAAAAAGATAGAAAATGGTAATAAAATGGATATTTTTCTTATTAAGAAATATGTTCATAAATATGCTTTATCAAATGTTAAAATGGTTATTTTGCAAAATAATAATAAATAGAGCAGAGCTGTGACATACAAGGGTCAACCAAAGTACTGGAAGTTTTTATGCTATATGTTTTATAAAAATTCAGACTTCTGATTATACATTAAAAATTGACATTTTGCACTACAGGGTATCAATAATTCTGATTTTAAAAATATTTTTATGATGGCTCCATGAATTCAAAAATAATAAAACATAAAAGGTGGTTTGACTAAATAGAATCTGATTCAAATAATTTCCCCCTAAATAAGAAATTGTAAGATATAATTTTTGAGCCTATAAGGGACACATGTATCAGTTCCCAATTCTATATGTCTTGGTGGGCATTGAACAAAAATTGTTTGCTAAGCCTTTGTTTCCAGCAAGGTCCACATCATTTCTTTTCACAGTTTGATGGAGCAATAATAGTCACGATTCTGATGAGCCTAGTTCTACAATTCTAGCTCCATGGATCTTAGATTCGTAGAAAGTTTTCCCTCCTTTGAAGAAACTCATTGACAGCTTTCTTATATTTGTTTATGACTCATTGGCCTCAAAGTCACATATCAGAACACTGGGAAAAATTTTTAATGATGAAAAGTTCTTGTTCTAGGCATTCTTTGTAAGCTTTACTTCTCTACTATCCAAAATAGAAGAAACACATGTGAACACCAAACACATCCTCTAAAGAGTCTTGGGTGTTCAAATAGCAAGGTCAGGCTTTTCCTGGAAATAAATACTGACTTTTTACAAAAATCTTTCATTTCCCATGCATCATGTTGCCCACAAGGCTAATACGCTAGCTCCCTGCTACAATGGGGGAAACCACATCTAACTTAAGTATTCAATCTAATATAGATTATTGGTCCCAATGGCCTTCAACAACGGCCATCAAAGGGACATCTGGGTGACCCTGGGTTCCTAGAGTACAGAGAGGTCATGGCAGGATTTGGACTTGAGCTTGAAGGCCATATTCTTGTTGTTTTTGGCCACGATCTTGCCCCAGAAGCGCCTGGCTTTCCTGGGCATGCTCTCCTTCCTTTTCTGGTAGGCCAGCCGCCGTTCATTCTTCTCCTTGCTGTCCCGCCGAAGGCGCACCTGTCGCACAATGCCCTCAAACAGCTCCTTCACGTTGTGCTGGACAGCTGCAGAGGTCTCGATGAACTTGCAGTCAAACACCACTGCACAGGCTCTCCCTTCTGGGAAGGAAAGAAAGAGGTCAGAGGGACTGCAGAGCACAGTCCCACATAGCACACAGTCAAGCTGGATGGTTCTTCGAGGTAACACTAAGTCAGCTGTATATGCAGTGGATAGAGGATGCTGCTGCGGCATGGGCCCTCCCAGGGCATGAATAGAAAATGTCTCACTGGAGGGTCCCTGGAAGTAAGGGAGATGGGCTTTAGATCTGATCCCCCATAAATTCACTGTCTGAAGGTCCCATTTCATCAAATATAGTGATATTAGTTATAACAGTAAAAGCCATACCCTTAATTTACTGCTGACTTACAATGTGCCAAGAACAAGGCTAAGTTCTTTATAAACACTGTTTTCAATGTCCACAACAATCTTGGAAAATACATTATTATCCCTGTCAAATACATGAAGAAACCGAGGGGAGTCTCCTCTGCAGGTGAAGTTCACACAGCCTGTAAGTGGCAGTGAAGCCAGGTCTGCTCAGTTCTCAAGCCCATACTCAACTCTTTCTCCTGACCCAGTTTCCAGAATTGGAAATAAGAATTCTACTGCTTAGCTTTCCTCTCTTTTAAAATAAAAATAAAAATAAAGCAATAATGAGATATCTTGGGAAAAAATTGAGAATTTTACAAATGTGTAATACAGTTAAATTATACAAGCTTTTCTGGGACAGTCTCAATTTCAAGTATTTCATTGCATTCAATGACCATGCATCAAGTTTTGGTTTGGAAAAAAAATGATTACTGTAGACAGTTGTGTCCTAGTAGGAAGACATTCCCAAACTAGTGTGTACATTGTCTTTATCAGGTGTCTTTCCTCCTGAGCAGGGCCCGGCAATGTAGTATTTTAGTTTTATAATTGTACCAGGATCAAATCTGAATTAGGCCAGTAAAATCTCAAGGGCTATAAAAGCACTTGGCTGCCCACTCAGCAGATAGAGATTTTCCCTGAGCTAAGTATGAAGAAGAATATGTGACCCCATCAGACTGATGCCTCAAATGAAATTTCAGAAGCCAGGGATGGGGAGTAGGAGAGTAGGACAGTGTTTCTAGGGCTCACAGGAACCAGAGTCAGCCAGAGTAGAATTCTTTTTCCTCAATGAAACTCTTTCTCACAGTTCCCCTAAATCAGAGTTCCCTATCCTCCTTGCATGAAGATGCTACTTTCATTTCCCTGTACTCTTGGGAATTCCAGGAAACTCCTTAAAAGCGGGAGGATTAGTATCCTGCAGGTAGACCAGATGGACAAGGGAGAACAACTAGTGTGGAGGAGACCCACTGGGACTGTAGGAGTCTGAGAAACACACCTAAAATTTCATATAGCATCTTAATGAGTTCCTAGATCCAGCCTCGTGGAAGGAGGGAAGAACCCGTGTCTGAAGGAAAACACATGTGATCCAGCGATTGTTTCTACAGTATTGGCTCTGCTCCTCTTACCTGATACAGACACTTCTCGGCACCGCACTAAGTCACTTTTGTTGCCAACCAAAATTATGGGAATGTCCTCTGTCTGCCGGGCCCTGCGGAGCTGGATTCGCAGCTCAGATGCCTTCTCGAAGCTCGCTCGGTCTGTGATTGAGTAGACAATCAGGTATGCGTCCCCGACCTGCATGCAGTGGTCATGGAGCCATTCATTTTCCCCCTAATGAAACAATAAGATCTTCTGTGAGTTCAGTTAGGCCTGGGGAATAAAGCATCAGTTTGCAAAGAAACAATATGTGTATCCTAAAGTACACTTGCTGATAGGAAAAATAGGAAAAAGGAAGAAAATCGCTTCCAACTCCCTAAAAGCATTGGTCTTCTATGCCTATAAGATGTCTGGTGGCTGTAAAGATTGCTAGCCTGTCCAGTATTTATGCCAAAAAGTTTTCACTTTTCAGTATCTTCTACAGCTTGATTTGATAAATTACACAACTTCTCTGCCAAACAGCATTTCCAATTTCTATTTAATCTACCAAAAATGAGCCTTTTCTGACTTCCCAAAAACTCCCTTTTGCCTTTTCCAAGTGATGAGATTAAGAACACTTTTGTGGGACTAGGAGGGTTTTCAATTAACAGAAGTCTAGCACATAGGTTCTGAAGCTTTTTAAAATCTTTAAAAAGCCAATGTTGAAGACTGGTATTGAGAATCTCAACTTCATATGAGATGGATGTATGTTATTTAAAATAACAGTCAATGCCTGTTTGTATTTTCCCTAAAACAAATAAACTTTTTGGGTGTGTTTTTTAATAGAACTAAAGGCAAGTCACTACAACTTGCTTGTTATTCAGAACTCATCTGTGAACGACCTGTTCCTTAGAACAGTCTCATTCTTCAGCAGTATGCTTTTAATCAAGAAAATGAGCCCACCTCATCTGGAACACCTACTATATAGGACAAGGTCACCCTTGCACCAAACAACTTGTTGAAAGGAAAGCCCTAAAGGAATTTAGAGAGCTACAGGCTCTGCATACCTTATTTTCCCACATATCCAGGAGTATAATCGTTGCACTTTCCCCATCAACCATCAGGGTTCGTTCATATGTATCTTCTAGAGAAGAAAGAACAAAGATATTGGAGTCAGGCGAATATGCAACACTTCTCCATAAGAGGGTCAGGTAGAAAATTGTGCTAGAACATAAACTTACTAAATATGCAATTAATTATGTAAGTATACAGATATTTTCAAAGGCAAATTACTATTTTTTGTCACCTTCAACAACATTCTACATATAATTCCTCCAGTCCTTATCCAGCAGAACGTCTCTCTCGAACATGTGTCACTAAACCACATGGAGTAAAAGGCATTTGTTTGCATCATTCCTGGACCTTTTGTATGGCAAAATCATTTGTGAGGATAAACTTACTCAAGAGCTTTTGACTCAGATTCAATGGTTAATGCTATGAGGAAACATTAACCACCCAGTGAAACTGTAAGCCACATTTTCATAAGTCCATTGTACCTTTCAGTGGGTAGTTACTGAATACTCACTAGCAATTTCAGGAGCTTTGGGCTCAGAGACATTGCTCCTCTTCGGACAAGTGCAAGAATGAATCTTGAGACTCTCCCTGTTTTGGCTGTAGTTTTCTTCCTTTTTTTAAAAAAAATGCTGTTCCCTAGGAATAAGTGGGCTTGTTTTTCCATCTTGAGTATAATAGAAATGCAGCCTCCAGCTCTACTTGGTAATGGAAACTTTCCTCCCTGCACTTGAGCCCAGATCTTGTGTAGGTGAAGGGTGAACACAGTACAGTACAATGGGCCAAAGCAGTTCCAGCCTGGAAAATCCATGGGGGGCAGGCGTAGAAAAGGGGTACAGTGGGATTTTTGCAAGTGGGATTTCCCTCATCCCAATACCATTGAGCCCATCCCCACTCTATTTTCACAATGAGGTTTCCTGTTTTGAATTTCATCTTTTGAAAATTATGACTTTCATAATGATTTATCATTTTTCTTCTGTTCTTTTTGTCTAGAATCTTTTCCCTCAAATACCCACAAGGCCTGTTTCCTTACCTCCCTCTGGGGGAGGTGCTTCCTGGCCATCCATTTAAAATTGCAACACTTCTATCCCACAATATTCCTTCTCTGCTTTATGTTTCTCCATCTCACTTATTGCCACCTAACATACAACACATTTAACTTACTTATTCTATTATTTTCTGTCCCTCCTGCCCCTCTCGTAATGTTAGGGCAGACATTTGCATCTATGCTGTTTACTGTGTCCCCCAGCACATTGGTACATTGCTGGTGCACAATAAAGTTTGTACAGTGAACGAATGATAAATATAGCATTGTGGCTGTGAAAACAAGCAAACCTGAATTCAAATCCAGGTGCCATCCCTTATGAACTCTGGGGGTCTACGCAACTTAGGCTCTCTGAGCCTCAGTTTTCTTCATCTGTGCAATGGGATTGATAATAGTACTCACACCTTAGGGCTATGTGACAATTACCTGTATTAAGCCTGGGCACAAAGTAGAAACTCAGTCAGTGTTAGCCATTATCACTTCTTCAGGTGAAGGAAGCTGGTTCTTGCCATACTCAGCACTTCCTCACTACAGATAAATCCTAGCTTAAGAGAGCTACGTTGGAACCAGGGCACTTCTTGTTTTACAATAGCGAGCAGTTTACGAAAAACACTGCTCCTGGTTTAATGCTTCATCATCTAAGAATTGGAATCAGGAGAGGTTTCCCTTCCTTAGAGAAGGAAAACTTGGACAAATAAGAAGAGAGTTAACCAGGCATGGCCCTGTCTTTCTGTGAGTTTCCCCACCTCCCACAGCGTCATTCTTCTAATCAGTAAGTGTTTGCCCTTGGGGAATTAAAACTCTGTCTCGCCCATCGTGTGCCTGCTCACAATATGCAGAAGGAATGAGATCACAGTGGGACTATTTGGATTACCAGGGGTAGAACCTCACAACCTCAACCTGTAAATTAGACAACGCAAGGGAGACTGTCAGAGCCTGAGCAGCACAGAACGGGGATGGCCTGACTGCTGCTTCCCACCACAGGGTTCTTAGCTCTTCTCTAAAACCCCTCCCTGCACTCAGACAACTCCTTCAATGATGGAGGAACTTTCTCAGCCCACCACTCAGGTACAGGGGACTCGCTTGAGTGCCCAGTCATTCAAATAGAAACATACTGTGTTCCAATCGCTGACGGAAAAGGAAAACCCAACTTTCTCCTGGCTTAAGAGATATCAGAACAAGTCTAGAGAAAAAGTGGACTAAGGATCACAGCCATGAAAGTAAAAACATGCTTTCCCGTTCTAGAAGCTTCCTGACAGGATCATTCTGTCTGATCTTACCTTTGCCTGAAAATTACGGTGTTGGAGGCCTGGGAGGCTAAAACAATCCATCTCCTCCCTGCTCAGCACGTGTGCTCCCCACTTTACCCCCCACCCCAGTACATGAGTTTAGATACGGCCTCTGGCTGTGTGCACCAGGACCCTTCCAGCACACATGGCATCCCGACTGAAGGCTCTCCCCTAACCAGGTGCAAGCCTGGGAGTAACCAGAGCTCCAGGTTTCTCTTCATCTAAGTTGCTCAGCTCATCTTTTATCCTTTTCAAGTGCTAATCAGGTGAGAAGAAGGGAAGGAAAAGAATACCAGACTCTAGGAGAGCTCTTTGAAATCTGCTTCCAGTAAAGGTGTGGAGAAAGGTTTGGATACTGATTAGTCTCTGTGAGGCTTTTCCGTAATCTGGGTCTGGAGACACCCCTACTTCTCCAGTGCACTGGAAGAAAGCTGGGGTGTCTGTGCACACTCTATGTAGCAAAAGAACTCATGCTGATGGGGACAGACAGACGTTCTATAAGGGGTGATGGTGGTCAGTAGCCACTTTCTCTAGACCAGTTTGTCTTTCCTCATTTGATCCCCCTGACAGACTCTCTCCCTGACCAAACTTTAGTCAGGCTCCTCTGAATCCTCTTCTCTACCCGGCCTCTCCCTGGGCTTCCGTTTCCATCCTGGCAGAATTCAGCTTTAGCAAGAATCCTGCTAAGTCAGTTTAGTGAGAATCCCCCACCTTCAATATCTGATCAAATTCCTCACCCACCACCTCTGATAGTCTAAGTCCTTGGCCTGACTTCAGCAAGAATCCCCCTAACCTTGACGTCTCCTCTTAGTAATTTTCCATCCTCTGACCCCCTCCCACCTGCTCCTTGGCCTGACTTCAGCAAGAATCCCCCTAACCTTGACGTCTCCTCTTAGTAATTTTCTATCCTCTGACCCCCTCCCACCTGCTCCTTGGCTAAGTGCCCACTTGTTCTTCTTGTACTTGGAATTGAGCCCCATCTCTCCCCACTATTGGGATGCCTACTGCAATGGCCCTGAATAAAGTCTTCCTTACCATGTTAATAATTTTTTCGTTAACACTCCTTGTGCTTGGAAGTGAGGCCCCTTCTGCCCAAGACTGGCTCAAGTGCTGTGTGTGTGTGAAACCCGCCCAAGTGTTCTCTCACTGCCAGAACTGACTCCTGCAGCACCTCTAAAGTTCTGAGACTCCAGCATCCCTCTCCCTGAAAACTTTCAACTGCTTCCAGCTTTCATAGCTCAGGGGATCCCAAGGAACCTCAGAAGAAATGCCTGCTCTACAAATACTGTCCTCTACTCTACTGGCCCCGGTCCCCTCTGGACAGCTCCACGGGCCCCAGCCAACAGTGACCAAAGTGGACAGGGGCCACAAGCAAGGAAACCACCACTTTTGAAAGATAAGCACATCAAAAGGAAATGGTAGATTCAGAATCAGCTCTAACTAATGCTCATTTCGTACTTACTATGTGCCAGGCACCATGCTCCATGCTCAACATGTTATATCCTTTAATCCTCGTAACACCCTATGAAGGAGGTATTACCCCAATTACACTAATGAGGCAGCTTGAGGAGGCTAAGTGGCTTGTCCAAGAGCACCCAGCCAAGTCAGTGTCAGAGCTGCGTCTAAACCCATCATCAAACCCCAAGCCCAATGAGACTTCCGTACTTTGCTATATATGTGTGGTGTGCCTTCCCACCTAGCTCAGGGCTTCCAAATCCTAGTTGTCCCTAGGGTCCAGTTCAGAGACCATCTCTTCCATGAAGCTTTTATTTATTTTATTTATTTTATTTTATTTTTATTTTTATTTTATTTTATTTCATTTTTGAGATGGAGTTTCACTTTTGTTGCCCAGGCTGGAGTGCAATGGTGAGATCTCGACTCACTGCAATCTCCACCTCCCAGATTCAAATGACTCGCCTGCCTCAGCCTCCTCAGTAGCTGGGATTACAGGCACATGCCACCACGCCCGGCTAATTTTTTGTATTTTTAGTAGAGATGGGGTTTTACCATGTTGGCCAGGCTGGTCTTGGACTCCTGACCTCAGGTGATCCACCTGCCTCGGCCTCCCAAAGTGTTGGGATTACAGGCATGAGCCACCATGCCGGGCCAACCATGAAGCTCTTAAATCCACAGTCAGAGGTAATCTTTTCGCCTCGGAATTCCCACAGCACTCTCCTTACACCACTTTCAAGACATTTACCACATCCTATCTCAATTTCTACTTGGTGTATACATTATGCTCCATTGCATACTGTGAGCATCTCCGCAGAAGAAGCCCCATGACTCTTTGCATGTCCCCAGAGTGCCTCACCAAGCTCTGTGCTATACATTCAGTAACTTCTTAGGAATGAATGAATGAATGAATGGCATTCAGTGTATACAGAGAGTCATAAGATTACTGTAGTGTAACTGTAACAATATCCATCTTTATTAGGAGAAATCATTATGAGAATATTATGTCGATTTTTTTTCTTACAGTGAATGCTGATTTAAAAAAAAAAAAATGTAGGGGTGTGCCTTAGAAAACCTTCCTCTTGGGAAACAAAACCAACTAGTGATTCCAGCAGGTCCTACAGATTCTCTGTGTAAGAAGCTAGGGAAAGGATTCCCTTTCTCTCATGATTGAACCCAAATCCTGTGTCTTTTCATGGTCCCCTGCGGCCCCAGGATCAGCCATATGCCTGATGCCCAATGTGCTGTCATATTGGGCATCTCTCTCTCTCTCTCTCAACAAAGAAGTTCCCAAAATATCTGGGAAGGCTACCTTTCCAAATTCCAGGTATGAGTCAGTCTTCTTAACATTTTATGCCTATGGGAATATTACCCTCTGGATACATACAACTCCATTCTAATGGACAAACATTTTTGAAAGTCTACTATCCACTAACTTTTTTCAATTCTTCCCTCTTAAAAACAAAAAACAACTCCCAGTCCATCTCTTCCTTATGTCAACGCCCAAAGCACTGTATCGTTACTGCTTAAAATATTAGTTAATGTGACCCTGCTCTGCAACATAGCAACTAACACTTAGCTCATTACTAGGGGGCATGGTATACCTCATCCATCGCCTTGTATCCCAGAGCTTAGGCCAGAGCCAGGTGTGTGGCTGATGCCCAATGTGCTGTCATACTTAGTATTTGGAAGCTAAATCCTGGGGCTGCAGGGGGCTATGAAAAGACACAGGATTTGGGTTCAATCACAACTAGATTTGAATCCTGGTCATACCATGTACTAGTTTTTTCACCCTGGGAAAGTCACTTGACTTTGTAAGCCTCCATTTCTTCACCTGTCAAATAGGTATATTAATGCCAGATTGATTCAAGTATTATCAAAAATATGTGTGGGAAGTATTTAACACAGTGCCTGGCACATAGCAAGTTCCCCAGAAATGGTAAAATGAACTGAACTAAGATGATAAAATCCCAAATTCTAAATCCACCTTCCTTATTGGGTGATTCTGGATAAGGCTTTTGATCTCCCTGAGACTTAGTTTACTCATGAGTACAAGAACTTTGTGAAGACCAAAATAAACAGCAGCAAATATAAGGCACCTAACAAAGTGCCTCTCCCGTTGCAAACATTCACTCTAAATGCTAGCCCCTTCCTCCCGTTTCTCTTTCCTAGCAAGTCACCTGGCAGCCTTTACAAAGAAAGAGGGAATCAATTGTACAACACTGGCCCTATTTCTCCCTTTACTCTTCTGAGATTCCAGGAGTGAGGAGAGAAATCAATGTTACAACAATGAGTCATTATTTATAGCCCAGTTCCTGAGCTGCCTCATGAGGCAGTGAACTCCTTGACACTGAGACAATCAAGAAGAATAAAACCTCCAGATGAGATGGGCTGTGGGTAGTGAGGAATAACATTAATATGCATCAATGCAGGGGAGAACTGAGTCATCGCTAAGACACCTCCCTACTCTGTGATTCAGTTGTGAGTCGCGACAGAACACAGACCATGTGACTTGGGGAAACACTGAGCAGTGCTTCCTTTATTTCTGTAGCTGCAAATAGGGACATATAACTACCCTGGTCGCATACGCTCAGACTGAAGCTGTGGCTGAAAGACACTTTATGGATGGCATTGGCTATCAGGATCCTCATATTACTTAGCAGAACATAGGGCTGTGCTTTACCCCTAGCTGAAGAATACATGCATTTTGAGATAATGTCACCTCAAAACAGTTTTGGAAATAGGCCAGGCTCCAATCAATAAATAGATGAAATTGTACAGGGAAAATTGTCTTGAAAAGCTGTCAGACTCTATAGAAAGTTTCATTGTTATACTTCACATTTTAAAAAATTATTATGCTATTTCAAATACAGATTTTGAACTATTTAACACCCACAAAACTTTCTAATATTGGTGGAAGCAAACTGATCAAGCCATCCTAACAGCTTTTCCAACTGGCTTGTTTTAGGTATAACCATGGAAAAAGGCTGTGTCTATACTGAGTTCCGGGAAGAATGTTCAAGTCAGAGTCAGCAGAAGTCAAGTGGGGCGCTGACCCTCTGGCTCTGCCCTCTCTAATCAGCCTTCCCCAACCCATTTAGAATTGGAATCTGAAGAATTCCCTTTCTGGCCCAGGATCAACAGATTTTGGTCCTGTCTACAAGCATTTTCATTTTCTTGCCCGAAAGCCTGTGCTTGGGCTTTTCTAGAGACTCAGCTCCCCCATCAATTGTCCAAAATGCCTAACTTCAGCTCCCAACTCTGTGGGTAAATAAGTCACCCACCCTCACTCTTTCTTCCTGGGCCACCCCTGGTGGAAAGAAGCCCACTGGGGCTGGGACACCTACCTCCCAGCACCTCGCAGTCGCTGTCCATGCTGTCATGCACACCTGCAAAGATGTTGGCCAGAGTGGACTTGCCCACCCCCTGCTCCCCTATGAGCACCACTCGGTAGTAGGTGTTCCCTGACTCAGAGGAGATGACTGAGTCTGTGGAGTCAGAGGACCAGCTTCGGCGGCAGTGGTCCTCAGGGGTAGCAGAATGGCGGTTGCGGTGGCTGTACTGGTGGGGCTCTTTCTGGACCATCAGATGCCTGCCATCAGCTGGGATGCTCCAGCGCTGCTGCTGTGGCTGCATGCCCACAGTGCCCTGGCGCATGGTGACATTATTCAGAGTCATCGTTGAGTCCTGGGGAGCAAAGCAGCCAAGATGGCAGCATTAGTAAGCATGAGTGAGAGCTCCGCTCAAATACATGGTCAGTCATCAGTAATATTTTATTAGATGAGATGAGAAGCAAGTATCCCTAACATAAAGACCACCAATTAAACAGTCCCCCAAACCCCAACAAGACAGGCTTTCAACTGGACACACACATGCTGCCCACACTGTCAGTAACCAGCTCCTCAGGCAGACTATCATTTGCATGGGAAAACAAATACGGTTAACATCACCCACTGCCCATGGGCTTCCCCCTTCCTCAAAGCAGACTTGGATGAAAGAAGAGCTGCACTCAGAGCTGGCACAAAGGCAGCTGGAAAGAACCAGCAGACTCCAAAGATGGCTTGAAAAGCAACAAGTTAATGTTGCTGGGGACCAGCTGGTCAGGTTAGCTGCTCTTGTCTAAACTTGGCTCTTAATTGCACCAGTGTCCAGCAGGTTTTGTGCCTCAGTGGGAAACACGTGGCAATGACATCACCCTCCCCTCCCCTGCCCACTGCAACCCTGGCTGGACTGGACAGGCACTTATTGGAACTTCCATGTTTAGTAAAGTTGCCTTGATGCTCTCCAGCTGCCTGGAGAGCATCCACCTGCCATTATTGGGGGTAGGGGGGAAATTTTCTGTTTAAAGTTTATGCCTCAGCTGTGCCCTCTTACCCACAGATACCACTTTTAAAACATCCCGGCTCCAAACCTAGACACCCTGGCAGAGAAATGACCTGCTCATGTTCAGACCTATGAAATTTGCAGAGAAAGTGCCTCATTCTTAAAAAACCACATCCATTCTCAAGAGTTCTTTAATTCAACTCAGATTCCTTTTTTGAGTCAGGGTCTTGCTCTGTCACCCAGGCTGGAGTGCAGTGGCACGATCATAGCTCACTGTAGCTAGCCTCCAACTGCCAGGCTCAAGAGATCCTCCACTTCAGCCTCCCAAGTAGCTGGGACTACAGACCTGCACTACCACGTCCACTAGTTTTTTTATTTTTATTTTTATTTTTTGGTAGAGACAGTGGCCTCACTATGTTGCCCAGGCTGGTCTCGAACTCCTGGGGTCAAGTGATCCTCCTGCCTCGGCTTCCGAAAGTGCTGAGATCACAGGCCTGAGCCACCATTCTCAGATCCCCTTCTTGAAGCAAATCAGAAGGCTGAAGACTCCCCTAAATGATATTCAACAACTTCTCTACAACTTTCCCTTTGCAGACTGCCTCCCCTAGCCGGGAGGTCTGTTTTTCCGGCTACTGGTGATAAAGTATAAGTACTTACGTTGCAATCAGCAAGATGCACAAACACTCCTCTCCCACCCTCACCCCCACACTCCGTACCCCAACATCTCGCCACTAACCAGGACGACCAGCCGGTTTTTTAGTCTCAAAAGCAGCACCTCAGTTGGCAGACTTACATTCAAACAACAAATACATAAAGCATCATTAAGGGCTGCCCTCTCTGACCACTCGATCTGTAGAGGGAGGTGACCCTTCTACCGAATTGAACTAAGGAACCTGCTGATGAGAAGCGACATCCTTTGCACTTGAAGCTCTGACCCCTACCAGAAAATCCCAGTGCTGAGCGCACGTTCCAGGGGTTCTTTTCTCAACTTCGAAAGTTCTGCGGGCTGGGAAACTCCCACTCTCTCCCTTCTCCGTCTCGGGCCGTCCCCCTTACTTGGCTCGGCCGGATCGGCGTCGGGGCGTCAGCGTATCGCGTGGGTCCGCGCTGGGATACCCGGGCCAACGAGCGGGGAGTGCTGCGCTGTGCCCGCCGTCCTTGCCCGCCGCCTGCAGCCGCCGCGGCCGGGCGGTTTATAACCAGCCCAGCCGACCCGCCGCGGGGCTTTTCCGTGACGTCAGCGCCCCCGCCGGGAGGGGGCGGCTCTGCAGCAAACTCGGAGTTGCAGCCACTTGGCTAAATCAGTTACTCGCAGTCATGTGACCCCTTCTCTCTCCATTTAAAAAATAATGACAGTTCAATCCTGGGCCTCCTTTATTTTGTTTTATTTTCTTTTTACCAGATGAACACAGGAAAATGGAAAAATACACTAAGTGACACTTAATCGTCCTTCCCAGCAAAGCACTTGCGAGCTGTCGGGATAAAGGATGGAAGGGAGAGGCAGGTTTGAGTTGAGAACTCAGTTTTGCCAAGAAAACAGAGATCAACCTGGAATGCGCAGAGACTTTAGCCTCCAGGATGAGACTGCAGCCACCTTGAATAGCCAAGGCTTGTTTTAACCACATCTTCTGCAACGAAGACAGCCTTGTCACCTTCTTCTGGATAGGGGGAAGCAGATGGAGCCCCACAAGGCTTTGTTTCCCTTCTCTGGCAAGGACCCAGAGAGAAGGGGCCAGAAAGAGGTGAGGAAAGAGGACAAGACCTTGAAAAGGGCAGTTTGGAAAAACAATTTAATTGAGGATCCAAGCAGATTGTGCTAAATATTGCTGGCCCTCCTGCTCTGGGCCAGAATGCTGAGGCTCCTCAATCAGGGAATTTAATCAGCATCCCAATCAGCAGCATCTCTGTACCAGGCTCCCTGGCAAGGCTACGCCTTGGGCATGAGCCAATACAGCCTGGCCATGGGGAGGAGCACTGAGACCAACACCCCTGTAAGAGACTCCTGTGAACAAAGGGCACAGGATAATAACTACTACTACCATTTATTAAGTACCTCTGAGGACCTCTGCTTAGTAGGTACTGTTAGGCCTCCTGGGACCTTAATCCTTACTATACTTCTGCAAGGTGGCTCTATTTCTACCCTCATTGTATGGAGGAGGAAGATAACATAGGGCCAGAGAATTTGCCCAAGGTCACACCGCTGGTATAAGTGGCAGGGTCAGGACTCAAAGCCTGGTTTTCCTGAGTCTCTGCACTGCACCACCAAGTGAAGGATTTCAATGACCTCTTTCTGGGGACATGGGTATTTCCCAGATGCTGTGTTTAGAGATGATGCTGGCCTCTCCAACATATCTGCTTTTCCAGCCAGCTTCAACTCTGGGTTGGCTGGTGGCTCCGGGAAGCAGCCAAAGGCACCAGCATCTATTGAAGCAGCTGGACTCTGCTGTGATTAGAGTCAATTCACAGTTATCCTGCAGGCATTTATCTGCTTTGAGAATTAGCTACATGACCAGCTGCTGAGACCTGCCAGGTCCCAAGCTAGCAAAGGTGGAATCCATAGAGTAATGAAAACTTAGAATTCCTTTAGTCTCAGGTGTTGTGGCCCCAATCTCCTACTTATCTTATACATAAGAAACCTGAGACCCAGAGAGGAGATGACCGCTTAGGACATGACAGAACTGGAACTACAACCTGGGGATCATAATTCTCTGGATGCCCTTTGCTTCTGTCAAGTTTTTCTTCTGGGTTTCGCTGACAGGAAGTGGCTACAGATGTGGGGAAAGGAAAAGGAGAGGAGATGGGGGGTGGGGGAGATCATCTCCAAGAGTATATCACTGACTCCATTCTAAAACACATGTAATTGATGAATAATCCATGTTTCAAAATGATCCATGCTTTTTCCATACTGACACTCCTACTCTGTCAACTGGTCTCAACAGAAACATCATAGGAGTAAAAACTAAGAAGAAATCAGTTTATAAGCATATGATATAGTTCCTCAGTTCTACTTTTGCCGATTGATAAGAATCTAATACTTCACATTTATAAAAACCTAATTCTGGCCAGGCACAGTGGCTCACGCCTGTAATCCTAGCACTTTGGGAGGCTGAGGTGGGTGGATCACGAGGTCAGGAGTTCAAGACCAGCCTGGCCAACGTAATGAAACCCTGTCTCTACTAAAAATACAAAAAAATAGCCGGGCATGGTGGTGGATGCCTGTAATCCCAGCTACTCAGGAGGCTGAGGCGGGAGAATCGCTTGAACCTGGGAGGCAGAGGTTGCAGTGAGCCGAGATCGTGCCATTGCACTCCAGCCTGGGCGACACAGCAAGACTCCATCTCAAAACAAACAAACAAAACAAACAAAAAAAAAACTAATTCCATACCTAGGCAATATCTACTATGAACTATTTGTCATTGGTATATGTGAAACATACAAAAGAAAATGAACTCCAGGGACTGGGGAAAGGGAAGGGGCACACAGCAATGTTGTGTTTGGATAATAGAACAATTTTTAAATTTTTTAAATTGTCTGTCTCACAAGAAGCCACATGAACACAAACAAGAACACTACTTAAGAAGAGTCTTGACTAAAAGTTAAGTTTGAGTAATTATTTAGAGAAAAATCATAGTTATACTTCACAAAAAGCACATCTGAGCGCCAAATCTCATCTAGCCAAGTCTCAGATCCCTCGACCAGGATTCCAGCTCACTGGGATCATCTTGAGGGTGTGGAGCTGGAGAGAAAAGGTAGAATCAGGGCATTTGGGTAAGTGGCAAGTTTTGAAGAGGAAAAATTGGCAGAAAGTTGTCTTTTGTTCTATGAATTATTCTCTCCATATTCTTTCTGCCAGCATTTGAAGGCTTCCTCAGTTTCTAGCTACAATGAGTAGCTCAAGAGTATAGCAAAGAGGCAGAATTCAAAGCAACAAAAATAACTCACATTTACTTACCAAAATGCATGCCTATCTCAGCTAATCCGCATCACCCCTACAGTTACCCATATTCTATGGGGAAAGGTGCTGAGGAATGAGGGTTAAATAACCAGCCCAGGGTCACAGGGTGGTTAGGTGGCAGATGTGTACTCTCTGGGGCCACAGTCTTAACTGCTGTTCTATTTAGAGTAGGGGATATACGTCAGTCCTCATTCCCATACTAGCCCCACCTTGGCCTACCACCTTCCTAAAACCCTCAAAGGAGAAGTTTTTGTCTGATTGGCCAAAGCCCATGACCTTCACTGGGCCACCTGTTCCTAGTGGGCCGAGTTACTCTACTTAAAGGCATGAGCCATCCTTTCCTCTCTCTTTTCTCCACATCCCTGCCCTAGGGCAGAAGGTGAAGTTGGGGTCTGTTTGGGGACTCTGCCTACTACTCTGCCACTGTCACTGTCACTTAGCATGTAGACTTGAGCAACCAGTTCCCATGATTTCAAATAGGATGAGAAAGGAAGGAAAGACGTAGGGAAAGAATAGGACCTTTGACCAGGGTTGTAAATAAGGGCATCTGGGACTTGCACAGACATTAAGATAATATTACTTTGAATACCATGTCTTGAAAACTCTAAGAGAGGAGAGATGATGGGTAGGCTCAGGATCTGTACATGCCTGGGTCCATTATACTATTCTAAAAGCTGTAATTCTATTCCAAAAGCAACAGAATCTAAAAGCAACAGAATCATCTATACTATAGACTTACTACAACCAAGGTCATGCTTGCCCAAGCCATCAAGTAAATGCTACTCAGTGGTAAAGGGGACACCATGCAAACGTTCTCCCTTTCCCAACAAGGAGGTAGATTATAGACTAAACACTGAGTAAGAAATAAATTAAATGGGTTTTTTCCTATTATTTTTTAAATGTTTCTTTTTTTCTTTCTTTCTTTCTTTTTGTATGTTTTTTGAGAGACAGAATCTTGCTATGTTGCCCAGGCTGGCCTCACCACTCCCAGGCTCAAGTGATCCTCCAGCTTCAGCCTCCTGAGTTACTGGGACTATAGGTGCTGGGCTCTGTTTTGCATTTTAATGCCTTTAGGCAAAGCATGCCGGCCAGTTTCCCACAATCCTTACTAATCCTTAATATATTCTACTCCAAGCAGTTTCATTTATACTATCTACCTGGCCCCTAAAGGCATTTGACTTTGGGATCTTTGCCTGGGCTGAAAGAAATGGTAGGGGATTTAACATCAGAAAAGGAGGTTCAAATCCAGGCCTTTCCTCTTATGCATGTGATGCTGGGGATGTCACCAAGCCCCAGAGGCCTTGGCTTCTGCTGTTCTGAGGACTAAAGAGCTATGGAATGTGGAAGTGCTTGTTAACCACGGAGCACTATGTCAATAAGAGTGATTATGATTATGACGCAGGAGCCAAGGATTGAAGCTTAGCCACCTGCCCTCGGTTTTGCTGCCTCTTAAGGCTCCAGCTAAATTAATCCAGCAGAATTCAAGACACATGGGGTGGAGGGAGGATGGGCGAGAAATATGCTCATATTAGATGTTACTAGGAAAATATCATTAGCAAGGAGGTTGTTGTAAACAAGAAGATGGAGGCCAAATACCCAGCACACATCATAGGTCTCCACCAGCCACAAAAACATTCAGGGGAGGAGCTGGGTGGGAAGCAATTTGCAAAGTGTCTGAGCACAAAAAGAACCACCCACCAACTTTGGGAAGTCTAAAGAAGGAAAGAATTACTATATGGAAAATCATTGCTTTAGAGAAGGGGGATAAAAAAGCCTTCAATCGCAAATTCAAGAGAGGCCTGATTACAAGAAAATAAAGACAGAAGAAAAGATGGCTAAGAATAACGTGTCAGCATCCAGAGGCCTGTGAGATCCAGATGGACAGCCCCTCCAGCTGCATCCTCCCCAGACCAGCCCCCAGCTTCTCATCAGACTCCTGCTGAGCAGATTGAATTTTCCATTGAAAAAATTCTTAGCTATCACCCCTCCTTCCCTCCATTGGCCCAGCCTGCTGCAGGCCTGGAGAGTGCCAGTGGCAGAGATAGCTAGAGCCCTTCCTTCTAAAAGCTTGCAGAGTAAGTGCAGAATGTATCTTAGTAGGCTGGGAGGAGCCTCCTAAAGAAAGCAAATGTTTTCTTCCCAGGCTCCCTCCATCCATCCACATTCATTCATTAAACAACAGATAACTACTGAGAATCTACGTTATGTAAAGACCTGTTCTAAGGGTTAAGAATATGATCCTTACATTCACAGAACTTCTACTCTGGTAGGAGAAATAATAAATAAAGAAATAAAGTATCACCATGTTCAGTCATTCATGCACTCATTCTTTCTCTGAGCATGCGACCCTTTAGCCTCCATTTTCTCATCTGCAAATAGGGAATGATAATACTGAAAGGAAGTATAAAGTAGGGATTAAGGGCATACCCATTCAGAGGTCTGACAACACCCAGGTCAGTGAAAATGTAAAGAATGGAAGCTCTCATGCCCAGCAGGTGGGAGTGTAAGTTCGTAAGGCCACTTTGGAAATCAACTATCAACACCTAAGATGTGCATATCCTTTGAGATCCAGCAATTCCACTTCTAAATGTACATCTTATATGTTACAGAAAAAACAAATACAAGGATGCTCATGAAAGCACTGTTTGCAATAGCAACAATCAGAAACCAACTAATGGCCATCAATGAATAAATGCATTGTGGTATATTTACACAATGAAATAGTATACAGCACTGAAAATGGATGAAGTAGATCTACTTGTATCAACAGAAGTAAATGTTGAGACCATATGGTAACTTGAAGAAGCAAATTGCAGGATATCAACAGGGTAATACACTATATAATTTTTACATACCACACTAGTGTTTTATGGTTAAATACACAGTTAGTAAAAGGATAGAAACGAGGATGAGAAAAATAGACATCAACTTCAGAATAGAATTATCTCAAGTGAAGGAGGGGAATGACAATTAGATGGACAGAAGACTTCTCAAAAACAACCGAGAAGCCAGGAAATACTTGCATAATAAGATGAAAGTGCTCAGTGAAAATAATTGTTAATGTGGAATTTTATGCCCAACTAAACTGTAGTTCAACAATGTGAGCTAAACAGGTCAGGTGCAGTGGCTCACACCTATAATCCCAGCACTTTGGGAGGCCGAGGCGGGCAGATCACTTGAGGTCAGGAGTTCAAAACCAGCCTGGTCAACATGGTGAAACTCTACCTCTACAAAAAAATACAAAAATTAGCCAGACATGGTGGCAGGCACCTGTAATCCTAGCTACTCAGGAGGCTGGGGCAGGAGAATTGCTTTGCAGAGGTTGCAGTGAGCTGAGATCGTGCCACTGCACTCCAGCCTGGGTGACAGAGAGAGACTCTGTCTCAAATAAATAAATAAAAATAAAACTCCGATGTGAGCCTAACAAATATTTATCGAGTACTTGTTATTACTAAGCAATATCCTAAGCTGCAGAGACACAGAATTATACAAGTCTAGGTTTCTGTCCTCCAGGAGCTTAAAGTCTGATGTTCCTTTCCCCAGAAAGTACCAAATCCATGAGATCATCTAAGAGCTACATAAAAGCTTTAGCCCAATGCATATTTGGTTTCCCAACCAACACAACCTTTTTCCTAGAGTTCCCTCCCTCAGCAACAGAATGCTTAATGACACTATTTTGACCCAAGGAGTCAAAAACAAGACTAATGCAAAGTCCTTGATTTAGCCAATTATAATGACATGGGGATTCTTCAATGATAAATTTAGAAAGGTCAAAGGAAGAAACAGCTGGGTTGAAGACATAGGCAGTTAACACCTTTCATACATGGTTATAATTATTCCCATTTG
The DNA here is from genome assembly GCF_000001405.40 of Homo sapiens. NCBI lineage: Eukaryota > Metazoa > Chordata > Mammalia > Primates > Hominidae > Homo > Homo sapiens. The sequence continues at coordinate 94,268,950 of NC_000008.11, forward strand.
CCTGCTTTGTTTGCTTAATCTCACCATCTTCCTGATTTCCAGGTCTTTATTGAAACAGGTGGATGATTTCTCCAACACTTAAAAGGCAGCAAGACTCTTTAGCTTTGGTAGGATGCAAGTAACTCACCCCTGCAATGAACATCATCCAGAATGTTTTAAAAAATAAAAATGAATGAAGCCCTTAATTGATGAAAAGTTATATGTCTAAGTTTCTGTTATTTTGTAAAGATTCCTTCATTCCCCATTTAAAATCTTTGAGTAAAAAACTGTTATACTGTGTTCTCTACGTAAGCAAGGTATCATTTTTAACCCAGAATAGTGCATTTACTGGAGTTGGTGAATTTAATAGATGAAATAATGATTATAGTGGCTAGCATGTGTGCCAGGCACTGATGTGCATTATCTAACTTAATCCTCACAACAACTCTATGAAGCAAGTACTATTATTATTCTCCTCTTATAGATACGGAGACTGAGATCAGGTAACATAGCTAGGAACTGGCAGACTTCATCTAACTCTTTTTTGTTTGTTTGTTTTTATGAGACAGGTTCTGACTCTGTCACCCACGCTGGAGTGCAGTGGTGCAGTTATGGCTCACTGCAGCCTCAATCTCCCCAGCCTCAAGTGATCCTCCCATCTTAGCTTCCTAAGTAGCTGGGACTACAGGCATGCAGCACCACACCCAGCTAATTTTTTTTGTATTTTGCAATACATGGTTTCACCATGTTGCTCAGGCTGGTCTCAAACTCCTGGACTCAAGAAATCTGCCCACCTTGGCCTCCCAAAGTGCTGGGATTACAGGCATGAGCCACCATGCCATGCCTGGCTACCATCTAACCCTTATCTACAACTCTGGTCCATGCAGTGAGACTTTCTCAGCTCTGAAGTGCAGACACCAGCACTGGGTAGTGGTAAGTAAGTGAAAAAAATTGGACAATGTCATATTAGTACAGAGGTGGCTGTATGCATGTATAGGTCAGCCTCCTTCACATGACTGGGAGCTGCTGGAAGGCAGGACTATTCCTGTCCATCTCTGTATCCCAGCTCCTAGGAGCAAACCTAGCACACAGAGGGAACTCAGTATGTGTCCATTGAAAAACTGAATAAATGAACAACATGCACCATCACCTTATCTGGTCAGTTATTTAAAAGCCCCTAATTTCACCATTGCACGGTAACTCTTCAGAAGGACAGGCCTTCATCCCAGGCAGTGGAGCTGAGTGATTCAACAATCATGTGCTCGGCTCTCACAATGTGCCAAGGTACAACAAGGCCCCACATTGGAGAGGATCAGGGCCCAGAAGGAAAGAAAGATGTGCACACATAGGGTGTGATTGGATGCAGAATGTGGTGAGATGCAATGCTAGATGTAACACAACGAATGAGATGAGGGCACAGACCACAGGGTCTCCTCCTTTGCGAGAGAGCCTCCCCGCCCCTCATCATGCCTGCCTGGGCCCATGCTGCACACTCTTGTAATTGCAATCTCCTCTCCCTTGGGAAGAGCAACATTGGGAACCATCTCCTCTGGTCCTCTCCTCAGGTCCTTCTCCTTCCATGGAGAAGGATTGACCTTCCTGATTGGCGAGATCAGGGAAGAGACTGAGCATGTGCAATCAGGTCTCCTTACTTGTTCACTGGAGCAAGGCTGCCTGCAGGATGGGGCATTGCTTTTCCTTTTCCTCTTCCTTCAAGTGGCACAAGGCTTGCAGTTGCTCTTTGCATGAACAATATGGCAATCCTAGTGGACGGCCCTCCAACAGCTTTCCCTCTCAGAGGATGGATCATAATTGGTCTAAATCGGTCAAGGTAAGCTCATCTCCTATGTCAGGGATTGATCTAAATATGGGCACTTGATCTCATTGTGGTCAATAAGATGCAAAAGAATGAAAGCTCCTGGGAAAGAATTTCCTCATATATAAAAAGAAATCCCTCCTTTCTCAACCCACCTCTTCCTGTCTCCCAAATCTATGGTCTGAGAACTTTTGAGGTTTATCACTCCTTTAAACCTCAACTTACACGGAGGTGGGGATCATATCTGATATATTTACCACTGCACACTCAGTATCTAGCATAGCGCCTGGCTTATAGGTGGCATTTAATAATTATATTCAATACAGAATGTGATTACTTCCAGCTAGAGTGATTGAGAAGGCTTGATATAGTGATATTAAGATGAGCCTTTAAATGTAATAATACTCGTAACATTAATAAGAATAGTAAGAAACTGAAATGTAGAAACTTTGATTAACTTGCCCAAGTTCCCACAGCTAGAAAATGGTAAAGCTAAAGATTTGAACCCCAACTTCTGATTCCGGAGAACATGGACTTAATCCAGTAGTCCACTGGGAACCATAAATTCAACAATACAATTCAACTCAGCAAACATGTAAAATACCTATTATATCGCAGGCTCTAGGAATACAAATAAATGACAGTCCCTGTACAAGATGGTCAGGAAGAAAACCAAGTAATTAACAATATTAATAGCTGCCCATTCTTGAGCCAGGTATTTTGTCGACCGATTTACATGTATCATGTCATTTAATATTTTCAACAATCCTATGTGGTCATTATTAACACTATCCACATTTTACAAATTAGGGAACTGAGGCAGAGATATTAAGTAACTTATCCAGGATCACACAGCCCAGTGACAGAACTGTGACTTGTATCCAAGCAACTGTACTTCAGAGTAGCAGCCATTATATACCCAAAACCATCATTGTAAAGTGACATGACAGACCCTATCACAGAAGTGTGTAATGGTGGAGGCAGCAAAGGAGTTGGGGTGATAAACTGTGCTTGAGTGGACCAGAGAAAACTTTACAAAATAATTTTCAGCCATCCATATGTTTTGAAGTACGGAAAGAAATTGGCAGGGAAGTTTCTTCATGCCTGCATGTGTTGTTGGGGGAGGGCGTGTGTATTTGTGTGTGCACATGTGGGGGGAGGGTGTGTGTATTTGTGTGTGCACATGTGGGGGGAGGGTGTGTGTATTTGTGTGTGCACATGTCGGGGGAGGGCGTGTGTATTTGTGTGTTCCATGCATGTGCACACACCAACATGTAGATAGGATATGCGTATGCAAAAATAGCATCTGGAAAGCCTATCTGAGATGGATGAAGAACAATGTAGCTGTGGGGAAAATGCAAGAAAAGATAGAGCCAGAAAGGTAGTCATGGGTCCTCAAAAAAATTCTGAGCGGTGAAAGAAAAGGCATTGGCTTTGTAAATGCTCTGTTTACTCCTCTGCCAGGAACTCAAAGTTCCAGCAGGAGGTCAGATGACAAGAGGTAAGGAGAAACCTATCAAGGTCCAGAAGCAAACAAGGAGAAGCCAGCTCCTCAGCCTTCACGTCTGAATGGGTGCAGAAGCCATGACATGCAGGTACGCATCCAAGGGCCAGGAGGTACCCACAGTTTCTATAAGGGAGCAGCTCCATAAAATGGAGCTAAGAGGCTCACACGAGGCCCGCTGGCTGCGCCACCCAAACCCCCCACGCCCCAGGGGGAACCTGAGATCTGCCAGGACCAGCCAGAGCACCTGAGAGAGATGTGCCCGTGCACAGCGCCACCAGCTGGCTCAGGGAGGCGTTTCCTGCCCAAACACCCACTTTCTATTCCCCTCTTCCACTTTCTCCTCCCACACCCCTTCTCTCCTCTCCACTTCTTTGTCCTGGATCTATGTTATTTTTCTGAGCATCCAATACACAGCAAATATGGTTTGTGCTCAGCCGAGGGATTGCCATCTATACTCAATGTGAAACATCACGGTTGGATGGGGAACAGATGTTTCTGCCCATTAAAATTTATATGAAAACTATAAACGTTCCTCTGACAAATGAAATAAGTAGAAACCTCTGAGAAATTGTAAAGTCATCACCCTTGGGAAATTCAGCAGGAGTGATGCATGACCCAGTGGCAACAGTGCTTGCCATTTTTCTTTCTAAATTAAAACACAATCTGGGTAGAGAAAAGCAAGCCCCTTGCAAATGACACATAGAACCAATATCCTTGGCTATGTCTCTCACACTAGGGAATTCTCTCCTTGGGTTAAGAAATTGCATAGCAAAAATACCATCATCATAATTATTACCCTAAAGAATTTTATTAGGTATCCATCCATTTGTATGCTTAGATTATATAATTTAATATGTGGTTTGGTGTCAGGTTTTATGTTGTTTTTTGTACCTTCAAATTGCCAATGAGAAAAACTATGTATTCACTCTTTCACTGCATGAATTTTGAAGAGCCCATTAGGTATTGGGCCAGATGCTAGGCTGTCTCTGGGATGCACAAATTAAAACAACACAATCCTTCCCCTTACTAAAATCATAATCACTGAACCCACATTCAGTATTGAAATGTCTGTTCACCTCAAAGACCAAGCCCTGTCATCACACATGGACAAGATCATAGTGAGACTTCAACTGGGGAAAGAGGAACCACTGAGCCTGAGAAAAAGGGCATGCAGTGCTCCCAATCCTAATGTAGCAAACATGCTCCTGCCCTCCAAGGACACAAAGATGTGTATAAAGCAAAGGGTAACCAGAAGAGAAAACAGCAGAAGTATTCTCAAATAGCAATTGGTATTTGGTGCTTAAAAATCTAACTCCATTAGTTCCTTTATCCATTATTATGGGATGATTTCGTTAGTATGTCAGATTCTCCAAGTACATTTGTGTTAGTCCTTTCTAGATTGCGAGAAACTGAGACATTCTCAGCTGTAGACTTACTGTGAGAGAAGCAAGAAACTATGTTGACTGCTGCCCTGCTGAGTTTCATGGAAAACACAAATTTCATACAGATTACCACACAACTTCTACTTTCTCATTGAGAATCTTCGTTGCAAAAATTGGAAACTGTCTCAAGTCACTTTTTTTTTTTTTTTTTTTGAGACAGGGTCTTACTCTGTCGCCTAGGCTGGCGTGTAATGGTGCCATCACAGTTCAGTTCACTGCAGCCTCGACCTCCCGAGCTCAGGTGATCCTCCCATTTCATTCTCCTGAGTAGCTGGGACCACAGGCACACCACCACCCCCAGCTAATTTTTGGATTTTTTTGTAGAGATGAGGTTTCGCCATGTTGCCCAGGCTGGTCTCAAACTCCTGGGCTTAAGCAATCCTCCCACCTCGGCTTCCTGAAATGCTGGGATTACAGGCGTGAGCCACAATGCCTGGCCAATTTTTTAAAATACTAGTGGATATTATTAAAATGCAGATATCTTGAGGCCCTAAGGGACTTCTTCAAGGGGTCAGAGACAGGAAATAGAAATCTATCAGAAGCCAAGACTCACACACTGTCTCACGCCCTCTTTCCACATGGCCTCTCCATGTCTGCTTCTTGCCACATATGTTTCTCTTCTCTCCACACACTGGCTTTGCTTCTTCTCACCCCATAGCTCTAGTCCCTTTGTTCCAGCCACAGGCAGGGACAGACAATCTCACAGACCCAATTCCAAAGTCCCAGGAAAGAGCATCTGATTGGCTAAGCTTGGATGAAACAATCAACCTTGGTCCAATCAACTGAAGCCTGGAAGGCAGAGCCTGGAACTGTAGCACAAATACGGCTGCCACACAGAAGCCTTGAGTGTGAAAGGAGGAGGCTCTCTAAAGAAAGGGATTGCTGTGAACTGAGCAAAGGCCACAAAAGGTGTCTGCTAATCTTTGGCAATTCTGTCATCTCCCCTCAGAGAGCTTCCCTTGCTCCCTGTCCCAGGGCTCTGCTTTATGGTGACCCAGATACTGGTAGTCTCTACTCGCTAAGTTTCTCCCCTCTCTTATTCCCTGTCTCATGACTTCTTCTTACCTATAGTTGCTATTATTTCACGCCTTCTACTTACTGCCTGTCTCCATGTCTCTTGACTTCTGTGCCACTTGACTGACAGCATCTCTCTGAGTTAACAGAATTAATTCTCCCAAAAAGTAGATTGGGTTGGACAGGCCTGTCAACCTCAACTGACCTGTAGCTCTCTTTGGGTCAGTCATCAATCGATCTGTGGTCCCATCAGCTATGGCCAGGGCAGTGGGGTTACCAGGGTATAGAATAGAGATGGAGGGTACAAAAATAAGCAAACCATCTGCTTCTACTTTTCCCAGAAAAGAGCCATGGGTCTGGCAGTTTTCCTATGAGCTTCTAATACATTGCAAAAGACCTGTCATGTCTCCAAATACTCTCTTGACATATTAATAAAATAAGCTCCTTAGGAATCTCTACGCTTTTTAAATTCTCAAACAATAACTAGTTTAGCATTTCATATACATTTAATACAATTAATACATTTAATAAAATAAAATTACTACTGTACTACTCAGTGTACTATTGTACCCTCAGCTGGTATTTTACTAAACCTTAATAAACCTTGTCCTTCTCAAATACCTACTTCCAAGAGTCTTAAAGTAAAATAGGGCAAGCAATTAATAGATTAAAGGAAAAAACTCCTACACATCACAGAATCGTTGACTGCTACATAACTTCTTGGTGACTAAGGCCTTACAATCCTGGTGGTAATATTGTGGTTCTTTTTGTAAAATCCTCTGTAAATTACTTATTTAAGCAGCTAGAGGCAAGCGTATAAAAGTATCTGCTCTCTGTCCTGCTCTTCACTGAGAAATATGAGCTAATTAATACGAAATGTTACAATGCCTCAATTCTCACTATAAATTAAGGAGAAATGTAACACACAAAGTAAGAGGAAAGAATATATTACTGAGAACAAAAGAACATATCACTGAGAACCAATAGGAGTTTTAGAAAAAGACAGATACATTATGTTACACATAAGATCCTAAATATTTTAATCTCCTAGATACAAGCCCAGCTTCCAATTCATTTACGACCTAAAACATCCAGTTACTAGTGAGCACATCCCTGTACTGAAGATGCAGATCCTCTGCTGCAGAAAGTTCTTTCACCCAAGAATAGTCACATACCCATCCTTGCTGCCAGCCCAGATGGGGCTTCTCAGCTAGGGAAAACTTCATTAGGGGTATGATGTGTTTTATCTAATTGATAGCCACAGATGGGCAATCTTTCTGTCATGCCACTGAATAAAGATGTCCTTTTGGGCTCATTTACAAAACTGAAATGTAAAATATTATTTTAAATGGTAGAGGAGCACAAACGCATTGTCTAGCTTTGTACAACTCTTTCCATAAGGAGGGACATTGGTCAGAATTACCCTCATGGTCAGGATACCCAGGCTCAGAAGACAGGAGGAGAAGTAACCTGTCTAAGAAGAGCTATATCCCTGCTTCTTGAAATGAATTCAAATCTGGTGTAGATGGCCTGTCCCTGCCACAGGTCCCTCTCTCACATCTTGTGGTATAAAACAGCTCTTGCCAAGTAGAAGTCCAACGTAAAACCAACAGTGATTTCTCTTGAGACATCAGATCTAAAATGGAATAAACCCTTATTAGCAAAGTTCAAAAGTAGCATGTGATATCCAGAAAATCTGGGCTACAAGGATAAAAAACCAAAATAGAATATGCAAATGTGAGAAACACATGAGTTTAATTACTGCAAATGTAAATATAGAATTCCTAGGTAAATCTTTTAGAATGAAAAAGCCATGAAAATATATTGATTAGACATGAGCCCCTCGATAGCAGTTGTATATTGCAGTGATACTAAACCATACCAAAACTTCGTAGCTTAAAAATAACAATAATTTATTAGTTCATGATACTATGTGTCATCAGCATGGGCTAGAGGCAGATGGGTGCTTCTCATCGGGGCTTATTTATGTGGCAACTATCAGGTAGCAGCCTAGCAGGGACTAGATGATACAAAATAGCTTTGCTCATCTGACTGGCTGTTGGTTGGGCCTCTCTCTCTCCATGTGGTCTCTCATCTCCAACAAGATTAGCCTTGGTTCTTCCCATGGCAGCTACTGCTGGTCTCTCATCTCCAACCAGATTAGCCTTGGTTCTTCCCATGGCAGCAGTAGCATTCCAAGAGAACAAGACTGGAAGCTGCAAGGCCTGAACTCCCACAGCTAAAACTCCTATAATGTGTAACTTCCTTCATTCTATTGGACAAAGCAAGTCACAAGGTCAGCTCACATTCAAAATGCGAAATAGACTTCACCTATTGATGGGAAGAGAGGCAAAGTCATATTGCTCAGAGCATCCAATACAAGGAAAGGAGGAATCTATGGCCATTTATTGCAATCTATACAAGCAAAGAAACACATCCTAATGAGCTCTATTCTCCCTAGCACCTAATATAAGGTTTGGTACACATGGACAATATTTTAAGTCTGTTGTTAAATGAATACATAAGTCTTTAGAAATATAGTTAATCCATTGCTGATAAGAGAAATTTCAAAATTAAAACTGCCAGTGCTTTTTTAAAATTAGGGTATTAACCTTTATCAACTCTAGTCTTATGTCACTATCCTTACCCTTTCTCTTACATTGGCATGAAAATTTGTTTTCTCCAAATAACTAAGCTGAGATCAGGCTAATTTGACATCTTCTTGAAAATTTGTGCTAGTTCTCTAATCTAGCTTCTATTATCATCAAAATAACATGGGCCATACCAGATATAATTGTATAATCTGCTTATAAATATAACCCCAATGTTCTGTCCCACAGCATCCAAAAGCATACACAACCACAATTCATCGTGGCAGGAATGCAGGCTTATTCACAGCTCATCACAAACAAACTGGGGGCCCATTTCAAAGTCTACCTAGGAAGGGCACCCAGAAATGTCCACCTTTTAAGTTCTCCTTTTTTTCTTTTCCATCCGCAGCCCCTTCTCTTTTCATGAATGGTAGCATGTTTGCTGCTGAGTAGTTTTGTCGGCCTGTTTCCCACCTGTAGAATTTGGGGAGGTGGAGGAGGTCTGATAGCCTTCCTTCATTTCATGCTCTGTCCCTTTCAGGCTAAATTGGCAGCCTTTCTTGTGGTATAAAATTATTAAAAACCTTGTGAGTCCTCTGTGTATGTCACAGGAATTCATTCCATTAGGCAAGAGTCTTGTCCACAGATCTTTGCTACATAGTTTATTTCTATTTTTGCTTTTGCTGAGATGGCTGAGGGACAATGCCCTTAAGCTTCTTAGATGCTCTCTGGTTTGATTAAGATATCTGTGTGCCACACCCTTCAAGGAGGCTTTTGTGTGACTGAATGCTCTGATCTTTTGATCTTTCTGAGATAATAGCAAAAGGTAGTGATGGAGGATTTTTCTTGGCCCCTTCGCTCCACTCGCAGGAGGGGTGTCCTGTCTACTCGGCCCGCCATGCTGAACCCCTTGTGGGAGGGAGCACATGAGTGAGCGAGTGCGAGATCCGGTCAGCTGCTCCAGGCGCCGGCAGAAGCAAGCTCCATGGAGGGCTCCTGGTGGTACCCAGGTGAGGGTTCCTGTGACCCTGAAGCACCAGGGTGGGTGTTACGGTGCTCTTTTAGTTCCGCTGTCCACAGGCAGCAGTGTGTTAGCAGTTCAGCTGACCCCTTGTAGTGGCACTTGGGTGAGGGTGCCCATGACCCCAAGATCCCAGAGTGTGTTACAGTGTTCTTTTAGTTTTGCTGTCTGCGGACAGTGGTGTGTTAGCAATTCAGTTGGCCCTTTTCCTTGTTGCTTAGGGCAGCTGCCTTCCGCCAGAGAGGGCAAAAGGCCAGTGTAACGCCCTTTCCGGGTACCCACACTCAGTGGGTCCCAAGCTCTTGCCCAGCATCCAGGAATAATGAGGTTGCTCAGACAATTAAAGGGCAGATAATTTTATTATGCATTAAAAACGGCTCTCAGCAGAGAGGGGAGCTGGAGACGGGGCAAGATGGACAGGCTGTCTTACCCCAAAGTCTGGTTGTCTCTTCCATAGTCTGGCCATGTCTTCCCTGAAGTCCAGCCGTCTCCCACACTACTGACAGAGTCTGGGGTCTTTATAGGCACAGGATGGGGGAAGGGCAGGCCTTAGGTAGTTTTGGAAAAGACATTTGACTGGTAAAAAGACATTATTCAGATAGAACCAATCAAGAGAGAGCGGGCAAACAGGAATAGAAGTTCTTACTTTGGGCCATGGGTTTCAGGCTACTTTGGCTTGAAGGTGGGGTTTCACCAGGGACCCACCCGTGTCTGCCTAGAATTTCTCTGCCTCCTACCTGTATCGATCGTACAGCCACACCCTCAGCCTTTTTTTTTTTTTTAAGAGGATGCTTTCCTAACAGGAGATCTTTCCATTTTAGCATATTTTGCAATCTGAATAAGCTAAGCATTTTCCAAAACATGAAGTCTTGGATCTTCTTTTTTTTTTAAGAGTTACCTTGCTCCTCTTGCATTTGACTGTGAGCAGCAAGAAGATCCAGGCCATACCTTTAACACTTTGCCTGGAAACCTCCTCACCTTGATATCCAAGCTCATCATTTACGAATTTTGCTTTCCACATAAGTGCAAGTCATAATTCTACTAAGTGTAAGAGGATCCACTTTCCTCCAGTTTCCAATAACATGTTCCTCATTTCCTTCTGAATTCTCACCAGAATTGTCCTTAAAATTTAGATTTCTATTAATAGTCCCTTCACAACCATTTAGATATTCTCTAAGATGATTCTTCTGAGCCCTCCCCAGCAAAGACTTTTCTAGAGCCCATAGGCACTTTTCTTAGAGCCCATAGGCAATTGTAAGGGTTGCTTCAATAGTGCTGACCCCTCTGAACAATAGCTTTCATTTATATATAGTTTGCAAAGTGCTTTTTAAAATATTATCTTTATGACATCAGGTGAGGAAAACGAGGCAGTCTTCCTAGCCCCATTTATCACATGGTGAAACCAAGGCTCAGAGACCTTTCAAAGGTAAGTGACAAGGAAAGGGCTAAAACCTTAGGTCTTCTGGTTTTTACTTTTAAAACACTGTTCCAAGCTCCCTCCCTTCCCTAAAGATAAAATCTTATTCTGCTGGTAGATTAGCAGAATAGAGGGAACTTAAGCCTTTGAAAATTGAACACATCTTCATTTTAGTTTCTTTTGAGGGAAGGGAGTTTTCCATAAAATTTAGCATCCAGACAAGCACAAAAGTCAAGGGAGAAGATGAATGAGGCGAGGTCTGTCAGCAGTGAGCTCAGTCCAGTTGGCAGAGGATATCTGAGATACTTTGGCGCCTTGTGCCTGGATCTATGAAGTGCCCACTGATAAAACCTAAGCTTAGTTTTAAATAAACAGTAAGTCTTCCTTCCATCTTGAGCAAGAAAAAGCTAGATATGCCAGGGGCTTCCCATCTAACTTTCAACAAATCTGGACTATTTGCCCAGAACAAAGAAGCCCTTAAAATCAACCATCCATGGAAACATTCAAAGAAACCAAGAGATTAATCTATCTACAGAGGCCTCTGGTCCAAGATGGCAGAGTCAACAGGCCTCGACCTCCCCTCCTTCCTAAAATCACATTGACATGCCAGTAAAGAAAAGAATAAATCACATAAAAGAAGCTTTCAGCAAGTCAGAAATTTGGCAGATTTCTGGGAATAGAGAAGATGAGATTGCACTGGCAGATAAAACAGAGAGGAAGCAGCAACAGCTCAGAATGTACACCACAGAAAGCTGTAGCTAAGGCTGGAGCCATTTTGAGGGCTCTGAGTTCCAAGTCAGCAGGAATAGAGTGGGAGTGGGAAGAGGAGCAGAAATCAGGAGGATGAATGGAAGGCCTGCTGCTGGAACAGAGAGGCAAGTCAGGCTGCATCTCCACTTTTATATTTGGAGAACTGTCAGCTGGAGGATGACACCTGGGAAGAAACCAAAACTATGCTTGCTAGAGAGAGTAAAAACTGTCCTTGGGGAGGACCACATCTGCTGGTTCATGTGCTGGCCCTGGCAATGGGCACCCATCGTTTGGCCTGCCTTGCATCTCCCTTTCTTTTAGAACTCCACGTTTGCTTTGGGGAACCACTTATCTTGCACTGCCTACAGTTTGGTCAATCAAGAAACTGTGAGCCAAGTTGCCTTCCTCTCTTGGCTAAGGGGAAGCTCCCTGACCCAAGAGAGGCCAATCGGATCATCTCTCAAAAGAGACTGACACAAACGCTGAAAACAGCTCAAGTTTTTTCACCTGCCAATAGAGATGTTTCACCTTCATGGAGATGTTGCCTAGAGGTAAATCCCCAGAGATGTTCTGATTTCTGTGGACCCTGGCTCCTATTCTGCCCTGAACCTGGTTCTTCTACTTCACCCCGGACTTTGTATACTACCCCATATCTTCCCCGTAAGTTTCCCTTGCATCCAAAAAACCATAACTGATACGTAAACCCAGAGTAGAGCCCTTATTGTATAGCATTTCCTTCCTTGCCATCTACCCTATAGCACAGGCTGCCAGTCCACACCCACTAGTTCTGGGCTAACTATGAGAGCTTCCATTCAAAGATGCCACAGACCCATGCAATAGTGGAAACCAATGGCACAAAATAGAGAGGCCTAGATAATCAAACTAAATATCTGTAGTCAAAGGAAACAGCTAATTAAGTGATGAGAAGACAACTTAAAAATAATTCTAATTAGTATACTTAAAGAGATTTGAGACAATTATGCCTAAAAAACCTACAGTAGGTAAAAAAAGGAACAATAAAAAATATGATAACCAAATATTTTTAAATTATTAGAAAGCAACCAAAAAAAGTCAAGGAGATCCCCTAGAATATATAGCAAAAGCCAAAGAAATGAAAAATAAAAGCAAAATGTTAAGAGTCATATAGAGGACTTATCCAGTAGTAACCCCCATATGAATTTCAGAAAGAGAAAATACAAGGGAGAAAAATAGGAAATAAATAACAGAAGAAAATTTCCCAGAGCTAAAGAAAGATATGTGCTTTATAGATTACAAAGGCTTAGCAAGTACAGATCAGAGAAATAAAAAAGACCCATTCAAGGATACATCATTGAAACTTCTGAATACCACAGACAAAGGGAAGATCTATTTGTCCTTAGATTTTAAAAAATGAAGATTAACTATAAAAGAATAAAAATTAGATTGTCTCACATGAATAAGCAACAACGGATGTTGAAAAATACTCTCAAAGTTCTAAGAGAAAATTTATTTTGAACCTAATATTCTGTAAATAGCCAAAATCTCAATGACATATGAGGTGAAAATGATGAAATTGTCTCACAAGAGCTCAAAAAAATGACCTCTCACATAATCTTTTTGGAAAATAAATTCCTTTAAAAGTATCCAGCAAGTCGAAAGAAAACGTGGAATCCAAGAAAAAAGAAAAGCATGGACTCTAATACACAGGGGACCCAATCAAGTAGCTCAATGTAAAAAAAAAGAAAAGAAATTTTTTTTAAAAGCCTGGGATAACAGTTGTACAGCGCTTAGGAAGTAACCAATCTAAATTAAAACAATAAATCAAAGAACTCAGAGAATAAGTCTTCAAGAAGTGAAATCACATTAATAAATTAAGCAGCTGGATGGTCTTGGTGATAATATGAAGTTATGTGCTTCTTTTGTACACAGTAAAAAGAAAAAAAGACAAATAGAAACCCTATTTGGGGAGAAGCATACAAAGATAAGGAAACCACAACCAAATTCAGAATGAAGCCAAAGTGCAGTATGACTTTGAGCCACTGAGAGTGAAAAAAAAAGGTAATTCATTTCTGATGCTTGGAACATTTTACTTTGTGTAGTTCAGTTCTGTGGTATATGACTACATTTCCTTCCAACTGCATGTTCTACACAAAATAATATTTACATGATTCATGTTTTTGTAAACTTTTTATTGCTGTTCCATTTTTATTGTAAAGTAAAATAAAGATACAAGAGAGGCACAAACCAAACATATAATTTAATGAATTACTATTAGGAGAGCATCCATTTAACTACTGCTCAGCTCCTGGAAGAGAACATTGCTACCCACCCAGAATCCCCTCCATTTTCACTATCCCAGTCTCAACCCTCCTGGGTTTTACACTAATCATTTCTTTGGATATTTTATCACCCAAGTATGCATCCTTAGCTGTTAGAGTTTAATCTCAGTCATTTTAAAAATTTGATATCTCTTAAGGCTTTTTTTAATATATAGGTTTCCCCTCTATCCCTCTTTTTTTCTTACATTTTATGTATTGAAAAATACGTAGTCTGGACACTGCTGAGTGCATACTTACAGTACAGTTCAGCATGTTCATCTTCTCTGTATTCCTAAAAATGGGCATCTAGATTCAGAGCTGGGATTGGACTCAGGTTCTGTTCTTCTCACAGGATAATAGGTGGTAATATGTTCCTTTTTTTTTTTCTTTTTGTTGTTAAGTTTTGCTGTTGTTTCAGTTTTATTGACATAAAATTTACATCCTATACAATTCAACCACTTAATGTGTGCAATTCATGGCTTTTAGTATATTCATAGGTGATAAAAATGTAGTAAAATTAGCTGTAGTATTGAGTCAATTTTACAACATTTTAATCAACTCGAAAAGAAACCCCATGCCATCTAGCCATCATCCTTTTAAATCCACAGTCCTCCCCATCAGCTTTAGGCAACCACTAATCTTCTTTCTGCCTCTACTGAACTGCCTATTCTGGACATTTCATATAAATGGAATTATATAATATTTGGTTTCTGTGACTGGCTTCTTTCTTCAACAATGTTTTCAAGGTGGTTATATATTGTTTCATTAGGAGGTACAAAATGTCCAGTCTTCACTCTTTTTTCATATTAAAGGGTGTTGAAGCTCAATGTGTAGAGCTAATCAGGGATTGCAAAATGGTGATATTCTAATTTTATCATTTATTTCACATTTATCAGCCTAAATATTTACCTAAAGAGTATTTCCATTCTTTTACAATATTGTTTTCCAGTAGTAAAGTTCAAATGGAAAAGGCAGGATAAATGCTTGATTCTTTCCCAGTCTTCACGAGTTTTCAAGATAATCTCATCCTCCAGAGGTGATCAATTACATTTAAATATATACATATATATAAATTTAACAGTCATGGATTTAAACATATTTGATAGATTTTTATTGATTCCAACTATCATTCTTTTTCAAGCTCAATTTATACTATCTTTGGCCAGTGGGACTCCAAGGAAACCAAGGAAGGACACCAAGTCACACAGAAAGACGCAGTAACTTGCCCTAGTTCACAGAGCTAAAGATTAGATTTAAATAAGGGGATCTGTCACCAAAGCCCTATGCTTAGCTACTATGTCATTATACCACTGCTCCAATTCAAAAATATAGTAAAAGGACACATCTCATTGATCAAAGCACGAAAAAGACAAAATATTTAAGAATTATACAAGAAATGTGCAGTCCTACATGAAGAAAACTTTGAATCTCTGTGTAGAAATATAAGACTCAAATAAATGGAATTATATACTTAATCTTAAACCGGGCAAATGAATAATATAAACATATCAAGTCAATTATCTCCAAATTTTTACTTAAATTACCTCTGATTTGTTCAATTATCTCTACATTTAATCTGATCTCAATTTTAAAAAAACAGGATTATTAGGAGGACTAGACACATTTCTTCTAAAGGAAAAATGTATGGGTGGTATCTGGGATATAAACATGCAAGATAAGCCATGAAAAAATATTTAAAAGAATGGCCACAGTAGGGTGGGGAGCATTGCACTGTCACATATTTTAAAATAATATAAAACTACAGTTATTGAAACACTTTGGGATGTGCACAGGAAGAGAAAGACATATCAATGCAAACACTATTCAGATACATATAGGAATTTTATATATGATAGAGATAGCATTTTAAAACAATGGGAGAAGGTAGATGATTCAACAAGGAAAGTTGGGACCATTGGTCATCTAGAAGAAACAAAGCTCAACCCTCTTCTTTCCTTACAATAAAATAAATTCTAGGTAAATCAAAGATTTTAAAATGGGTTCAGCAATGACAGAAAGCAGCTCAGTGGTTGCCTGGGGCCAGGGGTGGGAGGCCGAGGAGCACGACCTCTTAGAGGTCATGGAAATACCTTGTATCTTGATTGAGTGGCTGTTACATTTGTCAAACTCATCAGATTGGACACTTAAAATCTGTGTATTTTATTATATATAAATTGTATCTCAATAAAGTTTGTTTTAAAACGGGTTCACAAAAGTTCTAGAGGAAAATCTAAGAAATTCTTAGAGTAAAAAATAAAGGGAATATATACATATGTGTGCTTCTAATTATAAATAAATTTTATAGATGAATTTTTAATAAATGATTACAGTATCTGCCTTTAAGGAGGATACCAGGCTAAGCAGGAGAATTTCTTTTCATTTTGCTCCCTTTCATACTATTTATACGTTTTACTCTGTGCACTTATTACTTTTTCAATGACAAAAAAGTATTAACAAAAGGAAGCTCATAAATCAAAGATTAAGTTCATTTTTTAAGTTATAATAGTACTCAACAGAAAATCTAATATAATAAGTTTTCTGTAATAACATAGAGGTGGAGAAGCAAAGGAGATGAAGGAGAATATAAATAATTAACATCTTATCTTTTATAATGAGGTGTCAGTTGGGAGTTAAAGTGGATATATAGAGAAATAGAAGAATATATGCAGAAAAACAGGAAAAATTAAAAGGAATTATTCTACTAAGGAAGCCAGAGGTAGGAAGGAGTAGAGTTGTATCATTTAAAAAATTACCTTAATGTAATTTTGGTAGCTTCCAAGAACACTACCAGGCAAGCTATACCAGAGGTCATGGAACAGAAAGACTCACAGAGCAAACTAAAACTACTTAAAACTCACAGCCAGAAGCAAGAAGCAGGGAATGGAGTAGGTTAACACCTTGGCTCTGCAGAGAGAAAAGACAGGCATATAACCTTCCATGTGTGGCCGGAGATCAGGTACTGCCTCCCTCTCTGCAGTATGGTTCATTTTCACTGATGGGGTAGCTATGAGGACCAGAACTGAGGTTGGAGGAAGGGGGCCCAACAGACAGAAGTGTCTGGAGCTGACACACACTCTTGTTCAAACGGAGCAATGCAGGCACATGGATAGCTGGCCATGGCTGGATCTCACCACCCAGCCTGCTGACCAGAATTTTATTGGCATTTCTACATATAGCACATCTGGGGCCAGAAAGGCAGTGTACTGGGTGTTCCAGTGGGTGTCACTTCTGTTTGTCCCATTCTTTTTACCATAAACTATGTTTTATGGGTTACGAACTTACTATCAATTGAACACATCTTACGAATTTTGCCTACATCTCACAATCTACTTGCTTACTTGGTATCTACATCTAACCCTTCTAAGTTTTATCTATTCTATTTGTTTTCTTTTTTATAGCAGAATTGAAAATTCTCAAATAATAGAGCAAATATACAAATATAAGTGGAAGACTTTCATTTTTCATCTTTTTTTCATTTTTAAAAAATTTTTGTGGGTACATAGTAGATGTATGTATTTATGGCCTACATTAGATGTATCGTCATTTTTTATCTTATTACCCTTTAAAAATAAAGTTATAATATGCTTGAAATACTCTTAAAATACTAATAAGTTAAAAGTGAAAATGAAAAACCGTCTACACCTATATCCATGCATGATTATAAAAGTGTATCCTTTATTAATAGTTTTATATGTAAGTATTAATGCATTCCTTCATGTTCTAAACATTTCGTAGCTGAGAGTTTTCATTGTATAAATCACCAAGTAGACCATGAGCAGGGAATACAGGGCAGCAGCTAAGACTTCAGTCCTTGAGACCAGATACATATGGGCTTGAATCTTGGCTGTGTAACCCAGGCAAGTTACTAAAAGTCTGTACCCAGTTTTCCCATCTGTAAGGTGGAAAAAATAAGTACTACTTCCTAGGGTGACTGTGAGAAGGAAATTAAATAAAACATATAAAATGCTTAGCACACCATCTGGAACACTATATAAGTTATCTCCTATTATCATCATTACACTGAGGGTGAGATCACAACTTACATTTCATGTCCCTACAAAGGGTTTAGTATTCAGCAGACTCAGTAAAATCTTAGTGAATTGAATCTGCTGTAGCTACTGTAGAGAAAAAAGGGGGGCAGGGGCAGACCTAAGTAAAAACAGTCAAAATGTTTAAGGGAAAACAGTTAAGGAAAATAATCCTAGCTAATATGAACCAGCTACTAAGACTTGCAAAATACCTAAGAATTTCCCAACAACTGGTCCCTTATGAAAAGTTTTTTGTTCCTTAGGAAGATTGTATTTAATTACTTTGATTTTGGTCCCAGGTCTTAGCAACATTCTTCTGGCATTCCATGAGGCTCTAGGGCAGACAAGTTAAAACACAGCCCTCTAGAATTTTTGTTCTTCCCCCAAAGGAAATCCAGCAGTGGCTGCTCACTATTATTCAGAGTTTTTTAAAGAAGAGATTGTTTAAGGGATACTTCTTGGCTTTGTAAACAACCCCCAAACAGTGGAAGCAGAGTCTGGCTTGTGTCTGGAGCCAGTTAAGTAAGGAATCAGTGCTAAGACTGGGAGAATCCCTGGGGCGACTGGTCAACCTTTGCCTTCCAGAATGACCAACCTTTAACTCCTGGGAGAGATGGTTGTCTCTGTAAACCCAGATGTTGACCAATCCAGACAAAAACATATGGGGCTTGAATTCAGCGGATGTAAATTCTAATCCTAGTTCAAGCACCCAAAGTGTCTGAGCATTTTCAATGAATCATTGTTCATTCATTCATTCATTCAATAATTGTTGTTCACCAAACATGCTAAGTACCGGAAATACAAAGCTGAATAAAAATAGTTATCTGTAGATCATATGAACATGAGTGCATAGATAGATATAGATGGAGAGGAAGGCAGTATCTGATCCTGGGCCACACAGGGAAGGTTATATGCCTGTCTTTCTCCCTACAGACACAAGGTGTTAATCTACTCCATCCCCTGCCTCTTGCTTCTGGCTGTGAGTTTTAAGATATAATGTAAGATGACAGCTTTTTCTAACATGTGAGAATTAAGTGGTATAAAAGATATTGTTGTAGTCTATTCAGGCTGCTATAGCAAAATACCATAGATCAGGTGGTGAACAACATCAGGTGGTGAATGACAAATATTTCTCACAGTTCTGGAGGCTGGGAATTCCAAGATCAAGGCACTGGCAGGTTCAGTGTCTAGTAAGGGCTCACTTCCTGATTCATAGATGGCACCTTCTTGCTGTGTCCTCACATGGCGGAAGGTGGAAGGGGTCTCCCTGGGGCCTCTTTTATAAGGGCAGCATTTCATTCATGAGGATTCCGCCTTCATAATCTCATCAATTCCCAAAGCTCCAGCTCCTAATACCATCACATTGGAGATTATATTTCAATGTATGAAGAGGGAGAGGGGGTACAAAAACATTGAGACCACAGCAGATGTTTTAGGCTTTGCAATTCAAATGATTAAATGAAAATCAGAGAGAGAAAAAGAAGTTCTCTTTTCAGATCCCTTTCAAACCTGGCCAGGCACAGTGGCTCACTCCTGTAATCTCAGCACTTTGGGAGGCCATGGCAGGCGGATCACCTGAGGTCAGGAGTTCGAGATCAGCCTGGCCAACATGGCAAAACCCCATCTCTATTAAAAATACAAAAATTAGCTGGGCATTGTGGCACACGCCTGTGATCCCAGATGCTCAGGAGGCTGAGGCAAGAGAATCGCTAGAACTCAGGAGGCAGAGGCTGCAGTGAGCCAATATCATGCCACTGCACTCCAGCCTGGGTAACAGATCAAGACTCCATCTCAAAAAAAAAAAAAAAAGAAGGAAAGAAAGAAAGTGACAGTCAATTTTGCAATAATGAAGACACCATACTGCCTATAAAATGGGTGAAGATTGACCAATGTGTATGGGTATAGGGTAATAGGCACCTCAAGGGCTGCTTATAAAAGTGTAATTTGGGTCAATATTTCTGTAGGGCCATTTGAAAATAAATCTCCAAAGCTTCAAAAAATGTTTATATCCTCTGGCCCAATATACATGCTTATAGGCATTTATCCCAAGGAAACAGAAACATACAAAAATATTTTTTAATATATGAGAATGTTCATTAGAATGCTATTTCTAATGCTATAAAATTGGAAATAACCTAAATGCCCAACAATAGGAAATGATTAAATAAATTATAGTTTATTAACACAATGAAACAGGATACAGCCACTTCTTCACATACTTTTCTGCCTCTTCCAACCCCATTAAGGTACTCCAATTATAGTTATATTATAGATATATTATAGATCATGTGATATATTATAGATCATGTAATTCACTGATACGCAGTTTTTGTGGGTTTTTTCTTTCACTCTTTCTCTGTGTTTCCTAAAGGTGTTAATGCCCTTGCACTTCTAGCCTGCCTGGAACACAGGAAAAGTGAGCCTTGGCAGCCAAAGCAATTCCTTGGGCAAGCAGATGCAGTGCTTGCGGCTGGGAGTAAGGCAGGCATGAATGGAGATGGTGAGGGCCAGGGGGACACAGGCAGAGCACCACCAGCCACTCTTGTCTCCACTCCGCCCTTCCCTAGCTCCAGGTCCCACCTCAGCTTCTGCATCAACTTCACAGACAGTTGAGATTCCAAGTGCATCTCCACACCAAGGTAAGGAATCATGACCAGAAAGAGTTTGAGGCAGAGCTGCACAATGGTGAGTGCCTATTGTCTCAGCTAGTCAGGAGGCTGAAGTAAGAGGATCACGTGAGCCCAGGAGTTCGAGGCTGCACTGAACTACGGTCATGCCACTGCACTCTAGCCTGGGTGACAAAACAAGATCCTGTCTCTTGAAAAATAAATAAATAAATAATAAAGAGTTTGGGGCAGGAAGGAATACATCTACAAACCAGGAAGAAAGAGAAAAAGGAGACATTCCTAAGGGTAAGCTATGTTGTATAAACAAGCCTCACTGTCTTCCACTCCTGTTGAATGATCAGCCACCCGAAGCCTTCTTCATCTTTGTCACTGTCCATCCTATATTGGTCAGTGAAGCTCATCGGGTTACATCCCAAACTGGACAGGCAAAGACAACATCTAGGAACTGTTTGGACCTGCAATCTAGAGTGGAGAAAGCTAAGATCTGGACAAGGTCCAGGCAGCCCACCATCCTGAGCCACACTTCAGGCAAACCAGTAGCCCAGACAAAGTAAAGTATTACAAACACCAGCTTTGGGCTAGGCCCTGGAGAGCTGAGGCTGCTTAAGTGCTTTCTGCCGAAGCCCAGATATTTGTCTGGGAACAGAGAAACGGGCTGGTGTAAAGTGGGAAAATCAGGACCATAGCTGGTCCACAAACCATGAGGCAGCTGGGCATGGCAGGGCTGAGGTGTGGGCTGCTGGTGCCCTTGTAGCCAAGTGCTCAGTGTATGTCATCCATACCTGCTGCTGAACTACATTAAAATTCATTCCTATATGATACCAAAGAAACCCTCCAGGCACCAATCTTGTCTCTCGGAGATTTTCATCATAATGCTCTTGTTTTAAACTTGAAGAAGTTCGTGAGCTGGCCATAATTTACTCCTTCAGCCCTCTCTCTCACTTCTCCTCACACAAGCTCTCCATGCTGGGCAAATCCATGTACACACTGATCTTCCACAAGGGCTTCCATTCCTGCCTCCCAATCATAACCTGCAAAGTTTCACCCCTCACCCAGTCTCTTTCCTTGCTCTGACACCATCCGGCTCCCATATGCAAAAGTACACATGCATCCATGCACACACCCCACTGTCAAGAACTATGAAAGGTCTGAGCTTTTGCCCTACTTACAAACTAACAACTTAGATTTTGCCCTGCTTACAAACGAACATCCATTTCATGGATGCTGGCCAAAGACACAAGACTCCTCGGTCAGGAACAAAGGATTTTATTATTCATGCCAGGCACAGCAAGCAGCATAAGTGTCACCATATTTGGCACTGGCTCCCCAAGCTCCAGTTCCCACCAGGCAATGTGAAAAGGGTCAGCTGACCCTTGCTCATGTGGTGGGGTTGCATTACAGGAGAGGACCTCAGTGCTTAGGGAGCCTGAATCTTATACAATGAGCAGTGAGCATGCCTGTCCCTTGTTCTGGAAGGAAATGCTACTG
Source organism: Homo sapiens (assembly GCF_000001405.40). NCBI lineage: Eukaryota > Metazoa > Chordata > Mammalia > Primates > Hominidae > Homo > Homo sapiens. The sequence continues at coordinate 94,290,927 of NC_000008.11, forward strand.
CTATCCTCCAAGACTGTTCAGTACACAGACATCTTTGAAAAGATAGTACTTAAGAAATAACAGCCAGTGCCCACTTATAAGACATGCAGAAATGCAGAGGCCCTTGGAGAGACATCTCCCAACCACCTCCAGAAGATAAAAGTAAACACTGGAGTTGGACTCACTTCTGTTCAAGTTCCAGATCCTCTCTCTCTAGCTGTATGATTTTGGACATGTTTCTTAATTTCTCTGAACACATTTTCTCATCTGTAATATAGGTATAATAGCATCCACCATAAAGTTGATGTAGATTGAAATATTCGTACAATGCGTACCAGAGTGCTTATACCTTGCAAATGCTCACCACATGGCTGCCATCATTATTAGTAGCAGCATCCAGCTGTCCAAATTCCACAAATCTTTAAAGCCCTGCATGGTTTACCCACTTTGTGGAAACCGTTGCTTCCCTCCCCATGCCACCTACCAACCACAGAAAGCTCAGCCTCCTTGCTAAAGTCTCCTGCCTCTCCTCTGACAGTTCAGTGAGTTCCAACTGAGGATTGCCCTTGCTCTGTTGTTTTGTCTTGTCGTTTCACCATAAATGTCTGTCATGTCTTCCTACCTGGAGTATTCCCTTCTGGAGGGCAGGATTCTGTCTTCTACCTCTCAGTATCACCATAGCATGCAGCATAAGACCTAGTACACACCGCAATAAACACTGACAGGGAGATTGCCCAGCCCAAGACAAGCGAAAAATAGTCATTCCTAGGCAACCAGGCCCCTCTCTGCTACACAAAAGAAGTGCATCTATGAAGAGCAGGATGGAGGCCATTCTCGGCAGCATGGAGGGTGAAACATGCCTGCAGCCTGAGAGCTGCCAGCCCAGCTCCCTCGCCCCCACACCCTAACTCCCCACCCTGCAGCCTGACCCTCCATGTGACTCATCACCAGCACTTACATGAGGGGCCTGCCAGAACCCCAGGAAAAGTTGTTCCCTTGGCAAAGGAAGATAAATCCTGCCCATGAGGAGGAACTTATTTGAAAAGAACCCGTTGATTCAAAGTCAAAAAAAGTTATCCTCTGGAAAGACAACTTCCAGCCAACTTCTCAATGAAAAGAAAACCCCCTCTGATTAAATGCCATGCCTTAGGGTGGCAAAACACATGCACGTCTAACCCTGCCGTAAACTGGCAAGCCAAAGGCATCTTCTGTGGGTATTTTAGTATTTGGTAACCAACTGACAGCTGATTAAATCCAGGTGTGCATTGCAGTCTTCTCTGGTCAGCAAAGAACAAACAGGCCTTCCCAGCTATGCCCAGCACATCCCCACTTCCAGGGCTGGCCTTGGAGCCACCACACACAGGCTACCACAGGATCTGGGGCTGTGCGTCACGAGGTGCTCATTCTGTCACTTTAAAGCAATCACCCTACAGTCATGGGCATTTCTGAGAAGAGCTGGCTCAACGCACAATCCTGACAAATCTGCACCTGGAAAACTCTTTCTTTTTTTTTTTTTTTTTAAGCCGTATTACTGAAAACCAGTGGTAGCAAATGTATTGATGGGGGCTGCTGGGGCCTGAGGTTTTGCACACGAGGTGCTGCAGAGTTGGAGCCCTCACTCTCCTCCCTTCTCTAAGGTTAGGCAAAAAGGAGCCAGGTACACTCACAGACAGCAGGAGTGCTGCGGGAGAGCGGGGCATGCATGCCTCTCCCCCATGCCCCCAAGTGGGAAAGGCCTTGTACAGGGTCTCTTGATTCTTTGGTGAAAGGAGAGTGCTCTCACAGGTTGTCCCGTGTGTGCGCGTTTGTAGCCAAATCAGGAGAAACCACGCAGTGGCCGTTTCAACTCGGAGGCTGCAGCACCACTGTTAGGAAGCTGAGGAAGAGTGGGAGGTTGTTGGAGTCGGGGCACAGGGCCCACATCATCCATCTGCCTCATGGATGAGAGGACCCTGGAGTCCAGTTCTAGTTCTGCCTCTAATAAGCTGAGTGACTGGGTCAGGTTGCCTACCTCAGTTAGCTTTGGATATTTTCCTCACATAAAACTGGGGAATTGAATCTTGTTAATATCATCTCACAGGGCCATTGTGGGGATCAAGTGTATGATGAGTGCTCAGTACAGGACTTTGGGTGTGGCAAGGGCTCAGTAAAAGAGTGATTTTTAATCTCCCTCAGATGACTTCATCACAAGATGGCTACCAAGTAGCCTTCAAGGCATGAGTCCTCTTCCCCAGAGGCTGCAGGAGAGGAATCATCTCTGCTCCTCACCTAGGGCAGACAGCAGGGAGCAGGGAGCAGGGGCAAGGGATGGTTGTTTTCTGGTCACCACACCCCAGACAAGGACATTCAATGCCCATCACTCTCTCCATCTGATAAAGACCATGGCCCCATGACCACAGCTACTACCACCACCTCCACCCAAGGAGCCTGGCACCTAAAATCTGGGGGTTCACAGCTTTCTGCTGGAGTGCCTCCACTTTCAAAAAGCTTTTCAGTGAATGCTGTGATGTATTTTAACCAACACTTGTTGAGCACCTGCTCTGAGTTTCTATGCCACTGTCATGGGTGCTGCAGGCTACATGAGGTGTGTCTTCCCCAAGCATCTATTTCACTGGGCTGTATTAATTTAATATTTAGGTTGGTGCAAAAGTAATTGTGGTTTTTGCCATTAAAAGCAATTGTGGTTTTCCCAGCACAAGACAAGGATGCCCGCTCTCACCACTCCTATTCAACATAGTATTGGAAGTTCTGGCCAGAGCAATCAGGCAAGAGAAAGAAATAAAGGGTATTCAAATAGGAAGAAAGGAAGTCAAATTGTCTCTGTTTGCAGGTGACATATATTTAGAAAAGTCCATCATCTCAGTCCAAAAACTCCTTAAGCTGATAAGCAACTTCAGCAAAGTCTCAGGATACAAAATCAATAGGCAAAAATCACAAGCATTCCTATACACCAACAATAGACAAGCAGAGAGCCAAATCATGAGTGAACTCCCATTCACAATTGCCACAAAGAGAATAAAATACCTAGGAATATAACTTACAAGGGACATGAAGGACCACTTCAAAGAGAACTACAAACCACTGCTCAAGGAAATAAGAGAGGAGACAAACAAATGGAAAAACATTCCATGCTCAGGGATAGGAAGAATCAATATCATGAAAATAGCCATACTGCCCAAAGTAATTTATAGATTCAATGCTATTCCCATCAAGCTGCCATTGACTTTCTTCACAGAATTTGAAAAAAACTACTTTAAATTTCATATGGAACCAAAAAAGAGCCTGTTTGGCCAAGAAAATCCTAAGCAGAAAGGACAAAGCTGGAGGCATCAAGCTACCTGTCTTCAAACTATGCTACAAGGCTGCAGTAACCAAAACATTATGGTCCTGCTACCAAACCAATGGAACAGAACAGAGACCTCAGATATAACACTACACATCTACAACCATCTGATCTTCCACAAACCTGACAAAAACTAGCAATGGGGAAAGGATTCCCTGTTTAATAAATGGTGCTGGGAAAACTGGCTAATCATATGCAGAAAACAGAAACTGGGCCCCTTCCTTACACCTTATACAAAAATTAACTCGAGATGGATTAAAGACTTAAATGTAAAACCCAAAACCATAGAAACCTTAGAAGAAAACCTAGGCAATACCATTCAGGACATAGGCATGGGCAAAGACTTCATGACTAAAACACCAAAAGCAATTGCAATGAAAGCCAAAATAGCAAATGGAATCTAATCAACCTAAAGAGCTTTGGCACAGCAAAAGAAACTATCATTAAAGTGAACAGGCCACATACAGAATGGGAGAAAATTTTTGTAAGCTGCCCATCTGACAAAGGTCTAATATGCAGAATCTACAAGGAACTTAAATGAATTTACAAGAAAAAAACTCCATAAAAAAGCAGGTGAAGGATATGAACAGACAATTCTCAAAAGAAGACATTTATGCAGCCAACAAACATATGAAAAAAAGCTCATTATCACCGGTCATTACAGAAATGCAAATCAAAACCACGATGAGATACCATCTCACACCAGTTAGAATGGCAATTATTAGAAAGTCAGGCAACAACAGATCCTGGCGAGGCTGTGCAGAAATAGGAACGCTTTTACACTGTTGGTGGGAGTGTAAGTTAATTCAACTATTGTGGAAGACAGTGTGGTGATTCCTCAAGGATATAGAACCTGAAAGACCACTTGATCCAGCAATCCCATTACTGGGTATATACCCAAAGGATTATAAATCATTCTGCTATAAAGACACATGCACATGTATGTTTATTGCAGCATTATTTACAATAGCAAAGACTTGGAACCAACCCAAATATCCATCAATGATAGACTGGATAAAGGAAATGTGGCACATATATACCATGGAATACTATGCAGCCATAAAAAAGAATGAGTTCATGTCCCTTGCAGGGACATGGATTAGCTGGAAGCCATCATTCTCAGCAAACTAACACAAGAACAGAAAACCAAACACCGCATGTTCTCACTCATAAGTGGGAGTTGAACAATGAAAACACACGGACACAGGGCGGGGAACATCACACACCAGGGCCTGTCAGGGGGTGGGAGGCAGGGGAAAGGAGAGCATTAGGACAAATACCTAATGCATGCGGGATTTAAAACCTAGATGACGGGTTGATAGGTGCAGCAAACCACCATTGCACATGTATACCTATGTGACAAACCTGCATCCCAGAACTTAAAAAAAAAAAATAGTAATTGTGGTTTTTGCCATTACTTTTAATGATGAAAACTGCAATTACTTTTGCATCAACCTACATTTTACACTAAAAAGAAACATGGGCTTGCAGTGGAAGAGACATGGAGGGATGGAGTTGGAATGCTGATGTGAGAGAAGTCTGGACCAAGGCCACCCAAATTACAGCGAGGCAGAAAGGCTCACTGCTTGCACCAGTGATGCTGCTACCCCAGAGCAGCAGCTGAAGTTACCAGATACCATCACAGCCTCCTGGAGAGAAAGCACTGGCCTGGAACCTAATGCTGGCCAGAGGGCTCCAAGGACAAATACAAAAATTAGCCAGGTGTGGCAGCGCTCACCTGTAGTCCCAGCTACTCGGGAGACTGAGGCAGGAGAATCACTTGAACCCAGGAGGCGGAGGTTGCAGTGAGCCGAGATTGTGCCACTGCACTCCAGCCTGGCCAGGGGACAGAGCGAGACTCCATCTCAAAAAAAAATTAAAATTAAAAAAAAGACAATAATAAGCTCATAATTACCCCTAACATAATACAACTATCCTTCATACAACTGGAAAGGCACCAATCCCCAACCCAAATACTATTACATAAAGTTAACAATACTTAAATGCTGATATGAAGTCAATAAATCTTATATCACATGATAAAGGAAAAAGGAAATAAAATGAAGGTATTTTCTTAATATGAGTGTATACATGCACAAATGTGTTTTTAACAGAAGGAGGAAATACTCATAACCATTACAGTCCTCCTTTCTGCAGCTGGTCACGTGGTTGTAGCTGGTATTGATGACTACCTTCCTCTACTACCCATTCTGTATTTCCTTTGCCTTCAGCAAGGACCTAAGCAGGTCGTGGTTTTTTTCTGGTGCAGTGACCCAAACTTTCGTTCCTGAAGGGTCTGGGCCCTTTATAGTCCTGTGTGGATTGGGCTGTTGCAGTTTCTCATTGACCTTAATCACAGGGCATGGTAATACTAAGAGACGCCCTCATGGATCTCCTGTATTCCATGCATACTCTTCCTTACCTCCACTGTAGAGTAGTAGACTGATTTTATCTTGATAGTCTGGGTCAGTCACCCCAGTCAGCACTATAACTCCCTTCTTAACCTGTTGACTTAAAAGATAGGAGGAGCCCAAAGTGTCCAGGTGGCAATCTTAGCTTCCAGTTTAATGGAATAGTTCTTGTGTCTCCTAGTGGCAGCATTCCTCCCTCTGGAACTAAGACCGCTAGGCCAGCAGAACATAATGTCGTGGGAACAGGAAGCAAAATGTTTGCTAGTGGATCACTAGTGAGAGGTGCCACTTCTACTTCCACCCCTTGATTCCTGGACCTGTGAATCCTGGCTATGGGAGAAGCAGTACCATACACTGGATGCTGATTCACAGCATACACGGCCCTCTGAAGAGCTTTGTCCCAGCCCTGCAAAGTATTGTAATCTATTTGGTATTGTAATTGTGACTTCAAAAGGCCATTCCACCATTCTATCAATCCAGCTGCTTCAGGATGATGGGGAACATGGTAAAAACCGTGAATTCCATGAGCATAAGCCCACTGCTACACTTCTTTAGCCGTAAAGTGAGGGCTTTGGTCAAAGGCAGTGCTGTGTGGAATATCATGATGGTGGATAAGGTATTCTGTGAGTCCAGAGATGGTAGCCTTGGCAGAAGCATTGTATACCGGATAGGCAAGCCCATATCCAGAGTAGTGTCTATTCCATGAGGACAAACCTCTGCCCTTTACATGTTGCAAAAGGCCCAATATAATCAACCTGCCACCAGGTAGCTGGATGATCACCCCAAGGAATGGTGCCATATTGAGGGCTCAGTGTGGGTCTCCGCTGCTGGCAAATTGGGCACTCAGCAGTGGCCACAGTCAGGTCAGCCTTGGTGAGTGAAAGTCCATGCTGCTGAGCCCATGTGTAACCTCCATCCCTGCCACCATGGCCAGTTTGTTCATGGGCCCATTGGGCGATGACACGGGTGGCTGGGGAAAGAGGCTGAGTGGTATCCACAGAACAGGTTATCCTATCCACTTGATTATTTAAATACTCCTCTGTTGAGGTCACCTGTTGGTGAGCACTCACATGGGATACAAATATCTTCACAGTTTTTGACCACTTAGAGAGGTCCATTCACATACCTCTTCCCCAGATTTCTTTGTCACCAATTTTTCAATCATGCTTCTTCCAAGTCCCTGACCATCCAGCCAAACCACTGGCTATAGCCCATGAATTAGTACATAATCACACATCTGGCCATTTCTCCTTCCATGCAAAGTGCACAACCAGGTGCTCTGCTCAACATTCTACCCCCTGGGAAGAATTCCCTTCACAACTGTCCTTAAGGGATGTCCTAGAAAGGGGCTGTAGTGCTGCAGCTGTCCACACTTTTGGGTGGTGCCCACACATCGTGCAGAACCATCTGTGCATCAGGCCCTAGTCTTCTCTTCCTCTGTCAACTCATCATAGGGAACTCCCCATGAGGCCACTGGTGTGGACTGGGGGAAAGAAGGCAGTGTGGCAGGAGTGGAGACCATGGGCATTTGAGCCACTTCCTCACGTAACTTATTTGTGCCTTCAGGACCTGCTCGAGCCCGATCACATATATACCACTTCCATTTGATGATGGAATGCTACTGTGCATGACCCACTTTATGGTTAGATGGGTCAGAAAGCACCCAGTTCATGATAGGCAGTTCAGGTCGCATGGTGACTTGATGACCCATAGTCAAACATTCAGTTTTCACCAAAGTCCAGTAACAAGCCAAGAGCTGCCTCTCAAAAGGAGAGTAGTTATCTGCAGAAGATAGCAGAGCCTTGCTCCAAAATCCTAGATGCCTCCACTATGATTCATCTATTGGGGCCTGCCAAAGGCTCCAAACAGCATCCCTATCTACCACTGACACCTCAAGCACAATTGGATCTGCTGGGTCATATGGCCGAAGTGGCAGAGCAGCCTGGACCTGTTGCAGAGCCTTCTCCTGTTCTGGACCTCACTCAAAACTGGCAGCCTTTCAGGTCACTCAATAAATGGGCTAGAGTAACACACCCAGATGAGGAATGTGTTGCCTTCAAAATCCAAATAGGCCCATTAGGCATCATGCCTCTTTCTTGGTTGTAGGAGGGGCCAAGTACAGCAACTTATCCTTCACCTTAGGACTATCTCAACAGCCCCCACACCACTGGATCCCTAGAAATTTTACTGAGGTAGAAGTTCCCTGAATTTTAGTTGGATTTCTTTCCCCTCCTCTGGCACACAAATGTCTCACCAGTAAGTCCAGTGTGTTTGCTACTTCTTGCTCACTGGATCCAATCAGCCTAATGTCATCAATGTAAATGATCAGTGTGATATCTTGTGGAAGCGAAAAGTTATCAAGGTCTCTCTGAATAAGATTATGACACAAAGCTGGAGAGTTGATACACCCCTGAGGTAGGACAGTAAAGGTATATTGCTGATCTTGCCCACTGAAGGCAAATTGCTTCTGGTGGGCCTTATGGACAGGAATGGAGAAAAGGGCATTTGCCAAGTCAATGGCTTCATACCAGGTACCAGGAAATGTGTTAATTTGCTCAAGCAATGGAAACCACATCCGGTATAGCAGCTGCAATTGGAGTCACCACTTGGTTAAGCTTACAATAATCTACTGTCATTCTCCAAGATCCATCTGTCTTCTGCAGATGCCAAATGGAAGAGTTGAACGGGGATGTGACGGGAATCACCATTCTGCGTCTTTCAAGTCCTTGATGGTGGCACTAATCTCTGCAGTCCCTCCAGGGATGAGATATTGTTTTTGATTTACTACCTTTCTAGGTAAAGGCAGCACTAATGGCTTCCATTTGGCCTTTCCCACCATAGTAGCCCTCACCCTACTGTGTCCGGAATTGGTGGGTTCTTGGTCTCACTGACTTCAAGAATGAAGCTGTGGACGCTCGTGGTGAGTGTTACAGTTCTTGAAGGCGGCGTGTCCGGAGTTTGTTCCTTCTGATGTTCAGATGTGTTCGGAGTTTCTTCCTTCTGGTGGGTTCATGGTCTCGCTGGCTCAGGAGTGAAGCTGCAGACCTTCGCGGTGAGTGTTACAGCTCTTAAGGCGGTGCGTCTGGAGTTGTTCGTTCCTCCCGGTGGGCTCGTGGTCTCGCTGGCTTCAGGAGTGAAGCTGCAGACCTTTGCGGTGAGTGTTACAGCTCATAAAAGCAGTGTGGACCCAAAGAGTGAGCAGTAGCAAGATTTATTGCAAAGAGCCAAAGAAAAAAGCTTCCACAGTGTGGAAGGGGACCCAAGCGGGTTGCCACTGCTAGGCTCGGGCAGACTGCTTTTATTTTCTTATCTGGCCCCACCCACGTCCTGCTGATTGGTAGAGCCTAGTGGTCTGTTTTGACAGGGCACTGATTGGTGCGTTTACAATCCCTGAGCTAGACACAAAGGTTCTCCAAGGCCCCACCAGAGTAGCTAGATACAGAGTGTCGATTGGCGCATTCACAAACCCTGAGCTAGACACAGGGTGCTGATTGGTGTGTTTACAAACCTTGAACTAGATACAGAGTGCCGATTGGTGTATTTACAATCCCTGAGCTAGACATAAAGATTCTCCACGTCCCCACCAGACTCAGGAGCCCAACTGGCTTCACCCAGTGGATCCCACACCGGGGCAGCAGGTGGAGCTGCCTGCCAGTCCCGCACTGTGTGCCCACATTCCTCAGCCCTTGGGTAGTCGATGGGACTGGGCACCGTGGAGCAGGGGGTGGCGCTCATTGGGGAGGCTTGGGCTGCACAGGAGCCCATGGAGGGGGTGGGAGGCTCAGGCATGGTGGGCTGCAGGTCCCGAGCCCTGCCCTGCGGGAAGGCAGCTAAGGCCTGGTGAGAAATCCAGTGCAGCACCAGTGGGCTGGCACTGCTGGGGGACCCAGTACACCCTCTGCAGCCGCTGGCCCAGGTGCTAAGTCCCTCATTGCCCGGGGCTGGCAGGGCCGGCCGGCTTCTCCGAGTGCGGGGCCCGCCAAGCCCACGCCCACCCGGAACTCCAGCTGGCCCACAAGTGCGGCAGGCAGCCCCGGTTCCCACTCGCGCCTCTCCCTCCACACCTCCCTGCAAGCTGAGGGAGTGGGCTCCGGCCTTGGCCAGCCCAGAAAGGGGCTCCCACAGTGCAGCGGTGGGCTGAAGGGCTCCTCAAGTGCCGCCAAAGTGGGGGCCCAGGCAGAGGAGGCACCGAGAGCGAGCAAGGGCTGTGAGGACTGCCAGCACGCTGTCACCTCTCACTACCAGTTAGGAAGCCAATTTGGGGGTTCTGCCAGCTGCTAAGTATGTCTATGCCAATTATGCATTCTGGCACTGGGAAAATGACCACAGGATGAGTCCAGGGACCCACTGGACCCACTGTAAGTTGGACCTGAGCTAAAACTCCATTAATTACCTGACCTCTATAAGCTTCTACTTTAACTGGAAGACCACAATGACATTTTGAGTCCCCTGGAATCAACATCAGCGCAGAGCCATTGTCAAATAGTCCCTGAAATGTCTGATCATTTTCCTTTCCCCAGTGCACAGTTACCTTGGTAAAAGGCTGGAGGTCTCCTTGGGGATGGATGGGAGGAAGATTGACAGCATAAATTGCCGGTAGTCTAGTGGGGTCCTTCCTCAAGGGGACCCAGCCTCCCCTTCATTCAAGGTGTTGTGGGTCTGTAAACTGGCTCAAGTCTGGACATTGATTGAGGGGCTGTGATTTTCTGTTTTTATAATTCAAATTAGTTTTTTGCCCATTCAACCTAGAAGTTTTCTGCTTATATAAATTAAGTAGGAATGCAGTAGACTTCCTATCAATTTCACTTCTAGGAACATCGTGATTAATTAGCCAATGCCAGAGCTCTACATGAGTCAGACTATTCTGATTGCATCTTCGCCTCTGCTGTCCATTGCAGCAGCTTCACCCACCTTGCCTTTGACACTTGAGTGCTGCCACTTGGCTCCTGCCACCTCAGGATCCAATTATTCCCATTGTATTTAAATTTTGTAGTTGAGTGACTGCAGTTCCCACTGTTAAATCTGACATACAGAGAAGAGTAATTACAGGGCTCTACAAAGATGCAGGTGCTGCCCTCACAAATCTATTCTGTAAGGCATTGGTCAAGGGTATATCTTCTGGACCCTCCCAGCTGGGATGAGTAGGTCTAAAGTGAATAATCCACTCCACCATCCCAATCTCCCCAAGCCTTTGGATCCCTTCATCTACATTAAACCAAGGGAGATCAGGTATTTCCAGCTCGCTCACAGTGGGCCATCTTTTCATCCATATTTCAGCTAACCAAGCACATAAACTATTAGAACCTTTTTTAACTCCTGGAGTTGCAACATTCCATGCAGAGTCCCTACTTAGTGGGCCCAAACTGATAAATTCAGCCTGATCCAACTCTCTGTTCCTTCCACCATTATCCCACACCCTTAATATCCATTCCCATGCCTGTTCTCCAGATTTCTGCTTATATAAATTAGAAAGCTCAAGCAGTTCTTTTCAAGTACACTCTTTTTGAGGACACTCGAAAAGTGCACCACCTCATGGGTCATATCTCAACCTCACCTCTACAGGCCCAATGGGACTTTAGTCTAGTTATAGGTCTAGAAGCAAACAGGGGTGTTGGGGGTGGCTCCTGAGGAGAATCAACATTATCTTGCCTGGCAACTCCCTCAGGGGAGGCCATCACTGTTGCCTCAGTCAGTGCAGGGTTTATCTCCTCAGACAAAGGGGGAAAGGCTGATGGCAGCATGGGTCAGGGAGGCGATGGGGAAGCTGTTTCTTCTGGCAAAAAAAGTTTCATCAGAGTTTACAAGCTCAGTGTCCCCAGCTTCATCAGTGGCCTCCTACACATCCCCATTCCGAGTTGCAGGGTCCTATTCTTTTCCGATCAACGCCCTCACTTTAGCAGTAGACACCTGGCGAGGCTGTGCATGCACCTTCCATTGCAGGTCAGCCCCTTACATAATAAGAGCTTGTGCCTTTTTTCCCACAATTTCAGCTCTTTTTCTATAGGAGATAAGACTCTCACTCAGGGAAATCTTAGCAGATTTGAGGCTCAGTTTCTGCTTCTGAAGCCAGGAGTTAGAATCCCTGACTCTAACAAAGTGATGACAAAATTCATCACTTTGTCCACTGAACTTAGGAGCAATCAACCAGCTTCATTATGTTCTTTGGTTCTCCACATATGGTCAAAGGTATTATGTATAGAGTCACTAGACTCCTTGCCTCTCATGAGCAGTGAATCAGGAGTGTCAAATGCATTTATTTTGCATAGCTCTCTAAACAGTTCATGCCAAGTTCTCTTCATATCAGTGTTCTCTATACTATTAGAAGTAGGGTCCTTAGCATTTTTGGGTCTAATCATATTAAGCAGCCAACACCAGAAACCCAAAACCAATGAAAGAACTCCATCCTTCATATTCTGTTCCTCTAGAAACACTCCTGGTACCAAAATCTGTATTAGTCAGGGTTCTCTAGAGGGACAGAACTAATTGGATAATTATATATATAAAAGGGAGTTTATTAAGTATTAACTCACTTGATCACAAGGTCCCACAATAGGCCATCTGTGAGCTCAGGAGCAAGGAGAGCCAGTCTGAGTCCCAAAACCAAAGGACTTGGAGTCCAATGTTCAAGGGCAGGAAGCATCCAACACAGAAGAAAGAGGTAGGCTGGGAGGCTAGGCCAATCTAGTCTTTTCATGTTTTTCTGCCTGCTTTATTCTAGCCATGCTGGCAGCTGATTAGGTGGTACCTCCCCAGATTAAGGGTGGGTCTGCCTTTCCCAGCCCACTAACTCAAATGTTAATCTCCTTCGGCAACACCCTCACAGACACACCCAGGATCAATACTTTTCATCCTTCAATCCAATCAAGTTGACACTCAGTATTAACTATCACAACCTGAGACCTCAACATAAACTCTGTCTGGCCCACAATTCCACATAGGACTCACCAGTTCTGCCAATCCAGGGACAACCTCCCCATGGACCAGCAGGTGTTTTCCAACTGAGAACTTTGCTGCCATTGCCTGCACCCTTCTCCTTCACCAAACACTCGCTGAGCCATTAATTTTCTTTCAGCATGCAGGGAGCATGCCAAAAACTTCCTGTAGCTCATGAGTCATGGTCTCTGAGCACAGAACACCTCCCGAGGGAAACAAGGCTGCGAGGAGCCCCAAACCTCAAGGGAAGCTCTGCCAGAGGATGCACTGACTAGGAGGCAGCACTCAGGAAAGGCCCTGCCCGACATGCTGGGCTGTTGTTCAGGGTGCCATGGAAACCTCACAGGGTGGCCAGGCCCGAAAGAACTCAGAGCAGGCAGAAAACAGGCACTGACCTGGGATCAGGCAGCCTGACGTTAGTTCTCGGGAGCCCAGACTTGACAGAGTTGCTGAGGGAACTGAATAAGAAAATGTATGTGAATTGTTCTACAAGCTATAAAGCATTGTTACTACTAAACAAAAATTAGACATCAGACCCAAGAGGTGTAACATTCCCTGCCTCTCCTTTCTATTCCCTTTGAGCTCCATTTTCTAGGAAAGATTAAGGAGGAGGGAGCACTCAGAATGTCTTACTGTGAAATTGAACTCAGCTGAATCTGCTGCAGGTAGACAGTCTCTTCACTAATGGGAAGCTTTAAAGACCCTTACAAGGAGACCTGCAAACCAGTACCCAAGAGACCTGCAAGCCAAATGCAGGAACCGCAACCTGTTAATTTTGCACACACTGTGGAGCATGTCTACCTTTTGTCATCTTACCTGAATCAACCAACAAATATTTATTCAGCACCTGCAGTGTACCAGGACCACGTTAGACATGTCATTTCCAGAAGCTATTCAGAATCTTTTTGTCTCTTAAAACCATAATATGTCACCCATCTACCTCTAGCACTATACTTAATATTCTCAACACTCCTCTGACCCAGACAACGGGTGAGAGAGAGACAGTTTGTCTGGGAATTCACTTCCATTTCAAATGTTACTGTTTTCCAGCTTTTGCTATATCACACTTTGCTCTTGGCTTTCTACAGAATCTGTTCTCTTTACTTTTTCCCTTCTGTTTCTCCTACAACCTCACACACAAGCGCAGCTAAAATGCTGACAATAATTGCAAGACACTTCACCCCTGGGGACCCTGGTTTCTTCACCTGAAAAATGAAGAATGTTGAAGACAAGCTCTGAGGACACTTCCACCTCTGTCCTTCTGAGATCCTGAGGTTCTAAGTAGCCAGATCTTCATTTTTAAATAAGGAAAGGAAGCTCAAGGCAGGGAGAAGCGCCCAGGACATGGACAAAGTGGAGATCAGAGAGACTCAAACTGTTGATGTGCCACAATGCTCTGCTCCACACCCAGCATGGAATAGCCTGAATTAATAATTAATAAAGAATCATTAACAATAGTTGTTTTATTATATGTTTGTTTAATTATAATTTTATAATTATATACTTGAACATCTTTATAATTAATAAATTAATAATTAATAACAAGAGATGCTATGAACAGATGCTTATCTGTGTCCAGAACAAGAGGAAAAGTATTAGATTGGGATGAGGTGAAAACTATGTCATTTTAAACAGACCAAGTTTCCTTAAGCAATCATTTTGTTACTAGGTGTTTACCAAAAAGGTTAAATCTAGCCTGATATTGAGAATAGGAGCACTGGGATGGCAGTGAGCCAAGGAAGACCAGGCAAGAAGAGGGATGGATTTTTTCCTTCCTTAGACTGGACTTCAGCCAGTCAGCATTCATGGCTGGCCCCTGGAAGCCCCTTCAAAAGGTGGCTATGGTGGCCCAAAACACAACCTATCTCCAACATTTATGAACAGGACAGAAAAAGTTAAAAATTAGTCATGGGCTTCTCTACCTTTACAAATTCTTGGAGTGCCACTCTGAGAAATGGACAAAGATACAAATGGAGAAGGGAGAGAATGCTGAGTAAGACTAAGGTGATTTTCATTAAGAGAGCCAGGTACTCCCAGACCAAAGAAAATCACAGCTCCCTGAAGGAGGTAGCAGAAGACAAGCCAGCCAGCAGAAGCTAGAGTTTGAGGGAAAAGGGCTAAGGGAGAGCGAAGATAGAAAGTATGGCCTAGAGGAGGAGACAGCTGCTAGACTTTGTGCAATTTGGGGAAGAGGTGGCATGTAAAGTGGGTTGCTAGTTTGCTCTATATGATGCAATGTAATGCCCCTCTTCTGTGCCTTGTCCATGGACTTCCATAAAGACTGAAATCCTTTTACAAGGTTTTATTGAAGTTGGAAGTGTTCTTCTTTTGAATGCTACCCTTTGTTAAGACTGATGCAAAGTCTTACCCTGGTTGCATTCTGGTGAGCTCTGGAAGAGCACTGCGTACCTGAGATTACCTCAGATCTGCTATCTGCTGCATTTATAAAGAGTATGTATCAGGGAAAATGCTTTGGGTTTGAAGTCAAAAGATACTGGCTTCAATCATAATTGCTTGAAGGAGTTGTTTAGCCTCTCTGCTTCCTAATTTTGAAAAGAAGATAATTTCTAAACTGATATGGTATGTACATATATATATACACACACATATACATATATATACACTTTTATATATATACACACACACATATATATATGGTGGTCCTCAACCAGGAGGCCACTGAATCACCATGAAAGGCTTTTAAAAGCCCATGTGCCTGTAACAAGGAATGAAGTACTGCATACATGCTACAGCGTGGATGAATCTCAAAAACCCCATGCTAAGTGAAAGAAGTCAGGCACAAAAGTCCACATATTAAATGATTCCATTTATATGAAAGGTCCAGAAAAGGTAAATCTACAGAGACAGATCATATATTAATAGTTTTCTGGAGCTAGGGGTGGAAATGGGGAATGATGGCAAACAGCAAGTTTTCTTTTTGGGATGATGGAAATTATTTAAAATAAGATTGTGGTGATGATGGTTGTACGACTAATACAAATAATCATTTAATTGTTCACTTAAAGTGGGTGAATTTTATGGTAGTAAATTATGCCTCAATAAAGCTTTAAATAAATATATGTGCCCTCATTTCTCCCAATTTGATAGTCCTGGTGGGAAAAGAGGGGGATGTGTATTCTGAAAGAATTTCCTTCAGTTCTTATACGTGCCTTCTCTGCTCCCACTTAAGAATCACTGATATAAGCCCTTGTTCCTCAAAGAGTAGTCCATGGGCCAGGAGCATTAGCTATCCCCTGGGAACTTACTGGAAATCCAGACTCTCAGGCCCCAGTGCAGAACTGTGCTTTGTGTCTTGAAGTTGGTGAGCACATTCAAGTTTTGGAAGCACTGCTCTAGAACCTTCTGCAAACAGTGACAGACCAGCTTTCCCAAGGTCTTTGCTCTTGTCATGCCCTTGTCCTTTAAGAATCCAACATTTGACAGGAGGAGTCCTTTCTCTGAGAACATGCTTGCCTTCCTGCAACCAGATAATAGTGGGGGGGGATAAAAAAAGCTTCTTTTCAAATTAAGGTCATTAGTTATTTGTTATAAACAACACTAATCAGTGTTGACTGTGTGCCTCAAAGCCTTGCCCAAATGTTTATGTGTGGCTGAAACCAAGAGCGAAATACCAGACATCTAAGGAGTGCAGCCCTCACCCCGCTTTCTAGATGGACACTGCAGAATCCAAATCCAAAATCTCATTTACTGTAGCTGAGAGGCCTCCCTGCAATCTGTCCTGTTGGTAAGCTGCCCTCACTACTATTTCTTTCAGTAATCACACAGCACAAATATCAGATGGTTGGCATTGTGCACTGGAAAATAACCTAGACATGAGCAACACTGCCATATTCTGATGCTTCAAAGTGAATAATACAGCAGACGCCTTATTTCTAATTGGTCTAATTCTGGCCTGGTGGACAAGCAGAAATTGTGTTTTAGAAGCTGCTCTGAGAACTGTTAATTGCCAAAGCTAATGACTGTCCCATCCCCAAAAGATACTGGCACTGAACAGTAACCTCAAATACCTACATAACAGAGAGTTTTCTTTGCAATTTTTACTCTAAAACTGTAAACAGTGACTAAGCTGTTTGTATTGGAAGTGTTATTCACTGTACCATTGAAATTACCCTGTCCAGAAGGAAAAGGTCAGAGCCTTGTGGATCCCTTTGATTGGTCCAGAGATCGAGTTCATGTTACCACTGTCAGGACCAGGTACCCCTGGAGCAGTCCCCTCAACCAGACATGAAGGTGCGGGGCAGGGCACATCGGCACCAACTGGCAATTAATGGCAGCATTTGGCAGGTCATGAGAGTCTCGTCTGAGAAATGTAGAAAAGAAATGAGTGTTTAACATTTTGTATTTTGAGGAGAGATCATAAATTAAATGTCAATATGATGGAGGAAGAGAAGGAGCCTTCCTGGGGCAAGTAGGTGCTGATTATAATTGGAGACCTGGAGAGAAAACAAATTGCATTTGGCAGCATGAAAATAAATGATTGTATGTGTCAGGGTTAAAGAAAAATCTCTTCTGTTTGAAGTGGGGAGTTGCTTTGGAACCTAAAGGGGGTTATTGCCTAGATAGGAGAGAGGGGAGAGGAACGTTATGAACTTACGGAGAATGAATGTAGTATGCTTGATCCTAGCTGAAGCATACTTTACGTCAGAAATAATGAGGGAGGCCAGGCGCGGTGGCTCACGCCTGTAATCCCAACATTTTGGGAGGCTGAGGCAGGTGGATTGCCTGAGCTCAGAAGTTCGAGACCAGCCTGACCAAAATGGCAAAACCCCATCTCTACCAAAAATACAAAAATTAGGCAGATGTGGTTGCGGGCACCTGTAGGCCCAGCTACTGAGGAGGCTGAGGCAAGAGAATTGCTTGAACCCAGGAGGCAGAGGTTTCAGTGAGCCAAGATTGCACCACTGCCCTCCAGCCTGGGCAACAGAGTGAGATCCTGTCTCAAACAAAAAGAAAAGAAATAATAAGAGTCTCTGAGCAAAGTGGGACCAGACTGAGCAGTTTGGTTTTTTTTTATCTTCTGAGTGTAATGACGTGAAAAGTTTTATCTTGCAGTTCAACTTCACTCAGCTGCCTTGAGTTGGCTGCCTGGAACATTGTGTCAAAGATTCTAAGGCCGTGTTTGCACTTTTCAGAAAAGATTAACAATACCTGCCCTGGGAGCTGGATGGCGTCTGCATGCTTCACGTCTTCTGACGTAGGGTTATCGTAGAGAAGAGCCACCAGAAGTTCAAAAGCAAACGAACTCTATTAAACAGAGAAATAGTGTTGAAACCTATGTGCCTACTACAAGAGATACAATTTCCTCCTAAATTTTTAAATTTCCAAACTTGTGCTAAAAAACAGATATGCAATAAGAATTGCATCATGAATTTAACTTGTTTATTGATTCATTCAAGTATTTTTGTGTGCCTACCAGAAGGGTAGCACCAGGGATAAATGATAGGCACGACAAATTGCTTCTGAGCTCCAAGAATTCACAGTCTAGTACAGGAGACAGGCAAGTAAATGGACCACAACAGCTGCAGAACTCTTGAGCATACAGTTGAGGATACTGGGGTAGGTGAAAAATGGCCCCCCAAGATATCCACATCCCAATCCTTAGAATCTGTGAATGTTCCCCTATATGGCAAAAAAGGGTCTTTGTGGGTGTGATGAAGTTAAGGATCTTGAGATGGGAGATTATCCTGGATTATCAGGGTAGGCCCTCAATACAATCACATATGTTCTTATAAAAGGGAGGCAAGGGTTTGATACAGACAGAAGATGATAAGGCAATGTGACCACTGGGGCAGAGAATGGAATGATGCAACCACAAACCATAAACTGTGGAATTCTGGCAACCACCAGAAACTGGAAGCTGGAAGAGGCAAGGAAAAAATTCCCCCTTAGAGTCTCTGGAGGAAGCACGGTCTTGCCAATACGTGATTTCAATCCAGTGATACTGAGTTCAGATTTGCAGCCTCTAGCAGTGTTACGGAATACATTTGTGTTACTTGAATCCATAAAATTTGTGATAATTTGTTACAACAACCATCAGAAACTAATACAGATGCTCTTGAGAGCTCACGGGAAAATGGCTCATAATCAGGGTTCCTGGGTCAAGTTTGGGAAATGATTCAGGCTGATTTAGATAAAAAAACTCTCTGGAAGGCTATGGGGAGAGGGACTTCAATATGTGGTTCATAGGATCTAGAAGGGCTGGAAGAGCAAGCTCAGAAGGTGAGAGTATTACCAGAGGAAGGTTTCCGAGACACACAGCACCAAAATATGTTAATGGCAGTAGTTATCCGTACAGGTCTGCAGCAACCTCAATTCTTGTCTCCTCAGAAGAAAGAATTTGAGGGACATAAAGCAGAAGGAGAGACCAAGGCAAGTTTTAGAGCAGGAGTTAGTTTATTAAAACTAAGTTAGCTTATTAGAGCAGTAATGAAAGGAAGGAAAGCACACTTGGAAGAGGGCCAAGCGGGCAATTTGAGAGACCAAGTGCATGGCTTTACCGCTTGACTTGGGGTTTTATATGTTGACATACTTCCGGGGTCTTCCATTACTTCTCCCCACTCCTGAGATCTTATTGGGAAGCCGCTGATCACCAGTTTCAGGTGTGTTTTACCTATTAGGAGAATGCCCTTCCCTGGTGCCGGCTGTGACCAATTATTACTTTAGAGGGACAGCTAACAACAACCTGACTATCACTGATGGTTGCCCAACACTCCTTGTGTGGGTTGGGGGAGCCCTCTCCTGCCCTGCTCATACCTGATTAGCTACCTACTATAATGGGAGGATCCCAGAAGGCTCCAAACACCAAGTGGAAAGAACAATTCTTCCATGAGGCAGCTACCCCTGCCCCTGGAAACAGGAAATGAATTCTGGCCATCTCTTTTATCTTTGTGTCGCTCACTTGTGATCTAAAATTCCAAAAAGTAGGGTCAGATTGGGTGAGACCTAGATTGTTAGGGGTTGGGAGAGAAAGATGTTCCCCTCTACAGCTTCCTCAGTGGTACAAGGAGTAAAGGATCCCACAAATACTACTATAAGACAATTCCTCCCTAAACTTGGTAGGGTTTTAGATGTTAACAACAAGAAACAACAATAATATAACCAGAAATAACAAATATCCATACCAGAAAACACCTAATCCTTTTGGGGTTGCTTTTGGAAAAAATTGATATGTAAGCTGGAACCTTAAAAAAAAAAACAGGGGAAGTCAGCTGTGGGTGTTTTAGGGTTGAATTATTTCACATGCCTGCACACAAATAAAGCCCTAATGTGTTAATATCTCAGCTGACTGACCCGCTCATCAGCCCTGGCTCCCATTTTCATGTCTTACTGTTTTACTCCTGACCACAAAGTGTGAAATCATCCAAAAAGATTTGACAAGGAAAAATAAGATGATGGGGTTGAACCAAAAGACACCACATATGGGCCCTTCTGGACCTCACTGTTCCTATGTCCTCAGGGCTTCAACCTGGAATCCCCCATAATCAAGGGCACCGACAGCAAAAGTGCCATTGTTGTAATTAATGAAATGTGTATTACATTGCTTAGCAACCCCGCTCTGTTTGTGTGACTAACTCCTTGCCTGAACACATATAACTTTGGCTCTCTGGAGAATATAACTGAGTCACAACTCTACTTTTATGAGATCAGGGAAGAATAAAAACTTTATTTACCTACATGGTTGCCTGCGGTTCCTAAAATGAAGCAGAGCTCTAAGACTTTCAGGTGAGATGACTCAGAAGACTAAAGGAGGATAATGAGGATTAATGGGAACAGCAAGTTTCAAGAACAGGCTGAAAATAAATTCTATTATCATTATTCTTCCAACAAAGTGGAGAGATCCAGTCTGAGGGGTCTTTGTCAGCCTGGGCACCAGTATAAAGTCTGAGATGGTCAGTAAAGTCAGTAGGTTTCATGTTAAACACAGTCAATCCCTTGCCATTGTTCTTAAATTGAGCCTGTATGTCTAGAAGTTTCCTGGGAAGAATGTAATGTTTATGCTCTATGGATGAGATTAAAAGCAAATTTACTAAACATTTAGCTAAAGCATACCCAACTATTTACAGATAGCATATGTTATTATGGATATAAATGAGTCTATAAGCAAGTAATTCCCATTTAGGCCACTGGAATCCACCATCGCTTCATAACTTCCCCTGACAGGCTGCTCCTCAGAGTCATGATCTGTCTCTTCCTTGCCCAACATTTCCTTGTCCCACCTCCAGGGGAAGCACAATCAAGGAAAGGGGTCAAACAACCTGTCACTTGGCAGTTGTGTGCCATTAGCAACTCTCAGAGTCCCAGATTCCTGATTTGTAATTTGCACAAAATAATGGTACTTCAGAGGGTTGTTCTTGAAATTTATTAGATACTATGAGATACTATCACTGCCTGGCACGTAAGAAACACTCAGTCAATAGTAACTACTTTGCACTGGGTTGGAATCCTAGCTAGACCACTTATCAGCTGTTGACTTTGTACAAACTACTTTACATATCTGAGCTTCCATTTCCTTCTACGTACAACAGTGATAACAGTGCCTATCTTATGAGAAATTCTTGAGGGTATTAAATGAGATAATATATAGAAATTAATATGACACAGAATGAGTATTCAATTAGTAGTCATTAACTAGTGGGAACAACTTTACTGTTTCTACCCATTGTCTCTCTTAGGTGGGTTAAGCTAATGCTTGGATAATTAGGGATACCTGGTTCTTTCCTCCTAAAAAGACAAATTTCTCTAAGTTACTATGATTTTTAAAAATAACTTAAGGAGAGAGATAATCTCTTCTACAGCTTGGTGTACCTTGTGCCTATGACACAACACATGGAAAATAAAATTGAATTTTTAAAAATGTCTCCCCTGTCCCTGATTTCTTGCCCCGCACCAGCTCCCAACAGCTTTCTACTCCACCTCATACTGTTTCTTGAGAATCCTTTTTTTTTTTATTTTAAATTTTAGTTTTTGTGTGTACATAGTAGGTATTTATATAGATGGGGTACCTGAGATATTTTCATACAGGCGTGCAATGTGTAATAATCACATCGTGGTAAATGGGGTATCCATCCCTTCAAGCATTTATCCTTTGTATTGCAAACAATCTAGTTATATTCTTTTAGTTATTTTTAAATGTACAATTAAGTCATTATTTACTATAATTACCCTGTTGTGCTATCAAATACTAGGTCTTATTCATTTTTTTCCATTTTTTGTACCCCTTAACCATACTCACTTCCCCCTGATGCCCCACTACTCTTCCCTGCCTCTAGTAACCATCCTTCTACTTTCTATCTCCATGAGTCCAGTTGTTTTAATTTTCAGCTCTCACACAAAGTGAGAACATACAAACTTTGTCTTTCTGTGTCTGGCTGCTTTCACTTAATGACCTACAGTTCCACCCATGTTGTTGCAAATGATGAGACTTCATTCTTTTTCATGGCTGAATAGTATTCCATTGTGTATAAGTACCACATTTTCTTTGACCATTCATCTGATGATGGACACTTAGATCACTTCCAAATCTTGGCTATTGTGAATAGTGCTGCATTAAACATGAAAGTGCAGATAGCTCTTTGATATCCTGATTTCCTTTCTTTTGGGTATATACCTAGCAGTGGGACTGCTGGATTGTACAATGTATCATATAGCTTTTTGAGGAATCTCCATAGCAGTTGTACAGTAATTCTCCATAGTAGTTGTACTAATTTCCATTCCCACCAACAGTATACAAGGGCTCCATTTTCTCCACATCCTCGCCAGCATTTGTTATTGCCCATCTTTTGGATAAAAGCCATTTTAAGTGGGTTGAAATGATATCTTATTGTAGTTTTGATTTGCATTTCTCTGATGATCAATGATGTTGAGCACCTTTTCATACACCTGTTTGCCATTTGTGTGTCTTCTTTTGAAAAATGTCTAATCATATATTTTGCCCATTTTAAAATTAGATTATTAGACTTTTTTCCTATACAGCTGTTTGAGCTCCTTATTTTGCTGGTTTTTAATCCCTTATTAGATAGTTTGCAAATATTTTCTCCCATTTTGTCTCTTCACTTTGTTGATTGTTTCCTTTGCTGTGCACAAGTTTTTTAACTTGATATGATCCCAATTGTCCATTTTTGCTTTGGTTGCGTGTGCTTATGAGGTATTACTCAAGAAATCTTTGCCCACTTCAACATCCTAGAGAGTTTCCCAAATGTTTTCTTTGAGGAGTTTCATAGTTTGAAGTCTTAGATTTTAGTCTTTAATCTATTTACATTTGATTTTTTATATGGCAAGAGAAAAGGGTCTAGTTTCATTCTTTTGCATAAGGATATCCAGTTTTTCCAGCACCATTTATTGAAGAGACTGTCCTTTCCCACACTGCATGTTCTTGGCACTTTTGCAAAAAATGAGTTCACTGTAGATGTTTGGATTTGATTCTGGGTTCTCTCTTCTGTTCTATTGGCTATGTGTCTGTTTTTATGCCAGTACTATGCTCTTTTGGTTACTATAGCTCTGTAGTATAATTGGAATTCAGGTAATGTGACTCCTCCAGTTTTTTTCTTTTTGCTCAGGATAGTTTTGGCTATTTTGCCCAGGATAGCTTTGGCTATTTGGGTCTTTTATAGTTCCATATAAATTTTAGGATTTTTTTCTATTTCTGTGAAGAATGTCATTTTTATTTTGATAAGGATTGCATTGAATCTGTACATTGCTTTGGATAGTATGGACATTTTAACAATATTGACTCAATCCAGAACATGAAATATCTTTACATATTTTTGAGTCTGCTTCAGTTTCTTTCATGAGTGTGTTATAGTTTTCATTGCACAGGTATGTCACCTCTTCAGTTAATTCCTAGTATTTTATTTGTAGCTATTGTAAACAAGATTACTTTCTTGATTTCTTTTACAGATTGTTCTCTGTTTGCATATAGAAATGCTACTGATTTTTGCATGTTGAGTTTGTAACCTCCAACTTTACTGAATTTTTATCAGTCCTAATCATTTTTTGGAGGAGGCTTAGGTTTTTAAAAATATAAGATAATATCATATGCAAACAAGGATAATTTGACTTCTTCCTTTCCAATTTGAATGCCTTTGTTTCTTTCTCTCGTCTGATTGTTCTAGCTAGGACTTCCAGTACTATGTTGAATACCAGTGATGAAAGTAGGCATCCTTGCTGTGTTCCAGGTCTTAGAGGAAAGGCTTTCAGTTTTTCCCCATTCTGTATGATACTAATCATGGGTCTGTTATATATGGATTTTATTGTGTTGAAGTATGTTCCTTCTATACCCGGTTTTTTTTTTTTAGGGTTTTTTAAATCATGAAGGGATATTGAATTTTATCAAATGCTTTTTCAGCATCAATTGAATGATCATATGGTTTTTGTCCTACAATTCTGTTGACATGATGTATCACATTGATTAATTTGTATATGTTTGAGCCATCCTTGCACCCCTAGATAAATTCCACTTGGTCATGATGAATATTCTTTTTAATGTGTTGTTAAATTTGGTTTGCTAGTATTTTATTGAAGATTTTTGCACCAATGTTCATCAGAGTTATTGGCCTGAAGTCGTCATCATCTTCTTCTTCTCCTTCTCCTTCTTCTTCCTCTTCTCTTCCTTCTCCTCCTTCTCCTTCTTTTTAATGAGTCTTTGTCTGGTTTAGGTATCAGGGTAAACACAATCCTCAAATGTTGAGTTTGGAAGCATTCCCTTCTCCTCTATTTTTGGAATAGTTTGAGTAGGATTGTTATCAGTTCTTGTTTAAATGTTTGGTAAAATTCAGCAGTGAAGCCATTGAATCCTGGACTTTTCATTGCTGGGAGGCTTTTATTATGGCTTCAATCTAATTACTTGTTATTGGTCTGTTCAGGTTTTGGATTTCTCCATGGTTTAATCTTGGTAGGCTGTATGTGTCTAGTAATTTATTTCTTCCAGGTTTACCAGTTTATTGGCATATAGTTGGTCATAGTAGCCTATAATGATCCTTTGAATTTCTGTAATATTGGTCGTAATGTCTCCTTTTTCATCTCTAATTTATTATTCGTATCTTTTCTTTTTTCCTAGTCTTGCCAAAGGTTTGTCATTTTGTTTACCTTTTCAAAAACCCAACTTTTAGTTTCATTTATCTTTTGAATTGTTTTCTTCATTTCAATTTCATTTATTTCTGCTCTGATCTTTATTATTTCTTTTCTTCTACTAATTTTGGGTTTGGTTTGCTCCGGCTTTTCTAGTTCTCAAAATGCATCATTAGGTTATTTATTTGAAGTTTTTGTACTTTTTTGATATAGGTGCTTATAGCTATAAACTTTCCTCTTTTGCTGTATCCCATAGGTTTTGGTATGTTGTGTTTCCATTATCATTTGTTTCAAGAAATTTGGTAATTTATTTCTTTATTTCTTCATTGACCACTGGTCATTCAGGAGCATATTGTTTAACTTACAGGTGTTTGTATAGTTTCCAAAATTCCTCTTGTTATTGATTCCTAATTTTATTCCATTGTGATCTGAAAGATACCTGAATTTAAGATAATTCCAGCTTTTGAATTTTTTGAAGACTTTTTTGTGGCCTAACGTATGGTCAGTCCTTGAGAGTAATCCATGTGCTGAGGAGAAGAATGTGTATTCTGCAGCTGTCAGATGAAGTGTTCTGTAAATATCTGTTAGTTCCATTTAGCCTATAGTGCAGGTTAAGTCTGATTTTTTTTCCTGTTGATTTTCTCTTTGAATGATCTGTCCAATGCTGAAAGTAGAGTATTGAAGTCTCCAGCTATTTTTATATTGGAGTCTATCTCTCTTTTTAGCTCTAATAATATTTATTTTATATATTCCTGGAGCTCCAGTGTTGGGTGCATATTTATAATTGTTGTATCCCCTTGCCACACTGACCCCTTTATCATTATATAATGAACTGTATCTTTTTATAGTTTCTGTCCTGAAGTCTATTTTGTCTGACATAAGTGTAGCCACTCCTCCTCTTTTTTTTTTTTTTTTTTTTTTTTTGGTATTCATTAGCATGGAATATCTTTTTCCATCCCTTTACTTTCAGGCTATGTGTTCTTTATAGATGAAGTGTGTTTCTGTAGGCAACAGATCAGTGGGTCTTACTTTTTTATCCATTCAGCCATTCTACATCTTTTGATTGGAGAGTTTAGTATATTTACATTAAATGCTATTAGTAAGGACTTACTCCTGCCATTTTGTTGTTTGTTTTCTGATTGTTTTGTGGTCTGCTCTTCCTTCTTTCCTTCATTTCTGTCTTCCTTTTAGTGAAAGTGATTTTCTCTGGTAGTATGTTTTAATTTCTTGCTTTTTATTTTTTGTGTATCCGTGTATATCTTTTTGGTTGAGGTTATCAAGAACCTTGCAAATAATATCTTATAACCCATGATTTTAAACTGATGACAATTTGCCACTGGTTGCATAAACTAACAAACAAGCCAAGAGAAAACTAAGAAAAACTGTACACTTTAACTTTGTCCCCTGCTTATTAACTTTTTGTTGTTTCTATTTATCTTATTGTACTGTGTCTTGAAAAGTTGTTGTAGTTATTATTTTTTATCTGTTCATTATTTAGTCTTTCTACTCAAGATATGAGTAGTTTATGCACCACAATTGTAGTCTTATAATATTCTGTAGTTTTCTGTGTTCTTACAGTTACCAGTGAGTTTTGCACCTCCAGATGATTTATCATTGCTCATTAACATCCTTTTCTTTCAGATTGAAGAACACTTCATCTGACAGCTGCAGAATACACACTCTTCCCCTCAGCACATGGATTACTCTCAAGGACTGACTATATGTTAGGCCGCAAAACAAGTCTTAAAAACCTCAAAAAAAAATTGAAATTAGGCCGGGCGCGGTGGCTCACGCCTGTAATCCCAGCACTTTGGGAGGCCGAGGCGGGCGGATCACGAGGTCAGGAGATCGAGACCATCCCGGCTAAAATGGTGAAACCCCGTCTCTACTAAAAATACAAAAAATTAGCCGGGCGTAGTGGCGGGCGCCTGTAGTCCCAGCTACTTGGGAGGCTGAGGCGGGAGAATGGCGTGAACCCGGGAGGCGGAGCTTGCAGTGAGCCGAGATCCCGCCACTGCACTCCAGCCTGGGCGACAGAGCGAGACTCCGTCTCAAAAAAAAAAAAAAAATTGAAATTATCTTAAAGTCAGGTATCTTCTCAGATCACAATGGAATAAAATTAGAAATCAATAATAAGAGGAATTTTGGAAACTACACAACACATGTAAGTTAGACAATATGCTCCTGAATGACCAGTGGTCAGTGAAGAAATGCATTTTTGTAGGATACATGTGGTGTTGATGAAATCCCTCAGCTTTTGTTCATCTGGGAAAGTATTTCTCCTTCATGATTCAAGGATATTTTCACTAAATATACTAATCTAGAATAAAAGTTTTTTTTCTTTTGACACTTTATATATGTCATGCTACTCTCTCCTGGCCTTAAGGTTTCCACTGAGAAGTCTGCTGCTGCCAGACTTACTGGAGCTCCATTGTATGTTATTTGTTTCTTTTCCCTTGCTGCTTTCAGAATCCTTTCTTATTCTTGACCTTTGGGAGTTTGATTATGAAATGTCTTGAAGTAGTCTTATTTAGGTTAAATCTGCTTGGTGTTTTGTAACCTTCTTGCACTTAAATATTGATCTTTTTCTCTAGGTTTGGGAAACTCTATGTTATTATCTCTTTCAATAAACGTTTTACTCTAATCTCTCTCTCTACTGCCTCTTTAAGGCCAGTAACTCTTAGATTTGCCCTTTTGAGGCTATTTTCTAAATCCAGCAGGCATGCTTCTTTCTTTTTAATTTTTTCTTTGGTCTCCTCTTACTGTGTATGTTCAGCCTGTCTTCAAGCTTACTAGTGCTTTCTTCTGTTTGATCAACTTTGCTGTTAAGAGACTCTGATGCATTTTTCAGTATGTCAATTGCATTTTTCAACTCCAGAATTTCTGCTTATTTTTAATTATTTCAATCTCTTTGTTAAATTTGTCTAATAGAATTCTGAATTCCTTCTCTGTGTTATCTTGAGTTTCTTTGAGTTTCCTCAAAACAGCTATTTTGAATTTTCTGTCTGAAAGGTAACATATCTCTGTCTCTCCAGGATTGGTCCCTGGTGCCTTATTTGGTTCATTTGGTGAGGTCATGTTTTCCTGGATGATCTTGAGGCTTTTGGATGTCCATTGGTGTCTGGGTATTGAAGAGTTAGGTATTTATTGCAGTATTTGCCATCTGGGCTTGTTTGTACCCACCCTTCTTGGGAAGGTGTTCTAGGTATTTAAAACGACTTGAATGTTGTGATCTAAGTTTTTGGTCACCCCAACCATATCTGTATTATGGGGCACCAATCCCAGTAATGCTGTGGCTCTTTGCAGACTCATAGAGGTACTTCCTTGGTGTTCTTGGATAAGATCTGGAAGAATTATCTGGATTACCAGGCAGAGACTCTTATTCTTTTCTCTTACTTTTTCCCAATCAAACAAGAGTCTCAGTCTCTCTCTCTCTCTCTGCTGAGCTACCTGGAGGTGGGAGAGGAGTGACATAAGCACCCTCATGCTACCACAACTAGGAATGCACTGGGTTAGACCTGAAGGCAATACAGCACTGGGTCTTGCCCAAGGCCCACAGTAACCATTGCCTGGCTACTGCCTATGTTTGCTCAAGGCCCTAGGGCTCTACAATCAGCAGATGGCAAAGCCAGCTAGGCTCTTGTCCTTCCCTCCAGCGCAGGTCCAGAGATGCTATCCAGGAGTCAGGGCCTGGAATCAGGCACTCCAGGAGCCTACTTGGTGCTCTACACCATGGTGCCCAAGCTGGTACCTAAGCAGCAAAAGTCCCCTTCACTCTTCCCTCACCTTTTCTCACACAGAAGGAGTCTCTTCCCATAGCTATAACAGCTGGGAATGTACTGGGTCATACCTGAAACCAAGCATGTCTCTGAATCTCACCAAGGTCCATGGTGAGTACTGCCTGGCTACCACTGCTGATTATTCAGGGCCCAAGGGCTCTTTGGTCTGCAGGTGATGAATCTTTTCAGGACTGTGTCCTTCCCTTCAAGGCAGTGGGTTCCCTTTTGACCCAGGGTGTATCTAGAAATGCCATCTGGGCATTAGGGCTTGGAGTGGGGGTCTCAGGACTCTACCTGCTGTCCTATCCTATTGTGGCTAAGCTGGTATCCAAGTTGTAATACAAAGTCCTCTTTACTCTTCCCTTTCCTCTCCTTAAGCTGCACTGTCTGGGGTTGGTGGGGGTGCGGGGAGACACAAGCACTCCCTTGGTGATCCCAGCTGGTATCTTACTCAGTCATGAGCCCCCTATATTTACTGACTTCAAGCCCAGCACAGCACCAGGACTTGCCCAGGAATTGCAGTCTTACAAGTTTATTTAGACTGCCTTACAAGTTTATTATTTAGAACCCCAGAGCACTTTAGCCCACAGTGGTGAGGCTTGCCAGAACTAAGGTTCCAACCACTAGGATGGGTGATTCCTCTCTGCTTAGTGCTGGTCTAAATGCTCCTTCCATGGGCGCTGGCTGAGTTCTGCCCAGTGTTGTTTTCTGCTGTGAGAGGGCAGTACTGAGTTCCAATGAAAAGTCCTGCAATCACTGTGCTCTCCCTCCCCTGAGCACACAGATTCTCTCTCCATGCCACAGAGGCACTGCTGGGGAATGAGGAATGGGTGGCATCTGCAACTCAAGACTGTCTTTCTTACCATCTTTAGTGCTTCTTGCAGTGATATGAAGTTAAAACCAGGAACTGTAATTGCTTTCCTGATTTTTGGTTCTTATGAAAGTGCCTTTTTGTGTGGGTAGTTGTTTGATTTGGTGTTCCTGTGGAGAGGATCATCGATGAAGGCTTCTATTTGGCCATCTTGCCCTGCTTCCTCCTTGTGAATCTTATGTATTGGTTTGATGAGATAGAAGGTAAATCCAGAAAGCACAATATTGACAACAATTATTAAATTTTGAAAATTATATATTGTTTCCTTTCCTGTGATTAGGATTATGAGAATATGAAAAACCCCTTTCTTTAAAATAATAAAGCCTAGACACAATGGTTCATACTTGTAATCCCAGCGCTTTGGGAGGCCAAGGTAGGAGGATCACTGGAACCCAGGAGTTTGAGACCAGCCTGGGTAACATAACAAGATACTATCTCTCCAAAAAAAAAAAAAAAAAAATTAGCCAGGTATGTGGCATATGCCTGTAGTCCCAATGACTTAGGAGGCTGAGGGAGGGGAATTGGTTAAGCCCAGGAGTTTGAGACTGCAGTGAGGTATGATCATGTCACTGCACTCCAGCCTGTGTGACAGAGCAAGACCCTGTCTCTAAAAAACATAAAAAAAAAATCAAACAAAATAAAATAATAGCTATTTCAGTTGTTATGTGAAGTTGTTGGGATTTAGAATGGGAGGTGGGAGGTCAGACATTCCTAAAATTACACAAGTTAATCTATTGAGGTATGGGAAGAACATAGTAAAACTTCAATTAATAAATTATATACATTTACTATTGTACTAATTGAATTACTTCTGTACTAATTGAATTTACTACTGTACTAATAGAATTTTTAGGCATGTGCCCCCCATTGGAGCTATATCTTACATAATCAAAAATATTTAAAGTTCATTGACTTAAATCATATATTTAATGTCACAAATTGTCATTATTCTTATGCTAAATCAAATTAAATTTGGCCTAAATAAGCCTCTGTACTCTCAGAGTTGACTCCTTAGATAATAAACCGCAATGTAAGTTAGTATGTAAATTGAAAACATAACTTAGGAATATGCTTCTGTAACAAATAGCTGAGTCTCAGCCAATCACAGCAGCTGGGCTTAGTCAATCACAGGTGGCCAGCTCTTCAAATAAGGCAAATTGTATTCAAATAAGGCAAATTGTGAGCTGTACAAATACAGCTGTTTTTGTACCTCACTTGTGTTTTCTGTATGTGATATGGTTTGGCTCTGTGTCCCTACCCAAATCTCATCTCGAATTGTAATCCCCACGTATCGAGGGAGGGACCTGGTGGGAGGTGATTGGATCACAGGGGCATTTTCTCCCATGCTATTCTTGTGATAGTGAGTGAGTTCTCAGGAGAGCTGATGGTTTTAAAGTGTGGCACTTCCTTGCACTTGTTCTTTCACTCCTGCTGCCTTGTGAAGAAGGTGTCAGCTTCCCCTTCGCCTTCCACCATGATTGTAAGTTTCCTGAGGCCTCCCCAGCCATGCAGAACTGTGAGTCAATTAAACTTTTTTCCTTTATTAACTACCCAGTCTCAGGTAGTATCTTTATAGCAATGTAAAAATGGACCAATACAGTATGTCACTTTCTTTTTTAAGTCCATAAATGTTATCCAATCATGTGCAGCCCTGGAGTTTCTCTGAACTGGTTCTTGTTCATGGGTCTGTCTGATTTGTGACTCACTCTTTGCTCAATTAAACTCTGTTCTTCTTTTAGCAGATTTGGTGTCAGAAGTGAGGATCCCAAGTAAGAGTCCTGTGACCCCCCCTGCCAGGAATACCAGGCAACAAGGTGAGGTACCCATCAAGCCCATTGTGCTCACTATACTCTTGTTTGAAACTGGAGGTTATGTGTGAGTTTACTCTCAGATTTTGAGCTTTACTCATTTGTGTTCTGAGCTTTCTGAGTTTGAGACATAATTAGACTGGATTGGGTGCAGGACCTAATTGGATTTAATAATTAACTGGATTAGATTCAGTTAGAGGCCTAGAGTAGGTACCTTTTTGTTAATGGGTTTGTTTCAATCTGGGGCTCCACCTTCTGGGATTCCAGCTAATTTTATGTATAAGAATTATGGGCCTAGAATGGGTGCATTTTCAGAAAAATGGGTTAACCTTATTGGAGACAGCTTAGAATTAAGATGGTCACAATGGGTAAGATTTAATTTAGATAGAATTGTTTACTTGCAGGCACATTATAAAGGAAGGGCTCAAAGACTCCACAAAAGCAATGGAATGAATTTTTCAATTGTTATGCAGAGGCCTTTAAAATATTAAATAAATTAAAAATTGTCTCCATAAAGGATTCCTTACAAAAGGCAAATGAAAAGCATATGCAACACACTGATGACATGACAAAAAAGGACTGTATTGTGGCTGAATTAACTCTGACTATTCATTCTCTTTATCTGTTTCTACCTAAATACTCTTTATTTTATTTTATTTCATTTCATTTTAGTTTTTGAGACAGTCTCGCTCTGTTACCCAGGCTGGAGTGAAGTGGTGTGATCTCAGCTCACTGCAACCTCCACCTCCTGGGTTCAAGCAATTCTCCTGCCCCACTGAGCCTCCCACATAGCTGGGATTACAGGGATGTGCCACCATGCCCCGCTAATTTTTGTATTTTTTGTAGAGATGGGGTTTCATCATGTTGGCCAGGCTAGTCTCGAACTTCTAACCTCAGGTGCTTTGCTCACCTCAGCCTCCCAAAGTGCTGGGATTACAGGCATGAGCCACTGCAACCAGCCTCTACCTACTCTGAGTCTTCTAATCTTTTTGCTAAATTTCCCTTTCACTCTGAAGATTAATTTTTTTAAAAGAGAAGTTAGATTCCTTACAAAGTGAGTCCCTCTGATCAGCCAGGCTTGCCTGCTGTAACCACCTTTATACCATAGTCTAAAACTGAGCTTAGAGACATTGTAAAGGAATCCCATAACACAAGTGAAAATTCTCAAAAATTTATGGAGGAATTTAGAATCCTCATAGGAGCTTACAATGCAGGAATCCCTGATCTTTACCAATTTATTCACATGGTATTGGGGCTTGATGAAGCTCACAAATGGATGGCAGAAGCAGAATGGGACAAACCTTGGAAGGATATTAAAGACCCCTCGAAAACCTCCTCATGAGATGAACCAAAAGGAGTTAGAAACATTGCTGAAAACATTTTCAGTTAAATTCCTAAGATTTTTCCACAAAAATTGGTCAATTATACAGTCTTACAGACAAAAAAAAAAAGGATGAAGCAGCTTCAGATTACAAAGCCCTTTTAGAAATACTATTTGTAAAATATTCTAGCCTTGAATTACAATAAGGAGTATTTCCTGCAGGGACTGAAAATGCATTAACTGTTTTATAAAAGGACTTCATCTCAAACTTAGTAGCCTAATTTAAAAAACATAAATCAGGATGGGAAGTTACAGATATGATTGAATTGCTGGCCTTAGTTGAACATTAGAGAGGACTCTACAGCAAGAAAAAATCCCAGAAAGCTAACAAGCATATGTTTTTCCAATTACAACAATTACAAGAACATAGACCAAAGGGACCTTCTTGTTTTTATTTTACATCACAACCAAGAGGTCCTAAAATAAGAAACCATTTACCCCAGGTGCTTGCCTTCATTGAAAACAACCAGGACACTGGAAAAGAGATTGTCTGCTTTTATATCAGTTCACCATAAACCTCCTCCCTTTAGGCGAGATTGGTTTCTCACTAGAATGAGTCCAAAAGATTTTAGCTCTTGTGATATTAGTCAACATTAAGGAGACTCCAATAGATTCTACAGTAAATGACTCCTCCTAATACCCTTAAATAAACCTGAAGAAACAAGAGTTGAAAAAAACGGGGAACCTTGTACAATCCTGGTGGATACCACAGCCACCTTATCTATCTACCGTAAGCCCCACTAGTAAGCCAACAAATCCCTCAGAGTAAAAAAGGTCATTTCTTGCAAATCAAAACCACAATGAGATACCATCTTTTGCCAGTCAGAATGGCAATTATTAAAAAGTCAGGAAACAAAAGATGCTGGTGAGGCTATGGAGAAATAGGAACACTTTTACACTGTTGGTAGGAATGTAAATTAGTTCAACCATTATGGAAGACAGTATGGCAATTCCTCAAGGATCTAGAACCAGAAATACCATTTGACCCAGCAATCCCATTACTGGGTATATACCCAAAGGAATATAAATCATTCTACTATAAAAACACATGCACGCATATGTTTATTGCAGCACTATTTACACTAACAAAGACGTGGAACCAACCCAAACGCCCAACAATGATAGACTAGATAAAGAAAATGTGACACATATATACCATGGAATACTATGCAGCCATAAGAAGGGGTGAGATCATGTCCTTTGCAGGCACATGGACGAAGCTGGAAGCCATCATCTTCAGCAAACTAACACAGGAACAGAAAATCAAACACCGCATGTTCTCACTCATAAGTGGGAGTTGAATAATGAGAACAAATGGACACAGAGAGGGGAACAACACACACCAGGGCCTGTTGGGGAGTGGGGATGAGGCGAGGAAACTTAGAGGACAGGTCAATAGGTGCAGCAAACCACCATGGTGCATGTATACCTATGTAACAAACCTGCACATTCTGCACATGTATCACTTTTTTTTTTAGAAGAAATAAAGAAAAAAAAGGTCATTTATGTGGTGGGAGTTTCAAATCAAGTTCAATAGGTCCCCATATCTGAACCTATCCAATTGATGTTGAAGCCATTTTCAGAAAAACGTATCTTTCAAATATGTGGTAGTGCTCCAGTAAACTTGCTAGGGTGATACTTACTTTCAAAGCTAAAAGGGCATATAATTCTCTCCAGAGGGAGAAATAATCTTAGAGTTTCCTGATTCCTGAACCAGAACTGTTATGCTGTCTACAGGCTGAAATTGATAAGACTGCAACTCAGGCCTGTAATAACTCTGACCTTTCTAAAATAACTGAATGTTTATGAGCTTCTTCTTCAATGATGCAGGAAGGATTAAAAGTGTGGAAGCTATAAGAGTCCAAATTGATCATTCTAAACCTTTGCCTAAATTACCCCAATATCCACTAAAACCCCAAGCAATTCAAGAGCTCTTACTAATTGTGGATTTAATTAAATAAGGATTTATAATTCCACATACCAGTACTTGCAACACTCCAATCCTACCAGTTAAAAAACCAAATGAATAATGTTGGAGATTTGTTCAAGATTTATTGGCAATTAAAATTGTAATACCAAGGTTTCCTATAGTCCCAAACCCTAATACTTTATTATCTAACATGCCCACTGATTCAGAATGATTCTCAGTAATAAATCTCTGCTCAGTCTTCTTTAGCATTCCAGTTCACAAAGAGAGTCAATACATTTTTTGCTTTTACTCGGAAAAATCAGCAGTACACCTGAACTGAAATGTTATAAGGGCTTACTGAAGCCCCTTCCTATTTTTCCCAGGCATTACATAAAGACTTAATAACCCTATAGCTTCCTCAGAATTATACTCTTATTCAATATGTAGATGATCTGCTGTCATGCTCTCCCACTAAAAAATGCTTTGAAATTGTCTCAATTTACCTTTTACAGCAACTCGTACAAAAAGGTCACAGGCTTCGGTGGAAAAACTTCTGTTTCAAGAGAAAGAGTTTACTATTTGGGACATGACTTGAGTGCTTAAGGGATTTCCCTCTTGCCTGGGAGAATAAAAATTATTCAGTTTTCCTTGGCCTGCAACCAAAAGACAATTAGGAGGTTTTCTTGGACTTGCAGGATACTGAAGATCATGAGTCCTGAATGTTTTCTTAATGGCTTCACATTTGTATGAGCTCACTAGAAATGCAGGACCAGAACCTTTACCTTGGGAAGAAAGTCATGAGCAAGCTTTTAACCAAATAAAATTGGCCTTACAACAGCCTCCAGCTTTAGAACTTCCAAATTACATTAAGCCTTTTACCTTGTTCATTTATGAATGTAACAATCAGGCATTAGTTCTTACCCAAGAACTTGGAAGGAAGTATAAGCCCTTTGCATATTATAGCTTGCACTGAGACTCAGTAGCTAAGGCATATTCTAATTGTTTAAAAGTAGTAACAGCAGCAACCAAGTTGGCAGAAGTTTCCTCTGAGCTAGTTTTAGGAAATGCACTTAACTTCTAAGTCTCACATGCTGTGGGAAATCTATTAAATTCCAACAAAACTCAGCATTTTTCAGCAAGTAAATTAACATCTTACTGAATTCTTCTCCTGTTTCCTAATCTTCATATAAAATGCTGCAACCTATTTAACCCTGCTACTCTACCACCTCTGCCTGATGATGGTGAATACCACAATTGTTAAGTGTAATATCAGAGATAGTGACCCCTCATGTTGATTTACAAAATACTGCATTGGCTAATGCTGAGTTAAACTTTTTGTTGATGGGTTCTATGCCAAAAACTCAGAAGGGAAAAAATATCAGGAGGGATATGCTGTTACAACTCAAAATGAGCTAATGGTGAAGGGAACTCTTCCCCAGTTAAGTCAGCTCAACCCAAAGGGCTTTTTGCTCTCACCTAAGCTTGTCATACAGCTAAGGACAAATTAGTAAATATTTACACTATATGCTTTTGGAGTAGTCCACAATTTTGTAATGTTATGAAAACAACAATGGCTTTTCATTTCTAGTGGGACCCCCGCCAAAAATATACTCCAAGTAGATGAACTTCCTGCTATATTGTTACCATCACAGATTGCCCATTATTAAGATTGAAGCCCATACCTGTAAAATTGAACCTGAATATAAAGAGAAAGCCCTAACAGATTTTTGTGCTAAATCAGCTAGTGCTGAAACTGTTAGGATATGCAATTTGAACAAATTTCATGAGGTTGAGCCAAGTCAACTCCCTTGTGATGGCCTATTTAATAAACAGTGCATTGTGGGAAAAACAAAATTGGTATCTAAAAGTCTGTAAATTGAATCTTAAGTGTGAATACACAGAGGGCCTGGATGGCCACCCTGTTCTTCCTGAGACTCTGAAGACTTCGTTGCTAAAAGCTCTGCCCTCCACAGATCATCATGGAACAGAAAAATGATCCAAATTATAAAAAGAATATCAGTGAGGTGACTGTTCCAGAATTGCTAAAATGGTTTATAACCAATGCTTGGTTTGTTAAACTCATAATTCTGGGAAAATAAAAACTGCAAGCGGTGTATTTCCACCACCTGGTGGACTATTTGAACACATACAGATGGACTTCTTTCGATTGCCACCATCAATGGTGTATCAGTATTTTCTTGTAAGTTTATATACTTTCTGGTTGGGTTGAAGCTTTCCCATGTAGGAAAGTTGATGCTGTGATAGCAGCTATGAAATTATTAGAAAATATGTTTCCTTTATGGAGCATTGCTGGAGAACTCTCCAGTGATGGGGGAACTCATTTTACTGGGCAAGTTATAGAGCAGTTAAATAAGGTGTTATGGGCACAATGACATTATCAACCTCAACCTTCTGAAAAGATTGAAAGAACAAATGGCATCTTAAACCTGAAACCGGCAAAATTAACAGAATCAATTGGGCTGCCTTGGCCAAAGGTAACATTGGCTTTAATGGCAATGAGACCTACTCTCACTGGAAAACATAAGTTGACCCCTTTTGAAATAGTCACTGGAAGGCCTATGATCCTAATAATAGAACTTGATGCATCTCCTGCTATGACTAAATACTGCAAGGCTCTAATGCATTATGCCAGAGTGTATTTTCATCAGGTAAAGGAAGTTTTCTGTGATCCACTGACTAAGGACAATCAAACTTTTTATGGTCTAGAAACCAGAGATTGGGTCTTCCGGAAACCACATCAGAAGAAGACTGCCTTTGAACCCCATTGGAAGGGGTTATACCAAGTTATTCTCACTACTTACTTGAAGTACTTACTTGAAATAAGACTTCAAGGCTTCAAACTTTGGAACCACATCTCACAACTCAAAAAGGTACCTTCAGACTTTTGGAACTGTATGTCTATTGGAAAATTTAAGGTAAAGCTGGCCAGAAAAATTTTCCAGAAGCAAATAGTATCCTCAATGTGGACAGCTTTCCCAAGATTATGGATCAACACTTCTCTGTGATTAGAAAAGCTTATCCTTTTCTTCTTTTCTTTCTCATTTCCTTCTGTCCTAATCCTTTCCTTTTCCTTACAGGAAAATCCATGGAGCCATAATCAGTGAATGGCTTTAGCTATAGCTTATGCTATAGTACAAAATACAGAGCAATCATTGGGTTTGTGGGCTAATATCAAAACAAACAAACAACAACAACAACAAAAAACAGGAAACATTTCCATCAGTGCCAATACCTCTCCATCTTCCCAATGAGAGTAATGCTGAAATTCCACAGGAAGATAGCTGAAAGCTATCTTTGCTGTTCTAAACATCACTGTTACTTGCTTTCTATACTCACTAGAACCAACACTCTAACCTTTCCAATTAACCTGATGGTTACCAAATGTAGAAAACCTATCTGAGTGGTGCGTGCAAAAGATATACTGTGCTTCCAGACATCATGCACTCAAGACCTTGGAATTACTTATGTGGGTACAAGTAATTGTATAATGTCACTGGATTAAATTCAATAGAATCTTTTTTCATTAAATGTGATTATATTCCCTTACAGTATGTTATAAAGGGGCCACCAAAAAGTAAATTTTCCACTGGACCTTGTTGGAAGCTATCAAATTTGACTGACCTCTGCTCAAACACAATTAGGTGGCCCTCTTTCCAACCCCCAAAGGCCTATATCAGATCTTCAGAAAATCTGCTTGTTCTGTTCTGTCTCCTTGCTTGTTTGGATCTTGCTATTTGGCGTAGCTCACTCCTGCCTGTCAAATTCATTCCCCTGGAAGTCTCCATAATAGCTCCTATAATCAGAGGCTAAAATGGTCAATAACCAAAATTATCATCAACCTTCAAACAGACAAAGTTAAGCTAGTTTCCACTGAGGAAAGATTCCAGTGGGGTATCTGGGGGCTCACTCTTGGTGGTAGTGGAGTACTGATTGTATGGAATTTGAAGCTAATCTATAAATTGGAGAAAATCTTCAAGTTTGTGGTCAATCAGATCTCCCAGGGCTTCAGACATGTAGAAGCCACTCTCTAAAAGGTGAATAATAACATACATGTTCAATAAACACCACGCAATAAAATATCATAAAGCTTTAAATCTCCTTTTTCCTTCAATTTGGGGCTTATGATTGGTACTGAATAAAAATGTATGCTGTACCCATCTCTCTGATTTTGTTAGTACAGAAAGCTTAATTTACAAGGTGGCTAATACTGCTGTTTCCATAGACACTGCCATCAAATACATTAAGGAAATTTTTCAAGAGAAAGAAACATAGGATGTGTTTACAAGAGCAACTAACATTTGGTTTGCAGGCATTCTAAAGGTGGATAATAAGCTTGGGTTTCTCAAGATTTTCTAATCTTCATATTTCTTCTAGTGGGTCTCCAAGTTATTATGACTTGTGTTACCAGGCTAACAACAAAAGTCAACCACTCTTTAAATCAGGCCATTTTACAGCAAACTATGGTCCTTAATCACCATAACACCCCAAACAACGACTATAATCAATTAGTTGCAAATACTGTAGAGCTGCCTCTATTGCCTGAACTTTGACTTGTTTGATTTGGTTTGATTCATTTCATAAGGACTCTTAAGAAGTATGCTTTGGTCTTTTGGTATTATCTTCTTGATTGTCATCATATTAGTTCCGCTGGTATGCTATATCTTCTCAAGTCTTAAAAATTTTGTATGCAGCCATTCATTGAGTGTTGAATGCTCTCACTTTGATTAATTCAGCAAGAACATAATTATTCAACTGATGTGACATTGCAACTTATGAATTTTATACTATGAACAAATAAGATTTGTGAATTCCACAGAGACCAAACAAGTCCACCTATGATAGTGACAGAGGGTGGCATCAATGCCCAAAGTTTGGGTCAGTCTCTCAAAATGGAGATGTTGACCAAAAGGAGAGAACTGTTAAATCAAACTAAACTTGGCCTGAGACAAAGCCTCTGTACTTGCATGCTTGAGTCCTTATGTAACAAACTGCAACCTAACTTTGTATGTAAATAAACTGAAAGCCTCATTTAGGAATATTCTTCTGTAACAAATAGCTGTGTCTCAG
Source organism: Homo sapiens (assembly GCF_000001405.40). Lineage (NCBI taxonomy): Eukaryota > Metazoa > Chordata > Mammalia > Primates > Hominidae > Homo > Homo sapiens. The sequence goes on from NC_000008.11 coordinate 94,330,516, forward strand.
CCAATCACAGCAGCTTGACTTTAGTCAATCACAGGTGGCCAACTCTTCAAACCATGTTGAAATAAGCAAATGCCAAAGTGTAACCAAGCCAGCTGTTTCTGCACCTCACTTCCATTTTCATACATCACTTTCTTTTTTCTTGTTTTTTTGGTTTTTTTTTTTTTTTGAGACAGAGTCTCGCTCTGTCACCACACTGGAGTGCAGTGGCACGATCTTGGCTCACTGCAACCTCCGCTTCCCAGGGTTCAAACGATTCTCCTGCCTCAGCCTCCCAAGTAGCTGGGATTACAGGCATGTGCCACCACGCCTGGCTAATTTTTGTATTTTTAGTAGAGACGAGGTTTCACCATGTTGGCCAGGCTGGTCTTGAACTCCTGACCTCAGGTAATCTGCCCGCCCTGGCCTCCCAAAGTGCTGGGATTACAGGCGTGAGCCACCTGGCTCGTCACTTTCTTTTTTCTGTCCAAAAATGGTGTATGACCATTTGACAGCCCCAGAGTTTCTCTGAACCTGTTCTAGTTCTGGGGGCTGCCTGGTTCATGAATTGTTCTTTGCCCAATTAAACTATTAAATTTGTCTAAAGTTTTTCTTTTAACACTTATGTCCAAAAATTATCATGACATTTTAACTTTGTTACTTAGAGTTACCCATTTAAAAGCAGTATATATGAATTTTAAAGGTCCAGTGTTTTTATTATACTTATTAGAGTGGGGGAGGGAGGAAAGACAGAAGGTAGAAGAAAAGGAGAGAAGAGGAGAGGAGAGGAGAGGAGAGAAGTAGAGGCGATTGAAATTTTTTAAATCTCAAGAGAATAACAATCAAATCACCACATGCATCCTGCTAACATTTCTACAATGTGTGAAATGTGTGAAACATATCTAACGCCCATTTTTATTAGCGAATGTGGAACAATGCACAGTCTAAACTGAGTTAACAGAGACCAGTTTTCCCCAACAGTAACGCAAAGCTCAGTGTGTCCCTGGCTGGATATCTGATTTGCTGCTGTCTTCACCTGTTGATCTTTTCTGGACCTTGACTCCTCGCAAAGTGATCCTTGGCCCTCAGCCAGGAAGTTGTTTGTAATTATCTATCCTGCTGCTCTCTGCTTGTCCATTCTTTACAGCGGTGTGAAATCATGACAGGATGCCCAGGCCTGTGTTAGGCAGTAGGACATTAACTCAAATTGCCTAAATGGTTAGGGTAGTTACATAAGACCCTCTTCTTAGTGGAATGCTTTTTGTTTAATATTTTAAAAATTTCCTCCATTTCACTATTGGAACTTCTTATTCCCCTGTCTAGCCATACAGACATGTATTTAGGTGCAGTATCTATTGTCTACAATTGCCTAGAATATGGTGGATACCCCCACTCCAATGGGCAGTCCTTGTCCTGATATTCAGGGTTACCCACGCCCTATTAAAGCTGGTTTCTAGACATCCTTATTGTCTGGGAAGTATTCCCTTTCTGTTAGCTGAATAACCATTATTAATAAAACAGACCATTAATGAATCAGCCCTAGTCTTAATTGTTTGGGCAAGTCATGACGGACCAAGTCACTTCTCATACTTGTGACCCAAGGATTCAGTGCCAAGGTGAAAGAAATATTTTCTCTTCTTTGTGGCTTTAGAACCTGCATTAGTCCATTCTCACATTGCTATAAAGAATACCTGAAACTGGGTAGTTAATTAAACTGGGAGGTTTAATTGGCTCATAGTACCGCAGGCTGTACAGGAAGCATGACGCTGGCATCTGCTCTGCTTCTGGAAACTTTCACTTATGGCAGAAGGTGAAAGGGAAGCAAGCACATCTTACATGGCCAGAGGAGGAGCAAGAGAAAGACGGGGGAGATGTCACACACTTTTAAACAACCAAATCTCACAAGAACTCACTATTGTGACAACACCACCAAGGGGGATGGTGTTAAACCATGAGAAGTTGCCCCCATGATCTCCAATCACCTCCCACCAGGCCCCACCTCCAACACTGAGGATTACAATTGAGCATGAGATTTGGTGGGGACACAGATCCAAATCATATCAGAACCAAAGGTTTAGCCAACTAGAATATGAAGTGAACTACTGACAGAGACAAAATTTTACATATGTTTTCAATACCAATCCAATTTTTTTAAATGAAATTTCAAATTGTTATTGCTTACAGGCTTTTATAACTCTTCAACACTTCATTAAGGCTCTTCTTAAGGACCTCCATGTCTCCCTCCCACCCAACCTTACATGGTTTTTTATTCTTCCCAGACATTTCTCTTCTCCTCTGACATCTAGAATACTAAGCCATCTGGCCCACCTATCCAAAGCTACCCCATCGCCAAAGTCCAATTCACATCACACGTCCTATGAAGCTCTCATTGATGTTTGCAGCACACATTGATTTCTCCTTTCTCTTCATATTTGTAATAGTTTCATGGACAGCCCCAGTCAATTTATGCTACTTTGTGCCACTCTCCAATGACACAGGGAAATCTTGGAAGAGTTTAATATTGTGAGCATATTTGCTTTGGCTATTCCACCAAACCCAACATTGAATACCATACTAGGCATTTATGAAGTTACATTCAATCACATATTGGAACTGTGACACTGAGGTTGCTAGTTTTGTTGATTAGAGGAACTGTGCTACCATGCCCAGAGGAAGCTTCATATGAGAAAAGCACAATGTTCCTATAAACAAAACATACCAGATTATTGGGTTATTAATCAAACCTCCCTATGTATTATTAATAGCTACCATTTATTGAAATATCTAATTTTTTTAAAGTATAAGGATAATGTTATAATATTTATCATATTTATTTCAGATTGAATTAGAAATACAATGTTACAGGTTTACTGGAAATCCTCTTTATTCCTACACCCATTCTTCTCCCTCTCTAGGCACTGGCAACTACTTATTAAGAATTTGTGTGTATCCTGTTGATGTTGTTTTTTTGTTTTTGTTTTGTTCTGTTTTTTGAGACTGTTCTGTGTTAGTATCCCATGGATCTACATCTGTTGATTTTTTTCCCCAACAGAATTATAAAACTTTTGAGGGCTTATAATCATAATATTAATAATTATAATATATTAATAATAGCTACCACTTATGAAGTACCTACTGTGTGCCAGGTGTTAGGTATAACATTTGAAATATTATTTAATTTCAGTTAATGCTCATGCAATCTGATGATTTAGGTAATATTTCCATTTTAAAAATGAGAAAACTGAGGCATGAAGAGTTTAAATAGCTTGCCTAGACTCACACAGGTAGACAATGGCTAAGCCAAGAACAAAACCAGGTTACACAGGGCTTGAAACTTATACAAGTTGGGGTAAGCAGGCTCTCTTAAAGAAAAAGATCTCAAGTATACAAGTATACATATACAAAATTAGGTAAGAAAGAGAATATTCAGAATGAGAACAGAAACAACTAATTACTTGAGCCTTAGATATGCAAGCCCCTTTCTTCTAAGAGGGCTTTGGACAATTCCCCTAAAATATTTATATTGAAAACACTCCCTGGTTGCCACCTGGCTTCCATCAAGAACATTATGTAACATGCAAATGAACCTGAAGCAGCATTAGCTCATGATAAGCCAGGCCCTGAGGCTGAAGCAGCATTAGCTCATGGTAAGTTGGCCTCTGAGCAGAGATGGGATTTGGTCTTTTCCAGAGCCCAGATCTCAGGCACCTCTTCCCAAGGGCCTGGTACAGTGTTCAGCACATATTAGGGAGCTGTGCCCCTGTATGCTGTCCACCTTCTTCACTCTCTCTCATGCCCTATGTTAATTCTCTTATAATGTCTAATATTACCTACAGTTATCTTACTTGCATGTTTATTGTCTGTTTCTCCCAAACTCCATGAGATCAGGGACCTTGTCAACCTTTGTTCCTCATCGTATCCTCAACATTTAAACAGTGCCTAAGCCTAATTCACAGTATCAGTGAAGATCTATTGAATAAATGAAATAAATGTTGGCTAAAGGAACACATTAAAATGCATTTGGTTTAAGATAGATCAAAACTTAGGGAATTCATACCAGAAAAAGCTTTAATAACAGAGTTTATAGTATTTGATTGTTTGTCTTGAGGCAGGGTCTTACTCTGTCCACCCAGGCTGGAGTGCAGTGGCAGGATCATAGCTGCAGCCTTGACCTCCTAGGCACACGTTATCCTCTCACCTCAGCCTCCTACATAGCCAAGACTACACAGGCATGCCACCAGGCCCAGCTATTTTTTTTTTTTTTTTTTAACTTTTGTAGAGATGGGCTCTCACTATGTTTCCCAGGCTGGTCTAAAACACTTGGCCTCAAGCGATCTTCCCACCTCAGCCTCCCAAAGTGCTGGGATTACAGGTGTGAGCCACCATGCCCAGCCAGAGTTTACAGTGTTAGAAACAATGAGTTCATGTAATCTTCTTTATTTATTTTTATTTTTTTATTTTTTGAGACAGAGTTTCGCTCTTGTTGCCCAGGCTAGAGTGCAATGACGCAATCTTGGCTCATGGCAACCTCCACCTACTGGATTCAAGTGATTCTCCTGCTTCAGCCTCCCAAGTAGCTGGATTACAGGACTGTGCCACCATGCCCGGCTAATTTTTTGTATTTAGTAGAGATGGGATTTCACCGGTTGGTCAGGCTGGTCTCGAACTCCTGACCTCAGGTGATCCACCCACCTCGCCCTCCCAGTGTAATCTTCTTAAAAGCAAATTTATATTTTGTACAAACTATGCATTATATTTAGCTCATTTTCTTATAAAAACATTCAACATTTCAAACCCCCAGTGCAATGAATGAATAGTTCTTCAGCAAGAGTTATTAACTTTTGTTTATAGCAACCATAATAAGGCTGCAATCTAAAATAAAAATATTTAAGAATTATCTTAATTAGCATGGTAATCAAAAAGACATACCCCACGTGCTTTGGGAATCAACAGTCATCTAAAAAAACAGTAACTTCTTTTTTCCAGTGGTAGTTTCTTTTTTATATTTATAGAAATGTAAATTTTGTCCCTTCATGGATTATTTATCTTAAGAAACCATTGGGAAATCAAAAAGGAGAAATGTTTGTTTCTAGGCTATGAATCATAGGAGAAAATTGTACTAAATCTGTTTTTTTTTTTTCACATTGGCCTACTTGAAAGACTATTTCATTTTTTTTTCTCATTTTACATTTAATGAACCCGATCAAAATCCAAAATAGTACAGTTTTGTTTCATAAAGTTACATAATTGTTTTTGAGGAAAAATATAGACTACATAAAGTGATTGCCTGAGATAAATATTTGAAGTTAAAATATCTTTTATTTTCAGTTCTTCTGTTGAGTACGGCAAAAAAAAAAAAGGTCCTCAAAATAACCATAGTTAATGTTTCATTTGATAATGGTTCACTTCCCTGTTGACTTTCCAAGCATCCATCTTGGAAAGAAGAAACAAGCCTCTGTTTCTGTTTACTTTGGTTAACAAGATTTCAAAATCTTCGTTCAGTCTTCTGTTGAGTTTTAAGAGTATACTTGCAGCATCAATTTATTTATATTGCTATCAAATGTATGGGGTTAATAGAACTGGAACAATTGACTGGCCAGCTGCAAAAAATGTTAGATACCTCATTGTTTACATTAAAAAAAAATCCAGAAGAATCAGAAACTTAAACAGAAAAAAAGAAAGAACAAAAGTGAAAGAAGAAAATATAAGGGACTTCTACTTCTTGCAATAATAGATTAGGTAATTCAACCAACTATCCTGTTTAGAACAAGGAAAGATATTTTAAAACATGTACCTGCCATATATGATACAACTATTCCATTCCGAGGTATTTACCCAAAAGAAATAAAAATATATTTCCACAAAAAGACTTTTACACAAATGTTCATAGAAATTTCATTTGTAAGAGCCCAAACTAGAAACAATCCAAATGCCTATCAACTGGTAAATGGATAAACAAATTGTGGATATAGCTATGCAACAGACTGCTACTCAGTATTAAAAAGCAGGGAACTACTGATATATGCAACAACACAAATCAATCTTAATATAATTATTTTGAGGGAAAGAAGCCATACAAAAAAAGAGTAAACACTGTATGCTTTCATTTATATAAAATTCTAGAAAATGCAAGCTAGTTTATCATAACAGAAGGTAAATCAGTGGTTGCGTGGGGATGGAGACTTGTGATGGGGCAGAGGGTAGGGAAGGAAAGATGACCAAGGGCCATGAGGACACTTTTGGGGGTGGTGGATACGTACATTATTTTGATTGTGGTAATGGTTTCATGGTTAAATACCTGTCAAAACTCATCAAATTGTACAATTTATATATGCACACTGTATGTGGACTACACTTTAATCATTGCCTCAGCAATATATACAATAATGACTTCAATCATATATCTCAACAAAAAAAGTCTACTTGAAAGTTTTGGACAGCCTAAAAAGGCACTGAAAAATGACATAGCCAAGATCCAGGAGAAAAGGAATCCCAGAGAGGTGAACCTGGTATTTGGGGTCATTTCTCCCTTTGAGAAGCCCTTTAAATGTTTACCTTAAAAAGAAGAAATACTGAAAATGAATGGGGAAGGTGTCCAACTTAAAGGCTTCAGAAGAGAACAACAGAACAACCCCAAAGAAGTGTAAAGAATGAGAAAATAAAAATAAGAGGCCAGACACAGTAGCCTGTAATCCCAGCACTTTGGGAGGCCAAGTCAGGAGAATCACTTGAGGCCAGGAGGTCAAGACCAGCCTGGGCAACATAACAGGAATTCATTGCTACAAAGAAAATTTTTTTAATTAGCCAGGAATGGTGGCACCTGTAGTTGCCTGTAGTCCCAGCTACTCAGGAGGCCAAGGTAGCGTTATCACTTGAGCCCAGGATTTTGGGCTTACAAGGAGCCATGATCGCACCACTACACTCCAGCCTGGGTGATAGAGACCTTGTCTCGAAACAAACAAACAAACAAGAACAAAAATTAATGAATCCAAAAACAAGAAATAACTAGCACAACCAACAAAATCAAATGTTGATTTTTTTTAAAAGACTGATAAAATACATTCCAGTAAAATGTATAAAATTTATAAAAGAAGAAAAGTGAAAATAAATGTGCTAGGAATAAAAAAGGGGACATAACTACAGAGAAAATACATATATTAAAATCATAAGAAATAAACAACTTTATGCCATACATTTTAAAATGACAATTTTAGAAAAATGTCACTTATAAGGAGAAGTTTTTTAAAAAAACATAATAAACCAATAACCATGAAAATGTTTGTGTTTAAATAGCAAAGACTTGGAACCAATCCAAATGTCCAACAATGATAGACTGCATTAACAAAATGTGGCACATATACACCATGGAATACTATGCAGCCATAAAAAATGATGAATTCATGTCCTTTGTAGGGACATGGATGAAATTGGAAATCATCATTCTCAGTAAAACTATCACAAGGACAAAAAACCAAACACCGCATGTTCTCACTCATAGGTGGGAATTGAACAATGAGAACACATGGACACAGGAAGGGGAACATCACACTCTGGGGACTGTCGTGGGGTAGGGGGAGTGGGGAGGGATAGCATTAGGAGATATACCTAATGCTAAATGACGAGTTAATGGGTGCAGCACACCAGCATGGCACATGTATACATATGTAACTAACCTGCACATTGTGCACATGTACCCTAAAACTTAAAGTATAATAATAATTTTAAAAAAAAGAAAAAAAAAGGTTAAAAAAAGAAAATGTTTGTGTTTAAAAATCCACCTCCTTGTACACACACACACAGGTGTGCACAGCATGCACACAGGTACCACAAATACCAAATCAAAAGCATTTCACAGAAAAGTTCTAGCAAATACTGAAGGAACAGAATCTCAATCTTATGATCCAGAGCATTAAAAAAAAAAATCCATCAATTTAATGAAGCTAATAGTTCATTTAATAAAACTAATGTTAACTATTATACCAAAACTAAATGAGAGTATGTAAAAGGAAGATTATAGGCCAATATCACTTATGAACATAAATGTGAAAGTCATAACTAAATAAAATGTTTCTTAAAATCTGAGTATATAAAAAATTCCTCTTGTCTAAACTGCATTTCTCTGAGAAATAGAAATTAGAACAGTATATTAGAAAAAAAATGTAATTTACCATATTAACAAAGCAAATAAAGTTATGCGATTCAACAGTTGGAGAAAATACATTTGATATAACTCAAAACCCATTCATAAATTTTTTAATTGTAGCAAAATAATAATAGAAAGGAATGTCCTTAATCTGAGAATGGGAACCAGCCAAATTCCTAAAGCAAACATTTTATTTAATGGTAAATGTTCTACACATTCCCTTTAAAGTAGGAAAAGTAAAGGATGTTCATTATCACTGAGCAGTGCAGAAAAAAAAAAGAAAAGAAAAGAAAAAAATTACATAAGAGTTTCAAATAAATAACAGAATTGTTATCATTAATAGATGGTATGATTGTGAACACAGAAAATCCGGGAAAATTTACAGACAAACTCTCAGAGTTCAACAAGTTATTGGAATACAAGACCAATAGGCAAAACTCAATTATTTTTCCATACACCTGGAACAAACAAGTAGCAATAGTAAATTTTAATATCATGCTTTCACAAATGATAAATACTATATAGTACCAAGGACTAAATCTATAATTTATCTGCAAATTTTTTTGTGGAAAAAGTCACAAAACCTTGCTGAAGGACAGTACAGAAGATCTGAATAAATGGAGATGTTTTGCTGTTCACAGATGAGAAGACTCAATATTGTTAAGAGATCAAGACTCTCAAAGTAAATCTATAAAGGCAGTGTAAATCCACTCAAACTACTTGTGCAACTTGACAAGCTGATTCTCAAATTCATATGCGAAAAAAAAAGCAAAAAATTGCCAAAGGCTGTTGAAGAAGAACATATTTGGATATTAAGCTACAGTGATTTAATACAGCATAGTAGTGGTGCAGGGATAGCCAAATATGTCAATGAGAGATAACAGCCAAGAAACTGAAGAATAATATAAAAAACTTGATAGTTGTCAGACATTGTACTAAATATCATGGGGAAAGACTCAACTAGCCAGTAAATTATATTGTAATAAGTGGTTATTCATAAGGAAAAAAGTAAAATTAGAATTCTATTAAACATAATGAAACATATGCTTTCATTTCATTAAGCATAAATGAAAATAAATTTCAGATAAAAATCAAAAGAGAAAAGCAAAACATTAAGTCTTTTAGACTAAAATATAGAAAAGTATATTTATGAATTTAGGGTAAGGAAGAAAGTTTTAACCAAAACATAAATGAAAACCGTAAGGAAAGGCCAAATTTTAAAACCCTGTACCAAAAGACACTGTTAAAAAATGAAAATACTAGTCACTTGAAAGAAGATAGTTGCCATGAAACTGACAAAAGATTAGTATCCAGAATATATTAAAAACATATACCAAAAAAATAAGAGCAGGACAAAGTCCAATGTTTAAAGTAGATAATTCTTAGCAGAAAAAGTCTGAACAGTAAATAAAAATATGACTATATACTCAGTTGTGCTTATAGTTAAGAGAATGCAAGAAAAAAATTAAGGTACAATTCCACACTTATATAAATTGGCAGAAACCACTTTGGAGAGTAATTTTCCCATAAACATGGGCATACCATATGGCCAAGCAATTCTACTTCTAGAGAAAGTTTTGCCCATGTGTACAGAGACCTGCATAAGAATAAATTTGGGAGGATTGTTTGTAAAAGCAAAAAAATGTAAAATAACCTAAATGTCCATCAACAGAAGAAAAAAAATGAATAAATTGTGGTTCATACAATTGAATAATGTTCAATAAATGTTCATACAATTGAATGAAAAATTAGAGCTGCAGGCCAGGCGCGGTGGCTCACACCTGTAATCCCAACACTTTGGGAGGCCGAGGTGGGTGGATCACGAGGTCAGGAGATTGAGATCATCCTGGCCAACATGGTACCCTGTCTCCACTAAAAATACAAAAATTAGCTGGGCATGTTGGTGCATGCCTGTAATCCTAGCTACTCAGGGGGCTGAGGCAGGAGAATCACTTGAACCAGGGAGTCGGAGGTTGCAGTGAGCCGAGACCGTGCCACTGCACTCCAGCCTGGGCAACAGAGTGAGACAGGAGACTCCATTTCAAAAAAAAAAAAAAAAAGAAAAGAAAAATTAGAGCTACAAGTGTCAGCATGGATACTTTTAAAAATATATGTAGTGTGGGAGCAGGTTGAAAGATTACAGAATTATAACACTTATATAAAGTTTTACAGCCTGCAAAACAATATTATAAAAACTTTATGGACAGAAACATATACAGTAATAGGATAAAAACATGCATGGGCAGCCAGCCGCCCCGTCCGGGAGGAGGGGGCCAGCCCCTGCCCGGCCAACCGCCCAGTCCAGGAGGTGGGGGGCAGCCCCCGCCCGGCCAGCCGCCCCGTCCGGGAGGTGGGGGGCAGCCCCCGCCTGGCCGCCCCCGCCTGGCCACCGCCCCGTCTGGGAGGTGGGGGGCGCCTCTGCCCGGCCGCCCCGTCTGGGAAGTGAGGAGCCCCTCTGCCCGGCCGCCACCCCATCTGGGAGGTGTACCCAACAGCTCATTGAGAATGGGCCATGATGACGATGGCGGTTTTGTCGAATAGAAAAGGGGGAAATGTGGGGAAAAGAAAGAGAGATCAGATTGTTACTGTGTCTGTGTAGAAAGAAGTAGACATAAGAGACTCCATTTTGTTCTGTACTAAGAAAAATTCTTCTGCCTTGAGATGCTGTTAATCTATAACCTTACCCCCAACCCCCTGCTCTCTGAAACATGTGCTGTGTTCACTCAGGGTTAAATGGATTAAGGGCGGTGCAAGATGTGCTTTGTTAAACAGATGCTTGAAGGCAGCATGCTCGTTAAGAGTCATCACCACTCCCTAATCTCAAGTACCCAGGGACAAAAACACTGCGGAAGGCGGCAGGGTCCTCTGCCTAGGAAAACCAGAGACCTTTGTTCACATGTTTATCTGCTGACCTTCCCTCCACTATTGTCCTATGACCCTGCCAAATCCCCCTCTCCGAGAAACACCCAAGAATGATCAATAAATACTAAAAAAATTAAAAAAAAAAAAAAAACATTCATGGGGATGATAAATACCAAATTTGGAACATTAATGATTCCTGGGTAGAGAAATGAAATCCGAGTGAGGTTCACCATATTTGTTAGCTTTTATTTCTTAATGAAAGAAGATATGAAACAAACACAAGATGTTATGACTGTGTAAAGTTGTGTGATAGGTACACAGGTAGTGTAGGGGAGGCAAAATTTTATCACTACTTGCAGGGTTCTCCTGCTGAGCCTGAGAATTAAATTAACATAAGACAGATCAACAGGAGAAAGCATTCAATTTTTAAATTTTATTTTATTTTATTTTATTTTGAGACAGGATCTCGCTCTGATGCTCAGGCTGGAGTGCAGTAGCATGATCATGGCTTACTGCGGCCTCAGCCTTCCAACTCAGCATGCCACCCCCTGCCCCCAGGCCACCCAGTAGCTGGGACTACAGGCACAGGCCACCACGCCCAGCTCAAATTTATTTAATATAAATTTTACATGGCACTGGAGCCTTCATGAAGAATAAAGACTCAAAGAAGCAGTTAGGTAGAGTTCAATGAACACTTACATACTGAACTGGACAAAAAATAGTAAATTATGAAACTGGGACAAGGCAAAGGGGCTTGGGCAGGGTAGTTAATTGGGTAGAGAAGCCCATCCTTGATGATAAGAATATTTTCCTTCTTATGTGGAGAGAACAACTTTCACATAGGAATTGTGTCTCCTCCATTAAAGAAACAGAAGGAAGGGCTGGGTGTGTTGGTTCACGCCTATAATCTCAACACTTTGGGAGCCCAAGGCAGGAGGATCCCTTGAGGCCAGGAGTTTGAGACCAGCATGGTCCACATAGCACAACCCCATCTCTACAAAGAATAAAAATTAAAAAATTCCAGCTACTCGGGAGGCTGAGGTTGGAGGGTCGCTTGATCCCAGGAATTTGAGGCTGCAGTGAGCTATGATCGCACCACTGCACTCCAGCCTGGGTGACAGAGCAGACCCCTTCTCTAAAGAAAAGTTGAGTGGGGAAGGTTAGAGTGATCTTCTTACATCTGCTGTTTTTCATGTGCCTTTAGCTCAAAATGGTCAAGGTACCAGGGCAACATATTTTGGGGTGGCAGATTGTTAATTCCTTCAGTAGTTACTATGACATTGCACTATATACTTTTTTGTATGTTTAATGTATTTCATAATTTCAAAAAGAGAGAAACTTGCATAAACAGATACTGAATACCTGTCTGGCAATGAAGTAGTGTGGGGAAATAGACAATGACCCAAGTGATCAAGTCCTCAGTGAATGAGGATGTATGAACTAGGAAGAGTAGAGGGCAGCAACAAAGAGAGTTATCTGGCACCATCGTCTAATGGCATGTGCTTCACAGGGTCTGGATGGAAAAAGGAGCAGGCAGCCTGGTATCAACATTAAATTTAAACATCATTCTTTTCATTTACAGGAGAAGTTTCTGAAGCCCAGGAACCATCAAAAGTCTACATAGGCACAAGTTAATCAACTTTGCTAGCTTGGGGCCCAAATAAAAAGATCTGTGGGCCCCAGATCTTTGCTCATGGCCACAGGGCATGGCAGTGCTCCTAAAATTGTGGTTGATGGTGCAGCAGCCTGAGATTTCCAACCTGAGTCAGTGGTGAAGGAGCACATTGTGGCAATGCTGTGAGGAGAAAATTGGATTCCATTCTTCTGGGTTCATTCCAAGGGAGACACGGAAATCCTCTCAGAGGGAATGAACCTGAGCCAATCTGACTATCAGAACACTTGGGCTTTTCAGTAGAGGCAAGTGAAGCTCTGAGTCCCAGAAGGAGAGCTCATGTCCAGTGCAGCACCCCCTAAAAATATAAATTTGGTATTGGCTAGCAACATCTTGCCAGGACTTGTTTATATTTCTAGACTTCTGTGAATGTTATCCACATTATAAAGTATGTTCCAAACATCAGCTAAAATCACATTTTTTATTTAATAGAGGTAGACGATACCAATGCTGACCTATACAGAAAATCCTGGAACACCTGACTTCTAAGAAGTAACTAAAAACAAACAAATAAATCCTAAGACACAAGGTAACCTCATTGGCACTTGGAAGGAAAGTAGAAGTTTTAAGGCTTTTTGTAGTATTTTATGGGTCTGTACAGCTGGCAGGCCTACCAACAGCCAAAGAGACAATTATAGGGTAATTATAGGGTAAGACAATTACCCTGAGAATTATGGCATCTCAGGGTAAAAAGAAACTTACCTCACTGTACACAAAAAACACTTATCAAAGATGTAATGACTCTCAGAATCAGTGATATTGTTTTACTCAAGATTTGGGAAAGATGTAGGCACAATATTAAGTCTAAAGATTATGTCAGCTCAAAGGATCAAACAAAACATTATAACATGGTTTCATCCACTATGATTTGGGAGAAAGGTTGATGTGGGCCATTTTTAGAAAATCTATAATTAAATAGCTGCAAACAAAGATTTCTTGATATAATTCAGAACACTTGGTGGGGCTGAGCTGTTAAAGATGTACAAAGATTTATTGAAGCAGAAAGAAGAAAATTAAGGGGTGAGGGACAACAGTGCAGGATAGAGGGGGACTGGAGTAAGAAACTGTCCTAGCCAGGAAGAAACAACCATGCTTATTAGTAAAAATTAAAATTCAGTATGGAAAACAGAATCCAAGAAAATACACAAACACATAATGCATTTTGGGGTGATAAGATCATCTTTTCAAATGTACTCTTACTACATTTTTACTACCATTAAAATTGACTAAAATAGAGAATAAGAAGCCAAAAAATAATGTCAATGATTCTGTTAGCTTCACAGCTGAAATTCACTGCGCTCCAGCCTGGCGACAGAGTGAGACTCCGTCTCAAGAAAAGAAAAAAAAAAGAGCCAAAGACCAAGAACGGGTACAAATTATAAGTCAAACAAGTAAGGCCTTCCACTCATGTATCAAGGCTTATTATAAAGTCATGCTAATTAAAAGAGTATAGTCAGAGTTAGACTAATAAACCAATATTTTAAAAATACAAAATGTGGAACTTATCTCTCCAACTGTGGAAAACTGAAATATGACAGCGGTAGCATTGCATTCCAGTCTGGGGGAAGGGATACATTTATTCAGTAAATATTATTAGGGCAATTCATTATTCAAGCAGGAAAAAATCCAGATTCCCATTTTATGTCACTTGGAAAAATAAATTCCAGGTAAATTAAAGAACTAAGTATGAAATATAAAACTTAAAAGTTTTCAAAGAAACTATAGAATAATCTCTTTGTGACTCCAGGGCAAGAAAAGATTTATTCAATAAATGAACAAATACATAAACAAAAAATCCCATACTCTAAAAATATATACAAACAAATGACTGTATTAAAATTTAAGACTTTTATACATAAAAAACAGACCTCTGGAAGAATATATAATATCTGTATTAGTAACCAAATACAAAATATTAAATTAATATTAAATAAATATTAACATTAAATATTAAAATTAACATAAAAAGTTTAAATTTATATATCAATCAGAGAAAGAAAAAACAACAAGGAAATGGATAACATAAATGAACAGGCAATTCACAGAAAAGGAAATCCAAATGACAAATAACACAGGAAAATATACTTATCCTAATTAGTAATCAGGAAAATTCAAAAATAAGGTTTCCTTTCATACCCATCAGACTGGAAACTGCAAAGTTTCTCAGAGCTAAGTGTTGGACTCATGTGGAGCAACAACAGTTCTCATATCTTTCTGGGATGCACCTACTTCACAGAGCAATTTGGCAACATTTGATAAAAATGAAGATGCACAGTCAATTCACTTCTGATAGGTACTAGTATTTTCAGTGCAGCATTGTATTTAATAGCAGAAGAAAAGGAAACAATCTAAATGTCCACCAACAAGAGAATGAATAAATGAATTGTGGTTTATTAACCCAATGTAAAAATGAAAGAACTAGAGCTGGGCCAGGTGCAGTGGCTCACAACTGTAATCCCAGCACTTCGGGAGGCCAAGGTGGGTAGATCACGAGGTCAGGAGTTCAAGACCAGCCTAGCCAAGATGATGAAACCCCATCTCTACTAAAAATACAAAAATTAGCCAGGTGTGGTGGTGGGTGCCTGGAATCCCAGCTACTCAGGAGGCTGAGGCAGAGAATTACTTGAATCCAGGAGGCAGAGGTTGCGGTGAGCCAAGATCAGGACATTGCACTCCAGCCTGGGCAACAGAGAGAGACTTCGTCTCAAAATAAAAAATAAAAAAAAAGAACCAGAGCTACATATGTCAGCATGGGTAAATCCCTTTCACTGAGTGAAAAAGAAGTGGGAAGGAACACAAGGAAAGGAAAGACATTGGCCAGTGGATACAAAGTTATAGTTAGATAGGAGAAAGAAGTTCTGGTATTCTATTGCATGGCAGGAGGACTATAGTTAATAATAATGTACATTTCAAAACAGCTACAAGAGAGGATTTTAAATGTTCTCACCACAAAGAAGTGATAAACATTTGAGGTAATGGATATGTGAACTACCCTGATTTGATCCTTCCCTAATGTATCAAAATATCACATTATACCCTATAAATATACATAATTATTATTTGTCAAATAAAAATTTATTTAAAAGACAATTTGCAAACATATATATGTATTACTTATTTTTATATACACATTTACCATGAAATTTAAAAATAAAAGCAAATAGTTATAGATAGTAATTATATTACATAAATGTGCAATAAAAGCATATGAACATTTATAAAGCTGTTAAACATTAAACCTCTGACAGTAATTGACTCAGAGAAGAAAAAAGGGTAATAGGACTGGAGATAAATACAGAGCAGGCTTCAACTCTATCTGTATCGTTTTCTTTCTCTCCAAAAATCTATAATAAATATGGCAAAATGTTAACATTTGAAAGATATGAGTAGTGGCTATAATTTATTCAACAAATACTCACTAGAATGTGTCAAGCACTGTTCCAGGCTGGGGATACAGCAATGACTAGGACATCAAAGTCTCCAACCACACAAAGCTCACATTGTATTGGGAAGATGGACCACATAAAAATAAAACAAATTTCTATGATAGATAGTTAAGTGCTGTGAAGAAAAATAAAGCAAAAAAAAAAAAAAAGTGATTGAGGGGGAGTATTCTGGAAAAATTGCAGAGTAGGGAGCACCAGAAATTTGTCTTCCCACCTAGACAACAATTATACTGGCAGAATGTGTCTGGTTTAACCATAGCTGAGAGCTGTGTACGTGTTGCTGGAGCAGCTTACACAGCTTGCTGGAGCCAGAATGGGCAAAACAAGCGTTGTTCTCCAAATACTAGGGATCTGTGTTCAGATTACTGATAGCTGCTTCTGATCACAGATTTGCAGACAAACGGCAGGTGACCATTGCTATTTCACTCCTTCTCATTGTTGCAAGCCCCTCCCCCTCCAGCTGAGGTGACTTTCAATGGATTTAAAAGGCCAGCACCATTTTTTTCTTTCTTCACTTTTCTTTTTTGTCTTTTTTTGGATCCAGACTTTAAAGACTATGACTTTCAAAAACAACTGCATCAGAAAAATGAGAAAGTGACCACACATGTCCAGGGAAGGGTACAAGCTCAGAGAAGACCTGAGAAAACCTTAAGTTTAATATTCAGGATGATCCTTGGTAAAGAGACAACCTACCACAATAAAAAAATAAATAAATCAACAATAACAGAAACAGCAAACCCTGGCAAAAGGAGTTTTCCAGAGAATCTGATTTCCAGAGTTACCACATTATTAGATTCAAATGTCCAGTTTTCAACAAAAATATCAAAAGGAATACAAAGAAACAGGAAAGTTTAGCACATTAAAAGAAAAAAAATACATCAACAGAAACTGTTCCTGAAAAAGACCTGATGGAAGAGCTACTAGACAATGATTAAAACGATTGTCTCAAAGATGCCCAAAAAACTAAAGGAAGATGTACAGAAAGTCAAAAAAATGATGATAAACAAAATGGAAATATCAGTAGAGACAGAAAACCTAAAAAGATACCAAAAAGAATTGCTGAAGCTGAAAAGTACAATAACTGTAATTAAAAGTTCGCTAAAGGAATTCAAAGGCAGATTTGAGCATGCAGAAAAAAGAATCAGTGAACTTGAAGACAGGACAATGGAAATTATCTAGTCTGAGAAACAGAAAGAAAAAAAGGTTGAAGAAAAGTGAACAGAGCCAAAGGGACATGTTGGATACCATCAAGTGGATTAATATACACATTGTCAGAATTAAACAAGAAGAAAGAGAAAAAGGGGCAAAGAGAATATTTGGAGAAATAATGGCTGAAAACTTCCCAAATTTGATAAAAGGTATGAATATAAACATCCAATAAGCTCAATTAATTCCAAGAAAGATGATTTCAAGACAGAGAGAATCTTGAAAGCAGCAAAAGTAACTCATCACATAAAATGGATTCTTAATAAGACTCTCAGCAGATTTCTCATCTGTGACTTTGGAGGCCGGAGGTAGTGGGCCAATATAGTCAAAGTGCTAAAAGAAAACAACCTGTTAATCAAGAATCCTATATCCAGCAAAATTGTCCTTTAAAAAAGTTAGAAATTATTAGGTTGGTGCAAAAGTAATTGCAGTTGTTATTCTTCAAAAGAATTGTTATTCTTCAAAAAGAATAACAATTACTTTTAAAATGGCAAAAACCACAATTACTTTTGCACCAACCTAATAAGCTATTCCTAGATAAATAAAAGTTATGAGAGTTAGTTACTGCTAGATCTGCCATGCAAGCAATTAAATAGTTCTATACAGTAAATCAAAGACATATGAAGAAATAAATATCTCAACTAAGGTAAATACACAGGCAATCAGAAAAGCTAGCATTTTTGTAACAATGGTTTGTAACTTTTTTTCTGTATTATTTAAGAGACTAAAGCATTTAAAAGAATTATTAGTTTATGTTTTGGGGCACAAAATGTATAAGAATGTAATTTTGTAACATCAACAACTGAAAGGGGCAAGAATGGAGCTATAAAGAAGCAGAGTTTTTATGTGTTATTGAAGTTAAACTAGTAAAAATTCAAAATAGCGTTATAACTTTAGTATGTTAAATGTCATCCCCATGGTAACCACAAAGAAAATAGCTATAGATTATACACAAAAGGACATTAGAAAGGAACTCAAAATTTTTACTACTAAAAAAACAAGTAATTACAAAAGAAGACAGCAATGACAGAAATGAGAGACAAAAATGCTACAGGAAAATTGAAAACAAGTAGCAAAATTACAGAAGTAATTAATAATAATTACTTTAAATGTAAATGTATTAAACTCTCCAGTCAAAATACAGATATTGGCAGAATGGATCAAAACACATGCTCCAAATATACGCTATCAATAAGAGACTCACTTTCAATCCAAAGGCACAAATAAGTGGAAAGCAAAAGTATGGAAAAAGATAGTTTATGCAAATAATTACCAAAGAGAGCAGAGGGGGCTATACTGATGTCAGGCAAAAGAGACTTTAAGTCAAAAAAGATTACGAGAGAGAAATATATACATGCATGTATATATTCAAAAAGCTTCAATACAATTATAAGCATTTACACACCTAATAACAGACCATCAAAATATGAAGCAAAAGCTCATAGAATTAAAGAGAGAAATAGACAGTTCTACAATAATAGTTGGAACTTCAATATTCTACTTTTAATATTGAATAGAACAATCACGCAGAAGATAAGGAAATAGAGGACTTAGACAACACAAAAAACCAACCAATCTATTGAATATATATATATATAATATATATATAAATACACACTGTATTTGTCAATTCTCACATTGCTATAAAGAATGACCTGAGACTGGGTAGTTTATAAAGAAAAGAGGTTTAATTGGTTCACGGTTTCACAGGCTATACAGGAAGCATGGCTGGGGAGGCCTTGAGGAACTTACAATCATGGCAGAAGGCAAAGGGGAAGCAGGCATGTCTTACATGGCTGGAGCAGGAGGAAGAGTGAAGGGGTAGGTGCTACCCACTTTTAAAAACAACCAGATCTCATAAGAACTCGTTTACTCTCATGAGAACAGCAAAGGGGAAGTCAACACCATGATCCAATCACATCCCACCAGGCCCCTCCTCCAGCACTGGTGATTACAATTCAACATGAGATTTGGGCGGGGAAATAAATCCAAACCATATCACACACACTATATATATGTTGTATTATATATAATATTATATTATCTATTAGATCAATAAACCAATAGATCTAACAGACATATGCAAAATATTCTATGTAACAACAGCATACGCATTCTTCTCAAGTGCACGTAGGACATTTTCCAGAATAGACCATATATTAGGCCACAAATTAAGTCTTATATTTAAAAAGATAGACATCATACGAAGTATCTACTCTGATGACAGCGAGAAGTTAGAAATCAATAACATAAATTCATAAATTTGTGGAAATTAAACAACACACTCTTAAATCACCAATGGGTCAAAGAAGAAATAACAAGGGAAATTAGAAAATATTTACAGGAGAAACAAAATTTAAAAAAAAATACCAAAACTTATGGGATGCAATGACAGCAGTGCTAAGGGAGAAATTTATAGCTTTAAACACTTACATTAAAAAACAAGAAACATCTCAAATCAACAACCTAACTTTACAAATTAAAGAACTAGAGGCCGGGTGCGGTGGCTCATGCCTGTAATCTCAGCACTTTCAAAGGCCAAGGCAGGTGGATCACGAGGTCAGGAGTTCAAGACCAGCCTGGTCAAGATGGTGAAACCCCATCTCTACTAAAAATACAAAAATTAGCTGGGCGTGGTGGCGGGCACCTGTAATCCCAGCTACTCAGGAGGCTGAGGCAGGAGAATCACTTGAACCTGGGAGGCAGAGGTTGCAGTGAGCCGAGATCGCGCCATTGCACTCTAGCCTGGGCGACAGAGCAAGAGTCCGTCTCAAAAAATAAAATAGAACAAACTAAACCCAAAGCTAGCAGAAGGAAGAAAATAATAAAGATCAAAGCAGAGATAAATAGAGAAGAGAAAAACAAAAGAGAAAAATCAATGAAACCAAAAGTTGGTTCTTCAAAAAGATGAACAAAAATGACAAATCTTTAGCCAAACAGACTAAGAAAAAAAAAGAGAGAAGACTCAAATTATAAAAATCAGAAATGTAAGGACATTACTACTGATTCTATAGAAATTTTAAAAGACTGAAAGAGAATACCATGAACAATTGTACACCAATAAATTGAATAACCTATATGAAATGGACAAACTCCTAGAAACACAAAACATACCAAGACTAAATCATGAATAAATGGAAAATCTGAATAGACCCATAACTAGTAAGGAGACAATCAGTAATCAAAAATCTCCCAACAAAGTACAGCCCTGGACCTGATGGCTTCAGGGGTGTATTCTATCAAACATTTAAAGAAGTAAAACCAATCCTTCTCAAATCTTTAATTTTAAAAAATTTTAAAAATTTTTAAATATTAAAAAATTTTCTTTAATTTTTACAGAAAGATTTGAGAAGGATCTTTAATTTTAATCTAAAAATTAAAAAGAAAGGAACACTTCCTAATTCAGTCTTTGAGGTCAGCATTACTCTGATGCCAAAAACCAGACAAAGACACTATAAGAAAACTACAAACCAATATCCCTTATGAACACTGATATAAAAATATTCAACAAAATATTAGCAAACCAAATTCAGCAGCATCTTAAAAGTATTATACGACATGACTCAGTGGAATTTATTCTTGGAATACAAGAATGGTTCAACATACAAATATTAGTCAATGTAATATAACACATTAACAGAATGAAGGAAAAACAACACATGATTATCTCAATTGATGCAGAAAAAGCATTTGACAAAATTCAGCACCCTTTCACAATTAAAAACACGCACACACACACTGAAGAAAACTAGGAACAGATGGAAACTATGTCAACATAATAAAAACCATATATGAAAAACCTGCAATGAATATCATATTCAATGACGAAAGACTAAAATCTTTTCCTTTAAGAAAACAAAGAAGCTAAGCACAGTGGCTCATGCCTGTAATCCCAGCATTTTGGGAGGCTGAGGCAGGCAGATCGCAAGGTCAGGAGAACGAGACCAGCCTGGCCAACATGGTGAAACCGCGTCTCTACTAAAAATACAAATATTAGCTGGGTGTGTTGGCGGATGCCTGTAATTCCAGCTACTCAAGAGGCTGAGGCAGGAGAATTGCTTGAACCCAGGAGGGGAGGTTGCAGTGAGCCAAGATCGCGCCATTGCTCTCCAGCATGGGTGACAGAGCGAGACTCCATCTCAAAAAAAAAAAAAAAAGAAAACAAAGAAAGGATGCTTCCTTTCACCACATTTATTCAACATAGTAACATAGTACTGGAGTTCTAGCTAGACAATTAGGTAAAGAGAGAGAGATCAAAATTGGGAAAAAAGAAGTAAAATGATCTCTGTTCCCAGATGATATGATTTTATCTGTAGAAAATCCTAAAGATTCCACAAAAACACTCTTAGAACTAATAAGTGAATTTAACAAAGTAGCAGGAAACAAAATCAACAGACAAAAATCAGTTGCATTTCTCTATACTAACAATGAACTAGTTAGTTCCTTTTGGAAAAGGAAATTACAAAAACAATTCTACTTAAAACTGCATCAAAAAGAGTAAAATACTTATGAATCAACCAAGGAGGTAAAAAACTTAAGCAACAAAAAATATAAAACATTGCTAAAATAAATTAAAGGAGACATAATAGAAACACACCTCATAGTCATGGATTAGAAGACTTAATAAGATGTCACAATACTATCCAAAGTGATCTACAGATCCAGTGCAATCCCTATTATCCAATGACTTTTTTGGCAGAAATAGAAAAACCCATCCAGGGACGTATTTTCCTCTATCCTCCCTAGGCTGGGGCTGTCTCAGGTCTTGGGACTCTGGCAGGGGACTGCCGGGCAGAGGCAAAGGGACTGCAGCCTCTGTGGTTGGCCAGGCCAGGCTCCAGGGAGAAAAGCAAATGCTGGGCTAGGGTAGGGGCTGGGTGGGGGCAGATCTGGTGCCGCTGGCAGGAAGCACTTTATCTCTGACCTGGCCAAACATCCTCCAACCCCAAGAGAAATGGCTTTTCCTCCCAGACCAGAGCTACAGGTGGGCCAGGAAAAATGGACTGCAAGTCCAGGACAGGTGAACACTGGGTCTGCCTGCCAGAGAAAGGTTTTCTTCATCATTGTCTTTTTGGCACGGCCTGACTTTACACTGTGTGGGTGGTCCCAAGAAGCACCTGAAGTGAGCAGCAGCCCCAAAGCATTGGATGCTGGATGAATTAACCGGTATGTTTGCTCCTTGTACATCCACTGGTCCCTACAAGCTGAGAGTCTCTCCTCATCATTTTCCTAAGGAACTGACTTAAGTATACCCTGACAGGAGATGAAGAAAAGAAGATCTGCATGCAGCGGTTCATTAAGATTAATGGCAAGGTCTGAACTGATATAACCTACCCTTCTGGTTTCATGAATGTCATCAGCATTGACAAGACCAGAGAGCATTTCCATCTAATCTATGACACTAAGGGTCACTTCGCTGTTCATCCTATTACACCCCAGAAGACAAAGTACAAGTTGTGCAAAGTGAGAAAAACCTTTGTGAGCACAAAAGGAATCCCTCATCTGGTGACTCATGACGCTTTCACCGTCTGCTACCCTGATTCCCTCATCAAGGTGAATGACCCCATTTAGACTGACTTGTAGACTGGCAAGATTACTGATTTCCTCAAGTTTGACACTGGTAGCGTACGTATGGTTACTGGAGGTGCTAATCTGAGACAAACTGGTGTGATCACCAACAGAGAAAAGACATCTTGGATCTTTTGATGTGGTTCATGTGAAAGATGCCAATGGCAACAGCTTTATCACCAGGCTCTCCAACATTTTTGACATTGGCAAGGGCAGCCACTGCTGAAGACAGAGACAAGAGACTGGCAGCCAAATCAGTGGGTAAAATGTTCTCTAAGTTACATGTTAGAAAGGTCTTTGTACTTAATTAAAGATAATACAGCATGAAAAAAAAGAAAGAAAGAAAACCCCACCCTAAAATTCAAATAGAAGCTCAAGAGTCCTGAATGGTCAAAACAATATCAAAAAAAGAACAAATCTGGGAGACTCACACTTCCTGATTTCAACATTTACTACAAAGCTACAGTAATTATAACATGTGGTGATGACACAGGATAGATGTATAGATCAGTGGACTAGAATTAAGAGTCCAAAAATAAACTTTCACAGATATAGTAAATTGATTTTTAATTGGGTACCAAGGCCATTCAATGGGTAAAGAATAATCTCTTCAACAAATAGTGCTGAGATAACTGGATATCCACATACAAATGAAGGAAGTTGGACCCTTACCTTACATTACTTACAAAAAGTAACTCAAAATGTATCAAATACCTAAGTGTAAGACCTAAGATTATAAAACTTTTAGAAGGGCAAAAGCTTCATGACACTGGATTTCACAATGATTTCTTGGATATAACACCAAAGGCACAGGCAACAAAAGAAAAAAAATAGACAAATTGGACTTAAAGAAAAATTTTGAACTTTGTGCATGAAAAGAGTAAAAAAGGCAACCTACAGAATGAGAGGAAATACTTGCAAACTATACATCTGACAAGGATTAATATCCAGAATATATAAAGAACTCCTAAAGCTCAACAACAAAAGATCCAATTAAAAAACGGGCAACGAACTTGAATAGACATTTCTCCAACAAGGATATATAAACGGCCAATAAGCATATGAAAAGATGCTCAACATCACTAATCATTAGAGAAATGCACATCAAAACTACAATGATATACTACTTCACACCCATTAGAATGGCTACTATTTAAAAAAAAACAAAACAGAAAATAAGAAGTGTTGGTGAGGATGTAGAGAAATTGGAACCCTTGTGCACTGTTAGTAAGAATGTAAAATGGTACAGCCACTGTGAAAAACAGCACAGAAGTTCCTCAAGAAATTAAAAATAGAACTATCATATGATCCAGCAATTCCACTTCTGGGTATATGCCCAAAATTATTAAAAACAGGGTCTTGAGATATGTGTAAACCCATGTTCATAGAAGTTATTCACAATAGTTAAAACATGGAAGCAATCCAAGTGTCCATCAACAGATAAATGGATAAACAAAATGTGGTATACACTACAATGGAATAATATTTAGCCTTATAAAGAAATTCTGACATATGCTACAACAGAGATGAACCTTGACAACATTATACTAAGTGAAATAAGCCAGTCACAGAAAGACAAATACCGTATAAGTCCACTTATATGAGTTACTTAGAGCAGTCAAAATTATAGAGACAGACAGTAGAGTGGTGGTTGCCAGAAGCCGAGGGGAGGAAGAAATGGGGAGTTGTTATTTCGTGGGTACAGTTTCAGGTTTACAAGATAGAAAGAGTTATGGCAGCCAGGTGTGGTGTCGTGTGCCTGTAGTCTCAACAACTCGGGAGGCTGAGGCGGGAGGATCGCTTGAGGTCAGGAGTTCGAGGATATAGTGCAGTATGACTGCGCCTGCAAACAGCCACTACACTCCAGCCTAAGCAACATGAAACTCTATCTCTTTTAAAAGTTTTAAAATTTTAAAATAAATTTTAGCCTGGGTATGGTGGCTCACGCCTATAATCCCAGCACTTTGGAAGGTCGAGGCAGGCAGATTGCTTCAGCCCAGTAGACCAGCCTGGGCAACAGGGCAAAACCATGTCTCCACAAAAAACACAAAAATTAGCTGGGCATAGTGCTGCATGCCTGTAATCCCAGCTACTCGGGAGGCTGAGATGGAAGGATCACTTGAGCCCAGGAGGTTGTGGCTTCAGTGAGCCAAGATCATGCCATTGCACTCCAGCCTGGGTGACAAACCAAGGCCCTGTCTTGAAAAATAAAATAAATTTAAAAAAATTTTTTTAGGAATTACGGAAATGGATGGTGGTGATGGTTACACAACATTATGAACGTATTTAATACCACAGAACTGTACACTTAAAATGGTTAAGATTGTAAATGTTATATGTATTTTAACACAAAAAACTGGAGGTGTGTTATGTGTACATTTTAACACAATAAAAAATTACAGGTGTGGTGGCTCATGCCTGTAATCCCAGCACTCTGGGAGGATCATTTGAGCCCAGGAGTTTGAGACTGCAGTGAGCTATGATCACGCCACTGCACTCCAGCCTGGGCAACAAGAGTAAGACCTTGCCTTGAAAAAAAAAAAAAAATGGAGGAAAATATTTATGCAGGGGTGGGCAGTATGCCATTCAAACAGCATGGATTCAGCCCAGCACACTGGCTCATGCCTGTAATATCAGCACTTTGGGACGCCAAGGTGGGAGGATTGCTTGAGACCAAAAGTTGGAGACCAACCTGGGCAACAAAGTGAGACCTTGTTTCTTAAAGAAAAAGAACAAAACAAACCAAAAAACCCACAAAAACACAAATAGTACAGTTAATGGTTAGGAAGGCTACTCTGAGGAGGTGATGACTGAGCACCTAGATGTAAACTAATTAAGGAAGCCAGTGATGTTTAGGAATGTTTTCTTCTACATGAAAACAACACAACATTTCCTAGAAACATAAAAGAAGACATAAATATCTAGGGAGACATTCCATATTCCTGGATGAATACTCTAAATTATCTCATTTTTTTCTCAAAATTAATTGACAAAATAATTCTAAGATTAATCCAGAAAAATAACTGATATAGAGTAACCAACAAAATACTGAAAAAGAAGGATACTACAGAGGAATTTGATCTCCTAAATAATAATAAATCTTGAAATCCATATTAATTAAAATACTGTTCAAGAACAGAAAAATCAATAGGGAAAGAATGGATTATTTAAGTGTTATTACAATTGGGCAACCGTTTTCTAAAATTTAGATTCCTAACTCATTCCTCACACCAAAATTATAGATGGCAGAACCTGCAGAAATGAAAATAAGCATCTCTGAATTTCGGCGTTTTTTAAAAAACCTAGAACATCGTAAGTTCTCAAACACTGTATGGCAAATGAATTAATAAATGAATGAGATGAGACATAGAGCCCCTTACTGAGGAAATGAAAGGAGTTACCTTGCATTTTGTTATTTGTTTAATTCACTCGTTTATCCATTTAATTCACCTATATCGAGCACCCACTTGGTGCCGTCAACATCTCAAGATATAGGAATGACTGAAGTCTCAACATGTCCAGGAAGGTCGATCATATTTCTCACAATAAAGGGCTCCACCCAGGTCCAACTTTCAAGCAGATCCCCTTTTACCTAAAAGGTACTTAGCATTCTGGAAGCCTCAGTATTTGTTCCTTCCATTACAGGAACCCAGATGTAGTCTGCTCACAGTACTAACGAAAAGAGTGGATCTTCTAATTCATCTTCCTCAGCAGCACAAACTCTTCCCACCCTAGGAGCAGAAACCAGGCTGAGATGTATGGAAGCCTCCAGTACTAAGCTACCCAGACAGAAAGCAACATCCAGGTCAAAGCATCACTGTCCGACCACATGACCCTTCTACACCTGGGCCCCGAAGGCACTGCTAGGAGTCAACAGCTCCACCTGGTGACCAGAGGCTGGCCTTCATCAAAGGCTCAGGCACTGCAGCAGTTGAGAATTTCTCTTTATGGGTATTTCCTCAGGCATAAATACAGTAACTAAAACATATGTTTTCATTGTCTGCTACTTATGGAATAAACATTAATGTTTTGTGTTTTCAAAGCTATTTAAGTCAAAAAAATCCTTTAATAATGTTTATGGAGAACTGAAAAATTGTTACTGGAGGTCTCACAAAAAAAATCACAGTGAAAAAACAAATAATTCTGTGCAAAAGTCTGTTTATTAAACCTATATTCATCTTACAACAAAATCAGAAGTTAATAACTAAGGTGTCACTGATTTCAAGACTATTTCCATCAAACTTTAAAGTTTGCTCATTTTTCATTTAATTAATAATTTAATACCCACCCCCCTACCAACACGACCCATGGGGAGACAATAAGTGTAAAGCTCTGACAATATAAAATGCTGTGGAAAATAATCCTGTCAGTCATATTGATAGCTAGAATGATTTGCCAGTTTTTATAGCCATCATAACAGCAGCCTGTGATTTGAAATCTCATAAAACAGGAAGCTGTGTGCTTAAAGACATGCCTGGAATTCCTGATGTGATGGGAGACAATTGTTGTGATCTGTTGCTGCCACCAGCAGGCCATTCTCACAAAATGGTATTTTCCCCTTTGCTTTTTGTTTCCAACTTACCTACTGATATTTCTTGACCACCACATTCTTTAATCAGGATAAATAATTAGATAAAAAAACAAATCTTTTTCATGGGTATCCTCAGTAACAATCACTTCTTTAAAATCTACCATATATAACCTTTTTAAAATTTATTTAACAAACAGGCCTAATCTTTCTGCTTATCTTTTATTCCTTTTTTTTTTCATAAGCTCCTAAATCCTTGCATTTTTTAAATCAGGTTCCTGGTAAATATATCTTAATATGAGAACAAGTGATCCTGGCATAAAAGGTAGAAGCCCACAGTTCATCACACTGATGACTGCTATAAGATATTCCTTAAATTTTCATTTAGCTGGCGAATTTAAGGCTGGTGCATACAAACAAGTTCTATAGCCACATCAACCTGGGATCAGATCCAGCTTCTTAGCATTGTGCTCTTGGGAAGCATTTAACCTTTCTAGGCATCAGTATCCTCCCTGTAAAATGAGGATAATAATAATACCCATGTCTTAGGATTGACAAGAGGAATAAATGAAATAATGCATATAAAGCATTTAGCAAAATGTCTGGCACATAGTAAGCCATCAATGAATGACTCATTATTATTATTAAAGTGTAAAAATTAAGACTTCCATACAATCAGAAGCCAAATCAATGGGAGAGTTCTGACTAGAACCTCCAAATCTGCTGATTCCAAGCCAAGGGCTTTGAACATCGTATTGCAATGATGCTTTCTATTTATCTAATTAAGATGAAGACTCTGGTTCTTTTGGGATAGGCCAAGATTGCTGAAAACATCACTTTTCAAATATGAAGTCCTTTTTAAGCCCAGAATTAGACAAACCATTAGGTTCCACTGGACGTCCCTCCTACATCTGAAAACAGCTTTCTCCCCCTTGGATGACAGAAGTGGTATTTTTATGGTAATATTTCTCATAAGAAGCAAGTACATGAGATTCCTCTTTAAGCTCTGAAATTTCTTTCTTTTGCAGAGCTTCAGATAAATAAAGCAGCTTTCCATTATGTGTTTCTGTCTAGCAAGGCTATTCAATATGTTCATGGTGGAGCATAGGCATGAGGGGCGCTCTCCAGCACAGTTAGTGGAAACAATTTCTAGTCTAGTTCAAAGCAGTAACTAAAGCCAGGTTCCTTTGATGTCTTACTGAGAAAGCTGCCCTGCAGCATAAGACAGGGCAGTGTGAATTCCCGTCTAGCCTTGTGGCTGAAGTTTTGTGGATCAGGAGCTGGGGAAGACCAGAAGTGCCAAAGGTCTACTTTGCTACAGAGAAAATAAGTGAAGCGACTGTGTCTCAATGGTAAGTCTTGCATAGGTACCTTTAAAATATTGTCCTATAATTAGATTTTTATCTCCCTTTCAACTTGAATGAGGAATCATTCTGGACTTGCTGTCTCATCAAATGTTAAATTATATACTAATTATTCCTATGTCTGCAATTCTTTCTAAACAAGGATTTCCAAAAACTTTTCCACCCTTTGGAGGTTAACTTACTGCATGGAAACTAAATACTGGAGGTTACTGAGTACCAAGATTAGAGGGGGAATTTACAGTGTTTGCTTCCCAAATTAGCTTTATTAAAGGGACTAGAAAGTTTTATAAAGGGTATGGATTGTTAGCAAGTGATAGAAAAATTTATTGATCTCAATCCCATCTCAATACACAGGCACCAGAGCCTTCTTTATTGCCCGTTATGTTTTTTAAGGCTCTAGTTCTGCACAATCAATGGTGGTTCACAGCGTGTGGGAAACAAATGGACAGCAATGCTCTTTGGCATTTGGTCAACCCTCTGAATCATGTAGCTCTTTCCCATCTTTTAAGGGTGTAACCCCTTCTAAGAATTTTATTGCCAAAGACAATATGACAATATATCTAACTGATCTCAAAGCCACTTTTTAGTGCCTCCACTACAGAGAAAGTGTTTGTACTCATCCAGTGGTCTTTTCCTGTCCCACATTTCCCTTTGTTTCCATAGAAAGGTTGGACACCGCTGACCATTCTTCAAGTCCTCGACAATTTGCTGAGCAGATACTCACCATGGGTCAGGCTCTAGGACACCATGGGAAAAACTGAGGCAGAAGCACACTCAGCATTTAAGGTACAGCAAGGGGGGGAGTGGGAATGAAGTGTAGTTAGTGAGGGGAGATGAAGTCAGAAAGATAATGGGGCCAGATCATGTTAGGCCTGGAGGCCACTGTGAAATTTTTAACTTAGACTCTGAGCGAAAGATTGAGGGAAAAACGTAATAAATAATTTTTTCCTTTGGTAATTAAGAGCAAAATTACCAAATGATCAGAAGTAGATAACTAGTATTAGGTACCATGTTTCTATCACCCTAGGCATTGCCAGAGGGCCTTCCACAGACACACCCAGGCACCTCAGGATTGAGCCAGAAGTTCAGAGAGGCCCATAACCTGGTTTCATAAATTAGCCCATGAACTGGGGTCTGAACAGGGGCTTTGGCCCCACACCATTCACCTTCCTCTTGCTTTCTTACACTTGCCCACTCCTAATTTCCCTAATCTCTGCCCCAGGAACTTCTCATTAATCAGTAGACTGAGCAGGATAGTGGCTGCTCTGTATGATAAACCAAGTCCCTTATTCCAGCTGGCATGCCCTTGACTTTGCAGAGCTGTGGCCCCTCCTAACTGCCTCTGGACTCTGGTGTAACGCGTGAGCTGGCTTAAGTTAGTTTAGCCACTGAGTAGAAAAGAACATAAAGGCCAGGAAGGAAAAAAAAAAACATCACTCACAGCCGCCTTAGAGCCACCTCGTTTGATGCCCCCTGAGTTAGAAACTGATTTCCAAGGCCAACCATGGGGAAAAATCTGGCTACATTCCAACCTTATCGTGTTTAATGAGGCCTCATGATGAAAACACAAGGCTTCTCCTTGATGATTCCCTCCTATGGCAGAGGTCTGAATAAATAAAGGAAGAAATATTAGAGCAGCTGGTTTCAGATAATAAAGCTAGCAGTATATGATTTACTAGTGATTGAAATTAAAAATATGAATAGGATTCAGAGGATAAAGGTTAAGGTGACACACGATTGCTACAGTTATTGCTAACAGAAAATAGTCATTACTTGTTAACATTTCTAAAGCGTTGATACAAGCCACAGGCTATCAGCACTACTGCTGCTCTCATTATGACAGATTAAATAATCATATAAATAATCACTCCGTCCAAAACTTGATAACAAATTCGACAATGCCAAAAACAAAAACAAAAACCATAGCCTATATGTACACCAACCTTCTTTGCAAAGCTCTCTTATAAACTACTTTTTCAAAGCTCCCCACTATACCCAGTATCTAGTGAATGGCTTTACCATTGGTGTCATTAAAATTGTACTGACTGGCCATTGTCAGAGGGAAGCGCTTCTTCACCTTTCTGGTGAAGGGAGCTCAGTTTATTTAACTCCTGGCCTCCCTTTGCAACCTGTTTCACCCTTCCCCTTGGGAGATAGTGACCTCTCTGACTGGTAAATTTATCAAGAATATCTCCACCTTGACGTGTGGTTAATTTGATCAATGGGATGTAAATGAAAATGTGGTATGCAATTTTGAGAATAAGCCCTTAAGAGGAAGTCTTCTCCTTCTCTTTCCTGTTGGCTGAAATGCAAATATGATTACTGGATCCAGTGTATACCACAAGGTGGAAGCTGCATAATAGGGACTGGGGAGCCACAACAAGCTAGGAGCTGGGGTCCCCAGCGACTGAAATTACACCAGCCCAGACTGCCGACCCAGACTTTCACCTGAGAAATAAACTTCTGCCTTACTTAAGCCCCTGTATTACAGGTTTTCTGACAATTACAGCCACAAAATAGCAGCAGGGAGTCCAAGAATGCTGGGGGAAAAGGCACAGCCCAGGAAAAAGTGATTAGAGGATACCCAGAGAAATAAGTCCAAATAAAAAGGTTTAGTGACTGAGATTAAGCATGAACAAAAGGTATATAAATAAGAGGAAAAAACAAGCATTTGGCAAACCATACTAACAAGTCATGAACTTATATTTATACACTAAGATTTGTATTCATGTACATATAATGGATCCTTGTTAATAAGCATAAATATATTAAATGAATATTCATAAAGCACTTAGAAAAGTCCCTGGCAGGCAATGAGTGCTACACAGCTGCTATTAATTTAAAATAAAATAAATAAGAGTAAATGATGTGATGGTTAATTTTATGTCAACCTAGCTAGACTATGGTGCCCAGTTGTTTGGTCAAACACTAGTCTAGAGGTTGCTGTACAGGTATTTGTGGATGTGGTTAACATTTACACTAAGTTTTCTTTAAGTAAAGCAGATTACCCTCTATAATGTGAGTGGGCCTCATTCAATCAGCTGAAAGCAATAAAAGCAAAGACTGAGGTTTCCAAAAGAAGAAGGAATTCCTCAAAACTGCAACATGGAAATTCTGCCTGAGTTTCCAGCCTGCTGGCTTACCCTACAGATTTTCGACTTGCCAGCCCCTACAATCCCTTTAGCCAATTTCTTAAAACAAATAAATTTCTAAGTATATATATATAGATAGACAGACAGACAGATAGATGTATAGAGATAGATATAGAGAGATATAGATATATAGAGAGAGATCTCATATTGTTTCTGTTTCTCTGAAGAACCCTAATACAAATGGAAAGTTAAAATAGGCCTGCAGTAGAAGTCACTGGAACCCTTTGTTGACAACCAGCAGGTGGGATAAAGGACCCACTAGAACCTTGCTCAGTGCACTGTCACTCCCCATCCCAACCCTACTTTCATGGCCCTGAGGAACAACCTCTAAAGAACCTCAAAAGTTCAGTTACCCTCCTTCCCTTGCTGCTGTTTTAGAGCAGAAGATGAAAGGGACCACAATGGTCACAGTTCATCCTAGAACTAGGAGTAAATGCTTACAGGTATGGGGTTTCTTTTGGGGGTGATGAAAATGTTCTGGAATAAGACAGTGGTGATGGCTAAACAACACTGTGAATGTACTAAATTCTACTGAATTGTACACTTTAAAATAATCAATTTTATGCCATATAAACTTCACCTCAATAAATTATTTTTAATTATGATTTATAATATGTGAATTTTACCTCAATTTAAAAAAACTGCAAAAAAAAAAAATGGAAATATCTCCACCTTCTTCCTCCTGGAAATGAGTTTGCGTGTAGAAAACACAAGCTCTCAAGGCAGGGTGCAGTGATTTTTGGCTGTAATCCCAGCATTCTGGGACACCAAGGTGGCTGGACTGCTTGAGGCTAGGAGTTCAAGACCAGCCCTGGAAAGATAGCGAGACCCTGTCTCTACAAAAAATAAAATAAAATTAGTCAAGCATTGTGGCACATGCCTATTGTCCCAGCTACTAGGGAGACTAAGGTGGGAAGATAGCTTGAGCCTAGAAGTTCGAGGCTGCAGTGAGCTACGATAGTGCCACTGAACTCCAGCCGGGGCAACACAGCAAGATCCTATCTCAAAAATAGCAACAATAAGAAAACAAAAAACACAAGCTTCTTCTGTGCCTCCGAACCCTGAAGCTTACCTGGGAAACATTTCCTCATGGGTAGGACAGAGCTCAGTATTAACAACCCACTTGGGTAACAGATGTAAAGCCAAGCCAATCAAGTAAGCTATTACCAAAAATGAAAGGGATATTTTGACCTCCATATGTACTTTTTGTTTCCCACCTTAACAAAGTATGAAAGCTGAAGGAATCCCAGAGCTGATGGCTCCCACTAATGGTGGTTTTCTACACACACTCAGTCTTGTCTCACATGACCACATGTATCCTCGGTACAGAGAGACTGAGACATTTGGAAGCCTAGCCTGGACTCATAAGAGTTCCACTCTGCTTTTGCAATCCATGCTTTCTCGTTGCCTGCTGTGTATGCTTTCTTAAAGATAAGTAAACCTAAAGCTGGATGCAGCCCACAGTGTCTTGTGACCTTGTGTTTTTGTCTTGTGAGTTGTCAGTTTGAGCAATCTGAGCAGAAAGGGTGGTCAATCAAATCAACTGCTTCAATTGTAAAATACCATGTCTATTGTTCTGTGAAAGGATAAACATAAGATTCAGATCTCATGAAATTCACACACCCTAATCCAAAACCCAATTCTTTAATTAATTCACTTGAAAAGAGAACATGATATGAAACACTCACATTAGTTCATTTTTCTTCTCACATATACATCTGTCTCAGGAACCTGGCATGGTGAAATCATAGAAAAGGCAGGACAGTGCACTGGAAAGAGCTTCAGATTTTGAGTTAAAAGAGGGGCTGGTGTTCAAGTTTCAGCTCTGTCACTGAATGATCTTGAATAATTATTTAATCTCTGTAAGCCTTAAATCTATAAAACGGAGATAATAGAGTATTTGCTCTGTTCAACTCTCAGCATTGTTGTGAGGAGCAAACCACTTATCTGTAAAGAGCTAAATAAATGTAGATTATCACATGTTTCAAGCACCTGATTTTCACGTGTTCATTTTGGTCTGCTTCAGAAAATCATTGATCCTATCTTATCTCATTTATTTATATTAGTCCATAATGGCTATACTGCATACATAATAAACAGAGGTTTATAAATACTAAACTTTTACTTAGCATCATTATATTTATGTAAGAGACAGAAGCATTAGATTGACATTCCTATAGATTTTCTTTAAACAAATGTAGCAGTTGTAATTTTGTTCCATTCAGATGCTAAACAATGGTATACATCTGTATTGGTCAGAATTGTCCAGAGATAAATAGATATATAGAGAGTTATTATGGGAATAGACTCGCATAATTATAGAAGGCAAGAAGTCCCAAAATCTGCTGTCCCAGTCTGAGTCTGAAGGCCTGAGAAGGGGATAAGGGGTTGCTATAGTCTGAATGTTTGTGTCCTTCCCAAATTCATGTTGAAACCATATTACCAATGTGATATTAGGAGGTGGGGTCTTGGGGAGGTGATCAGGTCATGAGGGCAGAGTCCTCATGAATGGAATTAATGCCTTTATAAAAGAGGCCCAAGAGAGACTCCTTGTCCCTTCCACCATGTGAGGTAACAGCTACACAGTGCTATCTATGAAACAGAGAGCAGGCCCTCACCAGACACTGGCTCTGCTGGTGCCTTGTTCGTGGACTACCCCCGCTCCAGAACTGTAAGAAACAAATTTCTGTTGTTTATGAGCTATCCAGTTTATGGTATTTTGCTATAGCACCTCAAATGGACAAAGACACGGGTGATAGTGTAAGTCCCAGTCTGAGTTCAAAGGCCTGAGAACTAGGAGCTCCGATGTCAGAGGGTAGGAGAAGATGGATGTTCCAGCTCAAACAGAAAGTAAATTTACCCTCCCTGCCTTTTCGCTCTATTCAGGTCCTCAAAAGATTGGATGATACAAACCAATGTTGATAAAGCAAATCTCTTCTATAGGTAAAGGCTAGTCTCTTCTAGAAACACTCTCGCAGACACATCCAGAAATAAATACTCAGGAAGGATTTTAACTCCCAATTTCAAATTCTAACTTGATCTATAATTACTATATAAACTATGCATACCTCCAGAGATGAAATTTTTAATAATAAAACAGGGAATGGGTACAGTGGCTCACACCTGTAATACCAATATTTTGGGAGGCAGAGGCAGGAGTTTGAGACCAACCTAGGCAACACAGCACGATCCCATCTCTACTTCAAAAAAAAAAAGGAATACGTGAAAATAAATACATTGCAGGTACAAAGGATTTTTTTTTTTTTTTTTAAACAGAGTCTTGCTCTGTAGCCCAGGCTGGAGTGCAGTGGCACAATCTCGGCTCACTGCAACCTCTGCCTCCCGGGTTCAAGCGATTCTCCTGCCTCAGCCTCCCAAGTAGCTGGGACTACAGGCACGTGCCACCACGTCCAGCTAATTTTTGTATTTTTAGTAGAGATGGGGTTTCACCATGTTGGCCAGGATGGTCTCGATCTCTTGACCTTGTGATCTGCCCACCTCGGCTCCCAAAGTGCTGGGATTACAGGTGTGAGCCACCGTGCCCGGCCAGAATTTATGCTGTAGACATTTATGATGTTATATTTTTTTTAACTACTCAAAAAAAGTCTTCAGTATTTTGTTGACATTTCCTCAAAAAATAAAAATAAAGGAATTGTTAATTTTGGTCTACTTTGGAATTTTATTATCTTCTTACTCACAAAAAATAATTTTTAATAAATCTAAAAAAATTGTAAAGATTAAATCACACTGAACACTTCAGGTTTTCAAGTAAGTGTAACAAATTCCAATAAACTATTGTCTGTCAATAAGGTACTTTTTTTTTTTTTACAGTTTTTACATCATAAAAGCTGTATTCTGAATTGGTATTGGTTTTGTGAACACAGTATCTTAGGGATAGAAATTTGTAATGGTTTGAAGCAAAGATCACAGGTTAGCTATAGAAAAGTGCCACAGGAAACTGGTCTAAACCAAAAACATGTTTTTATCATACAAGGTAAGACAAAATAATATCCCTTTCTATCAAGTCATGTTGAAGCCTTCCTTGAATACCAAAATAGCAT
Organism: Homo sapiens; assembly: GCF_000001405.40. Taxonomy (NCBI): domain Eukaryota; kingdom Metazoa; phylum Chordata; class Mammalia; order Primates; family Hominidae; genus Homo; species Homo sapiens. The sequence goes on from NC_000008.11 coordinate 94,366,494, forward strand.
ATCTACAAATCCCTCTAGGATACAATATATTAATTTGGGAACAATTCAGAAAAACAAAGCCATAAGCTAATTATACATATTGTTTGCTGTGAGTCACAGTCAAAATTTTAATCTTGCCACATAATATTAGGACACAGTTGCTCAGGCAATGTGACTGTAGGCCATAATTGAGCCACTCAAATGAAATGCCAGCCAGATTTTTTTCACTTGCTCCTTTGTCATACACCCTTTTAAATGGATGGATAGGCTGTCTAGGAGTTTAGTTCTGCAGATCAGAGCTGCTCATGTTTAAATTCAGCTTTAGTAATTCAATCCTAATGAAAACGTGACTGAAATGTATTTGCATTGTCGTTTAGAACCAGAACATTATGACATAAAGCTGTGTGAAAGGTGTATTTGTGTAATTAGAAATGAATTATGTATGTGACTTAAATTATTACCCATTGCAGTGACAGCTTCTGTCAGCTCATGCAGCAGATTGACAGATCGCAATAACAAAAAGGGAAGTCTGGATGCTGTCAGAGGCAAGAAGAAACTGCTGCCTCTGCTTTCTTCAGTGTTGAGCACAGCTCCATGCTCAGCAGTTGGCGTAAATAAATACCTTGAAACTGAGATCTATGAGCAAGAAACATGATCAAGGTGGTTAAAGAAGTAAAAGAGGTAAAGTACCTCATTCATTCATTCAATTACTAAATAGCTATTCTATGCCAGGTCCCATACAAGGTCCTGAGAATATTAGGGTAAGTAAGATTAAATCCCCATCCTCAAAGGAGTCCACCAAGAGAGAGAGGGAGAGCATGCGACCACATGAGCATATGGACTGGGAACATAGAGAAAGGGAAAATTCTTATAAACAGCACCTCTCACGCAAAAGCTGCTTTATACGTGCAAACCAGGTGTTAAGGTCCCTTAACATGTGGATAAAATGAGTCTATACCCCCACAAATGCCTGGCTTGTCAAAGTCCAAAGTCTTCATCAATTCCCAGAGGGCTATCTTCTGTACTTCTCAGCCTCTGAGATCCCATGCCACATATGCTACCTTTATTCCATGTCACATGGGTTCTCCCATGAAATTCAGCCTCTTCTGAAATTTCTACTGCAAAATCACTCTCATGCAGGATACTGGAAGATTTCAGAGTGAGGCAGAGAAATGGATGGAAGGTTACTTCCCACACTACTTGGCAAACAAACAACTTTATGAAGAACAATAGGTATCCACTATAAAAACAGGGCCCAGCACCCTTACCTAAGGAGCTGAAATGTTCCTTTTGACAGATTTGTCTTGAATTGAGATAAGGGTGCTGGGCCTTTCTACCCAGCATCCACCAGTCTCAAATGTTGGCCAACCAGGGGAGGAGCATAATCTTGGGTGAGGCAGATCCTCTCAGCTGAGGGCTATTCTTGGGGAAGAATTTGGCTATAAGTGGCCCACAGGTGATGCTTCTGGCAGCTGGAGAAACAAGCGCCTTGGTTCTGAAAGGGGCAATCTGGGCAGCACACCCTTGCATACACCACAGTTAAGACAGGCAGCAGTTGCAGAGTGGCTGGAACTATGTGAATAAAATAAATACATACATACATACATACATACATACATACATACATACATAAATTTTTGTTTAAAAAGACAGGCAGAATTACCTGCCCTTTATCAATGTTTTTTAAGTACTTTATGCCTGAAAAGGATACGATGCAAGATAGATATTGAAAGTTTAGTTCAGTCCAGCAACATAGTGAGACCCTATCTCTTAAAAAAAAAAAAAAGTTGTATATAAAGCCTCATGCATGAAGTCTATATACATGGGGCCAAGAAATACCATTTTTACTTATTACTAGTTGGCTACTTCCTCACTGACGAATTTGGTCCCAAACTGCCTGTTCATGAATCCTAGATGTACAGCTAGCTACCCAGGTATGGCACTAACAAATTAAAAGAATTCATCCTTGATTATACATAACTGAGTATTTAACACCTCAAGACAATACAGGTATACCCCATTTTGTTGTGCTTCCCAGATATTGTGATTTTTTTAAATTGAAGGTTTCTGACAACCCTGCATCAAGCAAATGAGTGACACTTTTCCCCAAAACATGCTCACTTCATGTCTGTGTCACATTTTAGTAATTCTTGCAATATTTCAAACTTTTACATTATTATATGTTAGGGTTATCTGTAATCAGTGATCTTTGATGTTACTATTGTAACTGTTTTGATGTACCATAACTTATGCCCATGTAAGATAGCAATCTTAATCAATAAATGTTGTGTGTGTTCTGACTGCTCCACCAACTGTTGGTTACCCCATCTCTCTCCCTCTCCTTGGGCCTCCCTATTCCCTGAGACATAACGATACTGAAATTCGGCTAATTAATAATCCTGCAATGGCCACTAAGTGTTCAAGTGAAAGGAAAAGTCATATATTTTTCACCTTAAGTCAAAAGCTAGACAGAATTAAGCTTAGTGAGGAAGGCATGTTGAAAGCCAAGACAGGCTGGAAGCTAGGACTCTTGCATTAGTTAGCCAAGTTCTGAATGCAAAGAAAAAGCTCTTAAAGGAAATTACAAGGGAACACACAAATGGTAAGTGAAGCAGCTTTATTGCTGATATGGAGAAAGTGTTAATGGCCTGGAAAGAAGTTCAAACCAGGCACAATATTCCCAAAGCCTAATCCAGAGCAAGGCCCTAAATCTCTTCAGTTCCATGAAGGCTGAGAGAGGTGAGGAGGCTGCAGAAGAGTTTGAAGCTAGCATAATATTTAAGGAAAGAAGCTGTCTCCACATCATATAAGTGTAAGGTGAACAGCAAGTGCTGATGGATAAGCTGCAGCAAGTTATCCAGAAGATCTAGCTAAGATCATTGATGAAGGTGGCTACACTAAACAACAGATTTTCAATGTAGAAGAAACAGCCTGCTATTGAAAGACGATGCCAGCTAGGACTTTCATAGCTAGAGAAGATAAGTCAATGTCTGACATCAAAGCTTTAAAGGACAGGCTGGCTCTGTTTGGGACTAATGCAGCTGGTAGCTTTAAGTTGAAACCACCTTCCAAAAATCCCAGGGCTCTTAAGAATTATGCTAAATCTACTTGCCTGTGCTCTAGAAATGAAACAACAAAGCCTGGGTTACTGAATATTTTAAGCTCACAGTTGCAACCTACTGCTCAGAATGAAAGATTTCTTTTAAAATATTACTGTTTATTGACAAAGCACCTAGTAATCCAATGGCTCTGATGGAGATGTACAAGGAGATCAATGTTGTTTTCATGCCTGTTAACACAACATCCATTTTGCAGTACATGGGTTAAGCAGTAATTTCGACTTTCAAGTCATATTATATAAGGATTGCATTGTGTAAAGCTAGCTATGACCATATAGACAGTGATTCCTCTGATGGATCTGAGCAAAATCAATGGAAGACCTTCTGGAAAAGATCCACCATTTGCAATTCATGGGAGGATGTCAATATAACAACATTAACAGGAGTTTGGAAGAAGTTAATTCCAATCCTCATAATTGACTTTGAGGAGTTCAAGATTTCAGTGGAGGAAGTAACTGTAAATGTGGTGGAATCAGCAAGAGAACTAGAATTAGAAGTGGAGCCTGAAGATTTGACTGAATTGCTGCAATCTCATGACCAAACTTGAGCAGATGAGGAGTTACTTCTTATGGGGGAGCAAAGAAAGTAGTTTCTTCAGATGGAATCTACTCCTGGTGAAGGTGCTGTGAACATTGTTGAAATTACCACAAATGATTTAGACTATTCCATAAACTTAGTTGATAAACCAGTGACAGGTTTCAAGAGGACTGGCTCCAATTTTGAAAGAGTTTTTACTGTGGGAAAAATACTATCAAATAGCATCGCACGCTACAGAGAAAGCTTTTGTGAAAGGAAGAGTCAATTGATGTGGCAAACGTTGCTGTCTTGTTTTCAGAAATTGTCACAGCCACCCCAACCCTCAGCAACCTTCACCAGGTTCCTGATCAGTCAGCAGTCATTGACATCAGTATAAGACCCTCTACCAGCAAAAAGATAACAGGCCGGGCATGGTGGCTCATGCCTGTAATCCCAGCACTTTGGGAGGCCAAGGCAGGTGGATCACCTGAACTCAGGAGTTCAAGACCAGCCTAACCAACATGGCAAAACCCTGTCTCCACTAAAAATACAAAAATTAGCTGGGCACAGTGGCGGATGCCTGTAATCCCAGCTACTCGGGAGGCTGAGGCAAGAAGAATTGCTTGAACCCAGGAGGGAGAGGTTGCAGTGAGCCAAGATCATGCCACTGCACTCCAGCCTGGGTGACAGAGCAAGACTCCGTCTCAAAAAAAAAAAAAAAAAAAAAGGCATCAACTCACTAAAGTCTCAGATGACCATTAGCATTTTCTAGCAAATTATTTTTAAATTAAGGAAAATACATCATTTTTCAGACATGATGCTATTGCATACTTAATAGACTACAGTATAGTATAAACATAACTTTCATATGCACTGGGAAACCAAAAATATGTGTTACTTACTTTATTGTGATATTCATTTTATTGCAGTGGTCTGTAGCCAAACCTGCAATATCTCCAGGGTATGCCTGTATTTTCTGTCTAAAAGAAATTTTCCTAAATGGAAACAAAAGCTGATTACAGAAGCCCCATTTGGAAATTAAATTAGTAACTCCTTTCTCTTTGCAGGCTTCAGTCTTCTAAAGGTTGCTTTGTATATTAAAACCTTTTTTTTTTTTTTTTAAGATGGGGTCTTGCTCTGTCACCCAGGATGGATATTGGATCATATCCAATCATAGTTCACTGCAAACTCAAACTCCTAGGCTCAAGCAATCCTTCTACCTCAGCCTCCCACGTAGCTGGAACTACAGGCATGTGCCACCATATCTGGCTAAGTTTGTTTTTTAGAGTCAGGGTCTCACTGTGTTGCTCAGGTTAGTCTCAAACTATTGGCCTCAAGCAATCCTCCTGCCTCTACCTACTAGGTAACTAGGATTACAAACTGGAGCCACTGCGCACAGCTAAAACACTCTTTTCAATGCCAAAAATTACTCCAGATAACCCTTAAATGATGGTAGCTGAACCTTTGTTCAGTGCATAAACAATATTTGGTAGACATGGCTTTATAGACTGCATAAGTCTGAGGTCCCAAACTAGGAACTAGTGCTCTCAAGTGTTCCCAAATCCTTCAACTCCTGCACTAACCCATTGACTTTTCTCACTCAAACTGCCCTGCAGCAACTATTACATCCAACATCTTTAGCATTTGCGATCCTAACCTCTCATTCTCTTTCTCCTTTGAGCTACATTTTAAACTTACCAAGTTTTTCAGTTGTTTCAAACATCTGTCTAATATTTCTAATCAGATTAGTTTTCCCAAAGACAGAGAGTATTTTACCTTTTTATATTCCTTATAAAAATTTCTCAGTAGATACTTAATGAAAGTGTATTAATCAAGGAATTATTAACAATTATACAATGATATAAGCACATCTTTATTTTTCATTTAAACACTTAATATTTACAAAACATTAAACCACTCAATTTTGACTATTGTATCAAAAGTGATATATTTTGCAACATATACTGTAATTTAAATAATTCTATTAATTTTCAAAAAGTACATTTAATTACCATACTAATTTTCAAAAGAAGAGCAATGGAATGTCAGAAGTAATCTTTCACTATGTGCCAGTAGCTTGAGTGGTTATATTCTGAAAAATGAATGACACATTTTCTGTTATTCTTTCAAGAAAAGGATCTGTAAGATTTAAATGATCTCCAGAAAAATGTTTCCATTGCTTCAGCTGGGACATAGAAAGAGGTTTCAGGGAGTTAGATTTCTGGTGATGTGGACCAAGCTGACAATCTCTAGAGACAATGAATTTTTCCAACGAATCACCTGTAATAAGTAAAACAATGAGAAAATCCTTAGGCAAGCCAATATCCTGCTAAATACAATACTTTTTTGTTTTATGATAATTAGTTTATGTGATTTATTACATTTGATCACCATGGTTCAAGTTAAAACAAATTCATTCTTTTTACAAACATTTATAAGTTATTTACTATGTACTGATTTAAACAGCAAAGGTAAAATGATGAAGAAACACAGGCATGGTCTCTGACTTCAAGGACCTTACAGTCTAGTGGGAGAGATATACATTAAATAAATAATCATCTGAAAAATGTATTACAAATTCAAAATCCCTTTCCTAAAACCTGTGGGGCCACGTTTACAAATTCAGAATATAATTCGAACAATCTGGGTCAGCATTCCATAATGAAACTCATTAACATTCTGTAGCAAGTCATAAATAGTCTTACAAAATGGGTTAAATAAAGACTATTGATAAACTCACATCAATTTAGGTAAGGTTTTGCCACAAATAATTTTGTCACAAATTTATGAAGAAAAAAAAACCTTTTGAGCTTTCTAGATTTCAGAATTGAAGATAAGGGACTGTGGAGCTGAATTACAAACAGAGGTAAGGGTATGAAGGAAAGATACAGGGAACTATCTTACATATGACAAGAGAGGCTGACTTGGTCCGGAAGGTAAGTGAAGGGCACCCTGAGGAAATGTTCTATTAAGATCTGAAAGATGAGAAAAGAACTAGATGGGGAAAAAAGATAAAGCATTCCATGATAAGCACATTAAAAAGCTATGAAAAGGAAGGGACACTGGCATAGTCGAGCAATTGATACGAGCCTATGCAATTAAAGCCTATAGAGTAAAAGCAAAGAATAATGCAAAAGAAGTTAAGTAATGCACAGTGAAGCAAGTATTCAAGGGCTGGATTATGCAAAACATGAATGGCAGAGGCCAGCCGTTATTCACCAAATCCATTTCTCTTTCCTCCAGGGCACTTAGTCACCTTTTCCAGCCTCCCTTACGGTTAGATATTGCCACTGAGTCTGGCCTTATGGAATGCAGCTATGTCACTTCCAGGTCTGAACTATAAACATCCTTCAAACTGAACAATTTTCTACTTTATCTCTTCTCTCACTGCTGGCTGGCAGATGCAGGGTATCCCAGCAGAGGACTCTAAGGTCCAAATGGATGGAAGAGCTCCAAGTGAAAGAACCCTGGATCACGAAATTACCTTATGAAAGGCTGTCCACTAAATGCCCACAATGACCTGTTACACAAATGAGAAACATATTTCTATTGTGTTAGACCATTGTGCTTTTTTAGTTTCTTGTTACAGCAATTAGACTGCCCTGACTAACTTATCAATTTAGAGATTTTAGTATCTATCCTAAGAGCAATAGGAAGCTATTGGAGGTTTTATTTTTTTAACCTTTTAATTATGGGAAATTTCAAATAAATATAATAAATATATAGCATGTATCATTTCACTTATAAATATTTCATTCTACATTTCTAAAAGATAAACACTTCTTTGAAATTTTATCACACCTAAAAGAAAAGCCTCAAGTCATTCCTTAATATCATCAAATTCTTGTCAGTGTTCATAATCATTGAGGTTTTAAGAAAAGAGATGACAAGGCCGGGCGCAGTGGCTCACGCCTGTAATCCCAGCACTTCGGGAGGCCAAGGCGGGCAGATCACGAGGTCAGGTGATCGAGACCATCCTGGCTAACACAGTGTAACCCCGTCTCTACTAAAAACACAAAAAATTAGCCAGACGTGGTGGCAGGCGCCTGTAGTCCCAGCTACTCGGGAGGCTGAGGCAGGAGAATGGCGTTAACCCGGGAGGCGGAGCTGGCAGTGAGCCGAGATAGCGCCACTGCACACTAGCCTGGGTGACAGAGCAAGACTCCGTCTCAAAAAAAAAAAAGAAAAGAGATGACAAGATTGCTTCCAAAATTAGAAGACAATAGAATAATACCTGCAAAGTACTAACCAAAAAACCTCTGGCTAACCAAGAGTTCGCCAGTATTAGGCCCTCGTTAAAAAATGAAAAGACAGTAGAAATAAATAAAAATACCTTAATAATGATAAATGCAAACAAACTAAATGTTCTCACTGAAACAAAATATTAGACTGGACAAAAAATAAAACCCAGCTTTATGCTATTGACAAGAGATACCTAAAACATAAGAACACAGAGAAATTTAAGGTAAACAGATGGGAAAAGATAGACCAGACAAACCCTAATGATAAGAAAACTAGTGTAATATGTTAAGACAAAATGAAAGCAAAAGGCATTCGGGATAAGGCGATCACTACATAACAATAAAATAGAGAAACCATAATGAAAAAAATATTTCACAAGGAAGATATAAAATATATGAAGCAGAAAATGACAAAATAACAATTTTCTCTAATCCACTGTCACAGTTTCATATTTTAATATATTTATTTGAATAATAGATATATCTAACAAAAAATTAGGTTGTTAATGTTTTAAATGGGCAAACAATATGAAGAGATGGTTCACATAAAGAACTATGGTTTTTAAACTTAGGAAAATGCTCAACTTCATTCGTAATAAGAGAATAGCAAATTAAAACTATACCAATATATTATTTTCTTACTATCAGATTGGCAAATATACAAACATTTGATAATCCACTAAACTGGCAAGGCTATGGGAAAATAGACATTCTAGTGTATTTCTGGGAGTGTGTAAATTGACACAACATCCAACAAAGGGCATTTTGGCAATATCTATCAAAATTACAAATGTACACATTCTCTGACTCAGCAATACTAAAAATTTACCTTATAGGTATACTTGAAGATATTCAAAATGATACATGAATAAAATACACACTTATGGGAAATAACCTAATTGTACATCTATGGATGATATGGTTTGGCAGTGTCCCCACCCAAATCTCATCTTGCAGCTCCCATATTTCCCACGTGTTGTGGGAAGGACCCGGTGGGAGATGATTGAATCATGGGGGCAGGTCTTTCCTGTGCTGTTCTTGTGATAATGAATGGGTCTCACGAGATCTGATGGTTTTAAAAATGGGAATTGCCCTGCACAAGCTCTCTTTTTGCCTGCCACCATCCATGTAAGATCTGATTTGCTCCTCCTTGCCTTCTGCCATTAATGTGAGGCCTCCCCAGCTATGTGGAACTGTGAGTCTAATTAAACTTCTTTTTTTTGTAAATCGCCCAGTCTCAGGTATGCCTTTATCAGCAGCGTGAAAACAGACTAATATAGTGGGGGATAAATTATGATATATCTATACACTGGAAGATTATACAGCTGAGGAAGAAAAAGAATGAGGAAACTCTGTAACAATACGGAAAGATCTCAAGATACGCTACTGAGTGAAAAAGGTACAGAAATATAATATGCTATAATTTATTGGGAGGAAAACTGGGCAAGAATATATATCTAGAGTGGCTTATATATGCATACATATATATCTGGAAGGATACACAAAAAAACTAATAGTGGTGGTTTCTTTTGATGTAGAAGGCTAGAAATTAGGGAGATAAGGGTAGAGTAGGAGGTAGAGTAGGAGGTAGAGTAGGAGGAAGAGTTTTCACCATGTACATTTTATATTTTTAAATAATTGAGTCATGTAAATATATTACCGATTCAAAAGTTAAATTAGTCATTTTTGAAATCTATAAAAGAAAAAATGGATTACATAACAAAATCTGGCTAATATGACAGAATTCTACACTAGGCAATTAAGAGGATATACACGATTTCCATGCACAAAACAAACATTTACAAAAAATGACCACACACTAGACCATACCCCAAGTCTCTATAATTACCAAAGAATCCATATCATGTAGTTCTATTTCTGACTACAGAGCATTAGCCAGAGTTCAGTAACAAAAACTAAAATACATTTTAAAACATACTTTTAAATAACTCATGAGACAAAGAAGAAATCATAATGAAAAAACAAAATATTTAGAACTGAATAATGAAAGACTGTATATCAAAATTATGGGCAGCTTAGAGGAAAATGTATAGTCTTAAATATCCACTTCTTTGAAAAGAAGACTGAAAAATCATTAAGCTAAGTATTAAACTTAAATATTGGAAAAAGAACATTAGAGTAAATACAAGGAAAAAGGAGAAAAGAAGAGAAATTATTAAAACAGGAAAAAATTTAATAGGGAGGATAAAGTGTTAATTAATATTTTTAATTACCAAAATGGCTATGAAGAAAATCTGAAAACATTTCTATGAAGTTTAAATTCTACCCACTAAAAAATAAAAATATATACATATTTTAACTACCATAAATATTATATATTGTTATAATTATATATTGTGCATGATTATATTTATTATATTTAGTTATTAGTTATATATTTATATATGACATATAACTAATAAATATAATCATATATAATTTATATGACAAATAACTAATAAACTAATAAGCTTCTATTGTACCTAAAGAGAAACATTTATATAAAGAAACATTTCCATAGAAGAGAAACATTTATATAAAATATATTTATGTTTATATAAAATCTAAATTCTTCCATCTCAGTCTTATATAGTCTAACTTCTTCAACCTATCTTAATATAATTCATCAAGTAACTTTCAGCTACTAGACATTGATTGCTCAAGTCCTACTCCTGATCTAGTTCCTTTTTGAATGGTGTCTATTCTGGAGGGTAAATTTTCAGCTTTACTTAAGCAGCACTAGCACTTACATCAAGTACTGAGAAGTATGGTGACCTATGCTTCTAAGTGCCTCAGAAAATATGACCCCATTATGAATAAATTCTGTACAACATAAACAACAGGATTATTCTGTCAACTGTATGTTTTTTTGCGAAAGAGAAATAGGGATTAAAACCATTTTTCTGGCTGGATGCGGTGGCTCACACCTGTAATCCCAGCACTTTGAGAGGCTGAGGCGGGCAGATCGCTGGAGCCCAGGAGTTCGAGACCAGTGTGGGCAACATGAAGAAATCTCGTCTCTACAAAAAATACAAAAATTAGCCAGGTGTGGTGGTGCACACCTGTAGTCCCAGCTACTCAGGAGGCTGAAGCTGGAAGACTGCTTGAACCCAGGAGGCGGAGGTTGCAGTGAGCCATGATTGCACCACTGCACTCCAGCCTGGGCAACAGAGCAACAGAGCCAGACCCTGTCTTGGAAAAAAAAAAAAAAAAAAAAAAAAAAAAAAAAAAAACTCTAACTCCAAAGCCATTACACCAGGACTTGAAAGATTTTCCTAAATAAGTTCAATTTTTCACAAGTGATTCAGAAATAAAAAGCTAAAATTCAGAGAATAAGAGTCTACTGGGCCGGGCGCGGTGGCTCACGCCTGTAATCCCAGCACTTTGGGAGGCCGAGGCGGGCGGATCACGAGGTCAGGAGATCGAGACCATCCTGGCTAACACGGTGAAACCCCGTCTCTACTAAAAATACAAAAAATTAGCCGGGCGTGGTAGCGGGCGCCTGTAGTCCCAGCTACTCGGGAGGCTGAGGCAGGAGAATGGCGTGAACCCGGGAGGCGGAGCTTGCAGTGAGCCGAGATCGCGCCACTGCACTCCAGCCTGGGCGACAGAGCGAGACTCCGTCTCAAAAAAAAAAAAAAAAAAAAAAAAGATTCTACTGAATATTTTCTCAAATATCTCTATCTGGCAGCTGCCCTATGAGCTGAGAAAAAAATAAAACTAACATATGCAAATGGTAAATATTATAAAGTTATTCTTTAAATATTTTCAACTGCTAACAAGAAATAAATTAACTTTACTACATAGTAACAGAATTAAAATATAACTAACCTGTATGAACTTCTTCTCCTGTACACTCACAGTCAAGCAGATCATGAGTAACACAATCTGAACTTTCATGTAATGTGAACAAATTTTTAAGTTCTTCTACTGAAAACTGAATATGTTCAGATGTCTTGGTGAGGTCGACAACTGCCCCACAAAGACCTTGCTTACTGATCTGCCTTTGATAGATCTTTTCTTCTATTGTACCTAAAGAGAAAACATTAATTAGATTTCCTTCAGATCTTTATGTTCATTATTTTTGTTGGGTATAATGTTTAGTAACATACTAGTTAATAAAATAACAATATATTCCTGACACTGAAGCACAGGCTAACAAAAAATAATTTTAATTATTCAAAGAGTATACATTTTTGTCACACTGAAGGGTTGTTACCTGTAGTTAGGAGTCTGTAAATATGTACAGGATATTTCTGACCATCTCTCCATACTCTAGACATTGCCTATAGAAAATAAGTGAGAATTCTGAGAGTACAGTAGAAACTAATGGCCCCTTCCACACATGCAATTTGCAGAAATATGTTTTAAAATTCGGAATTCTATATTTTACATACAGCTTCAGAAAACAAATCTCAGGTGTGTGAAGCATGCCCTACTTCATAGCTTTTTCTTGGCAGAAAGAAAGGGATGAGTGAACACTTACTATGGTACTGTAAAATAACTACAAGAGTATCATGCAAGAGTGAGAGAATAGATCTTCATCAATGGGACAGTGAGTATGGACAGCAAGAATGGAAAGAACCAAGTGTAGCATGGGCTTGGAGGTTCATTCTCAGTCCAAATAGCTAAAGATTTGCCCCTGAGAACTACCTAGGATACATGTAATCAGCTAAGGCTCTAGGTGGATCCCTGTGGTTTAAAGATTTATCAATGATACTGTGCATTAAAGTGTTGATGTTCAAACCCTGCACATTTCAAATAAAAATCTGGCCTTCAACCAACTTCTAAGAGATCATCTCTAGGCCTTTGGAATGTCCTGCCTGATATGAGTGTCTGTTTACCAGACACTTGGGCCACACCAGATAGTTTATGCTAACAATGTTATATGGTGGGGCCTTGGATCATGTAGTTTGATTTCTGGAGGCTAAAGACTGATTAACTAAGGTCAGTCATGCAGGTGTTCCATGACTACAGAACTGACCCCAAACAAAATTCTGGACACCAAGACGTGGATGAACTTCCCTGGTGGACAATATTCTATATGCACTGTCACTCACCAATGCCGACAGAATTAAGTGTTGTCCATAAAACTCCACTGGCAGAGAACAACTGGAAGCTTGTGCCTGGTCTCTCTTGGACTCTGCCCTGGACTCAGTACCTTTTCCTTACCGCTTTGAGTATTCTTTACTATAATGTAACATAACTGTGAGTATAGCTGCTTTTCTCAGTTGAGTCCTTCTAGTGAATCATTAAACCTGAGGGTTGTCTTGGGATCCCCCAATGCACATACCAACTGAGGTGCAAACCTACAGGTAGAAAACTCAAGATACAAAAAGATGGGCTGTACTCTAAAGAAAACCAAAGGCTTCTCAAACATTTTCCTAAATATGTTACTTTTATACCCTTACTATAGCCTGCATAAACACTAATCATAGCATCTGTAACTTTATTGTCTTCACCTGATGGTCATGAACACCCTAAAGGCCAACTCTGCAGTAAACTAGAACCTGGAGACATACAGGTTTAGGTCTGAATCCTGGCTCTGCATCTTACAAGCTGTGGGATCTAGAACAAGCTTCTATATCTTCATCTGTAAAATGGGACTACTAATATCCATCCTTGTAGGCTTGTTAGGAGGATTAAACAGATGGAAAGCACTTAGGAGAGTGCCTCACGCAAAATAAGGGCTCTTTATGCAGTGGATATTATATATCATCATTATCTTTGTATCCTCAATAGGCATTGTATCCTCAGGCATTCAATAATATCTATTTAATGCATAAATATTCCTACCTGAATGTCAGTGGCTGGATTCCAATCAATGTCATAGAGAATTAAGTGAGATCCTCCAATGAGGTTAAGTCCTACACCACCAGCTTTTGAACTTAACAAAAAAATAAAAAAAGAAGAGTGTTGACTGTTAAAGCCATCAACAATCTGCTGCCTTTGAGAGATTGGTGTTTGTCCATCAAGTCTTGTATAAGCATATCCATGACGCTTACATACTTCTTGTAAAATGTTCAAGGTTTGTGTATAGTTGGATACCAACACCACCCTGTCAATCAAAAAGAAAGATTCTTTAGATAAATTTAAAGGCAGCATTAGATTTTCTTAGTTGAAAGAAAATACCACAATAATATTATCACTGACATTGAGAGAACATGCAACAATGACCTTGTACAATTAAAACATAGGTATTCCTGCATATTCCATTTTAAAGTCAATATCTAAACTTCCAGTTTTAAGACAGTGCGGCAAAGACCTTTCTGCCTTCTTCATCTCTCTGAGGTTCACTCTAAAAACAGCAAGAGAATGAGCAAAATACAAAAATGAACAGAAACTAACTCTGAAGATATTTGAAAACAAAAACCATAGTGAAGCAGTCACCTGCTTAGGAGTATACATAAGGTGATGCCTACATGCCCAAAGAGGGAGATTCCAGTAAGAAACAAATGAAAGTTCATTTGCACCACAGAATCTTGCTAAGGTACCTGAGAAGGAAGGAATTTAGACTGGAACTATTACAACATTGGTACGTAGAACCCAGGCCCTGCTCCCATGTGATCAGTTGACTTTTCTTTCCCAAATAAAGTATTTATTATCTGGAGAAAATAAACCAAAGAAACTTAGACCAGGGAACTGACTGTAGAAGGCAGGAGAGCCAATGTAGTGGCTTATGCCTGTAGCCCCTGCTACTCAGGAGGCTGAAACAGGAAGATAACTTGAATCCAAGAGTTTCAGTCCAGCCTGGACAATAGAGCAAGGCCCTGTCTTTTAAAAAAAAAAATGTGTTAATGAAAGTCTAGATACTGAATAAGATCCCTCTACCCTTTTCCTGCCAACTACTAGAATACCAGCAGCCAGGCACCCCATATGCCAGCCCAAGGAAGATACTACTAAAGGATTCATCTATGGAAAGACTTAAATGATTCCACAGAAAAGATCCACAGATAGGGAGTCCCCAAATTTAAAAGCTAGCTTGCTGCCTGATTACCCAATGATGATTATTAGTCAACGAGCCCTGCCTATCCATACAGTGTTCAATTAATGTTTTACTGCTTCACTCTTAACTGTGGACACCAGGGAACACCAGCTATTTGAAGTGAGCTTCAACATGAAAAGGAAAAATCAAAATAAACAAACCTGAATTAAACAAAGCAATGAAAAAAAACAGAAGAAAACTTTCCGAAAATAATTTATGTCCTCAAACAAGAGCTATCTATCCTTCAATGGAAGAGGATGCAATTTTTCAAAAGGAACAATCAAGAATTAGAAAAATATCTTAGAAATGTAAAATGATAGACAAAGTTTTAACAGGAGAGCTGGAAGATAATAGTACGAGAGTTTGACAGGAAATACATTAAGAAGAAAAAGTGATGACCAATAGGAGAGAAAAAAAAGAATTAGAGAATCAATTCATGAGGTTCAATATCTGACTGACAGGAATTCCAAAGAAAACAAGAAATTGTTTTAAGAGAAAGGCCGGGCGCGGTGGCTCAAGCCTGTAATCCCAGCACTTCAGGAGGCCGAGGTGGGCGGATCACAAGGTCAGAAGATAGAGACCATCCTGGCTAACACGGTGAAACCCCGTCTCTACTAAAAATACAAAAAAATTAGTCGGGCATGGTGGTGGGCGCCTGTAGTCCCAGCTACTCCGGAGGCTGAAGCAGGAGAATGGCGTGAACCTGGGAGGCGGAGCTTGCAGTGAGCCGAGATCGCGCCACTGCACTCCAGCCTGGGCGACAGAGCAAGACTCCCTCTCAAAAAAAAAAAAAAAAAGAGAGCGAGAAAGGATATCTCCCAGACATGGAGTCTTCAGATAAAAAGGACCTACTAAAAAGTTCCCAGCTCAATTAATGAGGACTCATATTAAGGTATATCAAGATTATAACTCAAAGTATGAAGAATGAATAAAAGTTGATCAATTTTTGATGAAGAAAAATAGGTCATATGCAAATGAATCGAAATTTGAAAATCATCGGACTTCTCAAAAGCAACTAAAAACTAGAAAACAACATGTAAAGCAATGTCTTCAAAATTCTAGGGGAATACTATTTTGATCTAGAAGTTTATGACAAGGGAAGTTGTCAGTCAAGTGCTAGTGTAGAATAAAGACAGTTTCAGATGTACAAGAAGTCAAAAAGATTAATCTCCCATCTTTCTTAGGAAACTACTGTGAGATGTGCTCCAGCAAAATGTGAAATTCAGAAAACAGAAAATCCAACACAGAAGAGGAAAAAAATGAATTTATAAGTTAATATGATTTGGCTCTGTGTCTCCACCCAAATCTCATCTCGAATTACAATCTCCAGAACCCCCATTTGTTCAGGGAGGGACCAGGTGGGAGGTGACTAAATCACGGGGGCGGTTTCCTGCATGCTGTTCTCGTGATAGGGAGTGAGTTCTCACGAGATCTGCTGGTTTTATAAGGCAGTTTTCCCTGCTCTTGCTAGCTCTCTCTTTCCTGCTACTCTGTGAAGAAGGTCTTTGCTTCCCCTTTGCCTTCTGCCATGATTATAAGTTTCCTGAGGCCTTCCCAGCCATGTGGAACTGTGAGTCAATTAAACCTCTTTCCTTTATAAATTACCCAGTCTCAGGTATTTCTTTATAGCAGTGTGAAAACGGACTAATGCATAGGTGATGGCTTTTTAAAAGTCCCAGGATGCCGGGCACTGTGGCTCACACCTGTAATCCCAGCACTTTGGGAGGCCAAGGGGGGTGGGTCACCTGAGGTCAGGAGTTTGAGACCAACCTGGGCAACATGGTGAAACTCCATCTCTACTAAAAATAAAAAAAATTAGCATCCCCCTGTAATTTCAGCTACTCGAGAGGCCAAAGCACGAGAATTGCTTGAACCCAGGAAGCAGAGGTTGGAGTGAGCTGAGATCACGCCACTGCACTCCAGCTTGGGCAACAGAGCAAGACTCCATCTCAAAAAAAAAAAAAAAAAAAGCCCCAAGATGACAGCTATGTAGCAAGATTAGAGATCAGTTCAAATTGTAGCAGGAAGACAGAGGACTCACAGAGGAAAGACAAAGAAAATACAGAGGCACCTAGAGACCACAGTGGTACCCCATTATCTGCAGATCTGCTTTCCACTGTTTCAGTTACCTGCGGTCAACCTCGGTTCAAAAATATTACACACAGTAAGGTATTTTGAGAAAGAAAGAGAGGATGCACATTCACATAACTTTCACTACAGTATACTGTTATGATTGTTCTATTATTAGTTATTGTTGTTAATCTCTTACTGTGCCTAATTTATAACTTTATCACTGGTATGAATATACATGAAAAAACAAAATCCATATAGGGCTTGGTAGTATCTGTGGTTTCAGGCATCCATTCCTGGTCTTGGAAGGTATTCCCAAGGATAAGATGGGGATTCCCAAGGATAAGATAGCCAAAAAGCACATTAAAAGGTGCTCGATATCACTAATCATTAGAGAAATGCAAATCAAAACTACAATGATATCCCACCTCCCATCCACTAGGATGACTATTATCAAAAAAATAGAAAGTAACAAAGTTGGTAAGGAGATAGAGCAATTTGAACCCTGTGCACTGTTGGTGGAAATGAAAATGGTGCAGTCCTCTATGAAAAACAGTATGGCAGTACTTCAAAATATTAAAAATAGAATTACCATATGATGCAACAATTCCACTTCTGGATTTATATCCAAAAGAATTTAATGGGTGCAGCAAACCAACATGGCACATGTATACATATGTAACAAACCTGCACATTGTGCACATGTACCCTAGAACTTAGAATATAATAAAAATATATCTATAAATTAAAAAAAAAGAATTCAAAGCAGGGTTTTGAAAAGTTATTTGCACACCCATGTTCACAGCAACATTATTCACAAGAGCCAAAAAGTAGAGACAACCCAAGTGTTCAGCAATAGATGAATGGATAAACAAAATGTGGTATATACATACAATGGAATATTGTTTAGCCTTAAAAAGGAAGGAAATTCTGACACATGCTACAACATGGATAAACCTGGAGGACATTATGTTAAGTGAAATTGGTCAGTAAAATAAAGAAAGAAAAACTATATGATTCCATTTATATGAGGTATCTGGAATAGTCAGAGTCAGAGAGTAGAAGGGTAGTCCAGGTGTTAAGGGAGGGGAAAATAAGGAGTTGGTGTTTAATAGATTTCAGTTTTGTTTGCAAAACTGAAATAGTATTTCAGTTTTGTTTGCAAGATGCAAAGAGTTCTGAACATTGGTTGCACCAGGATGTGAATGTACTTAACACTACAGAATTATACATAAAAAAATGGTTAAAATGGTAACTCTATGTTATGTCTATATTACCACAATTTTTTTTTAAAGAAAAGGCGATCTCTTCAGATAATGTGAAGCAACAGAACAAAGACCCAGCCTGTGCCACTTATGAAAGTGTAGCTTCTCCTTCAATGCAACATGGCAGGGTTTAGGTTTCTTAAGGACCCACAAGGAGTCAAATGACCATCACACCTATAATCCCAACACTTTGGGAGACTGAGGTACGCAGATTGCTTGAACTCAGGAGTTAAGAGACCAGCCTGGGCAACATGGTGAAACACCGTCTCTACAAAAATACAAAAATTAGCAGGGCTTGATAGCACATTCCTGTAATCCCAGCTACATGGGAAGCTGAAGTGGGAGGATCACTTGGGCCTGGGAGGTCAAGGCTGCAGTGGGCTGAGGTCACACCACTGCACTCCGGCCTGTGCCCCAGAGTGAGACCCTATCTCAAGATAAAGAGAAAAGACCACCCCAACTTCAATCCCCAAATATTACTTTTATTTTTCTTAATCATTATATTTTTCTTCATTCCTTTCTTCCTTCTTGCCACAAGAGGGAAACTTTCCCCTATGACATCTTCAAAGATAAATTCTCACATCTATATTCAAACTGTATCTCTTCTCATTTCTTCCAAAACTCTTTTCACTCATTATCCTTTGTCCAATGACAGCCACCTATCCCGCCCACCCTTCAGAGAAAAAAAAAAGTCCAGTTAAAAAAAAAAAGATAATAAGATATGAATAGAAGCTAAAGTGAAAGTTTGCACTCTTAAACTGGGTCACAATCTGCATATGTACATCTCACATGCCCTTTTGCACATAGCAAATATTATCTAATAAAACATGTGAGAAGAGCTCCATTAGAGGTAGGTACAGGATGCTATGGAGTACAGAGGAGGGGAGTCTAACTCAATCTGAGATAGGAGAAAGCATGAGAGCTGAGTCTTGTTGTTGTTGTTGTTATTTTGTAGAAAAGGGGTCTCACTCTATCACCTAGGCTGGCCTCCGATGCCTGGCCTCGAGCAATCCTCCCACCTTGGTCTCCCAGAGTGCTGGGATTATAGGTATAAACAATTGCACTTGGTCTGTTGAGCTGAGGCTTAACAAAGAGAAAAAGTTGGCCAGAAGAATGAGAAGCAGAGGTAAGCCAGCCACAGAAACCTGCAACATGTAAGAGCAGAGCAGAAGTGGGGCAAATTACAGGCTCTGCAGGTGGTTTGGTATGACTGGACCACATGGTATGTGTGAAGGAGTGATGAGAGATGAGGCTGGAAAAGGAGGCATTAACCATGTCATGAAGGGTCCTGCCTAATGTGCTAAAGAATTTAGAAATTTCTGGAAGACAAGTGGGAGTCTTCAAATGATTTTTTAAGAAAAGGAGTGACAAGTTCATATTTATATTTTAGAAATATAATTCAGGGCAATGTTGAGTATGTCAGGGGGCTGAAAGTAAGAGGGAAGTAGCTTATAAGAGATCATCATAACCCAAATCAGTAATTTTAAGAATCAAAACAAAAATCTTGGTACCAGAAAAATGAGGATGGATTCTTGAAATTAAAAAATAAAATCAATAGAATTTAGTGACTGACACTGTGGGATAAATAAAGAAGAAAAGTGAGTCTATAATAATTTCCAGGGTTTTTGCTTGCATTATGGTACCAAGGAATAATGGGACAAGATGAGGCTTACAATAACAAAATGATGGTTTTGTCACATGGTTTTGGACCTGGGAAGTTTGAAGTACTATAGGACATCAAGATAGATTTAGATGTCCATTCAACACTTAAAAATAAAGATGTAGAAATTAGAAGAGAGGACTGAACTAGAGATATAAATTTGTTTCAATATTATATGTGTTTGGTATCCAAGAAGATATAAAATATATATAGTCATCACACACACACACTGGACCACATGGTATGGTTGTGTGTGTGTGTGTGTGCATGTGTGTGTGCAATAGTTGAAAGTACAGGGAGTATAGCACTCAGGAAGTGTGTTAAGAGTGAGAAAGTTAAAGAGAAAATCCTAAGGTGTATCAGTATTTAAGAAACAGTAAAAGAAGAAAGGATTCTGAAGAAAATTGAGAAACAAGCATTATATATCAGAAAATATCACTAGGTTTTTAAAAGTATACATATGTTTAGTTTTTCTTAAAACTTACAGACACATTGTTAATTACAAGTTTATGAAATACTAGAAGCTAACCATATTCCCAAAGAAGAAAATAACTTATTTTTAATGTTTTCTTATTTTAAAAGGGAAGTAGGAAGTAAAGAAATAGTGCAAACTAAAACTCTATGAGCACTTATAAGTTTGTTAAATCGATCTTACTTTTCAGTAGGTCGAAGTTCGTGGATAACCGCTAAGAGCTTGGACAACACCTGTAGTTTTCCTGACTCCTTTTCAGTAAACAGGAGAGGGTTGTAGTCAGCAGGAAACACACTTAGCAAGCCTTTGTATAGACTCTTTTCTTCATTTTTATCACAAGTTGAGCTACATTCCTTTTCCTATTCAAAATGATGATTGTTAATGCTGGCTCAAGTTTGTTTTTTTAATTAGGAGGGGAAAATGCTAAAATTATGGAAGGAAAAAGGTGAAGATTAACGGCTATCTGAAAAGTCCAAGAAACTGTTAGGTAAATCTTTATAGGTCATGATTTGATCATTTTTTAAAAAAGTAACATGCCTTCTACTGAGTTAGTTACAGAGCAGTTCTAACGCAGTCTCATGCCTGCTACCTTCACCCTGCAAGTGTAGTATTAATATTTCCCACATGTAACTACAGGAAGTAGGAGCAGACAAAGAAAGGAGAGAGAAATAAAGGGCAAATGGTGATACAAAATCCATCCTCTCCAAAACCCTAACATTTTGCATCTTTGATACATCTTTTTCTCTTTTCCTCTCTCCTTCCCTCCCTGTTAGTATTCTCTACTGAATTGTGGGCTTCATACAACACCTTTACATCCAAAAACAAGCACTATCGTTTACTTAATCTTACCAGTTTCTTCTGTAAGAAGGAAGAATTTCACCAATAAATTAACAGAGAAATTTATTCTTACTTACAACAATACTTTTTATTTCACCAATAGTTGTAGAATAAATTTATTCCAAGGTGATTATCAGCACCTCTGAAATTCCCCCTCCAAAACTGCCTAGCTGATATGTGAACATATAACTAGAGATCAGAGATATTCATGACTACATCACTTTTTGGGTTAAATTCCTAGGATTGGCAGGTCTCTTAACTCTCTCCCATATTTACCAGATTTATCACTGTTTTTGAAACTTTGTTCAACCTAAACCCCTTGTCTGGAATACTTTTTTATTTTGCTGCTCAATTATCCCAATCCTATAAACACTTGAGGACCCAGTGCAAATTATACCTGATTATTCATAGCCTTTGTTTGCACTGAGTTTTAACCTTTATGGTTACACAGTACATTTCAGGTTTGACTTTATCTAATTGAGCAGTTAATGATATGCAGTTGACCCTTGAACACATGGGTTTGAACTACGCAAGTCTACTTATATGCAGATTTTCTCCCATCTCTGCCACCACCCCTGATACAGCAAGGCCAACCCCTCCTCTGCCTCCTCTCCTCTTAGCCTACTCAATGTGAAGAGCTTTGTGAGGATCTACTTCCACTTACTGAATAATAAATATATTTTCTCTTCTTCATTCTTTTCTTAATAACATTTTCTTTTTATAGCTTACTTTAGTGTAAAAATACAGTATATAATATACAAAATATGTGTGAACTGACTTAATGCTACTGGTAAGGCTTCTGGTCAACAGTAGGCTATTCGTAGTTCAGTTTTGGGGGAGTCAAAAGTCATACAAGTTATAAAGGGATTTTCAACAGCACACACAGGGGTCAGCCCCCCTAACCCCAGGGTTGTTTAAGATCGAATGACTTTTTTTTATACTTCACAAATGTTTTCCTGTGTGTTGCACCCCCTCTTTAGTAATACTAGAAACACTTTAAGGGCAGTGAATCCTATGTGAAATGTATAAAAATGCTGGGCACAGAGTACTAATTTTAATTTGGCTTACTGTCAAAATACAGCAATATTTAGGTGTAGTCATTTGATTAAAAATACTAGGAACTCTAAAATATTTCTATCACTGGGACATATGAGGAGAAAGAAGTAGCTGCTGGCTGCTTTAGGTTAGCTCTGCCTACAACTTGGAAAGATCATCAAAGGACCACAGGCCCAGGGTCTAGTATACAGTTTTTCATCTTCAGAAACTTGAATATGCTTAAGCTCTAGGGAAATTATTCATATTAACCAAATTAAGAGACTGAATAAGTCAGAATGAAAATGTATTGACCTATGAGACCTGCCTATTTAGACCAATCAGTCTATGCACGTGCATTCTGTCCTATGAAAGAACGTCCCCAGGGAAAGTCAAACCACTAACAGAAGGTGTCTGGTGAATATTAAATCAGAGTACAGGGAGATGGGTGATCTTTTCTTTTTTTAAAGAGACAGGGCCTCATTATGTTGCCCAGACTGGTCTCGAACTCTTGGCCTCAAGCAATTCTCCCACCTCAGCCTCGCAAAGTGCTGGGATTATAGGCGTGAGCCACCGCCCTGGCCAAGACGGGCGATCTTAATGCACAAGTTCTTAACCAAGAACACGTATTAGAATCACTTGAAAAGGCTTTTTTAAAAATGCTCATGCCTGGGTCCTACTCTCAAACAAACTCTGAATTAATCCATATGTGTTGAGGCCTGGACTAATGTAATTTTAAGAGCTTCCCAGGATATTATAATATGTACCACTAATTAATAATTGACCAATAGATAATATCTTTATACTGTGACAGCCTGATGCAGCATCTCCATCATAGAGATTTACCAGTTTGACTTCTCATCTCAAGCTAATCGCGACACTATCTCTTCTGACTCCATGTACACTTCAATTATGAGTTATGATATTGTTACTGGTTACGTTCCACTCACATTTCCTAAAGAAAGACCTAACATCTTAATTGAACTTGGGAAACAATTTAGTTTCAATAGAAACATAGTTACAAGCCATTGCTTAAAGGTTATTTATACATGTAGAAGGCTCATTTCTGCCCTTTTATATCAATCCTTATTTGCTATGAAGTTAGAGAAAAGGCTTTTCTGAATAAATATCAGACTATAAATTATGTACCCTATTTGAAGTATCCTATGCCTATTATTAGTGACTGCATGGCAACAATGGAGAAACACTCAGAGCCCCCTGCTGCTTTCTTCAAGAATGTACAAACATATTCTAAATTAACTGGTATACTCTGGGCCATCATAAGGTCTTCCTTTTAATGAAGAAATTTTTGGCTATTTTTACCGTGCTTCATGCCCAAAGGGTTTGATTTTTATCACTGTATATAGAATCAGTTTTTTTTAAGTTGCGGCTGGGCGCAGTGGCTCACACCTGTAATCTCAGCACTTTGGGAGGCTGAGGTGGGAGGATCACTTGAGCTCAGGAGTTCGAGACCAGCCTGGGCAATAGAGTGAGACCCCATCTCTATTTTTTAAAAAATAAATATTTTTAAAAAAAATAAATAAAAAGGGCCAGGTGCGGTGGCTCAAGCCTGTAATCCCAGCACTTTGGGAGGTCGAGGCAGGCAGATCACCTGAGGTCAGGAGTTCGAGACCAGCCTGGCCAACATGGTAAAACCCCGTCTCTACTAAAAATACAAAAATTAGCTGGGTGTGGTGGCAGGCGCCTGTAATCCCAGCTACTCGGGAGGCTGAGGCAGGAGAATCGCTTGAACGTGGGAGGTGGAGGTTGCAGTGAGCCAAGATCATGCCATTGCACTCCAGCCTGGGGGACAAGAACAAGACTTCATCTCAAAAAATAAATAAATAAACAAATAAATAAACAGCATCACTAAGTTTCTCCAGAATAAGATTATATATATATAGATTATATATAGAGATTTTATATATAATATATATACATATATACATATATATCTGAGCCCCTATTTCCTCACCAAAAAAATGGGGATGGTAATACTAGTACTTATTCCAGAGTTTTGTAAATAATAAATAAAATAACACTAATAAAGCACTTAGTGATTGGTACAGGTTGACCATCCTTTATCCAAAATACTTGGGAACAGAAGTGGTTCAGATTTCAGATTTTTTCAGATTTTGGAATATTTGCATCTTGGGCATGGGCTGCAAGTCTAAACACGAAATTCATTTATATTTCATATATACCTTATACACATAGCCTGAAGGTAATTTTATACAGTATTTTTAATAACTTTGTGCATGAAACAAAGTCTGTGCGCACTTAACATCAGAAAGCAAAGATGTCAGGTATGGAATTTCCCACCTGTGATGTCATGTTGGCACTCAAAAAGTTTTGAATTTTGGAGCATTTTGAATTTCTAATTTCCAGATTAGGAATGCTCAACCTGTATATAATTAGTGCTTAATAACTGTTAGCTAATATTATTAATACCAAAATGTGATTTTCCATGGGTTGAGCTTAAGATGATTTTTATTTTCTTTGTGATTTTCTGAATTTTCTAAATTTTATGCACAATCATGTATCACTTTCAAAATGAGAAAAAAATAAATTATTTTTAATGGCACATTTTGTATTTGTCAGCACCAAACAAACAAAACTGACAGACTATATTAACATAAAATAGGAAGGGAGACGATCGCCAAGTATTAGATAAGGTGCCAAAGGGGATTGGGCACAAACTATAGAAGGCAGTACCTCAAACTCATCTCTTCCCTACTTCAGCTCTAGGAGTGTGGACATGCTCTGAAGAACAAATGAAAGGCTGGATAAGCTCTACAGCAGAACCATACTAGATAGCCAGCAGAGCTTTTTGAAAACCCACAAATGCAACCTCAGAAATTAGCCCTGTCTGCCCTCTTAGATTCATATACTATAGAACCCTCATATCCCTGACACAGTTTCAGATACTATGCACTTACCTTTATAGAGTTGAACAAAAGGCAGGGGTGATTGCACAGTTTTTTAAGAGCTCCTATACATATTAGATGGGGACTATTTTCCAACAACCCTTGAAGGCAGAACCTGACAACCTGAGAATTTAACAGCTTTCGATAAAGCTCAATCTGTAGTGCTCCTGGTCGGCAAAAGACAACATTCTCTATTTTAGGTGGGAGATATTTATTTATAATTTCTTGGGTTCTTCTAAGGATAAAGAGTCCAGTGAGGCAAGTAAGTTCAGCTGCTCTTCTTTCTCCTAACTCCTTTTCTTCCTATGGAAAAATAGCAGACTTAAATGAAAGTGTTATAGACAAAAATACACTTAAAATGAACATTAAAGATTTCATAATGATAAACCATTTACTCATTGCTTCCCAACAAATTTTAAAAGAAATAAAATATGAGTATAGGGACAGAAAAACCAACCATGATCTATTTATATGTTTAGCATAACCATTTAATTAAGTGAAGTCACAGTCTCCTAAATAACAAAATAATGATATATCCTATAATTGGTAGAATCTTAGAGTCAATGAAATATAGTCTGTATACAACACGTAGACCATAATTTAACCATTGTCCTACCTTTAAAAATGTTTGTTTCCCATTTGTGTTTCCTTTAGTTTGCTTCTTTTTTGTTGTTGTTGTTTTTGAGACAGAGTCCTGCTCTATCACCCAGGCTGGAGTGCAGTGGCACGATCTCGGCTCACTGCAACCTCCACCTCCCGGGTTCAAGGGAACCTCTTGCCTCAGCCTCCTGAGTAGCTGGGATTACAGGCACACACCACTATATCTGGCGAATTTTTATATTTTTAGTAAAGATGGGGTTTCACCATGTCGGCCAGGCTGATCTTAAACTCCTGACATCAAGTGATCCACCTGCCTCAGCCTCCCAAAGTGCTGGGATTACAGGCATGAGCCACTGTGCCCAGCCAGTTTCTAATTTTTTACCCTTACAGCTAAGTTTTTATTTCGTTTTATTTTTTTGAAACAGAGTCTCACTCTGTCGCCCAGGGCTGGAGTGCAGTGATGTGATCTCAGCTCACTACAACCTCCACCTCCCAGGCTCAAGCAATCCTCCCACCTCAGCCTCCCAAGTAGCTGGGACCACAGGTACATGCCACCACACCTGGCTGATTTTTTTTTTTTTTTTTTTTTTTGGTAGACATAAGGTCACCCTATACCCTATAGCTAAGTTTTTAATTTTTTAGTTTTGTTTTTTTTTTTTGAGATGGAGTTTCACTCTGTCACCAGGCTAAAGTGCAGTGGCATGATCTCAGCTCACTGCAACCTCTGCCTCCCGGGTTCAAGTGATTCTCCTGAGTAGCTGGGACTACAGGCATGTGCCACCATGCCCAGCTAATTTTTGTATTTTTAGTAGAGACGGGGTTTCACCATGTTGGCCAGGATGGTCTCGATCTCTTGACCTAGTGATCCACCCACCTCAGCCTCCCAAAGTGCTGGGATTACAGGAATGAGCCACCACACCCAGCCAGCTAAGTTTTTAAATAAATGTACTTTTTTTTATAATAAATTCATAAAAGGAGTATTGCCAGGCCACAAGATATACACAATTTTAATGCTTTTGATATACATTGCCAAACTTTCCCCAAGTTGTGCCAACGTACATTCCAACCAACAATTTACATTCCAAATAGGAGACTCTTGTCTACACTTGCTACTACTAGTAAATCCAAGTTGGGGAGGTGGTATACACCTGCAGTCCCAGCTACTCGGGAGGCTGAGGCAAAAGGATACTCCAGGAGTTCAAGGCCAGACTGGGCAACGCAGAGTGACACCATCTCTAAATAAACAAACACACACCAATAGAAAAGTACAAAAGTCACTTTGGTTATTTTGTTCTACTTTTTTCAAAACTAGTAAAGATGAACATTTTTATATGTTTATTGTCATAATTCTTTGTGAAGTTCCTATTCATGAATTTTAGACAAGTGATGTCATATTCTAAAATAAGGAATGCAAGAAACGAAGGATTGTGGAGAAAAATAAAGAGTTCACACTATTGATTTTTCTAAATCAAAATAATATGAAGTTATGGATGATTTCCTCAGACATACGGCTTTTTAAAAACCTATTTATTAGAGTAAATTATACCTCAGAAGCAGAAGGTTCTCTCGATAAAATGATGGGTTCTTCATATATTTTCCTATAAGATGACAAAGAGCCTAATATTCCTGGATTTACAAAATCAATTAATGCAAAAAATTCTTGCAGATCATTCTGAATTGGAGTACCTAAAGAGAGACAAAAATGAGTAAAAGGTCAAGTTTGTGTTTTACAATCACAATCTCAGGTTTATAGCAAAACCACAATGGAAGTTTGGAGAAATTTATTCCCTAAAAGGAATAAATACAAGCAAATTGCCTAAAACTAAGAAAGAGCAGTCAAAGCAAGTTAAAACATATTAATCACCACATAAACTTTTAACTCTGGTTTTAATTGCATACTAAGTTCTTACATAGTAGTATAGCATAGAGACTGAGTGCAGGCTCAGTGGAGTCTGACTGCTTAGGTTCAAATCCTACCTGCATCACTTACTCCCTGAGTGACCCTGAGAAAGTTATTTACACCAGTTTATTTTCTGTAAAATGCAGATAATAACAGTCGTTCCTAGGGTTGTGAGGATCAAAGTAGTCAATCCATATAATATACTTTGAATGGTGCCTACAGCATAATAAATGTTCTATAACTTTAGTAATTTTACTGTTATTATAGCTGTGTGACTTTGGACAAACTGCTTAAGTCCTTTAAACTCAGAATTTTTTTTTTCATTTATAAACGTATAAAGATAATAAATTCCCAGAATAATTATAATGGAAAGTAGAGACAATGGATATGAAGTACCCAGCAAAATGCCTGACACTCAGTAGACACTCATTGAATGGCACCTATTATTACTACCTTTCAAAGTTATCAGATCAAATTAAGATCTTCACCATCCAAAGGGTTAATACAGACTGTAATGGATTCATATACCTTCTATATATTACATATAGTATGCAATAGCTTTAGGCTAATTTTCAAAGAAACATTAGCATGTTTCAATAATTATAATAGTGCCAAAAGAACATATAAATCAGCACAAACAATGTAATATCAGATGGCTTTCAAATAAGAGATTAGAAAATGTTGTCCAAAGATATAAATAATGTGAAAAGTAAATAAAAATGCATTTATTTCATTAAGATAGATGACATAACTTTTTTAATGTCAAGGAATTTAATAATCACCTCCCTAAAACTTAATGGGTCCTCCCCACCCCCAGGTTGGACCAGCAATTGCTAATTTTTTTAAATTTAACACATCTAGTCAGTTTTAAATTTTTAGACACATCATTGAAAGAGTTGGGAAAAATACATTTATGTTGGTATATATTCAGTTAAGCCTCTAAAAGAATATGCATGATGATGACAAAGATTGGGGAGTATAGGAAAGACGAGAAAGAACGGTAGAAGGATCACTGTGGTTGGCTTTCAGACATTCATCAAACCCCAAATGATTAAGTCAATCATGGTAATTCTGTCCCCTCCTTTGCAAATGACTGACATACTCAAGGGTTCTTGTCTCATACTGCGTTCACTGGAAGCAGAGCCTAAGACAGTGATTTGTTTGCATGTGATTTACAGAGGGAGAGCTCTCAGGAGAAAGGGAATAATGGAATCAGAAAATGGTAGGGGAAGAAACTAAGCAAGAATGGCCTCAGCTATAATTTAGCTTGAGCTAAATTACAGGGAGCTCTAGAGCATAAACTGCACCATAACGTTGGTCCTGAAATCACTCTAAGGCAAGGGAGCTGCCATTTGCTGCTTACCCCTAAATCAGTCAGTCGTTGATTGCAAACTATAGAGGAGAATACAGCTCTCATTCAATCAAAGATAATTCTCCAGAAAAGGAAGGGGTTCTAAGTTGTTTAATCAATAGTACCAGCAGCTAAAGGATGGATACAACAGCCCAGAAAAGGAGAGCTAGAAAGGGCACCAAGAAGTTCCATCAGTAGCATGTGACTCATCCTGGCCAATGAGACATGAGAAGTCATCACAGAGGGGCTTTGAGGAAAGTCCCTCTTAAACACAGAGAAACAAGAAGAGCCAGTCCTGTTCTCCTTTGGATATCATCACATCTAGCTGTGATGTCTGGAACTGCTGCAGTCACTTGCTACCAGCCTGAGGATGAAGCCAACACCAAATATGGCAGAGCAGAAGACATAACCAGAATCCTTGATGACAACGTTGGGTTGTTGTAGCCTGGCCTACCTTTAGACTTCCAGTTATATGGGGGAATAAGCACATCTGATTCAGATCATCTGTTACCAGCATCTGAAATCATCCCAACTGATATACAAAGGGAAGAGGCAAGAACAAAACTGGACAAAAGAAGAAAAGCAGAACACAAGAAGGGAATAGGAAAAAGGATTTAGGGCAGAAAAGAAGAAGGAAAAAGAGTAAGGAAGGGGGGAAAAAGATGAGAAGGGGAATATGGCTACAAGACAGAACCAATTGTATAGTATAGCATCATTGTAAGAGTTTGTCACATTGCTTTCTAGTGGTAATTTAGATCCCCATTTGCTATTTCAGTGCTCTAATTCTAGACTAGGTAAAACCTGTAGAAGAAAAAAAAAAAACTAAAGATTTTCAAGTCAAGTTGGTGTACTTACTAAGACTATTTTCAAGAGTATGGGAAAGAAACTTCTGAGAAAATGAAAGGACTCTTTCTTTTCCCTACCTCCACCCTATCCCTACAAAAAAAAAAAAGCTTTTTCTTTGTTTTTTGGTTTGTTTTTTTAAAAAAGAAATAAATCTACCACCCAACCCAACACTGTCAATAACCTACACCTATATCCTCCTGTAACCTCCACAGAAAGCTCTGAGAGCTTTTTATACACATTTATATTTTTCCTTTTAATCCTATAAGCCCACTTCTAGGAATCTATACACAAAGAGTATATGCTTGTAGATATTCATCACCACATTATTTATAACAGTAAAGAATTAATCTCAGATTTATCTTTTCTATGATATAATGAAAGGGCATTGAAGATCTTATAATAATCATTCAGCTCTTAATTGTGGGCTGAACTGTATCTCCCTAAAATTCCTATGTTGAAGCTCTAACCCCCAATGTGACTGTTTTTGGAGATAGGACCTTTAAGAAGGCAGTTAAGGTTAAATGAGGTCCTAAGGATGGGGCCCTAATCCAATATGACTGGTGTCCTTCTAAGAAGAGAGAGAGATACTCCACGAATACATTTGCAGAGAGGATAGAGTACATGAGGACATAGGGAGAAGGCAGCTCTCTGCAAGCCAAGCAGGGAGACCTCAATAGAAACCAAACCTGCTGACATCTTGATCTTGGACTTCCAGTCTCGAGAACTGTGAGAAAATAAATGTCTGTTGTTTAGTCTGTGGTCTTTTGCTATGGCAGTGCTACAAGACTAATACCCCTCTATCAATCAAACTGAATCCTAACCATTTTCCAGTAAATATTAACTCCACAGCACTGGGCTAGATAATATGAGGAAACAAAATCAAAATTATTTTCATTTGATTCTTAGTTATTGAGCACCTATCATGTATATATCACTGTACATACTCCTATACAAACATGTACTTTCATAATAAGGAACAAATCATCTTGGGGTAAAACGTCCTGCCCATAAAAGCAAAGACTTCATTCAGGCAATTCTAAGAATACAGAAACCAACTATGAGTATTTCTAAATTAAAAAGGTTAGTTAG
Source organism: Homo sapiens (assembly GCF_000001405.40). Classification (NCBI taxonomy): domain Eukaryota; kingdom Metazoa; phylum Chordata; class Mammalia; order Primates; family Hominidae; genus Homo; species Homo sapiens. The sequence goes on from NC_000008.11 coordinate 94,397,383, forward strand.
GGCTAGTTTTTACCTAAATTCATAGCTCAGGGGATAAGAGTGATAAGGACAGCAAAACAGAAACAAGCTAAGATTGACAAAGGATACAGAGGACAATACTAATGCCTCAAATGAAACAATCTCACTGGTTGCTATCAAGACATTCTTGTTGAATGAAATCCTAGATCAATTTTCTACTGCAGATTAAATTTAATTTGGAATGTTAAATTAGTATTTGCTTATCATTGAGTATATCAATAAAATTATATATTTTTGCTACAGAAAATTATGATTTTCAAGTGAGGAAGGGAACTACTTTTATTTCTTATCTTCAGTACTTTTCAGTATATTTTATTTCTCACTCTTCTTTTTTATTTATTTTTCTTCTCCCTTCTAGTGCTAAACATTTTTACTTTATATCTGCAACTATTCTTTAAATAAGCAATACTGACCCCCATCCTTAAGCAGTAAGAAGAAACAGTCTTTTTCTCTTCTAACTCAGTGTTACTAAATTCAGCTAACTCATTTTTTTTTTCATTACTTTTCTGGCTCCAGTGATCTCAAGATCAAAGGCCAGTAAAGAAATCTGAACTGCAGCACTGGAAATCAAGTATAACGAATCCACTCAGCTTCTCAAACAGCCAAAGATATGAAAATCATTCAGAGTATGGTTCCTATTTCCCTGACTCATTTTTTCCTTTAAAAATGGCATTTTATAAATATTCAACACTAGTTTTCCTATTCTTTGGTTTCCACTTCACTATTACTGACAAACATTCATTGGGCATCCAGAAAATCTTGGGGGTATAACTATGAAATTTGACCCTAGTCCTTTTGTCTTTATCATCGTGATTAAATTCAAAAAATAAAAAGGTCATTTAGCATTTCCCAAAATCATTTTTTTAAAGCACAGATCATTTTAAAAATCGCTTTTGATAATGGTTAATACAATCCTCCTATACAAATTGGAAGTCAAATCATGAGGAATTTCTTAAAGGTGGATAGTCTTCCCCACCCCAACACAGTAAGAACAGAAGAGGAGGAGTTTTCTCCTCTCTGTTGTTCTGGGGCATATTTCCACCCTATCAGTATAGGAAGGAGGTACAAGTTTTTGGTCATACTCCTTCTCTCTCTTCATTTAACTTCAGAGAGCTGTGACATGCATAAACGACACATGAAGGAAAAAATGACGATGACACAGTAAGAATAATCATATCCTGACCATTCCTTCCAAAAGGGCTGAAGATGGTAGGGAAAATGAAGCCCCAAGTAGAAAATAGGGGAATTGTAAATATTAGTAATGAATACAATTCTCTTCTTTATTCTGCTGACACAACGGCAAAGTGGAAGGGCCATACAAGACCAAGATGAGATATGGGAGAAAAGCTACATTGAGCTACTTAGATCATACTCCAGTCTAGGCCTTAAATAAAAAGGTAGAAGAGGATTCTCGTATTTACCATCCATTCCACCTTTCCAGACAGTTGGGTCCAGAAGCTCTGTCCAACAATAAACCATGCATATGTAGCATATACATATAAAAATAACTGATATTTATATTAAACACTTACCACATGTCAGGTAGTTATAAATAACTGATATTAAACACTTACCACGTGTCAGGTAGTTTCCCAAGAACTTTACATTGATTAACTCCTCTGACCCTCATGAGAACTCTACAAAGTTAGATGGTATTATCATTCCTATTTTAGAGATTTAAAAAAACTGAGGCACAGAGACACTAAATAATTTGCTCCAAGTTGTACAGCTATGTCAGACTCGGGAACCAAGCACAAGCAATCCAGTCTGATCTCCTAAATTCCTTATCATGATATCATTGTGTTTATTCCTAAAAAACTCCAAAGTCTGGGCTACAGAAAATTACACATGGATTTGAAGATTCAGAATCCTACCAAGAGTTAATTAACACAGGTTTATTAGTATAAATTCCATCCAACACCACCAGTTATTTGAATGTTAAGCATCATAGTACAAGTCTGTATGTTCACTAGGCAAAAATTCCAAAATATCTTCCCCAAACTGAATACTGACCAGTTAGAATTATTCTTTTCTCACAAGAAAGGCTAATGAGGGCTGTAGTTGTCTTAATGGCACTGTTCTTCAAACGATGCCCCTCGTCACAGATTAGAAGATCAAATTTTATATTCTTAATTTGATCCAGGGAACGAAGTAACATTTCATAACTGATAATAAGAACAGAATAAAATATAGACTTGATGAATTCTTCAACTTTGTGGTCCTGAGGAAAAAAGATAGTATTTTAAAAATCAGGAACAGAAACTATATGAAATCAAATTTAAGCAGCCTATTCCTGACAGTCACTTACTAAGAACTGGAATGTGTTAACTCTTTCTGTCTTAGTCAACTGAGGCTGCTATAAACAAAATACCATAGATTGGGTGGCTTAAACAACAGACATTTATTTCTCACAGTTCTGGTGGAAGGTCTAAGATCAGGGTGCTAGCATGGTTGGGTTCTGGTGAGAGCCCTCTTCCTGGCTTGCAGAAGAATGCTTTTTACTGTATCCTCACATGGTAAAGAAAGGAAGTTCTGGTGTCTCTTGCTCTGGTTACGGAGGCACTAATCTCATCACGTGGCTCTACCCTCACGACCTCATTTAAACCTAACTACCTCCCAAGCCCACCTCCTAATACTGCTATATTGAAAGTTAGGGTTTCAACATATGAATCTGGGGGACACAAACATTCAGTCCATAACAACTCAAAACCAAAATGTAAGCTAAAACTCCATTTTTGTGCAAAAGGGTTAGGGAGTTAACAAGTAAAAACTGAATTACTGATTTGAAAAACTAGATTTTTTTTAAATGACTAAGGCTAAACTTTTAAGTTTCTTACCTGATCAACAGTAAATATCTTGATCCTTTCACTTCCTAGCCATTTTTGAAATTCTTTCTTCCAATTATTCACCAAGCTTCCAGGTGTGACAATTAGTGTCTTCTTTATTACTGGCTTGCCTCCATAGGGTCCCTGACACTGCAGGGTCCAGATGAGCGAAATACATTGCAATGTCTTCCCTAAACCCATTTCATCAGCAAGAATAGCTCCACATCTGCCATTCATTCTGTTAGAAATAATTTTACTTCCTTTAATCACAATAGAAAAATATTTTATGCTCTTAAAATCATCAAGAACCAGAAACTGATATTTTGTAATGACACTGAAGACTTTTAGTACTTCATTAGCTGATTTACAACACATCTTTTGCATCTTTGATAATTATATCCATTACATATTGTCAACTAAATTACCAAAACATAAATCTGAAATTAGAGAGTTGAATCTAAATCATCTGCTACTATTACATGTACATATTTAGAGGCTAGAAATGAATTCCAATTTTATATCTGCATATGGATAATTTAACTATAACTGTGTTTCTCATCACTAAGAGTTGAGTGATTTTTATTGGTTTCAGATATCAAAACAGTTTAAAATATATTGTTGTATTATATTTAATCAGCAAGATCTACTGAGCTGTATTTTATGATTCTGTCAGTAAATGAAGTCCTCAACAAAAATAGCTCCCTGCATCATAAAAAAATTAAACACTAAACACTTGATATAATACATATAATTTAGTAAAAGTTGTTATCCTACAGACCTACTGTTATATAATTTAAAATTAAATGTTATTAGAGATATTATTAGTAAGACCATGTATTTTTATGCCACTTTATATTTTTAAAGACCTTAGAAGTGTATGTTTTATATTTTTAAAGTTAAGAAAGTCCAAGGGAATTAAGGATATTACCAAAATACATAAGTATACAGTTGACCACTGAACAAGAAGGGTTTGAACTGTGAAAGTCCACTTATATATGGGTTTTTTTCAATAAATGTTATAAATGAGTGTGCCTACCTCTCTTGCCTCCCTTCTATCTCCTCCACCTCTTCCGCCACCTCTGCCACTCCTGAGACAACCAAACCAACCCTTCCTCTTCCTCCTCTTCCTCAGCCTACTCAACATGATAAGGATGAAGAGCTTTATGATGATCCATTTCCTCTTAATGAATAGTAAATACATTTTCTCTTCCTTATGGTTTTCTTCATGCTTTCTTTTTTCTGGCTTTCTTGTAAAAATACAGTATATAATACATATATGAAATTATGTGTAAATTGAGTGTTTATGTTATCAGTAAGGCTTCCAGTCAACGGTAGTTTATTAGTTAAGTTTCTGCAAAAGTTATATGCAGATTTTTGACTACACAGTGGGTCAGCACCCCTAACTCCTGAGTTGTTCAAGAGTCAACTGTAGTTTGTCAGTTAATTGTATTTCTTCTTAGTAGAAATTAAGAACCAATATGCAATTTTATATATGTGTTCCATTTCAAGGTATAGAGAAAAAAATTACCAACATAAATTACGGCTACTATTTAGGTGGCTGTTTTAGATCAATACTTTGGCAACAAAGGACCAAATGTCAGCCCAATGAGATACAGTGAATAGCAAAGAGAAAATCCAGATTCATCCTTTCACGATAAAGAGAAGGGAGCAAACAGGAAGCCTTTATGGAGATGTACCTTGAGCAAAATTGTAAAGGGTAAATAATTACTACACTAATTAGGCAGCTGAATATAGTTGGAGCTTGAACTGAAAAATATGAAGCTAGCACGGCAGGTAGAAGACAAAAGATGAGGATACTTAACCTTGAGAGTTTAGACTGTATCTTATATATCAGCATCTCCCAAACACCAGTATTTCATGACTACCATCACGATTTGTTGTCATATCTGTGATACTATATGTTATTTATGATTTTTCTTCAAATCATTTTAACTTAAATTTGAAAAGAAAACTCTTTCTAAGCATAATTTATCTGTGAAACCAAAAGTTTAATGTGCTATTTTTCTTTTTTTTTTTTTTCCTCTCCAGACGGAGTCTTGCTCTGTCATCCAGGCTGGAGTGCAGTGGCGCTATCTTGGCTCACTGCAACCTCCGCCTCCTGGATTCAAGTGATTCTCCTGCCTCAGCCTCCTGAGTAGCTAGGATTATAGGTGCCTGCCACCACACCCAGCTAATTTTTGTATTTTTAGTAGAGACGGGATTTCACCATGTTAGCCAGGCTAGTCTTGAACTCCTGACCTCAAGTGATCCGCCTGCCTTGGCCTCCGAAAATGCTGGGATTACAGGTGTAAGCCACCATGCCCAGCCTATTTTTCCAATAATTAACTAAATATGCTACTATTCAAATTTTTTTAAAGGCTTGTCCACTTGCCACCTCAAAATGGTCCCATATACTGCCAGTGGAGTAGGGATCACAGTTTGGGAAACACTGTTCTAAGTTCTGAGAGTCTCTGAATGATTTTAAATAAGGGAATGCCATGTTCAGAACTGTTTTTCAGAAAACTCAAGATGGTGGCTTTAAGTAGAATACATTATTTGAGAAGCATCAGAAGCAAATATACAGGTTAGAAGCCATTGCAATAGTCTAGATAAAATATGATATTTTTATGACATCGGTTACTAGAGATGCTGCAGTGGAATGACAGAAAAGATTAGGAAACAATATTTAGGAGGTTAAAATAATTAAAAGTTCAGGTTTGACTAGATTCAGAATGTGAGAGAGAAGAAATCAAAGATGATTCACAGACCAACTGAGATAAGACCTTCGAAAGAAAAAGCAGATTTGGGAGGAAATATGAGTCTAGTTAACAGTTTCTGGAAGACAGTATTCCCTTAACTTGTCATCATTCAAGGAGTTCTTAGAGTTGGGGAGAATTTCATTTCCAACTACCTTTAAAGGACAAATTTTAAAATCAAGGGTCTTGGCATTTAAAAACAAGGCAAAACAAAACCAAAACAAATAAACAAAAAAGACTGGAAGAAATGTTAGCAGGGGCCTTTGATTCTTTTTTTCTCCTGTTTTTTTGTGTCCTCTAAAATATCTTTAAGATACTACTATTCTTTAATCAGAAAATGCAAAAAGGAAGAAGAAACTTTTTTCTATTTTCAGATGTAGAGACAGAAGAAAATCTTTTTCCAAAATTCTCATAACCAGGTGCAGTGGCTCATGCCTGTAATCCTAGCACTTTGGGAGGCTGAGGTGGGTGGATCTCTTGAGGTCAAGAGTTCAAGACCAGCCTGGCCAACATGGTGAAACCCCGTCTCTACTAAAAATACAAAAATTAGCCAGGCATGGTGGAGCACGCCTGTAATCCTAGCTACTCAGGAGGCTGAGATGCAAGAATCACTTGAACTTGGGAGATGGAGATTGCAGTGAGCCAAGATAACGCCATTGCACTCCAGTCTGGGCAACATAGTAAGACTCCGTCTCCAAAAAAAAAAAAAAATTCTTATAACCAGAATTAAAAGCCTCTTTCACTTGCTCTTATGACCCTTTACCACACTAGCAGTCGGTAAGCTTTTATTATACCACATTAAGGTCAATTGCATTTATCTGTTTACTCAAATACTTTAAAAGCCACTTAAAAGTAAGGACCGTGGTCCTGATTCCCATATGCCCACCTCCTAGCAGTATGTTTGGCACGTGGCATCTATCAAGAACCACTTTTGGAATAAATGCACACAGTAAGCACTATTCACCTTTCCTACCAATTGAAATTCATAGTGTACCCTCAGGACTCATTATATTAGGATCTTCTTAGAAAACCATTATTGTGTTACAGGTTAAATCAAAATTCAGATTAGATTAAACAAATGATTTATTTTCCTACCTCATTCCCATTACACATTCATAAAGGAATATGATTCCTTCTTTCTGATGTGGTCGAAGATGATATACAAGGTAAGGATCAATCACTACATCCACAAGAGGGAAACAGTTCTTATTGAATACCCACTGGTGATTCTTATCTGGTCGTGGCATAACGAGGGAATCTTAAAAAATGATAAAAGTACAAGTATTGTAATTTCACTTTTTCAGCAACCAACATTATCTTGTTTTCATTACCCTAAGATAGAAATGTTTGCCATCATTTGTGGCCAAAAAAGTCCAAAATTTAGTCACAGTAATGTTACCCAAGGGCACAAAATTTAAAAAGAAAATCTCATGCCTTACTGATGAACGATTTCATGCAAAGAATTACGAAGAGCCTTCCAAACTTCATATACCCAAAAGTGCTTCGAAAGCAATGAAATTCACTATTGTCTAGTAAGGAATTCAATAAGCCACAACATTGAATAGTTCAGTATTCAGAGCAAAGAGAACTATTTCCAACTGAAAGTACAGGTTGGAATTTTGCCAAGATGCATTTGCCAATGTTCACAGCTTCTCATTCTGAAAAGTCTCCCCAAATTTAACATACAGGCTTTCTATCTTTTCAGTCCTAAACACACTAACAATGATCATTACTCCTATTAATTAGAACTGAGAAAAAATGATAAATTCTCCATTGACTTAGCCACCATTATTTGCTTGAAGTTAATTACTACATTCATGAATGTCAAGTTCATAAAGCTTTTTTTTCTGGGGACAGAGTATCACTCTGTTGCCCAGGGTGGAGTGCAGTGGTGTGATCTCAGCTCACTGCAACCTCCGCCTCCCAGGTTCAAGCAATTCTCGTGCCTCAGCCTCCCAAGTACCTGGGATTACAGGTTCGCGCCACCACACCCGGCTAATTTTTGTATTTTTAACAGAGGCAAGGTTTCACCATGTTAGCCAGGCTGGTCACGAACTCCTGACCTCAAGTGATCTGCCCACCTCAGCCTCCCAAAGTGCTGGGATTAAAGGCATGAGCCACTGCACCCAGCCTCATGAACCTCTTTAAAGCAGCATGAAGTCATCATAGAATAACAATGTAATTCTTCAAAACTATGCTAACACAATTTAAAAGATTTACTAAAATATCACCCAAAAAGGCAAAATCAAATATAACTAGAAGGCAGGTCTCAATTGATAAATCTGAAATTAGATAATAAACCCACCAAAATTATTTTGGGGATATATTTGCATGCCTACATCATGTTTATAAAAATTGAATTAGATAAAAAAAGAAAAAAGAATGAGGAGATGAGAAGAGGAGATAAAAAGAAATAGACTCCAGTAGACTATGTAAATATTCATCAGTGTGGAACTATACTGTCACAGGAATAAGAGTTTAGTCATGTTTACCATTAACAAATACCCAGAGGGTAAGTTTTCTCTGGATCTTCCTAGGTTTCTGAGTAACTGAAATGAACTTTCATCTTTGAGGTCAATTCCTGTTAGGTAGGAGACTAGGAAGTAAAAATGGGAAATGTAGTCCTTGGCTTTCCTCTATATCACTGTAGCAAAGTAAGAGTGTGCTCCTTGTGGATTTCCAGTCAAGAAATGGCCCCGTTATTTTTCTATCTTTTAAAAAGGACAACAAGGAAAAAGAGAAGATAGAGGTGAAAAATCACATACTGCCCAAGCAAAAAGGACTATAGGATTATAAATCACCTAATAAAAGGCCCATCTTCAAGAAAGAGAAACCTAAACAGTCAAAATCATAGAACACTAGTTCAAATTTTAAGATGTTTCTTTATCTTCACAATGATGAAGACGATCATTTAATATTAACAACATGTCTGAGGCATTAAAGTCTACAACCTAATTCTATCCTTGGCTAAGATAAATACATAAGAATAATTAACCATTTACTATTTACCTGAAGTGCTTTTACACACACACACACACACACACACATATATATAAAATTCACATGTACACATATATATACATTTACATCACATACACACAACACATAAATGCCACAATAAAATGTTTCATTCACTCACTCAACAAGTATTTCCTGGAAAGAGTATATACTAGACACTCTAAATCTCTACGGTGGTTATTAGGACCCACGTTTTACACATGAGTAGGCAAAACATTAGGAAGGTTAGTGACTACCCCCAAGAGGTCAAAGAACCAGTTAGTTCAGTGGCAAAACCATGATTCTTACTCAGATCTCTGAATAAGCACAGTATTCTTTTCAGTTCCCCACAGCCCTGTATTGTGTAATAGTAAAAGTACAAAGAGAAAGGAGAATAAAGAGGAGGGGGATTGTTAAAAGAGCTGGTGGGACAGACAAAATATTTGGACAAAAAGAGAAAATTCAGCTGCATCAGCTTCCACTGCCTGTATTTCAACTAAGTCTTTGGGATAAGCTAATATAGAACTCAGAATTTTTAATTGTGGGGTTTTGTCCCAATAATGCCGTTGATTATTTGTATTTAGGTAAGTCGGTTCATCTTCCTGGGCCTCAGTTTTCTCCAATGCAAAGTGAAGAGACGAATCTAAATGATCTCAAAGGCCTCTTTACTTCAAAACTTATGTTTCCATAATACTTGCAATGGGGAAAAATAATCATTACTTTATATACTTGCTGTTGTGAGGAAAGAAGTCACCTCTATGTCTCAACTTTCACATCTACTACACTATACTTTGATTCGGATTACTTGTCCTTCCCCTCACCAAATGAGAAGCTCTGTGATGACAGTTTTATCTTTAGGCCCAACCCATAAAAGGCAATCAAGAAATACCTGCTGAGTGAACAGTCAAAAGAACAATCAGATACAATCTAGGTTTCTTTTTTTTTAATGTGATTTTTAAAATTGCATTCATCAGTGTGAAAATTAACTGATTGAATGGAACTTTCACTAGTAAAATTTGGACTTTGCATGAAATCTTACCATTCAATATTTTTACACACTAATGCTTGTGATCAAGGCATACAGTCCTCAAATTAGAAGTATAATCATAGTCCAGATTAATACATTTACTAATTTCTCTCCTTACTAAAAAGTCAGATTTTATTCAAAATTATACACATGTATGTGTAATGTATACACATACAATTTAGATATGTTTCCTTCAACACATGTACAGTATTTTTATTACTGTATTCTTAGAATTATTCATTTACATATGAAATAATTCCCAAACTATATTGTTATTTGACTTCAACATTATCTCTTATGTCAGATTATATATCTCAAGAATAATGTATACTTTCACCTAAAACTTTTAAAACAAAATTTAAACTTCAAATTCACACACAAAAAACATTTTGACAGTAAAAACAGAAAATTCAAATTATTTTTAAAATCTTACTTGGCGTATATGGGTCATGGCGTGGTTTGCAATTTTGGAAATCATTCTGTCTATTTTCCTTTGAACTTGGTTTACAAACACTTTTGAAAGGGTTAGAGAAACATTTCCTGGCAACCTGAGAAGAATGCGAGATAGCAGTACTTCCTCCTCCAAGCTGAAAACACCTGCCACTGCTGAAGTCATCTGGAGAGATTACACCCATGACTTCTATTTCTTTTCCACAAATCATCAGTGTTTGGCCCTCTTCAATCTTTTCAAGCTCTTTGAATTTATAACCAATGCCTTTAAGTTAAGAAAGAAAAAAATTAATTGACACTCTATGATACCACGGTCACCTTCCCGTAACTGTACAAAAAAACTGCACTTTGAATGTAAATAGTCTTATATAATGCATTAGCCAAAATGGAAGCATAATTTAACATTTTGGTTAAAAAAAACATTGAAAATCAAAAGAAATAATACAGCTATCAAATTAGCCATGCTTTAGAGAAAGCAAGAATTTTTTTACTATTGAAAATATAGATTATTGTACTCTATAGTTTTGCCATCTCTTGTCCGGAAAAATTAAGCCAAGAAAATAGTTTGATAGGCTATATGTATCCTCCTTTCTTGTAAATAAACTACAGAAACATCATGGTACCTCTATTTTCACTTAGAAACAGCTAGAAATGTGAAGGAGAACTAGCAATAAAAGCAACTGCTACCACAACTAGTACTGACTGTTCCACATGAGATAGCAAAGTTAAAATACAGTTGTGGCAAGAGGTCACAGATATTCCATGTTCTAACTCTTTAATAAAACATGGAATATTTTGTAATATTAAGCTTGTTTGAATTATTATTAATTTGATGAACATTTATTAAGTGTTGCTGTGTAAAGGTGCTGATGAAATATAAGTATGGATAAGTCAGTCATGGGCTGCTTAAAATGAGTTCACTAACCACATAGATGGCATTTTAGACTTCCATGCTTGTCTATTAAATGCATTAAACTATTAAATGTGTAGTTATTGTGCCATTACCAAGCAAAGGAGCTGTGTATACCAGAAACTTTTAAGTCTCTAAAAATAATAATAAAAGACTGCCACATTTTAGAAAATATGATGACCCTTTTCAAGTAGTTGAAAATTACTAAAATTTTCTCTACTGAAACTGGCCTAAAATTTATAATCTGTGCCAATCTGTATTTAATATATAGTCTTAAATTATTTATGGTGGAATACTTTTTAATTGTAATGCTCTGATATAGGAAGAAATTACTTAGCTCAATGTCAAAGACCCATCACTCCATCCCAAATCAGTATTGGTCTTCACTTATCCAAATTAATGAAGATTATAGTTTTATCTTCACATAAAATCCAATTACTGTTAATCTCAGTTTTACATGGAAATGGAAGACAAGAATAACCTTTTAACTTTGAGGTACCTTTAAAGTAGCTCTAATTCCAAGATCTCTCATTTCATTTAGATCCATAGATGATCTTGATCCAAAGGTGACTCTTTCAAACATCTCAGTCGCTAGAAGCTTTTCTTTTACTCTTAAACTTTGTTTCACATACTGGTTTTTTTTTTTTCCTAGGTATTATGCAATGATGGCCAACTGAGCCTGATGCATTATCACAAGCTATTAGCAATTTTAGCATTCCAGCTTTCAGTTTTCTTAGCACCTCTATCTTTACATTAACAAATTTACATATTGTATATCCCAGTTATTTAAAAGAAAAACTGCTTATAGACAGTAACTTGCAAAATTAACTTCAGGTTAATACATTTATTAATGTTATAATTAAGCAACCAAGTCCTATGTTTGGATATTTTCATTTTGAAAACCCTAAAATATACCTATGTTCAGTCCCTCTCCCTACCATACAGGCCAAATAAATCAGAGCCTCAAAGAAAGGTCAGAGTCTGGGCATCGGCATTTCTTTTCTTTTTCTTTCTTTTTTTTTTTTAAGAGACAGGGTCTCTCCAGCCCAGGCTGGAGTGCAGTGGCAGGATCAAGGCTCACTGCAGCCTCGATCTCCTGGGTTCAAGCAATCTTCCTGCCTCAGTCTCCCAAGTAGTTAGAGTTACAGATGCATGCCACTACACCTGGTTAATTTATTTTTTTGTATAGACAAGGTCTTGCTAAGTTGCCCAGGCTGGTCTCGAACTTAGCCTCAAGCAATCCTTCCCCATCAGCCTCCCAAAGTGCTGAGATTACAGGCGTGAGCCACTACACCCTTAAAAGCACCTCAGATGATTCTACTGGCATGGTCAGGGTAAAAACCCACTGTTTTAAGCCTAATTTTCATTTTTTGTTACTTGCAACTGAAAGATCATTTTATTATAAACTACACATATGCAAAACCATGCACACTATACCTTAGGGGTAAAAGATATTCCAAAGTAATTGTGATAATTTTTCCTCTCTCACTGACTTTAGAATTTCACTAAAGAGGCAATACCAATGCATGAACAAATTCTCCAAAAATCTAGCCCCAATCGACCTTAACCAACATAGAATGTGTACTATCTATTTTTCTTTTTACTTCCCCAATCACTATACACAGTTGTTCCATATTTTTATAATAAATAAAACATTCTATTGTAGATAATTTAGTTTGCTTCAACTCTTAACACTGTCACGGCCTTTCATACACTACATTCCTGAAACACTGAACTAGTTTGAATTCCTTCCTGCTTTTGTGCCTTTACATGTGCTATTCTCTCTTGCACATGGCCCTTACCTATAACCTCCAAAACTATTCATCCTTCAAATAGTATCTTAAACGGTAACTCCTATCAAGCTTACCCCTAGCCTCCTGTGCAGATTAAATGGTTCTTTTATGCTCCCACTGCTTCCTGGGCAGATTAAATGGTTCTTTTATGCTCCAACTGCATTTAGTAAAACTTCTCATTGAAACAACTGTATTATTGCTTCCTAATCATCAATTACTTTGCTTTGTTCCCACTAAATTATAAATTATAATCATCTTTGGTATTCCTAGCATACTGCCTGGCACATAATAGTTATTAAAAACTATAAACTATATTTTTAAGTAAATAAACATGTAGAACAGATTTTATAGTTATAGGTCACACTCAAAATTGAACTGAGACAATGCAAAGACACTGTAGTTGGTGTTAGCCATTCTTAATTTGTAGCCTAACTTGTATTACTACAAATTATGCTGGCAACATTTTGTAACAGAAACAATGGCAACCTCCAATTTCCATATGTTAATCTAGGTCAGGCCTAACCATTATCTCCTTGCTCTGTTTTTCAAAACATTATTGAGTAGTGCTGAAATTACATATCATTCAACTTGATATCAACATATTTTTCAATTTTAACCACTTAGCATTCTTAAAAAGAGAGAGAGAGAAAGTATACCAAGTCAAATTTAGTGTTTAAGCTCAGAAAAGTACCAAAATAACTATATATAGCTGGCTGGCCATTTTTGGAGAAAATGAAACCATAGGATAGGATTTGCTTCACTGAGCTAGCATAAACCATAAGATTGTCAGGCTCACTAACCATTATGAGATTATTTTATGTATTATACACAGTTGAGGCATGAACATCCATTAAAGAATACCTTATCATCTCTTTATAAAACCCAATTACATTTCAATTATGTAACCGGAGATACATACTAATTTCAGGCCAAACTGTAAACATTAGGTAGTATCATAATACCTCTTCCAATGTCTTTGCCTTCCAAATTCTTTAATATAAATGACTTTCCTTTTACAATAAGAACAGCATCACCTTCCCACTTTTTATGTTTTTTCTTTGAAGGCTTACACCAAACAACACTGAAATATTTAACTAGGCTATCAGATTTCTCTTCTTGTTCCTTGGACACTGCTACTTCTTTAGGAGCCGAATGAACTACAATTAAAAAAAAAACACACATTATTAAAAATGACTTTAATGTCTAAGTAGTAAGGTCATTCAAACAAAACCAAAAGGCACAAGAAAATTAGATTATATTAAGAAATAGTATGAAAGAATATTTGATCATACTCATGTTAGCATTTTATAAACTAAGAAATCCAAATATCAGGTGTTAATATTACCAGATGAGTATAATTACTACAAATGTCTTACTGTTCCGAAGTCAAATAAACTCAAATGAAGTAGAATAACATAATAATCACTGTAAACATTTTAAAACTCTAAAAATTAAGAAATTATTTCAATGTCTATAGCATGGAAAAATATCTAAAATCACATTTTGACAAAACTGATTTAATTAAGTAACATGACAAGCTGAGGAAAGGCAAAGATTACAGAGTTCTCTGAAAGTAAAACCTGAAATTTTTGTTTATTTAATTGATAAACAAAAATTATATATATGTAGGTGCACAACATTCTGTTTTGATATATGTATACACTGTGGGATGGCTAAATCAAACTAATTAATATTATCCATTACCTCACATACTTTTTGTGGTGAAAACATTTTTTAAAATGCTACTTTCTTAGCATTTTTCAAGTATACATTGTTATTAACTATAGTCACCATGTTATACAATAGATTTCTTGAACTTATTCCTCCTTAACTGAAATTTCGGATCCTTTGACCAACATCTCCCCAATGCCCCACCTCTATCCAACTCTAGGTAACCATCATTCTACTTTCTGTTTCTAAGAGTTTGACTTTTTTGAATTCCACACATAAGTGAGATCACACAATAATTGTCTTTCTGTGTCCAGCTTATTTCACTGAGCATAATGTCCTCCGGGTTTACCCATGTTGTCACAAGTGACAGGATTGCCTTCTTTTTAAAGGCTGAGTAGTGTTCTACTGTGTACCTATACCAAGAAGTTTTTAATCCATTCATCCATTGATGGACACTTAAGTTGACTTCACATCTTGGCTACTGTGAAAAATACTCCAAGGAACATGGGAATGCAGATATCTCTTCAACATGCCAATTTCATTTTTTTTTTTTTTGGCTATATACCCAGAAGTGAAAGTGTTGGATCATATGATATGTTACTTTTTCAAATAAGAACAAGTATAAAACAGCAAAGTAGAAATGAGAATAAATATTATTAAAATTACGTTGTCTCCTGCTTCTTACACCTAACTTGCACACACTAGATTTTCAGTGGCTGGATAAAAGGTGGTTTAGCTGAAGACAGCAAAATCTCATTCCCGCCATTACTGAAGAGCTCTTCACTATGTCTTTTACGTCATACACACTTGAACCATGGAAACTATCAAAACAATAAAATTTTAAAAACAAAATGAAGTAATTTTTTTTCCTTTTTACTATTTTCCTACTTACTTAAATAGGAATAAGGCAACAAAAGCATATAAAGTATAAAGATCAGAAAGGAAGAAATAAAACCGGAGCATTTACAGATAATGTAACTATTTACATAGAAATCCCCAGAGAATCTAAAAATAAAGAAGAATAAATTTAGCAGAGTCACAAGATGCAAGGTTCATATGCAAAAATCAACTGTATTCTTATAGACTAGCAAGGAATAATCAAAAATAAAATTTTTTAAATTCCATTCACAGTAGCTCCAAAAAACAGACATGTGAAATACTTGGGAAAATATCTAACAAAAGATAACCCAGATCTCTACACTAAAATTAAAAAGCTTTGTTGAAAAAAAATTAACAAAGCTCTTATAAATAAGCACAGCTCCTATTTCATGAATTGGAACATTCAATTTTGTTAAGATAGTAATTTTCCCCAAAACGATCAATATATTTAACACAATACCAATCAAAATCCCAGGACATTTTTAGTAAAATTGGCAAGTTGATTTAAAAATTCATATGGAAATAAAAGTAACGTAGACTAACCAAAGCAATTTTTGAAAAGAACAAAGTTGGATGTTTACAATAATGCTGCGATAATCAAGATAGTTTGGTACTGCCCTTCCTCTCCAAAAAAGACATATAGACATTCCAATGCATTGGAAGAGAAGCAAGAAATAGAACTATTCACACATATACGGCGAAATTATTTTCAACAAAGGTAGGGAAGCAAATTCAATGAGGAAAGGAAAGTCTTTTCAACAAACATTGCTAAACCAACTGGATACACATTTGGAAAAGATAAACATCAACCATTAAGTCACCCCATATACAAAATTCAACTCAAAATGAATGATAGACCTAAATGTAAAACCTAAAACAAAAAATCTCTAATAGAAAACACAGGATAAAATATTTGTAACCTCAGGATATACAAAGCTTTCTTAGAATACAAAAGCACGAAACATAAAAATCAAAAATTATTAATCAACTTTTATCAGAATTTAAAACTTTTGCTTTTTGAAAGATGCCATTAAAAAAACAAAAGGGAAGCCACTGGCTGGGGTAAAATATTCACAGCATATGAATAAGACAAAGGTCTTGTATCCAGAATAATTATTCTTTTTTTTTTTTCTTTTTTTTTTTTTGAGACAGAGTTTTGCTCTGTAGCCCAGGCTGGAATGCAGTGGTGTGATCTCGGCTGACTGCAACCTCTGCCTCCTGGGTTCAAGCGATTCTCCTGCCTCAGCCTCCCACGTAGCTGAGATTACAGGCGCCCACCACCATGCTCAGCTGATTTTTGTACTTTTAGCAGAGACGGGGTTTCACCAGGTTGGCCAGGCTGGTCTTGAATTTGTGACCTCAAGTGATCCACCCACCTAGGCCTCCCAAAGTGCTAGGATTACAGGCGTGAGCCACTGCACCCAGCCTAAGAATTCTTATAGTTTAAAAATAAGACAACATTGATTTTATATCCTGAGACTTTCCTGAAGTTGCTTATCAGCTTAAGGAGATTTTGGGCTGAGACAGTGAGGTTTTCTAGATATACAATCATGCCGTCTGCAAACAGGGAAAATTTGACTTACTCTTTTCCTAATTGAATACCCTTTATTTCCTTCTCCTGCCTAATTGCCCTGGCCAGAACTTCCAACACTATGTTGAATAGGAGTGGTGAGAGAGGGCATCCCTGTCTTGTGCTGGTTTTCAAAGGGAATGCTTCCAGTTTTTGCCCATTCAGTGTGATATTGGCTGTGGGTTTGTCATAGATAGCTCTTATTATTTTGAGATATGTCCTATCAATACCTAATTTATTGAGAGTTTTTAGCATGAAGCGTTGTTGAATTTTGTCAAAGGCCTTTTCTGCATCTATTGAGATAATCATGTGGTTTTTGTCTTTGGTTCTGTTTATATGCTGGATTATATTTATTGATTTGCGTATATTGAACCAGCCTTGCAGCAAAGTCTCAGGATACAAAATCAATGTATAAAAATCACAAGCATTCTTATACACCAATAACAGACAAACAGAGAGCCAAATCATGAGTGAACTCCCATTCACAATTGCTTCAAAGAGAATAAAATACTTAGGAATCCAACTTACAAGGGACGTGAAGGACCTCTTCAAGGAGAACTACAAACCACTGCTCAATGAAATAAAAGAGGATACAAACAAATGGAAGAACATTCCATGCTCATGGGTAGGAAGAATCAATATTGTGAAAACGGCCATACTGCCCAAAGTAATTCATAGATTCAATGCCATCCCCATCAAGCTACCAATGTCTTTCTTCACAGAATTGGAAAAAACTACTTTAAAGTTCATATGGAACCAAAAAAGAGCCCGCATTGCCAAGTCAATCCTGAGCCAAAAGAACAAAGCTGGAGGCATCACACTACCTGACTTCAAACTATACTACAAGGCTACAGTAACCGAAACAGCATGGTACTGGTACCAAAACAGAGATATAGATCAATGGAATAGAACAGAGCCCTCAGAAATAACACCGCATATCTACAACTATCTGATCTTTGACAAACCTGAGAAAAACAAGCAATGGGGAAAGGATTCCCTATTTAATAAATGCTGCTGGGAAAACTGGCTAGCCATATGTAGAAAGCTGAAACTGGATCCCTTCCTTACACCTTATACAAAAATCAATTCAAGATGGATTAAAGACTTAAACGTTAGATCTAAAACCATAAAAACCCTAGAAGAAAACCTAGGCATTACCATTCAGGACACAGGCATGGGCAAGGACTTCATGTCTAAAACACCAAAAGCAATGGCAACAAAAGCCAAAATTGACAAATGGGATCTAATTAAACTAAAGAGCTTCTGCACAGCAAAAGAAACTACCATCAGAGTGAACAGGCAACCTACAAAATGGGAGAAAATTTTCGCAACCTACTCATCTGACAAAGGGCTAATATCCAGAATCTACAATGAACTCAAACAAATTTACAAGAAAAAAACAAACAACCCCATCAAAAAGTGGGCAAAGGATATGAACAGACACTTCTCAAAAGAAGACATTTATGCAGCCAAAAAACACATGAAAAAATGCTCACCATCACTAGCCATCAGAGAAATGCAAATCAAAACCACAAGGAGATACCATCTCACACCAGTTAGAATGGCAATCATTAAAAAGTCAGGAAACAACAGGTGCTGGAGAGGATGTGGAGAAATAGGAACACTTACACTGTTAGTGGGACTGTAAACTAGTTCAACCATTGTGGAAGTCAGTGTGGCGATTCCTCAGGGATCTAGAACTAGAAATACCATTTGACCCAGCCATCCCATTACTGGGTATATACCCAAAGGACTATAAATCATGCTGCTATAAAGACACATGCACACGTATGTTTATTGCGGCACTATTCACAATAGCAAAGACTTGGAACCAACCCAAATGTCCAACAATGATAGACTGGATTAAGAAAATGTGGCACATATATACCATGGAATACTATGCAGCCATAAAAAATGATGAGTTCATGTCCTTTGTAGGGACATGGATGAAATTGGAAATCATCATTCTCAGTAAACTATCACAAGGACAAAAAACCAAACACCGCATGTTCTCACTCATAGATGGGAATTGAACAATGAGAACACATGGACACAGGAAGGGGAACATCACACTCTGGGGAATGTTGTGTGGTGGGGCGAGGGGGGAGGGATAGCATTAGGAGATATACCTAATGCTAAATGATGAGTTAATGGGTGCAGCACACCAGCATGGCACATGTATACATATGTAACTAACCTGCACATTGTGCACATGTACCCTAAAACTTAAAGTATAATAATAATAAAAAAAAAGAAAAAAAAATAAGACAACAAACAAATCAATAGAAAACAGGCAAAAATCTTAGACAATTCAGAAAATGATATATACAAACAACCAATAAGCACATAAAAAGATATTTAACATCATTAGTCATCCAGAAAATACATATTAAAAACCTGAAATACCACTTCACAACCATTAGGATGGCTGGAATCGCAAAGTCAGATAATAAACAAGTGTGATGCGTATGTGGAGAAATCAAAACCCTCATACCCTGCTGGTAGGAGTATAAAATGGTGCAGCACTTTGGAAAAACCAGCATGACAGTTGCTCAAACAATTAAACAAGAGTTACCAAATGACACAGCAATTACACTCCTAAGTATATGCCCAAAAGAATAATAACATATGTCCACAAAAAAACTTGCATATGAATGTTTATAGCTAGGATTATTAATAATAGCCGACAGGTAGAAACAACCCAAATGTGCATTCAACTGACAAAGGATAAACAAAATGTGGCATATGCATACAATGGAATATAATTCCATCATAGAAAAAGAACAAAGTACTAATACATGCTAAAACACGGATGAACCCTGAAAACATTTATGCTAAGTGAAAGAAGCCAGTCACAAAGGCCATATATTTTAGGATTCCATTCATATAAAATGTCTAGAACAGCAAAATCTTACAGAGACAGAAAATAGATTAATGGTTGCTTAGGCTGGAGGGTAAGGATGGGGTTAGGAAGCAGGGTGGTGGTAGCTAAAGGTAAAAAGTTTCTTTCTGAGGTATTGAAAATATTCTGCAACTGGCTGTTCTGATGGTTGCACATTAACTGTGACTATATTAAAAAACAATGAATTGTACACTTTACATGACTGAATCATAGGGTATGTTAATTGTATCTCAATAAAGCTGTTTAAAACACACACACACAATGAAATAACACCACATCTTGATTATACTGACTAAAATTAAAAAAAAAAAAAAACTGACCACAGTAAGTGCTAATAAAGATATAGAGCAACTGAAAATATCATATCCTGCTGGAAGGAATGTCAAACAGTACAACTAGTTTGGAAAATGGTTTCGCAGACTCTTTAAAAGTTAAACATACACCTACCATAACCAGCCATTACACTGCTAGGTATTCACCAAAATAAAAGAAGAAGAAGAAGAAAGAAAAAGAAGACATATGTCTGGAAAAAAAAAAACTTGTACATCTCCAAGCCAGGTAAATCAACCTGCCAAATGCCTGAAAATTTATCACTACTAGAATTCAGATAAATTGTATCTTCATTACTGGCATTCATGGATTTAGAAAGTGAGTCTTGGCTATCTTCAACCAGTAAATTATACTCAGAACCACCAAAGTTGTTTTCTGAGAAAACAAATGATTCATACCCAGCTTGAGTCAGCTCTGTCTGGCATGACCCAATGAACTCTGATCAGTTCCTGAAAGGATTCAGTCTGCTAGAGCCCTCAGCAGGAACCAAGAAGACAAAGGACTTAAGTGCAGCTCCTCCAGTTTTCTGACCTTCCTTCCCTAATGAGAGTGTATGGATAACACGTCATTTTTCAGATACTTTTTTGGGGGAAATGTGCTTCTAAATGTCCCAGTAGATGTAGTGGATAGTTTTTTACCCTTCTCTTTTCATATGTTATTGTGGATATATTTCTACATATTATTAGTCCCTTATTACTGGACTTTTTTTTTAAGCTCTATCATATTCAATCTGTGCATCTCTGGTTATTTGTGGAAGATAAAGTCCAAGAAATGAAATTACCAGTCCAATGAATTTAAAGATTTTCAGATTCTTGATTTAGACTGACAAATTTTTCTCCACGAAAGGTTGTATCAATGATATTCCCACCAAGCAAGGGTGTCCACTTCATTACACCCATTACACCTACATTAGCACAAAACATCACCTTTATCCATTTTTAACTATTGTTTTTAAATTTTCATACAGTAAAATAGACTTTTTCTTTTGATGTACAGCTCTACAAATTTGAACACATATATAGATTCACAGAACCACCATGACCACAATCAGGATATAGAATCGTTCCATCATCCCGAAAGACTCCCTCATGCTATTGCTTTATACTCACACCCTCCCCTTACCCAAAACCCCTGCAGTTACTGACCTGTTTTCCATGAATATTGTTTTCTTTTTGAGAACGTCGAATAAATGGAATCATACAGTATACAACCGTTTCAAAAATGATTTCTCCCATTCAGCATAATGTCTTTGGGATTCATCCCAAATTGTTGCCTGTATCAACAATTTGTTCCTTATTATTATATAGGATAGTGACAGACAGTTGAGTTTTCAGCTTAATTTTGATAGCTTTGACTATCATAAAGCTTCTATGAACTTTTTCTGTGAATTCATCTTTATCAATTTAATTGGCAGAAATGATATCTCCTTAATGCTGCAATTTGAATTTGATTAGTGATAGGATATTTTTAAATGTATCTTCATTTCCTCTTTGCTAGACTCTCCTAATTTCACACTACACTTAAAGAAGGTACCTGAGAAAAAAAGAAAAGATTCTCATATCTTTAAAGTTTTAATCTGACCAGAAAACCCTCAACATTCAGCCGACATATTGCCAATATGTAGAATCTAATCCCTGAATTTTACTTAAAATATTTAAGTAAAAAATAGGCATAAAAGAATTTCAATTAGTAAGAACTGTTAAAATTAAAGCAAAAAGGTTGGGAGTGGTGGCTCACGCCTGTAATCCCACCACTTTCGGAGGCCAAGGCGGGTGGATCACAAGGTCAGCAGTTCGAGACCAGCCTGACCAACATGGTGAAACCCTGTCTCTACTAAAAATGCAAACATTAGCCAGGCGTGGTGGCAGGCACCTGCAATCCCAGCTACTCGGGAGGTTGAGGCAGGAGAATTGCTTGAAACCAGAAGGCGGAGGTTGCAGTGAGCCGAGATCATGCCACTGCACTCTAGCCTGGGCAACAAGAGCGAAACTCCGTCTCAAAAAAATAAATAAATAAATGAAAATAAAATTAAAGCAAAAAATAAATCTACTGAATTTTAATATGTAAAATGCTACAAAATACATGGAACACAAGTGTTGACTGTGCTGGAAGAATTAAGAATCCATTTAATATTTTCTTTAATAGGAGGTACTAAGTTACGGGGCTGTTACAATATTTTAAATAAACCCAGGTCATTTAAAAACTCCTCCCTCTTCTCTCACAGCCTGGCCCCCACCAAAAAAAAAAAAAAAAAAAAAGCAACATGAACAATTTAACAGAGTAAAATAAAAGAGGTTGAAATAAGCCCACTCACACTTACTAGAAATTATTAAACACTTTAGTATACAGTCATGTACCACACAACAAGGTTTTGATCAACCACAGACCACATATATGATGGTGGTCCCGTAACATCTTAATACCATATTTTTACTGTATATTTTCTATTTTTAGATATGTTTAGATACACAAATACCACTGTGTTACAACTGTCTACAGTATTCAGCACAGCACATGCAGTACAGGTTTACAGTCTAGGAACCATAGGCTATACCACACAGCCTAGGTGTGTAGCAGGCTATACCATCTAGGTTTGAGGAAGTACATTCCACAATGTTCACACATCAACGAAATCACCTAGCAATGCATTTCTCAGAACATATTCCTGTCATTAAGCAACATGATTGTACTCTAAATCAATATATCGACATGCTGTAGTAAAAGCGCCAAAGAAAACTTGATTTTTTTTTTTTTTTTTTTTTTTTAAGACAGAGTCTCACTGTCACCCAGGCTGGAGTGCAGTGGTGTGATCTTGGTTCACAGAAACCTCCACTTCCTGGGCTCAAGCGATCCTCCCACCTCAGCATCCTGAGTAGCTGGGACTACAGGCATGCACCACCAAGCCCGGCTAATTTTTTTTTTCGTATTTTCAATAGACAGGGTTTCACCATTTTGCCCAGGCTGGTGTCGAACTCATGAGCTTAAGCGTCTGGTCTACGTCAGCCTCCCAAAGAGCTCTTAACAAGGTCACTCTTTGACTTCCTACTTAATAAACTCCTTTCTCCACAGTAAATCATGGGGAAAAAACATAGCATGGAAAAATAAAGTCAAGATTATTATGTAATATGTTATATTTCAGGGAGAAACATGTATTGCAGGAAGAAACACATACATAAAAAAAAAGAAGTTTTTGGCCGTGCGCGGTGGCTCAGGCCTGTAATCCCAGCACTTTGGGAGGCTAAGGTGGGCGGATCACCTGAGGTCAGGAGTTCGAGACAAGCTTGGCCAACATGGTGAAACCCCGTCTCTACTAAAAATACAGAAATTAGCCAGACGTGGTGGTGGGCGTCTGTAATCCCAGCTACTCAGGAGGCTGAGGCAGAAGAATCACCTGAACCCTGGAGGTGGAGGTTGCAGTGAGCCGAGATCACACCGCTGCACTCCAGCCTGGGCAATCAAGCGAGACTCAGTCTCAAAAAAAAAAAAAAAAGAGATGTTTTCCTACCATAAGAAGCTGTCTACCCCATTGTTTCCACTTCAAGTATCCAAACACTCCCACCCCCACACTGCCTCTGCTTCTTCAAATTCCCAATCACTCCTTAACTGCTCCAATATGGCTTCCAGTAGTCATTCCCCCTAAACTGCCCTGTTAAAGGTTACCAGGAACTCTTTGTCTATAAACCCACAGGTTGTGTTTTTAGTCCTAATCAAAGTTCTCAAAAGCATTAGACAATGTTGACTACTTCCTCCTAGAAATACTGAACTATACTTTTGTAGATTCTCTAACATCCTTCAAATTTTCCTCTTACCTCTTTGCTTGCTTCTTCTTAGACATCTTTGCCAGTTCATACTTCATCTACCTTTTATCTATTGGAGTTCTTCAGAACTGACTTCTAGGCCCTGTTCTCTCACTGTGCACCACTTCTCTTTAAGTAGCCTGTCCACTTGAGCGGATTCAGTGCTGCCCAGGTACTAAAAACCTTTTTTTCTCTAGCCCAGATTACAACTCTTGATCTGCATATCCAATTGCCTCCCAGACATGTCCACATATCTCATAAACATCTCAAACTCATCATGTCCATGTATCTTTTCTCCAAAAATTGTTCCTCCTTTGGTTTCCCCATGTCTCGTCCTTATACAAGCCAGAAAACTGGAAATCATCCTTGACACTCTACTTTTTCAGTCCCACAGACAATCAACCACAAAATCCAGACAATTCTGCCCCCTACCAGGTTTTCAAAGCTATGTATTGTATCCTTCTCCATTGCCTCCACTTTTTTCAACTCATCTCTGATCTGAATTTTGGTATTACTGCAGGGGCTTCCCAACAAGTCTACTGACAGCGTCTTTTGCCACCTCTATTCTCTAAAACCGTTTTCCACATTTATTATAGTTATCTATTTTTAAATGTGAATCTGATAAAGTATCCCTCTTGCTTAAAATCCATGAGTCCTAGTAATCTTGAAGGAAGTATGCTATTTCCAGCTATAGACTTTTACCTGTCTTCTTCTAATGCCCTTATCTAAATTAACTTCTACTCTCTGTACAACTTAAATTTCCGATTGCCAAATTAGATCTAGTTACCCTATTACCTCAACATTATCTCAATAATTAGTTATGTAACAAATTATTTAATGTCAGCCTTCCCCAGTAACTTATAAAGTCCTGAGAGTATGTTTTGATTTGTTCATCACCATACTCACAGAACAAGATACTTTTCAAAAACTGCTATTTTGACTCTAGGTACATTTTGACTAAATGTTTATAAAAACATTTAATTAAAATACAATTATCAGCCGGGTGCAGTGGTTCACACCTGTAATCCCAGCACTTTGGGAGGCTGAGGCAGGCGGATTACCTGAGGTCAGGAGTTTGAGACCAGCCTGGCCAACGTGGCGAAACTCCATCTCTACTAAAAATACAAAAATTAGCCAGGCATGGTAGTACACGCCTGTAGTGCCGGCTACTTGGGTAGCTGAGACAGGAGAATCGCTTGAATCCGGGAGGCGGAGGTTGCAGTGAGCCGAGAACATTCCACTGGCACTCCAGCCTGGACGATAGAGCGAGACTTCGTCTCAAAAAAAAAAAAAAAAAAAAAAAAAAAAAAATATATATATATATATATATATATATATATATATATAAAATTATCAGTGTTACAGCTCTTTCAGAATTTTCCAGTTTTTGCCAATTCTAAATCCAGTTTCAGAATTTTCTAGAAAGCCTCCTCACCACAAAAAATTATATATATATATATATATATATAATTGTTAGGGGTGGTTATTCTGGAACATAGCAAATTAGTCAATATTTTCATAATACAAGTAGTCTAGATATAGGAGGCTATGTTCCACTATCCTATGTTGCCAATGATCTTGTTTTTACCTTTTGGAGTTATTCACCCTCTTCATTCCCTGCTGTATGGCCTACATAATTTTAAAAATGGGACTAATTGGGAAAGAGAATATGTATAAATATACATATATATTTATCTTAAAATTCATTTTCATTAAGAGTTGCTTTAGAATATAACTCTGTCCTCATTTCCATTATTACCCAATTTTTATTTTCATTGACAAAGACTTGTTACCGGCCGGGCACGGTGGCTCACGCCTGTAATCCCAACACTTTGGGAGGCCGAGGCAGGCTAATCACAAGGTCAGGAGATCAAGACCATCCTGGCTAACATGGTGAAACCCCATCTCTACTAAAAATACAAAAAATTAGCTGGGCATGGTGACAGGCGCCTGTAGTCCCAGCTACTCAGGAAGCTGAGGCAGGAGAATTGCTTGAACCCAGAAGGCGGAGTTGCAGTGAGCCAAGATCGCGCCACTGCACTCCAGACCAGGCAACAGAGCCAGACTCCATCTCAAAAACAAACAAACAAAAAAAACTTGTTATCATCAGGATCATTTTCCAAGTAAATTTTGTAGCAAAGATTCAGTCACTTCTTTATGTACCATATTATTTCATTGATCGGTGAAAGCTTTTATGAACATGTTCTTTCATAACCATAATTTCTACCAAATGAAGTTTTACTGAGTCAAATTTTGCACAGCTAAATATTATCAGGATCGTATTAATCCAACAAATTTTAGTCAAGAAAACTTAACCAGTTTTTAGATAAATTTGTAGCTGTCATGGGTTATTTTCGTTGTTTTACCAAGCCCGATCTTCCCAGATAAAGTTTTGAGGTTTTTAGCATTAACAAAAGACAGAATACTTCAATTAGCTTTTGAACTCTTTTCACACAAATTTTGCTGTGTGCAATTTTAGTCAATTTTAATTAGTTTTCTTTTTGTATTATTTCTACCAGTAGCAGTCACTGTGCATTGAATTAAAAACTGACAAAATCTTTCTGCATAGTTAAAATGTGTTTCTCTGTTTTTATTAGGTTATCCAAGAGAAAAACATACTTCCCCTTTTACCCTAAAGAGCGGGTAAAAAGAATGTCTTCATCAAAAGACTGGGAAAAACATCCTGGAGTAAAATACCGTATTGTATTACCAGGGTCTAAGAGAATGGATGTTATGTCCAAGACCCTCCCTGCCACCATCCCACCAGCTCCCAGAAAAAACAATGAACAAGATAACTAAATTCTGATAATTCAGAAATTACTTATAAGTAACTTTGAAATACCATAAGATTCTCGGATATACACTTTTCTTTTGCAGAACAGCAGAAGGGCATGAACTATGGAGACAGACTGGCTGGGTCAGAGTCTTAAGTCTGCCTCTTACTAGCTCTATGACCCTATATAAGTTACTTAACACCTTTGTGCCAGTTTATAAATCTATAAAATGAATATAATACTAATACTTACCTCGCAAACCTACTGTGAGCAAGGATTAGTGAATATATGTAAAACACAACAGTATTTGCCACATAGTAAGTGCTCCCTTAATGTTTACACCATCAACATTTGCCCTTGTCCCTTTCTCAATTACTCCCATTTTTAAAATTATGTAGGCCATACAGCATGGAATAGAGAGGGTGAATAATTCCAAAAGGTAAAAACAAGATCGTTGGGAACATGGAATAGTGGAACATAACCTCCTATATCTAGACTACTTGTATTACAGAAAATATTGACTAATTTGCTATGTCCCAGAATAACCACCCCTAACAATCCCAGTCTATAATTTCTTAACTGTAAACTGGGTTCTGATCTATTTTCCCCTTGACCCTGTAATGTGCTTGCCAAATCAATACCAAAAAGTGGTCGGCATAAACAAGAGACTTGAAGGTCTATCTGCAAGACTCATAAGGCAGCTGGCACAGTGGCTCACACCTGTAATCCCAGCACTTTGCGGGGCCAAGGTGAGAGAATCACTCAAGCCCAGGAGTTCAAGACCAGCCTGGACAATACGGCAAAACTCTGTCTCTATAAAAAATACAAATATTAGCTGGGCATGGTGGTGCACACCTGTGGTTCCAGCTACTCAGGAAGTTGAGGCAGGTAGGTTGCTTGAGCCCAGGAGGTTGAGGCTCCAGTGAGCTGTGACTGTGCCACTGTACTCCAGCCTGGGTGACAGAGCGAGACCCCATCTCAAAAAAAAAAAAAAAAAAAATTCATAAGGGCATGTTTTGATAAAGGGAAATAATGTCATTTAATATTAATAGTGGGCATTATCGTCTTAGTGAATGATTCCTAAGCATAGCCACTCTGGAGTTGAATGACTTAATTGTACAACCCATAAACCTAAGCCTTTAATATTCTTTTTTTTTTTTTTTTTTTTTTAAAGAGGTCTTCAGGTTGGTCTCCAACTCCTGGACTCAAGCAATCCTCCTGCCTCAGCCTCACAAAGTGCTAGGATTACAGGCATGAGCCACCGCACCCAGCCTAATATTCTTTTGTTTAACAATTCTAAATACACACATTGTTTTCAATGGCACAAATGAAAATTTAAAATGTCTCATATAATCAAATTCAATAAAGAATGTAAATACTCTTGCAGATCATGTTTTGAGTTTTAAAATTACCAAAACCTACCAATGTTTAATATGCATTAACATATAACTGCAATATAAATTTAAGATTGAAACAGTTTTTATTACACTAAAAAGCATACAAACATTAATATACAAATCCCTTCAAACTGATAATCACTCACAGTTTTCTTATATCTAAGAGATTGAATGTGAACTAAATATAAGTATCAATAAGTATAAAATAAACCTAGAAGATATTTCTTTGCATTAAAGATCATTTTCAGAATTATGTTTTATAAGCGTAGCAGAGACTACACATTTCATATTTCTTCAATACCTCATGTCAGAGCATATATGCAACTAGTACTAAAATGAAAAAAAAAAAAACCAGTAAACTACAATATTCCCAGATATCTAAATTACCTGTCCAACATTTTGAATGCACTTAAATATTACAAAAATTATTCATCAATTTCACTTCTGACATTCCAGTCACTGAACATGCAAAGGGCGTTTTGTTTCGTTTTTGGGACAGGGTCTTGCTCTGTTGCCCAAGCTGGAGTACAGTGGCGTCATCAGGGCTCACTGCAACCTCTGCCTCCCAGATTCAAGCAATTTTCCTGCCTCAGCCTCCTGAGTAGCTGGGATTACAGGTGCCTGCCACCACGCCCAGCTGATTTTTGTATTTTTAGTAGAGACGGGGTTTCACCATGGTGGCCAGGCTGGTTTCGAACTCCTGGCCTCAAGCGATCCACCCGCCTCAGCCTCCCAAAGTGCTGGGATGACAGGTGTGAGCCACTGTGCCCAGCCTTTTGCAAAAATTAAAAAAAAAAAAAAAACTCATACCCTGTTGATGGAAGTGTAAAATGATATAATCACTTTAGAAAATGTCTGGCAATTTCTTAAAGGTTAAGTCTGTATGGTTCCCTAACTAACATTATGTCCATGAAAAACTTGCACAAGAATATTCATAGAATCTTTATACATAATAGCCAAAGTATGGAAATTGCCAAGAAGTCCATCAAAAGATAATGGATAAAAAGTGTGGTATATTTATGCAATGGAATACTGCACAGCAACAGAAAGCAATGAGCTACTAATAGGATGGATAAACATGGATGAATATTAAAAACACTAAGGTGAAAAAAACAGAAACAAAGTATGCATATTGTATGATTCCAATTACATGAAGTTCTAGAATAGGCAAAACTTATCTATAATTTTTTTTAAATTAGGACAATGGTTGCCTGACGTGCAAGAAGACTGATTAGAAGCAGGCAAGAGAGGACTTTCTGAGGTGATATTGTTCTAATTCTTGACAGAGGTTTGAGCTACACAGTTGTAGATCAAAACTCACCAAATGGTATATTTTAAATTTGTGCATTTCACTGTATGCAAATCTTACCTAAAAAACACACATGCACAAATAAATAGTGAACTCTAGTAATACTCATGCTGAAGTACTTAAGGGTAAATTATTCTAACTCTACAACTTGTTTCGAAGTAACATTTTTCCTTTAAAAAAAAGAATTGATGGATAAATAGGTGATGAAGCCAAGTATAGCAAAACATTAATTGCAGAATCTATGTGGTAGATATATGGATACTTACTATAACTATCTTTTCACTTTTTCTGTATGTTTGAAAGGTTTCTTAATGTTAGGGGAAAAAAAACTTTGTAACAGAGGTGAATTCACACATAAATTTTAAAACAAAAAAGACCTGCTAGCAAAGTGGAATTATAATGATATATCCTTTTAGTTTAAGTTGTCAGGACTGATATGAGCGATATTTTTATTTTTATTTTTATTTACTCATTTATTTTGCTTTCCACTATTACAAAGCAATTGGAAACTAAAAATAAATAATATGTTCAAATTATAACTACTAGCTTTAATCAATATAAAAGATTTATAAAAATATATTGAACAATTTCTCAAAATCGTATACAAAGATTTTGCTTGACTGTTAATGTTTAATTAGATTGCATATTCTAAGAACTTACTCTTGTTTAAGTATGCAACCATATTTCATCTAATTACTTTTAAGTGTTTACAATCAAATTCACCATCAAATATTTGATTTTGAGAAGCTGTGGCTCTTAACATTTGAAAAAAGAAATGAAATGTGATATTTAGATATGGTACATTGGCCATCTATTATAACATAATCATCTAAATAAATGTATTTCAATTATACCTCATCAAAAAATTTTACCTCTACAGTACTGAATTATTTGTCTTAACGGCACACAAAAAAAGTACACAAATCAGTACAAAGTAGTATCTTGTATTTAAAAGAACATGTGTTAACAAAGCATTTAACCATCATTATCTACAGTATATATTAAACACAATTTATTACACTCTAAGTTATTTAAACATGTGTATTTAAAAGTTGACATTACTCCAAAAGAAGGCACATGAAAAAAACTCATAGTTTAAACATTTTCACATAAGTAAAGATAGAACAGGGTAGAATGACTCCTTAAAAAAAAAAATGAAATAACACCAAGTTAATATCTCATCATACACAAAAGAAAAATACTTGACTATTTTAAGAAATCTGGTATTCGTTAGAAATGAGTTTCACTGACTTTTCTCAGGATGTCATTATAAATCACAGCTAGTTTAGAAAATCATAAGTTGTAACAACATATCCATTACATTCATATGGATAAGAGAAAGATAGGAAAGTGGCTATCCACTATCTAAATTACTAATATATTGGATGAAATAATCTATATACTTAGTATATTTATCAAATGTAGTATATTTCTACAGAATCAAGTCTACATTTAAAAAACAAAATCACTCTTCTCTATGTTCTCCCAGCATTACATTTTGTAATTAAAGCTCATGGACCCCAAACAATTGTCTATGATATGCAAGATGTCTGGTGGCTTAAGTGTATAGTCATCCCTCAGTATCCAAGGGGGATTGGTTTCAGGACACCCCCTACCCCATCAAGATCCACAGATACTCAAGTCCCTTATATAAAATGTTTGTATTCACATACAATTTACACACATCCTTCCATATACTTTAAATCATCTCTAGATTACTTACAATGGCTAATATAATGTAAATACTATGTAAATAGTTGTTAGGATACAGGACAAGTGAGCCCCAAAACTGGGGATTAGCCCAACTCCTACCTCAGTTATACCGTCTTTTTAAATTTCGTATTACTTTTTATTGTTGTACTGTTATTTATTTTTCTGCCTGAATATTTTCAATCCACAGTAGTTCAATCTGCAGATGTGAAACCTGCAGATAGAAAGCCAAGTGTACATTCCATTGTACTAGCAAACTTTCCCCTATATATTCCCCTTAATGAAACTTGTCCTCAACAAAAACTGCTAATGTTAGTTGGTAAGTAGTCCCCTAACTCAAAAAAGTCTCAATACAAAAAAGAAGAAAAAAAAAGGTTTGGTTCCAAATTACCCTAAGATACTCTGTAAGATAATAAACAGCCTCGGAAAAGGATTCTATGGTCAAATAAATAATTTTCTTTATACAGGAATTCTCATAAACTATACTATGTTAATCATGGTTATACAAGGGGAGGTAGACAATGAGGAGAATTATATGCATTTAAACTTTTGCAAATTAAAAGTAAACAAGACTGACTTGGAGAAAAACAAGATTGACTTGGAAAAGTTGCTGCAGTAAACTCAAAGAGTGTGATTCTGGTGTTTAAAAATATGTAAAAATAGGTTTCTTATTGTATACAGCCCCTAAATGCTAATGAATTGTGTCACCTAACACACTAAAGAAAAAGCAATCTTAAACAATGCTGCAGAAAAATATGATTGTAGCAGACTATGTTTATGCTATTTTATGGGCAGCAAAGGAATTTTCAAGGGCTATTTTGTATATACATAATTTTTACCTTCCACAATTATTTTAGAACCTAACCACCAAAAATAAAAAAGATGTATACTGCACTTTTTTTTAACACAGATCTCTTTTCTAGAAACATCTCACAGAATTAATGTTCCACAGAACACACTTGGGAAAACTCTGATTTGCTGTAAAAGCCAACATTTAAATTGAACATTCATTATCAATTCTTAGTAGCATGCTGAAACTGTAAAGTGAATTACATCTCATATATGTGCTTTCAATAATTTCAAAAAATAAAGCTTACTACTGCCAAGATGTGTTTACTAGAATTATACTGGGAAACATTACCTCAAATTAAGAATTACAAGATTCATTAGACTCAAAGAAAAGTCATAGCACAGATTAAAGAGAAAAGGTAACATTGTCAAAAGGATATATCAAGTTATATATTCAGGACATCTTTATAATTAAAGAAGTTAACTCTACCAGCTATAAAACACCCTCTTTTTAATCCAACCAATGAAATTAAGTAGTCAACATGCTAAAATAGTACCTTGAGTTCATTTTTTTCTATTTCTATAGCCATAACTTAAATTTCTGATTTAAGTTCTTCCAATACAATGCCTGTCCCTAAATGCCACTCCTCCTAAATCACAACTATAATCAAATTAGCCCTCTAATTCAAAGCATTCAATGGCTTCTCATTGTACGTTAAGTCTGACTCATTAAAAATAGTATTTAGGCTGGGCACGGTGGCTCAAGCCTGTAATCCCAGCACTTTGGGAGGCCGAGGCGGGCAGATCACGAGGTCAGGAGATCAAGACCATCCTGGCTAACACAGTGAAACCCCGTCTCTACTAAAAACACAAAAAATTAGCCAGGCATGGTGGTGCGCCTGTAGTCCCAGCTACTTGGGAAGCTGAAGCAGGAGAATCGCTTGAACCCAGGAAACGGAGATTGCAGTGAGCCAACATCGCACCACTGCACTCCAACCTAGGTGACAAAGCAAGACTCCATCTCAAAAAAAAAAAAAAAAAGTATTTAATGTAATTCATAATCTGGTATCAACCATCATCCAAATTTATATCCCTCAGTTCACTTTCAACTACTCTTCGACAAAAATTTTGAGACTAGTATGATTTAGGCACCAAGCGAGGTTCCAAAATACTCTGTTTCACTGGTTCTCAAACTTTAGCATGCATCAGAATCGCTAAAGGGTTTATTAAAAGAGATTGCTGACACCCCCAGGGTTTCTAATTCACTTGGAAATGGATTTACATTTCTAACAAGTTCTCAAGTGATGCTGATGCTGCTGGTCAGGACCCATACTTGGAAAACCATTGGTCTACTCCAAAGGCCACAAAGTGGAAGCCCAATGGCTCAGTGAGGCCCACTCACATGTTGTCTGTATAATGTTTTAAAAGCATTTTGTGTTATTTGCAAACATTTTAAAATTGGAAGATTCCTCATTAAAAAATGCAGATTTCTGGTTTATCCCCGCATGTGAAAATTCTGCTGGAGCTAAACAGCAGCTACCCTACCTAGTCCAGGGAGATGTCCTTCCTAGTCCAGGATACTACAGCCCAAATTGACTCTCTCTACATTCACTTAAAATCAATGGCTTAGCACTGCATTTGTGCTTATATACTCAATCCACTTTTTCCCATTCTTTTGTCTTTTTTCCAGCGTCTCACTCTTGACTTCAAACACCCATGGTCCCCTTCACTGCTGAAATTACACCCACCCCATTCTACAACTTGGCTTAAAAATCCCTTCTCAACAAAACCCCAGCAAAAATAGAAATTCTTAAGTAACATACATATTAGAGATTTAATATAAATTTAATATGTATGCTTTAAGAATTGAGGTTTTATTTCCATGAATACTAAAATAACAATACTTATAAAATACATAAAATTTTAATTTTGTTCATTCTGATTTTTACTGTGAAAGAAATTTTTTCCAGAACAGGACATTCAAAATGAATTAAGACATGTCTTTAAATCACACAGCCAAAATATATAATAGCTTCAATGGAATACCTTATCTATTTTGCTGGAACAAAAATAGAGAGAGAATGGGGGTAATTGATGTAATTATCCTGATTTCACAACCTAACAATCTTTAAAGGCAATTTTAATGAAAGAAATGCTTCTAATATTTAAATCTAGAGAATGTTTTAGTGGATATTTACTTCTATCGAATAGCGGGATGGAAATTACACAAAGAAAAACTAAGTGCTGGTCTCTGCTCTGCCATAAATAGCTTTGTTACCCTAAGTAAGTCATTGAGTTCTCCCTGGACCTGTTTCATTACCCCTAAACTGCAGAGATGGAAAAAAAGTGTTCTCCAAATATCTTCCATCTCTAAAATCCTAGGATTTACTCCTTCAAAAGATAAAAGCATAAAAACCAATGTCATACAGACAAGCTTCTTGGTATTAGGTTAGTATAGCTCCTAAATTAGACTGACTTAAAAATCTCTAATTATAGCTTTCAAAGTTCTAACTAAAAATGTTGAAGACTCAGAACTTTGAAAGAATATGTGTTTGTATATGCATTTGTGTATATCTTAGTGATCAGAATAAAATATCTTTTGTAAGGTCAACAATTAAACTTAGGGAAAAAAAAAAGAAGACAATAAAAACTATAACCATGCCAACCAACCAGTAAATTTTAATATCTCAAAAGAAAATAATTAGAAAATTATATCTAAAAAGTTTTTCCATAATAGAGATTAACAACATTTTTCAAGAACGTGTATTCTGTTTCAGGATATTCCCAAATTAAAGTAATTTGGCCAAAATCAAAATTATCAAATTGCAAGATTGAAAAAAAAACTTAGAGACTGTTATATTCAGGTAGATCATGCCGTAAGCGAATTGCTTTCAGCTTCTCCACTTCAATTTTTGCTCTTAGTAGCTCTTCCTCTAGCTGCTGCCTTCTTTTCAATCCATCCCTCTTCTCCTGAACATACAATCCAAAATTTTTTTGATTTTCTAAAATTATCTGATGCTCCTCTTTCAACATTTGCAGGATCTGAGGATCATACCCTAATAGTGACCTAAAGTGTTCACCACTCTCATGCCGAAAAAAATCATCTCTCCTTGGAATAGAAGATGGAGACGATGTCATTCTCATATCAACAGAGGAAAGTGAAGGCGACAAGGATCTTTCCATAACATGTACTAATTCATGTTCTTCTCTTTGCTCTAAAGTATCACTCTGTTGAGAATTTAAAACCAGTGGAGGAGGTGGTTTAATGTCTTCTTCTTGCTTCACCTCCACTGTAATAGCAACAGGATGGTGATCCAACATTACCTGTAGTGAACTGGTACCAGCCTGTGCCTCCTCATCCAAGTTTGCACTATAGCACACAAAAAAGCATTATAATATGTAAATCAAATGAAGAAAAAGTGTATATTTATAGCATAATTTTAATTTAATGTACATTAAATGATAAAGCTTTAAAACTATAAAGTTACAAAATAAAAAAAAATCTTAAACACTTGAAATACATTAAAGTGACTAAGATTGGGATTTCAATAATACATACTCACAGATCTCCCCCATCCTTAACTTTAAAATTGTGCTTTAAAGGAGCAGGAAATTACAAATATTATAGAAGGCCAATGAAGAAAATAAAAAGAAAAGCCAGTTTTCATGTTGTCAAACAGACACCAATCTTTCCCACAACCCTAAGGTTTTCAAATGGTGTACAGAGCCATTTAATGCATTCTCAGTCTTGTTATCCCCATACCTTAGCCCTAGACCTCAGGCTTCTGCTCTCCTGGACTGATCTTAAAACCATGAAGGCCCATAACTTATAAAAGGACAGTGAAAGGCCATCTATGGGAGGTACTGATTTCTGCATTTGCCCAAAAAATAAAACATAAAGATTGTATATGGCTTTGGGATATGCTCAACTACTGGAGGTTATCCTAACTTTCTTATTTCAGATGCTTTTATCTGATAGGAAAAACTTCCGTTTTACCTATTCTGAACCATATGACTCAGATGCTGTTTAAGTCTTTCAATCACTGGTCAGGTAAAGTTCACAAGAGCAATGGTTTTAATCCACAACTGTATACTCAGTACCTAGCAGGTACTGTACTTAGAACCTAGTAGGTGCTCATTATGTGTTGAATGACTGAAAAAAAACAAACTAAATGATTTTTTAATGAAACATTTTTAATGGCCTATACAGATATATTAAAGGTTTATTAAATTTACACATAATTTCCACCAAATATGCATTCCCAATGGAGACAACTACAGCTTTAGCATAATTTAAGCTTCAGCATAACAAGTTATGATATTATAAATGCAATAAACCTTAAAATTCTGTTTTATAAACATAATTTTATGTATAACGTGAAGCTGTGAATTAAGAATATCTGCTCCTTGAGGTTGTTTTTTTTAATTTATGCTTCTGCCTAACTTAAAAATAAAAGTTATAAAGGGAAATTAGATCATTGAACATGAATGGAAATACTTTATTTAATATTATTTAGAGAAGATTTTACATATAATAAGAAACATAATTAAAAGAATACATTCTACATGGATGATTAAAATGCTGGAACAAGTTCAAGCAGAATGCATAGAAAAAGATTAAAACTACCCATACGTTACTTACTAATGCCATTAAATTGCCAGAAATATCAGATATTTATCTAAGAGACAAAATGAAACATATATAGTATATAATAAAAAATCTATTTGTAGGTTATATAAATTCATTTTTGTTCTTGTCTCTGTTTGTGTCATTTTATTATTTCCAAAAACAAAACAATTAATTATAAATGTAATTCAAAGTAGCAAGCTCTGCTTCTATTAATAGCTCTGCTAAAACCTGGAATGGGAAAAGGCTAAAATTGCATATGAAAATTAAGTTTTTAAAACCACATAATTACTATTTCAAATTAGTATGTAAAATAGAGAGTATAAACATAGACATAATACTACCAAGTAAATTAAAAATATGCCTCATATCTGGAACATTCCTTTCCATTTTAGCTAAAACATTACAACTAAGGCATAACAATATAAAAAGGGAGAAAAAAAGCTTTAGAGCAGGTCACAAAAATGACAGAGAAGGACTTGAGAATCAGAACTTTGAAGATCAGTTTACAAAAACACAAAATATAAACTGATATTAGGAAGAGGTAAAAATAAAGACATAAGTCAATGTGAGTTACAGAAAATAAATAGCCTTACAAAACAGGTATATATTTTTAAGTATGTTAACGCAAACACTAGTATTTTCCTTATTAAAAAGGAAGAGTTTGGTAAGATTAACAGGCATATTTATGTAGAAGTATAGTTAAGATTATAGAATAATTATAAACTTCTGAGATTATTAAGATTCAAGGATGATATCAATCAAATAAATATAAGCACATTAAATATATATATTAAAGAAATAAGCTAATACAGAGAAAATGTCAATGTAGACACAGTAACATAAGAATTTAAAAGGCATGTTTCTTATATTCTTCCCTTTAAAACCTAACAAATTGGTATTATTTAAGCCATAGGTATAGAAATGTACAAATCAACTCATTTTTATCAGAGAAATGTTCATATCCCAAAAGATTTTTTGTGTGTGAATATTGTAAATATTCACACACACAAATAGTCAAAATGTAACCAGATACTTGTATATTTATATATTATTTTTCTTCTACTCACTGTTATTTTTAAAATATGCAACTAACTAAAATTACAGTTTCTACATGTCGTTTTCAAATTATAAAAACCTATACCTACTAACCAAAGGGTACAGTTTTATACCTGCGATGCAAAAAACACTTTTCTCCATGGTTCAAGGGAGAGAAAATTCTGCATAAGTAGCACAGTATAAAACAATTTTACTGCGTAGTTTTCTGGATATCTAGCTATTGGGATTTCATCATTTGTCATCACAGTGAACATTTTAACCAGTGGCCCCAAGAATTAATCCACTGTGTATTCATGTCCTGGATTCCCACTGGTGATATTTTTTTTACTGTGCTATCAAGTAGAAATAAGCAGTATCTGGTAAGAAGCTAGGCTCAAAAATACTTTCCTAGTAAATTACCAAAATAACATATGCACTTGGCTACAAAGTGGTTTTTTTCTGCTTCTCTCCTAATTTCAAAGGGATTTCATAGTAATCAATAATTTGCTTATATAATGCCTCTTCCACCAATAGAAAAGCACATTGTGTAAAGCTTTGTTTGAAAGGCTCCTCAAACTAACAAGGAGTTTACAATTTGTTTAAATTACCCTAAATGGTTCAGAATAAGAATGTAGCTGCCATTTTTATATTTTGCCAGAGGTTACAATCTGAATTAGTGGCAAGATAATACTTTTGAAAATTCCAAGGCAAATAGTTACATAGAAGACAAGTTTAACCAAAAAATTGCTTCTAACTCTAAAAAAACCCAGTTGCTCTTAGGGGTATTTTAAAATTCATAATTTGATATCCTTGCAAAGCAGTAAGAGAAAGCTTACTCTTTCCTATACGACCCAAGATCAAAGTGAAACTAGACTATTAAGGAATAAAAACAACAACAACAAAAAACTTTTAATTTTATTAAGTAAACTGAATCCCTAATTAGGCATTAACTCCCTTTAGTTGTGTTCATCTTTATTTTAAACGTGTTAGAAAAATAATTTAAACTGTCTTCATATACACAATCATGCCATTAACAAGTTTACTTATTGATTTTGTTTATATTTGTTAGTTAACATATATTCAATAAGTGTAGACAATGACAATTCATAAAAAAGCAAGGTTCCATTTCTCTAGAAACTGCTAACTTTATATAAATTTTATATAAAATTGAAAATTCCAGTGAAATGTAATCTTAAATGAGAAAAAAAGTATCTCTCAGAAGCAAACTAAATAATTTAATTTTAAAGCTTAAGAAGTTTATGAAGTGATGTCACAAATTTCAACCCACTTATTCCTCCCTAACCTTTACTTTTAGAAACTACAGGAGGGAAGGGGGAGGGGAAGACAGTAAAAAGTAGCTTAAATGCAACAGAAAAATTCCTCATAGCCTCACTTTTCTCTTTTTAAAAAATGCAAAACAAAGACACTATTCATTGCTCCCGTTGTGGGGATGCTTACTATGCATATCTCTATCACGACTAAGCCAAAGCCCAATAGATAGGAGGCGCCATAATTTTCCATAACAAAACAAAATAAAGCTTACCTTTGTATGTGGTTCCTGTCTCTTACCAGGCAAAAACTGGAAATCTGGGGAATCATCTCCATAACTTTCTTGGTTGGCTCAGAAATATTGCTTTTAAAATCTGATTGGGTCTCTTTTTGCTGCAATAGCTCCTGTTTGGCATATTCTTTGAGCCTTTTATAAAGGGTGCGTAGGCCCTGTGCTGTTCGAGGAGGGCGGTCTACTCCAATTGCATTATAGTTAACTGCTATGATATCCCAACATCTATTCTTTTCTACTATTACTGAATGTTTATTAGTGTGTTCTTCGAGAATTTTCACATATGGCTTCACAAGCTTTAGCAAATCAAGCTTTTCGGATAAGGTAAAATTGGAAGATCTAGCCTTTCCTACCATTGTTCTTTTCAAATTAAGTAGGCAGTTTCTGAAACCACCATGCAGCCTTCAGCTCT
This sequence comes from Homo sapiens, assembly GCF_000001405.40. Taxonomy (NCBI): domain Eukaryota; kingdom Metazoa; phylum Chordata; class Mammalia; order Primates; family Hominidae; genus Homo; species Homo sapiens. Next base: position 94,436,925 of record NC_000008.11, read on the forward strand.
GCTCAGCTCTTTTCACAAACAGAAAAAGATCAGGCTTAACTAGGCTAGCCTCATTTAGGCCCACGCCTACAGGGGAGGGTTTATTAAAATTCCTCCAGCTTAAGCTGACGCAGGTTCAGGAAATCTGCTTAAGCCAAGCCTGACCTACATAAAGCTTCTCACTGAAGAAGACAGGAAGGCACAAGCAAAACACACTTGTGTATAAAGGGAACAGCTCGAGACAGGATTTAATACACAAAGGTCTAGAGATAAGCATGGAACACAGCTAAAAATTAGCTAATTTAGTGAGAATATCAAATTTCACACATGTATGCCTAGCTGACAGACTGAACTGCATTGCAGTATCACTTTAATAAAAACAAAAGAGGAACTGTTTTGTGCTATTTATTTACAAATCCAGTAGACAGAAAACTAAAAGATATGAGTAGTGAATGTAGTAATTCCTAACAGAGCCTCTCATCACTGTTTCTGAGCTGAGTGTTCTCCCTTACAAAATCTGCATAATGCTGGATCTGCTGTCAATCAGGAATTGCATATCCTCTAGCTAGTTAGGTTACACCCAGACCCAGACTCCACAGTAAAGCTAAGCTTCTCCTTCATTTTACAGTCTACATTAGCCTCTGCATATTTTTTTCACTTAAGAAAAAATTTTTATAGAACACTCAATCTAAAAAGCAGGTAAAAATCATGTTTTTAAAGCAATGGATTATTCTAGCCGTAATGTATGTGAATTTGCTAGCCTGCCTTATCATGTGTAAAAAATCACTGTTCATGGTGAGAAACAGTATAATCACGCCTTAAGACTCCACATACAAAATCACATTTGCTATTATAATAGAGCCAGATTTTTTATTTAGCTATATTCACACAGTTTGGACTATGAAAGGAAACAGCTAGTCTAGCCATTTTCAAGGCCACCAGTTTCGGTGCTTAGAATATATTTGTTAACCCCAGTATGAAAATATATGATACATAATAATGTAAGCAAGACAAACCTATTTTCTCACAATATACATATTTTTCCAGATAGGGGAATAAATTAGAACATACTTGAACATAGTTCTATCCAATAAAACTATTACTGAACAACTGTGATAGTTATTAAGAGGTAGGAAAAATAAATTGTTTTTAATTACTGACCACGTATATAAATGCTCCCAGGCACTGTGCAAGACCCAATGAAATCAAAAATGAATCTAGATACAGCACCTATCCAGGGAACTGTAGTTCCACAGAAATGCTATAAATTCTCAATTATCTTGTTTTTCATTCTTTTAACAATGGAGAAGCAAATTACATTTACTGAGCTCTCACTGTGAGCCAATGTGTTAAAAGCTTTAAGTGTATTATCTTTCAGAAAACAGTGAAAGATTGCTGGATGTTCTACGGAATGCTAGATGTTGTCTGGTATACGCTACTGAGTAATTTGATTCCATAATAGTTCTACCCTTTCATTGTCTTTGAGCAGTTTCACAGCTCTGTAAATTGTAGAAATCAGTAATGCAAATGATTCTTGTCCATAGAGATGCAAAAAGAAAATCGACCTGCCCCAACAACAACTGGACCACAGGTACTCAAAATCATTCTAGCATTTTCTGAGCTTTTGGAACATTAAAAGAGAACCAAAGAAAGAACATAGGGTATATACTTTATTTAGATAATTATTTTGTTATTTTCAGAAGAAATACAGGTATTACAGAACACAGGGTATATACTTTAGATAATTATTTTGTTATTTTCAGAAGAAATACAGGTATTATGTTAAGAATGAAACACTACTAAAATATGAAAAAATGTTCAATCTCACTAGTTATCAGGGAAATGTATACTAAAAATGATTTTCATTCCTAGATTAGCAAAATTTTTTAAGACTTAAAATGCCAAGAGTGAGGCCAGGCTCAGTGGCACATGGGCCTGTAATCCAACAGTTTTGAGAGGCCAAGGATTACTTGAGCACATGAGTTCAAGACCAGACCGGGCAACATGGAGAAACCCCATGTCTACAAAAAATACAAAAATTAGCCAGGTGTGGTGGCATATGCCTGTAGTTCCAGCTATTCGGGAACCTGAGGTGGAAGGATCACTTGAGCTCAAGAGGTTGAGGCTGCACTAAGCCATAATCATGCCACTGCACTCCAGCCTCGGTGACAGAGCGAGACCCTGCCTCAAAAAAAGAAAAAAAAGAAGACTCCAAGAGTGGAAAAGGATAGAAGGGAAAGAGTACTCTTCTGTACCACTGAAGGGAGTGTAAAATGACATTTTGGATGGTGATCTGGAAGTATCTACTAATATTTTACATGAGTAGGAAATCTTCTAAAATTGTGGTAATTTTATGTCTCAGAATATACCTTAGAAAAATAAAATGCACACGGGAGCAACGAAGCATTCTTTGCAGTTGCATACAGTGGAAGCAATCTAAAAGCACATCAGTTGGAGTTAAAAGCATACAATACATCCATATCATGGTCTACTCCAGGCAGCATTAAAATGAAAGACGCAGATCATAGTGTGTTTGAATATATCACGCTGTTAACGAAAAGAGTCAAACTCTGTATAAAATATTTTTAGAGATTGATTCTGAGCCAAATATGAGTGACCATGGCCAAAGACACAGCCCTCAGGTGGCCCTAAGAACATGTGCCAAGGTGGGTGGCGTATGGCTTACTTTTATATATTTTAGGGAGGCATGAGACATCAACCAAATATATTTAAGAAATACATTGGTTTAGTTCAGAAAAGCGGGACAACTCAAGGCGGGGGCGGGGTGGCGGCGGGGGCGGTGTTCCAGGCTATAAACGTTTTCTGGTTTACAATTGGTTGAGTTTATCTGAAGACCTGGGATCAATAGAAAGGAAATGTATGTTCAGGTAAAGATAAAGGATTGTAGGCACCAAGTTTTATTGTGCAGAGGAAGCTCTCAGATAGCAGACTTCAGAGAGAACAGGTTGTATATTGTTTATTATCAGACCTAAAAGAGTGCCTGGCTCTTACTTGATTATCTCCTGGATCTAGAAAGGAAGGAAGGAAAACAAGGGGAAAGTGGATTCTCTATAGAATGTGGATTTTTCCCACAAGGGATGGCTTTGCACGACCATTTCAAGATATGGCAGAGAAACATGTTTTGGGGTAAAATATTTTTATTTTCTTCCATGTTATGCCAGAGTCAGATCGGAAAGTAAGTCATGATATACAGGGTTAAATAAAACCATCTGATGAGAATGTATGGTTTACAGAGCATGATTCCCCAGACCCCTTAGATAGGAATTTAGGCAAGATTAAAAAAAAAAAAATCAGAGCTTAGTCCTCAATGCAGACAGCACAAATTAGTGATAACCTATGTAAATTGTAATTGATGATTAATCTGAAATATTTATTACTGTTTGATTATATTACAATAAAATTATCTTTCTAGTTTAAAAATAGAATGGACAAGTTTTTAAATTAAAAGAAGCTATACTACTGATGCAGAATTAAGTGGAAAATACTATGCAGGACTTTCTAAAGCAGACTATGAAAAGGTATCATGGATATACTTGTTAAGAATATTACGAATATATGTGTAAATGCTATGAATCACTGCCAGTTTATGGAACTGGTAAAAGACATCGAATAATTTTTTGTTCTTTGCCAATGCTCGTTGGTGTAGTCATAGAGTTTTATGAAGAATCACTGTGCTGTCTGAGAGTGAAAAACTCAAACTGTTTTTCCTCTGCTCTCACACCACAACAATCAACATGAAGACTTGTGTGACCAAATGTGTGGGAGTTTCTCCCCACACACCAAGCAAGAAGTTAAGTTCTGCAGTGGAGAGGAGCCGGGTATCCTCTAATTCAACTTTCCAACACTATCAGGAGATAGTGTTAGATCTCAAAGGTTAAGAGCTCAGTACCACAAACCCCATGGCCCCACCTGAGGGAAGAGAGAGACCCTCTCATATTGTTTTATATTGTTTTATACTCAGTACCTGTTTTAAGAAAAAAACAAGGAAGTGAAATCAAAGACAGGCAGCCCGGCGCCAGGTCCAAAACCAGGCCTGGGCCTGCCTGGCCTAAACCTAGTAGTTAAAAATTAACTCATGACTTAGAACCCGATGTTACCCATAGATTCCAGGCATTGTATGGAAGAACACTGTGAAACTCCCTGCTCTTTTCTGTTTCACTCTGACCACCGGTGCATGCAGCCCCTGTCACGTACTCCCTGCTTGCTCAAATCAATCACGACCCTTTCATGTGAAATCTTTAGTGTTGTGAGCCCTTAAAAGGAACAGAAATTGTGCACTCAGGGAGCTCAGATTTTAAGACAGTAGCTTGCCGATGCTCCCAGCTGAATAAAGCCCTTCCTTCTACAACTCGGTGTCTGAGAGGTTTTGTCTGTGGCTCGTCCTGCTACACAACCAGTCACAAGTCTGGGCCTCCAGAACATCTAACCAAAAAGCTTCAAGTTGGGGTTCCCACAATCCCCTCTGGGTTCTATTAGTTTGCTAGAGTGGTCACAGAACTCCAGAAACACGCTTACCAGTTTATTATAAAGGATATTACAAAGGATACAAATGAACAGCCAGATGTAAGAGATGCATAGGGCAAGTTATGGTGGAAGGGACACAAAGTTTCCATGCCCACCCCAGGCACAACCCCCAGAAACCTCCACTTATTCAGCTATCTCGAAGCTCTACAACACAGGGCTTTGGGCTTTTTAAGAAAGCTTCATTACATAGGCATGACTGATTAAATCACTGGCCACTGGTAATCAATTTAACCCTCAGCCTCTCTCCTCTCCCCAGAGATAGGGGTGAGGCTGAACGTTCCAACTCTCTAATGGTGCCTTGGTCTTTCACGTAACCAACTCACATCCTGAAACTACCTAGGGGCTGTCAGCCATCAATCAATCACTAGCACACAAACAGACATTACTTTGGAGGTCGTAAGGATTTTAGGAGTTGTATACCAGGGAAACGGGGTCAAAGGCCAAACATATATTCCACAATATCACCTATTATTAACTTCAGTTGGAGATTTTTGTGAAACAAAATGTTTACGAAACAGTCAATAAACAAAGGCAAAAAAATCAACCTAAGTGTCCATCAACAGATGAATAAAGAAAATGAACTGCATATACACAATGGAATATTATTTGGTTATAAAAAATGAAATCCTGACATTTGCAGCAACATGGATGGAACTGGAAGTCATTATATTAAGTGAAATAACCCAAGCACGGAAAGACAAATACCGTATGTTCTCTCTCACATGTGGGAGCTAAAAGGGTGAATCTCATGGAAGTAGAGACTTGATTAGTGGTTGCCAGAGGCTGGGAAGGAGAGGTGGGGATTAAGAGAGGTTGGTTAATGGGTACAAAAGTACAGTTAAAAGCTGGGCACGGTGGCTCACGCCTGTAATCCCAGCACTTTGGGAGGCCAAGGTGGGCGGATCACAAGGTCAGGAATCAAGACCATCCTGGCTAACATGGTGAAACCCCGTCTCTACTACTAAAAATACAAAACATTAGCCAGGCGTGGTGGCAGGCGCCTGTAGTCCCAGCTACTCGGGAGGCTGAAGCAGGAGAATGGCGTGAACCCGGGAGGCGGAGCTTGCAGTGAGCCGAGATCGCGCCACCGCACTCCAGCCTGGGTGACAGAGCGAGACTCTGTCTCAGAAAAAAAAAAAAAAAAAAAAGTACAGTTAAATAGAAAGAATAAGATCTAGTGTTCAGTAATATAATACGGTGACTATAGTCAACAACAATTTATTGTATAGTTCAAAACAGAAGAATTGGGATGTTCCCAACATAAAAAATGTTTGAGGTGATGGCTGTCCTAATTACTCTTGTAAAAGAAAATAAAATCTTAGGACCCCAAACTCATTATACCAAAAGGAAAGTTAAACCTAGAAAATTAGTCATGCAACACTGCCTTTCCTTCCTCCTCTTTCCCCCCAGAGCTATAATTTCACAACCCTGTGTCATAGCATTACACGTTAAGTCAGCATTGTCCCGCAATGGCAAAAGGACATATACCTCCCTCACAAATTTCTCATAAGAAAATCCCTTCCTAGTCACTAAACCTTTCAGGATACATATCCCCTAAAACCAGCACATGCCAATTGTAACCTTGGGTGTGCAACCTAAGTTTAACTCTCAAAACTGAGTTCTGTTAAATCTCATGCTGACAATGTCAATTACAAGCTTACCTTCTTAGGTACACAACAGGGACAAGACAAAAAATCACTCCTTCGATCATGTCTTTTGCAGGGACATGAATGGAGGTGGAAGCCATTATCCTCAGCCAACTAATACAGCAACAGAAGACCAAATATCGCATGTTCTCACTTATAAGTGGGAGCTGAATGATGAGAACGCATGGACACATTGTGGGGAACAACACACACTGGGGCCTATAGGGATGGTCAGGAGAGCATCAGGAAGAATAACTAATGAATGTTGGCTTAATATCTAGGTGATGGGATGACCTGTGCAGCAAACCACCAGAGTACACATCTACCTATGTAACAAACCTGCATATCCTGCATATGTACCCCTGAACTTGAAATAAAAGTTTAAGAAAAATAATAATAGTAATAACCCAAGGGAATAAAATGAAATTATCAAAAAAAAAAAAATCACTCCTTCGGCTAACCCGAGATGGATGCATAACTGACTCTTTCCTCTACTCCATCTTTTCAAATGTTTACCTTACCTTATGTAAAACACAGATTTACTGAGCACTAATTAGAGCCTCACAAAAATGTAACCATTTGTCTCACTGCCTCTCTTACCTTCCTTTGTCCCTTCTGCTTGCTCTTTATTCTTCAATACTGAGTTCCAGAAACCCTCTTTTGGAAAGCACAGGTAACAGATGCTCCTGTGACTTGTGTTTTTCCCAGGTGTATCCTTAAACTTTGGCTTAATAAACCTCTGATTGAGTCACATTTTTGGTTAATATACTGATTTGATCATTACACATTGTATGCATATATGAAAATATCACATGCACCCCCAAAATATGTACAACTATTATGTATCAATAAATAAAAATAAACTGTAAAAATAAAAAATATACAAGTTTACCAATTTTTTGAGTCTTCATTTACTTATGAAGGCTCCTGTATCATATAAAATTTATATTAAATTTTATGCTTATGAAATACAATAGAAAAATGGTTGTAGAATACAGATAACTTAATGAATAAAACACAAATGTCCAACATATAAAGAACTCAACTTCACAAGTAAACAGGGAGACACAAAAGATAACAGTAGGTTTTCCTCATTCAATTGGCAAAAGTTAAAAAGTTTAGTAACATGTGTTGAAGAAGTTGGGAAAATAAATTCTCTCATACACTAATGATGGCAGTCATTTTGGAAGGCAATTTGGCAGACCATATTAAAGTGTAATGCAAACACATTATGATCTGACAACTCCTGAGAAATACATGCATATGTTCACAAGACCACATGCATAAGGATGTTCACTGCAGAGGTTTTAATAGTTAAAAAAAAAAAAAAACTAAAACTAAAAACAACTATGATGTATTCATACCATGGTATACTTTGCAGCAATTAAAAAGAATAAGGTGGATCTACGTGTTCTAAAATGAAAACAAAAAACATCCAAGGCAAACTAATGAGAACTGTAAATAATTCTTGGCAAACAACTCCATCCAAATTCTTGCTCTAAGAGCCTTGACCAACTCTAGCAAAGCTTCTAGTAGCCTAGCCCACCTCCACTCAGCCCTGGAATACCCAGCCTCCTTTTGAGCTCCAGTCTGTCTGGAGAAGTTCAGGGCTATCAAAAGAAGCTTACTGTTTATTCTAGCCAACACCTGACTATAGGCCCCTGACCTTCCTTTCTTAGAGCACTAAGAAGAGTTTACAATTGTAAATTCTTCCTCTGTCCCTTTGAGATGTGTATGTATCTCCTACAACTCAGCAGTGTCTTTCTCAAGAACCAGAAAGCCACTCCTTTGAAATGTAATCATCAGGAAGGTTTGGATCTCTGTGTCCCAGTCTCTGTGGAAGGACAGAATCCTAATTTTGATAACTGTCAGCGAGCAGGCACACCTGACCCACTCACATTTACAATGACCAACTATCTTAGCCTGGAGCTGCTATAACAAAGTATCATAAACTGGGTGGCTTATAAACAACACAGGTTTATTTCTCGTGGTTCTGGAAGCTAGGAAGTCCAAGATAAAAACACCAGCAGATTTGGTGTCTGGTAAGGGCCCATTTCCTGGTTCTTAGATGACGCCATCTCAGTATGTCGTCACATGGTAGAAGGAACAAATGAGATCTCTTGGGCCTATTTTAAAGGGTACTAATCGCATTCATGAGGGCTCCACTCTCATACCTAATTACCTCCCAAAAGGCCCTACCTCCTAATATCACCACCTTGGGGGTTAGGATTTCAACATATAAATGTGGGGGAAAAACAAACATTCAAACCACAGCACCAGCCCTTTGTAATTTTCACTTTCCTGACGCTACTTGAGCCCTCAGTTGCTCCCCTTCCGTACTCCCTCATTCTCCCTTTAAAAGGCCCAGTCATGACTGCACAAATCATGGAGCTCAGCTCTTTCCCCTATTGCCAGTGGTTACTGAATAAAATTTGTTTTTACCACTTTAATTGTCTTGATTTTTTTATTCACAAGTGTCAAAGTTGTAAGCAGATAAATACTGAATAACACCATTTATTTGAAGCACAGCACCCACAATAACAGCTGAGTTGTATCTGCAGTATTTTAGATAGTTTTATGAAAAGAATGTATTTAGGTACATTAATTTTTTTTTTTTTAAGAGACAGGGCCTCACTATGTTGCCCAGGCTGGTCTTGAACTCCTGGCCTCAAGTGATCCTCCCACCTCAGCCTCCCAAAGCTCTGGGATCACAGGCATGAACCACCACACTTAGGCTTAAGTACATTAATCTTAATGAATTGCATGAATTATTTTGAGGAAAACGTACTCATATTTGAAACTTTAGAACTCTTTTTTAAAATTAATGTAGATTGATGGATAAATATATAATAAAACACATATAGCAAAATTTTAATTGTAGACTTGAGATGGTAGGTTTATGGGTGTTCAACACAAAATTCTTTCAACATTTATGTAAGATTTTTTAAAGTATCATAATAAAATGTTCAAAAATTATCATTAAAAAGAAAACATAGCAAGTAGTGTATTTTAAAGTCTTTAGCCATTAAAAATGTGCAAAGTTTGAACAAAGTTGAATTACTAAAACTTAGATAAATTAGATATAATAGTAAAGAATAATTGTGGGGTAGGGGTGATTTTTTCCACAAACTCTTTTTAAGGCACAAAAAGTACAGTGATTACAGAAATTTTTTCTGTATTTTAGGAGGTAGTCCAAAAGAGTCAAGATAAGAATTATATGCCTTATTAATCTTTGTCTTGGCCCAGTTCTCTGGCAAACAGAGCCTGATTAAAATGCTGATGTTTCACTTGAGAGGTGCATACACAGGGCATCAAAGGTGAAGAGAAGGTAAACTGAGGCAAGAAAATATATAAAGCAAGGGAAAGTGCTGGCTACCATTTTACAACAAGCTATAAAAAAAATAGTAGGTCACTTAACAAATGCATCCACTTGGTGTACTCTTTGTGGAATGTCTCCTGATAGACTACAAAAAGAAACCATACCTCAGAGTAGTCCATGTGGGAAAAGAAATTTATCTGGCAGGTTCCCTCCTGTCTCCTATTTCCCACTGGTCAAAGTCCACCCTGAAGTACACTGCACTTCATTTTGTGTCATCTGGCCTTCACAGATGCTTAGGGTGCTACCTACAAGGATGTTGTGTGGCGTTATACCCAAGATTGGAAGTGGCAGGAGGAGCCAGACCCTCCCAGAGTATGGTTCATAAACTTAGCTAGATGGTGGCCACCAAGGCATAGGGCCCTCATTCCTCAGATGAAGCAACTGGTTAGCCTCCAGTGGCAGCAGAAAATTCTACGAGGCAGATGGTGCCAAGGGACTCTGAAGGGGCACATAAGATTATGTTTGATATAATCACAATGCAACATGAGAGGAAGATAAGACTTAAAAAAAAAAAAATCTGTCACATAAAAATAGGGCAAAAACTAGGGTAAATCCAATCTCTAAGAGTTATTCTCAGTTACAGCATTTAAATATCTCACACTTCATCACTGTGCTTTGGTGGTGATATTCTGTGATGTTAAGCAGTTAAGACAATCAAAACCTAGGATTTAAGGACCTTGAAAACCCTCACAAAACCAAAGGAGTCAAATTATAAAATTTACTCCACCCATGCTACATGAATCACAGACCTACTCTATATAATCTAAATTTACATATATCTTCACAAAATAGCTCCCAGCTGTCTATTAAGGATCTCTGTTTGGCCAAGTCTTGTCCTTGGTGTAAAAATATGTTGAGCTAAAGGAGCCTCTCTGCCTCAGAAGCTGGCCTGCCCTTTAGATGAATTTTGTATACTGCAAACATTGCTAAGCTACTCTTATTTATTTTAGCCATTCTTTCACTTAATCATTTTATCAGTATAGTCAACATTATGTTTGCTGGTGGCGTCTCACAATATTCACTACACCACTCACTCATTGTGTTGCAGCCAGAAAATCTGGGTGAAATAACTCTCACTTCTAAGGAAGGAGATGAAAAGTATGTGCCTGCTTCGTACACTGAGGATTCTCAGAAACTGGTAAGGATTCCTCTTCACGATGGCAAACTAAGACTGGGATTAGAAAAACCCCTGGTCACAGGAAAGTGGTCAGCAATAGCACAAAGTTAGGAAATCTTATTTAGTGATTCTGAGTAGGAACCATCTGCCTGTCATGAGATAGATGAGAAAAAGCGTGTGGCCACAGTAGTTGCTGGGATCCATCATTTAACATGAGTGGAGCCAGTCTAAGAATGCAACCCATCCTGCAGATGACAGATGGAATAAATAGAAAGAAACTGGGCTCATGACAATATCCTTTAAACTGCTAGACCAGTCAGCCCTGAAGCCTGGAATTTCCAGTTATACATGCCAATAAAAACCTTCAGTTATATAAGCTAGTATTTTTATCGATACTTGAACCAAAAGCATATTAGCTGATATAAAAATATATTCTTTTTGGTTATTTTTTTCTTTCCCTTGTGTTTTCTTCTTTGCCTATGTTACCTTGCTCAAATTACCACTTCTCTGACATTTTGTTTTTAAATGAGGATTCAAATGAAAGACAAGATAGGAAGACAGTTCATTCTCCAAAAAGTAGAGGCTGAATGTCATTATTATTTCAACTATTCTATAGTTTTGGGTTTTTTTTGTCTTTCCATTGAGCTATGATTGTACCACTGCACTCCACCCTGGGTGACCAAGCAAGATCCTGTCTCCTCCGCCCCACTCCCCCACCAAAAAGAAACAGGAGATAACAAATGTTGGCAAGGGTGTGGAGAACAGGGAACCCTGTACACTGTTAGTGGGAATGAAGATTGGTGCAGCCATTATGGAGGTTCTTCAGGAAATTAAAAATAGAACTACCATATGACCCAGCAATCCCTCTTCTTGGCACACACCCAAAGGAGATGAAATCACCATCTCAAAAATCTGCACTCCCATGTTCGCTGCATCATGGGAGCACACACACATACACAAAATAGAATATCATTCAGCCTTAAAAAAGGAGACTCTGTCATTTGCCACAACATGGAAGGATGTGGATGACATTATGCTAAATGAATTAAGCCAGACACAGAAAGAAAAATACTGCATCTCACGTTATATGTGGAATGTTACTTTAAAAAAAAAAAAAAGGCCAAACATACAGAGATTAAAAATAAAACAGTGGTTACTAGAACAGAAAGGTGGGTTGGTGGGGGAGGAGGGAGAGGAAATCGGGAGATACGCGTCAGAGGATACAAGTAGTGGATATGTACGATGAACAAGTCTAGGGATCTAATATACAACATGAAGGCTATAGTTAATAAAATTGTATTAGGTACTTTGTTAAATAAGTAGATTTTAGGTGCTCTGGTCACACACAAAAAACAGTATATGTGATGAGTAATATGTTAACTTGCTTCACTATATTACCATTTTACTGTCTCTATATATGTACGTGTGTGCACATGCATATACATACACACATGCATGCACACACACACACACACACATACACACATATATATCTCCCATAACATCATGTTGTAAACCTCAGGTATGCACAATAAAATTTATTTTTAAAATGTTTTAAATTGAGCTTTAATATTAGGTCTTATACCACACCCTTCCCCCCCGCCCCCCACCACACACACACACAGACAACCCTCTAGAACCCATGTTAATTAACTACTGCCCAATATCCATATCATCAGGTTGTTGCCTCTTCCCTTGAGTGACCCATCTAAAAAATAATGCTCTATACTCTGGTGGCCAGGTGCAGTGGCTCACGCCTGTAATCCCAGCACTTTGGGAGGCAGAGACGGACGGACCACATGAGGTCGGGAGTTCAAGACCAGCTGGCCAACATGGTGAAACCCTGTTTCCACTAAAAAAATACAAAAATTAGTCAGGTGTGGTGGTGGGCACCTGTAATCCCAGCTACTCAGGAGCCTGAGACAGGAGAATCACTTGAACCCAGGAGGTAGATGTTACAGTGAGCCAAGATCGCATCACTGCACTCCAGCCTGGGTGACAGAGTGAGACTCTGTCTCCAAAAAAAAAAAAAAAAAGAAGGAAATGGTCTATACTCTGGAGAGAATTTGATAACCCAACCTCCTAGAAATAGCCCTGGATAACACCTCAGTAGTTTCAAACATCCTTTAGGATGATTTGGAAGGATGCATATGAGAGAGTCAATATTCAAATGACCAGGACCTTTTTTAGTACCTTTAGGACCTTTTTTATTCACTTCCATCCAAGGCAGGAATTCAAAAGAACAGTCCCAGTGTATAGGTTTCCTCAAAAGCCCTTCTTAATCCTGACAACTAGGACAAGAACTAGAAGGCAAATTAGTTAGGGGAGAATTATCTTCAATGGTGTATTTTTGAAAGGAGAAAGGATACACCTATCATGTTTCCCCTTCTTCAGCAGACTGGACTACTGACTGTGTGGATCAGAAACAATGCTCATACGCCCAAAAATCATAAAACCTAATTTATTCCCTGACCCAAATCTTCATAAAAGAGCCCTAAAGGACAAAGGATGATCTCCTCAAAACTCAATTGTCTGTGGAGAATTTTCTATGGGGAAAAAGATATAGTGGCTCTGAATATTCAATATCTGATTCCTTGCAGTTATGTCTAGGTTGTTATATAAGGAAGTAAGAGCCACTAGAAAAGAAAACAGATTCACCAATCAACTGGTCACAAATTTTTAAAAATCAGTTTCCATTCAAATGTCCCTTAAACCTCAACCATAATATCAAAGTCTCTTTGAGACTGCATGACAATCAACTACAAAATGAAACAGCAAATCTTGCAAAAGGTTGACATGATAGGTACTTGGAAAGAGACTGACCTGAATATCAAAGAATTTTAGGCCCCTAGGAAAAGTTAAGCAATCCACAAATACTATGCAAAAACCCTTTTTATGATGGGGCTAAAAGAGTCATACACAAACAAAAGAAGTTTTATCATGTCATAGTTTCTGTGAGAAAAAGTATAACTAACTTCTATTCAAATAAGCACTTTTAATAAGGATATAAAATCTCAGCCAGGCTCGTGCCTGTAATCCCACAATTTGGGAGGCCAAGGTGGGCAAATCACTTGGAGCCAGGAGTTCGAGACGAACCTGGCCAACATGGCAAAACCCCATCTCTACTAAAAATACAAAAATTAGCTGAGTGTGGTGGTGGACGCTTGTAGTCCCAGCTACGTGGGAGGCTGAGGAACAAGAATTGCTTGAATCCAGAATGAGACTGTCTCAAAAAAAAAAAAAATTTACTATTAAATTTGGTCCCTTTTTGATAGACTGGTTAAACAGAAATTAATAGGTAAATATATTTAAGATAACAATAACCAAATTTTTCACTATGAAAGAAAGGGCTGCAAACTAAAATGAACCCTGGGGTACTATATTAGAATTGGAGGTATTGGTATGAGCTGATGGTTTTTAATATTTATAGATAAATATAGATGTAATCATATATAGATTTTCGAGTTTTGACTGCTAGAAGAGCTAAAAGCAATAACACTGCAGTATCAATGAGTACACCTAGTGGTCAGTTCCTGGTTTTTAAATACACTTCTCCACCAAAAAAGAACTAGGGCTCTTGAATGATTTCTACAGCTGGGGCAGGAAAGATCTTATTGTGCCGGAAGCACAAAAACGCTCAAAAACTGATGGGGATTGTCAAAAGGACACAGGAACCCTGGTAAAAGGATTCCCATTGGCCAAATCTGAGACAATCTGAGCATCATAATAAATGATAACAGATTATAACCCACTGAATAAAACAGACATTTATGAATCCATAAAAATTAATTAACAAATAAATGGGGGAGAAGGGAAAGCTCTTCCTTGCAACAGAATGCCAACTAATAAATATAGATGGAATGAGAAAACTAACATTTGGCAACAATTATAGTAATAAATTTCAAAGTAACTCTCCATAGATACTAATTTCAAAGGTAAAAATAATTTTATGGTGAAGAAACCCTGCTGACACCAATTTATCCAAATAATCAAACTTATTATCACCAGTAATGGGATAAATTGACATCATGTGCCTTCTGATTGATATACTAAGAACTATTTCCGTGATATTTCTGCCAAAAATGTGTAAACTAAAACTAATTATAAGGAAATATCAAACAAACCCAAACTGATAAGCATTCAACAAATGATTGGCCTGTACTCCTTAAGTTAAAAAGTCACAAAATAGAAGCAAAGACTAAGAAAACGTTCCAGATTGAAGGCAACTAAAAGACACGATGACTAAATACAACACATATCCTGGTCCAGCAGGAAAAAAAAAAAGTTTATTCATTTTTAAATTTGTTTCTGCCATAAAGGACGTTGTCTTAGTCCATTCAGGCCGCTATAACAAAATACCATAAACTGGGTAGCTTATAAACAATAGAAATGTATTTCCCACAGATCTAAAGGCTGGGAAGTCCAAGATTAAGAAACTGGCAGATTCAGTGTTTGGTAAGGGCCTCCTTTCTGGTTCATAGATGGCACTGTCTCCTGTGTCCTCACATGGTGAAAGAGAAATGGCAACTCTCTGGGGCCTGTTTCACAGAGGAAATAATCTCATTCATGAGGGCTTCACCCTCCTGGCCCAGTCACCTCCCAAAGCCCTCACCTCCTAATATTAATACCATCACATTAGTGCTTAGGTTTCTACATATGAATTTTGGAGAAACAGAAACATTCAGACCATAGCATTGTATCAGTGTTAATATCCTGATTTTGACTGTTGTACTTCTGTACTTTATCATATAGCAGCCTGTCCTTGTTTAGGAAATACATACTGAAGAATTTCAGGTGATGGAGCACCATGTCAGTATCTTATTCTCAACTAGTACTGAAACATTACACATATACATACAATACACACAAAAATGTTAAATTTGTGGAAGTTTTTTATACTATCCTTAATTTTTTCTTTTTTCTTTTTTTGAGATAGAGTCTGCACTCACCCAGGCTGGAGTGCAATGGTGCTATCTCAGCTCACTGCAAGCTCCGCTCCTGGGTTCACACCATTATCCTGCCTCAGCCTCCAGAGTAGCTGGGAATACAGGCACCCACCACCACGCCCAGCTAATTTTTTGCATTTTTAGTAGATATGGGGTTTCACTGTGTTAGCCAGGATGGTCTCGATCTCCTGACCTCATGATCCACCCATCTCGGCCTCCCAAAGTGCTGGGATTACAGGCCTGAGCCACCACACCCAGCCTACTATCCTTAATTTTTTCTGTAATTTTTAAATAATCTTTAACATCAAAAAGTTTAAATTGAAAGCACAACAAAATAACACTGTTTAACTTAGATTGTCAAATATCAAAAATATGAATATATACTTACATATAGATTGAGCATCACAATACATGATAAATGCACTCCTCACGCATTGCTGATGAGAGTATAAACCTGTACTAACCTCTGTAGAAGGCAATTTATCATTATCCATCAAAATGCTAAAGGCATATACCTTGTGATGAGTATCCTACTCCAAGGTATTTATGAACATAGTCTCCTATATGTATATATTATATAGATATTTATTGTAGCTCTATTTGTAATAACGAAAGATCCCAAACAAACTAAATATCCATTATTAAGACATTGGTTAAGTACATTTGGCACATCCACACAGTGGAATTAGTTTTAAAAATAAGATAGTTCTGGCCGGGCACAGCGGCTCACGTCTGTAATCCTAGCATTTTGGGAGGCTGAGGTGGGCGGATCACTTGAGGTCAGGAGTTCAAAACCAGCCTGGCCAATATGGTGAACCCCTGTCTCTACTAAAAATACAAAAAAATTAGCCAGGTGTGATGGCAGGTGCCGTAATCCCAGCTACTCAGGAGGCTGAGGCAGAAGAATCACTTGAACCCAGAGGCAGAGGTTGCAGTGAGCCGAGATCACGCCACTGCACTCCGGCCTGGGTGACAGAGCAAGACTCCGTCTCAAAAAAATAAATAAATAAATAAGGTAGTTCTAAATGCATTGACAAAAAGATTTCAGTGATATACTGTTGCAGTAAAAATGCAATGTATAGAACAAGGAAGCTAGTGAACAATTATTTAGATGGAGAAAAAAATATATATGTATACAAATATGTTTCTAGAATACTTCAAAAAAGACATACAAAAAACTAGTAACTGGTTACCTCTGGGGAAGGGAAGTAGACAGCTATGTAACAGGGAAGGGAGACTTTTTACTATATTCCCTTTTTGTTTGTTTGTTTGAGATGGAGTTTTGCTCTTTTTTGTCCAGGCTGGAGTGCAACGGCGCAATCTCGGCTCACTGCAACCTCTGCCTCCCGGGTTCAAGCAATTCTCTGGCCTCAGCCTCCCAAGTAGCTGGGATTACAGGTGTGCACCACCACACTCAGCTAATTTTGTATTTTTAGTAGAGACAGGGCTTCACCATGTTGGCCAGGCTGGTCTTGAACTCCTGACCTCAGGTCATCCACCCGCCTCAGCCTCCCAAAGTGCTGGGATTACAGACGTGAGCCACCATGCCCGGCCAACTTTTTACTATACTCTTAACATCTTCTGAGTTTTTTACCATGTGCGTGCATTACCTTTTAAAAAAAAAAAAAAGTCACAAGGGATTACATATTGCATGATTCTCATTACATCGCATATCCAGAATAGGTAAACCCATAGAGACAGAAAGCAAATTAGTGGTTGCCAGGGGCTGGAAAGAGAGGAGAGAAAGAGAGTGACTATTTAATTGATCTGGGGTTTCTTTTTAGAGAAAAATGCTCTGGAACTAGATAGAAGTGACAGTTGTACAACATTGTAAATATGCTAAATGCCACTTAATTGTATACTTTAAAATGATTAAAATGGTGAATTGTATGTTATGTATATTTTATCACAATTAAAAAACAAACATTTATGAATACAAATAAAACCAATAAAATATTTTAAAATATATTAGTTTCATGATAGTAATATTTTGCTAAGTTTAAACTGCTAATTACAATATAAATATGATACCAACAGATTTGACACACATCTTTTGTGTTTAACAAGCCTTTTATCCAATAGGGGATGAGATGGCTTAATTCATTCACCATCCCTATTTGAATATGGGAAACCTTCATTTGGCAAGAGTATACCACTTATACAGTTGTTTACTTGTTCTCATCTGCAGGCATAAAATCTTGTAATGGCACTCAATTATAAGGCAGCTATCCAAAAGATCTAGCACGAGCGTATACACTTTTATTCATATCATTTAAAAGAAAACACAAAAGTCTAACTTATCTGAGAATTTATAAACCCTTGAGAATATGCCCAACCATCTCCAAGGACCTAAGACCCACTTAAGAAACATTTAGCTAACTTCTCCAATGGGGAAAGATTTTTATCACTCCCCTGTTATACCTTTAATCTTCCACTCTTCACTACCTTTTTCCTCTCAGCCTACAACATACTACCTTAAAACAAAAACACAACAAAACTCTCTAGCCCCCTACCATTCCTCGAGATACTACTTCCTTCACTACCGAATTTATTTATTTACTTACAAACTTTATTTACATACTTACTCGCATTCACTTCCTCCACTGGCCTATTTCCATTCATCACATATCCATTACAGCATGACTTTTGTTCCAAAACACTTGTGAAATTATTCTCTCAAATATTACCAGAGCCTGCAAACTATAATGTTCCAATAGCCTCTTTGTGGCTACTTGACTTCCCTGAAGCACTCTGAAGCCAAAGACAGCCAAGAGACTCAACTAGAGAAAACTGTAAGTTTCTCAGGATCTCTTTGTTCAGTCACAAAACATTTTTAAATCTATATAGTTTGATTTAAAACCTTAACAAGAGAACATTCCTGCCTTTGCATGTCACAGTTTTGTGAAGGAGATTCAGGTAAACAGATAACAGAAGATGGCATAGTCTCCTCTCACAGTTCTTCAGAATGAGAAAGAATCAGAAAGAATAAAAAAACTTTCTCTTTTTCTAAAGAAACTATATAGCTCTGAATACCCAAGAGATCTGGGGCTTCCTGTATTTATTTCTGAGACTCCTGTAACAAACTGGGTGGCTTTAAACAACAGAATTTATTCTCCCACAGTCTGGAAACCAGAAGTCCAAAATCAAGGTGGCAGCAGGGCTATGCTCTCTCTGAAGGTTCTAAGGGAGAATCTTTCTTTGCTTCTTTCTAGCCCCTGGTGGTTTCCAGCAATCATGGGTGGTTATTCCAATCTCTGCTTCCACCATCACATGGTCTTTTTCCCTCTGTGTTTCTATCTCTTTCTTCATAAGGACACCAGTCATTAAATTTAGGGTCTATCTTAATCCAGTATGACTTTATCTTGATTACATCTGCAAAGACCCTATTTCCAAATAAGTTCACATTCATAGGTACCAAGGCTTAGGACTTTAACATATATCTTTAGGAGACACAATTGAAGCCACTACATTTCCCCTCTCCCAGAATTTGGTTTTTGAAAGCCCAGGGTCAAAAGTACTGAACTGGATTGTTCATGAAAAGAAACACCTGTGGAGCTTGGATCAAAAAAGATAGAAGTGGGTCCTATGGCCATTCTACCACAACCCCCAAAGAAATCACATTCCCTAAGCTTTGGGGGAAGTCATTAGTGGTAGACCTACATCTTCATTCTCACACAAAGGATATTATCTGTAAACACGCAGTGTTATGAAGAGACTCAAAGTGTCCCGTGAATTCAAGAAAGTGAAAATGTACTTATCAGGGCTCTTTCAGTTGAAAGAGAAACCAAACTGAAACTAGCTTAAGCAAAAATGACATTAACAATGAACTAAATATTATGAATTACTATTAATCCTGTTTGGTATAATAACAATGTGTGGTTATGCAGGAGAAAACATTTATTTCAAGAAATACACACTTAAGTGGCTAGAGGTAAAGTGGCATGATATATGCAACTTATTTTCAAAAGGTTGAGGGGAGTGCATCTACATAGAGAAAAAGAGAGAAAGCACACAAATGAGGCAAAATGTTAGTAACTGGTGAGTTTAGGATGTTAATTGCGTCATTCTTTCAACTCGAGAGTTTGTAGGCATATTTCAAAATAAAAAGGTGATGGGGAAAATGACATATGTTATTTAACTGGGACATACAGATTTGTAGTTCATTTCAAGGTGGATTAGATCAAGAATGAAAAAGATGTGAAAGGGTGAGTGGATACTAAACAGGTCTCTCATCTCTATGCTTTTCTATATGCTACATCCCTCTCCAACAATCCACCATAGAGAACAAAACATTTCTCACAAAGCTTTTTTCCCCAATTTAACCTCTTTCTGAACAAGAAACAGGAGGGTATCAGGAGGTTGGCACAGGTTCTCCAGTCCACTGAATGTACTAATCAGAGAAAGGATTACGGGATTAGGAGTTGAGTAAGTTAACTCCCTCTTTATTTTATCTTAACTCTTAACTCCCTTCTCAAATTTAGCAGGGAAGAGAATGAGAAACTATGGTAGAATACAAATAAAGCCCAAGATTAGTAACATAAAAGGTATTATATTCCAGAGTCTAAATGTCATTTTCTGATGAAGAAATTAGAAAAGAACTGGGCATACATGGATCATTTTCTACCTCGGGCTTAAAGTAGAAAAGAAAATCTGGGAAAACAGAATAGTCACCTAACAAGGATGGAAGCAAGGAAGGAGGAAGTGGGGAAAATAGGGAGGAAAGAAGGGAGAGCAAGTCAGTAAGATAGAGCAGAGCTAAACTGCCATGCCCAGAGCTGTTCCTAGGGATCTTCCTATACTGAATCAGCTCAAAAAGTCTTTCTCCACCTTGTTCTGACACCAGTCACAGCTTTTGAAAAGTTATGAGGAGCACATAAATGGCACCAAGATAATGGCCAGTTAGGTAAATACAGAATTCCTTTCTGTCCGGACAAGATACAAACCCATTCACAGGTAAAATTCATTAATCATCAGGAAGTCCAAGAACTTCCTTCAAAATGGTGCTTAGGGCACTTTGTTGATTTGCACTGGTATCATAAGGATGGCAGTTACTATTCTGTAGCCCAACAGATGGGGCCGGCTGGCTGAATCTGTTCATTCAACCAAAACATGAATAAAATGTAATTTGGAAAAATACAGTCTAATGATGGCTTTCACAAGACCAAATAAACATCTATGAACCATCTTAATTATTTTTTTAGTTACCTAACAAATAGTGTTCTCTTACATATACAAAAAGAACCATAATCATTATTTTAACTCAGTTCAACAATAGAGGGATGGAGCATTTGTTAAATGCTTGGTTTTCATGCAAGTATGTATCATAATAATTCAACTCTGATTTGAAGTACTCCAGACTCTAATGAATTAACAAGTAACTACTTTCAAGTTCAACTCTCCAATTTTAGTCCTATTAACATGCTTTTTAGAAAAAAAATGTATAAATCCTATCTTTAAACACAATCTTGGTTCTTGAGGAAAAGATCACATTTGACCAAGTTTATAATCAACAGTCTTAAGCATACATCTACTATAAAGCACTTTAATCACACAGTTATTAATCCAATCACTAAAGATAAATTATGACAACAAAAAACCTGAACTACCAACAATGTAGTGGTATTACATCAACAATTTTCTAATATAACATATTCATTCTTAAAACATCATTTAAAGAATACTGTAATACTATTGGTCAAGCATAAACCTTATCAATAAAAAGCAGTCTTACCTGTATGAGGTGGATCTAATGTTGCCAGTGTAGGTGCTTCAAAACAATATTTTCCACTGCAATTATCTCTGTTATTGATTTCTCTAGTACTTTCTTCACTAGGCAGATTTAAACTGCATATTCTAAGATCATTTTGTGACGGGAGAAAGGTGTTATTAATTGCAACACCCTAAAAGAAACAAATATATATTTAAATCAGAACTCAAACCTAATTTTCTGTATTTTCTGTATTTTTACATAAAAGATTCTAATTTAAAACAGGACATACTGGTTATATATATAAACTAGAACTAGATATTTAAAAATAAATTAATATCTGCTGGGCATGGTGGCTCATGCCTGTAATCCCAACACTTTGGGAGGCCGAGGCGGGTGAATTACTTGAGGTCAGGAGTTTGAGACCAGCCTGGCCAACATGGTGAAACACTGTCTCTACTAAAAATATAAAAATTAGCCTGGCGTGGTAGCAAGTGCCTGTTATCCCAGCTACTTGGGAGATTGAGGCAGGAGAATCGCTTGAACTCAGGAGGCGGAGGTTGCAGTGAGCCAAGATTGTACCACTGCATTCCAGCCTGGGCAACAGAGTGAGACTCCATCTAAAAAAAAAAAATTAACTAATTAATTAAAATCTAATTTTTATTGCTTGTTTTTAGAACTATTTTAAATTATGCTACTAAAACTGAATGATATGACAGAATGAAAAATTATGCTTATAATTATAGTGTATTTTAAACATATCAGAAGTTTTTAAACAAATCATAACATGCCATTCTCATAATAAAATGCTCTTTTTCTTGTTAAATTTCTCAATACTAAAATCAATACTTAAATATTTTTAGGTGAGATAATGGTAATCTCACTATGTTGGGTTTTTTTAACAAGCCCCCACCTCTTTTTTTAAGAGATGGGGTCTCGGTCTGGTACCCAGGCTGAAGAGTGCAGTGTCACGACCATAGCTCATTGCAGCCTTCAACTCCTGGGCCCAAGGGATCCTCCCACCTCAGCCTCCCTAGTAGCTGGAACTACAAGCATGTGCCACCATACCCAGCTAATGTT
The DNA here is from genome assembly GCF_000001405.40 of Homo sapiens. Taxonomy (NCBI): domain Eukaryota; kingdom Metazoa; phylum Chordata; class Mammalia; order Primates; family Hominidae; genus Homo; species Homo sapiens. Next base: position 94,459,324 of record NC_000008.11, read on the forward strand.
TTTTTTTCTGTAGAGATGGGGTCTCACTATGTTGCCCAGGCTGGTCTGAACTCCTGGCCTCAAGCAATCTTCCTGCCTAGGCCTCCCAAAGTGCTAAGATTACAGGGGTGAGCCACCATACCCGGCCTTAAAAAGCTCTTATATTTTAGGGACATATTCTAAAAATTTACAAATGAAAGCATATTCCTGGAATTTGCATCAAAATAAGAAGGGAGGGACTTGAGCTGGAGTGGAAAACTAAAGATGAAACAAGAGGCCGGGCGCAGTGGCTCACGCCTGTAATCCCAGCACTTTGGGAGGCCAAGGCAGGTGGATCACTTGAGGTCAGGAGTTCAAGACCAGCCTGGCCAACATGGTGAAACCCCGTCTCTACTGAAAAAACAAAAATTAGCCAGACACGGTGGTGCACGCCTGTAATCCCAGCTGCTCAGGAGGCTGAGGCAGGAGAATCGCTTGAACTCAGGAGGCAGAGGTTGCAGTGAGCCAAGAATGCACCAGTGTACTCCAGCCTGGGCGACAGAACAAGACCCTGTCTCAAAAAAATAAAAAATTAGGCCGGGCGCAGTGGCTCACACCTGTAATCCCAGCACTTTGGGAGGCCAAGGCAGGCAGATCACGAGGTCAGGAGATCGAGACCAACCTGGCTAACATGGTGAAACCCGGTCTCTACTAAAAATACAAAAAATAAGCTGGGCGTGGTGGCGGGTGCCTGTAGTCCCTGCTACTCTAGAGGCTGAGGCAGGAGAACGGCGTGAACCCAGGAGGCAGAGATTGCAGTGAGCCAAGATTGCGCCACTGCACTGCAGCCTGGGCAACAGAGCGAGACTCCGTCTCAAAAAAAAAAAGATGAAACGAGATCAGTCATGGCCAGGCATGGTGGCTCACACCTGTAATCCCAGCACTTTGGGAGGCCAAGGCAAGCAGAGTCCTTGAGCTCAGGAGTTTGAGACCAGCCTGGGCAACATAGTGAAACTCAGTCTCTACAAAAAATACAAAAATTAGCCAGGCACAGTGGTGTGTTCCAATAGTCCCAGATACTTTGAACACTGAGGTGGGAGGATGGCTTGAGGCCAGGAGGCCAAGGTTGCAGCAAGCTGAGATCACACCACTGTACTCCAGCCTGGGCAACAGAGCCAGACCCTGCCTCAAAAAATAAAAATAAAAAAAAGATCAGTCATACATTTTCAATTGTTGAAGTTAGGTAATATGGACAAGGAAGTTCATTATGTGCTATTTTCTCTTTTTTTTGTATATGTATGGGTTTTCTATTGCTGCTCTCTCAAATTACCAGAAATTTGGTGGCATTGAACAACACAAATTTATCATTTTATAGTTTCGCAAGTTAGAACTCAGACTTAGGTCTTACTGCATTAAAATCAAAGTTATCACCAGGGCTGAGTTCCTTTCTGGATGCTCCAGGAGAGAATATATTTCCTTGTCTTTTCAAAATTCTAGAAGCCAAACAAATTCTTTGGCTTAGCCCTCTTCCTCCATATTCAAAGTCAACTATGTTACATCTCTCTGACCCTGCTTCCCTAATCACCATCTCTTTCTCTGATCCTCTTCCCTCTCTCTCTTCCACTTCTAAGGACACTTATAATTATAATGGGCCCACTCAGATCATCCAGGGTAACCTCCCCATCTCAAGGTCCTTAACATTAATCACGTCAGCAAAGTCTCTTTTGCCATGTAAAGTAACACAGATTCCAGTGATTAGGACATGAACATGTTTAAAGGGCCATTTTTTCTGTCTACCACAGTAGTAAATGGTTGAATTTTTTTTAAATAGAAACTCACAATAATAGGCAAAGTTGTCATGTTATTATAAATACTCATCTTTTTTTTTTTTTTTTTTTTTTTTTTTTTGAGACGGAGTTTTGCTCTTGTGGCCCAGGCTGGAGTGCAATGGCGCAATCTCGGCTCACTGCAACCTCCGCCTCCCAGGTTCAAGCAATTCTCCTGCCTCAGCCTCCCGAGTAGCTGAGATTACAGGCATGCACCACCACACCCGGCTAATTTTGTATTTTTAGTAGAGACGGGGTTTCTCCATGTTGAGGCTGGTCTCAAACTCCTGACCTCAGGTGATCCGCCTGCCTCAGCCTCCCAAAGTGCTGGGATTACAGGCGTGAGCCACCACACCCGGCCATAAATACTCATCTTAATAAATTTCATGGTTAGTAAATAAATTTTCCAAAAAAAAACCTGATAAATTTTTTTTATATTTTTTATATCTGATCAGATATTAAAGTAAGTCAACTAATGAAGGTCACAAATTTTCTTTTTTGCAACATTTTATTTTCATATAATTTCAAATTCATGGTAACATTCCAAAAATAGTATTCCTATATACCTTTACCCATATTAACCATTGGTTTACATTTTCTTCCATTTCCCTCTCCTCCTTTGCTCTGTGTATGTGTGTACACACACACGTGAGAGTAAACTGCAGACGCTATGCTCCTTCGCCTCTAAATACTTCAAGGTGTGTTTCCAAAGACTCTCTTCCATAATCACAGTAAAATTATCAAAATTGATTATTTAACACTGGTATAATACCAGTATCTAATCCACAGTCTATATTCAAATTTGGTCACTTATCGCAATAACGTCTGTTATAGATTTTTCCCCAAATCAGGATCCAATCCTAGATCACACATTACATCTAGTCAGTATGTTCCTTTAGTTTCCTTCAATCTCTAACTTCATTCATCGTTTCTGGTCTTGAAATTTCAAAATTTCAAAATAAGGCCAGTTATTTTGCTGAATATCCCTCAATCTGGATTTGTCTGATGTTTCCCTATGATTAGTTTCAGATTGTGAATTTGGGGCAAGAATACAACAGTTCATCATATTAGGAGGCACATAATATCGGTTTGTTCCATTACCAGAGGTATTAACTTTGATCACTGATTAAGGTGGTGTCTGCCAAAGTATTTTTCCCTTTGTAATTTTTTTAAGTATGTTGTGAGGAGATACTTGAATATATTCAAATATCCTATTTCCTCATTGAACATTTACCCACTAGTTTTGGCATCCATTGAGACTCTCTAACACCATCATTACTTCTACTTCTATGCTTTAGCATTCCACTGTAAGGAAGAGTTTAATCTTCATTTATTTATTTATTCATTTATTTACATATATTAGTATAGATTCTGACTCCTGTATTATTCAATGGGCTATAATCCATTAGTATATTTCTTTTGATGTTCAATTTGTCCCAGATTTTGTATTTATCAGACCAATCAAGTAAACACCACTGAAGTCACTAAAGCAATACTTTCTCACTATAGGTTAATTCAATCTAAGATAAGAAATAGTTTAAAAACAAGAAGTTAAGAATGTAACAGACAAAGTAAAAAGACGGCAGAGTTGACTGCTAAGCCTAATACTTTTAGGCTTCTCATGTTACCTTGCTTAAAATTGCTGTATAATTTCAAAAATGCCCCACTTCAGTTTTAAAAAGTAAAATAACTATTTAATTTATTTATAGAATTAAAAGAAAAAAATAGTAAATCTGTGTTTTTGCCTAGAATTAGTCCTTAGACATTACATCAAAAAACAAATCTTGGCCAGGCATGGTGGCTCACACCTGTAATCCCAACATTTTGGGACACCAAGGCAGGCGGATAACCTGAGATCAGGAATTCATGACCAGCCTGGCCAACATGGTAAAACCCCAACTCTACTGAAAATACAAAAATTAGCTAGGCGTGGCGGCAGGCACCTTTAGTCCCAGCTACTCCAGAGGATAAGACAGGAGAATTGCTTGAACCCAGGAGGCAGAGGTTGCAGTGAGCCAGGATTGTGCCACTGTACTCCAGCATGGGTGACAGAGCAAGACTCCATCTCAAAAACAAATAAATAAATAAATAAATAAATAATAAATATTGGTTGGACACAGTGGCTCACTCTAGCCTGGGCAACAGAGCGAGACTTCACCTTAAAAAAAAAAAAAAAAGACAGTTCTCCAAAGAGATACACAAATGGGTAATAAGCACACATAAAAGTGCTCCATATCAGCTATCAGAGAAATGCAAAGCAAAACCACAATGAGGTACTACTTTACCCACTAGTATGGCCACAATCAAAAAGATAATAAGTGTTGGTAGGGATATGGAAAAATTAAAACCTTCATACATTGATGGTAAGAATGAAAATGGAGCAGTCAGCTTGGAAAAGAGTCTGTCAGTTCATTAAGAGGTTAAACATAGAATTATCATATGATCCAGCAATTCTACTCCTAGGAATACACTCAAGAGAAATGAAAACATGGCCAAGTATGGTGGCTCACATCTGTAATTCCAACACTTTGGGAGGCTGAGGAGAGGACTGCTTGAGCTCAGGACTTAGAGACCAGCCTGGGCAACATAGGCAGACCCCATCTCTATAAAAAATTTAAAAATTAGCCTATAAAATTTAAAATTTAAAAATCTCTAAAAAAATTTAAAAATGATGGCACATGCCTGTGGTCCCAGCTACTTAGGAGATGGAGGTGGGAGGATCACTTGAGCCTAGTAGGTGGAGGCTGCAGTGAGCCATGATGGTGCCATCATCAAGACCCTATCTCAAAAAAAAAAAAAAAAAAAAGAAAGAAAGAAAAAAGAGAGAAACGAAAACACATATCCACACAAAAATTTGTACACAAACGTTCATGAGTATTACTCATAATTGCTAAAAAGTGGAAACAACCCAAATGACCATTAACTAATGAATAGATATATAAATTGTGGTATATTAAAACAACAGATTATTCAGTGTGGTAGGCAGAATAACGGCTCCCAAAGATTTCCACACCCTAATCCCCAGAATCTGTGAATGTATTGTTATGTGGTAAAAAGGACTTTGCAGATGTGATTAAGGACCAGGACCTTGAAACGGAGAGATGATCCTGGATTA